>NC_000006.12:138820790-140070790 GCF_000001405.40 Homo sapiens
AGACCATGATACACACATTCAGTGCTTTGAATTTGATGTCGGCATTAGCATTAGGATCTGCTATGCTGCTTCCTTCTACCAAAGGAAAGTTCACAGTTGTTAAGGGATGGTCCCTCAGAATCACTTGGAGTTTGTGAAACAGATAATGAGCCTCACCCCTAGAGATTTTGGCTCAACGCAATGGAATGGGGTGGAGGAAGCTGTTTTTACAAAGTTCCCCAGGTGATCTGGTGTACAGCCAAGGGTCAGACACAGGCGTGGGTGACCTGAAAGCCCCAAGGCTTCTTCCATTTCTTGATTCTACTCCTCCTTGAAGGCAGGAACACAGACCACATGAGCTGTCTCGTCCCTTCTAGTCTCAGTGCAATGAAACAAAATTTGTCCCAGTTCTGTGGGTGCCTTTTTCATTTTGCACTTGTGATGCTACCTACTGGCTTTAGAATGTGTTTCACTCCAGGCAGCCCGAACTTGATGTGAATAATGAAGGAAATAGTTTGTTCTCACATCATTGAAAACTCCAGATATGGGTCTTCCTGCAGCTGAAGCTTCTTGCAGTGCTTCCGTAGTGAAACCAATGGCTTCTTTCTTCCTGCGCCTCTGTTCTGCCTCTGTAGCCATGGCTTTCTCCTTCCATTCCCTCAGATGTGTCCAGAAGAAAAAAAAAAACATTTGTTTGGGCTTTACTCTGATTAGACTCGTTTAGGCCCATGCCCACTTCTGGCCACTTGCTGTGGCCAGGGGATTGGCCTGTACCTTGATCATGTGCTTTTCAGAGCTGTGGTGTCAGCTTTAGAATTGTGTGCACCGCCAGATAGAAATTAGGGTTATTTCACCTACATAAGGGTAAGTAAATGAAGCATGACAAAAGCTAGTTTCTTCATTTAGCATTGAACAAATATTGACTGAGTGCCTACCATGGACCAAGCACAGTTCTGAGTGCATGGGACTCAACAGTGAGCAGAGCGGAAAAGGGCCTGCCCACTGCAGTTTATATTCTAGTAGAATAAAACTAAAATAGAAAAAGGGTGAACCCTGGAAGCAGCCAGACATCAAAGCTTCTAGCCCCTTGATGGGGAGGCCGAAGAGGCTCCACTGCTGGGTTTGAAGACGGAGGAAGAGGACATGAGCCAAGGAAGGCAGGCAGCTGCCAGGAGCAGGAAAAGACACAGGGACTGACTGTAGCCCAGAGAAAATGACTTCAGACTTCTGACCTCCAGAACCGTAAGAAGATCAGTCTGTGCTGCTTTAAGCCACTACATTTGTGGTAGCTTTGTTTACAAATTTGTTAGAGCAGCAACAAGAAACTAATACAAGCAGTGATTTGCTTTTTCTATTTTTCAACGTTTATTCTTTTTTCATTTATTATTTTAGTTTATACACATTTATTTAGCCCCAGCCATGCTGCAAGCACTCTGCCAGTTGCCAGGGACAGAGCAGTGAACAAAACAGTAATAGAGACAGACATTACATGGGGAAGGAGGCCGGGCGCAGTGGCTCACGCGCCTGTAAGCTTAGCATTTTGGGAGGCTGAGGTCGGCGGATCACTTGAGCTTAGGAGTTCAAGACCAGCCTGGGCAACATGGTGAAACCCTGTGTCTACTAAAAAATACAAAAATTAGCTGGGTGCTGTGGCGTGTGCCTGTGGTCCCAGCTACTTAGGAGGCTGACGCAGGGGAATTGCTTGAGCCTGGGAGGTGGAGGTTGCAGTGAACCGAGATTATACCATTACAGTCCAGCCTGGGCAACAGAGCCAGAGACCCTGTCATAAATAAATAAATAAACAAACAAACAAATAAAAATGGTGGAGTCTGAAAAAGGACTGGGTCAGCAAGAATAAAAACACAAAACAGCTGGAGGAGCCAAGATGGCCGAATAGGAACAGCTCCGGTCTACAGCTCCCAGCGTGAGCGACGCAGAAGACGGGTGATTTCTGCATTTCCATCTGAGATTGGAGCCATGGCTTTGGAACAGAACCAGTCAACAGATTATTATTATGAGGAAAATGAAATGAATGGCACTTATGACTACAGTCAATATGAATTGATCTGTATCAAAGAAGATGTCAGAGAATTTGCAAAAGTTTTCCTCCCTGTATTCCTCACAATAGCTTTCGTCATTGGACTTGCAGGCAATTCCATGGTAGTGGCAATTTATGCCTATTACAAGAAACAGAGAACCAAAACAGATGTGTACATCCTGAATTTGGCTGTAGCAGATTTACTCCTTCTATTCACTCTGCCTTTTTGGGCTGTTAATGCAGTTCATGGGTGGGTTTTAGGGAAAATAATGTGCAAAATAACTTCAGCCTTGTACACACTAAACTTTGTCTCTGGAATGCAGTTTCTGGCTTGCATCAGCATAGACAGATATGTGGCAGTAACTAATGTCCCCAGCCAATCAGGAGTGGGAAAACCATGCTGGATCATCTGTTTCTGTGTCTGGATGGCTGCCATCTTGCTGAGCATACCCCAGCTGGTTTTTTATACAGTAAATGACAATGCTAGGTGCATTCCCATTTTCCCCCGCTACCTAGGAACATCAATGAAAGCATTGATTCAAATGCTAGAGATCTGCATTGGATTTGTAGTACCCTTTCTTATTATGGGGGTGTGCTACTTTATCACGGCAAGGACACTCATGAAGATGCCAAACATTAAAATATCTCGACCCCTAAAAGTTCTGCTCACAGTCGTTATAGTTTTCATTGTCACTCAACTGCCTTATAACATTGTCAAGTTCTGCCGAGCCATAGACATCATCTACTCCCTGATCACCAGCTGCAACATGAGCAAACGCATGGACATCGCCATCCAAGTCACAGAAAGCATTGCACTCTTTCACAGCTGCCTCAACCCAATCCTTTATGTTTTTATGGGAGCATCTTTCAAAAACTACGTTATGAAAGTGGCCAAGAAATATGGGTCCTGGAGAAGACAGAGACAAAGTGTGGAGGAGTTTCCTTTTGATTCTGAGGGTCCTACAGAGCCAACCAGTACTTTTAGCATTTAAAGGTAAAACTGCTCTGCCTTTTGCTTGGATACATATGAATGATGCTTTCCCCTCAAATAAAACATCTGCATTATTCTGAAACTCAAATCTCAGACGCCGTGGTTGCAACTTATAATAAAGAATGGGTTGGGGGAAGGGGGAGAAATAAAAGCCAAGAAGAGGAAACAAGATAATAAATGTACAAAACATGAAAATTAAAATGAACAATATAGGAAAATAATTGTAACAGGCATAAGTGAATAACACTCTGCTGTAACGAAGAAGAGCTTTGTGGTGATAATTTTGTATCTTGGTTGCAGTGGTGCTTATACAAATCTACTCAAGTGATAAAATGACACAGAACTGTATACACACATTGTACCAATTTCAATTTCCTGGTTTTGACATTATAGTATAATTATGTAAGATGGAACCATTGGGGAAAACTGGGTGAAGGGTACCCAGGACCACTCTGTACCATCTTTGTAACTTCCTGTGAATTTATAATAATTTCAAAATAAAAGAAGTTAAAAAAAAACCCACTATGCTATAAGTTAGGCCATCTAAAACAGATTATTAAAGAGGTTCATGTTAAAAGGCATTTATAATTATTTTTAATTATCTAAGTTTTAATACAAGAACGATTTCCCTGCATAATTTTAGTACTTGAATAAGTATGCAGCAGAACTCCAACTATCTTTTTTCCTGTTTTTTTTAAATTTGTAAGTAATTTTATAAAATCCACCTCCTCCAAAAAAGCAATAAAAAAAAAAAAACTATAAAAAAAAACAAAAAACAAAAACAAAAAAAACACAAAACAGTGCTTAGATTACACTGTAATGCACATCAAGTGTAAAGGACACAGGTTTCAGCAAAGGTTATGAGACGGCATTAAGCAGGAGTGCTCAGTGTCAGTCAGCCTCCCATAGGGACGTGTTTGGGCAGCAGGAATGGTTGTTGAGGAGATGGGGAGATTCTCGCCGTACCCCAGACATGTCACTCTAAAACTCCACTATCATCACCTGATCTGGTTGCCTGTGTTGTTGCCAAAATAGCTTTCACCAGCCACAGGACTCTAACCCACGATACTCGTTCCAGCTACTTCTGGCTCCACCCCCCGGAACCACATCAACTCATTGGCCCTAAGTTATTATGAACACACAGGAAGTCAAACTGCAATTAGGCAGCAACAGTATGTGTGTGTGCATGCATTATGCGTCATTTCCCATGATCCAAGGCCGGCCTGGCCAGCCTGACATAACAAAGAAGTAGCTATGACTGTGAGAAGTGACAAAGGAAAAGTAATGGGACCTCACCTAGGCCAGACGGTCAGGGAAAGCTGCCCTCAGGATGGGATATTTACGCTGGAGTCTGAAGGATGAGTAGGAGTCAGACAAGCAAAGACTCAGAGAATGACTGTTCTATCTGGATGGGACAGCATGTGTGAGAGCCTTGGTTCTTCTTTGCCTGCTCAATACCAATACCAGGCTTTTGTAGAAGCATTAGAAAATACATATAATGCCGAGCGCGGTGGCTCATGCCTGTAATCCCAGCGCTTTGGGAGGCTGAGGCGGGTGGATCACTTGAGGTCAGGAGTTCGAGACCAGCCTGGCCAACATGGTGAAACCCTGCTTCTACTAAAAATACAAAAATACTAGCCAGGTGTGGTGGGGGGGCACCTGTAATCCCAGCTGCTGGAGAGGCTGAGGCAGGAGATTCACTTGAACACAGGAGGCAGAGGTCACAGTGAGCTGAGATCGTGCAATTGCACTCCAGCCTGGGCGACAGAGCAGGACTCCGTCTAAAAAAAGAAAAGAAAAGAAAAGAAAAGAATACAGATAAGCAAAAAGAGGGAAATACCAATCACCAATAATCCACCACCCATATACAGCCTTTTTACACTTCTGTGCATTCGTATGACTATATATGGATCCGATTAGACCAATTAGCCAGAATTTTTTTTCTTAAAGAAACTTCAGTCACTCTCCTTATTGCTTTACCCATATCTAGTTTTGCTCTCTAGTCCTCTGAAGACTTTAGCACATGCTTCTTCATTTCCTTTATATCCCAAGCCCAGTCATTAGTCTGTGTGACACTGGCATTCATGAGGAAAACCCACTTCACACTCTGAACACCCAGTTGAACTTATCGCCCAAAATGAATTTTTTCTCCCCCTGCCTTAGTCAACGACTCCCACAATAAATGCATTACAGTCAATCCAGAGTCACTGATGGAAGCATTCCCTCTTCGCCCAGTTCGCCTGTTCAGCTATCCCCGTCTTGATCGCTGTTCCACTCACTGACCTTCCAGTCCACAGGCTCCTCTGCTCTCTATCAATCAGCCCTTTCCTTGGTACTTAACTTGCCTGATCACCCCACTTAGAGGCCATGGCCTGCCATGTTAGTAATTCATATTCCAATTCTCTCAGCTCTCTTGCTCTGGATTTTTATCACATTCAAATTCCAAAATCCTAGTCTGAATACTTGAACTTTTAAATTTCCCCCCAACATACATACCAGCCACTAAGAATTACTGGAGAAAGCCAACAGCAAGGTAGATTGTTTACTAGAAATTATTTTTTCTTTATTTTGGGAAAATTCAAGTTTAATTAAAACTATAATGATATAGACCAAGCACGATGGCTCATACCTGAAATTCCAGCGCTTTGGGAGGCCGAGGCGGGAGGTCAAGAGTTGAGACCAGCCTGGCCAACATGGTGAAACCTTGACTCTACTAAAAATACAAAACTCAGCTGGGTGTTGTGGCAGTTGTCTGTAATTTGGGAGGCTGAGGCAGGAGAACCTCTTGAACCCAGGAGGCAGAGATTGCAGTGAGCCGAGATTGCATTATAGCACTCCAGCCTAGGCAACAGACACTCCATCTCAAAAAAAAGAAAACCAAACTACACTGATTGAGTTTGGATATTAGTTCCCACCCAAATCTCATGTTGACTTGTAATCCCCAATACTGAAGGTGAGATCTGGCGGGAGGTGTTTGGGTCACGGGGGGCAGATCCCTCATGGTTTGGTGCTGTCTTCGTGATAGTGAGTTCCTGAGAGATCTGGTCATTTAAAAGTGTGTGGCACCTCCACCCATCCCCCACTGTCTCACTCTCTTGCTCCTGCTTTCTTCATGTGATGTGCCTGCTTCCCCTTCACCTTCCACCATGATTGGAAGTTCCCTGAGGCCTCCTGAGAAAACCAAGCAGATGCCAGCACCATGCTTCCTATAAAGCCTGCAGAACCATAAGCCAATTAAACCTCTCCTCTTTATAAACTACCAAGTCTCAGCCAGGTGCGGTGGTTCATACCTGTAATCCCAGCACTTTGGGAGGCCAACGTGGGCGGATCATGAGGTCAGGAGTTCAAGACCAGCCTGGCCAACATGGTGAAACCCTGTCTCTACTAAAGATACAAAAAATTAGCCAGGTGTGGTGGCGCATGCCTGTAATCCCAGCTACTCTGGAGGCTGACGCAGGAGAATCTCTTGAATCTGGGAGGTGGAGGTTGTAGTGAGCTGAGATCGTGCCATTGCACTCCAACCTGGGCAACAGGGTGAGACTCTGTCTCAAACAAAACAAAACAAAAAACAGAAAAAAAAAACTACCCAGTCTCAGGTATTTCTTTATAGCAACACAAGAAGGGCCTAACACATATACAAACAATATAAGGGACCCCGGTATATTCAGCACCCATTTTTAACAATGATCAGCTCATGGTTCACATTATTTCATCTATTTTCCCAAAGTTGTAACCACCCTTTATACCCTGGGTTATTATTTGTTTTGTTGTTTTTTGAGATGGAGTCTCACTCTGTTCCCCGGGCTGGAGTGCAGCCGCACAATCTTGGCTCACTGCAACCTCCACCTCCCAGGTTCAAGCAGTCCTCCTGCCTCTGAGCCTCCCAAGTAGCTGGGATTACAGGTGCATGCCACCACACCCAGCTAATTTTTATATTTTTAGTAGAGACGGGGTTTCACCATGTTGGCCAGACTGGTTTCAAACTCCTGACCTCAGTGATCCACCAGCCTCGGATTCCCAAAGTGCTAGGATTACAGGCATAAGACACCACGCCCAGCCCCCTGGATTATTTTAAAGCAAACTCTAGATATCATGTCATTTCTTACTTTAATATTCCAGGACATAACTTTTTTATAAAGGACTATTTTTTTTTTATACTTTAAGTTCTAGGGTACATGTGCACAACGTGCAGGTTACATATGTATACATGCGCCATGTTGGTGTGCTGCACCCATTAACTCGTCATTTACATTAGGTATATCTCCTAATGCTATCCCTCCCCCCACCGCATGACAGGCCCTGGTGTGTGATGTTCCCCTTCCTGTGTTATAAAGGACTATTTTTAAAAATATAATCACAACTGCATTATCAGCCTGAAAAAATTAATAATCTCTTATTATCAAATGTTTAGTCAGTAATCAATTTTCCTCAATGACCTCATAACTTCTTACTTTTAAAATAATTTATTTATCTCAGGACCCAATAAGGTTCATACATTGCAATTGATTAATATGACTTCTAGATTTCTTTCAATGTATAGGTTTTCTCCCCTCACCCTTTTTCTTTTCTCCCTTGTCTTGTAGGGTTTCCCACAGTCTGCATTTTGCTGATTGTAACCTTCTGCCTCCCCTTTTCCTGAAAACTGGTAGTTTGGGGCCTGATGAAAGTCAGGTTTGATTTTTTTCATAAGAATACTTCAAAGGTGGTGTTTTATTCTTCCTTCAGAAGCTGGCGAGTTCCAGTGGTTTTTGTGTGTGCTGTTAGCTGCCATTGACAATCTTCCCGTGGGTCCACTGTTTCATTAGGGGTTGCAAAATGTTGACATACTACCTCGTCATTCCTTTTCTGTTTACTAGTTAGCATACTTCTATAAAGAGAAACTTTCCCTCCTTAATGACTTGCTTTCCCGAGGTAGAGTTCATACAGGAAAGACACATGTTGATTTTATTTACCAATTTTCTAACCAATAGCTTGGATTTATGTCATCCTCCAAAATTGATCACTGAGTTCTTTGTAGTATTATAAACTCATGAACTTAAGTATCTTATGTTTCAATCCATTTCAGTTATTTTCTTGTTGGTATTCAAATTGTGTTGTTCCTGGCCAGGGGAGCCTCCTCAAGATAACTCTTGAGTTCTTTTGACATGTTAATTTCTCTTCTTTTTTTATTTTGAGACAGGGTCTCACTCTGTCACTCAGGCTAAGGCGCTGGCTAAGTTTAAAATTTTTTTTTTTTTTTGTAGAGATGGGAGTCTCACTATGTTGCCCAGCGTGGTCTCGAACTCCTGGCCTCAAATTATCCTCCCACCTTGGCCTACCAAAGTACTGGGATTACAGGGCGTGAGCCACCACACCTGTTAGTTTCTAATAATTTCTTTTCTTTCTGGTGTGAGAAAACCTTCTGCGCTCGTCTTGTCCTTTTCCTGCCTCAGACTTGGGATACCATTTCCCCAAGGAGCCCTGTTTCCTTTCGGTGGGAAATATTTGGTATTAGGTATTGCCGTAATAGAGCACTCTTATAAGTATCTTATAAGGTTGTTCATAGTTTCTAGGAATTTTTAGTACACAGAACTAAAAATAACTTTAAAGAAAAGTTACAATGCATCAAGAGTTCGGATCCATACTCTCAATTCAAATTCAAGTCAACAGGATTTGTATTGAACCCTTCTGTATTGCATCCATATCTCTTTCACACAGGAAATTCACATAGGATTTCACACAGGAAATCTTGGTTCCCAATGACGTTATTACTCATTTTCTTTGTTCCATAATAATACATGCACAACATTCCCAAAACAACAAAACCATCACTACCACTCCCTATATCATTACTGAAATCAGTTAAAAATAATTTTTGCAGTTCTTGTTGTCCTTAAGGTATGCCACATTTAGGGACATAGAGTCAAATTTCTGTGTTTTTGGTTTTTTTTTCCTTTTTTTTTGAGACAGAGTCTCACTCTGTTTCCCAGGCTGGAGTGCAGTGGCACGATCTCAGTTCACTGCAACCTCCGCCTCCCGGGTTCCAGCGACTCTCCCACCTCAGCCTCCAGAGTAGCTAGGATTACAGGCGCTCGCCACCATGCCCGGCTAATTTTTTGTATTTTTAGTAGAGATGGGGTTTCACCATGTTAGCCAGGCTGGTCTCAAACTCCTGTCCTGAAGCGATCTGCCAACCTCGGCCTCCCAAAGTGCTGGGATTACAGGCGTGAGCCACCGCGCCCAGCCTAAATTTCTGTGTTTTAGAATGGAATAATCCCAATCTGTATGGCTATTCAACTAATTCAACACACAATTAAGTTTGTTTTGTTTTGCTTTTGAATTTTAGGGATTGCTTTTATCAAATCCAATTTTGTTTGATAATATTAAAAGACATATGGTTACAGAAGTCACATCTAGAAAACAAGGTATATTAAGAAAAATCTAGCTTCTACCACTGTGTTCTGTGCTCTGTTCCCTCCCTCCAAATCTCTGCACAACAGGGGTGGACAAGCTTTTTCTAAACGGCCAGATAGCAACAATCTTAGGCCTTGTGGGCCCTGTGATCCCTGCTTCAACGACTTAGCTTTACCGATGCAGTATGAAGGCCACCACAGGCAATATGTGAGTCAATGGGTGTGGCTGTGTTCCAGTAACATTTTGCAAAAAGGGATGTCAAAAACGAATGGATATAGTCCACAGGCCATACCCCTGCTCTAGAGTCATCTGCAGGGACTGTCCCCAGATCCCCAGTTTCAACTCACTACTCACCCCATCCTAAACTGGTTTTTGCCCTTTTAAGTCCGTATAGCTGCCTCCAAAGGACTCTTGGATTTTTTTCGGTTATCTTGCTTGTCCTCTCTGCAGTTTTCGGTATGAACAAGTACTCACTCCTCGAAATGACAATCTTCCTGTGGATGCCATGACAGAAGATTAATCTGGCTTCCTCCTACCTCTCGGTCCTGTCCTTTCCATGTTGTTTAATGACAAATCCTCTACATGTCGTTAAATGTGGGCATTCCTCCAGCCTGTGGGAACTCTGCTTCTCTTTTCACTCTGTGCTCTCTGTGTAGAGCACTTGATCCATACCCAGGCTTTTATTTAATATTTCTCTAACAGTGATCAGGCCATTTTTATCTTTGGCCCAGACATTGCCTTTGAGTTCCTAATTATATATCCAGCTGCTTACTTGATATTTAATTTTGAATGTCTTGAGAACACCCCAAAACCAACATGTCCAAGTATATACAATCGTCGTAAGCACAATGTGACTATATTCTCTATTTTAATGGTACCACCAGCCATCCAGTTTCAAAAGTTAGAAACCCAAGACTCATCTAATCACCACTTATCAATTTACCCCCAATATCTCTCATGTGTTCAATTTTCTACATCTCTATCAATACCAGCTTAGGCCAACCTACCATTATTTCTGGCCTGGGCTATGGCTATGGCCATGGCCTTCTAATTGGTCTCCCCATCATTCTGGACTCTCTCCCTGTGCAGTCAGTGTTGGCTTCTCAAATGGCACTGAGACCATGTCATCATGCCCCTGTTTAAAAGTTTTAGTTTAAAAAATTGTAACCTTTAACATGGCATCCAAGGCCCTGCAGGGATATGGCTCTAACCACCCCTTCAGCTTCCCCTCTTCCCTCTTTCTCCATAGTTCCTGGTGCTTCAGCCCAACTCACCTTCATCCAGCTCCTCAGGGATGCTGCCTTTGCCCTTGACATTGCCATCTACCTAGGAGGCTCTTCTACCTCCACTGCCTTCTTCTCCCAGTTGCCTTTAACCCACTTAGCTCCCGCAGGGAAGCCTTTCCACACATGTACTTTTTCTTCAGAAGATTAACTACAGTTGTAATTTCACCTTTATTTATTAGATTTTTTTAAAAATTGGTGCTGTCCCTAACCATACTGTAGGCTCCATAAAGGCAGGAATTGTGTCATTTTTCTTTGTCTCATTAAAACCGCAGAATGTAAGAAGGGATTCAAAATAATGTTGATTTAATAAGTGAATCCGTGAACTGTACAATCACAGTAAACATGCACATACCAATTTAATTAAACAATTTTAGATCATGTATTCCTTTGAGAAGAGATATTCAAATTACACCAAAAACTATAAATCTTCCCCCCAGGAAAGACATATATATGCATAGATATAAAATTTACCAGATATTTCAGGAACTTTGTATGCTGCATGAAACTCTCCTATGGATAATAGTGCATGAAACTAAGTGAAATGTCTTCAATTTTTTTTATCATTTTAAATGACTTTATAATATTCAATGGTCCAGATTTTGCTTAAGATTCTCTAGTTTTCCCTCCTTTGGTTTCAAGTTTATTATCCAACTTACTCAGTTTTCTCTTAATTTCAAAAACTATATATTTTTTACTTCAAATGTCTGTTTTTTTTTTTTCCAAATGAACATTTCAAACATTCACTCCTATTATTACCTTGATTTCTCTTTGAATATTTTCAGCATGTTTATGTTAAAATCTCTTGGATTCTTTCATTACCTTCAGTTCTGGAGATGACGGATCCCTTGTTTGTTTCATTTGCTGGCCTTCCCTCATGGTGTTTTAGTCTGAGGTTATTTTCCAAAGGGAGGATAACTGCCCTGGGTTGTGGAGGCACATGGGATGGTTCACATATGTATCTTCCTCTCCAGGAACCCCTTGGGTTTCTTATTTTCTCACCAGCGTTTATGTTTCTATGGTAGCTCAGGGTCTCTAATGTGCCAGGAGATTTAATATGGACTTAAGCCCATGCAAGGTACAGGCCTGTTCTGATTTCCCCCAGGTCTCCCTTTCCTTTAGCAGCCCAGGAGAAGGTGTGCTTCCTTGCTTCTTCCCTGCAAGGTCTGGACTCCTGTCAGTAGGAAAGCCTAGCACTACTCATCAAGACTGGGCCCAATTCTTCTGTGAATTTCTCAATTTCAGCTCCCATTTAGTGTCCTTGTGTTTTTTTGTTGTTTTTTTTTTAATTTATAACTTGCTGATTTCTTTTTTCATTACTCTTCCATTTGAAGAGATTATGCTTCATAATCCCAGTGCTTTTAGCTGTTTGAAATTAGTTCATAGCATATTAGTCCATTTCACACTGCTATAAAGAACTGCCTGAGACTGGGTAATTTATAAATATAAAAGCATTAATTGGCTCAGAGTTCTGCATGGGTTGGGGGGCCTCAGGAAACTTACAATCACGGTGGAAGGGGAAGCAGGCACATCTTACCTGGCGGCAGGCGAGAGAGAGAGAGAAAAGGAGGAACTGTCAAACGCCAATAAAACATTGGATCTCATGAGAACTCACTATCACAAGAACAGCGTGGGGGAAACCACCTCCATGATCCACTCACCCACCACCAGGTCCCTCCCTTGACATGTGGGGATTATGGAGATTAAAATTGGAGATGAGATATGGGTGGGGACATAAAGCCAAACCATATCACATAGATTCCCCTTTCAGCTCAGTCTACTGATTTCTAGGAAGATTAGATTTTATAGATATGCCATAACTTATCTCAGACATTTAACTTGTTTCCCCCAGCTTTTGCTACTAAAAACAACACTTAGAGGAACATCCTTTAGCTAAATCCTTAGACATATCTTTAATCATTGTTTTAGGAAAAACCCCTAGAAGACGAATTGTTGGATCCAAAAGCACATTTGTACGGCCATCGGTATTTGTCACTTACCAACTTGTCTTCCTTTTCATGCAACTCAGGAGTTGCACAGATGCCTATGGTTCCCCTTGCCCTTGTGTCATCTCCTTTTGGCCCCATTAAAACATGCACCAGAGGATCACCTGAGGTCAGGAGTTTGAGACCAGCCTGGCCAACGTGACGAAACCCTGTCTTCACTAAAATACAAAAATTAGCCGGGCTTGGTGGCATGCACCTGTAATCCCAGCTGCTCAGGAGGCTGAGACAGGAGAATCGCTTGAATCCAGAAGGTGGAGGTTGCAGTGAGCAGAGATCACGCCACAGTACTCCAGCCTGGGTGACAGAGCAAGACTCCAGCTCAAAAATAAATAAATAAATAATTAAAAAAAAATGCACCAGGGACTGAAACTGGGGTATGAACAGCACCCAGACCCTGACCAAGCCATAAAAGTGTTTGTAAAGAAGCCACCCGACAAGGCTTAGAGGTGCTACCTAGGCAACCAGAAAACAGGGACCTCTGCCAAATCCACTCTCCCCTCCACAGGCCTCTCTCCAAGCTGTTCTCCTAGTCATTTTCATCACAATTTTGGCAGCTTCTACTTCTTATCAGAAATTTAAGAGCAGATAATTAAATTCAAGTCCCACATTACTAAGCTTTGTTATTTTTGCAAAGTACACATTGTACATTCAGTGGCACACTGCAAAGCATTATCATGAATTATTTAAATGACACCATCCTCGTCACAATAAATGAGCAAAACACATTTTTTCACTGTCTCCTTACATGTTGTTATTT
The DNA here is from genome assembly GCF_000001405.40 of Homo sapiens. Classification (NCBI taxonomy): domain Eukaryota; kingdom Metazoa; phylum Chordata; class Mammalia; order Primates; family Hominidae; genus Homo; species Homo sapiens. The sequence goes on from NC_000006.12 coordinate 138,834,238, forward strand.
CTCTTCACAGATTTCTTACTTTGCAACATTAACTAAAATGTGATGAGCCCTGCAATGTCATTACTACAAACTACCCTACCTTAGTTCTGCTGATCATGTATTTTTTTTTAATGTGACGGAAGCATTTTTCTTTCTTCTTAAGATTCATTATACTCAAACGTGTCCTTGTAGCAGCATAGAATAGGAACAAATATAAAACATGTATAACCAAGGTTTACTTTTGGAAGTAATTCATATTCAATTCTCCTTTGCTCTGCTGGGATGGAACAATAGATGCTGTGAGGTGGGAAGGTAGTAGACATGAAAATCTAAAGATACTGAGACCCTTCTTTGGAAAGGAGGCCGGAAACATCTCTGTTTTGCCTCTTATTTTATTACTGTATTTTATAATTCCAAGTAAATGAGAGTAAAACTTATCTCAAAGGCTAGCAAAATGATCCTGAAGTCTAACTCAGGCAATGAGGACAGTAATTCATTAGAAATTAACTGTTCTTGGCATTGTCACAGTCTTGTTCAGCTTGAATGTTAATCTCTAAGGAAATGACAGTTATTACCTGTGCTTTATTGTTGATACTGACAAGATCCTCAAGTGACACTTCTGTCTGTGGATACTACATGCTACCAGTACAGGCCCGGCTCCATTCTTTGCCCCCGTTTACACACACACACACACACACACACACACACACACACACACACTCTCATTCTCTCTCTCTGTCTCTTTCCTCACAACGGCCTGCCAACAGGTTCATTTTACGCCACTCTGTTTTGTCTCAGGATGTGACAAGGCTACATGGACAGGGATCAAAAAAACAGCAGTGACTTAAGGCCAGGGGAGGAAGAACACAGAAAATAAATCGTTAAAACTTGGAACTGAAGCAAACTTAAAAAAAAAATTTTAGCCACTTAAAAAAAACTTTTCATTTTGCAATAATTTTTAACTTACAGAAAAGTTGCAAGAATAGTACAAATAATGTCTTTATCCCTTTCACCTGGACTTCCTCATTTAGTTAACATTTTAATAGTTATGGCCAGGCGCAGTGGCTCAAGCCTGTAATCCCAGCACTTTGGGAGGCCAAGGCAGGCGGATCGCTTGAGCTTAAGAGTTCAAAACCAACCTGGGCAACATAGTGAAACCACATCTCCATTAAAAATACAAAAAAATTAGCCGGGTATGGTGGTGCATGCCTGGAGTCCCCAGCAATTTGGGAGGCTGAGGTGGGAGGATTGCTTGAGGCCGGGAGGCAGAGGTTGCAGTGAACTGAGATTGCGCCACTGCCCTCCAGCCTGGGTGACAGAGCCAGGCCCTGTCTCAAAAAAAAAAAAAAAAATAGTTAACAGTTTAATAGCTAACATTTTACCATTTTTGCCTTATTATTTAGAATCACTTGAGAGTAAATTACGAACATGATGCCCATTACCTTAAGTGTGTCAATGTGTGTTTCCTAAAACACAAGGACACACTGCTGAAAAATCAAAGTACATCCAGCATTACCAGGAAATCAGCACTGATACAATACTACATCCACCCTGCAGACTCCATTCCCATATTCCTGATTGCTCCAGCAATGTCCTTTATAATCACCCTTTTCCATTTGGTCCAGAATCCAGCCCAGGGTTATCTACTGTATTTAGTTTCCATGTCTCTAGATCTGCCTTCAATGTGGAGCAAATGCTCAGGTTTTCCTTGTCTCTTATGACTTGATACTTTTGAAGAGCACAGGCCTGCTGCTTTGTTGAATGACCCTCGATTTCTGGTTGGGTGATGGTTCCTCAAGATTACGCTCAGGTTATGCCTTCTTGGCAGGAATAGCGCGGAAATGATGCTGTGTTCTCAGTGGATCGCGTCGGGGGGCATAGCATATCAATTTGTCCCATAGCTGGAGATTACATCCCTTGGTTAAGATAGCTAATTAAGTATTTTGTACTTAATTTATATTTAATAAGCAATTTAAAAGTATTTGATTAATTTTAAAGTAATCAAAAACTATTCTATGTAAATATCCTGTTTCTTATCAAGCTTTCACCCACTACTTTTAGCATTCATTAATCTTTTTTTTTTTTTTTTTTGAGATGGAGTTTTGCTCGTCACCCAGGCTGGAGTACAGTGGCGCGATCTCGGCTCACTGCAACCTCCACCTCCCATGTTCAAGCGATTCTCCTGCCTCAGCCTCCTGAGTAGCTGGGATTACAAGCGTACACCACCATGCCCGGCTAACTTTTGTATTTTTAGTAGAGACAGGTTTCACCACATTGGCCAGGCTGGTTTCAAACTCCTGACCTCAGGTGATCCACCCACCTCGGCCTCCCAAAGTGCTGGGATTACAGGCGTGAGCCACTCATTGATGATTCTTACCTGAAGCAATTATTACTATGATGGCCTCCAAGTGGTGATTTCCTGATTTCTTAATTCCTTCTGCTTGTACTAATTGGTGTTCTGTTGTGAGGTAGTTTTCCTTCTCCCCTATTTATTTATTCATTCATGGGTATATTTATATCAGTATGGACTCAGGAACGCCTGTTTTATTCAATAGGCTATATTACATTAATTATATACTTTGATACTCAAATTATTCCATATTTTGCCAGTGGGAGTGACTTTATTAATAAATTAGCTTCTGTATTCTTTTGGTATGTCCATGATTCTTTAAGTACTTCCTTATTTTCTGGTGTCAAAATGTTCCAGACCCATCTTATACTTTCCTTGTCCCTGCCCTGGTATCAGTATACCATTTCTCCAGTAAGCTCTGGTTTGTTTTATTAGGAAACGGAATTGAGAAACCAAGATCTGAGTTTATGGTGTGTTCATTGCTTCTGGGATGTTATTGCTTTTAGGTGCTCTAACATGAAATATATGTACACACGTGTACATATACAGCCATCTGTCTCTGTGTATCATTCATTTATATACATATTTTAAAACATGAGATTTTAGTGATATCTCCAATTTCTCTCCAACTGCATATAGATTAGTCTAGCTTTCCTCCTTTACATACTTGTAGATCCTTTTTCCAAAAGTGAGAAACCTAGCTCCCATAATCTTCATATTTTTCCCAACCCCCTGTAAACAACCAATCTTCCAGCCATTCAGAAGCAATCGTCTCCTTCTCCCCTTCTGCACACGGCTATTGCCCCACTGAGTCTCTCCGCACTCTTCCTGTGGCCACGCCAGGCTGAGCAAACCCTGTTACTGACCCGTAACAGCACACTAGTCTCTTCTATACCTGCTACACATTCAGGAGAAATGACTGGCATTTCAGAATGTGGCCAGCTTTGTGTCAAAAGAAGGATTAAATAAATCGCATAATATAGTGTGTTAGGTCCAGTGGGGAAGAGAATTTGGTCTTATAATACAGGCAGCCACTTAAAAGGAAAAATAAGTTTCTTCTAGAAGCACTGGTCTCAAAAAAAAAAAAAAACAACAATTAAAAAAACCCAAAAACGTCCACACACAAGAAAATCTCAGTGAATATATCTTTGCTTTGAATTTCAACTCCATTAAAAATCTTGAGTTGTTTTAAATTGATAGTGAAAAGGTTTTATAGTCTTTTTCTCTTGAAAATCACATCAAACTAGGTTTACTCCAAGACTGTTTTATTCCTGTGAATTTTAGATATTCTTGTTCTTTGTCTTCCTTTTTAGAATGGATAATTCAAAGTGAATACTTTTTTTTTTTTTTTTGAGACAGAGTCTTACTCTGTTGCCCAGGCTGGAGTGCAGTAGCACGGTCTCGGCTCACTGCAACCTCAGTCTCCTGGGTTCAAGTGATTCTCCTGCCTTGGCCTTCCAAGTAGCTGGGATTACAGGCACGCACCACCATACTCAGCTAATGTTTTGTATTTTTAGTAGAGACAGAGTTTTGCCATGTTGGCTAGGCTGGTCTTGAACCCCTAACCTCAAGTGATCCACCCACCTTGGCCTCCCAAAGTGCCAGGATTACAAGCATGAGCCACGGCACCTGGCCTGAAAATTTTTTAAATCTAGATTTATGTTTTGTTAGGATTTATTTTTTATAGGTAGAACATTGGAGGAAGATCAATGACCAATATTTATGCTGACTTTTTAGTAAATTTTAGACATTAGTGTTCTAAACTAAATTTCTCTTTCTTTTTAGGTTTGTCCAAGACTGGTTTTCAGAAAGGATGCAAGTGGCCAAAGTGGACTTCTCTACAGTGTTACCACGCTTCATTTCTCTATATATCTTTTCCTTTTTGAGTCCGAAAGATTTGTGTGCCGCTGCCCAAGTCAGCTGGCCCTGGAAGTTTTTAACTGAACAGGTTTACTATTTGCCACTTCCTAGTAATAGGGCACAAGTACAGCTGTAATCTGTAATGAGGCTACTGGGGTAGCTCCCGTCCCTGAAGACAATAGCTGAGGGTACCTGATCCATCATTAACTTACCCTTGAGAGAAAAAATGGGGAAAAGTGAAATACAATAATGTATTTCTATAAATAAGGAATATAGACTAGTCCAATAATTCCTGTTACTTAAAAAATCTTTAAATACTCAGTATAATTGTTTAGAAAACATTTTATCTTGGTTAAAGAAGTTCCTTTTTGAGACGGAGTCTCGCTCTGTTGCCCAGGCTGGAGTGCAGTGGCGTGATCTCAGCTCACTACAACCTCCTCCGCCTCCTGGGTTCAAGTGACTCTCCCACCTCAGCCTCCTGAGTAGCTGGGATTACAGGCGCGTGCCACCACGCCCAGCTAATTTTTGTATTTTTAGTAGAGACGGGGTTTTACCATGTTGGTCAGGCTTGTCTCGCACTCCTGACCTTGTGATCCGCCCGCCTCGGCCTCCCAAAGTGCTGGGATTACAGGCATGAGCCACCGCACCCGGCCAAGGAGTTCACTTTTCTTCATGAAAAATGATTTATGCTTTAGATTTTGTATATTATCTCTGATAACTCAGCTCTAGAAACTGCTACACAACCACAGCCTCAACTAATCCCTTATTGTCTTAACATCTGTTAAAGAACATACATTGAGATCTGTCAACAGCAGTTGAAAGCAGTTAACAGCAGCAGCTGTTTAAAATCAACATCTTTTGCCATTAATTCTGCCTCTGGCCTCATTGTCTCTTCATTTTCTTGTAAAATATTTAATAAAATGTAACTAAACACATACTTTTTTTTTTTTTTTCCTGAGACAGGATCTCATTCTGTCACCCAGGCTGGAATACAGTGGTGTGATCTGGCTCATTGCAACCTCTGTCTCCCAGGCTCAAGAGATCCTCTCACCTCAACCTCCCAAGTACCTGGGACTATAGACATGCACTACCACGTCCAGCTAATTTTTGTATTTTTAGCAGAGATGGGGTTTCGCCATGTTGGCCAGGCTGGTCTTGAACTCCTGGGCTCAAGAGATCCACCCACCTCGGCCTCCCATAGTACTGGGATTACAGGCGTGAGCCACTGTGCCTGGCCTAGTCTGTTTATATTTCTGTAAACACTGATATATTTGTGTTTAATCCATCATTTTACTATTTATTTTTTGTTTGTCCCATTTGTTTTATGTTTTTTTCCCTCTCCCTGTCTTCCTTTGTGCGAATTAAACTTTTTTTCAATTGTTAATTATGGATTCTTTAACAGTTCTTTCATGGTTACCATAGACTACAACATATAGCCTTGAATTAATATTATCTTACCATTTCTAAGACAATGCAGGGAGCTTAAAACACTTTAAATTCATTTACCTTCCTCTCAGTTTCCATGCTTTTTTTGTTAAAGATTTTTATTTTATATATACTAATAATAGCCTACTGTTGACCAGAAGACTTACTGATAATGCTAAGTCGATTAACACACATTTTATATATGTACTATATACTGTATTCTTCAATATGGCAAGCAAGAGAAAAGAGATTGTTATTTAAAAATTCACGAGGAAACATATTTACTATTAAGTGGAAATGGATCATTGTAAAGATCTTCACCCTCATCATCTTCATGTTGAGTAGGCTGAGGAAGCTGAGGAAGAGGAGGGGTTGGTCTTGCTGTCTTGGGGGTGGCAGAGGTGGAAGAAAGTGCATATAAATGCACCCACGCAGTTCAAACCCAAACATAGATAACACATAAACACATATCTCACAAATCTTTATTACTATTGTTTTATGTAGTCAATATTGATTTATATGTGACCATATTTTTTTCTGTAGTTCATTTTTTTCTGTTCCTGCATCTCTGAGTTTCCATTTGGAATAATTTTCCTTTTGCGTTCTATTTAATATTACCTCTAGCACAAGTGTGCTGCTAAGTTTTCTTAGTTTTTGTGCATCTAAAAATATCTATTTCATCTTCATACTTAGAGGATTATTTCAATACGAAATTTAAATTCTAGGTTGGCAGCTAATTTTTTTTTATAGAACTTTGAAAATATTTCATTTTTTTTTCTTGAGAAGTCAGAAGTTTTATTGTTGATCCTTTAAAGGTAACATTTCTATCATCTCTAGCTGCTTTTTGGACTTTTTTTCTTTCATTTTCAGTAATGTTATTGTGATATACCTAGGTGTGTGTTTGTATGTATCTTGTTTTGTAGTGATTTTTGAGTCTGAGACTTAATATCTTTTATCAGTTTTGAAATGTTCTCAGATGTTATTTCTTCATATTGATTCTGCCCCATTCTCTCCCTTTTTCTCCTAGTATTCCAATACTTATAGGTTGGAAAGATTCACCACGTCTCATAACTTTCATATTCTTTTATACACATTTTCCATTTCTGTGACCTTCAGTATTTCAGTCTGGATTTTCTTTGGACCTATCTTTCAGTTTACTAATTGTTTCTTTAGCTAGATTCTAATCTGATCTTAAACCCATCCATTGAGTTCTAAATTTCAGTTACTGTATATTTTCAGTTCTAGAATATTGATTTAATTCTTTTGCCAAAATTTTCTACCTAGTCATTTATTTTAGATATATTAATTATAGAGTATTTATTTCCGCAAAGTTCATGTCTGATGATTACAATATTTGGATCACCTGAGGATCTCTCTATAGTTATTAAAAACCAAAAAGAAAAAAGAATTCTTGTCTATTGTGTGTTCTAGTTAATTTTCATTGAGTACCAGATACTGAGTATACAAAATTAATGTGATCCTTTGAGTCTCTGGGTGATGTTTTCTTCCTCCAGAGAGAATTTACTTTTGCTTCTGGCACGTCTAGTGCTAGGAACAAATCCTACAAATCCAGTCAAGGAATGAGATGTTTCAAAGCTGGCTTCAGTCTTTGTGAGAGTTTGTCTAATTAAGTATTATCCTTCCTGAAAAGAATCTTAACTGAAAGCTGGTGTGATTACCAAGCCTCTCCCGTCTTAGTGGGCCCTAAATTTCCATTTGTGTCCTTTCTTCCCTGTGAGAATGCCTAAGATTCTTTTTTAGCATCTAAGTCTTTTAGTCATAACTTTCTGTTCTGCTTCTCAGCCTAACAAGCTTTGCTTTGGAACTGACAAATGCCTTGAAGTAAAAAGTGATGCCAAATATCAGGCTTACCTCTCTGGGTTTCCCTTCTTTCTGGGGTCTTGGTTGAACAAGTCCTTATTGCATTGATAGCTCTATAATATAGCCTTCAAATAATTGTTTGTATAATATTTGGTCTAGGTATTTCATCAGTTCAAACCACATGAAATTTTCTCTTGTCGTATGTCAAAATGGCTGAATATTGGCAATATCGTACGCTTCAGTCAAAATTATTCTCAATGAGAGGGTTAATCTGAAAGAAACTATTCCACTATTGCTAGAAGCTGAATTCTCAGAATCTAGGGTTAACGTAACCAAATGCTATTGGAACATTGGATAAGTGTCACAAAGATGTCTAATACATACATTCACATATAACATATATATTCATCAAATAATATTTTTCCTGTGGAACAAGATACGCTTCTTATTTCCAAGTCAAGTTCAGATAGTAAGTCAGTAATAGCATTTAAAAACGTTATATCTGGCCAGGTGCAGTGGCTTACACCTGTAATCCCAGCACTTTGGGAGGCTGAAGCGGGAGGATCACCTGAAGTCAGGAGTTCCAGACCGGCCTGGCCAACAGGGCAAAACCCCGCCTCTAGTAAAAATACACAAAAACTAGGTGGGCATGGTGGCATGCGCCTGTAATCCCAGCTACTCAGGAGGCTGAGGCAAGAGAATTGCTTGAACCCAGAAGGCAGAGGTTGTAGTGAGCTGAGATCGCGCCACTGCACTCCAGCCTGGGCGACAGAGCAGGACTCCATCTCAAAAAAAAAACATAGAAATAAAAATAAAAGTCCGGGTGCGGTGGTTCACACCTGTAATCCCAGCACTTTGGGAGGCCAAGGTGGGCGGATCACGAGGTCAGGAGATGGAGACCATCCTGGCTAACACGGTGAAACCTCGTCTCTACTAAAAAAACAAAAAAATTAGCCAGGCGTGGTGGCGGGTGCCTGTAGTCCCAGCTACTCTGGAGGCTGAGGCAGGAGAATGGCATGAACCCGGGAGGCGGAGCTTGCAATGAGCCGAGCTCGTGCCACTGCACTCCAGCCTGGGCGACAGAGTGAGACTCTGTCTCAAAATAAGTAAAATAAAATATAAAAAAAATTAAAACTTTCAATTTTATATAAACATTGTAGAAACAAATGGATTTGCATACAAATTCTCAGAGATTTTTGTACCAGAAATCTCAGTGTAATGAAAAAGTATCTGTGTACCTGAAAATATTATTGCTAGAAAACTGTCTGAAAACAATTTGTGACTCATCTTCCTCTTGTTTCTGAAGGATTGCTTATGGATGCCCAAATGCGTTAAGTTCGGATGGTTTCTGCCCTATACTCCAACAGATAATGAGTATGGTGCTTGGAAGCGCCATTACATTGCTTGTGTGTCCCACTTAGACTGGCTGACACCTAGGGAGGCTGCTGCTACTTATGGGACGCTGAATGAACCCAAAACAGAAGATGAGGAACTACTGGAGAGACAAAGAGAAAAGTGCCTGAGGAAAAGAATTTGGGAGAAAATTGCACTACGTAAGAGTAAGTAGCATTTTAAACCTTTATATCTTAGGTAAATATTGTAGACACAAATGGATTCACATACAAATTCCCACAGAGGACAGCCCTGTCTTTCGGAATACTCTGAGTGGCAGTCTTAAGTATTTTCCAGATGAGCTTTTTTCCGTACTGTATATTTCAAGTTAATTGATGAGAAAAACAAAGATTTCAGACAAAATACATAAGGTTAAATATCAGTGCTTCCATTGCTATTCTGGCTCCTCTCAGGCTTATAAGACCAAAAACAAAGAGGATAAAGATGTTTGAACATGGGGAAAAAAGCAAACAAATAGGTTCAAAACAGAGGAATTGGGAGTGATGAAAAGAGGAGGAGAAATGCAAGTGAAAATGGAAGCAGGGAAAATGGCATTTAAAAAGGGAGAAAGAGGACAGCTCTTTCCGCTCTTTTTAAAGCCTCTTTCAGTTAAGCCCCCTATTTATTTATTTATTTATTTTATTTTTGAGACAGGGTCTCACTGTCACCCAGGCTGTGCAGTAGTATGATCTCTGGCTCACTGCAGCCTCGATTTCTGAGGCTCAAGTGATCCTCCCACCTCAGCCTCCTGAGTAGCTGGGGCCACAGGTGCACACCACCATGCCTTGCTAATTTTTTGTATTTTTGTAGAGATGGGGTTTCTCCATGTTGGCCAGGCTGGTCCCGAATTCCTGGGCTCAAGTGACCCGCCCACCCTGGCCTCCCAAGGTGCTGGGATTACAGGCAGAGCCACGGCGCCCAGCCTCAGCTAGGCCTTATGCTTTATGCAGTGTGTAAAAGAAAACAGCAAAACTGATTAGAGTTCTCCCATGTTTTCTTCCCACTAACCCTCTGGTGAGATCGTGACAAATAAGAAATTGCTTGAAGGCAAGAAGAAGGGCACAAATGAATGTGACACCTATCAATTGATTAACTGGTCCCCACTAGAAAAGGGTTGCTTGTTTGCTTGTTCTCTGAGCTTTGTTTCTTGACCTGAAATGACCGGTAGCTCACAGCCACAGTGCCAAGAGGATGAGAAATCCAAACCGAGTGCATGAAAATGGCTGTAATTATTGTCATTTGGAACCTTGCCCTGGTACAGCTTTATTTTTGATGCCTTTATCTGTGTGGACTTGGCTGGGAGAAGTATGAAGTAATCAGCCCCGCCTGCTGTTCTTTGTTTTTCAGAGGAGTTATTCAAAGTTCGACCCCCTTGGGTGAGTGGAACTTGCTGCTCTAGCGTGCTAAAGCCCAGATGCCAACCACGCCTCTCCCAGACTGTAAGGGAGCGAGTGGGATTACATGAAGCTTTGGAGAAACAGCTTGTTTTGACATCGTTAGAAACCTTGCCCAAGCGGTAAGCAAAATTCCATCTACTGAAGGCTCAACACCATCCCAATACCAATAATTCACTCTAGAATAAATTTAGCTATCACGCAGAAATCTTGTGTAATTCTGTGGCTCATATCCTATGAAATATCAGTAAAGATAATTAATTTTCTAGAACAGTAGTCAAACATGCCTTCTGAAGAGGTAAACATATAACATACAAAACTTACATTTTAAATGTTCTTTTTTTTTTTTTTTTTTGATATGAAGTCTTGCCACATTGCGCAGGCTGGTGTCAAACTTGTGGGCTCAAGCGATCCTCCCGCCATCCTCCCAAATAGCTGCGATTACAGGCATGTGCCACTGAGCCCAGCTTTACATATTCTCAACTCTGCATTGAAGCTATATTGTGGATGTAGTATATTTTCTGTATTAAGTTACTGAACAAAAATAACATTTTTCCACAAGTGTTTTCTACGAAGTAAGAGTATCCAAATGGTATCCAAATATAACTTCCACTTATATTTGTATGTACAAATATAATTCTTTTATAATAGAGAAACATCGGCTGTATTCAGTTACCAAATCATACTATAGAGTGAAATTACCAGAAATTCAATTCTATCTGACATTCATAACCATCACCATTGTGCATCTGCTTAGAATTTCTTTTTAACTTTTAACTTTGGATTTTTTTTTTTTTTTTTTGAGACGGAGTCTCACTCTGTCACCCAGGCTAGAGTGCAGCGGCACAATCTCAGCTTACTGCAAACTCTGCCTCCTGGGTTCAAGCGATTCTTCTGCCTCAGCCTCCAGAGCAGGTGGGACTATAGGTGCGCACTACCATGCCCAGCTAATTTTTGTATTTTGTAGTAGAGACAGGGTTTCACCGTATTGGCCAGGCTGGTCTCAAACTCCTGACCTCAGGTGATCCACCGGCCTTGGCCTCCCAAAGTGCTGGGATTACAGACATGAGCCAGCATGCCCAGCCAACTTTGGATTCTTGAGATCATGTAATCTCACTCACCTAAGTTTCAAATGAGGAAACTGGGGCCTAGGAAGGTGACATGACTTACCCACATGTCAAAGTGTCAAACACTAGAACCTAAAACTCTAAAATTCCAGCACTCTTTCAACTTCACCCACTGATGCTACATATGGATCTCTGTGTATCTGAACATTTGTGAATGTGTGCATGTACATTTACTTGTTCAAGGCACATAAAGAATTTTAAGAGGTCAGGCATGATGGCTCACGCTTATAATCCCAGCACTTTGGGAGGCCAAGGTGGGAGGATCACTTGAATTCAGGAGTTGGAGACCAGCCTAGGCAACACAGCGAGACCCCATCTTTCCCCCCACCCAAAAAAAAATCTGGGTGTGATGGTACACACCTGTGGTCCCAGCTACTCAGGAGGCTGAGGTGGAAGGATTGCTTGAGCCTGGGAAGTTGAGGCTGCAGTGAACTGTGATGACACAACTGCACTCCAGCCTGAGTGAGAGAACAAGACCCTGTCACTTAAATTTTTTTTTTTTATAAAAAGAATTTTAAGAAGCACAGAACAGCCCCTGCTCCTGGTATTGTTGGGGGTGAGGGTGGCTGTGGAGAGAATGAAGACATTACTCAGGAACAACTGAGGCCTAGAAGGAAATTCAAAATCTCTCAGCTACTTCTTTTTAAATATCTTTTTGAACTCCCAAATATGTCATTACCTTCATTTAAGTGCCCAATAAGAGATAAGTAAGTTCCAAGAGACTGCTCCAGCATCCCACATGTGGTGGAGGAGAGGCTCAGAGAACAGATTTGGCCTCACTACACCCAGGAGCTCCATTTACTACTGTCCTCACAAAACACAGGGTGAGGCTAAGGCATGGAGGCCACGTGCCTTGTAGAGTAGAGCTGATGCCCAGAGACATATGCTGTGTACTTACCAAAACTCAAGGTAAGAGAAAATGAAAACTTCTCATATTTCCTTTTACTCCATAGAAGCAATATTTCTGGAAGCCATTCCTACCCTTTATTATCAAAGAAAAATTGGCATGGAGTTCATAAAAATGATGACAGATCTTCATATGCTCTCCGGCCACACTTCATGTTAATATCATCCCGGATTCCTGCGTATGAGGTAGAGTATGTTATGAGGCCAGTCCTGTCCTGATTGTTTTTTTGTTTTTTGTTTTTTTTCATCTAGACTAGAGGGTGTGTGACAAGCTTTTGGCCACCATGTGTATGAAAAATGATTCAACTTCTAAAAGGAAAATCAAGCCAGGTGTGGTGGCACTAACTGTAGTCCCAGCTACTCAGAAGGCTGAGGTGGGAGGATCACTGGAGCCCAGGAGATGGAGGCTGCAGTGAACTGTGATCACACCACTGCACTCCAGCCTGGGCAACAGAGTGAGACTCTGTTTCTATAAAAAAAAAAAAAAAAAAAAAGGCCAGGTGCAGTGACTCACACCTATAATCCCAGCACTTTGGGAGGTCAAGGTAGGTGGATCACCTGAGGTCAGGAGTTCAAAACCAGCCTGGCCAACATGACGAAACCCCATCTCTACTAAAAGTAGAAAAAAAATAGCCGGGTGTGGTGGTGTGTGCCTGTAGTCCCAGCTACTCGGGAGAGTGAGGCATGAGAATCGCTTGAACCCAGGAGATGGATGTTGTAGTGATCAGGACACTGCACTCCAACCTGGGTGACAGAGTAAGACACTGTCTCAAAACAAAACAAAACAAAACAAACAAAAACCCCAGAAGCAATAAAGGTAATCATAAATCAAAATTATTTTGAAAAAGCATTAAAGGCCCAAACTTTTTTTTTTTTTTTTTTTTTTTTTTTTTTTTTGAGATGGAGTCTCACTCTGTCGCCCAGGCTGGAGTGCAGTGGCGCAATCTCGGCTCACTGCCAGCTCTGCCTCCCGGGTTCACACCATTCTCCTGCCTCAGCCTCCTGAGTAGCTGGGACTACAGGCGCCCGCCACCATGCCCGGCTAATTTTTTTTTTTTTTTTTTTTTTAGTAAAGACGGGTTTAGCCGTGTTAGCCAGGATGGTCTCGATCTCCTGACCTCGTGATCCGCCTGCCTTGGCCTCCCAAAGTGCTGGGATTACAGGCGTAAGCCACCGCACCCAGCCTAAAGGCCCAAACTTTTAACTGAGGCCTTTTAACTGAGAGGTGATAACTCACTCAAGTGTCAAAGTTGCAAACAATAGAACCTAAAATCCTAAAATTCCAACACTCTTTTAGCTTCACCCATTGATGCTACATGTAGACCTCTGTGTCTGAACATTTGTGAGCGTGTGTATTAGTCTGTTCTCACACTGCTATAAAAAATACCCAAGATTGGGTAATTTATAAAGGAAAGAGGTTTAATTAACTCACAGTTTCACGTGGCAAGGAGGCCTCAGGAAACTTACAGTCATGGCAGAAGGCTAAGGGGAAGCAAGGACCTTCTTCACATGACAGCAGGAGAGAGAAGAATGAGCAGAGGAAATGCCAGACACTTATGAAGCCATCAGATCTCATGAAAACTCACTCAGTGTCATGAGAACGGCATGCGGGAAACTGCCCTCATGATCCAGTCACCTCCCACCAGGTCCCTCCCTCGACACACAGGGATTATGGGGATTACAATTCAAGATGAGATTTGGTTAGGGACACAAAGCCAAACCATATCAGTGTGCATGTCCAATAAATTTTTGTTGAATTGAATTTGTTGCATTTAATCCAAAAAAGGAGCATGCTGATTAAGAATTACTTTAAAACTTCTCTGAAATTCCCAAATAGTATTATGTAACCACCATCTCAAAAAAGAAGAATGTCAGAAATCCTGTTTGGTTTTTCTATAATGAAGTTATATATTTTAATTTTAATATGAATAATATAAAAATAAAGGAAGCACAAAGATGACCTTTGTATCTATATATGTGAGTGTATATGTATGTATATATGTGTACCTGTATGTATTAATATGCACACATAGGGATATATACTTAGAAAAGTTTCTATTTGTAACAAAATAGCTCCTTTTAAGATATGAACTCACTTCTTCCGGGCATCTAAGAGTCAGCTCTAATCACTGATAACCGGTGAGCTCAGTGGATCCACATGAAAGCAAGATCAGATCCTTGATCTCCATGTGGGCCATAGCTTCCACAGTGTTTAACAATGCATCATGCTGGCCGGGCATGGTGGCTTACACCTATAATCCCAACATTTTAGGAGGCAAAGGCAGGATAATTGCTGGGACTACAGCTACACGCCACCACACCCACCTAATTTTTGTATTTTTTGTAGAGACAGGGGTTTCCTCATGTTGCCCAGGCTGGTCTCTAACTCTTGAGCTCAAGTTATCCGTCAGCCTCGGTCTCCCAGAGTGCTGGGATTACAAGTGTAAGCCACTGTGCTTGGCCATTATTACTTTTTAAAAGTTATTTATATGTCTTTGTGCATGGCGTGCATAAAGATTAAAAGGCTGGAAGAAAGTAATCTAAATTGTTAATAGTATTTATCTCTGAGTAGAATTACATGTGTACTTAATTTTCTCCTCCTATAATTAGAAATAAACTAATTTTAATAGAAACCAAGGAGGAAGCTTATCTTCTTCCATAATCTCTGAAAATTCTTTAGAAATCACGGCGTATTTTGTATCCGTTCTATTTCTTTCATTAATAAATATTCTAAAATAGTGGGTCTTGGCTCTTACAGCTTTGGTTTCATTCTCCAGATGGTGATGGAGAGTGTGAAGGCTGGTGTTGTTTCTGTGGTATATGAACACAGCGTAACCTTGGAAAGCCTTCTGTATCTTATAGAAAAAGCTCTGGATGGGCAGAAGGCACAGAGCATCGGAATATTTAGCGATGGAGACAGCAGAGAAATCAATTTACTCCAAGGTAGGCCTGGGGATTGGCGGATGAACAACCATGGAACTTCGCGCTGTGCACTTTGTCCACAGTGTGACTTCCGGAGGACTATCTCAGTTCCAAGTTGCTAAGACGTGTTGATTTTTTGGCTTTATGAAAAAAGCGAAGCTTTTTTTTTTTTTTTTTAATTCAGGGTCTCTGTCACCCAGGTTGGAGTGCACTGGTGTGATCACGGCTCACTGCAGCCTGGACTTCCCAGGCTCAAGTGATCTACCCACCTCAGCCTCCTGAGCAGCTGGGACCACAGGTGTGTGCCGCCACGCCCAGCTAATTTTTGTATTTTTTGTAGAGATGGGGTTTCTCCATGTTGCCCATGCTGGTCCCAAACTCTCTCCTGCCTTAGCCTCTCAAAGGGCTGGGATTACAGGGGTGAGCCACCACACCCCAGCTGTGAAGCAATTTTTTTGATGACCGTTTTTTCAAATTTTGATTAAAGAAACACGTTACTGTCTTAACCATTTTGAAGTGTGCAGTTCAGTATTGTTTGTTCACATTGTTGTGAAACAGCTCTCCAAAAATTTTCCATCTTGCAAAACTGAAACTCTGTGCCCACTGAAAAAAAACTTCTCTTTTCTCCTCTCCACAGGCCCTGACAACCACCATT
Organism: Homo sapiens; assembly: GCF_000001405.40. NCBI lineage: Eukaryota > Metazoa > Chordata > Mammalia > Primates > Hominidae > Homo > Homo sapiens. The sequence goes on from NC_000006.12 coordinate 138,850,069, forward strand.
CGACTTCATTTCTATGAATTTGAGTATTTTAGATACTCTTATAGGAGAGTCACACAGTATTTGTCGTTTTGTGACTTTTTTCTTTTTTCGAGACAGAGTCTTGCTCTTGTCGCCCAGGCTGGAGTGCAGCGGCACAATCTCAGCTCACTGCAACCTCTCTCTGCCTCCGGGGTTCAAGCGATTCTCCTGCCTCAGCCTCCCAAGTAGTTGTGATTACAGGCGTCCACCACCATGCCTGGCTAATTTTTCTATTTTTAGTAGAGACAGGGTTCCACTATGTTGGCCAGGATGGTCTTGCACTCATGACCTCCAGTGATCCACCTGCCTCGGCCTCCCAAAGTGCTGGGATTACAGGCATGAGCCACTTTGCCCGGCTGTGACTGGCTTATGTCACTTGGTATAATGTCCTGAAAGGTCATCCATGTTGTATGTGTTCCTTTTAAGGGCATGTATGTATATAGTATGTTTTATCTGTTCATCCACTGATGGAAACTGGGTTGCTTCCACTTCTATTGTGAATAGTGCTGCTATTGTTGAATATGGGTATGCAACCATCTCTTTGAGATCCTGCTTTCAATTTTGGATATATACCCAGAAATGGGATTGATGGATTATATGATAGTTCTATTTTTACCTTTTAAAGAAATCTCCTGCCTGGTGCAGTGGCTCACGCCTATAATCCCAGCGCTTTGGGAGGCTGAGGCAGGTGGATCATCCGAGGTCAGGAGTTCAAGACCAGCCTGACCAACATAGAGAAACCCCATCTCTACTAAAAACACAAAATTAGCTGGGTGTGGTAGTACATGCCTGAAATCCCAGCTACTCGGGAGGCTGAGGCAGGAGAATCGCTTGAACCTGGGAGGCGGACGTCGCGGTGAGCCAAGATTGCACCTCCAGCCTGGGCAATAAGAGCGAAACTCCATCTCAAAAAAAAAAAAAAAAAAAAAAAAAAAAAGAGAAAGAGAGAAAGAAAAAGAAATCTTGAATTCTCGATGCTGTTTTCCATAGCAGTTGCATCATTTCATAATCCCACCAACAGTGCACGACATTTACAATCTCTACACATCCCACATCCTTGCCAACACTTATTTTCTGTGTGTATCTGTGCTTTTTTTTTGTTTTGTTGGTTTTTTTCTTGGAGACAGAGCCTCGCTCTGTTTCCTAAGGTGAAATGCAGTGGTGTGATCATAGCTTATTGTAGCCTTGAACTCCTAGGCTCAAGTGATCCTTTTTCCTCAGTGTGTCCTAAGTAGCTGATGCACACCATCATATCCAGCTAATTTCTATTTTTATTTTTTAGAGATGGGGTCCCACTACATTGTCCAGGCTGGTCTGGAACCCCTAGCCTCAAGCAATCCTTCCACCTCAGCCCCTAATGTGCTAGAATTACAGGTGTGGGCCACTGTGCCTAGCCTTTTTTTTTTTTTTTTTTTTTTTAAATAGTAGCCATCCTAATGGATGTAATATCTCATTGTGGTTTTGATTTGCATTTCTCTGATTAGTGATGTCAAGCATCTTTTAATAGGCTTGTTGGCCATTTGGTTATCTTCTTCAGAGAAATGTCTATTCAAGTCCTTTGCACATTTTTAAAAATTGGGTTATTTGATTTTTTTCACTGTTGAGTTATAGTTCATATATTCTAAATACTATTCCCTTATCAAATATATGATTTGCAAATATTTTCTCCCATTGCATAGATTTCATTTTCACTGTGTTGATTGTACACTTTGATGCACAAAAGTTTTAAATTTGATGAAAGTGCAGCAATTTTAATAGTAAATACCAAGATCTATAAATTGGTGTACACTAACAACATTTATTATATTCCTAGTTGGCTACAGATTTATTATATTCCTAGTTTCCTACAAAGGAAAGGAATGGCTGATATCATCAACTTGTTACAGGGCAGCCGTCAAAAATCTCAGTGGGGTGGAGCATGGTGGCTCATACCTGTAATCCTGGCACTTTGGGAGGCTGAGGTAGGCGGCTCTCTTGAGCCCAGGAGCCCACAGCAGCCTGGGCAACATGGCGACACCCCATCTGTACAAAAAATACAAAAAAATTAGCTGGGCGTGGTGGCACACACCTCTGTAGTCCCAGCTACTCCTTGGGAGGATCCCGGCGGGGCAGAGGTTGAAGTCAGTCATTGAGCCACTGCACTCCAGCCTGGGCTACAGAGCAAGACCCTGTCTTAAAGAAAAACAAAAACAAACCAAAAACCCCCCAGCCCTCTGCCCCTCAAAACAAACCTCAACGGTTACTTTTTTTTTTTTTTCCGGGAGAAAGAGATGATGAATGTTTTAGAAGTAGACGTCTAGTTTCTATTTTTTTCTTATAGCTTGCATTGTTCCTTGCTTATACTTAAAGTAAAATTGTTTTAAAACTTACTCAAATGAAATCTTCCATTATTGTGGGATGAGGGGAGAGAAGGAATAAGATGATCCCAGATATGGCTGGAGTAAACCAGCAAAATGGCAAAGTGAGTCCCTGAGACACCCGTCAAATTGCCATCTCTGTGGTTGGGACTTCGTGTACTTGGAAAGTTTCAGTGAAATTTATCATTGGCAGAAACGAATTGACGTTTGTTTCACTTTACCTTACTTCTGGTTTTCCTTGTTTAGCTTACCTGTGCCTGGGGCAAGTTGTGTTCCACATCAGTTTTCTATGTCCTCCCAAAGTAAAGCACAGATACTATTTGTTTGGGGTTTAAATTTAAATGACATGGTAACTCTTCTCTAAATGGTGCAGAGATATTGGCAAGTTTATATGATGGGAGTAAGTTTATCTCGTGTGGAATGTCCTGTTAGAGTTTCTTGATCTCAGCCTTTTTGTTCTCCAGGTAAGAAAAGTTTTCAAACTCTGCCTTTTCCTCATTCTGGGTGTTTTTTGTTTGTTTGTTTATTTTTTGTTTTTGTTTGAGATGGAGTCTCGCTCTGTCGCCCAGGCTGGAGTACAGCGGCACGATCTTGGCTCACTGCAACCTCCACCTCCTGGGTTCAAGCGATTCTTCTGCCTCAGCCTCCTGAGTACCTGGGACTACAGGTGTGCACCACCACGCCCAGCTGACTTTTGTATTTTTAGTAGAGATGGGGTTTCACCATATTGGCCAGGCTGATCTCAAACTCCTGACCTTGTGATCCACCTGCCTCGGCCTCCCAAAGTGTTGGGATTACAGGCGTGAGCCACCGCGCCTGGCCCTTATTTTGTTTTTCTTAAGCAACAGTAACAGCAACAAAATACCTCAAAGACCTAGTTTACTTCTATATAATTGTGTTTTCCCAAAAGCTTTTGCTTTAAAAACAACATCAAAACAAAGTCTGCTACCCTGTCACATGAAGAAGTCCTTTCTAGATATTTATAAAATATCTAGACCTCCCAGTGGGAGGGAGTGAAACATCAGAATTCTTTGCCTGTTTTCATTTCATCACCGGAGCCTGGGGATGCGGAGTTTCCAGGACTCCTTTAGAAATGGGTCCAGACCCATGCAGCTTAGTGGAATCATCACACAGAATTGTCGGGAAGTGAGAGAAAAGGAGAGTTTCAGTTGCTGTTTACCATCTCTGGGAGCCTTAACTTCTGCTCTGCACTACTTATTTTTTGATTGACAATCCTGGGAAACATTTCTACTTTGGAACTTGGTTGCAAAATCCCAGGACTTGCTGACCGTCCCCCTAAACCCTGCATGCGCCTGATATCTTACCCTGCTGCACAGTGGAGGCAGAAATGCAATGTCGTAAACCTGAGTGCATAGTGTCCAATTTACCCAGGATGTGAAGGAGACCAGGACCATGGAGATGGCTCCAACATGGTACGGGAGGAAGCAGAGATGCCTCAGGTGTCTTGGTCTTGCAGGCAGATGGCATTTTGATTTTGTGCTTACATTTTCACAAGCTGCTAATAATTTCTGTTCAGTATTATGTTACAAGCTAATATGACATTTTGATTTTTTTTCCTCAGGCTATAAAATTGGTGTTAAAAATTTACTGAGGCCTGAAGTGAGAGATTTCTGGGAGAAATTAGGAAGCTATGTGGCCACTGAAGAAGAAGGGGGTCACGTGGACTTCTTCGTGCCCCTTGGAGCATCAGGTTAGCTCAGAACACCTTATAGAGAGACAGTGGCCATGCCACTTCATGGGGATATGTTGTGAATTATTGAAGTGCCCCTGGGTCAAATGATTCAGTCACATTTCACGCTTCAATTTCTTTTTTCTTTGTACTTCACATATCCAGGTATTTCAAGAAAGTAGCAGTGAGGGATAGTGATGAAAGTAACCTGTCTCTACAGAAATACGGTCCCTAAATGGCAAGACCCAGGAGCATTATTTATATTTATTCTGGAAAACACAATAACACCAGTATCCAGGATATAAGGGAAAGTGCCTGACCATCATAGGAGCCATAATCATTCAATCCGAGAAAACACCCCCTGCCGCCTTCTGAACCTGGAGTAGGCATGAACTTTGGTGACCAAGAACCTGAACTTGAGTCCCGCCAATGTCATTGTTTAGCTTTGTGGCATTAGGCAAACTTGTGGACCTCCATTTCCTCATATGAAATTTAGAACAATGGTACCTTAGTGCATCTTAAGGACTTATGAATCTCAAGATGACATATTTAAATAATAAACACAGTGTAAATTCTTAGATAATATTAAAAACAGTGAGGTGCTTTGTAAAGATGAGTATGGCTAATGATGACTGAGGTTGCTGATATCATTTTAAGTGGCTGCCTGTCTAGAATCAGCAACTGTGATTCAAAGTTGACTTCTATGCTTGAAGAGAAACTTCAGAAGCATTAAGTCAAATTCATTCTTTGGAGATCTGTTCAATAAAAGCTCTGCATTCATGCACAATGTTTACAAGGAGAGCAGGGGAGAGGGAATGTGAAATTAAATTTTCTCATACTGTTTTTTTTTGTTGTTGTTGTTAGCCATTCCTTGGGTAACTGTGAGTTTTAAAATTCTTTCTACTCCTCAAATTTCACAGGACTGTTCAACATATGCAAAGCAAGCCCCCTGGCAGGCTTCAATCAGAGGACAGGAAAAAATAAAAAGAATGGGAAAGAATTGTTTTAAACATGTAAATTTACAAAGTTATTCCAATTATATTTATATACATATATATATTTATTAAATCTCATTTATGTAGAAAATATGCTGGTCAGGTGTGGTGGCTCACACCTGTAATCCCAGTACTTTGGGAGGCCAAGGTGGGCAGATCAACTGAGGTCAGGAGTTCGAGACTAGCCTGGCCAACATGGCAAAACCCCATCTCTACTAAAAATAGAAAAAAATAGCTGGGCGTGGTGGCAGACACCTGTAATCCCAGCTACTCGGGAGGCTGAGGCAGGAGAATCACTTGAACCTGGGAGGCAGAGGTTGCAGTGAGCCAAGATCGCACCACTACACTCCAGCCTGGGCGACAGAGTGAGACTCCACCTCAGAAAAAAAAGAAAATATGCATAGAAAAATCTAAAAGGAAATATACCAAAATATTAACAGCACCTATTTCTAGATGTGTTTTATAATTTTTCTACTTTTCTACTTTGAAATTAGTTTTAAAAGACTAGGTTACAAAGAGTTGGATGGTGTGATCTCATTGTTTAAAACATGCATATGTGTGAGGTGGTGTATGTATAGAAAAAGATTTGGAAGGATGTATACCAAGGTATTCACACTGGTTGGATATAAGTGAGTTTTCCTTTTTCTCTCCCTTTTAAAAAATGTATTTTGTCTCAATTTCCTGTAATGAACTAATATTACTTTTATAATAGAACAAAGCGAATATTTTAAGTGAAGAAGAAAAAGAAAGGACTTGGGAAAGTATTGAAAGGCAGAGTAAGAATAAAGCGGGAAAAGTGGATTTGGTGACATAAAAATTGTCTCAAGTGAAACTTAATGACACTCAAAAAATAGGCTTTCTATCACCATTCTGGGCCCCGAAATTCTCATCAAATGTAATATCCACCTGGATGCATCAAAGATCATTGACTTCTCAGTCCAAATGTCTCTTTTCCACCACTTCAGGCATCCCTCTTAGGCTTGTCAGCCCAGTGGCTGTAAATCACTCCTAAAATCTCGATTTCAAGTATTTGAGAACCATTTTCAAATCATGTACTCAAATACCCCCACCACAGCAATTCTTTTTGTCTCCCCCACCCCACCGCCCGAGATGTCTCGTTCTGTCGCCCAGACTGGAGTGCAGTGGCGTGATCTCGGCTCACTGCAACCTTCCGCCTCCCGGGCTCAAGCGATTCTTCTGCCTCAGCCTCCAAGTAGCTGGGACTACAGGCATGTGCCACCACACCCGGCTAATTTTTGTAATTTTAGTGGAGACGGGGTTTCACCATATTGGCCAGGCTGGTCTAGAACTTCTGACCTCATGATCCGCCCACCTCAGCCTCCCAAAGTGCTGGGATTACAGGCATGAGCCACCACACCTGGCCCAGCAATTCTTTGTCTAAGACCTCCAGCCTACACACTCCAACTTTTTCACTACCACCATGTCTTCATTTTTGCTTCCTTCCTTGTTAAACTTGGATTTAATGGCCCAATTTTCTCACCACTCCCTTGCAAAGAATCTGAACTTGTCTCTCTTTTTTGGCTAAATCCCAATTCATTTGGTTAAAACACAACTCTCTGCACACACTATACCTGTGGGTACTAAAGCAGCTTTAAAGACTGTTGGAATAAGTGATACAACCGTTCTGATTGGTCTAACTTTACTTTGGTGACATAACTGTCAAATGGGATTGCAACACCGATGAGCAATTTCCTTGGTAAATTCATTTTCACACTCTTTGAGATGACAATTTTATCTCTTCTCTTTAGACAATCTTTCAATAACCCTGTCTCTCAGCTTTGACCTCACCTTTTACTTCGCCAAGCAAACTGAATCATATGGGAACTCCCTAATTTTCCTCCTACCGTCGAATCCACCACCAGCTCCACCTCTTACTTTTTATTCTCTGTCTTCCCTTCGCCCTGATGGAAGAAGCATCCCTCTCAAACAAGATCAGATACTGCACTTGGAATCTAGCCCGTTGCCTTTCATCTTCTCCAGACTTCCACATCCAATCCTCTCCTGTGCCCTCATTTCTCTTTATTGGATTGTTTCTATCAAATCAGAAACACCTGTAGTATCTCCTGCCTTAAAAAAATAAAAGGACAATAAGCTTTCCCTCACCACTTTTTAAGTTGACAAGACCAGAGGTTCTCAGACTTGAGCGCGCATCCATATCACCTGGAGGGCTGGTTAAACTACACATTGCTGGGTCCCACCTAGAGTTTCAGACTCAGTTAAGTCTGGGGTGGGGCTGGAGAATTTTCCTTTCTATCAAGTTTCCAGGTGATGGTGATGCTGCTGCCTCTAGGCCCTCCATCCTCACCTCCCACACTCTCCTCAAGCTCCTCCAGTGGGTCTCTGTCTGTACTGGCACTACTTTTGGAGGACTGTAAGTGACTTCCATGTGCTCAAATCCAGTGGTCCCTGCTCCATTCCCACCTCACTTTGACTTTATGGAAGCATCTGATGCAGAGGAACGCCCCTTCTTGAAATACTCCTTCTCTTGGTGTCCCTAATACCACACTCTCCCTGTTTCCTCCCACCTCAGTGCCCTCTTCTCAATCTCCTTTGCAGGCTCTTCTTTCTCTGCAAGATCCTTAAATATTCCCTAGGGCTTGATCCTAGCCTCTCTCCTTTTCCACATACGCACTCTCCTCCCTAGGCAGTCTCACTATTCCTATGTGTATTATTCCATTCTCACGCTGCTATGAATAACTGCCCGAGACTGGGTAATTTATAAAGGAAACAGGTTTACTTGACTCACAGTTCTGCAGGGCCGGGGAAGCAAACACATCCTTCTCCACGTGGCGGCAGGAGGAGGAAGAATGAGAACTGAGGAAAAGAGGAAGCCCCTTATAAAACCATCAGATCTCGTGAGAACTCACTCGCTCTCACGAGAAGAGGATGGGGGAGATTGCCCCCTTAATTCAATTATCTCCACCTGGTCCCACCCTTCACACGTGAGGATTATTACAATTCAAGATGAGATTTTGGGTGGGGACACAGCCAAACCATATCACTATGACTCTAAATGTAATTTATATGCTGAGGACCCCAAATTTATGTCTCCAGCTCTGAAATCTCTGAGCTGCAGACTCATATCTAATTCCCACTTGGAATCTTCATACTGGATGTTTAATTTTCACATCTAATAGACATCTCAAAGTTAAATCAAACCCTTGATTGCCTCCCCAGCTCCAAACCTACCCCTTCCCCAGATTCCTCAGTAAAAATATCATTCAACAGTTACTGCATAAGCCAAAAATCTAAGAATCTGAGACTCATTCTTTTTGGCATTAAAAACATTTTTAAACAGCATTATTGAAATATAATTAATATACAATAAACTGTACATAATAAAAGTGTGCAATTGACTAAATTCTGACATATGTAGGCCTGCCCCATGAAACCATAAGAAAAATCAAGAAAATGAACATATTCACTACCCCCAAAAGTTTCCTCATGCCATTCCATAATTTCTCTCTGCTGCTCCTCCCCACCCCCAACCTGAGGCAGCCACTGGTCTTTCTTTCACATATATTAGTTTTCATCTTCTAGAATTTTCCTTTTTTTTTTTTTTTTTTTTTTTTTTTGAGACAGGGTCTGCTTTGTTGCCTAGGCTGGAGTGCAGTGATGAAATCACGGCTCAGTGCAGCCTCAACTTCCCGGGGTCAAGCGATCCTCCCACCTCAGCCTCCTGAGTAGCTGGGACTACAGGCACACAACACCATGCTTGGCTAATTTTTTTTTATTTTTAGTAGAGACAGGGTCTCCCTATGTTTCCCAGGCTCGTCTTGAGCTCCTAGGCTCAAGCAATTCTCCTTCCTCAGCCTGCTGGGATCACAGGTGTGCACCATCCCGCCTGGCCTAGAATTTTCCTTTTCCTTTTCTCTTTTTTAATATGGAACAGCTCAAAAATTTGCAGGTCATCTTTGTGCAGAGGCCACACTAATCTTCTCTGTATTGTTCCAATTTTAGTATATGTGCTGCCAAAGCAAGCACTGGCCTAGAATCTTCTATAAATGGCATCATACAGTATGTATTCTCTGTCTGACTTTCTTCATTCAATCATTATTTTAGATTTACCCATCCGATCCATGTATCAGTATCTCCTTTTTACTACTGGGAATTATTACATTCTACACGTATACCACAATTTGTTTATCCATTAATTTGTTGATAGATAAATTTGAGTTCTTCCTGGTTTCTGCTTTTACAAATAAAGCTGCTATGAACTTATGCTTTCATTTCTCTTGGATGAATACCTGGGAGTAGAGTGGCAAGGTTATATGTAGACGTATGTTTAACTTTATGAAAACACCAGCTAAACTGATTTCCAAAGTGACTTTAGCATTTTACATTTCCACAAGCAGTATCTGAGAACTCTAGTTGCCTATCATTTTACCACTTGGTACGGCCAGTCTTTTTGATTTTAGCCATTTGGGTGGGTATGTGGTGGTATCTCATTGCAGTTTTAATTTGCATTTTCCTAATGACGAATGATGCTCAAGATCTTTTCATGTGCTTATTTGCCATTCTTTTGACCATCTTAAAAACTAGGTTGTTTGTTTTCTTATTCAGCTTTAAGAGCTCTTTATACATACTGGATAAAAATATTTTCTACAGTCTGTAGAAAATATTTTTTCCTTCTCTGAACAGTTTCTTTTGAAGCACAGTTCTTTTTTTTTTTCTTCTTTTTTTTGAGACAGAGTTTCACTCTTGTTGCCCAGACGAATGCAATGGCGCGATCTCGGCTCACTGCAACTTCTGCCTCCCAGGTTCAAGCAATTCTCCTGCCTCAGCCTCCTGAGTAGCTGGGATTACAAGATTACAGATGCCCGCCACCATGCCCGGCTAATTTTTTAATATTTTTAGTAGAGACAGGGTTTCACCATGTTGGCCAGGCTGGTCTTGAACTCCTGACCTCAGGTGATCTGCCCACCTTGGCCTCCCAAAGTGCTGGGATTACAGGCATGAGCCACCGCGCCCAGCCTGAAGCACAGTTCTGAGTTTCGATGACATCAAATATATCAAATGCTCTTGTATAGATCATCTTTGGCATCATATCTAAAAACGATTTACCTAACCAAAGGCCACTAAGATTTTCTCCTATGTTTTTTCTAAATGATTTATAGTTTTAAGCTTGACTTTTAGGTCTGTGATCCACTTGACTGTTTTTTTAATGTAATATATGAGATATGGATAGAGGTTAATTTTTTTTTTTACATATGGCTAGTTGTTTCTTCACCATTCCTTATAACTACTATCCTTTTTCCAGTGAATTTCATTTGCACCTTTGTTGAAATCTATTGACTATGTATGTGTACATTGGACTCTCTACTTGATTTCATTGATGAATTTGTCAATAAAAGTGCTATAGACATCAGTAAGTGAGAGACATCCCAAACTTTCAGCTGCTGTCATCCTGTTTCATGCAGTAATTGAAGCATTTTGGAGTATTTATTTATTCTTGGACCACAAATAGTTAAAATAAATTACCCATTTCATTCCAAGTAATTCAACCTGTATGCTGAATTAAATAATTCAATCTATATGTTGTGCCACTGAAGGGGCTATTTTTTTTTTTTTTTTTTTTACTTTAAGTTCTGGGATACAAGTGCAGTGTGTGTAGCTTTGTTACATGGGTATACATGTGCCATGGTGGTTTGCTGCACTTATCAACCCGTCGTCTAGGTTTTAAGCCCTGCACGCATTAGGTATTTGTCCTAATGCTCTCCCTCCCCTTTCCCGCCAACCCCCTGACAGGCCCCAGTGTGTGATGTTCCCCTCCCTGCATCCATGTGTTCTCATTGTTCAACTTCCACTTACGAGTGAGAACATGCAGTGTTTGGTTTTCTGTTCCTGTGTTAGTTTGCTGGGGATGATGGCTTCCAGTTTCATCCATGTCCCTGCAAAGGACATGAACTCATTCTTTTTTATGGCTGCCTAGTATTCCATGATGTATATGTGCCACATTTTCTTTATCCAGTCTACGAATGATGGACATTTGGGTTGGTTCCAAGTCTTTGCTATTGTAAATAGTGCTGCAATAAACATACATGTTCATGTGTCTTTATACTAGAATGATTTATAATCCTTTGGGTATATACCCAGTAATAGGATTCCTGGGTCAAATGGTATTTCTGGTTCTAGATCCTTGAGGAATCGCCACACTGTCTTCCACAATGGTTGAACTAATTTACACTCCCACCAACAATGGAAAAGTATTCCTATTTCTCCACAGCCTCGCCAGCATCTGTTGTTTCCTGACTTTTTAATAAATCACCATTCTAACTGGCGTGAGATGGTATCTCATTGTGGTTTTGATTTGCATTTCTCTAATGACCAGTGATGATGAGCTTTTTTTCATGTGTTTGACGGCCGCATAAATGTCTTCTTTTGAGAAGTGTCTGTTCACATCCTTTGCCCACATTTTGATGGGGATTTTTTTTTCTTGTAAATTTGTTTAAGTTCCTTGTAGATTCTGGATATTAGCCCTTTGTCAGATGGATAGATTGCAAAAATTTTCTCCCATTCTGTAGGTTGCCTGTTCACCCTGATGATAGTTTCTTTTGCTGTGCAGAAGCTTTTTAGTTTAATTAGATCCCACTTGTCAATTCTGGCTTTTGTTGCAATTGCTTTTGGTGTTTTAGTCATGAAGTCTTTGCCCAGGGAAGGGGCTAAATTTTAACCATCATATTCCATCCTGTTTTTAACTTTTTAAAATCTGTCCTCTTACAATGAGACTTCTCCTTTGAGTCAGACTATTTTAGAAAAAAATATATAGATTTTTCTCTTTCTTTGGGCTGGGTATTCCAAATCTGAAAATAAGCCTCAGATCAAACTCCATGCCCTCTTTCCCCATCCTGTAGTTTAGTCCTCAGACTGTTTCAGCTTCAATATTTAGGGGTGAATGATGAAGTGTTCATGGACTGTTCAATGGAGAGGTTTGAATGGAAGATGAGAACTGCTAGTGGCCTTTCTTGGCCATCTCTTTAGTGCCCCTACGTAATATTTAACTGCTCTGGATTAGTCTGTTCTTGCATTGCTATAAAGAAATACCTGAGGATGGGTAATTTATAAAGAGAAGAGGTTTAATTACTTCATGGTTCTCCAGGCTGTATAGGAAGCATGCCACTGGCATCTGCTTGGCATCTGGTGAGGGCCTCAGGGAGCTTATAATCACGGCAGAAGGTGAAGGGGCAGGTGGTGTGTCACATGGCAAGAGCAGGAACAAGAGAGAGGGAGGAGGTGCCACACACTTTTAAACAACCAGATCTTGTGTGAACTCAGAGTGAGAACTCACTCATCACTAAGGGGATGGCACTAGTTATTCATGAGGGATCCGCCCTCATGATCCCTCCTGCCAGGCCCCACCTCCAACGTTGGGGATTAGATTTCAACATGAGATTTGGAGGGAACAAATATCCAAGTTATATGATCTTCCATGGCAAAATATATGAGGAAACTAACGAAAGTGTTTTTGACTATGCAGAGGCAGGAATTGAAGTTCTTTCCCAGCTGTCTCAACTAACTGGCACGTTCTTTACGGCCCCCACTGGGATTGCAACTGGCTCTTACCAGCACAGTAAGTGTTATGGGAGCTGAGCGCCACGTCCAATAACACAAGCCAACTCCAGAATCACCAAAAGACAAAATCCAGTTAATAGTACTGGTATGGCTGATATCCATTACTCTCTTTCATTCCTCCCCTGAAGGAACGCTATTAGTTCCCAAACTAGGTAATCTCCTATCATTCAGTCATTTGCTTAGAACAGGATTATTTATTGCACATATTTGCCCCAAATCATCATTTTCAAAAACTGTTGAAAACATAATCTTTAGCAATTAAGCAAAGTTGCTGATCTAGAAAAGTAAGAAGTACAAAGAAAAACTTTTCTTAGTAACATATATATAGTCAATATGGTTTTATTTGGAAAAATAAATCGTAGCTACAAAGAGATGGCAAAGAGGCTGGCTTAGTTTCCATTACAGTAGCATTATCTGAGAGGAAAAACAATCAGAGAAAATACACCTGAAAGCAAACTTTCATTTAGATACTAAAGCTGCAAATTTAGATTAAAATGTAACACGGGCTGACCAACAACAGAACCAAATTGCTTTGTTACACCGACACCACTCATTTTCCTCTTTAAAACACCCTTGATTCCTATCAAGTAGGGCTGAGAGTGATGCAGAAACTATATAAATCATTGCTTCTCTACTCCTAAATGCCAAGGGCCTTTTAGAACTTGGGAAAGCTGGCACAACTGTGAAACTGGTAAGGGAAAATATTCTTTGTAGATATAACAAAAGTGCTTTGACCTAACATAGTTTTGAAGCAGAGGTCACTTGCTAATTTTAGTTAATATAGCAGCGTCACCAAACGGTAGCACATTTGGCTCTGCGGAGAGAGGAACTGGCCTAGCAGAGCACAGCAGGGTATGAACGCTGTTGCTGGTAATAGGGAACAGGTTTTCTTTCTTTTTTTTTTTTTGAGACAGAGTCTCACACTGTTGCCAGGCTGGAGTGCAGCGGCACGTTCTCGATCTAGGCTCACTGCAACCTCCGCCTCCTGGGTTCAGGCGATTCTCCTGCCTCAGCCTCCTGAGTAGCTGGGACTACAGGCATGTGCCACCACGCCCGACTAATTTTTGTATTTTTAGTAGAGACGGGGTTTCACCATGTTGGCCTGGATGGTCTTGATCTCCTGACCTTGTGATCCGCCCGCCTCAGCCTCCCAGTGTTGGGATTACAGGCGTGAGCCACCGCATCTGGCCGGGAACAGGTTTTCTTCTTTTTCTCCTCCTCTGCCTTCCTTTCCTCCTGTTCATCCTCCTTTTCCCTCTCTTGTTCTCATTCTCCGTATTTAAAAAAAAAAAAAAAAAAAAAAAAAAAGCATGTTGTGGCCGGGCGCAGTGGCTCACACCTGTAATCCCAGCACTTTGGGAGGCTGAAGCAGGCAGATCACCTGAGGTCAGGAGTTCGAGACCAGCCTGCCCAACATGGTGAAACCCCGTCTCTACTAAAAATACAAAAATAAGCTGGGCAGTAGTGGCACACATCTGTAATCCCAGCTACTCAGGAGGCTGAGGCACGAGAATTGCCTGAACCCGGGAGGCGAAGGTTGCAGTGAGCTGAGGTCGTGCCACCATACTCCAGACTGGGTGACAGAGCAAGACTGTCTCAAACAGAAACAAAAACATGTTGTGAACCTTTTCACATGTCTATCAGTAACAGTAGAGGAAACAAAGCAAATACACTATGTATCCATTCAGGACAGAAAATCAAATTTAACACACCACTGCATCATCCAGTAATTGTTTTTTAAGAAGAGAAACTTTCTTTAAGCACCTGCTACAGTCCTGTAGACAGATTTGTAGAGCGAGGTAGCAGTTTGACATAATTTAAGAAAGATAAGGATTTGGTGATGACAGGGTTGACTTCCATTGGCGATGACAGGGTTGACTTCCAATGGCCTGATGGGGAAGCCGTGTAGCGTGGGATTTCTTGTGTTTTCACTTTTAGACTGGAAAGATAAAGCAGTGCATTCTTCCTCAGATGACAGCTCAGCTTCCCAATGCACAATCCAGCAGCTGTTTTTTTTCTTTAAACATTGAATGGAATATGTCAGCCTCAGCTATCAAAGAGTAGACATGCATTTGAAATGATTCATTGAATCCTTTTCGAGTTTCTAATTTTACCTTTGAAAACAGAGGATGGGTGTTTGTCTTAGTCTTCTAATGAGAAACGATAATAAACTCAATACAAATGCAACTAAGATTTTGTTGTACTTTAAACAAGATGTAGAATTGTTTCATCTGAGCTCAAGCCTGCAATAATAACAGAAGAAAATCATGTCAGTTCTTAGTGATTGGCTGGGATCCCAATGGGGAAAGGCCCCCTCTTCCATCTACTTCTGCGAATCGAAGCTACAGACGTGGTCCAGCTTCACAGACTTCCTAGAAGAAACCTTGAAAACAGTAAGGAAGCAGCTGTATCCTTTCTTCAAGGAACTGCAGAAGAGCATCAGTGGCAGGATGATAGGTAAGCAGTCTTGCTACTTCTGTTGCAGGTTAATTATGAAGTTGCTTTCATATCCCGAGTAAATACAAGTTTAGTTATGGCGCAAGTAAAATTTTACTCTTGAACATCTCCAGTAAAATTTTATCTCCTAGGTTGCTCACACGGCCTTTCAAATATAACGAACAACCACTAACAACAAATATATTCAGGTTCAAAATGTTGAAGCTCGTTCTTATTTTAACATTTTACCACCTTATTAATTCTTGTTTGTCACTTATTTACCTAGACACAATTTGCTGTTTGCTAAGCCAGAGAGCTGTGCACTTTTCCCACTAGAATTTGCTCTGAAAGTTAAGCGCCTCTTATACCCCAGCACCTATTACATAAATTGTTCTACAATTAAAGTTCTATTTATTTTCTGTCTAAAATATATAATTCAGTGATGGGCTCCATGGGCCTTTGCTGAGCCTATTAGACGTGGTTGAATGAATGTTTCCATTCACACCCCAGCCCCATGACGGAATGAATGATCACAGCAGAGCCCTTTGAAAACAATTTACTTCCTCAACTTTGCATCTTTACCTAAATTAGTCCATTCTTTAAGTATATTTCACCATCTAGGTAAAGAGTTTTTCTTTTTCTCATCTGCAACTACTCATATCTATTCAATTTTTCCCCTACTACTTTCCGCCTGACTAAAACACCATATGAATCAAATCACCCTCTATCTATGCCTTTCTTCTTTTCCTCTGCCCAGCTCCATATTTAAGGTCTGTTTACATAGTTACCATCTACACAAGAGCTGTAACACGCAAGCGTGCAAGTAGATATCTGTCAATGTATGTCCTATATCTCTTTACATAAATGCTTCCAAAACAGGGATTTGCCTTCCTGCTTATTTGTACTACCTACTCTATCACATTTAGGAGGTGTTCAACCATTATTTTAAAATGGTTATGAAGTTGTAAACAGGGAGAAAGTATTTTTCATAGTTTTTTTTTTTTTTTTTGAGACAGAGTTTTGCTCTTGTCCCCAGGCTGGAGTGCAATGGTGTGATCTCAGCTCACTGCAACCTCTGCCTCCCAGTTCAAGGGATTCTCCTCCCTCAGCCTCCTGAGTAGCTGGGATTATAGGCATGCACCGCCATGCCTGGCCAATTTTTATTTTATTTTTATTTTTTAGATGGAGTCTTACTCTGTCACCCAGGCTGGGCCTCCCAAGTAGCTGGGATTACAGGTGTGCCTCACCACGCCCGGCTAATTTTTGCATTTTTAGTAGAGATGGGATTTCACCATGTTGGCCAGGCTGGTCTCAAACTCCTGACCTCAAGTGATCTGCCCATCTTGGCCTCCCAAAGTGCTAGGATTACAGGTGTGAGCCACCGTGCCCAGCCTATTTTTTGTATTTTTAGTAGAGACGGGGTTTCACCATGTTGGCCAGGTTGGTCTCGAACTCCTGACCTCAAGTGATAAGAGTATTTATTAAATAATATATGTAGGCAATGAGAAGAAAATGGAAAAACAATTTTTTAAATAACTGCATGGTGTTAAAAATATTTTAAAAATTAAAAGATGTCCGTGTATGTATGTTTGCATGTTATTTACTTTGGACTTTAAAATATTTATATATTTGAAGCCTGGTGTAGTGGCTCATGCCTGTAATCCCAGCAGTTTGGGAAGCCAAGGCAGGTGGATTGCTTGAGCTCAGGAGTTTGAGACCAGCCTGGGCAACATGGCAAAACACTGTCTCCACAGAAAAATACAAAAGTTAGCTGGGCCTGGTGACGTGTGCCTGTAATCCCAGCTACTTAGGAGGCTGAGGCACGAGAACTGCTTGAGCCAGGGAGGCAGAGGTTTCAGTGAGCTGAGATCGCGTCACTGCACTCCAGCCTGGGCAACAGAATGAGACCCTGTCTCAAAAAAAACAAAAAAACAAAAAAACAAAAAAACAAATGCCTACTTGAGCGCAGAGATAAAGGAGAATATAGAGGAACTCCTGGTAGGATCGAGAGTCTTACATTTAAATTTATTGAGCTCCTTTTCACATGCTCTCTCCTTATTGTCCAATTTATACATTTCATTCAATATCAGCTTTGCCGGAGTGGGCACTTTTTATAGACTAGACATTTAAATTACTTTGGTTCATTTTATATTTTATCATAGTAGAAATCCTCATTGCATAATAGAATTTTTACTGCTATTCTTTGCATTTTTATCCACTAAAAAAACAACTGTGGGTCCAGTACGGTGGCTCATGTCTGTAGTCCCAATGCTTTGGGAGGCTGAGGTGGGCAGATTGCTTGAGGCCAGGAGTTTGAGACCAGCCTGGGAAACACAGCAAGACCCCATCTCTACAAAAAGTTAAAAAGTTGGCTGGCTGCAGTGGCTCACGCCTGTAATCCCAGCACTTTGGGAGGCCAAGGCAGGAGGATCACTTGAGGTCAGGAGTTCAAGACCAGCCTGGCCAACATGGTGAAACCCGGTCTCTCCTAAAACTACAAAAAAAAAAAAAAAAAAAAAAATTTAGCTGGGCGTGGTGGCAGGCACCTGTAATCCTAGCTACTCAGGAGGCTGAGGAAGGAGAATTGCTTGAACCCAGGAGGCGGAGGTTGCAGTGAGCCCAGATTGCGCCACTGCATTCCAGCCTGGGTGACAAGAGCGAGACTCCATCTCAAAATAAATAAATAAATAAAAGTTAAAAAATTAAGCAGGCATGGTGGTGCATGCCTATAGTCCCAGTTACTTGAGAAGCTGAGGTGGGAGGATCACTTGGATCAAGGCTGCAGTGAGCTATGATTTTGCCACAGCACCCCAGCCTGGGCAACAGAGTAAGATTCTGTCTCAAAAAAAAAAAAAAAAAAAAGAAACTGTGAGGACTGAGTTGTTGTTTTTAAATCACATTTCTTACATAAATCAATTACAGGGCATGTGGCCTTGTATTTACAGGGCAGTTTATGTTTGACACCATGGGTATGACCAACATTCTAAACAACCAAGATACTGCGCAAGCTCTGGCAGATGGATTGATGGAGTTGTCAAAAGAAGATTCTGTAAGTGTTTCTTTGAAGAAAGTAAACTATGAAAACCAACATTTAAATAAATTCTGTTTGCAGTTATTATTAATTTTTTTGACCAGTTTATCCCTTTCAGAGCACAGTTCCTCAGAGAAATTACATCAGTTTATAAAAATAGCCACTAAGAGATTCTGGGCCCAAGATGTGTTAAGTACACAAAACAGACAAGTAGGAAAATCTTCTAGGTTATTTAAAGTTTATTACATTGTGCCCTGTTTTCTGTCTTGTGCTTAATTTCAGTCAGAAGTGACTTTTTTTTTTTTTTAATAAAACATGTTAGTGGCTTTATATTTCACATAAACTTTACTCAACAGAGAAACCAATTCCTAGTTTCAGGAGAAATCTGAGAAAGTGTGACCCAGATGTGAAAAGATGACGGGAAAAGGGGCTAGATGAGAGAGGAAGGGAAAGAGAACACAACGGAACGGAAAGAAGCAAATCAGTAATTCGGCTGGGGATGGGTGTAGGAGAAACCCAAAGAAACAATTTCATCAGACACAGATCCAAGGTTCTCTCTCATTAAGGTCAGTCTACACTTCAGAAAACAGTGAGAAGGAGCCAGTCCACATTTCAGAAAATAGTGAGGAGAGGCCAGTCTCCAGACAGCTCTCCCAGCCCCAAAGAGGACAGCATGGCTATAGGAAAATGCAATGTGGCCAGGCGTGGTGGCTTATGCCTGTAATCCCAGCACTTTGGGAGGCCGAGGCAGGCGGATCATTTGAGATCAGGAGTTGGAGACCAGCCTGGCCAACATGGTGAAACCCCGTCTCTACTAAAAATACAAAAACTAGCCGGGCATGGTGGCGGGCACCTGTAATCCCAGCTGCTCAGGGGGCTGAGGCCAGGGAATTGTTTGAACCCAGGAGGTGAAGGTTGCAGTGAGCTGGGATCGTGCCATTGCACTCCAGCCTGGGTGACAAAGCAAGACTCTGTCTCAAAAAAAGAAAAAGAAAAGAAAAGGCAACGTGCAGCTCTCCCTCTGAGGGGAGTCGGGAATAGAATGGAGATAGGGCTGCTGTTAACATATTCAATAATCTAAATTCTCTAGTTTCCAAGGAATTCTCAAGGAGAGTCTCAAATCTTTCTCTTCCACCATCATAATTCTGCTTTGTGGGTGAATTTAACATTGTCTCTGCACACATTCTCTCTCTCCTTATTATTGAGTATCTGCTCCTGTTTCAGTGTGGCTTCCTGGGTCTGCACCAGGCATTTCTGGGCGTAGCTGTCCTGCACTGGGTGGGGGCTGCGAAGCTGCATTAGCTGTAGTTTGTCTCCTGTGAAGTCTCAGCTCTGCAGTGAGGCTCAGGCAGCCCAATGACGAAAGGCCTTTGGCGAGCCTTGCTGATAAAATGAGCAGGGATATTCACAGAGGTGCCCCCTCACTGTCTGCCAAAACACTGAAGGATTACTCAGCATGCTTGGTGTCAGTTCAGTGTACTTATTTCCACCTAATTATTTAAAAATAACCATGTATGATATAATTTGGATGGTGCTCAAACCTATAGCCTGAGGGGAACCAAATTTGAGAGCCCCAGCATGTTTTCCCAGCAATTCTGCTACTGCAGCCTCTCTCCCAGGCCTTCTTCCTCCCCCTGAAAGACAACAAGATCCTTCCTGTCCCGTTTCCTCATTTGGCCAAGGGGTTGGTGTGGGCCACTTTGGTTCCAAAGATCTTGAGAGACCCTCCCATAAAATTTTGGTGTCTTAACTGGATTGTGACAAATTGTTGAGAACCAAGAGTACATATGGTAACTGGAATATGAGATGAACTAGAAAGTCTCATGTACTGACTTGAATTGAGCACTAGTCACTCTGTTTTCTGGACATGTCAATTAATTAGGTAGAAAGCTGAAATCCCTGCTAAAAAGTGTGCTCTCTCTTCTGCTGCAGTATTGACATCTGTATTTCAGAAGAATGTTTTAAATGGGCATTTTTCTTGCGGGGGGGTTGGGCATTCTTTAGGACAAACCTCTGGAATTTTTGTCGTATTTTCTGCTGAAGAAATGTGGCAAAAAGATCAAAGATGTTGAAGGAAATGTTATTCCAACAAAATGTGACCCAAAGACAACATTCAGTTTATTCATGAAGGTAAAGTTGCTGCTGAATTTTTATGCCATTGCTTTTCTGTAGAGTTAGGCACATGTGATAAAGAAATTCATAAATCATTATATGAGCTCTACTGGGAAGCTTTAACTTGTCATTTCTCCAAAGAATTTTATTTTCATGAAGTATTACTAAAATAGGGTGTTTTGTAGTTTCATAATATGAGTAACATTTAAGCCGCTTAAAAGCATAAACTGCAACATGTTAACTTGAGTAACACTATTTGGTTGTGGGGAGAAAGGTAGAAATTTGCATTTTGCTTTGACATTTATGAGCCCTGAGAGAACTTAAGGGGAATTTTTTTTTGAGGGAGGTGAAACTAAGAATAGTTCTTTTTTTTCTTAGTTGAGATTCAAATTCATTAAAGAAAAAAATGGGTTTAAAGCGAGTTCTGGCTGGGCGCGGTGGCTCACGCTTGCAATCCCAGCACTTTGGGAGGCCCAGGCGGGCAGATCATTTGAGGTCAGGAGTTTGAGACCAGCCTGGCCAACATGGTGAAACCCCGTCTCTACTAAAAATACAAAAATTAGCTGGGCATCGTGGCATGCCTATAATCCCAGCTACTCAGGAGGCTGAGGCAGGAGAATCACTTGAACCCAGGGGGGTTCAGTGAGCCAAGGTTTGCTTGAACCCGGGGAGGTTCAGTGAGCAGAGGTTGCAGTGAGCCAAGATCGCACCACTTTACTCCACCCTGGGTGACAGAGTGAGACTCTGTCGTAAATAAATAAAACTAGTTCATCAGGCCAAAAAGAATAATTTTGCCAGTACTATATTAGGAATCCAAGCATTCTTGTTTACATGAAATAACCAGGATTCAAGAAATGCTGAGAATTACATTGTCGTTCACATAACTGATTTCTATGTAGGGGAAAATACTGTTTTAGAACCATTTTATGTCCATAGGAAAGTCACCTGTCTTTGATGTTTGAAGGCGTAGGATGGCAGTCCCTAACATAATCTCACCATGGAGGGCTGCTAGGAGTAAGAGACTTGTGAGCACCTCTAGCAGGCAAATCATTTGTTGCCCTATTAACCTGATATTCTGGAAGTATTTGTTAATGCTTCTTTAAAGGACAGTGCAGGGCAGGGCAGGAGCAGACATAGAGAACTGCTGGAGGCAGCATTCCCTCTGCCTGCTGCCCCAAATGAACTCAGCAGCACACGGCCTGCCGTCATTAAGACCCATCCTTGGCCAGGCGCAGTGGCTCACGTCTGTAATCCCAGCCCTTTGGGAGGCAGAGGTGGGTGGATCACTTGAGGCCAGGAATTTGAGACCAGCCTGGCCAACATGGTGAGACCCCGTCTCTACTAAAAATACTAAAATTAGCCAGGCATGGTGGGGCACACCTGTAGTTCCAGCTACTTGGGAGGCTGAGGCAGGAGAATCGCTGAACCAGGGAGGTAGAGGTTGTAGTGAGCCAAGATCGCGCCATTGCACTCCAGCCTGGGCCATAGAGTGAGACCCTATCTCAAAAACAAACAAACAAAAAAAAACAAAACAACAACAACAAAAAACCCTACCCTTCTGCTGTTACCATAGCACAACCCTTACTTTAATCCTCCCCTCCCCGACAAAGTGCCCAAGTGGCTTATTCTTCCCAAACACAAGCAACTCCCTGAGACAGGAGTCTTTATTTTATTTTTTAATTTTTTTTTTTGAGATGGGGCCTCGCTCTGTCACCCCATGCTGGGGTACAGTGGCACAATTATAGCTCACCATAGCCTTGAACTCCTGGGCTGAAGCCATCCTCCTGTCTCAGCCTCCCAATGTGCTGGGATTACAGGCCTGAGCCACCACGCCTGGCCATCCCAAGAGGAGTCTAAATGCCTTTCCAGGGATATCTAAGCCCTTTACAGGTTGAAGCCCTGCTTGCTGGCTGCCCTGCCCCCAAATCGGTATTTTCAGGAAACTTCTCAGGCAGAGGGCAATTCCTCATCTTTTTAGTTCCATTCTCTAAATATTTGCAGGAGCTAACCAGCTAACCACATGCTAGACCTTCTGCTAAATCCTGGGACTAGACAGCAAAGTAAGACAGTTCCTGCCTTTGTGGAGGATGAGGCTGATACACAAATAGGTGGTGCAGCATGATTAGCACCTGTTAACAGAACGCACGGGCTGGGATGGGAACCCCAGGGTGGGAACGCCAGATGGGCATTTAGTCCAGACTCCTCTTTCTGCTTCTCAGAGGCTGCTGCTTTCATTTCATTATGCCAGCCACCATCTCTTTGAAATTCTTGGAGATTATTCTCCCAAAAGGGTGGACATAGTCTCCATCCATCCTTTAGCCTATGAAAACCTGAAAAACAGCACCCAGGCCTCTAATACCACTCATTTTCCCTTGGTTCACTAAAGGGAATGATCAACATATAACCACATTACACAGGTTCCAAATTCTTCCAAAGTCCTTTCAACATCTGCTGATTCCTGACTCCCTGGAATCCTTATTGGATTCTTTCACCCACCTTTATTCCTAAGGGTGAAGCTATTACCTCGAAACCCAGGCATACAGATCCCAGAAAACCCCCTCTTTGGAGCAAGAAAGCAATAAGGACCAAACTAAGGTGCTTCCTCCTCTGAAGTGCCACTCTCACATGTGAAAGACCTAACTCTTGGTGAGAACCATTTCTGGGCTCATTGAAACCTAAGGGAATGATCACTTGGAGCAGTTCCTCTGAGGCACTTTCTCCTCTAGTTCCTCTGCCAAATAAAATTCAAAATGAATGAAGTCTTTTCAACTGGCTATTGATCCGAACAGCTCATTATGTTCATAAAATAATGCATGAAATTTGGGCTGAAAGTTCCTCATTGCTGGAAATCAGGCCCTCTATTGCTACATTGTCTGCCTGTAATAAAACTGGAAAAATGCAAAACTCCTTAATGCCTGGAAATTTGATTAAAAAAAATCGAATTAGAAAAAAATACATATTAGATTCTCATTTGATTCTCTACTATTTAACACTAAAGAGCTTGGGCACAAAGCCCACAGAACAAATGCGGAGACCTCTAGGAGGAAGAACCACAGCTAAACGTCAGTGTTGCATTAGGATAAAAATAGAAAAGCTGATTTTCCTTACATTAGGGTTTATTTTTAAAACTGGATATTCATTCAGAAGCCTCAGGAGACAAAGGAGGGGAAAATGAAAGCTTCTCTGAGATAATTGCTTTAAAGACCCTTCCAGCCGGGAGCAGCGGCTCACGCCTGTAATCCCGGCACTTTGGGAGGCCGAGGTGGGTGGATCACCTGAGGTCAGGAGTTTGAGACCAGTCTGGCCAACAAGGTGAAACCCCGTCTCTACTAAAAATACAAAAATTAGCTGGGCCTGGTGGTGGGCGCCTGTAATCCCAGCTACTCGGGAGTCTGAGGCAGGAGAATCCCTTGAACTTGGGAGGCAGAGGTTGCAGTGAGCCAAGATTGCAGCACTGCACTCCAGCCTGGGCGACAAGAGCAAGACTTTGTCTCAAAAAAATAAACAAAACAAAAAAAACAAACCCTCCCAGAGAGGCTTGTGTAATACGGATTATCTGTCAAATCCAGGACTGTGTGTGTGTGTGTGTGTGTGTGTGTGTGTGTGTGTGTGTGTCCATCCATGTATCCATCTATCCATCCACCTACCTACCTACCTATCATCCTGCTGCCCAATCATTATTTGCTCCTGGTTTTTGTCTGCCTATAATGTTTACACTGATACCATGCAACCATGGTGATGGCTGCCCGCCAGAATTATAGTTGTTCCTGAACTCTACCTGTCATTTTCACAACTATTTCTGGCCCCTTATCCAGGCAGCTGAGTGTTTGCTGGCAGAAGCATCAACAATGACTAGAATGTCTCTGGAAAATAGTGTCTGCCCATGCTCCATCCTAGAGAAAAATTCCTAACATGTTCTTTGTGAGCTTTTTTTTAATGGTCTTCCTTATATGTCCCGCAGAGCCAAGGCAAAGACCCACCAACCCAGAATGATAGTTGTCTTATAAATGTGCAAAGTTTCTGCCATGTTACTTCCTCTGAATTCATCCATAAAAACTAAGTAAAAGATAGCATCGGAATCTAAAATTAAGCTGTAAAAATTCTGGCAATTAAACATATAATATAAAATGAGTGAACTTGCCAATTTTAGGTTCAAACAAAATTACTATGCCAAATCAATGTCCTATCCACAAAGAAAAAATTATATTTAAAAAAGTAAGTTGCTGCTGAGCCGGAATGTGAAACAAAGCCCAACTGTAAGCGAGCAGGTTCTAAAATAGCCAAGGTGGTCTGGGGGGGTCCATGATGACACCTGAATTTTAATGCATAAATTTTCATGTGAGCCTGTACAGTCAGGTGATCTCCCAGAGAAAGATGGCTCCCTTATCTGTGAGATCCACAATACAATTGTGTGCTGTTTGGGTTATCTTAATCTTGGCCCAACCTGAGAGTTTTGTTTTTGTTTTTTGAGACAGTCTCACTCCATCATCCACGCTGGAGTGCAAGATACTGGCTGGGCACAGTGGCTCACACCTGTAATCCCATCACTTTGGGATCCCAAGGCAGGAGGAACACTTGAATTTGAGACCAGCCTGGGCAACATAGTGAGACCTTGTCTCTAAAAAAAAATGAACAAAATTAGCCAGGCATGGTGGCACATGCCTGTAGTCCCAGCTACTTGGGAGGTTGAGGTGGGAGATCAATTGAGCTTGGGAGGTCGAGGCTGCAGTGAGCAAATATTGCACCACTGCACTCCAGCATGGGTGAAAGAGTGAGACCCTGTCTCAAAACAAAACAAAAACAAGTAGATCTCCTCCCTGGCTCCAAGCCATAAGTATGGATACATGCCAGGCTGGTATGAGACAGCCACAAGTGCAGAGGACAAAAGAAATCATTAGAAGACTCCCTGGAGCAGACAGGAAGCACTCAGGCTCAGGTGGGACCTCCTGCCATCTGGGACTGAGCTAGCTGGCTGCAGGTTTGCAGACCAGGGTTCTTCTGCAGAGGCTCAGGCTGCCAGAGCAATGTGGCATCTCCAAAATAAAAATTCGCTTTTGCCTCAGTAGAGTAAGGTAAAAGGAGCCTTGGTTACAAATTGAAGTTATTCTTCCAGCCTCATCCCTGGACATCCAAGGGTTGCCATTGGTAGTTTTGTCTTTGATGAGGAAGGCAGCAATAACGACCATTGACCATCATCATCCCTCAACATAAACACAGGACCACTGCTGTGTTGCTAGGGTAGACCCTGGGGTACTGCAGGCAGCAGGGGTGGGGGTGGAGGGCTTTAAAAAAATGTGCTAAGTTTGAGAGAGGCCACAGCAAGAATAGTTAACAAGGTAAAGTGAAGAAAGAATAAGCCTTATTTAAATGTGCAGGTCTAGAAAGGTTATGTGAACTGTTTATGACACATTTTCACTTGGTGGTGAAAAAAGGAGTGAGTTTTGTGAGCTTTTCCTTCTGGATCTTAAAAATAAAAATAACCTATTTGCCCTCAACTGAGAAGGAACAGAGCAGAGCTGAGGCAAAAACCTGTTACCTGGCCAGACTTGGTGGCTCATGCCTGTAATCCCAGCACTTTGGGAGGCCAAGGCGGGCAGATTACCTGAGGTCAGGAGTTCCAGACCAGCCTGGCCAACATGGTGAAACCCCATCTCTACTAAAAATACAAAAATTAGTGGGGCGTGGTAGTGGGCCCTGTAAGCCTGCTACTCAGGAGGCTGAGGCAGGAGAATCGCTTGAACCTGGGAGGCGGAGGTTGCAGTGAGCCGAGATTGTGCCATTGCACTCCAGCCTGGGCGAGAGTGAGACTCCATCTCAAGAAAAAGAAAAAAAAAAAAAGAAGTCTGTTACCCAGGAATGTGTGTGAGTCTTTAAGCCTGGGAGGAGCCCCAGCCCAGCATCACTTCCCTGGCTCCCAAGGAAGAGGGAGCTACGCTGGATTTAGTTCTCAAGTATTATGTAGTTCAAAAGAAGCAAAGGCTATTTTTAAAAAACATAAAATTGAATGTAAGAGTGGCATCCCATTTGCAAGCACTTAACTCATTGTGTGTAGGGAACACTGTGGTTGGGGCTGAAGGCAGAGGCTTCTGAGGGCCTCCTGCGGGCACAGTACTGAGTTTTCAGAGATGTCAAGACCTGCCTCCAATAACCAAGTTTCCATTCAATCTTCAGGAAAGAAATGTTGTAGAAGACAATTCTTGGGACACAAAGTCCAGGCTCAGCAAAAATGATTTAAATTTTGAAGCACTGATTAATCTGGTAAGCTATTATATAATGTAACTTTACCATTGGTTTTGCTCCTGATAGTGAAATTTCAGCCTTTATTCTGGTTAGTTCTTCATTTTCCTTGAAAATTTCCCTTTGGGGGATTAAAAAAAAAAAACCTCAAAAATTATTAGAGAGAATTCAGCTGGCAGACTTTTTTTTCAAATAAGCCCCAGACTGAAAAGAAGTTGAGCCAGAAGGATAGCAGTGTAACATCTTGGAGCAAAACCAATCTGTATGTTACTCCCTGACTTTCCTTTATGGTACTAGGATGTCTTTTAAAGAAATGGCACATGGACAAAGGCTCACAGTTTCTAATTAATCTACCAACTTACAGTCTGACTTCAAAAGTTGAATCTAATGAACACAATGTCTAGGGCTCCGTCTTTCTGTGTCAAGGGTAAAGTGTGGAGGAAGCTGCAGCCTCAGCAGGGGCCGGTCTCGTCCTGTGTAACCCACGGCATGGGCACACTGTTTTGTTTTCTTCAACACACAAACACACTTATTATCACCTTTCATTCTCAGAATCCTATAAAGGACACATCCCTAGCCACATTTTATAGATAAAGAACTAGAGTTAAGAAAAGTTACATGGGGGAAAAAAGTCAAATGACTTCCCTAAGGCCAGACAATTGGGCAAGAAAAATCTTAAGTCCTGCAGCCCTGAGCTCAGACCTGGGGCTCTTTCCCAGCCCCAGACACCCTGGCTGCAGACAGTGCAGGCCGTGGAGCCCCAGGACATGGATGCCCACTTGCCCCAAACCCATCCCTAGGAACACCCAGGAGGAGCATGTTCCATAGAGCAGTGGATATGAGGGTATCTCATCTGACTATTAGTAATAATACCTCATAGTGGTTTCAAGATAACAACACAAGGTTTGACAATGAAAACCTTAGTTCAAAATGATTATAAATGTTGGATAACTCCAATATGTAAAAATATATACATACAGAAATACACATATAATATTAAAAAAATAATATGGACTGTAAGCCAACTGCCAAGTAGGATGCAGATGTATTTTTTACCTTATTAGATATGTCTAAATAGGTATTCTAGACAGACCATGTGTTTGGAAAATAAACAAGAAGAGTTTGGCAGCTCATGTTTGTAAT
Organism: Homo sapiens; assembly: GCF_000001405.40. Lineage (NCBI taxonomy): Eukaryota > Metazoa > Chordata > Mammalia > Primates > Hominidae > Homo > Homo sapiens. The sequence continues at coordinate 138,877,681 of NC_000006.12, forward strand.
CCCAGCACTTTCGGAGGCCAAGGCAGGTGCATCGCTTAAGCAGAGGAGTTTGAGACCAGCCTGGGCAACATAGAAAAACCCTGTCTCTACAAAAAAATTACAAAAATTAGCCTGTTGTGGTGGCTACTCTGGTGGCTGAGGCAGGAGGATTGCTTGAGCCCGGGAGGTCGAGGCTGCAGTGAGCCATGAGTGCACTACTGCACTTCAGCCTGGGTGACAGAGGGAGACCCTGTCTCAAAATAAAAAATGTAAAAAAAGAAGAGTGTGTTTATAATATTTCAAATACAGTGAGTTCTCTCATTTTTCTCTTAAGTTTTTTTACATTATAATTCCAGTTAATGAAATTATGGTTAACTCATCTTGGTGAAGATCACATAGCATTACACATTTTTTCATTTTAAACAAGGCACTTATTTAAACAACAAGGTGTTTGACTTGAAGGAAAAACTATCTGGTAATCATTTTTATCAACTAATGGATCCTCACTTAAAGACAGATTGCCCTACATATAAGAGGTATGTACGAAAACGTTATAAAATGTGCCCTTTGTGTTACAATGATAAATGAAAAACATGAGAATTCTCCAATTGAACAAGGTATGCAAGGATTTAGATACATATATATATACACACACACACACACACACACACACATACATATATACATATATTGCTGTTGTTAAAACAATGAGAGCAAGATAACAGATTGGAATATAAAGATAACTGCTGAATGAGCATGCCACGAAGGGAGAAAGGAGGTCCTTTTGTTTTTGTTTTTGTTTTTTGAGATGGAGTCTCGCTCTGTTGCCCAGGCTGGAGTGCGGTGGCATGACCTCGGCTCACTGCAACCTCTGCCTCCCAGGTTCCAGTGATTCTACTGCCTCAGCCTCCTGAGTAGCTGGGATTACAGGCATGTGCTACCACACCCAGCTAATTTTTGTATTTTTAGTAGAGACAGAGTTTTGCCATGTTGGTCAGGCTGGTCTCGAACTCCTGAGCTCAGGTGATCCACCCGCCTCAGCCTCCCAAGGTGCTGGGATTACAGGCATGAGCCACCGCACGTGGCCAAGGAGGTCTTTTCACAGAAGCATTTTTCCCCTTCTCATCTCCATTTGATGTTGATGGTATACCATTAGCCACGAATACATTAGCCATACCATTAGCCACTAATTTTTTTAAAAATGCTTGTGCATATTCATCAGTTACCTTATGTACAATAAAGGAATGGGGAAGGAAATGAAAGAATAGAGCAAACTATACTGTAATAGTTAGGATGTAGTGGAACCAGATTGCAGTTTTTTAGTTGAGAATGCAGTCTTGGTCTGTAAGAATAGCCTCTGGCGTAAAATAGCAAGTTCTCTTTTTACTGGACCCCTCCTGCCTGCTGCTGAAACACATCAATTGTATCTTTAACCTCCACTTCCAACTCTGCAGGTGTGTCTGTTTCATTGATTGGCCATCTGACAAATTGGAATCTGATCCGCCTCATTGACAAGCCTTGCTATTCACAATAGGCTTTCATTAGTTTACTAAGTGGTGTATGCCTGTTAATCTTAAATTGCACCAAGGAACCATCCTGCCCACCACCCTAAAATTAATATGAGCAGTTCTGACCCTTCCTTGAGCTTTCTGTTCACCATGCTGAGTGCTGGAGTCACCTCAGGTCCGCAAGCAGCACAAGTGGCAGAAGCAGTATTGTCATATTTTATTGGGGGCAGTGTGGGGTATACTTAGGGCTGGAGGGAAAATAATAATTCTAGGCTAAAATTGAAGGACATTATGTTTTTGAAATTTAGATATTATAAATTTTCTGGTATAAAGATGCTCATTTTATAGCTTTTGAAATATGCAAATAAAAGAAAAAAATTATCTAGTACCAGCAATAAAAATTAATTTCTCTCTCCATATAAACATAGCACACACAACATCAGGGTATGGAATTTCTTTAGGCCAGTGTATGATTTTCACCTCTGCATTAAAAAATAAAACAAGAGGCTGGGCAAGGTGGCTCATGCCTGTAATCCCAGCACTTTGGGAGGCTGAGGTGGGTGGATCACAAGGTCAAGAGATCGAGAACATTCTGGCCAACATGGTGAAACCCCGTCTCTACCAAAAACACAAAAATTAGCTGGGCATGGTGGCATGCACCTGTAGTCCCAGCTACTCGGGAGGCTGAGGCAGGAGAATTGCTTGAACCCAGGAGGCGGAGGTTGCAGTGAGCTGAGATCACACCACTGCACTCCAGCCTGGAAAAGAGAGTAAGACTCCATATCAAAAGAAAAAAATAAAATAAAATAAATAAATACACAAAACAACAGTTGGAAACATAACATAGCACATCTGGCAACCTGGCTAGCCAGGAGAGATGGGCTCATAGCTCCAAGTCTATCCTTCATACTGAAGTTAGATCCTTAATACTGAAAGAAGAGCATATGCTTCAGATTTTTCATATGTCAGCTGGGGAAGCAAATTAGTTAATAATGAAAAGGTGTCTTCACCTGTTCATGCTGCTGCAGTAGAATACCTGAGACTGGGTAATTTGCAAAGAACAGAAATTCTTTATGGAGGCTGGGAAGTCTAAGATCAAGATGCTAACATCTGTCAAGGGCCTTCTCTTGGAGTGCTCACATGGTGGAAGGCAAGAGAGGACCAACTCCCTCTGCCAAGCCCCTTTCTAAGGGCACCTGATCCCATTCATGAAGGAGGAGTCCTCATGACCCAGCCATGTTTTCATGACTCCACTTCTTAATACTGTCACATTGGCTACACCTGAATTTTGGAGGGGACACATTCAAACTGTAGCAGAGGGCTAGCTCATTTCAGTTCTTCTGTTTGCAAGATAATCAATAAAACACTACTTGGAAAAAGAAATAGGAAAACAAACAAGAGTAGACAAGCCAAAGTCTTCCTCACTAGACTGTAACCTCCATGAAGACAGGACTCTGTCTTGTTCTCATCATTACATGGCCAGCACCAGCATAAGACACCTAATATGGATTTGGATGGACAGATGGATAAAAATAAGTTTCAAACTGCCTTCCTTTAGATCCAAGATTAAAAGTCCCTTCTCTACTTGGCCATCAGGCTGGCCCCATATGAGGGGCTCTTTGATGATACTAGGGACAAGTGATGGACAGCGGGGTCCTCCGTAGCCCCCGTGAAGTCCCCTTCAACCTGAACAGCACAAACCAGCAAGGGGGGTCTCCGTGTAGCTGCCTGACTGCTCAGCACTTCTACTTCTCCATCACTGACTTGAGTTCTTAACACTTCTCTACAGGAGAGAATACTCCAGAAGGACTCAGCAGAAAAGCGAGCTAGAGTTGTCAGAGAACTCTTACAGAGTGAGAGAAAATACGTGCAGATACTGGAAATTGTGAGAGATGTTTATGTCGCACCACTGAAAGCAGCATTGTCATCAAACAGAGCGATTCTGAGTGCTGCCAATATCCAGATCATTTTCTGTGACATTCTACAGATTTTAAGTCTCAACAGGTAAACCCTGAATATGTATTTTTTTTAATATTCATTGTGCACTGAGAAGAGCCCATGCTTTATTGTTTCAAAAGCAGTATGGAGGTGCAATGATGCTCTGACCCTCTTAGGGACCCTGATTATAGCAGCGAGATCCTCATCACATTACCTACCGGGCTGCAACCAGTAGTGATTCCCAAGGACACCCCTTCCCCCGTTCATAGCCATGGTGCAAGGAGTGGTGTTCAGGACCTAGGCATTTTGTAACCCAGTGATCCCCAACCTTTTTGGCACCAGGAACCAGTTTCATGGAAGACAATATTTACACAGAGCAGGGGTGGGGGGAATGGTTTCAGGATGATTCAAGTGCATTACAGTTATTGTGCACTTTATTTCTATTATATTATAATATATAATAAAATAATTATACAACTCACCATAATGTAAACCAGTGGGAGCCCTGAGCTTGTTTTCCTGCAACTAGATGGTCCCGTCTTGGGATGATGGGAGACAAGGACAGATCATCAGGCATTAGATTCTCATAAGGAGCATGCAACCTAGATCCTTCAAATGTGCAGTTCACCATAGTGTTTGCACTCCTATGAGAATCTAATGCCACTGCTGATCTGGAGCTCAGGTAGTAATGCAAGCAACAGGGAGCGGTTGTAAATATCAGTGAAGCTTCACTCACTCAACCCCCACTCACCTCCTGCTATGCAGCCTGGTTCCTAACAGGCCACAGACTGGTACCTATCCATGGCCTGGGGGTTGGGAACCCTTGCTGTAACCAATAGACTGTCCATGCAAAAGCTAGCAGGAAGGAGGAGAGTCATACGCTCCTTCCTAATCAGCAATGTTCAGTTAAGCAATGGGAAAAAACCAGAAGGATTTAATGGGATTAAGCCACCAGGACACTTAGCTTAGAAAGCCCAAGGCTGAGGGTCAGTTTAATAACAACATATTTTCAAGTGCATAACATGAGAGAGAAAAGTGATCATTTCTGCCTGTGGTAAAAGGAGGCAACCTGAGTATGTCCTTCCCTGAAGGTAACTCTCTAGGTAACTTGGAACAAGTTCTTTCCTGTCAGTGGGCCCCAGCTCCTACAGTGAAGAGGTTGAACTGGGCCTCTTTCACTGTTCAAAGCCTCTGATGGATGAATGAGGGATTTTCTTAGAGCTCTGGGGAACTGAGCTAAGCAGAGGCTATGGCATTCAGCTGTTGAAGACAGTGGAGCACTCTCCTCTACAAACTGTAAGAACTTTCACCCATCTGCCTATCTGGAGGCAAGAGACTAGGACATTAGGCAGCAGCTGTATTGTGGCCATTGTGTGGTTCCTTCACCTCAAGGAACTGAGGTGAAGAGGTGGGATTCCACCCCGGCCAACCTACTCCTTCACGTCCCAGTTCCCTTTCCTGTCAAATCTCCACTTCTCTGTGTTAGGAAGAAATGACTTGACCAAAACCCTACCGTAAAGGACTAGGGTGAAAATGCCCATGCTGATGACAATGGATATTTGGGTTTGTAAGTTATCACAAGTGAATATTTCATGCTTATGCTCTTCTCATACCACAGGCAGTTTCTAGATAACCTGAGAGACAGACTGCAGGAATGGGGCCCAGCTCACTGTGTGGGAGAAATAGTCACGAAGTTTGGAAGCCAGTTAAACACATATACCAATTTCTTCAACAATTACCCTGTCATTCTGAAAACTATTGAGAAGGTAAATGAGTTTCAATTCCATCATTCTATAAGACCTGAGCTAGAAAGGAAGTTACGTGTGGAACCCGAAAGACCAGCGTTAATAAGAAAGGCTTCTCTGCTCTTAGCTCCCAGCTGTCTTCCCATACTGTGTGATCTCTGAGGACAGGAACCCTGACTTAGGGGCTAGCACAATATTTGACACCCAGCATTGCCAGGAACTGGTTCTTAAACTGAACTCATCCTCATGCAAATGGCCAGGCTTTCACCTGCCCCAGATACCCTCAGCTTACAGGAAAATGCTCCACAGTTGAGCTTGGAATCCACTCTGCTACTACAATCCTGTGTATCCTTGACAAGTTCACTCTCTCATGTAGAAAATAAATTAATCATCCACATCTTTCTTGGAAGAACAATCAATTTATGAAATGTCACTATCAAGTAAGGAATGTCTTGGTCTTACATTTCCTAGAGAGTAAATTATTAACAGTTTTCCCTGTTGCAATTTCTGGCATTATTTAATCTGAGCAGGAATATCCAATTCCCTCATGTACCACTTGCTGCTCTTGTGGGGATACCTTCTTATGGGAATAACATCCCTCTTTCTTCCCTCCTCAATTGGTATCGAAAGCCTAGAAAAGGCTACCTTGTCACATGGCAGCACACTTCTGCCAGAGTCCACTGTGACCACTCGTCTTCACTGAGGCCCTGCAGGAAAGGCCTGTGGGCTGGGAGGCCTCTGGAGGGCTCCGGCCCTTGGACAGCTTCCTTTGTAGTATTCCTTCTACCCCACCCAGGGAGTCTAGTCCCTGCTGGACAACTTGATGATTCAAAAGTTACATAAATAAGGTAGTTTCATAGAACCGACCTTGGAGACAAGGATTGGAGCAAAGTATCACATGGTATCAGGAACACACTGGTGCCTAAATTTTTTTAGCTATAGATAATGATGCCTAGTTCACTAGCCCAGTGTGTGCACACAAGTAAGTACTTAGCTTAAATGTTAGTTATTTGGTTGTGGGGTTTGTTTTGAGACAGGGTCTCCCTCTGTCACCTAGGCTGGAGTGCAGTGGCATGATTACAGCTCACTGCAGCCTCGACTTCCCCAGGCTCAGGTGATCCTCCCACCTCAGCCTACCAAGTATCTAGGACTACAGGCATGTGCCACCACACCTGGCTAATTTTTTTGTATTTTTTGTAGAGACGGAGTTTCACCATGTTGTCCAGGCTGGTCTTAAACTCCTGGGCTCAAGCAATCTGCCCAACTCTGTCTCCCAAAGTGCTGGGATTACAGGTGTGGGCCACCATGCCAGCCAATGTTAGCTATTAATATGATTGAAATCCATGAATATTTCACTTGGTCTTAGCCGAAAGTCCAGTAATGAAATCAGTGAATATTTGATTTCTGTAAGTTAGCATTGCTGACATCTTTCAGGCATGGAAAGGGAGGTAACTTTACGGGTGCTCTAATAGTGATAAATGAATACATTTTAAAACAGATATTAAGGCTCAGTGCGGTGGCTCACACCTGTAATCCCAGCACTTTGAGAGGCCTAGGCAGGTGGATCATCTGAGGTCAGGAGTTCGAGACCAGCCTGGCCAACATGGTGAAACCCCGTCTCTACTAAAAATACAAAAATTAGCCAGGCATGGTGGCGGGCACCTGTAATCCTAGCTACTTGGGAGGCTGAGGCAGGAGAATCGCTTGAACCTGGGAGGCAGAGGTTGCAGTGAGCCGAGATTATGCCACTCTACTCCAGCCTGGATGACAGAGCAAGACTCTGTCTCAAAAAAACAAAAAACAAAAAAAATATATTAAGTACAGTAGAATACCTGTATAATAAATATTACTATGGAAAACGTAATTAACAGAAGTATTAAAGGTGAATACCATTAATAGTCAAGATCTTACTATACTGAAATAACATTTACTGTGTGACAGCCACTTTATGGATAGGATTGTTTTTTTTCCACACCACAACATTAGAGATGATATCCATGTTACAGATGAGAAAACTGAGGCTCAGAAAAGTTAAGTAATTTGACAAGGTTATATATTCGATTTATTCTAATTCAAATCCAGGCCCACCTGGTTGCAAAGTACATTCTTATTTGTCTATACTGATTAAGTTCAATGAATAGGGTCAGGTCTATGTATAATTAACACACATTCTTTTTTTTTTTTTTTTTTTTTTTTGAGATGGAGTCTCGCTCTGTTGCCCAGGCTGGAGTGCAGTGGCGCTATCTTGGATCACTGCAAGCTCCGCCTCACAGGTTCATGCCATTCTTCTGCCTCAGCCTCCTGAGTAGTTAGGACTACAGGCGCCCGCCACCACGCCTGGCCAATTTTTTGTATTTTTAGTAGAGACAGGGTTTCACCATGTTAGCCAGGATGGTTTCCATCTCCTGACCTCGTGATCCGCCTGCCTCCGCCTCCCAAAGTGCTGGAATTACAGGCATGAGCCATAGCGCCCGGCCAACACACATTCTTAACATATTAGGAAGACACCAATGGCACTACTAACAGTCTACTAATTGGTTAGACATAGATGTTGCCCTTTTGCTTCAGGCATTCCATAGATCATGCTTGCTCAGTGGAACAGTGGACTTTACAACTATCTCATAAAGTTTTGACAATATAATCCTCACCTTTTAGTGCAGAGAAATGATACCAGCATTCCGAACTTTCCTGAAGAGGCATGATAAGACCATTGTTACCAAAATGCTGAGGTACGTTCTGAGGGAGAGCACAGCAGGGGTCCCCCCAGAGAGGGCATTCCTGGGCCTTCAGAGACCAGAGCTCCCTTCTCTATGCCTCATACAGCCTGCCAGAGCTGCTGCTGTACCCATCCCGAAGATTTGAAGAATACCTTAATCTTCTCTACGCTGTCAGGCTTCATACCCCTGCAGAGCATGTTGACCGTGGGGACTTGACCACTGCAATTGACCAAATCAAAAAATATAAAGGTTATATAGATCAGGTTGGTTGCTGATAAGAATCTGTGTCCTTTAAACATGTTACAATGCCTTTGTGGTACTCCCACTCAAAGATCCTGAGACACCTTATCTTCTTGTGGGGTTCTTCGCTTTAAAGTCTTTCATCCTTTTAATGCTAAATCAATAGTGTGTTCCGTGATTTCCAACACTAAGGGCATCTATTCTAAGCCAAGCAACATGAGACAATGTTTTCAGATATTTGTACAAATATAATGAAATTTTTATGAAAGTTTGAAGAATGAAGTATTTGGACTGATTTTTTACACAACTAAAAGGCAAAAAAAAAAAGTAAAATCCTTTGTTTCTGAAAGTACTTTCAATGCATTAATTAGCTTTCCTGCCTCAGTGAGTACAATGGTCATAATTATTCTCTGAAGAAGTAATTAAGCACCTTGGAGTACAGTACTATCATTCTGAAAATATTATTATTATATTGTGCATACTGTAAACAGGCATCTGGGCTGAATGTAAACTGCTAACACATTTTTCCATGCAGATACTTTTTTGCATTCAGTTTTGTCACTTGCCTTTGTTTTAAAACATTGGGTACAGAAAATTGAAATTTTTTTTTTCTTTTTTGAGACAGGGTCTGGCTCTGTCACCAAGGCTTGAGTGTAGTGGTGTGATCTCGGCTCACTGCAACCTCTGCCTCCCTGATTCAAGCAATCCTCCCACCTCAGCCTCTTGAGTAGCTGGGACCACAGGCAGGCGCCACCATGCTTGGCTCTTTTTTTGGCTTTTTTAAAATGTGTGTAGAGATGAGGTTTCACCACTTTGCCCAGGCTGGTCTTGAACTCCTGAGCTCAAGCCATCAGCCCACCTCAGCCTCCCAAATTGCTGGGATTACAGACGAAAGTCACTACACCCGGCCCAGAAATTTGAAACTTTCTATTATAACATATGAAAATACCAAGCCCTGTATCAAGCGCCATAAAATATTTTAATCTATTTCTTTTATGAATAAAAATGTCACAATTTTAGTTTGCCTAAAAGTACTTTTTTTCCCCTAGATGAAGCAAAACATCACTATGAAGGATCATCTGTCAGATATACAGAGAATCATCTGGGGATGCCCTGTATGTATTCTTAGGAACTTGCTGTATCTCATGCTCATGAATACAACCTCCAGTCTTTTGCAAAAGGAGACCTACAGATCCCAAGGCAGCTAGTATTTGTGGAATGCCTGCTACGTGCCAGGCACTGCCATGCTCTCCCATTTCACATCCTTGTTACCTGCAAGGTTGCTCTATAAGAAGGGGCACAAGTGAGCTTGCCCCTATCCCATAACTTTTTGGCAGTCTTTGCTCCTTTATTGGTATTACTGTGATCACAATGCCCTGTGAGGAAAGGGGCCATGTGTTCTACTTGTTTTCTTTTCTTTAATTTTTTTTTTTTTTTGAGACCGAGTCTCACACTGTCGCCCAGGCTGGAGTGCAGTGGCACAATCTCAGCTCACTGCAAGCTCCACCTCCCGGGTTCACACCATTCTCCTTCCCCAGCCTCCCGAGTAGCTGGGACTACAGGTGTCCACCACCACGCCCAGCTAATTTTTTGTATTTTTAGTAGAGATGGGGTTTCACCGTGTTAGCCAGGATAGTCTCGATCTCCTGACCTTGTGATCTGCCCGCCTCGGCCTCCCAGTGCTGGGATTACAGGCGTGAGCCACCACGCCCAGCCATGTTCTACTTGTTTTCTATCTCCCTGCATATGATACCTGGTGCAGGATTCTGCACCCTGATGGTATCTGAACAAGCTTTAGAAGGCCTGTGTTAGCGACGTGTTAACCTATAGAATTTCATCTGGCCCCACCCTCCCTTATCTCTTACAGTTTTCCTGACTTCCTTATAATCATACCACACAGATCCACTCACGATTCTCTAATGTTAACCTCTTTTCACACATTTGTGCTTTGTGCATACTCTTTCTTCTCTGAAATTGCTTTTCTTTCCTATTTCACTGGATAAACCCCTATTCATTCTATAAAAATCTAGTTCAATCATCATATCCTTTGCAAAGTTTCCCCCAGCATTTCCAGCTGTCAGCGGCTTCTTTGTAGGGATTTTGCATCCTGAACATTCCTGTTACATTTTACTGCAATCCTTTATTCATGAAACTGGGAGCTCCATCATGTGTGAGCTATGATTTACTTGCCTTCTCATGTCTGGCACATAAGAGGAGCTCAGGATGTGAGTTACGTTGAATTAAAGTATCAATTGATTAGAAATGTTATTTTTATTTAGTCAAATTGGGGAAGCAAGATGAAGTTGTTTTGTCATAATTTTGGTCTGGACATTTTGTAGGGAAAGATAATTGAGGTTGATTGGTTTGCAAAGATCCAAATTCTTGAAACTCAGAGTCTACAAAACTCTCTCTGGATCACTGTTCACACCAAGAGCTCATCCCCATGACTAGATCAATATAAAGGCTTGACTTCTTATTCTGTACCAATTCATTCACTTCTTTTTCTTTTCTTTTTTTTTTTTTTTTTGAGATGGAGTCTCACTCTGTTGCCCAGGCTGGAGTGCAGTGGCACGATCTCGGCTCACTGCAACCTCTGCCTCCAGGGTTCAAGCAATTCTCCTGCCTCCCAAGTAGCTAGGACTACCGGCATGCACCACCACACCTGGCTAATTTTTTTTGTATTTTTAATAGAGACAGGGTTTCACCATGTTGGCCAGGCTGGTCTCCAACTCCTGACCTCAGGTGATCCACCCACCTCGGCCTTCCAAAGTGCTGGGATTACAGGCATGAGCCACCGCGCCCAGCCTACTTCTTTTTCTTAATAGCTACCTTCTTATCCCCCAACCCCCAACTTTGTTTTTGATATTAGGAAAGCACTTACAAATAAAACTATCATGTCAGCAGTTTTAAAACTTTGACAAAGATTACTTTTTTCCCCTTAAATATAGTTTTCTTTGTCAATACTGTGGTCTTTCTAAGAAAACCTGTTTCATAAACAGTGAAAATATTCACTTTTTCATACTTGAACTGTGTTTTAGTTAACATTTGCATATTCTGAGATATAAAATGGTTTGCAGTAGTAATTTTATTTAAAAAAATTTATATGTACTTCTAATTTTGTTTTTGATTTTACAGACTCTATCAGAAGTAAACAGATATCTGATTAGGGTACAAGATGTAGCCCAACTTCATTGCTGTGATGAAGAAATAAGTTTCTCTTTAAGGTAAACAATAGTTAACTATCCTAAGGCTGTGGACACCTTCCAAGCAGGTGACTGTCTTACTCATCCTGTAGCTCCAGCATTCAGTACAATGTCTGACACAGTAGGTTTGAAATGAATCTATGCATTGGACTGAAAAGTTACAGAGGACTCCCTCTGAGATAGTGTAGGGTATTTTATCACCATGTTCACATTCCAGCCAGCTACTGGATAGAATGGGAGAAATAAATTGTCCCTGCCAGGACCACAAACTCCACATAAGCAGGCATTCTAAAGGTTGGTCACTTTTCTTTTTTCTTTTTCTTTTTTTTTTTGAGATGGAGTCTCACTCACTGCCGCCCAGGCTGGAGTGCAGTGGCGCAATCTCGGCTCACAGCAACCTCCGCCTCCAAGCTATTCTCCTGCGTCAGCCTTCCAAGTAGCTGAGATTACAGGCACCCGTCACCATGCCCAGCTAATTTTTGTATTTTTAGTAGTGATGGGGTTTCACCATGTTGGCCAGGTTGGTCTCAAACTCTTGATCTCCAGTGGTCCACCTGCCTTGGCCTCCCAAAGTGCTGGGATTACAGGCATGAGCCACTGCACCCGGCCACTTTTCTACTTAGCTAAGCTCCAAGTGTTGTGGGATTTTCACACCAATGATCTGCTCAAATGTAAGAAAGAGAGGACCAATTTATTATCCTCAGATAGTTATTGAGGTCAGTTTTTAAAAAGACCTTACAGTATTTAGTTTGCACAATGCTCAGAGTAGTGTAAGAAAAAAAAGATGGAAGGATGCTAATTTTTATAAATTAGTATCCCCTTTACTCCTTTAGAACAAGGATGGGCAAACTTTTCTGTAAAGGTTCACATAGTAAATATTTCAGATTTTGCTGGCCAAATGATATCTGTGGCAACTACCCAACTTTGCTATTGTAAAACAAAAGCAGCTCTATCAATGACACAACACATAACAAGTAATACACTATTCATAAACAGTACAAGATATAAATGAACAAACATGACTATGTTCCAATTAAACTTCATTTACAAGAACAGGTGTGGGCCATAGTGTGGTGATATCTGCTTTAGAAAACTGTTCATCAAACTATGAATAAAATAGAAATAAAATAAATAACAAAATAATTAATAGAATCAAATAAAATTCTATTCTCAAACATTCTTCCTTTCTTTACATAAGTTTGATTTTCAGTATTAATGACAAAGAGTGATTCAGCAAACAGCAACCAAAGGGAGGGGAATTAACTCCTTTAATTTGTTCAACTCCAATAAATGTAATAAAAATTGATTTGTTATTTCAATGAATATTTCAACAAATGTTCCTCAAAGGCACAGGGTAGCAGGGTAGGTGGAAGAAATCAGTCCCCTCACCTCCATCCTTACCTAGACTAGATCTTAAATGAAAATCAAATCACACAATATGTCACTTTTCTCATTGTCATGACATTTTTGTTTTCTTTGATCTTTTTTTTTTTTTTTTTTTTTTTTTTTTGGTCAGTAGCAATAGAAAACAGCTACAATGATGGAAAGAAACTAGCTACCAAACCAGCAATTCTAAACACACTGGTTTGGTAGAAGACATTCTATGATGATTCCAGTTTTTGATTATTAGATTATTCTACATTCATGTATTCCTTCTCAAACACTCTTCCTTTCTTTACATAAGTTTGATTTTCTATATCATTTTTCTTCTCTCTGCAGAACTTCTTTTAACATTTCTTAATGTTCTACTAGGGTCAATGAATTCTCTCAAATTTTTTGTGTGTAAAAAATTTATTGTTTGAAGGCAATTTTGCTGGATACAGAATTCTAGGTTGGTGGTTTTTTCTTTTAACACTTTCCTTATTTCATTCCACACTCTTCTTACTTACATGGTTTCTGAAGAGAAGTCCAGTGTAATTTTTATCCTTTTTCCTCTATAGGTAATAGAAGCCAACAATAAAATTCTAGGCCTCCCAATCGACTGAATGGACTCCTCCTCTCGGCCAAGGGGATTCCAAAGTAAACCTGAAAAATGAGTTCAGGCCATGATAGGAAGGGGGGATTGGATATGCCTCATTATACTCTCCTCCCTTAAGAATTCAGGCACAACTGACCAAAATTAACATTGAAACAGAGATCTTAAGACTGATAAAATGAACTCCTTGTAGAAGTAAGATACCAAATTCTAACCCAACTCTAGTATAGTATCACATGGCAGATAGCAGACCCTGCAATAAATCATAGTTTACCTCAAAATATATTTATTTGACATGTTTTGAAATGGCCCTGCAAAGTCATCTCTTTTGGGGAAAATCTCCGTTTTGTAGAGAATCTCCTCTTTCCAGGTCTTTTCCTGATCCAGGAGAGATTCAGCTGAGAGTATGTTATCTTTTAAGGTCTGATAAGAGACATTTACCATCTATTCTCCCTGAAGCCTGCTACCTGGAGGCTTCATCTACATAAGAACACTGGTCTCCACAATCTCTTATCTAAAGCCAGATACTCCTTTCTACTGATTCCAGATCTTTAGATAAACTTAACTCTTTCAACCAATTGCCAATCAAAAAATCTTTTGAATCCCCCCCATGACCTGGAAGCCCCTAATTCAAGCTGTCCCATCTTTCTGGATCAAATGAATGTATACCTTACATATATTGATTGATGTTTGCCTGTAACTTCTATCCCCGTAAAATGTATAAAATCAAGCTGTAACCCAACCATCTTGGGCACATTTTCTCAGGACTTCTTGAGACTGTGACTCAGGCCCTGGTCACCCATATTTGGCTCAGAATAAATCTATTTTACACAGTTTGACTCTTTGTTGACAGTAAGGTGGGTTTATGTTTTTGTATTCTCTGAAATGACGAAGACTTTCTCTTTTATTTTCTACATCTGAATGTATTATGCCTAGATGTAGACTTTTTTTAAAATCCTGTTTTGTGTTCTCTGAGCTTCCTGGACCTATGGTTTGCTGTCAGTAATTTTGTAAAATCTCCAGTCATTATTACTCCAGATATTTCTTCTGTCTCTCTTCATCTGGTATTCCCATTATGCATATGATTTGCCTTTTGTAACTGTCCCTATTACTTGGATATTCTGTTCTTTCCCCTGGTGGTCCCTACCCGATACCCCTACTTTGTCCCTGGTCTTTTTTCTGCTTTTCAGCTTGGTAAGCTTCTGTTGACATATCTTCAAGCTCACTGATTCTTTCCTCAGCTGTGTCCAGTGTATTAATGACCCCACCAAAGGCATTCATTTCTGTTATATTTATTTCTGGTATTATCTTTTCTTTCTTAGAGTTTTGGTCTCTCTTCTTACATTACCTGTCTGTTCTTGCACGTTGTCTACTTTTTCCATTAAAGCCCTTAACATATTAATCATATTTAAGTTTCTGCTCTGATAATTCCAAAATCTCTACTATATCTGAGCCTAGTTTTGATGCTTGCCCTGTCTCTTCAGTCTGTGTATTTTGCCTCTTAGTACCCCTTATAATTTTTTTGAAACAGAGTGTGTCACTCTGTCACCCAGGCTGGAGTGCAGTGGTGCAATCTAGGCTCACTGCAGCCTCTGCCTCCTGGGTTCCAGCAATTCTCCTGCCTCAGGCTTCTAGGTAGCTGGGATTACAGGCACGTGCCACCACGTCTGGCTAATTTTTGTATTTTTAGTAGAGATGGGATTCACCACATTGGCTAGGCTGGTCTCGAACTCCTGACCTTAGGTGATCTGCCCACCTTGGCTTCTCAAAGTGCTAGGATTAAAGGAGTGAGCCACCATGCCCAGCCAGCACCGCTTATAACTTTTTGTTGAATAGCAGACACGATGTGTCAGGTAAAAGGAACTAAACAGGTCTTCAGTGTGAAGTTTTATGTTTACCTGGCTGGGAGTTAGGTCATATTAACTGTTTGTTGCAGCTTGGCATCAGAGGCTACAGTTTTCTCCAGTGTCCTTTTCTCTCCCTATCATCTTTGGGTTTCCTTAGAGACCCCTTCTTAAATAGGGTCTGAGCCTTACAGTTATTTTAGCTGTAATCCCATTATTATACCAGAGCCCTACTGCTGTGGTAGTTAAGATGTCAGAGGAGAAACATTCTATAGTTCTATGATCAATTTTGAGTCTGTTACTTCTGGACTGTGACCTTCACAAGTGCTTCTCAGTTTTTTTTTGTTTTTTTTTTGTTTTTTTTTGTTTTTTTTTCCCCACCTCTAACATGAGACGTAAGGTTAGAGGTGGCTGGAGTTGGGTATTTCCCTTCTCCCAGGTTGATTAGGCACTGGTAAAGTCCCAGTTGGTTAGGTTCTAGTACAAGTTTCCCTTGAGGTCAGGCCTTTGTTAAGAACAAAATATTCTGGGCATATTTCAAAATGGTACTTTTCTCCTCTCCACCATGTAAGAATATATATATATTTTTTTATTTTTATTTTTTTTTGTGAGACAAGGTCTCACTCTTTCACCCAGACTGGAATGCAGTGGCCTGAGCTCGGCTCACCACAACCTCTGCCTCTCAGGCTCAAGGGATTCTCCCGCCTCAGCCTCCTGAGTAGCTGGGATTACAGGTGCACGCTGTTACTGCTCGGCTAATTTTTGTATTTTTAGTAGAGACGGGGTTTTACCATGTTGGCCAGGCTGGTCTCGAACTCCTGACCTCAAATGATCCATCTGCCTTGGCCTCCCGAAGTGCTGTGATTACAGGCGTGAGCCACCGCACCCAGCCAGAATAAGGAAATTTTTATTAGCTCTTCATTGCAAGAATCTGGCAGGCTCCTAGAGGCAAAACTCACACCATTGTGTGAGCCCAGAGTTATTAAATGCTAAAGCTAGTCCACACTTTATCTCTAGTAATTAAGCCAATACCCTTCAAGCATCCCTACTCCATGCAGGCAATTTCTGTTTCTGATAAGCTTTGATTCTCTGTAGCAGCCTATCATTCCAGCTTTTGGGGTGATAACTTCAATTCTATAAAGGATCGGAAAAAAGCTGTTGATTCTGAGTTCTTCAGCTTTTTGTTGTTGTTGTGAGGACAGAATTACCAACTTCCAAGCTCTTTCTTTTTAATTATTATTTTTTTGAGACGGAGTCTCACTCTGTTGCCAGGCTGGAGTGCAGTGGCGCAATCTCAGCTCACTGCAACCTCCACCTCCCAGGTTCAAGCGATTCTCCTGCCTCAGCCTCCCAAGTAGCTGGGATTACAGGCACACGCCACCACACCCAGCTAAGTTTTGTATTTTTAGTAGAGATGGGGTTTCACCATGTTGGCCAGGATGGTCTCAATCTCTTGACCTTGTGACCCACCCGCCTCAGCCTCCCAAAGTGCTGGGATTACAGGAGTGAGCCACCACACCCGGCCTACAACTTCCAAGCTCTTTACATGTGGACTGGAAGCTGGAGGTCTAATTATCAGAAATTAGACTTTGGTCTACAGTACTTGGACAAATGAAAATACTTTGAAGATTTAGGATAATCCAAAATCATTTTATGCTCTAATTGTGAGGTACATTTATATTTAAATAGGCACTACTCTGAGCTATGAGGTATGAGGTATGAAAAATTTACCAGGCCCAGAGACATGAGTATGGGACTTCAGTCACACCTCCCCATCCATGCTTGCCTAGGGCAATTGTTCCTGGGCTGCCTCACCCATTATCTTCACATACTGGAAATTGTAGACAAAGAACAATTATGGTCAATCAATAGCTTGTGCTATTTTAGTATAAAATCTTGGTAACTCTGGAACTGCCTCTTCTTTTTCTTTAAAAATCCACTTGTAAATGCTACTAATTGGGGTGTATATTCCTGGTAACTGAATCTATGCTCCAGGGTTGCAGTCCCCAAGCTTAGCCCAAATAAACTCTACTTATATTGATTTTGCCTCAGCTTCTTCCTTTTAGGTCAACGACACTGTCTCAGTGATTACATTTATATTATTTGCTAATAAATTTAAATGTAATTTCAAATTAATATTTGAAATTGACTGGGTGTGGTGGCTCATTCCCGTAATCCCAGCACTTTGGGAAGCTGAGGTGGGAGGATCACTTGAGGCCAGGAGTTCTAGACCAGCCTAGGCAACATAGTTGGACCCCGTCTCTACAGGGGAAAAAAAAACGTTTTGAAATTAGGTAAATGCAAAAAGATATCACACAATACTTAGCCTGCAACCTTGTTTTCTGTCATTTTAGAAAATCACATAAAACCCAAGGAATGCCATCCCCATGATTTCTACCAGGAATTTTTACTTAGAGGAAACATACTCTGCTTGTATTTATACATACAGTACCAACTCATATAAGGCTTTACTCTTTACCATATATGTTAGCTTCTCTCATTTGATAGATTTAATTACAATTACCTGATGAGGCAGGTAGGACAGGAACCACGTTATGGGTGGGCAATCTGGCTTAAGTTGCCTAAAGTCATAGAATAAGTGCTGGTCTGGAATTTAGAACCAGGTCTCCCAGTGCACAGGCAGTGCCGTTTCCAGTGATTGGACCAGAAGGTAGAAAGGTGAACCAAGCCTTCCTCATAATAATCTCACTAACATAGTAACAATTACTAAACATATATATATATATTTTTCTTTTTCTGAGACAGAGTCTCGTTCTGTTGCCCAGGCTGGAGTGCAGTGGTGTGATCTCGGCTCACTGCAACCTCTGCCTCCGGGGTTCAAGCGATTCTCATGCCTCAGCCTCCCAAAAAAGCTTGAAGTACAGGGGCGTGCCACCACTCCCAGCTAATTTTTTTGTATTTTTAGTAGAGATGGGTTTCACCATGTTGGCCAGGCTCATCTTGAACTCCTGGCCTCAAGTGATCCACCCATCCTGGCCATGTGTGAGCCACTGCACCTGGCCACAAATAACAAACAATAACTATGACACAAAAAGAACGAGTAAGTGTTTGCATCCTAAATGAAATTTAAAATAGAGATGAAGTCACACAGTTATTTTAAGAGCTGGGAAATTCAGAGGGCAATTTGTTCCTCTGAGGACATGGACCATTATTTTGGGTATGTTAAGCTTTTAGAATATATTTTGTACCTTGGAACTTCTGTATTATCGTTTTTTTCATAAACACTGATTTTCATTGCTGAATTTTTTTTTTTTTTTCCTTAATGAGATGGGGTCCTCCCATGCTGGCCAGGCTGGTCTTGAATTCCTTGGCTCAGATGATCCTCCCAACTCGGCCTCCCAAAGTACTGGGATTACAGGCGTGAGCCACTGCACGTGGCCAAAGCTTACTGATTTTTAAGCATGCTTTTTTTCTTCCAATGGAGTCTTGCCAAAGGTCTATTCACCAGTGCAGGACTGGTGAATAGAGGCCTGGCCTTGTTCATCAAATAGAGCCATCCACTTCCCAGGCCAATTTTCCTTGGGGAAATATCCTATTATACTGCCAAAAAGATACACTGTAAACTTTCCTCTTAGCTTTCCCCAAAGGGATCTACAGTCACTTAGCAGGGTAACTATGCAACAGAGAAAATGTACCCAGGCTTCTCAAGGATACTAGACTTTGGTCCAGAATTGACTCATTTTGGGGACCCCAAACGCCACTGTGATCCACCAGGCTAGGTGATAATCAGTTTTGACTCAGGTCAGCTCACAGTGGTGCTGATGACCTGCTGTTGTCCATGTACTGAAACTCTCCATGTACTGAAACTCTCTTTTTGAGAGAGTTTCATTCTTGTTGCCCAGGCTGGAGTGCAATGGCGTGATCTCGGCTCACTGCAACCTCCGCCTCCTGGGTTCAAGCGATTCTCCTGCCTCAGCCTCCCAAGTAGCTGGGACTATAGGTGTGCACCACCACACCTGGCTCATTTTTGTATTTTTAGTAGAGACGGGGTTTCGCCATGTTGGCCAGGCTAGTCTCAAACTCCTGACTCTGTGATCTGCCCACCTCGGCCTCCCAAAGTGCTGGGATTACAGGTGTGAGCCACCGCACCTGGCCTAAAACTTTCTTTTAAAGTTTTATGTATTTATACAAGTTGGGTACTTCCTGCCTTTCTCTGTGTCTCTTGTGCTGGCTAATACAGTAGTTTAACAACAATAACAAAACACTTCTAGAATGGAGTTAAGAATGTACATTATAGTAGCTGTGTTCCATTTTGCTGAATCACTGAATCTATCTGTAAATAAGCAAAGAAACTCTATTCAAGTTCAGAACAAAACCCACCATTGGAGTTGGTTCTGAGTGTGAGCAGAGGCAGATTTCTGAAACACTAGGAGCCACTGCAGCTGCTCCATTATGTCAATACTAAAGATGAAATTACAGCCATATCTGCAGGCCCCACACCCATGGGTTCAACTGAGGATGGAAAACATTAAAAAATAAATAAATACAATTAAAAAAACAAATAAAAACCTCATACAGTATAAGTATTCACATAGTGTTTACATTGTATTAGATATCATAAGTAACCTAGAGAGAATATGCAGATTATATGCAAATACCAAGCATCCTCAGATTTTGGTTTTCGCAGGAGGTCCTGGAACACATTCCCCATGGATATCAAGGGATGACTGTATCTGCTTTTGCGTATTTAGTTTAACCGTATTTACGGTTAAACTTTTAGAGTTTTTGGTGTTTGGTCTGTGGATAAACATTGTTGGAGATCTTGAGGGGCTTAATTTAGTAAATGGCTTTTGAAAAGTTTTTCTAGATAAAAATTATATATAAAATAGCCCTCTCAGAATCAGACTGAAATAATAACCTCATTGTGTGTTTCTTTCCCTCACTCATGTCCTTGGATTACGAAAGGCTCAATTCTAAGCTCAAGTTAGTGTGGCTGCTCCATCCCTTCCCTGGGCCAACCATCCACCTGGTCCAAGTGGGTCACAAAACTGGAATTCTCTTTCATTCACCTCTAATATCGGCATTGTCCCTTCCAAAGGAAAAAACTGAACATCAATTTACCAAAGCAAGTACCTCTTTGAATGCTGCTTCTTCAAAGCACTCTGTTGGCATATTTCCTGATAATTCGGATACAGCAGTTTTATTACAGATTTAAACAGTTTCTAAACTTCTATGATAGGAGAAATAATTGTTCTTATCATGGATATGGTAAAAAAAAAAAATTGCTCCCCTTCTCCCCCAAAAAAGCAAGACCATGGTAGAATTCTTTTGCCTATTCAAAATGGCTACTCACCACAGACTGCCCATCACAGACTTAAAATGCACCTCCTGCCTTTCTTGCTTCCTCTCTCCCTCATCCTTAGTTCTATTCATTCCTTTATTCTCAGAATAACCTATTGACTCGATCTAGAAATATTTTTTGCAAGGTATCAGTAAATGTGAAGCACCCCACTCCTTCCAGCCTAAATCATAACCAAAGACAAGAAGAAAATGTTTGAAAGAAAGAGCTAGCTCTAGTGGCTGGGTGACCACTATGTTTCCATTGACCCACACACCTAAAACAACTCCTACTTCCTAACGCTGTCCAAGTAGCTGAACCTGAAACATGGTACTCTTGGACATTTTTAAACTACCTGGTCCAGTCCTTTGCCCAGTTCTTAGGCATAGCTGTAACTAATAAATGACTGAAGTGCCTTGCTCCTTGAAGTGTGGCCTGCAGATC
This sequence comes from Homo sapiens, assembly GCF_000001405.40. NCBI lineage: Eukaryota > Metazoa > Chordata > Mammalia > Primates > Hominidae > Homo > Homo sapiens. The sequence continues at coordinate 138,898,573 of NC_000006.12, forward strand.
TGTGGACTCAGCATCACCAGAGAGCTTGCCAGAAATGCAGAATTCTCAGGCCACCCTAGCTCTACTCAATCAGAATTTGCATTTTAACAAAATCACCAGGTAAATCAGAAGCAAATTAAAGCCATTACCATATAAAGTGAGTTATAAATATGAATTATAGCAGCTTTTATGAAGAACAACCTGGAGGTCTTTGATAAAAATATACACAGCAGTCCCCCCTTATCCATGAGAATACCTTTCAAGACCCCCAGTAGATGGCTGAAACCTCAGAGTACTGATCCCTATAACATCACGTTTTTTGATATACATACATACTTATGATAAAGTTTAGTTTAAAAATTAGGTACCATAAGAGATTAACAATATTTAATAAAATAGAACAATTATAATGACATAAAGTGGTAACAGTTATGTAAAGGTTTATCTGAAGAAAGGGAAACCATAAATAAGGGGGGACTATTGTGTAGCCTTTGACCAATCCGTCCTACTCTCAGGAATTGTATCTGACAGAAGAACAAATATTAGGACTTTGTTTCTATGTAAGAAATCGTTTGTTGCAACATTCACAGTGGCAATACAGAAAAAAAAAAATGAAGTAAGAGAGAGAGGGAGGGAAAAAAAGGAGGGGACCCAAGCCTCTAAACAAAGCAAATGTCCATCAAAGGAGAACACCCATCAATAGCAGAAGAGTTGAATAAATGATGGTGCACCCACACCATGAAGTACTAGTCATTAAAAAGAAGGAATAAAAGTCCTATCCATTAACTTGAAGTGATTTCCATTGCTGATTGAGAAAAGCAAGAAAAGAGTAGGGAAAATCTTAGCATTTTTGTAAGATAATGGCAATAACCTTTCCTGTACATAGATTGTGTGTGTGTGTGTGTGTGTACCTGAGCAAGTATAAAACAGTGGAAGGATACGTACTAGGTTGATAACTTGGGTGACCTGAGTGAAGACAGGGGTGAGGCTGTGCTATGTGGAAAAGTAGAGGGGAAAGAGGTACACTAAATAAAAGCCAATAGCAGGGATTGATGTCACTTAAGCGTTTTGTAACACTTTATGTTCCGACAATTTAAAAATTAAACAAAAATGGTGAAGAAAAATAAGAGACCTGAACAAGCATAAATATATGGACTCTTCATTGGAGTAACTTCCTGAGGGTTGCTTGATGCTTCTGGAAGGAAAACAATTATGCTCTATTAAAACATTTAGTTTGCTTCACTTAGCCACCCCTGGTGGGGAGGGGGAATTGGGGAGTGGGAGGGTGGGGTGGGGTTCCCCAAGCTCCTCCCAGGCTATCACCACTCACTGCTCGGCTAGAACACTCCCACAGGACAAATAACCCACACTAGAGCACAGTGAGGCCTGCCCAACACAGCAATCTCGCTCCAATGACAGAAAAGCAAAGAGGATAACAGATGGGAGGTTGAGGACACCAAATTTTGCCCCTTGATAAATATGCCTACAGTTGACCATGGTAGCAACCTCAGCAAAAACAAAGAACTATTTAATTTTTACCTTTCAAACTGATGAACTATATTAGGTTATCTACTGCTTTCCAATCAAAAGTAAAAATGTTTATATTTACTTCTACATAGTTAAATGCTTTTTTCTCCTATTAATACACCTCATGCCACATCAGTTCTTATTCTTGTGTTTCTCTCTACCCCAACTTATTATCTTTTTTTTTTTGAGGCGGAGTCTCGCCCTGTCACCCAGGCTGGAGTGCAGTGGCGCAATCTCAACTCATTCCAATCTCTGACTCCCAGGTTCAAGTGATTCTCCTGCCTCAGCCTCCCAAGTAGGTGGGACTACAGGCATGTGCCACCATGCATGGCTAATTTTTGTATTTTTAGTAGAGACGGGGTTTCACTATGTTGGCCAGGCTGGTTTTGGAACTCCTGACCTCATAATCAGCCTGCCTTGGCCTCCAAAGTGCTAGGATTACAGGCGTGAGCCACCGCGCCCAGCCTTGTTATCCTTAAAGGTGAAACAAAACAAAGACTTATTTTCTTCAGATTGCCCAAATACATCAAAGTACCTAACAACACAGATACAAAGTAATTCATTTCATAAAGAAGGGAAAGTCAGTGTTCATTTTTCCCGCAAGGATTATCAAATACTTGTCCCATGGACAAACGCAAAGCACTCCACCAGGAGCCCTGATGGCCCACAGTACTGACCTGACCTCAGAGACACAGGAGGGGCGAATCACATCAGGAGGAATATTATACTGAGAACTTCAACCAGCCATTCAAAATGTCAGTAGTGGGGTAAAAGCCTTGACTAGTGACTTATCAATTTCAAGATGCTTAACTATGTAACAAAGCATGTATGTTATGTATTAAAACTGTACCTTCTCCATTTTAACACAGGCTCTATGAACACATCCATGATCTCAGCCTTTTCCTCTTCAATGATGCCCTGCTCGTTTCTAGTCGGGGCACATCTCACACTCCATTTGAGAGGACTTCAAAAACAACCTACCAGTTCATTGCATCAGTGGCCCTTCATCGGTTACTCATAGAAAATATTCCAGATTCCAAGTGTATGTATTCTTTTCCTTCCAAGAGACAGATACCTTCAAAAAGCTATATAATGTAAAGCTCTTTAACAGAACAGTAGAAAAAGGACTGGAATTATAATTTACCAGGTTGCAAACAATTCCCCCAATATTAGAATTTCATTAAACAATGTAAACTTTCATCTACTTTTGAAATGGTTAAAGACAGGGCTTCTGGCATTCAGACATGAACCTTAGACATTAGGAAAACAGCTTTCAAAAATCACAAAGGGAGGCAAGGCCCCTATTTCCGTTCTTTGAAGCAGTGACATGAGAGCTGGAGCTCTCAACCACTATTCTATACTGTCTGAAGATGCCACAGTCTTAAAGCATATTTTAAATTTTTATCTATTACTTTCCCATTCTACTAGGACTAAGTGATTATTACATATTTGACACTACCTTTCCTTCCTTAAGTTTGCATCTAAGCTAGGAGTTGTTAAATAAAGGAATCAACAGATATGCAAAGGATGCTTGGTAAATTATTCACACACAGTAATTCCAATAGAAATATCATTTTGTCACGAAAACGAAATCCTACTTAAACCCACTATACATATTTTGTTATTATCCTATACTTTACTTCCCAAGCTTAAAAGGATCTGTATCTTATTCCTATATCTGTTAGGCCAGGCAATCTGAATGTAACATCTCTCATTCCAATGTTTTTCACTGCATGTAAAGACAGGACTTTGGTTAAAGTTGGAACCCAAGACCTTACAGAAGTACCAAACTAAATAAAAGGGCTATTTCCCAGTGGCTTTAGCCCCATTCTAAATCTGAGCCTGAGAAAAGAATGAGTATTTCCACCTAGAATACAAACTCAGGTTAAAAAGGCTTAATTAACTATCATCACTGGGTATGGTTAGTGTATGAAACATGTCTCCTTCAGTTCCCCTCCCACCATGACAATCAGCTGTGACCTATGTCAAAACATTGTTAAGTAACCTAATAGACAGTGGGCATTCAGCTAAGTAGCTGGCTTGATTCTGTCACTGGCTCTCATACTGAGGTCGTCTAGGTCTAGCTCTTAGCATCTTTATTTATAATAACTATCAGTAAAGACTGTTACTGATTCCAGTTCCTTCTGGAGTGATTGAGACAAGGAATTAAAAAACATCACATCATCTATCCGTTAGTCTTTAAAATAATTGCTAATTACAATAACTGTAATATAAAGACATCATTTTACACTGCATGTGAATTATTCAGTAATTTTAGGAAGTTATATTCTACACTGAATATGTATTTCTTTTTAGGTTTTAAAAAATTCTTAAAGATGATGATTTTTGAGTATTAACATTTTTTCTCATTTTGATTGTTATCTGCAAAGATTAATTAGTATACCTCAAATGCTTTTACAGATGTCAAGAATGCATTTATTCTTCAGGGTCCAAAATATAAATGGATTTGTGCTACAGAAATAGAGGATGATAAGTTCCTATGGCTGTCAGTACTTCGAAATGCAATCAAAAGCAGTATGGAGAAGTGAGACCGAACTTGAAAACTTCAGGGGTGCCAATTCTCCCCAGCAAAGACAGACAACATGTATTTTCTGTTCCAAAATATCCAGTAAGAAACAGAATAACTGTCATGGATGATGAGATAAACTAAGATGACCCATAGGATCTTTCCAACTTTTAAACTTTATCACTTGTGCTCACTTATGTAGAATGTATAAGTACATTTTGAGTCCAAAATTTTGAACTACTTCTTTTGGTAGCTGTATTTCATGGATAATATTATTTAGAGTAATTTGATGTGATGAAACCTAAGACAGAGCAAGCACATTGTGTAAAGCTTTGTTTTATGATCTAATGAAAAAAGCAGAATGAAAGTGTTTCTTAAGTGATCAGTCTAGAAAGATATTTTAATTTGTTGGTGATTTACCATTTTTAACATTTTCATGAAACAATTATTGATTTAAAATATGGATAAGAGGGCTGGGCATGATGACTCACGCCTGTAATCCCAGCACTTTGGGAGGCTGAGGTGGCAGATTACCTGAGGTCAGGAGTTTGAGACCAGCCTCACCAACATGGAGAAACCCCGTCTCTACTAAAAATACAAAATTAGCCAGGCATGGTGGCACACGCCTGTAGTCCCTGCTACTTGCGACGCTGAGGCAGGAGAAGAATCACTTGTACCCGGGAGTCGGAGGTTGTAGTAAGCTGAGATGGCTCCATTGCACTTCAGCCTGGGTGACAAGAGCGAACCTCTGTCTCAAAAAAAAAAGAAAAAAAAAAGGACAAGAAATACAAATGGCAATTTACTCAAAAACTTGTCACACTTATCCTTAGTATGAATGTACTCCTCTAGAGAGCATTAAAGATATACCACTACAAAGTACTAAAAAGTTTTCTATAATTTTTAAGTGTTATTTATTGGAAGGCTAAATTCTAAGAAGCTTTAACAAATATTTTTGACATTGTTAAATTAGAAGGCTATTTTTAAAAAGCATATTTTAAAAAACAAAACTAAATGGAAACAGCAAAACTTGCTTGTAATGAAATACAGCTGAGTAAAAATGTTTCTTTGAAAACAAAGACACTCAGAAAAACAGGTGTTGAGTAGTTTCCTGGGCCTTTAATGCTTTAAATTTATTATTTAACAACTAAAGCCATACTGAAAGCCACTTGGAAACTTCAGCTGATGTATATTTTTACCTAGATATTGTCAGGTAAAAATTGTATTAATCTTGGAAGCTTGAGGTTGTCAGTTTCCCTTGTTCTTCAAATTCTTGTTTACAGTAACAAAGTCTATCGGTGCAGTTTAGGACTGTGAATCTATAGTATTTAAACATTTTTTCTTTCAGAAATGAAAATACAAAATCTTCTATTTCTTAAAACTTTAAATCTTGTTAAAAAGATGAACAAAAGTTAAAATATTATGCTGTTTTATTGGTGTAAAACCACACTTCTGATTCTGCCAAGATATATCCATGCAGTTTAAAATCTATGATCCTATAGACAGAATAAATCTTAAAGGGAATATCTGCTGTTAGCAATGGATCGAAATGTATATATCATTTAATATTAAACAAAATCTAAAACAGCATATTGTCCTGAATAAGGCATACTCCAGAAACTCATTAATAGGAAAAACTTGTCTGTATAGCAAAAGAATGAGTGACAAGATGGCTAAAGGTAAACTAGAAATCCTAAGGAATTTCCCTTTATTCTGGGAATAACTGATATCCTCAGAAGTTTTAAAACAATACTTAAAAAAATTAAGAAAGGCCATTACTCATACCTATTTCATAAGTTTACATGACTGCTGAATTATTGAATCTCATAAAATAGTTCGAAGTCGCTGATGAAGTTGATCACATTTCCACAAGGAAAATATAAAATCTCACATGTTTGTATTTGTCACAAGTTGACATGTAAAAGAGGCTTCAATGTACCACATGATTTGTGAAGAATGTAGACGGCTGCAGAGAGTAAATTAGCTTATGGTGAAAACCACCTTATCCAATATAATTCTTTAAAATCAAAATTAAATGGGAAACTCTTTCTAAAGATTTTTATAGAATAGATGCTTTATGTAAAATATTAAACATAAAAGGACAAACTGACAATTTATTTCTGAGTCTGTGACTGAGATGTAAATGAGGAGCCCATTCTATAAATTAAATTGGTGTGTGGTATTAGCCATAGAAGCATTGCATATCCCAGATGCTAGGGAACAGAAAAGGTGGGTGTGCCAACAAACACAATCTACCCTCCAGAAAACGCCATCCTGACCTTTTTATTGTCGAAATTAAAAAATAAAAGATACTTAAATACAACGGTGAACATATAGGGCAAAACAGAATCATAAAATTTAATGTTGAGTTAAGCAGTGAGCTGAATGTCTAGGTCTCCAAATTGGCTTTGAACCCAAAACCACTTAAAAACAAGTATGTTCACAGTTAACGGCAATTGGCTTATAGGTGAGAGAATGGTCGAAGTTGTTCCAGTTGAACTTCCAGGGAAATTCTCTCCTCAAGAACATCCTGAAAAAGATGCAAAGGCCAAGTTATGTTTCAAAGTATATAAAAATGAAGAAATATCTAACAACAGCTCTGCTTCAAGAAAACAATTTAAATTTGTCAAGACAACTAAGGGAGAGCTTATTCATATTTTAAAAGTATACTTCACTTTAGAAATGTAGTTTCTTTTTTTTGAGACGGAGTCTCGCTCTGTCGCCCAGGCCGGACTGCGGACTGCAATGGCGCAATCTCGGCTCACTGCAAGCTCCGCTTCCCGGGTTCACGCCATTCTCCTGCCTCAGCCTCCCGAGTAGCTGGGACTACAGGCGCCCGCCACCGCGCCCGGCTAATTTTTTGTATTTTTAGTAGAGACGGGGTTTCACCTTGTTAGCCAGGATGGTCTCGATCTCCTGACCTCATGATCCACCCGCCTCGGCCTCCCAAAGTGCTGGGATTACAGGCGTGAGCCACCGCGCCCGGCTGAAATGTAGTCTCTTTATATGTTTAATATTAAAATAAGATCCTAGTAATTTCAAACATTTTCTTATTACACAAATCAGGGAAATAGAATGTCTAGTTTTTAGAAAAGTCACTGTTTGCAACAATGGGTATTAACACCTGAATTTTGCAATAAACCCGCCCCCTGGTAGATGAATTTGTTAATGTAGCTTCTTTTCCCTAGTGATGACATCTGGCTATATCAACTCCTAGATCTCATTTTGAGCTTTAGTTTCCCAAAGAATAACTTTGCATTCAGAATTTTTAATCAATGTTGATTTTAGGCAGTCTTTTCAGTTAGCCACCATATTCTAACTTACTTACTTTCCTATTTTTCTCTTTCAAATTGACAGTATTGTGTTTTAACCAGAACTACCTCTATTTTGTACCTTACTTCCCATTTTCTGTTCTCAGAAGTAAGGAAAAAAGTAATTTTTCAAAATAGCTTCTATATACTTGTTTCAATGGTCTTCCCTGGTTCAGAAAAACATGCATTAACAAAATTTTCATCTTCATGGTATTATACTACTAAGCTTGTCTTTAAGTTCATTCTTCCTGTACGATGGACTAAATTAATAATCATATAACTACAAATGTCTTCTCCTCTGATCATAGAGTTATACAACAATATCATTCATTCAGTAGATGTTTATCAAATGCCTAAAATATGATCTAGGTTTTGGGGATAGACACAAAGTGGCCATAAGTTTATATCATTCATTCAACAGACATTAAAAAATGCCTAACATACTAGGTTTCGAGGAGAGGGACAAGACGGTCATAAGTTTATCTAGGACAATCCCAGTTTATACCCAGTGTCTTGGCCTAAATGATAGTAATACCACCCTCTTTTTTTCCTCTCAAAAGTGTCTCGATTTGGATGGTATATTACGTGGTCTTCCTAAACAGAAATGATTATGATTTACCCTCAATGAGTTCACTGTAGTAGGACAGAGAGACAAATGTGTCACAGATAATAATTCCAGGACAGTGTAATAAATGCTAAATGAGGAGCATGAACAGAATGTTAGGAGAATGAACTAACTGCATTCATTTTTCATTTCCATGGACTCTCATCTCATCTTTGTTCTATTCCAAGTGGGGCCAACAGTGCTCCAGCATCTCCACTGCCTGGAAGCTTAGGAGAAATGCAGAATTCCCAGGTCCCACCTTAGCTCTACAAAAACCAGAATCTTCATTTTAACATGACCCAAGATTACCTGTATATGCCTTAAGGTTTGAGAACCACTGGTTTGTAAGACATGAGTACCTAATAATGTTGGGGAACCATAAGCAATTCTGGGAGTAATTTTTTTTTTTGACTCAATAAAGAAGGAGTAAGTAAGAGTAATTTTTATTTCTAGGGATGCAAAGAAATTATAGTTACTAGAAAACAAACACATTCCTCTCAGGTATTAGGTGACAGTATACACACTGCATAAGCAGCATTTCTATTTAAGGCTTGCCTTTTCTCTTTCCACATGCAAGATGACTGAAATTGCTGCCACTTCTCTTCTTCTTTAGACCTGTTTAAGTCCCTTTAATGGAATCTGAGTTGTCTTTGATAAAAGGACAAACTAGGACCTGGGTGCAGTGGCTCACGCCTGTAATCCCAGCTACTCAGGAGGCTGAAGTGGGAGGATAGCTTGAGCCCAGGTTGCCAGGGTGATAGAGCGAGATCGTGTCTCTTTAAAAAAAAAAAAAAAAGTGTGTGTGTGTGTGTGTGTGTGTGTGGCGGGGAGGGGTTAACTAACCACAGTCAAAGCATCTAGAAAATTAGAGAAGAGAACCATATATGTGATCTTGGAGGTATCTGAGGTCACATTCCTTCTCTTTAGGTTTCTTTACTAAGATAAGGAACATTATAAAGATTCAGAAACTATATTACCTTTAATTGTTGCTGCAATTCGCTATTCAATCTGGCCAAAACGGTGTTGGTTTCCTTATTACGTCTAATTGATGCCTGAATAGCTTTCTTATCTTTCCCAACAGATCTGAGAAGATAAAGAAGGCAAAAAAACCCATAACCTTCATTTCTTATCTTAAATCCTCTCTATTCCTTCCTGATCTATTTCTAAACATGAGAAGCAAAAAGAGCATCTTTTTCCTTACTAGCACAGCTCAACCTCACTTGCTCAGTTGCAGTAGTATATAAGCTTCAGCACTATAGGAAAGGTTAAAAAAAAAAAAAGAAATTATTAAAAAAATTCTTCTTCTGTAGAATCACCTGAATTTAAGTAAAAGAGTCTAAAGTAGGTACTGGCAAACCTTTTCTGTAAAAAACCAGATAGTAAATAATTTCAGGCTTTGTGGGCCAAAGAGTTTCTGTCTCATATTCTAGTTTTTTGTTTTCTTTTCTCTTCTATTTTTTCTTCTCTCTTCTACAAAAAAGAAAAAGTCATTCTTAGCTCATGGGCTATACAAAAACAGGCCATAGGCTGAATTTGGCCCATTAAGACTTAATCTGCTGATTCCTGGTCTAGAACACCATAATTAAAATACCAGTTTTACTATAAACTATCAAGTTTAAAAAATGTACTGCTACGGGGTTTGAAAACAGGGTGTTAAAATGGCATTGAATTCAACTTAATAAAGGGGGAAACATGGGAAGAATACCTACCCGTACATGAGGAGGCTCTGCTCAATTAAAGAACTAGTCTGACCATAATTTACTTCAGTCTGATTATTGTTATTATTATTATTTGTGAGATGAAGTCTTGCTCTGTTGCCCAGGCTGGAGTGCAGTGGTGCCACCTCGGCTCACTGCAACCTCCGCCTCCTGGGTTCAAGCAATTCTCCTACCTCAGCTTCCCGAGTAGCTGGGACTACAGGTGTGTACCACCACACCCGGCTAATTTTTTTGTATTTTTAGCAGAGATGGGGTTTCACCATGTTGGTCAGGCTGGTCTAACTCCTGACCACAAATGATCTGCCCAGCTCAGCCTCCCAAAATGCTGGGATTACAGGTGTGAGCCACCACGCCTGGGCCAGTTTGATTACTTTTAATTGTCGTGCTTTTTCTTCCTAGTAATTAAATGTGTCTAGGAATAGCTTTGATTACCTGGGAATAGAAGGTTGTGATGCAAGAACAGCAGCTAAGACACCCGTCTTTTGTGTATGTTCATCAACTTCTGGCCTTAATTCATCTTCTGATTTTAATCTTCTTCGAACAGGTTTAGGTGGTGGAGCAAGTGGTGTTGTGCCTTTGCTCTTTAAGACAAGAATTCCATTAATAATAAGCATTTTTGAAGACATTCATAGTTAGCACTTTGCAACACCATTTGCTTTCTTTAAGCCATTTGCTCTTGGAAAATTGAAAGTTACTTGTCCTACTTTAAATCTATATATTTGTGGCAAGAGCTAACTTAAATTACAGTGAGAAAAGATGTTTCTAGTTGACACCACAATCATGAATGTACCTGCAATATAAGTATTTTTAGAGCAACATACTGATGCAAGACTGTAATATTCACAGTTTTAACATAAATATGATACAGAATCAATATATACCTGTTCAACAATAAACAAAGGCAGTCTCCAGAAATATCTATGCATTATCACCATAGGATTTCTTACTCAAAAATACTAACATTCATCTTAGTGAATAAAATAACATTATAAAGTAATGGAAAGCTAGGCAACTCTTTAAAAAACCAAAAACATCATTATTAATATGCACAGTAATTATAACTTCTGAAAATGAGTTGACAGTTTGTCGGTGATTATGAATCTGCCCTTGGCAGAATAAAAAACAGCATTTTGGCATTTACCATAACTTGATTTACCTGTAAATAAATAAAAACAATAGTCAACTGCTATCTCTTTAGTTAAGTGATATTTTTAATTTGTTACTGTGAGTTGACAAAAATAAAGTTCATTACTTAAAAACTCACAGGACTACTAATGTAATAAAACATAGTGATATGGTTTGGCTCGGTGTCCCCAGATCTCACTTCAAATTGTAATCCCCATGTGTCAAGCGAGGGGCCTGGTGGGAGGTGACTGGGTCATGGGGGTGGTCCCCCATGCTGTTCTTATGAGAGTGAGGGAGTTCTCACAAGACCTAATGGTTTTACAGTGAGGCACTTCCTCACTCTTTTTCTATCCTGCCACCTGCTTCCCCTTTGCCTTCCGCCATAAATGTAAATTTCCTGAGGCCTCCCCAGCCATGCAGAGCTGTGAGTCAATTAAATCTCTTTTGTTTATAAATTACCGTCTCAGGTGGTATCTTTATAGCAGTGTGAAAACAGACTAATACACACACAGTGTCCAGAAAGTAGAATTTAAGCACTTCAGAAACACATGCTGTTTTTATAACTATTGGGAATGTCTAGATAACAGAAAAAAAAAGTTACCAAAATTATTCCCTCAAAGGGAAAGTGTGCTGATACTTGCAATCTAAAGTACACTGATATAGTTTAGATATTTGTCCCCTCCAAATCTCATGGTGAAATGTGACCTCTAATGTTGGAGGTGGGCCTAGTGGGAGGTGTTTGGGTCATGGAGATAGATCCCTTGTGAATGGCTTGGTGCCCTTCTCACAGTAATGAATGAGTTCTTACTCTTGAGTTCACATGAGAGCTGGCTGTTTAAAGAGCCTGGCATCTCTCCTTGCTCCCTCACTCACCATGTGACACACCGGCTCCCACTTTGCCTTCTGCCATGATTCTAAGTTTCCTGAGGCTTCACAAGAAGCAGATGCTGGTACCATGCTTTCTGTACAGCATGCAGAACCATGAGGCAAAATAAACCTCTTTTCTTTTTTTGAGACAGGGTCTCACTCTGTCACCCAGGGTGGAGTGTAGGGCACTATCTCAGCTCACAGCAACCTCCACCTCCCAGGCTCAAGCGATCCCCCCACTTCAGCCTGCCAAGTAGCTGGGACTATAGGCGCATACCACCACACACGGCTAATATTTGTACTTTTTGTAGAGACGGGGTTTCGCCACATTGCCCAGGCTGGTCTCAAACTCCTGAGTTCAAGTGATCCGCCTGCCTTGGACTCTCAAAGTGCTGGGATTACTGGTGTGAGCCACTGTGTCCGGCATAACCTCTTTTCTTTACAGATTACCCAGTCTCACATATTCCTTTATAGCAATGCAGACGGACTAACACAGACATAAAACATATAAGGATTGACAGATGAACAGATGGCATGGAGAGATATGTAGTAAAGCAAGTATCCTAAAATAATAATGGTATAAAGTAGTGAATTTACTGATGTACAATGAAAAATTGTTTCAATTTTTCTGTATGCTTAAACGTTTTCATAATAAAATGTTGGGGGAAAAAATTATACCTAAAACAGTTAAAGAACAAGTTAAGAGAACAGGGAATAATAACAACCTTAGAGGGCTGATAATTTTTCTTTATTATATTGAAGACTACAATAAAAGAAACTGAATTTCACCTATAAAGAAGTTCTACCTTATATAGTGGGAAGAATGCAATAACCACTTAAATTTTGAGAACCTGTGACACATACTTAACATAGATTACAGAATATCATCTCCATTAAATAGGCAGACTTTGTTCTGAGCTAGACTGACTATACTACAGTTAAAGGCAGAGAAATGGGTTAGATGATTTCTGGCTGACCTTATTTCTAAAAATTATTTCACATTACTTATGATGTACAAAATTATTATTATAAAAGACATTTTGCATACCACATTGGCAGGAGCACTAGCAGCTGTCTTTTCTTCAGTTTTACTATCTGTTTTGGCAACTCGAAGAGAACTTGCAGGATCAGAAGCTTTTTCAGCCTAAAAATGAATATGTTTATCACTATTAATTCTACATAACATGTAATTATGCATAAATATAGAATATGTACCAAATCAGAATAAAATGTTAAATATTCTGACAAGAAAACTGAGATGATGATAAGAAACTTGAAGGAACTTTATTAAATGAGCCTTCTCTGCTACTGAAAGGCAGATGGGAGAGCAGGTAATAGATGTGTGAGGGAGAGGAGGACAGGGCAAGGATGCAGCTATGTAACAGATGTGTGAGGGAGAGGAGGACAGAGCGAGGATGCAGGTAACAGATGTGTGAGGGAGAGGAGGATGGGGCGAGGATGCAGGTAATAGATGTGTGAGGGAGAGGAGGACGGGGCAAGGATGCAGGTAGTAGATGTGTGAGGGAGAGGAGGATGGGGTGAGGATGCAGGTAGTAGATGTGTGAGGGAGAGGAGGAGGGGACGAGGATGCAGCTATGTAATAGATGTGTGAGGGAGAGGAGGACAGGCGAGGATGCAGGTCATAAATGTGTGAGGGAGAGGAGGACGGGGTGAGGATGCAGCCACTGCACCGAACCTCTAAGTGGTTAGTCTGGGAAGTCTTCGTGGTTGGGAGAAGGGAGGCATCCACCCAGGGGAGTGAGTACGGTACCCTGTGCACACCTCTACATGCCCACTCTGACCCTCCTAGATGCAGCCCAGTCCCCTAATGGGCACGGCAGAAAGTTGTAGGTTTTAAAAGGGAGCTAGTAGGAAATTTTCCATGGCTATGACCTATAAGAAAGAGATTGCAGAATTCCTCTGGTCTCTCCAACTCCACATTTATGCTCAGCAATTTAGGTCAGAGATTCCTAGAGAGGTTCTTGCCATTGGAACTACAATAGAATATCCTAGAACACTGTGAATATTAAATTTTGGTATCCTATAGTCTTTGCTTAACTAAGGCAACTTACTCTCATACAAATTTTAAATGCTTTAATTAGAAGTTTGGCTGAAATTTGTTTTTAGTTAAAGTTGTAATTAGATCTAAAAGTTACATATAGTGAAATTCCCCTTGGGGAAAAGTTGCAATGAGTGGAGCTATGGTAACCATGGCCTCTTATGACAGGGAAATCTTCACCAAATCACACAGACAGATGCTTAGCATTAAGATGGAAACCCCCAAAGCAGCGTTTTAGCCACGGCCAGGCGGTGGTGTCTTTGCATGTGATATCAATCCCCCACCCCCACCAGACTCTGATACTTAGTAAGCATTACACTGCAACCAGCAGATATTGGAGGCCAATAAAAAAGATGAGAAGCACTGACCCAGGGAATATTTTACTCACTGATGTCCCCTCTAATATCTGCTCTGTTGACACAACATGGTATGGGAAGTGACTGCCTGCAGAAAATTAGCCAAGCCCTCGAAAACTGACCGGCAGGACTTCTGGATGTTTCTCGGCTTCATCATCTTGTTCGTCGTTTACATTTGATGCAGCAAATACTTCAAACTGACTGAAATCTGCAAAATTTGGTTGCTCTGGTATCTGCTGAGGTGAGGTACTAGTGTGAGTTATGAGGCCATCGGCATCCACTGGGCGATGCACAGCAGGACCAGGAGCCTGTGCAATGGTTCAGAACAGAGGAACACACATTCTATCAGCCTATCAGTGTCACAGAGTCATCTTCTTCTTCTTCGAAAACTTAGTATATAAAGATGACCTGTTTTATTATCTGTAAGTTCAGAGAGGTGTATTATAGTAACATTTAGCTCTAAAGAAATGATTAAACCATAAGTGAAAAGCTAAGACACTAAAAAAAAAATTAAGATGATAAACCTCCAATAAAAAGATATTTTTTTTCAAAAACTGTATTGCAAAGAAAGTACAATGAAGGAGAGGGTAGGTCTGGCCCTACCCCCATTCTCCACTTGCATGTGTTTTTTTCTTAATTGGACTAATGCACAATAGTTTCTTCCTTAAATAAGTTATTTTTTTTTAATGTTTCACTGTTTCTTAAAAAGCTTGCTCTAAAAAGTGTGAAAACCACTGCTCTATCCTCCCAACATGTCAGGAACACTTCCCTTCAATTCATCTTCCACTCCTTTGCCAGCCAGACCAATGCTGCTCCATCTTCAGTCTAAAAATATGTTTACTGAATATGTACTTGTGAACAAAACAAATGAGGCCCACTTATACTCTAATAAAGCTGACAGTCCGGAGCAGGAGAAGAGAATAAGTAAATAAGAAATTAAAATAGAGTGTGAGATGTTTTATGACAAAGGAAGTAAAGGATACTAAAGAAAGAAATCTGAAGTCTCTTCCCTTTAAAAATTCTTCATCTCCTCTAAGAAAAAGTCTATCCTTCTTACTACGATATGGACAGCTTCATTTCTCATCACTCCACACATCTACTCCTGTTGTGCTGAACTAACTTGTTTTCCCCTGAGGAATGTGCCAGGCTTAACACAAACCTCCATCGCTTTGTGGATGTCATACCTTCGGTTTGGAATACCTTTTCCCCAATAAATTCCACTTTATCTTTCAAGTCCCTGCTAAGTCTCATTCCTTCATTTCATGTATAATGTGATCCTTAACTTTAGCCACTAAGGCTGTCCCAAAGCATTTTATAAATGTCTACTACAGCACTCTAATTTTGATGTGGAAGGGATGCAGAGGTCATTATACTTCCTTAACTCATGTGGTAAACACATCCAGAGAGATGCAGTGAGGTTATTTAGGGGTATTTTGTTTTGTTTTGAGACAGGGTCTCACTCTGTCATCCAGGCTGGAGTGCAGTGGTGCAATTACAGCTCACTGCAGCCTTGATCTCCCAGGCTCAAGAGATCCTCCCACCTCAGCCTCCCAAGTAGCTGGGACTACAGGTGCACACCACCACACCCAGCTAATTTTTTTGTTTTGTTTTTAGAGATGGGGGTCTCACTATGTTGTCCAGGCTGGTCTGGAACTCCTGGGCTTGAGAAATCCTACTGCCTTAGCCTCCCAAAGTGCTGCAATTACAGGTGTGAACCACTGCACCCAGCCTGGTGAAGTGATTTTGTGAGTCACTGCTAGACCCAGGACATTAATGGATATTTCCTATCTCCCAATCCATTGTTGTTTCCACTAAACTCTTCTCTGTCAAGACATTATCATTTGTTTCACTTTTAAGGCTCTTTCAAAAAATAACTCAGATCATTCTTGAAATGTGCATCTTTCAAAATGAGATTCAGCCTCACTGAATTAAATGCTCATTAAAGATTACCAACAGATCATTCCTGACCTTCCAAATAATTTGAGAATAGAATTAAATACCTAGCAGGCAAAGTGATCATGGGACATTTAGTAATAAATACCTTGGAGAATTACCTGTGAGGGCTGTGGTCTTGGAGGCACTGCAGGAGGATGGGCAACAACTCCAGCCTGTTGTTGTCCTGCATGAATACAAAAGTTCTTCTTTTTAGTAACTGTATAATCACTTTGTTAATAGAAGAAATAGGCTGAATGAATGTGACTACATGATAAAGATTTCTAAGAATGTTTGTTAAGTATTAGAAGGCAAGTACTAACTTGTTACATGGTCTGTATGTAACCTAAAGACCAAATCTCACAGCCTTTCATCAGATCTCACTTTGCTTCTTACCTCTATTACATGAAGCCCTCCTGGCATACTCCTGCCTATTCCCATAATAGCAAACAATCTTGATTTTCTTCGTGTATCTCTGACTGCTGTTTAGGTATCAAATGAAAACTTCCAAATTTTCCCTTTCACTTAACACTTCACTTTTCCTCACCATTCTAAACTCACAGTGACTAAAACATAACTTCATCATCCTCTGCCCTAACTTTTCTATTTTAACCAAGGTAACAACAATACTGCCAGTTCTTCAAAAATTAAAAACCTGGGTAAGTTATGACTCTTCTTCTTCATCAGCCAAATTGAGACCTATCAGTTCCCACCCCCCCAACCCCTTAATATCACAACACCGTTCTTTTAAAATTTCCTGTGACATCTCTCAGGTTCCCATCTTCATTATTTGCACTCAAACACACTTTAAGTAGTCATTAAGAAAAGAAATTGCCTCTCATCTGCTGTCTTTTAATCCAAAATTTTCCTTCAGATAATTTTTTTTTTTTTTTTTGGAGACAGGGTCTCACTCTGTCACCCAGGCTGGAGTGCAGTGATGCAATCTTGGCTCACTGCAACCTCTGCTTCCCAGGTTCAAGGGACTCTCCCACCTCAGCCTCCCGAGTAGCTGGGACCACAGACATGCATCACTACATCCGGCTAATTTTTGTATTTTTAGTAGAGATGGGGTTTCACCATGTTGGCCAGGCTGGTCTCGAACTCATAACCTCAAGTGATCTGCCTGCCCCTCAAAGTGCTGGGATTACAGGCATGAGCAACCACACTCGACCAGATAAATATTTTTAAAAGACATGTAATAGAAACAAAAATAAAATGTGTATGTGTGTTGGATTAACTTTAAAATTAAATGATAATGTATATTATGGTTCTCTAGCCCCTACCTGTGGTGACTGTAAAGGTCCGATTCATATCTAAAGATGATGATCTAGAATGAGAGGGCTGTGGCCTTGGAGGGGGAGGTGGTGGTGCAGTGTTATCAGGCGACGTTCCTGAATGAGACCTGCAAAATTCACCCCATGATAATTGGTCATACTACTGATATCAGAGCTTTTTTCTTTTTAAACATTTACACTTGGCTAAGCAGCAAAGGATCTTATTAGCATGACATTTTCTCAACACTCAAGTATGTAAGTGTTACAATAAATTAAGATAGCACTGTTTATGATGTACCCTAAACAACTGATTATTTTATGTGGCTAACAATTTTTTTAATAAAGTTATTAAGCAAAATTTCTTTTTTTCTTTTTTTTTTTTTTTTTTTTTTGAGACAGTCTCACTCTGTTGCCCAGGCTGGAGTGCAGTGACACCATTTTGGCTCACTGCAACCTCCGCCTCCTGGGTTCAAGCGATTCTCCTGCTTCAGCCTCCCAAGTAACTGGGATTACAGGCGCATGCTACCATGCCCGGCTAATTTTTGTATTTTTAGTAGAGACGGAGTTTCACCATGTTGGCCAGGCTGGTCTCGAACTCCTGACTTCAGGTGATCCGCCCACCTTAGCCTCCCAAAGTGCTAGGATTACAGAAGTGCTCGGCCTCAAAAATTTTGAAAAGAAACTTAGTTGTCAACATGATTTCATAATAGACTGCATACTTAGTGTTACGCTTTCCCATTCAATTAAAAGTAATAATAGTCTGAAAAAAAATAATTGTATAAAGGAAAGTCTACTTTCAGATATGGTTAGCTTTCAACCTATTAAGTTCTGGATTTTGGTAAGCTGAAGTACCCTTTCATGTGTCCGCAGAGGCCATCTCATTTTAGAGGTGACTATGCTCAAACTCAACTCGCCCTAGAGATTCACTTCTTTGCTACCAAAGTCTTTCATATTCTGAAAAGAGTCTCCAAGGCCTCTGGTAATCTGATCTGCATATATGGGAATAAACAGCAGAGTAAAATCCAAGATGACTGAGAATGCTAAGAAACACAGGAAGAACTACATGAAGAATCAGAAAGGAAGACAAGCAGCCTTCTGACTCTAAGCTGCTTGGAGATTCTGCATCCTCGCTACATCCACTGGGCACACAGCAAAATGATACTCAACACGTGCAAAAAGTGAGGAGAGAAAGATGCTTCTGTCCTGCACACAGCTTTTAGTGGATGGTAAAGCCCTTGCAGACAAATCTCTAGCCTCCTCCACCCTATCCCACACCCTTCTTGTTTGTGCCTGAAAGGTTATATGTAACGCAGAACTTCAGGGTGGGGAGGTGGCCCACCACTGGGCTGTGCTTTTGGATGGTGTTTTAAAACACAGAATTCTTTTGGTACTTACCATAAGGCTATACATGTATTACTTGACAGATTCTCGTTGTTTAGGTACAAAAAGGACTTATAAAACTTCTATCGTCAAGAAGTTATCACCTCTTTTTAGAGCTTCCACAACATACCATTTAGAAAGTCAGGGTTCTTTTTGTTTTTCTATTCAAGTTGGAAAGGATCAAAATTACTTGTCTTTTACATAAATCAAAAAGTAACCTAACAGCTTTCAGAGAACAAAATCATTTGTGCTTGGTTCTAAATAGTTTTAAACATTAAAACGCAGCAAGATAGTTTAACATGCTTTTCATTGACAGAAATACTGACCTTTGACGAGTTACATTGCTCCCGATCTGTTCTGGGTCAGAAGTAAAAGAGTCTGAACTACTGTAACCATCTGCTGATAAATGGGATATGTCCTATTTAATAATAATCATTTCTTTACTTTTTGCTCTATCTACTCCAAACAAATATAAGTGATATGCTGTTTCAAGCCAGAGATAGTCAAAGATTGGCTAATAGGCTAACAGTTCATCCTAGTGTTATTAACTGTAAAAAATTAACTACAAATAAATCATGGCATATTTACACAGTAGACAAAGCAAGTTATAGTCTAGAAAAAATAATGAATACTTAATGATGCAGAAATATTCAAAATAAGTCACAAAATAGTACATATACAATGTGGCCCTCCAAATCTGTGGTTCTGTATCTGTAGGTTCCACAGCTGAGGATTCAACCAACCGCAAACAGAAAATATTAGAAAATAAAGTAACATTACAACAATAAAAATAACACAAATAAAAAACCATGCAGCATGACCGTTTTTTTAATATAGTTTGCATGCGTGTGTGTGTGTGTATGTTTGTGTGTGTGTGTGTGCGTGTGTATATTTTTTTGGGGGTTAGAAATGAGGTCTCGCTATATTGTCCAGTCTGGTCTCTAACTCCTGGGTTTAAGCAATCCTCCTGCCTTGATTTCCCAAAGTGCTGGGATTACAGGTGTGAGCCACCGTGCCTGGCCCAATAAAACAACTATTTACATTGTATTAAGTATTATAAGAAATCTAGAGATTATTTAAAGTATACAGGAGGATGTGCATAGGTTACATGCAAATACTACACCATTCTACATATCAGAGAGCTGAGCATTCACAGATTTTGGTACCCATGGGGGTCCTGGAACCAATTCCCTAAACATATTGAGGGATGACTGTATTACAATTTCACATTAGATACAAACATAACTTACATATGTGCAGAATGAGAACTAAAGTTGACAATGAATCTGTTAATCACAGACATTTGTGGAATAGTGAGAATATGAATAATTATTTCATTTTTATCTATTACATTTCTACAATAAATACGTTACTTCTGTAATGGACAAAAAGGTCGCTTTTAAAGAACAAATTAGAAATACTTTAAATAAAAGTAATTTTAAAATTGTTAATGTGAAAATTAAAAATTTGACATGGGAATAAAATGTGCTTATACAATAATAATAATTATGAAATTAGCCAAGGATCCCAGCTTTTTCTGCAGAGGAAACATTTATTTTCAATTTCCTCAAAGTCTCATGAAGCACAAGAGAATCCCAGAAATAGACTAAGAGTTGTGACAGAAAAAAGAAATTTTAAGATAGAAACTCTAGAGACAATCTGAAGGAATATTACTACATATGTTCAAGAGTCATAAGCTGAAGGGACTGGTTATTTTAATTGTATTTCAAAATGTATCTCTTTCCTTTTTCTTGTAAATCACAGAATCATCTAGTTGGTACAAGAATGACATTAAAATGAACATATTTCCATCTGGATATTTTAACAGGCACCTCAAGTTTAAAGCATATGAAACTGAACTTGATTCTTTCTCTACAAACCTACAGCTATCAGTTTTCCTCATTTTCCTGTTCTCCAGGCCAAAAACCATGAAACCACCCTTGACTCCTTTCTCTCTTACATCCTATAGCACACAGGTAAAAGCAACTCCTGAGGTCTTTTCCTCCACAATGTACACAATATAGCCAGAGTCCAGCCACTTCTCATCACTTCCACTGCTTGCACCCTAGACACCAAGCTGTCACCATCTTCCCTTGCCTGATTACCGCTATCTCCTAAATTGTGTCCTGTTTTGTCTCGCCTTCTTTTGGCCTATTACCATTAGGAGAGCCAGACTGATCCAGTTAAAAAGCAGGCTCAAATCATGTCACTCCTCCATTCAAACCTTCGATTGGCTTTTCATCTAAGTCAAAGAAAGTCTGACACTGCCTCCTGTTACTATCCTACCACTGCTACCTTTCCCTGCCAAATTTGCTAACTAATTCTATTCCAGGTATTTGCCTGCTATTCTAGTAAAAGCAGGTCCTGCCTTAGGGCTCTACATTTGCTGTTTGCTGTGCCTTAATTTTCCTTCTGGATTTGTACAGCTGAATTCATCTCCTTCAAGTTTTCACTCAAATGACATTTTTTTGGTAAGGCCTTCCTTGACCATCCTATTTAAAATGGCACTCTCTCCACCCTTTCCCAGCTTTATTTTTATTCACAGTATTAGTTACTTTCTAATATAAGAGTTATTTTTTATCTCCCTTTTATCTCCCTTACAGAATGTAAACTCTATAGCAGCAAAGACTTTTTTACTGTTCAATCTCCAGTGCCTAGAACAGATCCTGGCATACTGTATCCAATTAACACTGGCTGAATGAAAGTATACACAATTTCTTGTGTGATAGAAAAGGAAGGAACCACTGAGGAAGAGCCATAAGATCAAACCTGGCTACACAGAGAGGGATGGCAAACAGGAAGCCTGCATTGAAGCAGGAGTCAATGGGCAACCATTTATTCACTGATAGGGCAAAGTGTTCGAAAGGGTTCACTCTCCTCTACTTTATCTAGTGAAGACGGTATTAAATGCATACACATCTGAAATAGTCAGACTCTAAATCCAGACTTAGTAAACTTCAAATGGAAGATGTAATACTTCACTTACCTACAGTATTACCAGAAGCGAATTTCACCGATGAATTTATCTTATTTTCTTCTAAAAGGTCAGATGGTTTCACAAGTAATGGGCTAGTGGGATTTGTATGATCTAATAGAGAATTAATAGGTAAAAATACAAGACATAGGTATTTGAACTGATAAACTCATAAAGCTCAGAGTGTAAGACTTCATTTAAATATCCAAAGAAGTGGCAGGTAAATCCATAAAATGTAAGACAAAATAATATTTTTAATAAAAACAAATGTAAAACTGTTTATTTATAATTTTATTTTCTGCCATAATAGAAGATAGTTTATAATGAAAAAGTTTATTTGCATGTTCACACTTAATTTTATTCCTGCAGCACACTTAAACACTACATATGTAAACTGTAAAGTAAGTTAATTTATAACGCTGACTTACACAAAAAAAATCTACCTTTGAGAAACCCTGAAACATTTAGTCTAAAATGAGACATTCCAAGAGTTCAAGCAAAATATATAATTTCAAAGCCAAAATTTATTTTAACATATATCTCTTCAGTTAAAGTTTTAACATATTTTAAACGTAAATTTACAAGGATGAACATAAAAACCCACGGGGTATTAGAAATGTCACATTTTCAAATGTCCTTATTTTAAAACTCCGTAATTTAAAATAAATTCCTTTTAAAAACAGCAACATAAATAAATATGCATGAACATATACATAATTGTAGAAAGTACTAGCTTAAAAAATAAGCGATGAAAGAAATTTGAACCTTGACAGAATAATTACATATTTCAGTTTGATGTAAAACTAAAATACAAACCAGCAACAGCTTCCTTACCGCTGCCAGTTCTTTTAAGTTCCATTTCCTGCATGTGGATTTTGCTTGGAGTCATACGAATGGGAACTGGATGAACAATAGCAGTATCCTAGAGACAAATGGGAGGAAATAAAGAATTTGTATTAAAATGTCAAGCTAATGCCATGCAATAATCAAAACAAACAAAACTAAAAACCAGTGGACAGGCTTTCCCATTTACACTAAGGCAGGCATGAAAATAAGCTTTGTAAGTTAAAAGCTCTAGAATTCTATTTAAAAATCAAGCTCACTATATATGCCTAGTATCTGCTTAATTAAAAAAAAAAAACATTTTAAGTGGAGTGATTAAAGATTTACATGAAGGCTGGGCACTGACGCTCACACCTGTAATGCCAGCACTTTGGGAGGCCAAGGCAGGAGAATCACTTGAGCCCAGAGAATAGCCTAAGCAACATAGTGAAACCCTGTCTCTTCAAAAAATATAAAAACGATCTGGGCATAGCCCATGACTTATAGTCCCAGCTACTCGGGGATGCTTAGGTAGGAGGATCCTTTTTTTTTTTTTTTTTTTTTTTTTTTGAGATGGAGTCTCGCTCTGTTGCCCAGGCTGGAGTACAGTGGCGTGATCTTGGCTCACTGCAACCTTCCGCCTCCCAGGTACAAGTGATTCTCCTGCCTCAGCCTCCCAAGTAGCTGGGATTATAGGCACCTGCCACCATGCCCGGCTAATTTTTATATTTTTAGTAGAGACAGGGTTTCGCTATGCTGGCCAGGCTGGTCTCGAACTCCTGACCTTGTGATCCGCCCGCCTCGGCCTACAAAGTGCTGGGATTACAGGCGTGAGCCACTGCGCCCGGCCAGGTAGGAGGATCCTTGAGCCTGGGGAGTGGAACCTGCAGTGAGCTGTGATCATGCCACATCATTTCAGCTTAGGTGACAGAGCTAGACCACATCTCAAAAAGTGTGTGTGTGTGTGTGTGTGTGTGTGTGAGATTTACATTTAAAAAATGCTCTTATAAAAACACAGTTCAAGACAATATTAAAAAGTGAGGAATGATCTGATAAAATTATGCAAATGTGAGCCTTGAAGTTAAAATAAACTATTTCATGAGAATCCAAAATCTAAGTAACAGACTGAAAACTCATTTTCAGTAAACTGCTCAAGAAAATTTGACACTTTCTTTAACCTATAAAACAAAGTTAATGAGATGCCTATGACATTGCAATAGTAGGCACAATACAAACTTCCTACGGATTAATTCAAAGTGTTTAAATTTGATTGTCTCAAAATTTAGCATGAAACTGCCACAAAGGAATCCATTTTTTTTAAGAGGAACAAGACTCCCATTCTAAGAAGCTAATACTTTTCTTAAACATTTTTCATTACTGTAATACAGTTGATATTTCTAAACTTCATGAGAGTCTAGTCTAGTTAGAGGACTAAAGGAATTGATAATAAAGACTTCTGACTAGAATGAAAGCACAAAAGAAAGGATGAGAGAATGAAGACAATGGTAGCCTCTCAGAAAAAGAAGAAAAAGAGAGGTGTACCTAGGACACAGTAGGCCTGATCTTAGGGACTGAGACTCCCAGGGCAGAAACCAGAACCAGATCAAGCACCTGGCTTAACAGCAATAGACCAGCTGAGAAACATCACCAAGGGGGCCCAGCTCCTTCTATGAGGGGTCAGTTCACACTCTGTATATGCGGCCGCTAAAGACTGAATTTGAGATCCTAAATTTTGAATATCTAGTCATGAATTAAGTTTATAATTTAGTGTGGAGGATAATGGCCTTTCAGTTTAAGTTGGAAACTGTTTTGGTGAGACAGTACTGTGCTAACACCAAGCCCTTGCTAGAGAAAGCGAAGTTCCAGCATACCCTCTCTTATCTGACATATCTCCTTGCCTTATGTTTATCTCTGAATTCAAACAACTTGTAACAAATTCTTTACATCTATTATACTAACAAATTCATTCAAAGTAATTTCTTGCCCCTACACCACAGAGAATCTGGACAGGGTTCATGTACTTAACCAATCAACCTAACATTTGCCCTACAACTCAAAAATTATAGTTACAAATAATATTAACATTATAGATGGATGAAAGTTTAGATTTGTCTTATAATAATAAGTCATTCTCAGGAAAGTATTTATAAGAATACCTTTAAGATATTAAGTTATATGTTGGTTATAAAAACATGGCTTTAGGAGCAACTCTACTATTTTCTTAATTTACATTTAATACCAGAAATAACTGTTAAGAAAATCAGAATTTACCTTTATAAGGCAAGATCAAAGGAGAAAAAAATGATAGTTCATGAGAAAATAAGTCTTATTCCAAATACAAAGCAAATTAGAAATTTTAAAAAAGAAAAACTTCTTAGATGCTTTAATTCATAACATTCATCTAATCTATATTCGACGTATGTGTATGTGTATATAAAATCAGATTTATAAAGCTTGGAACAGCTGGGAATGTTAACTAGCATTTTCATATATTTGCAGTGCAATCAATCACAGCAAAGACTAACGCATTACACTTCTCATCCACCTACAATTTTCCTGTGTTTTCATTCATGTATATCCTAGCAGAAGCAGATTCTACCAAAGGCTACTAACTGACAAGCAGTTCAAGAAAAGAGATCAAGTTTCTGGAAACAAGACCATCAGAATCTCAATTTCATCAGAACTATGAAAGCTTAATAACTAACCATCTGGTTTGCAAATGGGGTCACTGCACTGTGTAGTGGTTGTCTCTAAATGCTACAGACCAGTTTGGAACTTTGCACTGACTTTTACTGAGCAAATGGCTAATTATTACAATTTAGTTTCTTTTTAATAGTCTGTTAAATATTTCCAATACTGTAAGAAATGTTAAATTCATAATAGAAGAGTAGAGTTTTTCCCCCCAGGTGATTCCCTTGTAATCTGAATGTGCCTTATTTACTTACTTATAATCCTTATTTATATAAAGCCTTGCAAAGGATCATGTGGGATTGTGGCTACAGGCTGTAGTGGGTCTGTAGATGGGTAATACTTCAGGTAAGTATCAAATGAAGGTTAAGAAACTTAGACACTGTAGGACACAACTAAGAGAAAGCAGGCTACTCTTCTAACCGAAAATTTAAAGTAAGAATACTGGTTGGGAAACAAAGTTCAGATTTAAGTTTGCCAACATAAAATAAATATTTCTAGGCATTAGATTATAAACATAAATATTTAAGAATGACAATTTTTTAAAATCCAATTCAGAGGTCTAAATTCAAGTTTAAAATGCAAATTAATCACTCTATTTTCCTAGAGCCTCCTGACACACTAGAGATAACAAAGGAAAGTAATGAGCCACATAATTTTAGACACTAGAGCTGCAAATCTGAATATTATTTCCAAGAAATGTCAATAATATCACTGCTACTCAACCAACTATTTCTCTACATTTCCTGTCAGTCGTAGGTCAATTTATTTCGCTTCTGAGTTCTAGATTTTTATACATAATGTTCTTGCCTGGCCTGACAAAGAATCATAATACTATGAGTGATTATTGTCACTATTTTTTAAGGGTTAGAGAATATAATAGTTTCTTTATTGCTACATCTAACCTTCCTTCCCATATACTTTCATTAAGTACTTTCATATTAGCTTAACTGTACAATAATGAGACAGGAATAATATAGAGAATCAAAACTTAAAGCTTAAAGGCAAAACTTTAAACTTAAAAAGAAAACAAAGATAAAACTTCTAATTTACAGAACTTGTCAATTCCTAAGAGATCTTAATTATAGCTGCCAATAAGCAGCAAAGTTTTCAATCATTGCCTTGTATTTCTCCTACATTTTTCAGAGACTAAAATAAAAAATAAATGCCTTAAATGTAGCAAGAAATGAGGAGCAAAAGGCAGAGATAATCTACATATCAACTGGTCCTTGAATACTTAATAGACAATAAAATAAACATTTTAAAATTGTACATTATCTGTTTGAATTCAATAAATGTAACAGCAGCCTCTAGATTTCATATAAATTCTTTAAAATGATAAAAGACATCAGGCCAGGTGTGGTGGCTCACACCTGTAATCCCAGCACTTTGGGAGGCCGAGGTGGGTGGATCACTGGAGGTCAGGAGTTCAAGATCAGCCTGGCCAACATGGTGAAACCCCGCCTCTACTAAAAAATACACACACACACACACACACACACAAATTAGCCAGGCATGGTGGCGGACACCTGTAGTCCCAGCTACTCGGGAGGCTAAGGTAGGAGAATCGGTTGAACCCAGGAGGCAGAGGTTGCAGTGAGCTGAGATCGCACCACTGCACTCCAGCCTGGGCGAAAGAGAGAGGCTCCAACTCAAAAAACAAAAACAAAAAACAAACCACATCAAAGGCCCATTAACTGCTAATGGTATACTTTATCTTTAAATGCCACTTCTTCAAAATCTCTTTAGATGACAAGACCATTTTTACATTTAATTAATAAATGCTGGCTGTCTTTGATCAGATCATCTAGAAAGAACGACTTATGTCATTTTCTCCATATCTTTCTACTCAGCTCATTTTAAAAATTCTGCCTTTACACATTTCTTCACTTTCTGCTTACTCCCTCTTTTCTTTTTGGAAAGTGCTTATTAGCACATCCTTGTCTTAAAAAAAAAAAAAAAGACAGAGAGAGAAAGAAAAAGAAAAAGCAGAGAAGTGAACAGGGAGAAGAACGATTAACAGCTAAGGTTTTCAAAAAACCCAAGGGACAGGTGTAGCATATATTAAATTAACTCTATGGGGACAGAATTTATTTTTTAAATCAGGATATGAACTTTGTAGCATTTTCAAAGCAACACAGTAAGCCACAAGAAGACAAGACAGAGGCTCCTTTGCATAAGCGGAATATTTGACCAACATCTTGTATTGCTGAACTTGATTCTCTCTAACAGGACTCAACATACTAATTAAATAAAAGCCATGTCATTTGGCATGTCAAAATAAAAGATGACATTGCATAAATAGTTACATATGTAGGACATATTACATGATGTGTAAGCATACAGATAATACATAAAGAGTCACTACACTGAAATAAACAGTATGTATATAAAATATACACTTAATTAGCAAATGATAAGGTTAACAAAATAGATTGTCACAAAAAATGCTTCTCTAGACACATGTACCAGATTTTAAAAACGTAGTTTTCTCTCAACAAAATAACTAGAAAAAAGGAATGGCAAAAAATGTCTTTCCCACCATTAAGCACACAAAAACCAAAAAGCCTGCCGCCACTTCCCTCTAAGCACTCCACTGAATCATGCATATCAGCTAAAAACGATAATGAATGGAAATTTGGGTTAATAAAATTAATCTCAAACAAGCAAGCTAAGTGATTGACTTACAGGATCAGCTGGTGCAATGTTAGAATCAAATTGGGTCAGAGTTTGTGAGCTTGAAGAGCGTTCACTAAATGTCTCCCACTGCTGAACAGACAGAGGAGAGACAAGTCAGCATGATGAGAAAGATGGAGTAAAAGATCACTGGAGAAGATTTAGCAAAGTAATTCAGAGGTTGCACTGCAAGTTGTGTTTCATAGGTTTAACAAAATTCAGTAATTTCTATTTTTCCGTCAACATTTTATATTTATTCTGGGTCACTTGTAATGTAAGGTGAGGAGTTCACAATCAAAAGTATAGTAATGATTTATTGCAATCTCTATGGAAGAGATTTAAAGCCTTACAGAGTTAAAATAAAACACAATACAGGAGCAAAGTCTAAGTGATATAAATGTCCACCAAGTAAAAATGCTAAAGAGGCATGCCTTGACTAAAGAAAGAAAGAATAACATCAAATTCTTCTTTGAACATTCAAATGTTAATGTACTGATTTTGTGATCCTAATGAATCAAAGTTTTGTTCAAAACAAAGCAAGTCAGTGCGACTTGCCAGTGCGACCCCTGAAAGATGATTCTATTATGTACGTGCACATATTTTACA
Source organism: Homo sapiens (assembly GCF_000001405.40). NCBI lineage: Eukaryota > Metazoa > Chordata > Mammalia > Primates > Hominidae > Homo > Homo sapiens. Next base: position 138,926,995 of record NC_000006.12, read on the forward strand.
CATATGTATAGATATTTAATAAAATATAATTGAGATAAAATGCAAAGAATTCTGGAATTAATATATGTAGAGCTTATGTCAATCTGTAGCAAGTCAACCCCTGCAATCAGCACTACAAACAGGGCCATGCCAGACCACAAGACAGAACTGCCAATCAGACACCCCCGCTTCCCCACTCCCTACCCCATGCTAGAAAAATCAGAATGCGGCCACAATGAGAGCAAATCAAGCATCTGAGCATGAGTTATATACAGATGTATTTTGATATGAAATACTACTCTTCTAAAAGAGGTACACAAAAAAAATCATACCTCTTAAAACAGGTGGAGTGATAAGTCAATATTAATTACAGTAAATTCCATTTGTTTTGGAGATCTTAGTAATAAAATGGTATAGAATTTTTACATTAAAATTGCATTAAAATTATCATTTAAATCTGATTCTTAAGAATTATCAGTTATCCTCTAAAGAGGAAAAAACATCTACACACATACAATGTATACACACGAATATTTACACAAAGACAAAACTACCCCATAAACCAAAATCCTCTTTGGGAAAGTATACATTTTTATGCTTCAAAGTTCAACTTACTATTTAAAATAGTGACATTTAAGTTGAGAAGATATGTAAAAATTAAATATTAGCAAATGAGCACACTGGTGAAAATTACCTACAAAAACGGCTAATACAATAATTCAACGACTTTTCCTACAGATTAGTTTTCATATGAAAATTAAGATATTCTGAGAAATACTGATCCAAAGTATTTCATGAATTAAGAATCCCACAATAATTACTTTTATCATGCGGCATCACTTCAGGAAAGTTACTTATCAATATCTGTTAATATAATTAGTTTTTTCCTCAATAATTATTGTTACAGGGACACAGAAGGAAGTTTTAAAATCCTAATTAACTAACTGTGGAGAAAAGTTTACAGAAGATTTTTGCCAAAAAGAAGGTATTTACTTGTGTACCTCATTTGGGTGGCATGAAGTTTAACTTTGTTTCACAAGACTGCATGTAAGTTACCTGGAGGACAAAGGGACTCTCTTATCATCTTCATACTTAATTTTTAAGGGCTCACAGCTGTGGAACCAGACTACTGGAATCCCAGTTACGCTGTGCAAACTTGGGCAAGTTGTATAACTTCTCTGTGCTTCAGTTTCTCCATCTGTAACATATTATCTACCTCATAAGATTGTTCAGAGGACTAAAGGAGTTAATATATATAAAGAGTTTGTTTTTGTATTGTTTTTTAAACAGAACTGACATATCAAAAGTGCTCCATAAAGGTTAGAGATTATTAGGGTCATCTCCTATACTGTCTTATCCGTAACCACAGGTGCTAAATAAATCTATGTTGAAAGATTACTAGTGCTTTCTGGAAGACAATTAAAATGTAATCTAAATTCCATATCCTAACTAGATATTTTTAGAAATATCATTAGATGTCTCAAAATCAATGATTTATTAACATTTTGATTTTTCACATATCGAAAAAAAATTATGACATTCATGACCTCATTACCAAATACTATAAATAAAACTTTATGGGAATATTTAAGTAGGGAAAATGCAAGTACTACTACCTGAATTTAGAAGGGACTTCCATTTCTGTCTCTAATGATCACATACGATTTTATTTAGAATGAACATGGGCTTTAGATTTGAGATGCTTTAGAAAGAATGTTTTTATTTACAAACTGATATCAATGGAATACAAATATTCTTTTAATGTAATACTGGTTTTTAAAAAAGACACAAGATGAATAGATGCAGCAAAAATAGTAGTGTCTCAACAATTACCTTACTTTCCATAAACCCTCTCTATTAGCAAATTCTTTCAAGGTGTAATCCCTTCATCTAGAAAAACACTTGTATTAATGGTTTTGCATCCAATAGTAGGATGGATGGTGTGATGTTATAATGTCTCAGACACAAGTATCCTGGCTGCAATTATGTCATAAAGCAGGAAATAGTATAAAACCACCAGTTAGTTCTGTTTTCCAACTGTCCAAAATTATTAATATCTAGCATGCTCTTTAATCCAGCATTTTTCTGGCTTTAAAAGGCATGGAAAGGACAGAAGCTTAAAATTTCTTCCTGAAAGTGAACAAACTTTTGTATTTTTAGCATTTCCTACATGCTACAAAAAGAAAAAAAATAAGAAAAAAACGTAACTTGTTCACAAAGAAAACTGCTCTAATAGGCTACAGCAATGGTTTCCAAATGGAGCTCTCCAGGGCACTAAAATTTAACAGAGGGGCCTAAGCAGGTGTTTTAGGGGAGGCAGGGCCTCAGGTCCTCTTCCCTTATTCTGATCAGTGGCCCTTTTGATGCTTTACATAATGGAATTTCAAATAAATTGGGGAACAGTGCATGTGTCCCAAATTCCATTTTGCATACTGTGCTTGGTCATATATGACACATCTTAATGCAGTTAATATGGCTAAACATTCTATATTGAAGAAAACTAATTATACAGAGTTTTCAGGTTGTAAAACATACTTTCTTCATATGGAAACTGAATCAGTCACTTATTTTATCATTTCCAATGCTAAGATCCCAAATGTACTATTACATACCTTGTTTACAGGACTGAGAAGGCAGTGTGACACAGTGGATGTGGCAGTTGACTAGATATCAAAGGACTTACGTTCAAATCCTAGCTCTCGTCCCTCACTGGATATGAGATCTTGGCCAAGTCATTTACCTTTTGATGGTTAAACTTTCTGAATCTGCCTCTCTAAACTCACAAGGTTTTAATGGGGATAAGTGGTGGAAATCAAATGACAGAATATATACTTTGAAAACCTCGAAAAAGTCACATAATTACAAACATTTATCATAGTATATCTGATATGTTCTCTCAATTATGCATGCATGCTGGAAGAGACAGACTGAAATTGCCCTCTTTGGAACATCTTACCTTAAAAGAGTTAACTTTTAATGAAAGAAAAGGAAAGCTTTGCTAACCTCACTGCTCTGATTCAGCTCAGGCCATGTCTGGTTTAGTGATGGCATCGATGGTGACTTGCTTGGAGGAGCTTCAGCAGGAGAGCCTGAATAACCTACCTCACCTGGCTGATCCCCAACATCTGCAATTTAAAAATAGAGAAATTCTCTATAAAGACTACATTGTAGTTTATTTTAGGCATATTTACTTATTAAAAAAAAGCCAACCGATGATTTTCATAAGTAGTAATATATAATCTAAATCTCCTTTCCTCATGTTCTCAGAGTAAGCATTTTAACAGACATTACTTATTCCTGCTACTTATGGTCTACTCAAAACCACAGCTTTTCATGAAAATAAAATCTAGTTAGGAATAAAAAGAAGGTTATACATAATAATATTGCAATAGGTCACATGCTTTAAAATAATTTTCTGATAACAGAAATAGATTTATACCAGTTTCCCAAAGTGTATTCTATTCCATGGAATACTCATCAGTAAGGTGGCTTTGAAAAATTAGGTTTTCTGCTCAAGTAAGTTTGGGGAAACAATAATTCTCTGTTGGAGCATCCGTATGCACATTTGTATATCAAGACTTGTGATGTCTCAAAGTTTAAAATAAGCTTTGTTTAAATCACTTTTTTTTTTCCAGACACACATCCTTTTCATCAAATAAAATCCTTCAGTATTCCCTTGGAATATACTTTGGGAACTGCCAATTTATACTAATTCACTCATATATCCTCTACAAATCTCCCTTGTTAACAAAAAAACAGAACATACTTGCAAGGCACAAAGCAGAAGGAGAGAGTCCCCAGCCACGGGAAAAAAGCAAAGTCAATAAGCTCTGTCTGAAACTTAACTTTTATTATTAAGCTCACTAGCACTTACAGACTTAACTGAGATAGTTACAAATCCATTATACTATTTCAAAATGGTTTTTAAAGTATTTTGAGGTATCATATTCTACTTTTAAGCATAGTTAAGCTTAATTTAAAATAACTCTAAATTATATTTAAAAACAGAAGGAAATTTCAAAGGTCACTAAACTCTCATTCCGATTCTTCCAAGCTGGCTTTGAATATAACCCCAGTCAACAGGGAGTACCTAATCGGTTTAGAACTCATATCAAAAATATCATTACAATATCATTGTGTCTGACCATGGGCAAGTTGAATGAAACAGCACCTGAGTTTCTCCATCAGAAAGACAGCTGCCATTAAATGTTAGCACTATACTTCAGATTTCTAAATAGACATCCATATAATATAAGCTAGCAATGTATAGCTTTTAACTTCTCAATCTATTCATCAGTAAATCCTTTAAGTTTTAGTGCCTAACATAGGGCCTAATACATACGGGCACTCAGGTATTTACTGAATCAGTTGCCTTGTGTATTCTTTTTTATTTAACTTCATTCACCTTTACTGCCATTTTCCTAAGACCACAATTAAGTACTGACAGTTGAAAAAGTTCTCCAAATGTCCTTTCTGCTATTGTTACATGCCTCCCTCAAAATATTTCCTTTTTACTTACCCAGACGTTATACCTTTATAATTATACCACATTGCAAGTTCTAATCTGCAGTCCAGAATTGTATTCTGATTGATTTTTGTTTTCTAAGATCAGAAATTATTTCTTTCTTAAGTCCTATATCTTCTCAATAGAAGTGTCTGGGTAGTACAGAAGTAGGAAGACTTCACATATTATTCTATGAAGACCTCAACTCAAAGTTCTTAGAGAAGAACTTATGAAAAAATTATTTAGGATAAACAATAGTAGCAAATTCCTCATTGGATAGTTTTCATTGGGAAAAAAAAATTATGAAACTTTATCCCCAGTGATAACAAAGGGAAAGGGAAACAGTAGCTATAAATTTGACAATATACTGAAAGTGAAAGTCTACCAGGAGAATAATAAAGAAGTATCTTCAAGGGATTCCCCAAAGCAGGTGAGTACTGAAGAAAATAAACAGAATTAAAACAGTATTAACTACAAGATGACTAATTTTCGAAAGAATTTATTTAAAGCAAGACTCTATTACTTTATTTTTAAACATCAATCTTAGGGCAATCTGCAAGTCCTGGTTGGGTTTTCAAGACCACAGTTCTCATGATTTCTTCTACTGACAAATTTAGGGCCAAGCTGTACCACACCCCCACCTCAGGGCAGTTATGATTTGGGACAGATTCTGGGAATATTTCTGGTTCACTGGTACAAAGCTGAAGTGGGTCTAGCTGCTTGAGGCTGCAAAGTGAAATGCTAGTCACCCAAATAATTATACTTTACCGCTATTTCAATAGAGTTATTTTCCTAGAGTTGTAGACCTCAAACTGTGGACCACAGACCCCTAAGAGTCCCCAAGACTCTTTTAAAAGAGACCTGAAAGGTGAAAACTATTCTTGTAATAATGCTTTTCCCATGTTGACATTTGCACTGAATCAAGGCAGTGGCGACAAAATATAGTTATTGTATTCTTCACTTACAGTTATTGTATTCCTTACCCCCCCCCACATACATAAGCATTAAATATAAATAAATATGCATGCTGATCTCACTTATGAATGTTCATGAAGCAGTACAAATTAATTTTATTAAATCTCAGCCCTAAAAACACATCTTCCTCTGTGTGTCAAAATGGGAAATACATACACACAGCATTTCTGCTGCATATGTAAGTACAATGGTTGTCTCAGAGAAAAGTACTTGTGTGATTCAGTTGTAAGCTGAACAAGCCACTTTTTTCGTGGAACACCATTTTTCCTGAAAGAACAGCTGATAATCTATAATAATTCGGACTTGGGTATCGCGCGGGCATTTTTTCAAAAATGAACAAAGTGAGCTTGTCATTTCAAGGAAAGCAATGTTTTCAGTATTTGTTTCCAATGGTTACTAATGACAATGCTGAAGGTTTCAAGGGAAAACTCAAATTTTGGAAAATGTATATCCACGTCCATAATCTCAAGAGCTTCCAGCACTTAAAGGCTTGATATGTTGTGAAATCAGCAAATGCACTTTTTAAATATTTTTATAATGAAAGATGTCAACATCTGAAAGATCTGTGTAACTCAATGAACTGATATTTTACAAATATCCAATGCATTACGGTATAAAATCAAGTTAAAGTACAAAAAAATGCATTAAAGTGGCTTCAGTTTCCACACTGCAAGTAACCTTTAAGAAATACCATTTGTGCTTTGATGTAGTACCAAAGAATAATTACGTTATCTGAAAAAGCCATGAAATAGTCCTTCCTTTTATTGTGTGAGGCTAGATTTAATTTGGAAACTTTTTCTATATTAGGCCAGATAGTAACTATTTTAGGTTTTGTGGCTATAAGGTATCTGTTGCAGCAATTCAGCTCCACCATTATGGTGCAAAGGCAGTCCTAGACAATTCATAAATAAGTGATGAGCACTGCTGTGTTCTAATACAATTTTTATGGACACTGAAATTTGAATTTCATACAATTTTTAATGTGTAATAAAATATTATTCTTTTCATTTCAACAGTTAAAAAGAAAAAATATTCTCAGCTTGTGGGCTAGTCAAAAATGAGCAGTAGGCTGGATCTATCTCACAGGGCTTAGTTTTTAGACCCCTGGTATACCTCAAACAAAACAACATATCCAACAGACAATGTGGAAGCAAATATGACAATTTCGTTGTCTTCTATTAAGACAGATGTAAAAGAAATTTGCAAAAATGTAAAATAATGCCACCCCTTTTACAATTTTTTCTTTAATTTTGGAGAATATGGTTATTTTCCTAAAAATATTTATGCCAATAGGTAATGGATTTGTTATTGCTTTTTTACATAAAGTAAAAACAAAAATTAATCAGTTTTAATTTCTAATAATGTAAGTATTGATAGATTTAACCCATGTAAACAAAGACTCTTGGGGTCCACAAATTTTAAGAATGCCTAAAGGGGTCTTAAGATTTAAAAGTTTGTTCCACATTGAAATAAACGACGACGACAACAACAACAAAAACCAACCAAAGAAAAAAAGATTTAAAAGTTTGAAAAATTGCTGTCCTAGAAAATCCAAAAATTGTTTCTGGGATAAATTAGCAAATTACGCATTGCTTCTTTCCTATGTTCTAGAAACCAAGAGTCTATGGACAACCATTCAGTCTAGAAATAAACTGTACCTCCTTCAACTTTGCTCCAAATAAGTACTCCAACAAAGAGCTTCCTGCCCACCCACAAATGTTAGTCTTTAAGACTGTATTTTTCCGGAGGCAGGGGTGTAGTTTTACTCTTACCTGATGCAGTGTTCCAACCTAGCCTCCTGCTGGAACACTGTGTCAACCCTGCCTCCCTCCTGTGGGTTCTGCTCTGCCCCTGACATCATCAGAGCATCAGGGCTGAAAAAGAAGAGCATGAGCCTAAATTATTCGTTAAAGTTAACCCCAAAAGGGCTGTTACGCAAAAAGTATTTCCACGTACAAAAGTGTGTCTGAAAGAGACAACCCAGTATGATCACACTGACCTACGGCTTATTCTACATTTGTTTTAAGTTTGCAAACACTGGAAGAAGTTTCACCTATCTATCCTTTCAAAGAATCTGGAAAGTTCCCCGATTCAATTCAGTACAGTGTACCTGCTAAACAACCTCTTTCTCAGAGCTTTGTTTTTATTCTAGCTTTGTAACCTACACATCCTAAATTTCTCTTATTTTCTTAGTATTATACTTGATATACTAAAAAATTGTCTCGAAAGTGACTGCTGGCTGTTATTAATCTTACAGAAATATATACACTCCCTTAAAGTCTTACAGTTTAAAACTTATTTTGCTTTCAAGCAGCAAACAAATCTAGAAAGTTATTCAATAACGATGGTTCAATGTTCCAATCTCATTAATAACTTTATCAAGGCAAAAATAACTTTTACTTGAAGAGTATTATTCTTGTAAGAAAAAAATACGGAAAATGAAAAACAATCGAGTGTTCATGACTTTTACGTCTTCAAGGAAAACTACAAATGTTAACTTTTTCATTCATATTTAAAAGACAGGCATAAGCAACGCATATGTAGAAAGATAAAATTTAAGATGTGCTTTGTTTTTTCTTGAATGATATTATATGCATCAAAAAACTAGTAAGTTCTATTTCCAAAATGAACTCCACTTTTCCCCAACACTTCACAAAATGGAAACTTAGTAAGCAGACCTTATGAGGGTCTATGAAACTTATTCGGTAAGACTACCTTAAAAGGGGGTCTATGTAGAAAACTAATTGTTTTCAATTAAAACCAAAGGTTTAAAAAAATCAAAGTAAAAATGTGTCCAACAAGATTTGAAAAGAAACAAAATATTCACCCAAAATTCTTATTAAACTGAACTTGCTGAGTTTTTACAGTATTTATCAACATTTGACAGTACTGCTCAACATCTGACTCAATTATTATAGTTCAAAGAATATTACCTACAATATATAGGAGGTTCCTATTATCCAAAGATAGCTAAACATGGGAAAAAATCCATTTAAAGTTAATCCATTCAAAATAAATACTAAAATTCCATAAAGAGGAAAACAGTTAATTGGAGCTTTGTCTTAAAAATCTACAGAGAAAATAGTGGAAATGGAGTATAAAGAACAAAGAATGAAAGAAAAAGTGGTGGCTCATGCCTGTAATCCCAACACTTTGGGAATGGAAGACCGAGGCAGGCGCTTCACGAGGTCAGAAGCTCGAGACCAGTCTGGCCAACATGGTGAAACCCCGTCTCTACTAAAAATACAAAAATTAGCCAGACATGGTGGCGCATGCCTGTAATCCCAGCTACTCGGGAGGCTGAGGCAGGAGAATTGCTTGAACCTGGGAGGGGGAGGTTGCAGTGAGCCAAGATCACACCGCAGCACTCCAGCCTGGGCAACAGAGCAAGACTCCATCTTGGCGGGGGGGGGGGGCGCGGGGGAGTGGTGGCCAGGGAGAAAGATAATGTTACTTTTTTTGGGGGTATAATTTGGTGGCAAAATTAAAAAGCACTAATTGAGTCAGTGAACATTTACTGAGGGTCTATAGGGTTCCAGGCTCTCAAGATCCAGTACTGAACAAGACAAGGGTACCATTCCCATGGAGTTCTCTAACAGAGGAAGACAGAGATGTTCATCTTTCATTCACTTTCGACTTTCATAGCACAATTGCAAAGGAAAAAGGTCACTTCTACAAAAAATAATTATGAGTATCATTAATTACTCCCAAGGACACTTACTAATCCGCTGAATTTGAAATCATAATCTTTTTTTTTAGAGACAGGGTCTCGCTTTGTCACCCAGGCTAAAGTGCAGTGGTGAGATCATAGCTTACTGTAACCTCGAACTCCTAGCCTCAAGTGATCCTCCCACCTTGGCCTACCAAAGCGCTTCTGGGAGCCACTGTGCCTGACCAAAACCATAATCTTTTAAAGCTCCTACTATTGCTATCACCCTCATAGAGTTTTTGCCCTTCAAGTATTATCTGCCCTTGCTTGTCAATGTCTTTGTCAGGATTTGAGTTCTATTTATTTTGACCAATTTCATTAAATGGTGTATCTTTACTAATATCTGTAATTCAACTGTACTGATTTATCAGATACAACAGCCAAATATCTGGAAAGAAATGACACACGACAGAGAGAGACGGCAGGGTGGGGGGGGAGACAGACAGGGACAGAGTATGTTTGGGGGGGGGTAGAGGTGGGAGGTAATTTCTTAATTAGAAAGCTAATGACAAGCATTAGTGCGTATTTTCATTATTTTTTCCTCTGCAACTAAGGGTATCTGAATAACGAATTTTCAAAAACAAAGATTCTAGGTTATTTGTACAAAACAAAGATATACATATAAGCATGTTCACTGCAGCAGTGTTTTAAAGATAAAGCCAGAAAACAACCCCAAAATCCATCAATAAGAAACTGGTTAAATTAAGGTACATCATATTATGGAATACCTTGAATCATAAATGTGATAGCTCTATATATTATTCTATTAGTCCATTTTCACATTGCTGACAAAGACATACCAAGACTGGGCAATTTACAAAAGAAAGAGGTTTAATGGACTTACAGTTCCACATGGCTGGGGAGGCTTCACAATCATGGTGGAAGGCAAGGAGGAGCAAGTCACATCTTACATGGATGGCAGGAGGCAAAGAGAGAGCTTGTGCAGGGAAACTCCCCTTATAATACCATCAGATCTCATGAGACTATTTACTATCATGAGAAAGCATGGGAAAGACCTGCCCCCATGATTCAATTACCTCCCACCGGGTCCCTCCCACAAACATAAGAATTCAAGATGAGATTTGGGTGGGGACACAGCCAAACCATATCAATTATAAAGTATAAAGATGTCCAACATTATAAGAAAAAAACAATGAAGGATGTATAGTATGATTGCGTCTGTATAAACACCAATACCTGTGTGTAGGTTTTTATATATATGTTAAAAATTTCTGGATGAATATAAGAGAAACTCTTAACAGTGATTTACTTGCACCAAGGTAATCTCAAATCTGAATTTATGTGGATTTCTAGTAAACTCTTCATGGAAAGTCTTCATGTGCCTTCTCTTCTCTGGCTTAAAAAAAATTCGTGTTGGAAGTACTTCTCAGAGTTTGTAGATCCATGCAACGCACCCTAACAATGAAACATGTGCCCAAATCTACTGTGTAAAGTAGGGATCATGCAGAAGGAGATGGAGACAGGGAAGCACACATCCCTTTCCTTCTTTCAGCATCTCAGAGACTGCTGAGTTGCACATGTGAGCAGTGTGGTGTAAAGGTAGAAAACAGTTAAAAATCATTGGCTCAGTCATTTAATCATTTCAACAATGTGAATGTCTGTCTATTCCTGTACTCAATTTGCACCTTGCTAGGCACTGAGATATAATGAACAAAAGTGATCCAGTTCCTACCTTCCTAGAAGGCTCTAGTCTGAGAGAAAGATATGTATCAAACAACCACAGAAGTACATGTAAAATTGCAACTGTGCTTTGCAAAGGAGAAGATTCTTTAGATATTAAAATGTAGAGTACCTCAACGTGTTTGTAGCAGGTCATCTTAATCTTTTTTTTTTTTAAAGAAGACAAACATTCTTAAAAAGCTAAATATTCTTTAATTCAGCTTCAGAAAGCTCTTTCTGCAGATGAATTTTTGTATGCTTTCTTTTGTAAAACAACAAAAATCAAGTCTCCCTTTCTATTTTAGCTGTTAAATTCAGTGCTGATGTTATTAAATATTCTAATTCAGGTCGACAGAAGTACTTCTGCCTATGAACCTTAGTAGTTCTATTTTATCTATGCATACCTGTTCAAGCAATTTTGGAAAAAATGCACATTTACCCCAACCATGTTTGCATGCCTATAGAAAGCCTAGCATGTTACTCCAAGGAGCTGTAACTCAAATGACCACTGCTCACCATCTATTTGCTTCTTAAGAGTTAAACTTTAAGTATAGAATATTTGTGGAACTAATGTTTCAGTATGTTCCAACATCATAAACCTAGGGTAACAAATCGCTGTATTTTCAAAGGTAGAAAAACGTCAAGAAAAATATCTTCCTTTGAAAATGGCACACATGTAGAATTAATTCATCCAATATTAGTGCAGTGCCTGGCAAAGTTGTATGTTTTGAGCATACTACAATAAATAGGATACATTTCCCTTGTTTCAAGGAATTCAGAGTACAGTGATGGGGGAAAAAAAACAAAACAGGATTTAGTGTGGTATGTTTCAGTAATTAGCATGTAGAAAATGCTATGAGAGATCAGAAATGAGAGAAACCACCTCTGCCTATAGTCAGAAAGGCTCCACAGAGGAATATTTACAATAAATTCTAATGTCAGCCGAAAGAAACTATTTGAGTATTATCCTCTTAACCGTGACCTTTTAAAAACACAGCTATTTTTATAATTTTTTTTTTTTTTTTAGATGGAGCCTCACTCTGTCACCCAGGCTGGAATGCAGTGGCGTGATCTCGGCTCACTGCAACCTCCGCCTCCTGGGTTCAAGCAATTCTCCTGCCTCAGCTTCCTGAGTAGCTGGGACAACAAGTGCACACCACCACACCCTGCTAATTTTTTTTATAATGATTTTTATGGATACTGACGGACCCACAGTGTCACAAGACAATTTCTATACTCAAAGGACCTTTTGTCATGTGAATCTCAGGTTTATGATAGGTGGAAGAAAAATGATAAGTTATATTACATCACCCCAGAATCAACAGAATACCAAAATATATCATTTGTAAATATGAAAAGCAGATTTGAATGTAATATAATACCGTGTGATCCAAATGTTTACAACAAATTTGGTCAGAAAACCATATGCTGTGAGGGGGGAAAAAACTATCTGGGTCTGTGATACTTTTAAAATTATATTTAGAGCAACAGTGCACAGATATACACAGGCAATAAAATCAGTCTGTCTTTGTTAAACAGATCTAACAGGTGTAAAATTAGACAAAAAGATAAATGCCCAGAAAAAAATTTCTTCCTGAACCATCAACCTTATAGATCCAATTTACAAAGAACTTGTTTTTTATTTAAATTAAAGGAAAAATTAAATATATGCAAAAGCCAGATTCACTGACAAATATAACAGACGACAGAATCAGACAAGCCTCTACAAAATCACCTACAAGAGATTAAACTTCATTTAAATTAGTTTCTTGTATTATTGTGCTGTCGGTTTTCAAAGGCTTGAAGTCATATAAAAGCTCTAGGTCCAAGTCCAATTTCTAAATCAATGACACTGAAAGTGTGAAGTTACCACATGTTCTTCTCTTTTGGTTACTATCATAGGTGTTTAACAAAGAAGTTGTTTTTATTTCTTAAGTAGGTAAATTAAAGTACTTTGAATCAAAATTACCTAATAAAGATACTAAGCTTTCAGCTCAAGTCAGAGGCTGACGCTTCACAACTGAAATGATCCCAAAATCCTAGGATTATCATAGAAAAATGTGCTTAAGAAATTAAAATCAATGCCATATTTTTACAATCAACCTATTCGTTGATAAAAGGTCAGTGTACAATTCAGGTCCTGAAATGTGAATGGCATCAAATCCACATTTCAGGTGGAGAAACAGAAGGGAAAAATACAGTAAATGATTAGAACTTGCCCAGGGTCACAGATTAAATTAGCAAAACTAGAAGCACATTCAGATTACTGACTCCAAGGAGACTGTTCTCTTTTGTGACAGTAATTTCATGCATCTGATTCCTTCTGCGTAATTTAGACAACTAAGTCAGACCATGTATATTTTTAGGTTAAAGAGATGCTGCCTGATAGATAAATGCCCATTTGAGACCCAAATTCTATTTGAACTTCCCTTTTAAAAGTATAAAATTCTTTCCATCATCATATACAAATGAGAGTATAGATGGAAACACTGAAGACAGTAATTTATTTTAATTAGGCTCATTAAGAATTAAACATTAGGTTTCCTTTTATTCATTCAGAATTTAAGAAAAATTTACTAATTTTTAGCCCTTGATATTCTTTTTCTTTTTAAAGAAAGGTCCAGGCTGGGCATGGTGGCTCACGCCTGTAATCCCAGCACTTTGGGAGGCCAAGGCGGGCAGATCATGAGGTCAAGAGATAGAGACCATCCTGGCCAACATGGTGAAACCCTATCTCTACTAAAAATACAAAAATTAGCGGGGCATGGTGGTGCGTGCCTGTAGTCCCATCTACTTAAGGAGGCTGAGGCAGGAGAATCGCTTGAACCCGGGAGGTGGAGACTGCAGTGAGCCGAGATCGTGCCACTGCACTCCAGCCTGGTGACAGAACGAGACTCCAACTCAAAAAAAAGAAAAAAGAAAAAAAAAAAGAAAAGGAAGAAAGAAAGAAAGGTCCCAATAAATATGAACATTTAGCATTCTTGTTAACAACACAGCATTCTCTAAAATCATACACAGAAAGTCCAGATTTCTTTAGAGTCTGCAGGAGAGAGCGTGGTATTTTAAAGAAAAATACTTACAACTATAAAGGTCTAATGATGAACCAAGTAATTTCCCTTCAACAAATTAAGATGTATTAAAGAGAAAAATGTTTATAATGAAGATGGGTTACTCTATCCACTCGAGACAATATATATCACAATTAAAGGATGGCAAAATAACAAGACACTGAAATGCTCTTCAAATCTCGGCAAGTCACAAATACAAAGGTAAAATAGTGGTATATATTACTCATCTTTATTTTTAAAAATAGACTGAATAAGACAAATTCAAGCTTGGCCCATACATCCTATTCTGATGACAAATCTATGTACACTTGATGAAATATCTAAGCTATTAAGCTAAGGTTAACCTCTATCTTGATTTTTCTTTCAGAATCAAGCATTATGTTTATCAAGGCATGCAAACAGCTCTCTTCAGCTCCCAATCTTACCTGCTGAATCTTCCAAATCAATCAGTTTGGGCATTAAGCTTTCAGGAAGTTTTTCTGGTAAATCATAGCCATTCTTCCTAGCAACCACCAGATGAAAAGCAGCACAAAACTCATCCAGTGTCAATGCACCATCTTTATCAAAGTCTGAGAGTTCCCTAGAAGATAAGTTTATTGTGAATATAATCACATTCCGCTTTGGATCCTTTTATTTCTCAAAAAGAAGCAAGAGAAATATTTTCCATGAGAAAGTGCAAGAACTCAGTAATTATAAAAATCCCATACACAGAAAGATGTGTAATATAGCAAATGTAGCAAAATGTTACCTCCAGAATCTAGGTGGTAGTATATGAATGCTTATGGTACTCTTCTTTAAGCTTTCCTGTGTGTTTGAAATTCTCTAAAAAGCAGCCCCAATAATTAAGGTCACCAAAAAGAATGACCTATAATTCACATGCATTTTTAGAAGGCATACGTAATAAGTTAGTGAAATTTTTCAAAAGTCTGTTTTTATGTTATCAAAATTCACCATGTATGTACTTTATTTTTTGTTTTTATTTTTTTTGAGATGGAATCTCGCTCTGTCACCCAGGCTGGAGTGCAGTGGCACGATCTCGGCCCACTGCAACCTCCACCTCCTGGGTTCAAGTGATTCCCTTGCCTCAGCTTCCTGAGTAGCTGGGATTACAGGTACGCGTCACCATGCCTGGCTAATTTTGGCCAGGCTGGTCTCGAACTCCTGACCTCATGTGATCCACCTGCCTTGGGCTCCCAAAGTGCTGGGATTACAAGCGTGAGCCACCGCACCCGGCTGACATGTACGTACTTTAAATCACTAAGTAGAACTGCAAGGCTTAAAACAGAAATACAGCCACTCCACCTTGCTGTCTATGCCCTTTCCTAGATACAGACAACCACTTTTGTCTTTATTGCCTTAAACTATAAATAGCATGCATATATTACTAGTTTTTGAGTTTTCAGTTTTAGGTGTTATCTACCTACCTTGTACTACAGCACTCTATGCTACCAAAAACCTATTAAAAATGATTTAGAATATAGAGAAATAACATTGATACACACTGGAATTAACATTTATGTTTATCTGATAATCGTTTTTTATTTATTTTTGAGACAGAGTCTCACTCTGTTGCCCAGGCTACAGTGCTGTGGTATGACCTCAGCTCACTGCAAACTCTGCTTCCTGGACTCAAGCAATCCTCCCATGTAAGCCTCCCAAGCAGCCAGGACTACAGGCTTGCACCACCACACCTTGCTAATTTTTTTCTTTTTAATAGAGATGGGGTTTCACCATGTTGCTCAGGCTGGTCTTGAACTCCTGGGCTCAAGCAATCTGCCTGCCTTGGCTTCCCAAAGTGCTGGAATTACAGGCGTGAACCACCACACCCAGTTTGTGTTTTCTTTTTGCTTGTTTTGTTTTTTTGAGACAGAATCTCGTTCTGTCACCCTGGCTGGAGTGAAATGGCACAATCTTGGCTCACTGCAACCTCCACCTCCCAGGTTCAAGCGAATCTCGTGCCTCAGCCTCCCCAGTAGTTGGGATTACAGGCATGTGCCACCATGCCCGGCTAATTTTTCTGTAGAGACAGGGTTTCACCATGTTGCCCAGGCTGGTCTCAAACTCCTGAGCTCAGGTAATCCACCTGCCTCGGCCTCCCAAAGTGCTAAGATTACAGGTATGAGCCACCGCACCCGGCCCTGGCCTATTTTTATAAAGTAATTTGTGATTACACTTTGTGTTCTAATAGCCAATTCGAACCATATTCCAACACAGCTATTCTTAAGTCTCTGGTTAAATGGAAGCTAACACCATTCCTAAACTTATGGCATGGTATAGGACTTACTAAACTTGATAAAAAACCAATGGGATAAATATAACCATGTATGTGCAAACTAACTTTTATCTCATACATTATGCTAGCAACAAAAAAACAGCTGATACAGCTTAAAGAATTTTAGCTCTTTACAAAGAACTACTGTATCAGTATCACTTATTTCTTTTCTGCAGAATAAGAGAGAAGCTGGCTATTGTAAGGCAATACTGAGTTCTTTGACAGCATTCTTGAAGGGGTTAGTTGTTTATTTTTTAAGGCTCTAAAATCTATCTGCTAGAAACTCCTTGGAAGCAACCCAGTTACCCAACTAATGATATACCACACTTACCAAATATGAGAAAGTTCAAGAATAGGAAGTTTTGATTTTGTAAAAAACTCTTTAGCTGCAGATCCTGAAATATTAAAACAGTGTTGTTTAATGTTATTCTGAACTTACGGATCCACGAACAGAATGTAAGAGTCTTAGACTTTTTTAACTGGGAAAAGATATTTTTAATATGTGAATATGTCATGTTTTTGGCCCCCAGTGATTATAAATTCTTTTTAGACAAATAATCTGATAATTATTTTATAATTAAAATCTATGACCAATAAAACAATGTCTTTGATATTATGAAATTGAGATTCTCCTGTCCCATCTAGAAGAACTTCTGTTTTCAACAACTCACCTGGAATAAATCCGTTTAGATCAGGCTGAATGGTTTTAAACTGATTTACATAATACTGTCTTTGTTCATCTGTTATTTTCCAGGGATCATCATAACTACTGGATTGCCTACGAATTTCAATGGCAGTTGTAGCTGATGCTACAGTTCGTACTGTTGTCTGGTCCTGTAATGAAACATTTTTTCCTCAGTACAATATCTACCTACATGATTATATGGACCAAGATTGCTAGGTTATTTATCTTTGAAAGTAAAACTTGCTTTTTGTGTATATTTAAAATGTAAAACCACACATCTGTTACAGTCAGATTATTGGATATGTTTTTGCACAATGATTATAGAAACGAGTAGAATGACAGCAATTATGTAAGCAACAGAAAGTTATGAAAATGTGCTAAGAAAGCCAAGCAAATATATTTCCAGATGCAGAAACCTTTCAAAACTTCACTAGGGAATCAGAAACAGAAATAAAATCAGCTGAAACATTCCAATGATAACAGATTTGAAATGCACAGAGCAGAATTTTGCTTTTAAATAAATGAGTGGATTTGCATTTATAAAATCTGCAACAGCAAAATATAAAAACAACGACTGGAGCAATACTCTGAATGAAGCAAATAAAAATGCAATACCAATAAAATGTCACACCTGGACAGAAGCAGGATGCATGGTTAAAAGAGTACTGGTTGGTGGAGTATCTGCAAAACTGACCCAGTTTTCTTGAGGTGGAGGTGGGGAATGCCCTGACCACACTGCATCACCAGCAGAAGAACCTATAAGGAGAATGGGTAAACATGCTGACTCATGTTTGAGGAAAAAAGTTACTAGGAAGTTTTCTTTCCAACTCTTACTCTGAAGAAATCTAACAATTTCCAAAATGGAATCTTTTCTGTTCTATTAGAAATTATACCTCATTTAAATATCTTCAATTATTTTGTGCTCTCCTTGTCAATAAAATGTATGTAATATATACATAATATTCTGGGAAATAATTATTCATTTTACCTTTAGAGAATCTGGTATCCATAAACTTGTCTAAACATCACAGATACACATAAATGCAATTACCACTTTTCAAAGCAATGTATCCACTTACAAATTTCCATAGTTGGTTTTTGCTTCTATTTAACTTAAACTTACAATTAAAAACTATCTGGGAGGCAACTCCTGAAGGAATATTATCAAGTTTCCTTCAATTTACAACCCTAAATAATTGTTACTTTCAAAAAATCTCTAAGCCAGGTTCTGTGGCACAAGCCTATAATCCCCACCTACTCAGGAGGCTGAGGCAGGAGGATCATTTGAACCCAGGAGTGCAAGACCAGCCTGGGCAACACAATGACACTCTAATCAATCAATCTCTAAATACCTGATTGTGCTTCACCAAAGGGAGACCAAAATGGCCCAGGTCCCGCGAGAGGCCTCTCACTATTCCCACCGCTGGGATGACGGCTGTGCTTCCTCCATGTGTGTGGAGAAGTTGGTGGGGATTGCTGTGGTGAAACTACTGGGGATGCAGGTTCCTAGAAAAGAATATTATTTTAAAATTTTAACTTTAAGGAGACATTTTAATTATTAAGCTACCAATAAGAGCCTTAGTGAAGCATTTGCACAGGGCATCAACTGCTAATATTTACATGCATGTGATTACCTGTGCATCTGCAGATGTACGAGGCTGAACCGTATCATGGCTTACGGATCCCTTTTTCACTTGCCCCCTGCCAGGTGGTGGGGGAATTACACCAGAATACGACCCTTGATTTTCAGAATCTGAAGAATATGAGGCTGCATGGCGAGATTCCTGTTCATTCTTTGAAGCAACAAATCTTGGCAGAGGAAGGTCCTTTACTGTTAACCACAAAATAATCATTACTTCAAAATAAAAAAGGACATATATATTGAAAACTAAAATAAGACATGAATTAGATATTAGAATTTTTGTAAAAATGGATACAGAAACAAGAGGCACAAAATGTCTATCACCACAAAATTTGGACCACCATCTCCCTTACATTATTTAGGGAGACTCTTATCTAGAAAGAAGTAATAAAACCAAATTGTCCTTCTAATGAGTGATAACAATGGCTACATCAAATGTCTACGTATGTTTGGCCCTATACTTGCCACTGAATATTTATTTCACCTCGTAACCACAGTACCCCTGCAAAGCTCCTATTTACAGATAAGAAAACTGAGGCTCCATGATGCCAAGGTCATGCTTGTAGTAACTGACAGTTAAGATATAAACCTAGATCAGTCAGACCCCAAAGCCTAGGCTGCTTCTACTCACACCGGGTCTTTAAAGTAAGATTTTAGACCTCTAAGTAAAACACAGAATATGTCACTAAGTCTGAGACTAGATTTAGAAATTTTCATGGCAGAAATTCTTAAAAATACCTTATTGTTCACCCCCCAAAAATATGGTAGAGTATTCTATCTATCCACTGTAGTCTGGCTTATGTTTCTCCTACAGCCAGATATTCTACATTCAATTTTAAATAGAGGAGAAAGATGAAGGACTGAGAAACTGTTTGCAGGTAAATAAGTGATACTTTTAGACCAGAAAAAATACAGCTACAAAATCATTTCAGAGGAAAGCGTACTTACCTCCATTACATGATTACTTTCGTCTCTGTTTAGAACCTCCACATGAAGGAAGGAAACTATTAAGCTTATTCAATATACATGTAAAAGAATTCAAAATTACCTGAAAAGAATGTAAACTCCCAACACTAGAAGAATGATGTGTGGCAAACTAGAGGTCCACAATGAAAACCTCTACCGACCAATAAACTAAACTGGTACTTAAAACTATTTCTACAAATTCTGATATTTACAGAATTTTACAGAAATTTTTCTGTACAGATTATTTTTAAAATCTTAATTTTTCTCTTTCCCCTTTACTCTATGAAAATGAAAGAACCCTCTGCATTTAAGTGCCTTTCTTTATAGAATTTCTATCTTCTTTCACATCAACAAGCCTCTAAATACTTGAAAAACAAATTATCTGATGTAACACTTCGATATGGTTTGACTCTGTGTTCCCACCCAAATCTCATCTTGAATTGTAATTCCCACATGGGAGGTGATTAGATCATGGGGGCGGTTCCCCCATGCTGCTCTTGTGATAGTGAGCAAGTTCTCATGAGATCTGATGGTTTAAATGTCTGTGGCTATTCCCCCTTGCTCTCTCTCTCTCTCTCTCTCTCTCTCTCTCTCTCTCTCTCCTGTGGCCACATAAGATGTGCCTTGCTTTCCATTTACGTTCTGCCACGATTGTAGGTTTCCTGTGGCCTCCCGAGCTATGCAGAAGTGAGTCAATTAAACCTCTCTTGTTTATACATTACCCAGTCTCAGGGATTTCTTTATAGCAGTGTTAAAATGGACTAATACAAACTTGTAATGTGGTCAGATGTCTATAACTAGATTTTAGTCTGCCAATATTTTAATATTGTCTCTTATCGATCAAAAAGTTTAGGTTAACTGTTACTTCTTAATTTCAACTGAAGCCTCCACAGCCTTCCCAAACAAACAAACAAACAAAAATACAAAGTATAATGTTGTTTTATTGGAAATGAAGAACACAGGGACGCTATACATGAAGATGGTCGCTGTAATTTATCATTTACCTTAATAAAACTATTCGCCTAAAATATTTCTAAACAACTTTTGGTAAATTAATTCTTAAAAAATTGCCATTTGAACAGTACATATAGTCAAATACAGATGAAGTACATATACTATGCCGTAATACAGGTCAGACATATTTTTCTAGTATTTTCAAGTGAGAAATGCAAGGTAGTGGGAATAAAGTCACGACACTTCACTCAAGGTCACAAATGCCACTATAAGATCAGAAAGACACAAGAGTTCTATTGACTTGACTTCATTTGTAATAGAAGCCTATTTTCTTTCGGTTACTAGTGTACTCTATATTTACCTGTATTTATACTTTCCACTCTTAAAGGGAAACCAGACTGGGCAACAGCTACAAGTTTCAAAGCAATGTAGAACTGACTTCTTCCAAAATAACCAAGTCTTGTTGCACCACAAAGCTCCATGATCTATAAAATAACATAATGTTAACATTAAGATTCACAACAAAAATCTCCCTTCAAAAATAAGCAGCTACCCAACTTGTTTGTAACGTCTCAAAATATCTATCTAATAGATGGTATAATACTCACAACTGACAACCAACTTCCTCAAGTTTCAGGTTCATATGTTTACAAACAAAAAGTCACTGCTTTGCAATAAGGTCATCATTCTCCTATTTATCAAAATCCATATGATTAGCAATTTTCTTAGAATAAATTTTTGTTATGAGTCACATTTTTAAAGAAACAACGTACCACCCACTCTTATTCATAAGCACTGCACATACAATAGGACCATGTGACTAAGAGACTATTATGCAGCCATTTAAAGTGACGGTCTTTAAATGATATAACAACATGGAAAAATACTAAGGATTTATCAAGTGGGGAAGAAAGGCAAGATACCTAATTTTAACCACATAAATACAAATTTGGAAACTATTTTTTAAAAGTCTATCACAATTTTTTCAGATGAGATTGAGTCGGGTTTTCCCTCTTATTTTCCAAATGTGTTTAATATGGCTACACTACTCTTCTTTAAAACAAACAAAATTTGTCTTTTTTAGAGCATGAAAGTGTTCAAGGATCTACATTAATCATTCCAGTCTTTCAACAAGTATTTCTAGACTTGCTAGCACAAGTAAATATTAGACTCAAAAAATAGGATTTCAGATTACAAAATCATAACTCTAAAAGCTGGAGGTTTCTACTATGCAGATATTATAATCTTATCTTAAAATAAACACTAGGCATGCCTGTTGTATCTTTTCAAATAACACAAACTTTTGTATAGAGAGAGCAGTTTTAGTCTATTTTTCCATAACACTCAAAGGAAGATAAGGTATCTGAGATGCTGTGGTATTAAGTCTGAATAAAACTATTCACAGGACTTCAAAAAAAGGACCTATTAATGATTAAGCAATTGTATC
The DNA here is from genome assembly GCF_000001405.40 of Homo sapiens. Classification (NCBI taxonomy): domain Eukaryota; kingdom Metazoa; phylum Chordata; class Mammalia; order Primates; family Hominidae; genus Homo; species Homo sapiens. Next base: position 138,948,876 of record NC_000006.12, read on the forward strand.
ACAACAATAACAGCCATTTATTTACATACACAAAAAAGAGTCATTTTTGCTGGCTGACCAGCACTGGAAGAAGTTCCTGTTCCTGCCACTAAGGAGCATGTCCTTCTGAAGAAATGTAAAAGGGCAAAGAGAATAAACAGGCAGGTTAACACCATCAAGGGAACTATGAGGAAAAGGGGAGTTTAAAAAGGCAAGGTCATGCAGCCCCAATCCTCTACTCTTCTGCCCACTTGACGCCTCTTAGAGGTTCATTACATATCTTAAATACTTTTGTTTATATAACAATGCAACTAACATATGCCAGGTATATGCTAGACAGAGGGAAGACCTAAAAGGAGATCACAGTATGGTTTGTTGACATTTTGGGAAGACACCAGGGAAATGGTTAGAAATGAGGAGGTAGTGTTCAAGAAGGGAAACAGAATCTCAATGCTGTTTTAATTGGTATTTATTAAAAGTTTTATATTTGTTAGCCATTTGCATTTCTTTTCCTGACTTGCCCAACTTGTTCTCTGGCAACTTTAAATGGACTGTTAATCTTCTTTACTCATTTTAAGAAGTTTTATTGTGGCCAGGGGTAGTGGCTCATGCCTGTAATCACAGCACTTTGGGAGGCCAAGGAGGGCAGATTACTTGGGATCAAGAGTTCAAGACCAGTCTGGCCAACACGGTGAAACCCATGTCTACTAAAAATACAAAAGTTAGCCAGGTGTGGTGGTGCGCACTGGTAATTCTAAGTACTCGGGGGGCTGAGGTGAGAGGATCATTTGAACTCGGGAGATGGAGGTTGCAGTGAGCCGAGATCATGCCACTGCCCTCCAGACTGGGTGACAGACTGAAACTCCATCTCATAAAAAAAAAAAAGGTTTTATTATATTATACATATTGACCTGCAAACTGTCATGGAATTAATTCATTTATTCAATGACTATTTACTGAGCATCCTCAGGAAGGAAAGACCAGAGTGTAGCTGTAAGTGTGTGTAGAATTGATGGGGAGGAGGGAATGCAGCAGATGGAGCTGATGACTTAGGCAGAAACCAGATCATATTGCACATGTTGTTTTCTAGTTTATCTGTTTTTTCCAAAAAAGCTGTTTTGGTGATACAGAATTTTCCAATTTTTATACAAGCTTGTCATTTCCCCTTTAGGACTTTTGGGTTTGCTAGACTTAGAAAAAAGGTCTTTATACATGTTTTCTTCTAGAATGTTTATGATTAATATTGAAAATATACAAGTCTGACCAAACTGGAATTTATTTTGGAATGAGAAACAAATCAGATATCCTTTTGATCCTCCTCAATAGTTAACTATTGAGGCCAGGAGCAGTGGTTCATGCCTGTAATTGCAACACTCTGGGAGGCCAAGGTAGGAGGACTGCTTGAGGCCAGGAGTTCAAGACCAGCCCTGGCAACATGGTGAGATCTCATCTATACGAAAAAAAATTTAGTTAAAAATTAACTGGATGTGGTGGCACATGCCTATAGTCCCAACTACTCAGGAGGCTGAAGTGGGAGGATCACTTTTGCCTAGGAGTTCAAGGCTGCAGTAAGCTATGATGGTTTTACTTCACTCAAGCCTGGGCAACAGAGCAAGACTCTGTCTCCCCCCGCAAAAAAAAAGAATAAGTTAACCATTTATTTAAAAACTCATCTTTTCTCCATTAACTTGAAAAGCAACTGCTATATTTATATGTGCTTATTTCTGGGCTCCTTATGTTACCGTTTTGTATGCTAGTCCTGGAGCTGTAACCCAGTGTTTTAATTACTTTAGCTTTATAATATTTAAACATCTGATAGGATTAGTCCACCCCTCAATTTTTTTGCTATTTAGAAATTTTTGAATTATCCTCATATACTTATTTTTCTAAATAATCCTTAGAATCATTTGTCAGAATAAACTGAGATTTTACTTGGGGCAGCAACTGATTTATGGTCTTGTTCCAAACTTTAACAAGATCATTTCTAGTGTTTTATCATTAAGCATGATACTGGCTAACACTCTGCCAATATCTCTGATTAAAGAAACTCTTAAGGCCGGGCGCGGCAGCTCACGCCTGTAATCGCAGCACTTTGGGAGCCAAGGTGGGCGAATTACGAAGTCAGGAGTTCGAGGCCGGCCTGACCAACATGAAGAAACCCCGTCTCTACTAAAAATACAAAATTACCCGGGCGTGGTGGCACATGCTTGTAATCCCAGCTACTCAGGAGGCTGAGGCAGAAGAATCACTTGAACCCGGGGGGGCAGAGGTTGCAGTGAGCCGAGATCATGCCATAGCACTCCAGCCTGGGCAACAAGAGGGAAACTCCATCTCAAAAAAAAAAGAAAAGAAAAGAAAAAGAAAAGCTAGTTCTAGTTCTGTTGTTCTTCTAATAATCTTGTTTTGGGTTTTATATTTTCAAAAACCACATAAAGATGTTAATTTTATCATATGCAGATTTTGCACAGAAAACTAAAAGATCATAATTTTTCTCTTTGGTCCATTAATAAGTATATCAATAAGATATAAGAGATTAAGTATATTAAGATATAAGTAAGTATATTAACAGATTTCCTAACATAGAACCTTCCTTTGATTCCTGGAATGAATTTCATTTAGACGTGGTGTATTACTTTTTCAAATAATATTTATAAAATATTTTAACCACAATCTTAGAACAATTAAGTTTTAAAGCATACATAATCTTTGCCGTGCTTTGGAGTTGGTGTTATATTGGCTTTTTCAGCAGAGCTCGCAAACTACTTTTTTCTCTCTGCTCTGTAATACTTTAAATAGATTAGGAATTAGGTGTTTCATGAAGATTTGAAATAATTCACCTGTGATACAGGTGAGGCAATAGCTCTCATATGTTTTTCAGTTTCTTCCATTCTATCTGAAATAAGCTAGGTTTACCATCTCTAAGATTTGATAATTTCCTAGAAAATCATTTATCATCTCCAAATTTTATAATTTCTTAGCTGAGCATCATTCAAAGCAGCCTCATTCTTTTAATCTCCTTTCTATAGTGATTTCCACTTAATCTTAATTGTGCATATTTGTATGCAGTTCACTTTTTCTCTAGCACAGTTATCTGACCATGGGAACCACTTGAAATACCTGTTAGGATATAGATTCCCGAACTGCTCCCATTAGATTTCTAACTCACCAAGGAAATCTAAATCACCAAGGGCCAGTTAGTGATTGTTGCTATAATACTGAAAACTACCATGCTTTGTTTTTTTAATGTTATAAAATGTACATGCTCATGGTAAAATAAAATAGTAGTTAAGGATATAGAATTTAAAGTTCCTACATCCCCATCAGACGTAACAATTCCTCCTAGCCAGGGCAATTAGGGAAGAGAAAGAAAGAAAGGGCATCTGAACTGGAAAGGAAGAAGTCAAATTGTCCCTGTTTGCAGGTAATATGATCTTATATAAATGGAAAAATCTAAAGACTCTACCAAAAAACTCTCAGATCTGATAAACTCAGTAAAGCTGCAAAATAACAAAACCAATATACAAAAATCAGTAGCATTTTTTTTTCTTTTTTTTTTTCCTCTGAGACAGAGTCCTGCTCTGTCACCCAGAGCTGGAGAGCAATGGCGCGATCTCAGCTGACTGCAACCTCCACCTCCTGGGTACAAGCGATTCTCCTGCCTCAGCCTCCTGAGTAGCTGGGATTACAGGTGTCCACCAATACCCCTGGCTAATTTTTGTATTTTTAGTAGAGATGGAGTTTCACCATGTTGGCCAGGCTGGTCTTGATCTCCTGACCTCAAGTGATCCGCCTGCCTCAGTCTCTCAAAGTGCTAGGATTACAGGCATGAGCCACCACACCCAGCCTACAGCCAAATGATTTTTGACAAAGGTGCCAAGAACACTCATTGGGGAAAGGACAGTCTCTTCAATAAACAGTGCTGGGAAAACTGGATATCCATATGAAATATGGAGATACAGACAGATAGTTTTTTGTTTTTGTTTTTTTTTTTTTGAGACACAGTTTCTCAAAAAACTCTTGTCACCCAGGCTGGAGTGCAATGGCACAATCTCGGCTCACCACAACCTCCACCTCCTGCGTTCAAGCGATTCTCCTGTCTCAGCATCCCAAGTAGCTGGGATTACAGGCACGTGCCACCACACACAGCAAATTTTGTATTTTTAGTAGAAATGGGGTTTCTCCATGTTGGTCAGGCTGGTCTCGAACTCCTGACCTCAAGTGATCTGCCCGCCTCAGCCTCCCAAAGTGCTGGGACTACAGGTGTGAGCCATTGCGCCAAATTATATATTTTATGAATGAAATTAGATGCCTACCTCTCACCCTATATAAAAATCAACTCAAAATGCATCTAATACCTAAATATAGCACCCAAAATAATAAAACTACTAGAAGAAAACAGACAGGAAATGCTTCGGTACATCAGTGTGGACAAATATTTTATAAATAAGATCTCAAAAGCATAGGCAACAAAAGCAAAAATAAACAAATGGGATTGTATCAAACTAAAAACTTCTGCACAGCAAAGAAAGCAATCAACAGAGTAAAAGACAACTTACAGAATGGGAGAAAATATCTGGAAACTAACCATCCAACAGAAGATTAATATCTAAAATATACAAGGAGCTGAAATATCTCAACAGCAAAAAACAAAACAAAACAAAACTGATTTTTAAATGGGCAAATGATCCCAAATCACATTTCTCAAAGGAAGTCATATGCATGGTCAACAAATACATGAAAAACTGCTCATCACTATTAATCATCAAGGAAATGCAAATCAAAACCACAATGAGGTATCATCTCACCCCAGGGAGGCTGGCTATTATCAAAAAAAAAAAAAAAAATGCTGGCGAGGATGCAGAAAAAAGGGAACTCATATACTTTTGGTGGGAATGCAAACTAGTTATAACCACTATGGAGAACAGTATGAGGTCCCTCAAAAAGCTACAAATAGAACTACCATATGATCCAGCAATCCTACTACTGAGAATTTATCCAAGGAAAGGAAATTATTATATCAGAGAGACACTGCACCCCCATGTTTACTGTGGTACTATTCACAATAGCCAAGATATGAAATTAACCCAGGTGTCCAACAACAGATGGGTGGATAAAGAAAATGTGCTATATAATATATACCATGGAATACTATTCAGCCATAAAAAATGAAATCCTGTCATTCATGGCAACATGGATGGAACTGGACGACATTGTGTTAGGTGAAATAAAATCCAGGAACAGAAAATTAAACTCATATGTGGAAAAAAAAAAAAGTTGATCTCATAGAAGTAAAAAGGAGAACAGAGTATACCAAGGCTACGAAGGGTAGACAAAGGGAGGAATAAGGAGAGATTTGTTAAGGGACACAAAATGACAACTAGATAGGAGGAATAAGTTCCACCACTCTAGGATGGCTATAGTTAACAATAATATATAGTTTCACATAGCTAGGGGAAGGATACTGAATGCTCCTAACACAAAGAAATGATAAAATGTTTGAGATGATGGATATGCTACTTACCCTGATTTCATCACTATACATTGTATTAGGGGTATCCAATCTTTTGGCTTCCCTGGGCCACACTGGAAGAAGAACTGTTTTGGGCCACATATAAAATACACTAAAACTAACAATAGATGATGAGCTTAAAAAAAAAAAAAAAAAGAATCCCCCAAAAAATTTCATGATGTTTTAAGAAAGTTTACAAATTTGTGTTGGGCTGCATTCAAAGCTATCCTGGGCCACATGCAGCCAATGGGCTGCAGGCTGGACAAGCTCACATTATATATTTGAAACATCACTCTGTATCCCAGGAATATGGACAATTATTAATTCTTTTAAATAAAATGAAAATAAAAGGTGATTACATAAGACAGGTAACTTTTTAATCCCAAGGTATCCTATTAGCTATGCAATATAAATCTGAAAGCAACTTGTAATAAAGCTACCACATTGGTAAACTTAAAGTAACACTTCCTTTCATATACTCTAATTTTTTTCTACATGTACACAAACACACAAGCACACATAATACATACATCTTACACAGGTAGGGTCACTGTACATTATTTTTTCATATATTACTCAAAGATTTTTCTCTATCCGCATACATCTTTTTTTATAAAGCATTTCATTGTGTGGATGGATGCACCTATCACAAATTAACCAATCCTCTACTGATGGATATTTAGGTTTTCCCAGTGTTCTATTACAAATAATATTGTAAACATTTTTGTGCATGTCTTTGTGCACTTGTACAACTATAGAACAAATCTTTAGAAATGGAATATGCTTTAAATATATAACATAGTCCATCAGGTATGATGGCTCACACCTGTAATCCCAATATTTTGGGAGGCTGAGGCAGGAGGATTGCTTGAGGCCAGCATTTCAAGATCAGCCTGGGCAACATGGTGAGACCCTGTCTCTACAAGAAATATACATATAAGCAGGGTGTGATGGCACACCTGTAGTGCTAGCTACTAGGGAAGCTGAGGTAGGAAGATCATTTGAGCCCAGGAGCTCCAGACTGCAGTGAGCTAGGAATTGTGCAGCTTGGGCAACAGAATTAAACCCTGTCTCTTTAAAAAAAAAAAAAAAAAGTGTGTGTGTGTGTGTGTGTGTGTGTGTGTGTAAATAACAGTCAAGTACTAAAAACTATGAGTGACTATTACATCTAACTGACCAGCACAAAATCCTGGCTCTGTGGTCTGAGACAAGAGAGGGAAGTTAATGTTTTCCTTAACTTTACTGGCTTTACCAAGGAATATCAGCCCAGAGAAGTCAGTACTGACTTCTTTTCTAAATGTTTCATTCCATAATATTTACCAAAAAGCCACTAACTTCTAGGAAAAAAGATAAACTAGACTGTAGTTCACTTAACACCTGTACAGATCAACATGGCTAGGAAATCATGGTTTATGTCATTCATACAGTATTTGAGCAAGAACCTAACTTTACTGTGCCTCAGTTTCTTCATATATTAACTGAGGAAAATAATACACTACCTCCTTCAGTTGCTGTGAGCATTCAATGAGGCTGTATTCAATAAAGCACTTCAAAAAGTATCTGGCCCAGAAATATTATTATTACTTTCCATTTACTACCCTGATCATAGTGGACTTTATATAGTTAGAGACTTCAGAGACTAAGTTATTTTTGAAAACCACATTTTCTTGAGAGCCAAGAGTTAACGCCTTTATGCATTAATATGAGTGTTATAATTTCTGATGGAAAGCCTTCTAAAATATAGGACGCTCTCATGTCTTCCTAAGTATTTGCAACTTCTGAACCCAGGATTTTACCTGCTCTGCCTTCAGGACTCTCATTATAATGACAGTAAGGGAATAAACCCACAATAATAAAGAGGAAGTTAGCTGACAGAAAATTTCAATAAATTTTTGCAATTAGAAAACAGAATAGTGACTAATGAAATAAGGTAGAAGAAATGAGTGCCAAGAATACCCATGGAGAAGAAACAATTTGCCCAACAAAATCCAGAGACTCACCCAGAAATGCTAGGTATGACTAGGGATGGGACTGGGACAGAGAACGAAGATCCCCATCTCCACTGCTGCTCACAGTTACTAGCAACCAGACCCTACCCTCCAAACAAAAGCAAACAAACAAGCACTGGATGGCATACCTAAAAGAATGAAACGTTAGAGAAAAACTAGGACAGCTGGTATAGACTTTGCTGTTGCCCCTGGTAAGTCTTTCTAGAACTTACCGATCCCAATTAAGAATGAGCACCTGACCCACCCCACCTAAAAGAAAAGACAGCCTTTTAAGAAGCTATTCCCTGCCCCCTCAAAAAAAGATAAGCTATACCCAAGTACACAGAACTCAGTCAGTTTTTCTATTGCCTCATCCTTAAATATGAACAGCTTACCAAAGATCAGTAAGCACCTGGGGAAAGCCTATAAAGTTGAAGAGGACTGCCAAATTTACAAACAGAAAAAAAAAACCACACAGAGGGAAAGAATCTTAAAAATACTCTAGTGCCTGTTCTGATAGATTTTAGAAAATACTCCATTTGTAAAACAAGAACAAGATACTATGTTAAAAGAACCATCAGAGAACAAGATATCTTGAAATTTACAAAGCTCAATAGAAACACTAGAAGATAAAATAGAGAAAAATGTCTCCAGAAGTAGGAATATTAAAGATAAATTAGAAAAATACAAAAAAAAAAGAATTCATCTAGAAGGACCAAATTTTTATTAAAATAAGGTCTACAAATACAGAGAAAATAGAAGAGTAAATCATTAAAGTAAGAGATTTTGCCCAAAGCTAAAGGACACAAGTTTTAAAGATTGTGAAGATCCAGAGTGCTCAAAATGAACCAAAAAAATTCCTAAACACATTACTGTGAACTTCAGAACAGCAAGGAGAAAACAAAGATCCTAAAACATTTAGAGATGGGGGAGAACATTAGAAATGGCGGAGAAGTGTTAATCATGTAAGAAATATCGAGTAGACTAGAATGAGACTTAGCAGTAACACTGAATATCAGAAAACAATAAAGCAATATCCAGAGAGTTCTAAGTAAAAAAATTTTCAACCTAGAATTCTATCCAAACTATCAAGATCATGGAAAGAATGGACATTTTCAACCAGGCAGAAACTTTTAAATGTTTATCTCCTGTGAACCCATTCTTGGAAAAATATTGAAGGATGTCATTCAGCAAAGTGTGAAGACACAGCTTCCAGGAAAAAGTAGATACATGCCAAGAAAACAGAGAAAAAAAGTTGCAGGATGTCAGCTATGCAACCGGCCTACAGAGCAACCACTCCAGATCAAAGTGCAATGACAGAAGTCTCCAGGAGGAAGCTTTCAGGAAAAATAAAGAGGAAGAAGAACTCAACGGCTATGAAGGCAAACTGTGAGAAAAAACAAAAGACAGTTAAGAAACCCCAGGGGAAAAGCTGTAATCATAGTACAATACTGAATACTTGGCTCTGCCATGAAAATATTTATATAGTCATCACATGAATATTTTTGGTTCATTTTCAACTTTTAGATTCAACCTAAAGTCAAAACATATTAAACAATTAATTATGGTTACAGAACAATATAAATGTTATTAATATTACATATGTGAAAGTACCACTAAGAAACCGAGTGGGAGAAGTATAAGAAAGGTCAAAGGAAAAGGCATTGGCTCACATTCTCAACTTAGAAAAGTGTTAACAGGACAAGAAGAAAGAAAAGTTTCAAAGGTAACAGAGAACCTGACATAAAATTTGAGGGAATACAGAGAAGTAACTTGAGTGAAATCTTCATTTACTTTCTATATTTGGATAATGTCTATAACTGATAAACCTACATAAAGTGGAGTTTTAAGAGATATGGAAGTAATCACTGAAGAAAGAGTTTAATAAGTTCGAAGTGGTTTTTGCAGGAAACAACACTAAGCAGTACAGGAAAAGGGAAAGTAGAGGAAATGGTTGCTTTTTATTGTTAAGTTCTTGTGAACTATCTGACTTTTTAAAACCATGAGCAGAAATTATTTTTATGGAAACCATTTTTACTTTAAGTTCCAGGATACATGGCAGAACGTGCAGGTTTGTCACATAGGTATATGTGTGCCATGGTGGTTTGCTGCACCTATTGACCTGTCCTCTAAGTTACCTCCCCTCGCCCCCCACTCCCCAACAGGCCTGGTGTGTGTTGCTCCCCTCCCTGTGTCTATGTGTTCTCACGGTTCAACTCCCACTTATGAGTGAGAACAAAAGCATATAGATTTTTGACAATGCAAATTTTGTAAACATATTAGTACATTGTAGTATACTGCAATTATGTATTCAGGGCCTTAAAAAAAGTAGAATGTTTTTCTTTCACATAATGGAATAACACTATTAACAGTTTTTGTTTTGTTCTTTGTAATAATCTGTGACTTTTTTCTTGTTGCCAAACTATCGTTTTTTGCTCTATCAGCAGTCTCTAGTTGTTGCCCTTTTGCCTTGTATGCCATAGGCTTAAAAACAGAAATGAGTTTTTAAAACTATAAAACAAGAATAGTTCCTTAATAAGGACCCAAAGAACTCTCCAAGGAGAAAATTACATGAGCATCTATTTTTACTTCCAGATATAATGGAGTAGAACTGGTACTATCATTTTACAGAGGAAAAAAGAGAAAAGCAACTTGCCTAAGGCCAGAGGGCCCAATAAACGGCAGAGTTATAATAAAAATGTATGCCTTTCTTCTTCCACCATGACATGCTATACCTGGTCTTTTTGCCAGGATAATGTCAGCTTCCTCAGGGCAAGTACCCCCAAGAAGTCCTGAAGCATGTTTTGATTTTCCACATTGCTTAGCACATAGTGACAGCAAAGAGTGGTTAAGTGCATAGTGAGGTTCTCTGTTCCTATGCCCAGAATGAGACTGCAGGGAACGCTAAGAACAATAAAGGTACACGGAAGCTACTTCTTATTCCTGGTGAGAAAAAACCGAAGTCAAGTAGATGCTCAATTACATGTAAGAGCCTGAATCCATGAGCTGAATCACAAAACAAAAAAACTCAAAAGACACAATGACGAATGCATTGGAACTATACACAATACTGAGATAAGCTGCCAATATCCTTTCCAAAATGAAATTTTATGAATGAGTTTAATAAAATGGAATCAAAATTAGGATCTTCCCTTTTCAGTCATTAATAGGTTAAAAATGAGAAGTTTATTCTACCGCTTTCATTTTTGTAAAAATTATTCAGTTTAAATGGAACGGGGTCAGTGGGCATGCTATGTTTTTTGGTGCCTTAAAAGCCTAGTCTGATCGACTTATAAATGTACAACACTGGCTAGCCAGTCACTATAACTTCTATTGTTCTACTAACTTGTTAGACTAGGCCCCACAATTCTGACTCACTAACTTAAGTAACATGGGAATCCTTGTAATGAAGATTCACATCTACAATAAAGGAGGGAACAATTATAGCAAATACCTATTATTAGGAATGTTTACTTGTTATTCTACTTAATGTTCAGAACAATCCTCTAATGTTGGCTACCATTATCCCCAGTTCATAGGAAAGAAAACTGAGGCTAGTAAGTGGCAGAGTAAGGATTCAACGCCAGAGTAGTCTGAAGACTCCCTGTTCCCACATGCCTCCAAGACATAGCTAGACAGAACTTCAACCGTGCTTGCTTATGGAGTAGTAGTTTCAAAATGTATTCCAAACAACACCAGTCCAGTTAAAGGTTCTGTAGTCGAGTAAGTTGAGGTATATAACAGCCTCTTTGGAGACTTCAGAATGCATTTTTAGCCCACAAGAAGTAATTTTAAAAAATCTTACCATCTAGAAACAAACCCCCTTTTGGTTTAATACCTACAAAAATGCTTTAGAGCCAATGGTCTATGTATCAGAGGCTCTATATAAAACACTTTGGGGTTCAATGTTGTAGACTCTAGAGCAGTGATTCTTAGTAATTTTGGTCTTAGGATCCCTTATACATGCTTTAAAAAACTATTGAGGACCCCTTTCCCTAAGTTTTTGTTTTTGTGGGTTATATTTATTGATATTACCATATGAGAATTTAAAACGGGAAATAAAAAAGTATCAATAAATTCATGTAAAACAACAATAATCCTATCACATATAACACAGTTTTATACAAATAACTATTTTCCAAAACTGAAAAAAAAAAATCAAGTGAGAAGAGTGTATTATTTTACAAATGTGCAAATTTCCTTAATGTCTAGCTTAGGAAAAGGTTCTCTTATCTGCCTTTGTATTCAATTTATTGGGATATGCTGCTTCGTTTAAAGTGTAGAGGAAATTCACACTTTGCACAGATACATGCTGGAAAAGGAGTATTTAGATAGCTTTTTAGGTAATTTTGATGATTATTCTTCGATACTACATCAAAATTCAACAAGTGGTAGTTGCTTAAAGGTTAATTTCAATATAAATCCGAAACCACATCAAGAAACTTTTCTAAATGTGACGTATTTTGCTTGTAAAATATTTTACAAATCACATTTCTTAATATCACTACTGATCTCACCAGAAAAGTCATTAAGTATTGGGAAGTATCGCACATGGTAGCAGATAAAAGTTCTTTAAAACTATAATTTTCATTGGAAAGCGTGAATTTTATCATTAGCAACAAAGAACATCACCCGTTTTCCTTAAATGGCAGGCCCACTTCCTTCATTTTCAAGAAACTGTCTGCCCAATACCTAAGTCAGCTATTCTTTCAAGAAAAATGATGTTCATGAAAAAAGTAGTTACTTTAGCTCTCAACACACACAATAATTTAAGTACTTCTCAAGATAGGCATTATGGAACCAAAGTGTTTTATTCACATTTAGCATTTTATCACATAAAATATTAAAAAGATGTATGCTTAGGGTCAAATTTTAATAAAATTAGTATTTTTTATTGCTACTCAAAGGGCATTATTTTTTTGTCGCCCAGGCTGGAGTGCAGTGGCACGATCTCGGCTCACTGCAAGCTCCACCTCCCGGGTTCACGTCATTCTCCCGCCTCAGCCTCCCTAGTAGCTGGGATTACAGACGCCCGCCACCACGCCTGGCTAATTTTTTTGTATTTTTAGTAGAGACGGGGATCCAGGATGGTCTCGATCTCTTGACCTCGTGATCCACCTGCCTCGGCCTCCCGAAGTACTAGGCATGAGCCACCATGCTCGGCTCAAAGGGCATTCTTAAGTGAAACTGCTTGGCAGTCCAGCATACAATATTAGCACAGTCTGGTGCTACTGCCTTATTTGTGCTAAGAAACCGAAAGTTTTATCTGCCATGACTTTTACACCAACAATGCAAGTGTCAGCGCAGTAAAAAAGGTAATTAATAATAGTATTGTTATGAAAATAACTTTGACCCCACAGACCAGGGTCTGGAGACCATACTTTGAGAAATGTTATTACAGAGTAAAAATAAAGGACAGTGATAGAAGGAATTCTTGGTTTTGATCCCATCACTGTGTACTACACCTCCCTTAAAGCAGCCACTGAAAACCATGCCTTATGGGAGCAAGCAATTAATATGAATTAGCAAAACTGGCAAGGTGAGGAAAGTAGTGAACTAAGGAGTGCAGGTGTAAAGGAAGCAGCTGCTATTCAACTCTAGCTGACTGCTGCTATTGAAGAATACTTGCCTAATGACACCATGAAGAGATTTTTCTAAAGTTGGATACACGGAATTTTCTATAATATATTCCCATTTTCAAGTGCTAGTGTGGAGTCAAAATAATTTTTTAAAATATGCAGACCAAACACAACACTTGGACCACCTACTTGCATCTTCTGTCCCAAAGGTATTCACAATACTGGAAAAATGGCAATAAAATAAATGGCAAGACTGCAATAATGTCCCTTTGTGTCCTTTAGCAAGTAGGTTAAGGGCAGGGTGGGAAAGAAGGGTAAAACCAAGTTTCATGAAAGATAATCTTACATACAGGCATTATTATATATTAACCTCCCTTCCCAATGATACAATGGTCCTAGAGAGTTTCAGCTGCCTAAGACACTGGATGCCCAGAAAAAAAAATTATTCTAAGGCCATCAATGAATTATTACATATTTTTTATATATATAAAATATAATAGCTTTATATAAGATCTTGTTATCTGGCAAAATGACTCAAGGTATTAAGACAACTGAGTAGTAACCAAGGGAAATTAATTACTAAAAAATACATTATCTCATCCTTCACCAGTATGTCAGTACAGCCCTTAAATACATATTCCAATAGAATAAATAATACAAGAATTCTAAAATACCTCTTCCCTTCTTTCTTCAGTAAGTCAAGACTGCTTCACACTTGCTGTATCTTCAGTATGTTTTCCCCTCAGACCTCTCCTGTCATTCAGGTTTCACCTTAAATGTCATGCTTTCAGAGGCCTTCCTTGAGCACTCTACTGTTATTTATTGTATGTCTCCCAAAAGAATGAGAGTCCAGAGAATAAGGAAGGCCTCTTATATTCCCAGCACCTAGACCAACTCCTGACGCACAGTGTCAATATATATTTGTTGGTTGGATGAATGAAATGTTATTTATGATTAATTTTTCTGCGGTCCCTCTCCACTCCTACACACAGGCTACAAGATTAACAGTCCTAAAGTATAGCTCCATATAACTTTATTGTATTTTAAAGAACAAACTTCTAAGTTCAGCATTCAAGATTCTCCATAATGTATAACCCCAATCTTCCTCCCCAAACTTACTTTGGCCAACCTAGATTGGGCTATCCTACCTCTGGGTGACACAGCAAGACTCTATCTCGAAATAACTAACTAACTAACTAACTAAATAAATAAATAAATAATAAAATTACACCCTTCCTTCATTCATGATACATCTTAAGACCTACTTCCTTCCTGTAACATTTTCTATCCATCCCACTCCATAACCAAATGATCTTTTCTTTCTCTGTGCTAGTACCCGAACTTTTACCATTTGAGTTACTAGTATTATCCATGTATTATGTTAACCACACCACACATTCCGTACCCACATTCCCTTCCACTAAGCTCCTTGGGGGCAGGACTATGGCTTAGGTACACTGAAATCCACTGCAAGGTCTGGCAATGTTCTTTGCACATGGTAGGCACTTAATACCTATTGAAGGGAATTGCTCCCTGTCATGCCCATACCCTCCTGATTTACCGAATTCACTGTTAGCCTTCATTTGAATCAACCCCTTCTTACTTGGAAAGATCATGTTCACCATTTCTTTAAAAATTAAACATTTTCTAATAATAAACAATGTTTGCTTTGTCCAAGTGGTTTTGATTACACACAATCCATGCACACCTTTACATCATCTTCAGCATTGAAGTACACTGTTAGAAAAGTTCAAGGAAAAACAATCAGTGGCAAAGAGGATGGACACACGCCAAAGCCCCGTCATTCCAAAATGGCTGTTTCCTTTCTGCTATCAAAACAGAATATGTTTAGCTTCGGGTACATACTAATCTCTAATATTTTCTTTCCTTACAAAAACAACTTCATTTCAATACTTAGCACAATCCAACAAACAAGAGGGTAATTCATATCTATTACTGTATTCATAAGCCATGTATATATTCCTCAATGACTCTTGCTATGCCTTACTGACCAACCCCACTGCCAACTCCCTCTTAAACTCCTTTCTAAAGTGAAATGCAATCATTTCAACCCTTTTGAGATACTTATCAGTTATATTAGAGCAAATAGCTCATCTCACTTTCACTACATTTCTCATCTAAAACTTTTAACTGCTCATTGCTTTGCTTACACAACTCAAATGCTCTTTGATTTCAAGCCTGCACACCAAGACCACATTGCTTCTTTCCTACCTGCCATGATTTTATCTTAACACTTATGTAAACAGACATTCTCTTGTTTTTTTTTTCCTACCTTTCACCCAAACTCCATTTTACTTATCTATAACTTCCATTTTACATTTCAACCACTTTCCTACCTCAGTGAGGGAAAATTCTCCAGGTCTTTCCCCCAACACTATGTCCTTAGGTAAAATTAACTGTCTATATGTTATGATGTTGACGTAATGATGTCCATTATTTTATAGAACTTGAAAAATAAGAAATATATAAAATTCATCATAGAAGAATTACTACAGCTAAATAGTAACATTAGACTTTTCTGGAGCCCTTACTGTATATTAGGTACTTTAACACAGAAATATTAGAACCACATGCACACACAAAATAAGTATGTTAATTAACTCAATTTAGCCATTCCACAATGTATACATATTTCAAAATATGTTGTATAATATATACAATTTTTGTCAGTTAAGGAAAAATTTTAAAAATAGACAAGAAAAATTACATAAGTACGAGATAAGAATTTCCTTTCTATACAAGTATTAGTATATAAATATAAAAACAGTATATTTCTCAATACAAAAAAAAACCCTAGAAATGTCTTCTGTAACTTTTCAGCACAGAAAGTTCAAATATATATACATATTCTTCTTCCTCTACTAATATTTTCATAGACATTCATCAAGAGAACTCACCATCACAATATAGATTACTGCTATATGACCTAGAAGCTTCTTAATATTTGGAGGGTAGAATTCACTCTATCTGCTATAGAAGGGAATCATAAAGAATGGGTTCAGTCAAACAACCAATGTAAGGGGACTGAAGCAGCTTAAGAAGTTTATAGTTCTTGACTTCAATTTCTGCATAGTATATGTGGTTAAAGAGATTCTCCTTAGCAATATGTGATTCCTGGTTCTTTAGCTATAAATTCTTGCTTTAGGAAATATAAACTCCCACTGTCAGTCTACTCTGATAAAAGTAGTACATACAGGCCAATAAATATTTTACTGCTCATAATCAGTCTCACTGTCATTGTTATCTAAACAAATAAAACACTTCTGATAGCCTCAAACATAAGAACTCCAATGTGAAAAATAGTATGACTACTTTTAAAGTTTGATAGTTTGATTCAGGTCTCAAATTCCCAATTAAAATAATTATTTGTATTATCTACATTAACAATGACAACAACAACAACGACAAAAAGGCTTTAAAAAAAAAACAAATAAGATTAAAGGTAAGAAAGGAGAAAAACCACAAATACGCAAAAGTAGTTTGAAAAATACTACAACCACCTAAAACTGAAGCTTGAAATAGTACTAGTTGCCTTTAGAAAATACGATAGGGTATGGAGATAGTCCAATAAAATTAATTTGATCACTATCGTATACTTAGGGTGATCATAAAATTTACATCCAAACTGAGACATGTGTAGAGTGAAAGAGGCACTGTTTATAATTATGCCTAAACAAGAGGCATAAACCAGGACTGTCTTAAGCAAACCCAGACATAATTGCTTGTAAAACTCATTGAAGATAAATAATCCCATTCAACCAATAAAGTGTGTAAGGTGACATGGAAAGACAACACCTGCAACCTGTTGCCTTACAACATGCCACATAAAATATTAATGTTTTGATTAAGGAGTAGTATTTTTCAAGAACCAGTTACTAATAATCAAACCTCTCTTTTCTTACATTGAAACTTGATTATTCCAGAACCACAATGACTCCTAATCAGAAATTTTAAAAAATAATAAAAGTTTACAATAAAACATTTAAACACAGTGGGCCAGGCATCATTTTAAGCACTTTATAGCTCATTTAATCATCTTAGCCCAGAAGGACAGAGATTTCTATCCTATTTTACAGATGAGAAAACTGAAGTACAGAGAGGCTCAGTAATTCGCCCTGGTCACAGTAAGTGATGAAGTTGAAGATTCCAGAGTGTGTTCTTACCAACTGTACTATGTTGCCACTATTGCTCCTCTAGTGGGAGAAGCAGGAGCCCACAATTATTCCTAAGTGCACAGAATACAGTGGAGCTCTCAAGTATCTCAAGTGAGTAGAACCGTGGTTAAATAGAGTTAAGCATGATATAATTTCTGGTATATATTTGTTACCACTGGTCAAGCAGGAGCAAATGGGACAGGGAAATTTCTTTACTTATAATATGATAAAGAGAAACCCATTCCACTGTTAGGATAATGTACTACACCCGTGCTATGGGTTATCACAGGGTGAGAATGACAAAAAGATGATTATTATAATAATGACAAGCATTAACTGTGCACACACAATGTGTCAGGTACTGTCCCAAACTCGTAACGTGTTAACTAACCTAATCATCCTAACAACCCTATGAGGTAGGTACTGTTTTATAGCTGAGAGAACTGACCATACTTGCTCAAGGACACACAGCAAGTGACAGAACTTAGATTGAAACCCATGCTCTTTGTCACTTCATTATTTTATAAGGGATCATATTTGCCCAGTAGTACATTCATCTAATAAGCTGCATTATAACAGTTTTAGTATGTTACATCATAAAACACGAGTTGTTAAGTTTTTGGTTGGAAGGCCGCAGAACCAAGTTTTGATAGGTGTCATATTTCTCAAGCTTCTGCCTAAAAAAAAGAAAACGGTGAATTTTATCTCTAAGGTCCCTTCTAATACAAATATCATTTCTCTGAATGCAAATTTCCTTACATTTCATATAACTACAATACAAACTACCTGCTGAAAACATCTGCTATGGTTTGAAGATACGCTTTAAACCACAGGCTATGGTTTGAAGTTCATGCTTTGGAAATTTAATCTCCAATACAACAACAGTGTTGAGAGGCAGGACCTTCAAGAGGTGATTAGGTCACAAGGGCCCTGCCTTCGTGAATAGATTAATGTAATTTATCACAGAAGTTGATTCATTATGAAAGGCAATTGGGCCCGCTCCTGCGCATGCAATTGTGCTCTCTTGCCCTTCTGCTTTCCATCATGGGATAATACAACAAGAAGGCCCTAGCCAGATATGAGCTCCTCGACCATGGACTTCCCAGCCCCCAGAACTGTAAGAAATAAACTTTTTTTTCATTACCAATTACCCAGTCTATGGTATTCTGTTTAAAATAGCAACATAAAATGGATAAGGCAACATCTAATCTTTAAAAATCTATTTCTGCCAAAGTGCCAGACATAGATTAGATATGTGACTCCTTTGAAAAATAACACAGGTGGTTATTTAAATATGATTATGAAATCAAATATACAAGAAGTTATATTCACATTTTACTCAATTAAAAAGTACAGTATCACACACAAAAGTTGAGGTTGACTCAACCTTAGGCCCCTCGATCTGCTGGGATTTATTAGTGTCTTCCTTTTGAGTTTCTATAGCTGTAGGCAGCAATAATTTTAGGGTAAAGGTAGTTCAGAGTAGTTTTCCTGAAGACTTTCTTATTCTCCCTTGCCTATTTACCATAATCCCAGTGCAGCAACACTTTATACTCAGTAGGTACTTAATGAACATATACAAACATCACTAAACACACTCCATCCCCAACACATGATAAGAACAAAGAAAAAGAGCCTCAGGATCTCCAAAAAGCTGCTTCCTACAAGAATAACAACAGTATTAGCTAACAGCTATATAAAGCACTATTCCAAGTACCAGGCGCTGTTCCTGGTACTTTATGAATGAATTCATTTAGTCCTCAAAACAATCCTATGAGGTAGGGGTTACCTTTATTCCCCAAACACAGGAAGAAAAAAACTAATTAATGCCCAGAGAAACTAAGGCTCAGAGCAGTTAAGTACAGATGCTCCTTAACTTACGATGGGGTCACATCCCGATAAACCCAACCTAAGCTGAAAATATCCCAAGTCAAAAGTATGTTTTCGACTTACAATATTTTCACCTTATGATGGGTTTACTGGAATGTGATTCCATCACAAGTTGAGGAGTGTACTGAATGTGTATCGCTTTCACACCACTGTAAATGTGAAAAATCCTAAATCAAATCATTGTAAGTCAGGGACCATCTGTACTTGCTTGATGGTGGTAACTCCTAAGAATTAAACTTCAACTTAAAAACTCCATCAAGGATTTTAAGCTGACTAAATGAAAATAAACAAAATAAAAGTGACAATGATGAAAAAGCTATCATTTATTGAGTGGTGTGTCAGTACTTCTTTAATACAATCCTCAAAAATGACCCTAAAAATTACGCATTGTTATTTTCATTTTACAAATCAAAGTAATGGGCAAAGAGAAAGTTCTTGCCCAAGGATATTGACTAGAAATCAGCAGAGCCAAGATATGAACGCAGTTTTGTAGAACTCCAAAGCCTGGTTTTTTTCCACTATGCCAGTATCTCCCAAATTTCAGACCCTTGCATACCACCTTCACAAATTCTGCCATGTTCATGGACCACTTGCACTATTATGTACTTAGTATTTTTTCTTTAAATGAGACACTTTTTTAAAGTTAAACTTATTTTAAAAGAAACTTTGTATCATGTATAAATGGAAAATTCTACTTCACTTGAAATAGAGATAAAAAATATATATTCAATGAAAACAAAACTGTAATTTCAGCCAAACACCACTGTCTGCTAAATGTGCTTACAGCCACATCAAGGCCTATCTGTCCTTTATTAAAAGAAGAGAGCAAATAATATGAGAACGGTGTTAAAAAAAAATTTTACTAGCCCCAAGCTGCAACTTTCTCCATGAATAATCAGATGTGACAAACAACAAAAAAGAGAACAGCTTCTTCACTATGTGCAAGAATTGGGTACACATCTCACTCTTTGGGGAACAAAACATAAGGCTGCTCTACTGCCTCTCCTTGATTCAAGTACACACCCGTATCTGCAGTCTTTCATGTATTCTCAATATTGTATAGAATGTGCTAACACTGAATTGCAGACTGGTTATTATACCTAGTAGCATTATAGAAACATCTCATCAAAATCTTCTTTTAAGTACTTACATACAATGTTGAAAATATACACTTGGCCCTGGGAGGAAAACAAAATTTTAACACAGAACCCTTTTTCTTAAAAACTTTCTGCCCTAGTTGCAAACAACACACAATCTATGATACAAAGCTGTAATTTTTTTTTTTTTTTTTTTTTTTTTTTTGAGATAGCTCTCGCTCTGTCTCCCAGGTCTGTCTTCCAGGCTGGAGTGCAGTGGTGCAATCTCGGCTCACTGCATCCTCAACCTCCTTAGTTCAAACCCCTTCTGCCTTAGCCTCCTGAGCAGCTAACAGGCACACACCACTGCAGCTGGCCAATTTTTTTTTTTTTTTTTGGTAGAGATGGGGTCTCACTATGTTGCCAAGGCTGGTCTCAAACTCCTGGGCTCAAGTGATCCATCTGCCTCGGCCTCCCAAAGTGCTGGGATTACAGCCATGAGCCACCGTACCCAGCAAGGCTGTAATTTTAAGCATCAAAATGGTTGGCAACCTGAGCACAAGCTTTGCCATCGCATGAAACTGAATTTGAATCCCAGCTCATGTTGCACATGCAGCCTCTCTGTAGCTCAAGGTTTCTCAGTTGAAAAACTGAAATAATACATATCTCTAAATGTAAAGTTAAATATATGTCAAATAGCTTGATGTCTGGTCCATTATAGGTGCTATATAATTAGTACTTGGCCCCTGTAAGAATTAAATAAAGAAAGAGGTTACTGTGAATTGGGATTTTTTTTTTTTTTTTTTTTTTTTTAGTAAGTACCTCATCTCTAGACCTTAAAGAATGGGCAGTTTTTTGGTCAGTCAAAACAAGAGAGGCAATCCTATTCGGGGTGCCAGTAGGTCAATGCAAGGACTGTAGTGGTGGCTAGGTGGTACACTGAAGCTAGATGATGAAGGCTCTAAATGCCACACTAATTTTCACTGAACATTTCTGAAGAGTAGCATATAATTTATAATTCACTAATCTATTCTTCAGCAATCACAGAAAAGCTTAAGATTTAGGAGGCCACTATAGTAGTTCATCAATGAGGTGTTCAGAGCTTGGATTAGAGTAACACTAAGAACAGAAAAGAACGATTGGCTAAGTCCTTTCAAAGAGAATCTGAAGGACTTTGTAAGTTGGATAGATGGAAAAGAGGAGTCAAAGCTGACTCCAAAGAAGACAGTAGGAAGACAATCAGGACGTTAAAGACAGAGTATTTCAGCTCCACGATGAACAAGAAGAGACAATATCCACCAAGAAGTGATTCACTGCCAGTTGCAAGGGAAGTGAAAGGTCACTGGATTTGGTGATCAGGATAACAATGAACTTTAAGAATATCTTAAAAAAAAAAAAAAGGAGGGGGAATATAAAAGTTAAATTACACCAAGCACAGTGGCTCACACCTAAAATCCCAGCACTTTGGGAGGCCAAGGCAGGCAGATTGCTTTTAAGCTGAGGAGTCCGAGACCAGCCTGGCCAACATGGCGAAACCCTATCTCTAATAAAAATACCCAAAAAAAGGCCGGGCATGGTGGTGCACACCTGTAGTCCCAGCTACTCGGGAGGCTGAGGTGGGAGGATCGCTTAAGCTCAGGTAACAGAGGTGCAGTGAACCAAGATCGTGCCATTGCACTCCAGCTTGGGTGACAGAGCAAGACCCTGTCTCAGAAGATAAATCAGCAAATAAAAATAAAAGTTAGATTACTAGTGCTTAAGAACAGGCCAGGGTACAGGCAGTAGAGAAGAAATCAGGTCATTTGTTATTTGGCAGTAAAAGGAAGAAGAAAAATAGGAAGGCAGCTAGATGGGTGTGCAAGGTCAAATGAGTAACACCAGAAGCAAAAAGGAACATTATGTAGAAAATAACCATGAAACAATACAATTAGTAACTATGACAATTCCCTTTTTGCCATTTGTTAAGTGCTAGTGAGAAACAGTAAGTTTGGATTCACTCCAGAATCAAATCTTAGAGGGAAATGTACTTAGGGAAGTAAAAGATTTCTCTCAGGGTTCAAAACTGTGGGTGGTAAACAGAAAAAAATCTAACCATAAGCTCCCTTCCACCAGCCATTAATTCTTTAGTGTTCTGAATGAAGGCACAGAATACAGTGGGTCATTAGCTTTCAAAGTTTTAAGATCTGCAGTTTCTACTATTCCTATGAGATAATGACAAGTAGTACAATCTGTAATTCTGACGTGGCACATGTCTCAGTGGACTGTGCTAGGGAATGTGTGAAATCCTGTGAGTGTACCATGACTCAACCCAGCACCCTCATCTCTAAATTGACTTGTGGGCCTCCACTTGCAGCCAGGCACACTGGAACTCTGTAGAAGTTTTGCCTCATTATATTTTATGAAAAAAAAAAGTATACGCTATAGTGCCAAGGTGTCCAGATTCTACCATAATTTATTTCTTTAGTTGCCAATAAATTATCAGTTTTTAAAAAATGTCTTACAATTACTCTGCTATAGATAAAAAAAAGTGGGGGTAGGTAAGGGAAAAAGATCCTGAAAGGGAGGGAGGGGAAAGCAGCAATGTCTTGTCAGCAAAGCAGCGAAGTCAGAGCTCAGAGAATTCTGTGCTATTGTTCTGTTCTTACTGCCTCCTTCTCTTCTCATGCCCAGAATGTTGATTGGGGTGGGGAGAGAGTACCCATAGTGCTAGGCAGTGGAACATCCAAGGCTTGAAGCTTCACCACCCCCACTTTTCACTTCCCTGGGTGAGGAGCCCAGAATTGCTTTAAGTCATCATCCCAATCACGTCTATGAATGCACAGCCAAGCAGGGCTAAGCAAATGGCTTGCCCTAAAAAGCTGCCGATGTTTTCTAAACATCTATTATGTGTTTTTGCTGTTCTGCACATCAAGAAAGAAAAGAAATCTGAGTTTTATTCACAACTTGCTCACAATATTGCTGGGATATAGAGATACTGGAGAAGCAGCCAAGCAATGGCATATACACACCAAGCAACAGCATAAATGAACAAAAATCAATACAGTACAAAACATATACAAAAGGATAGGCAGGAGGGAAACTGGTCTCAGTGAGAGTGAAGTTGTTCAAATTAATTTCCAAAACCTACAAAAGTCAATTAAGCCATGTTTTGAAAAGGGGGGCGGAATAAGCACGAAAGTGAGGAGAGAGTCCTGTAGCTGAGGGAAGTTACATGATAAAAAAGAATAGATAAAGAACAAGTAAAAGCTGTGTGAGAAACAGAAAAACAGATCTGCTGGGAAGGAACACACAGTCCCTATTAGGAGAATAATCAGAAACAAGCCTGTGAGATGTAGCAGTGAGTTGGTAGAAGCTTTTAAGGCTGATTACGCATGACTAATCAGATTTGAAATGCTCTCTGTTATCACCATTCATTTTATGGGAATGCTATACCTTCCCTCCAAAAGAGTTAACTAAATTAAATGAGAAACTCCACTGACCTGTTTTCTTATTTAGACTACATGCTTGTCTACCACTGCTTACTCACTGTCAAGTTCAACAATTGAAAATTATGCCTCTGCAGGGCAGAGAAATACATGTGAGTTTACTACTAAAGTGACCCACAATACCACTAAAAAAAAAAAAAAAAAAATTTAAGAGAACAGCCTTGAAGTAACGATTGCTTAAAGTTATTAGCAAGCATGCTCAGTGTTTGACTAGCATCACCTGACCAACTTTAAAAGTATTAACGAGAATATTCACAGGCTAATTGAAAGCACTATGCAGTCTGGTCTCAGAGTTCCATACTGCTGAAAAAAACTCATTAATTATAATTTGGAATTTTTTAAGTGGTATGATAAAATGAAGAGGCTAGGCTAGCACCCATCAATGTACTGATGAGGAATGAAGTTCTAAAGCACCAACTAAGCAGTCTAATAGGTTTTGAGTGAGTGCCTAACAGGAACAAAGTGATAATAAAGGAAACAAACAAGGCTAAAACTTACCCTCAAATTTTTTGCCACCTATCAAGGGAAACAGATACACAGGAAGAATAACCTAAAGTACAAATTGTATACAAGTGCAAACATACAGAATAGAGTTGGGAGACTACAGAAGGAGGGGTTATCTGGTTGGGATGATTAGGAAAAAGTTCAAGTAGGATGTCAAACTAAAAAACAAAAAACACATGGTATTTTAAGTGAAAGTTCAAAAATTATTTCAAAGACCTTTCTAATTCATGAAAGATGATACAACATTCTAGAGATATAACTTGATGATTCAGATTTAGGTAAGTAAGCCTGTGATAAAAATTATGAAGGAAACCAAATAATGAGTTAGTCTGTAAATATCTCAATGTAGAAAAGAATTCATCATAGGAAGAATTTGCTCTGGATCCCAAGAAAAAATACAGTAAGTTTAATAAAACCTCAGCCAATATATAAAGACTGTAAAAAATTCTACTGGGAATCAGTCAAAGTCTGAATAAGAAAACATTTTTGAAGGAGTAATACACAAGCGTGTCAGAAAGTAATCTGACTTTCACTCTTAAGCCCCCATGAAACATACAGAGTGTAGTAGTTTAAAGCAGAACTACTTAAATCCCAGCTCAATGACTTACTAGCTGTGTAATCGTAGAGAAGTTACTTATCCTCTGTGTCATTTTAAAAATAGAGATAATAAACTGTATCCACTTCAGATCATTGAAAGTAAAATGAATTATCATATATAAAGGGCCACAAACAATGCTGATGTAGTAGGCACTACATCAGCATTAATTATTACTATCATTTGAATTGGCTGGCAATGTATATTAAGGTTAGAGATAAGCAAACATATTTTTGGGGAAAAAAGATAAATCATGTTCACTCATTCAACAAATATTCACTACTGACAATGTGCCAGGAATACAGTCAGGAAGCAGACAGGCACAGTGACCCCTTGGAGCTTAGAAGATTCAGTTTTCCAGGACAGGAACCATGTCTCCTTCACTCACCTCTGCAAACCCAGTGCCCTAGGTACATACCCTGGAGCACAGCAGCTGTTGAATGGTGTTTGCTGAATTAATGAAAGGTGTAATTATAGGGTATTAAATTGAAAAAAAATTCTGAATATATGGAGAATAGGAATTCAACAGATCCATCCCCTGAACGAATGGTACAGCAATGCCACAGGATAACTAAACCTCAAGAAATCTGTCTACAAACCTTCAAGAATCTATCAATTCTTGAATATCGTAAGAGCATGCACTTTCCTATTAATAAAAAATAATGAAATGGCACGCTTATTACAAGGATTAAATGAGATCCTGTGTTACATGAGAATCACAAAGCTGCAATGAGATGCTGATGTGAAGAGGTAGGCTAGATTCTTCAGCTCCAAGCCTCACTCCTCAGCTAAATACAATGACTATGTGTCCAG
Organism: Homo sapiens; assembly: GCF_000001405.40. Classification (NCBI taxonomy): domain Eukaryota; kingdom Metazoa; phylum Chordata; class Mammalia; order Primates; family Hominidae; genus Homo; species Homo sapiens. The sequence continues at coordinate 138,974,469 of NC_000006.12, forward strand.
GTGTTTAGGGGTTGTTTATACAAATAGCTAAAACCTCTTATATTAAATGTCCAAATGTGTTTTGGGTTTAAAATGTAAGGTGCCTTTGGGTTTAATATCTAAGATTCAAGTCTTTGGAGGCTGACCTAATTTCAGATGAAGAGACATTATACTTCCACACCCATATGGCCTTCCTAACAGTTTCAAGAAAGTTTCAGAAAACTCCTGAGGTCTTAAGTGAAAACAGAAACCGAAATCTCTGGGACAATATCAGAGTTAATTAACTCTGAAAGGATATTTCAAATATACAGACTTTAAGGCCGGACATGGTGGTTCACGCCTGTAATCCTTGCTTGAGTCCAGGAGTTTAACAACAGCTAAAAAATACAAAAATTAGCTGGGCATGGTGGCATGTGCCTGTAGTCCTAGCTACCTGGGAAGCTGAGATGGGAGGATCTCTTGAGCCTGGGAGGTTGAGGCTGCAGTGAGCCGTGATAATGCCATGCCACCACACTCCAGCCTGGGTGACAGAGTGAGACCCTGTCTCAAAAAAAAAAAAAGTTAGGCTTGCATTCCTCATTTTTAGTGAATGGCCTCATTCAGGAACCACCACCAAGTCTGCACACGCTTCTAAAGCCACCTAGCTACTACTCTCAAGCTTTCAAATGCCCTCCTAACTCTGCTGCCCAGAAGGAATGAACATGGCATCACACTCAGCACATACAAAATCCACCACATTATCTTCTCCCCAAACCCCCTACTTTGCCCTCTGCTTCTTTATTTCCACGTTAATGGCATCACCATTCTATAGGCTCAAAACCTCAGAATCATTCTTTGAGTCCTCTAGTGCTAAACTTCACTTCAAGAGAGCAAACCCTCAAATTAATTATCCAGTGAAAGGGCAAAACAAAAGGCTTACTGACAGAATAGAAGGGTTGGGAAAGCATTATTAAGTTCACACAACAAAATCAACGAAAGGTATAAAGCTAGGTTTGAAGAACAACAGACAATTTTCTGTAGTATTAAAGCCAAGATTCCACAAATTCTGTGTTTTCTTCTATAGAGCAGAGCTTGAGTGAGTGAAACTTACTTGATAACCTTCTAAGAACCAGGCACTATCAGTTTGGTAGCATTAAAACTTCAGAAATGGCCAAGGCGGAGGATCACCTGAGGTTAGGAGTTCGAGACCAGCCTGGCCAACATGATGAAACCCCATCTCTACTAAAAAATACAAAAATTAGCTGGGCGCAGTGGCAGGCGCCTGTAATCCCAGCTACTCGAGAGGCTGAGGCAGGAGAATCACTTGAACCTGGGAGGCAGAGGGTGCAGTGAGTCGAGATTGTGCCATTGCGCTCCAGCCTGGGAGACAGAGCCAGACTCCGTCTCAAAAAAAATAAAAAAACCTTCAGAAATGGTATTAGCTTCAGTTTACAGACGAGGAAATGAAATCTCAAGAGAGGTTAAGTACTTACAAAAGATGAGAAGTTAATAAGCACTAACTGGAGATTCAAAATCTAGAACTGTCGTATTCCAAAGTCTATGCTATTTTGACTACACTCAATACTTGCTGACACAGAAAATTACTACGATGTTGTAATTACTTTTCTATGGAATATAATGAAGTGCTTCAGAAAAAATATGCATTCTTCTAAATCAGCTATTAATATACAGTATCAATAAACACTTTGAAGTCAAACCTATGATCCTTCCAGTCACAAATGAGACACCAAAAAAAAACTAGTATACTCTTAGTTTCCAGACAATGATTTCTTGTTTCAAGGATATAGATATTTCTATTTCCACGTACAACATTTTGCATAACCCATGGACAAAAAGAAGCAATAATCACTTCATGCAATTTTTTTTTCTCCACAGGAACATGCTATTATAATTGTGAGGATTGGGACCAAGATCTAGCTCCTTATGCAAACTCAGATTGAATACAGCTATTTCAAAATACAAAGACACCAAATCAGTCCCTTTAAGTAACATTAGAATGGCCCACAAAAAGATTCATGATAGTGACGGTGATTATTCCAGTGGACAAAGCAACCCAAAATAGTCCTGTAGACTGAAACTACTATTTCATTAAAATTATTACTTGTCAGTCATGACTACTTCAAACTTGCATTATTCTTTGAGGTATTATATTTCTATAATTTCCCATAATATTAAGATATCTGAGTTAAGTGTACAAAAATTCATCATACCACCAAAGGTCAATAGATGGAAACTGGTCTTCATTCTAAATCATATTATTTTTAGCCCCTTCTAAGGTCAATAAATAATGTACTTGTAAAATAACACATATAAAGCACGCAGAGCGGTCCCTGTCACACAGAACAGTGAATAAATGTTAGCTTGATGCTAATGTAATGTAATGTAAATATACTCAGTTCTAATGAATCTTGGAAGATGAGATATGGCAATCTCCTCTACACATAAAAATCTATCAGTACATCATCTTTCAAAATTTAAATCCTTTATCAAAATGCCAGATTACATTATGCTGAAGTTTTGTAATTAAACTATGTAAGCAGTACACAGTCCTTCATTCTCCACCACATTCAACCTTTACATTCCCCAAGATGACTATTTTGTAATTTTTAATTCATAGCTTTGAGGTATAATTTATACACCATAAAATTCAACCATCATATGTGTACAATTCATTGAGTTTTAAGAAAATTATACAGTGTATAGAGCACTATCACTACAATCTAATTTTAGAATTTTTCTATCACCCAAGTATTTTCCTCCATACCATTTCTCTTGCTCTGGCCTGATGCAACCACTAATCTGCTATATCTCTATAGATTTGCTTTTTGTAGACAGTCCATATAAATGTAACCACACAATATGTACTCTTTTGTATTTGGTTTGACAGTTAGCATGTTGTTATTACAGATGAGGTCTTGCTCTGTCACCCAGGCTGGAGTGTACTGGCGTGAACACAGCTCACTGCAGCCTCAAACACCTGGGCTTAAGCTATCCTCTTTCCTCAGCCTTCCAAGAATAGCTTCAATGATATGCGGGTGCCATCACATTTAGCTAATATTATTTATTAATTTTTTGGGACAGGGTCTTGCTATATTGCCCAGAGACATGTTTTTGACATTCATGTTTGTTATAACATATATCACTAATTTGTTTCTTTTTTATTGCAGAATAGTTTTCCACATTTTATGTATTCAAACACCATGTGATGGATATTTGAATTGCTTTCCAGTTTTTGACTATTGTGAATAATGCTAACAGACATGTACATACCTTTCTTTATTTGTACAGGTATTTTCATTTCTCTTGGGCAGATTCCTAAGAGTGGAACTGCTGGTTGCTATGGCAAATTTATGCTTAACTTTTTAAGAAAAAGCCAAACTGTTTCCCAATGTGGCTGTGTCATTTACAGTCCCAAGAAGTGCCTAAGGGTTCCAGTTTCTCAACAATACAAATACTAGGTATTGTCAGTCTTTTTAATTACAGCCACTCTGGTCAGTGTGTGATAGTATATCACTGTGATTTAATTTGCATTTCCCTAATGACTAATGGGGTTAACATCTTTTCATATGCTTATTGGCCATTCTTATTGTTGTCTTTGGTGAAATACCTATTCAATGGGCTTAAGCCTAAGAATGGGCTTTCGCCCAGTTTTTTTTTTTTCCTTATAAGTGAGTTGTAAGATTTTTCAAATATATTCTAGATTAAAGACCTTTACCATGTTTATAATATGCAAATATTTCTCCCCAATCTGTGGCTTATCTTTTTATACTTTCTTAAGTATCTTCTCAATTGTAAAAGTTTTAAAAATATTTAATAAAGCCCAATTATTTGTTTCTTTTCCTTTTCTTTTTTTTTTTTTGAGACAGGGTCTGGCTCTGTTGCCCAGGCTGGAGTCCATTGGCGCAATCTCGGGTCTCTCTGACCTCTGCCTCCCTGACCTCTGCCTCCCAGGCTTAAACCATCCTCCTGCCTCAGCCTCCCAAGTAGCTGGGACCACAGGTGCACACCACTATACCCAGCTAATTTATTTTATCTTTTTTTTTTACAGGCAGGGGTCTCCCTATGTTGCCCAGACTGGTCTCAAACTCCCGGGCTCAAGTGATCTGCCCGCCTCAACCTCACAAAGTGCTAGGATTACAGGCATAAGTCACTGTGCCCAGCCCTGTTTTGTAGTTTTAAATACAAAAATCTTGGTGACTCTTTTCTTAAGTTTATTCCCAAGTATGTTAGGCCTCTTTGAAGCTAATGTGAATGTATTTTTTTCTTACTTTCATATTAAGATTTTATGTTACTACTACACTGTTAATCCTGCCTCAGTTTGTAGAAAACAAATAAAAGCCATTAGGCCAGAACATCCTCCCACTAAATCTATATTCCACCCACTAAATCTATATTCCTACTTGCGTCTGTAACCATGTTGTTCTTTCTTCCCCACTGTTAAAACTGAGGAAGTGGCCGGGCACGGTGGCTCATGCCTGTAATCCCAGCACTTTGGGAGGCCAAGGCAGGCAGATCACGAGATCAGCAGTTCGAGACCAGCCTGGCCAACATGGTGAAACCCTGTCTCTACTAAGAAGACAAAAATCAGCCAGGCGTGGTGGTAGGCACCTGTAATCCCAGCAACTCTGATGGCTGAGGCAGGAGAATCGCTTCAACCCGGGAGGCGGAGGTTGCAGTGAGCCAAGACCAGGCCATTGCACTCCAGCCTGGGCGACAGAGCGAGAATCCATCACAAAAAAAAAAAAAAAAACAAAAAAAAAAAACTGAAGAAGTATCCCCTTCCTATCAAAGGACTCTGTGCAGTCAGGATCCTGACCACTCCTGCTTTCTCAAGGACTTCTCATCTCCCTTATCTTAGCAATCCTAACAACTAAAATCATTCTGCAGAATTTCTCACACTCAAAAAGAAACAAACAAAAAGATTTCCTTTATATCCTCATACATCTCTAGCTTCTACCCTGTATCTATTCCCTTTCATAGGTAAACTTCTTTAAAAGCTATCTATACACCCTGTCTCTAGTTCCTCAGCCATCATTTATCCCTCAAATCACTCAAATCTGGCATCCATCTACACTAGTCCATGAAACTGGCTCACTGAAGTTACTAATAACTTCCAGGTTGCCAAATCCAATGGCCACATTCCTGCCCACATGTTCTCAGCCTCTCAGTGAAATTCAATACAGCTGACTACCCACCCCCTTGAAATACTTGCATTATTTGGCATCCACGACATGATAATACTATATATTACACATTCCCAATTTGTACCACTCTGATTGTGTGCTTCCTAGCGTCCTTCCAAGAAGCCTTCCAGTTTACCCAACTTAGAAATGTTCAGCATTCCTCAGGATTCCAGTTCTAGTCAATCTTTCTCTCTTCTTTATAATCTTTTCTTCAATTATTTCATTACCTTAAGTATCACTAACATAGTGACAATCTTCAAACTGACATCTCTAAGCCAAGTATCTCTGAATTCCTCAAGATGTATAGATCTCTCTAACAGGCCTACTTGACAATCTTACAGGCTTCTGAGAACTAAGATAGACAAAAGGGGAACTGCTGAATTCACCCTTACCTCTCCCACGAAACAATCCCCCCCAAAATCCACTCCTCTTCCAACCATCCAATAGTGGCAACTTCCAGCAACATCCTTGAGTTCTTTCCCCTCCCTTATGTTCCATATCCAACCCTATTTATGCCTTCGTATTTCTACCACCTAAAAAATTCTCACAGATGTCCACTGCTCTCTATCCTACTGCCACCTCGCTAATCTAAGCCATTGCTGTCTGCTGCCTGGACTGTTGCATATCCACTAGCGTATCTGCTTCCACTTGCCCCCAGTATTCTTTTTGCTCATACAGCAGTCAGCATGATCTTTTAAAATATAATTCAGATGATGCTACACCCCCGAATAAAAACTTTTAGTATATTTCCACTAAAATCCAAATTCCTTATCACTGAGTACAAGGGCCTGCCTTATGCAGTCCCTGCCATTCTCCCCTCTTGTCCACAGTTTCAGTTCCTTAAACACACTGTGCTCTTCACAGCCTCAGGCCCTTCCCAGTTCTCTCTATATGAAACACCTTATTCTCCCTCCCCTGACCCCCCATCCAGGCATCCTCTAAGGGGCCTTCCCTTACACCTAAGTAGGTCCCCACTACCTCCTCTGATTCTACCACCCAATGATTCTCTATTATTGTACACAGTTCTTTTTTCCTTTTTTTTTTGTGGGTGGGGCGGGGGGGGGGGGGAACGGAGACTTGCTCTGTCACCCAGGCTGGAGTGCAATGACACTACTATGTTTACTATGTCTCATTGCAGCCTCAACTTCCCAGGCTCAAGTGATCCTCCTGCCTCTGCCTCTCAAGTAGCTGGGACTACAGGTGCAGGCCACCACGCCTGGCCAGTTCTTTTTCTTTTCGACATTGGCACAAGTCAGAGAAGATGTCTTGATCCTTCACCACTGCATGTATACCCCCAATACAAAGAACAGCCACAAAGAAGTCTTTGTTGAAAGTATTTAAAACTGATTTAAGACAGAAGTGTTTAGCATTTCACAGGTCAGCCTGCTCTTCCTTAAAACTGAATTAATGTAGAAGTCCATAAGATGAGCTTGACTCAATTAGGGGAAGGCTGGAAATCACAAATTAAGTGCAAAATTCTGTGGAACTATGTTTTCTAAGCAGATGTCCAGTGCGTGCAGCAGAATCTCAACGGAATCAACAGCCCAAAAGAGACAGACTAATAAATTCTGTCTTCATTATTTAATGAGACAGACCCCAAATTCAACACCTGGCTAATTCTTGAAACAAAATGCAGAAGAGATGTAGTATTCTTAATTTTAAAAAGCCTAAGTCTTAGAATTTATCAAATCTCAATGAAATCTGGTATACAGTTTAACTTCCATTAGACAAATTTCTTACACAGAGGGAAAAGATGAGTGAAGATGCATCTATAATAGGAAAGGCTACAGAAAATAAAACCTATATAAGGGAAAACATCAGAAATGACAAGTCTTATCACCCATTTCAAATTCTCACGACCTTGAAGAACTAAGCACCCATGGATTTATGACCCTTTCATCAGTTTCCTCTTGTATATATCTCCTCTTTGTATTCCTCAAAGAATGTCAAATAATCCTGTTCCAGTGTCAAGATAGTGGAGCAACTAACCACAAGACTTTGTGCTACTTTTAAAGGGGTGTGGCTGGAATAGATTAGCCGCTCCTACACAAAGATACTCTCATTTGAGTCAGAAATCATGAAAACCCAATCCCATAGCTATATCAGACATTCTGTGATTTGTTCAGGGTTACAAAGTTAGCTGATGCCAGAACTGGAACTTGCCTCCCACAGTTAGTGCTCTTTATACCAGCTTCTCATGCTCTTGTGTCGCTCCATCAAATGTTTGGCACGAATTCCCAATATACTAAAACTCTAACTCTGGGCTATTGATTAAAACAAACAAACAAACAAACAAAATGACTGAAACTAGCACAAGAAACTCAAGAAGACAGAAATTTTAAAAGTAAATAAATAGGACACTACAGAAACACATTGACTGTGACTTCTTTCACAAACAGTATCTTTTTCAACTGTGTATAGGTAAGTGATTATGGCAAGATTATTTCTGTAGTTTATTACAATTATTTTAGTGATTCAGAACTAAAAACCACTACTCCAGAATAACAAACCTGAGACTTATTAAGTTTATAACTTTCAACACAGAAATGAGCTCTGCTTTCCTATTTTTAAACTTATCACTAATGCCAGATCTTGTAATTGATTTAAACAAGTTTCAAGACAAAAACAAAATGGTTTGTTTCACTGTTATTGCTTTTCCCCATTAAATTTATGTGTTATGCAAATATTCTAACAAGATATTGCTCTACACAAATGATCTAAAGATTTTCAGCTTCATTAACAGGGTACATTGCTTACAAACCTCAATGAAAGAACAGTTAGTACTAGAACCCTTTATCAATCTATTATGCATTCAAAGTCTGTATGAAGTTTTAAGACATTTCCCAAAACAGAAGCTTTTGGTAAAAGCTAAGAAAACATTCTGATTAGTGTGGTAAATAGTATATCTTTCCTAATCTTTAAAAAACAAAATAAACTACTTTGGGAAAAGCTGACTTTTAAGCCACAACACTGAATATTTTCTTGCTCGGCAGACAGCAAAATTCCTCATGATTAAATCCTATGAGCCAGATTTTTCTCCCCCTCATCTTGCTATTATGTGGCATGGAGCATAATTTTACAAAGCATGCACTCCTTCACTTTGTCTATTGACATTCTGTCTTCAAAAACAAACTCTTAAACTCAGAATAGATTTTCCTCTGCTATTCAAAAGCAACTGTAATGAACACACCTTAAAACATCTGACAGTGGTAATAAAGAAAAATTGTATTTGTGTGTGCCCTGAACACCAACTACAAGAATCTCCCTCTTTCTCTGAAGTGGCTGTGTTTCAAGACATCATCATACATTAAACTACTTACTACGCAAAGGAGTAAGTTGATACGTAACACAAAATCAGATATTCTAAAATCCCTACTGTTCATAAGAACTATGGGGAAGTCAAAATCAGACCAACTGAATTTTATTCCTCACCCTGCTCCCAAACCACATGACCAGAGAAGGTAAGAGCTGGGACGTGAATAATAGTAAGGGAGAGATACGAATATTCACAAATAAATTATTTAACTTATCTGCTATCAAGTTCTTAGTGAACAAGAATAAGCCTGTAATCCCAGCACTCTGGGAGGCTGAAGTGGGCAGATCACAAGGTCAGGAGTTCAAGACCAGCCTGGCCAATATGGTGAAACCCCGACTCTACTAAAAATACAAAAATTAGCCGAGTGTGGTGGTGGCGCATGCCTGTAGTCCCAGCTACCCAGGAGGCTGAGGCAGAAGAATCGCTTGAGCCTGGGAGGTGGAGGTTGCAGTGAGCCGAGATTGCACCACTGCACTCCAGCCTGGGCAACAGAGCGAGAGACTGTCTCAAAAAATAAAAATAAAAATAAAAATAAACAAGAATAACACCCACTTCACAAGGTTGTTGCAAGAATCAAATGAGTTCTTCCATGAAAATGATTTGCCTGGTTAAAGGAACATAATAGGCACTCGATAAATGCCAGCTCCTTCCTCGTTTGGTTCTGGACTCGGTGTTATTTGTTCTCTACACTCATGCCCCCAGATGACTCAGTCTCCTCCTAACTTTTACTAACAAACACCGAAAACTACTGTACCAACCAAGGTCCTGATATGTATGTGCATGCCCAGTCTATGTGACACTGTCTCCCGTCCCTAAACACTTAGGTGAGCAAAACAGAGGAAGAAATCCCGAACCTCTGAACCTGAACTGCTGTAAGAACCAGCAGTTGGGGTGGACAAATCTCCACCCACTTCCCACTGTCTCCAAGAGATCTGAATTGCCATCTAAGAATGTCTGAAACCAAACTCATCATTGTCTCTTTTAAAAAGTAAGCCCTCTTCCTGCCCCTTTTCTAACTGTGAGTGGTGTCCAAAGAATAATCCTTGCCCCACTGTATTCTCACCAAAACACTGCCAAATAACCCAGGCCTATCACGTTTACCTTCATAATCTCTACCATCTCTCTCTCTCTCTTTTTTTTTTTTTTTTTTTGAGACAGCGTCTTGCTCTGTCATCTAGGCTGGAGTGCAGTGGCGCGATCTTGGCTCACTGCAACCTCCTCCTCCTCCCAGGTTCTAAGTGATTCTCCTGCCTCAGCCTCTGGAGTAGCTGGGATTACAGGCATGCGCCACCACATGCGGCTAATTTTGTATTTTTAGTACAGAAAGGGTTTCACCATGTTGGCCAGGTTGGTCTCCAACTCCTGACCTCAGGTGATCCACCTGCCTCAGCCTCCCAAAGTGCTGGGATTACAGGCATGAGCCACTGTGCCCGGCCCATATCTGATTTTTTGTCCCACTCCCACCACTATAGTCCAGGTTAGGGTTTCTCAGTCTCAGCACTATTGACATCTTGGGCACATAATGCTTGTGGAGGCTGTCCTGTGCACTGCAGGATGTTTAGCAACATTTCTGGCCTCTACCCACTAGATGCCAGTAGAACTGCTCTCTCCCCTCTAGTTATGACAATCAAAATGTCTCTAGACACTGCCAAATGCCTCTTCCCCATTGTCACCTTCATTCCCATGTTTGAGTACCACTGGCCCAGTTTCTCACTTCGTATCTGCCATACAAAATCAGCCCCCAAGTTAAGTCTACAGTTTTATTCCTCTAATTCCTGTGGCCCTGACAAACGACTCCTAAAGCACTGCTTTATGAGTCATTTCTCTTAAATCTACCACTCCCTGTTACCTACACAATTAGTTCAAAGCTCTCCATCCAACCTTGATAATCTGGCCTCAATTAAACATTATTCCACAAAGCACCTCATATAGTGGCTACCCAGCAGTCCTTCAATAACATATCCAGTCTCTCCCTTTCTATTCTACTGCTGTCACCCTGGTTGGATGTCCATGACCTAGCACCCAATCCAGACCACTGAAAGAGTGTCATTCCTTACCCTTTCTGCCACTCAAAGTCAAAAACTTTTCAATGGGTCTCCATTGCTTGCTGAAATATCGTTATCTGCTGCCCTTCTTCAGAGTCTTTCCCAATATGGCCTCTTTCTAATTTTATATTCTGTTATCCCGAAAACACTAGTCCTTGAAAAGGCTCCTACACTTTCCACTTCTGATCACTTTTCTCTGCCTGGAAGCCCTCATAATTCCATTCCCCTCACTCCACCCTAATTTAAAGTCCATCTGAATTAAGTCAAAAAGCCTTTCTTGGTCATACCTCCTTAGCATTTCATAACACTTGGCACCTCTCCTATGGCATACATTATACCTTATGTTATACATGAGCACTCCTATAATTGACAAGATCCTCAAGAGCTTCTTACTCCTCTTCTGATGCCTGCAATGCCTAGCCCAGTGTTAAGTAGAGAACTAAGCATTAGATATGAGCTGCCCCAAATGTTTCCCACTTAGAAAGCAATGGAGGACTGTGTTTTCAGACAATCCCAAACTCCCTTAAGGGAATTAAGCACATATTCTCCTTTTGTCTCATATTTCTATGTCTTAGACCAATTTTTAAGTAAATTGCCTTCAAGATATCTAGACTGCTATTTAGTATACATAACTGTAAGAGTTCTGCTCCAGGGAGTTCCAACTTGTAACTGAACCCTGAATATTTAAGCTCTCTCTTTATGCCAAAAGACAATGGAAATTTATTTTTTGAATGTTAATAAAATTGAGCAAAACATAAAAATAACTTGCACTGAATTAAACATGTTTGAAGTAAAGATTCATTAATGCTAATGTGTCTGTCCTAAAAATTACATTTCAAGTTCTAAAGTCTTTGTGTACCCATTAAAAAGATTGAAAGTTTTATTTCAACTCTTTCTCACCTCAAAGACAAACTAAAATAGAACAGAGAAGGCTTTTCCTTAATTTTATTTAGATCCTAACTTGAAGGTATACTTTGTTATTTCTTCAAAAGGAGCAAAAAGAGTATGATTAATGAGCATGTTCTGACCAGATCTCTAAGTCCTACTCCAAAGCTGTAACAGGAGAGTACCATAGACCACACTACCAGCACCCTTCGTTAGCAGACCACAGGCTTTGTTTTGTATCTCCCTGAGCTAAGAATGGCTTTACATTTTTGTGTTTTGTAAACACAAGAAGAAGAATATGCAACAGAGAGCATATGTGGCCAGCAAAGCCCAAAATATTTACTATTTGTCCCTTTTCAACAGGATGAATTTGGGACTCCTCGTTGCCCTTCACTGGCACGTAAGACATCCCACCTTTAAAAAAGCAATGTAAAACACAAGACCATTTAAAAAGATCGAACTCGTTCAACTTAGTCATAGTTAATGCAGACTTAACTTCTAAAACAGAGACCTGTGTGTGGACATTTTTATTCTTCACAGAATTTTTGTTGGAAGAAACTTGCCTTCATTCTGTGGATGAACATACTTATGCTTGAAAATGGAAAGTGCCTGACCCAAAGTCACACTGCTGGTTAACAGCAGAGTAGGGTCAAGGACCCAGCCTTCAAAACCCTGGTCCAATGCTTTGCAGTCCACTACATACACCTATACATGTGGCTTTAAATTTTGGAGATGTGGATAACTAGCTTGGATCAATATAAAAGATGAAAGCTTAAAACCTGTTCCTAACATACTGTTTAGACAGACTCCTACTAGCAGCTATGAATCATTAAACAGAGTAGCATTAATGCTCACCACATACATTAGATAAGAACTTCTAGGAAGTCCTCTGTTTCAAAAGCAGATATGATAAAAAAAGGCTTTAAACCTACAGGGTTTGCTCCTCCAGGGCTTCAGATTAGGGCAAATAACGCACTTCTGCCTACCAGCTGTTCAATACTCATCTCCCAACCCAAATCCACAAGTTCCACAAATGCTTTCGAATGCCTGTTGAAAAACATTGTTCAGTCTCATCACATACACACGTTCTACAGATAATTACAACTTCTTGTATGCCTACTTGTAAAACTACTAAGTAGTTCACATTTTAAAAAATTTCCCTAAGAATTTTGCTTCCTTTAAAAAAACTGCTTCTTCGATTCCTAAATCTATAGAACTCACTTTATCACGTCTTCTCGGTTAATCCAAGAATTAAAAAAACCATTTTGCCCATACTGATAACTTTACTACTCTGCAGGATCCGAAAAGCTCTCTATATGCCAGGTTCTAGGATTCACACACATTAACAACCTAAGATCCTTCAAGTGAGATAGCTCTTGCAGTACAGAGCACAGATTCTCAGGGTCGTGGGGGATACCGGCTGAGGCTCTTCAGACCCCCACCACAGGAGTTCCGTCCTCTAAGGGCAACCCCCTCCCCCTTGGCCGCGGCGCGAGTCCAGGCCTCCCGGGCACCTGCGGCCCCTGCCCGCTGCGGGGACCCCCCGAGGAACCAGCCCCCCGCCGGGCCCCAAGGAATCGGCGCCCACTCCCACTCCTGGAGGCCAGTGACTGCAGGCCTAAGCCGCCCGCCGGCCCCGGGACGCGACGTTACCTGTAGGACCACGTCGTTCGGCAGCTGCGCGGCCCGGAACAGCTCCAGCACCCGCCCGTTGACCACCACCTTCTTGGTGCTCTCAATGTCGCAGTAGGAGAAGAGATCTGAATAGTATTTCTGCTCCGCATCGCTCAGCGTTAAGCCTTCCATCTTCGCCTCCGGCTCACGGCCGCCCCGCCCCGCATGCACTACTCGGGGCCCGGCCCCAGGAACCTGGGCCGGCAGGGGCTGCGCGTGGCCCGGCCTCCTGCTAGCTTCCCGAAAACGCCGGCCCCGGCCTCACACGCGCCAGGTGCGCCCGAGCAACAGGGCCCGGAGGTCGCGAGGAGGGGGCCCGGCTGCGCTCGCCGCGCCGCTGCCTGCGAGGCCCGGCGCGCGGCTGCGGCTGCGGCTGCGACTACGGCTCCGGCTCCGGCTCCGGCTCCGGCCGCGGGGAGGGTGCAGAGAAAGAGGCGGGGGCCGCGGAGGCGCGAGGCACTGGCGGACTCCGCCCCCGCCGCGGGTTCGAGTCTCCCCGGCTCCCTGCCGATTCCCCCAGACTTCCCGCCTCGGCTTCCCCTTCCGTCCACGCCTCCGGAGCGGCAGCGCTTCCCGGAAAGTTGTGGGGCTTCGAACCTAAAGTTTCGGGGGATCTGGGCTGAGCGTGGCCGCCGCTCCGCCTCCCTCCGCCGCCATTTACAGTGCCCCGGCCCGGCCCCGACGCGCCCGCACCAACAGTGACAGCGGCGGCCGCGCTCCAGACCCGGATGTGAGGCCGGGAGGAGAGAGCGCGAGAGGGAGAGAGAAACACCCACCGGGCTGGCTTGGCCGCTCCCGGGAGAGGGAGGAGGCCGCAGCGCCCCCTGGTGGCCGGCGCCCGGCGGCGGGATGACCGAGCCGCCCTCTGCGCGGAGATCTCAGCAGCAAGACCCCCGGAAAGGGGGGTGCAGTGGGAAACAGCCGGCAGCTCATTAAGACCGAGATAACTAAGATCCGGGTTGCAGTTTTTATGTTTCGCAGTTTCTGGTCCTAAGCGTCTGAATAATTGGATTGAAAGGGGAGCCTTGTTCAGGTTATTATCATTCTATCTGTACCTTTTCGGTACAGATGAAGATAAATGCAGTATTTCCATCTGTTCTGAAGGGCTATGAACATCCGGGCTATGAACATCCTGGCTATCCGGGAAGCCTCCACGTAGACACCAACATTGAGGCTTCATCTCACTCGTGCTTCAAGCCATGTTTACCTGAGAAACAAAATGTGCTGAATAGAGGGGAAAACTGGCAAAGTTGTCCTCTTTGTTCACCAGGTCATTCCGGTCACTGGGAACTTAATACTCTACATTTATACCTTCAACTCTATCAACTCATGTAGGCCCGGGGCTGCCCACAGGGGCTGCCTTCCGTATTTTCTCCTTTATGAAAATCATGGAGTGGCGCTCTTTTAATCTGCACCTGTCCCAGAGAGGGGATTCTTCAGCTATTTCAAGTAGAATATCTTAAGAATTTATACTTAGCAAATATAAAATACTTCAAAGACGGGAGCTAAGGCAGAATTACCCAGAGTTCTGGTTTTTATTTTGTCTTCTACAAGTTGTTTCCCAGAGTGCGGATCCTATAAATGACACATATGAGGAAATTATTACAGGTTCCCAGTCATTTATCTGTAATTGCAAAATTCAAAGCGCACTGAAAACCCAAAGACTTTTTTTTGTAACCCTTTGGAAGTAAAACCTGCCCTGCCTCATTTGGAGGCAAAATCTAAACTAAGCTTGCATGAAGCTATTTCTAGCCTTTATGGATCCCACTTAGTGTCAATATTTACTCATTTCACTCCAGGTCTTTGTAGAATGTTAATATGTACACAGTCACAGGCATTCTATTATCTTTCTATTTTTTAAGAAAGATAAGGGATTTTAGACCTGTCAATGTCTTCTGACTTGACTAGTAGTATTTGATAAAGGTAAGTATATACTATCCATTAAGCTTATTTCCCATCTCTAAGACTTTCAGTTTGCTACAGCAGCCCCTCATGTGTCCTTTCAGGGCACCTGCAGCAAGTGATCAGACCCCCCCCAGACAGCTGCCTTCCAAAGGTGTAAACAGAAAGAGCACAATGGGGTAGGGATTGGCTCACAATTGTCTTTGCATCTTTTTCTCTGCCACCTCTCCTAGGCCTTGCAGCTCTTGTCGGCCCCAGGGCCTTTGTTCCTGCCATCTAAAATAGTCCTTCCACAAACCATGGCATGGCGTATTCTCTCATATGGTTTCAGGTCCCTGCTCATATGTCACCTCCTCAGAGCAGCCTTCCTGCAACAGCTGCTGTAAAATAATCCCACCATGCACTATCCCCTTATCTGAATTCCTTTTTTTTCTCTTTTGAGACAGAGTCTCCCACTGTCACCCAGGCTGGAGTGCAGTGGCATAATCTTGGCTCACTGTAGCTTCGACCTCCCAGGCTCAGGTGATTCTCCCACCTCAGCCTCCCAGGTAGCTGGGACCACAGGCCCAGGCCACCATGCCCACCTAAATTTTGTGTATGTGGCTTTTGTAGAGACAGAGTTTTGCCATGTTACCCAGGCTGGTCTCAAACTCTTGGGCTCACCCACCTCAGCCTCCCAAAGCGCTGGGATTACAGGCATGAGCCACTGCACCCAACCTGAATTCTTTTTCTTTATAACACTTTTCACTATCTGACATTACATATATAGCTGTTACATTTTTAACGGCTAATTATTGAATAATTACTAAGTTTCAGGCATTGTTCTAAAGCTTTACACTAATAACCACATTATTCACAACAACCCTATTAAGTGGTACTACTAGGTTTTTTTTTTTTTTTGACAGATTAGGAAACTGAGGCAAAATGGGTTAAGTATTGTGTAAGTCATGTTGCTATTAAATACCCGGATCTGGGATTCAAACTCCAGGCTGTCTCAACTCTAAAAATCACTACCCTATCTTGCCTGTCTAATTTCTTTGTTAAGTTTGTTATTAAGAAAATATTTCTTCACCAGGCATGGTGGCTTATGCCTGTAATCCCAGCACTTTGGGAGGCTGAGGTGGGTGGATTGCTTGAGCTAAGGAGTTCAAGACCAGGCTGGGTAACACGGTGAAACACCATCTCCACCAAAAATACAAAAATAGCCAGGCATGATGGTGTGCACCTGTGGTCCCAACTACTCGGGAGGCTGAGGTGGGAGGATCACTGGAGCCCAGGAGATAGAGGCTGCAGCGAGCAGTGATTGTGCCACTGCACTCCAACCTGGGAGACAGGACGAGACTCTGTATCAAAAAAAAAAAAAAAAAGAAGAAGAAGAAGAAAGAGAGAGAGAAAGAAAGCAAGCAAGCAAGAAAAGAAGGAAAATATTTCTTCATTGCCACAGTGCCAAAGCCCAGTATGTGACACATAATGTGTATCAATAATAATTTGTTGAATGAATGAAAGCATCAATTTTGACATTGATGTGATAAGCCATTCAATACAGTAAGTCCTCAATTAATGTTATTGTGGATAGGTCCGTGGAAACTAATTTTAAGCAAAACAAGGTATTCTAACCAAGTAGTTTAGCTTCAAAAGAAAACTTTTTTCTTTTCTCCTTTCTTGCCAGTCTCAAGCTGTAACCTTGAAACAAACTGTAGAAACCTTTTCTCTTTAGTCTTAAAATATAGCCTTGAAACATACTTTGAAACTCCACTCCCTTCTATTTCCCACAATGTACTCCCTTACCCAATGCACATTTATCTAACTGTATGCTTCTTAAAAATTCCAGGGGCTAATTTAAAATGAACTAGGCACAAAGGCCCAGCTGCAGAATTGTCCCCCACTTAAAGATTGCCTCAAGATAGATAATCTGCAGCCTGGCCACAGGCGAGATGACGCCAGCCTGCATTTTAGATGGACCATAACTCAAGATAGGCGTTGAAGCAAGACACACAGCCCGGGCTCCCGGCACAACTCTTGCATGTTTCCCATATCAAGGTTCCCTTTTTGAAACCTCTGCCTTCAGCCCAGACTTTTGAAGCAGTTTCCAGAGGTGTAAGCTGGCTGTTTCCCCACTGCTAGCTTTGAAAAATAAAGTCACTTTCCTTTCACCCCTTGTTATTGGGTTTGCAAAGGGCAAACAGCCAAGGCTGCACTTGGTTACGGTATCACGAAACCAATTTTATCATAGGCTAATTGATAATTTGCTACAAACAAGAGTTAAGTTGCTGTGACATATTTCTGGTCACAGAATCACCAAATTTCTAAATCGAGACCAA
Source organism: Homo sapiens (assembly GCF_000001405.40). NCBI lineage: Eukaryota > Metazoa > Chordata > Mammalia > Primates > Hominidae > Homo > Homo sapiens. The sequence goes on from NC_000006.12 coordinate 138,991,774, forward strand.
AACACTTCTAATATTAAACATTTAAGTAAAGGTAAGCTACACATGCAACTAAAATGATTAACTAAAAAAAAAATAACTACTTACCCTATTTTTGGTATATTGGTGAGTTACCACGGTTGTCCTGGTGGTGGGTTAAATCAAGGAATAAATGTCTGCAAAGTGAAGTTCAAAATCATCACAAACATGGTGGCTTGCTGAGCTCTCTGGCACCACCTTGTTTACTGTTTTGCATCTGTATGATCATCATATGCTTTACACATTTTTATTTTTCAGTCACTTATATTCATTCATTTTCCTACCTACTTATTCCATTTCGGGGTTGTGGGTAGCAAGAGCCTATCCCAGTGGCTCATGGGACAGGTAGAACCCAGCCCCTGTCTAGGATGTGATTGCATCACAGGGTATACACACACACACACACACACACACACACACACACACACACACATCCACACTCACTCAGACTGGGACCATTTAGACACCCTGACTTATCTAATGTGCACATCTTTGGGATGTGGAGGGACACCTGAGGATTCAGAGAAAACCCACACAGACATAGGGAGAGCATGCAGACTTCACACAGACAGTGGTGCCTACGGGGAATGCATTTATTTTTTCTCATCAATGTTATAATGAAACAATGTTGCTATTGAAGGACCTGTTACCTTCTAATCTCCTCCTAGTTTTGCACCCTTAACCTTAGAAACCTCCAGCACCACTCCTCTTTAGCAACCCAAAGTAATTATAGGATTGCTTCACTTCCAAGTTCTGGAACTCTGAAACTTCTTTCTCAGTCCATAACATGCTGTCCTTTCACTCTCACGTTCCAGTCCTCAAATAAGCATGCACCCTAGGCTGGGCGCGATGGCTCACACCTGTAGTCTCAACGTTTCCGGAGGCTGAGGCAGGTGGGTCACCTGAGGTCAAAAGTTCGAGACCAGCCTGGCCAACATGGCGAAACCCTACCTCTACTAAAATTACAAAAAAAAATTTAGCTGGGCATGGTGGTGTGCGCCTGTAATCCCCACTATTCAGGAGGCTGAGGCAGGAGATTCGCTTGAACCCGGGAGGCAGAGGTTGCAGCAAGCTAAGATCACACCACTGTGCTCCAGCCTGGGTGACAAGGCGAGACTCCGTCTCAAAAAAAAAAAAAAGAACAAACAAACAAAAAATACTTGCTCCTTGATATGGTTTGGCTGTGTTCCCACCCAAAATCTCATCTTGAATTGTAATTTCCATAATTCCCATGTGTTGTGGGAGGAACCCATTGGGAGGTAACAGAACCATGGGGGCGGTTACCCCCATGCTGTCCTCCTGTTAATGAATGAGTTCTCAGCAGATCTGTTGGTTTCATAAGGGGATTTTCCCCTTTTGCTCAGCACTTCTCCTTACTGCCACCATGTGAAGAAGGATGTGTTTGCTTCCCCTTCCGCAAAATTTTCTGAGGCCTCCCAGCCATGCTGAACTGAGTCAATTAAACCTCTTTCCTTTATAAACTACCCAGTCTTGGGTATGTCTTTATTAGCAGCATGAGAACGGACTAATGCGATATTGGTACTGCAAAGAGTGCGGTGCTGCTGTAAAGTTACCTGAATATGTGGAAGTGACTGTGGAACTGGGTAACAGGCAGAGGTTGGAAAAGTGTGGAGGGTTCAGAAGAAAATAGAAAAATGTGGGAAAGTTTAGAACCTCCTAGAGATTTGGAGGGCTCAGGAGACAGGAAGATGTGGGAAAGTTTCGAACTTCCTAGAGACTTGTTGAATGGCTTTGACCAAAATGCTGATAATAATCTGGACAATAAATTCCAGGCTGAGGTGGTGTCAGATGGAGATGAAGAAATGTTTGGGAACTGGAGTAAAAGTCACTCTTCCTATGCAAAGAGACTGGTGGCATTTTGCCCCTGCCCTAGAGATCTGTGGAACTTTGAACTTGAGAGAGATGATTTAGGGCACCTGGCAGAAGAAATTTACAAGTGGCAAAGTGTTCAAGAAGAACCAGAGCATAAAAGTTTGGAAAATTGGCAGCCTGATGATGCAGTAGAAAAGAAAACCCCATCTTCTGGGGAGAAATTCAAGCCCACTGCAGAAATTTGCATATGTTACAAGGAGCTGAATGTTAATCACCAAGACAATGGGGAAAATGTTTCCAGAGCATGTCAGAGACCGTTGCAGCAGCCCCTGCCACCACAGGCCCAGAAACCTAGCAGGGAAAAATGGTTTCATGGGCTGGGCCCACAGCCCCCCTGCTGTGTGCAGCGTAAGGACTTGGTGCCTTGCGTCCCAGCCACTCCAGCTGTGGCTAAAAGGGGCCAAGGTACAGCTCAGGCGGTGGCTTCAGAGGGCATAAGAACCAAGCCTTTGCATCTCCCACATGGTGTTGAGCCTGTGAGTGCACAGTAGTCAAGAACTGAGGTTTGGAAACCTCCGCCTAGATTTCAGAGGATGTATGGAAATGCCTGGATGCCCAGGCAAAATTTTGCTGCAGGGGCGATGCTCTGATGGAGAACCTCTGCTAGGGCAGTGCAGAAGGGAAATGTGTGGTGGGAGCCCCCACACAGAGACCCCACTGGGGCACTGCCTAGTGGAACTGTGAGAACAGGGCCACCATCCTCCAGACCGCAGAATGGTAGATCCACTGACAGCTTGCACCATGTGCCTGGAAAAGCCACAGACACTCAATGCCAACGCGTGAAAGCAGCCAGGAGGGGGGCTGTACCTTGCAAAGCCACAGGGGTGGAGCTGCCCAAGACCATGGGAACCCACCTCTTGCATCAGCGTGACCTGGATGTGAGACATGGAGTCAAAGGAGATCATTTTGGAGCTTTAAGATTTGACTGTTCTGCTGGATTTCAGATTTGCATGGGGCTTGTAGCCCCTTTGTTTTGGCCAATTTCTCCCATTTGGAACTGGTGTGTTTACCTGTACCACCATTGTATCTAGCAAGTAACTAACTTGCTTTTGATTTTACAGGCTCATAGGCAGAAGGGACTTCCCTTGTCTTCAGTGAGACTTTGGACTATGGACTTTTGGGTTAATGTTGGAATGAGTTAAGACTGGGAGACTGTTGGATAGGCATGATTGTGTTTTGAAATGTGAAGACATGAGATCTGGGAAGGACCAGCAGCAGAATGATATGATTTGGCTGTGTCCCCACCCAAATCCCATCTGGAATTGTAGTTTCCATAATCCCCACATGTTGCTGGAGGGACCAGGTGGGAGGTAATTGAATCACGCTGGCATTTACCTCCATGCTGTTCTCGTGATAGTGAGTGAGTGCTCACCAGATCTAATGATTTTATGAGGGGCTTTTCCCCTTTTGCTTGGCACTTCTCCTTGCCACCATGTGAAGAAGGATATGTTTGCTTCCCCTTCCGCCATGACTGTAAGTTTCCTGAGGTGTCCTTGGCCATGCTAAACTGTGAGTCAATTAAACCTCTTTCCTTTATAAATTACCCAGTCTCAGGCATGTCTTTATTAGCAGCATGAGAATGGACTAATATGCTCCTTATAACCTTCAGGTTCTCCTCAATACCAGCACATAGTTAATGTATTCAAAAATATACTTTGAGCATCTTGTGCCATTGTAAAACAAACTTCATGGTCTTTTCTTCAGGGATCATACAGTTCAGGGACCTTGTTGTCATTATGTCCAGGGTACTCTGCTAGCACCCTTGATTCCTTCATGCACTCTACCCCTGGCCAAATAACTGAATTGGCCACAACATGTGTGTTATCAGATTTTGAGAGGGACTCTTCCAGTGGTTCTATTACTCTATGAGGCTTTCCTAATGTAACAGGACATGGAGTAGTTTTCTCATTGACAACCAAGGCCAAGCCGAAGACCAAAAGTCACGAGTACCACACATTCTAAAGAAAAATAATAGGCCAGTCACGGTGGCTCACGCCTGTAATCCCAGCACTTTGGGAGGCTGAGGCGGGCAGATCACCAGGTCAGGAGATCGAGACCATCCTGGCTAACATGGTGAAACCCCGTCTCTACTAAAAATACAAAAAAAATTAGCCAGGCATGGTGGGGGGCGCCTGTAGTCCCAGCTACTTGGGAGGCTGAGGCAGGAGAATCGCTTGAACCTGGGAGGTGGAGTTTACAGTGAGCCGAGATTGCGCCACTGCACTCCAGCCTGGGCGACAGAGTGAGACTCCATCTCAAAATAAAAGAAAAAGGAAAATAATAAAGTCAGACCCCTTTCCTTATGGGATTACTAGTAGGCAACTGAATGGACCTTACTGCCAGCAACCACTGCCTCAACCTGCAGGCACACATCCCCGGATGGAGGCAGAGTCCTAGATGTCATCAGTCTATGAGAAGCAGTGTGTCTGTGTGAGAGCCCCTCCAAACAAATACATACTCCTCCATGGAAGCAGGAGCTCAAAAAGACAGGGAAGCCTACAAGAGGAGGAGCCTGCCTCCTTGCTTCCGAGATGGATACTGGGTGGGCTGAGTGGTAGAAGGCTAACAGTTTCACAATGAATTAAATTTTTCTCTAGATCTGTCACTTAAATTCATATTTCCAATTATAAAGGAAAAGAAATACGATGTAACACATTGGCCCTTTGGGTTCAAGTCTAATCTTTCCTATACATTTTTAGTAATATCAGTTTTAAAAATGACATCATGAGAAAGCTATTTTAATACAGGTGGTCTATATTATATAGACAGATTTTAAAATGCTGATTTTCAGGTAAAACCAACTAGTTGGTTATTGCCGGCAAATGCATCAGCTGTTTTTTAACTGAAAATCTCTAATATCGTTTTTAAAATAAATAAATTACGTACAGTGAAGTTTGACAAATGCAAACAGTCATGTAGCCACCACCAAAATCAAGATATAGAATTCCACAATCCAAAAAAATTCCTTTGTGCTGCCCTTTTGTACTCAGCTCCACCCTCTACCCTCAGCCCCCCGCAACCACTGATTTGTTTGTTGTTCCTATTCTTCTGCCAAAAATGTCATCTACATGGAATCATGTAGTATGTAGCCTCTTAAGTCTGGATTTTTTTCACATAGATTAATGCATTTGAGATTCTTCCATGTTCTTGCTTGCATCAGTGGTTTAAACAGTATTCTGTTGTATAGATGATTACAGTTTATCCATTCACTAGTTGAAGGACATTGGGGTTACTCCCAATTTAGGGTGATTATTAATAAAATACCTAGGAGTGGGATTGTTTGGTGAATGCTTAACGTGTTTAACTTTATTTTTTTAAAAAGTCATTTTTTCAAAATGGCTGAACTATTTTGCATTCCCACCAGAAATGCATCCGAATTTTAGTTTTGTTCTACAACCTCATAAATCATTCTAATGTCATTCTAATAGGTGTGTGGTGGCATCTCACTGTGATTTAAATTTGCATTTCCCTAAAACAAATGATCACCATTTCATGTACTTACTTGCCATCTGAATATCTTCTTTGGTGAAGTGTCTATTCAAAATTTTTTCCCATTTTATATTGCGGGTTTTTTTGGTTTTGTTTTTGTTTGTTTTGAGACAGTGTTTCGCTCTGTTGCCCAGGCCAGAGTGCAGTGGTGCAATCTCAGCTCACTGCAACCCCCCACTCCTGGGTTCAAGCGATTCTCTTACCTCAACCTCCCAAGTAGCTGGATTACAGGCGTGTACTAGCAAGCCTGGCTAATTTGTTTTATTTTTAGTAGAGACTGCTTTCACCATGTTGGCCTAGCTGGTCTTGAACTCCTGACCTCAAGTGATCCACCGGCCTCAGTCTCCCAAAGTGCTGGGATTACAGGCATGAGCCACTGTGCCTGGCCTGTATTGAGTTCTTTGTTTTCTTATTGTTGAGTTTTAATATCCTTTATACATTGTTTATACAAGTTTTTTTGGTTAGACGTGATTTGCAAGTATTTTCTAAACTCTGTGGCTTGACTTTTTATTCACTTAGGAGTGTCTTCTACAGAACAGAATAGTTAAAAATTGGGTTAGACCAACTTGTTTGGGGGCCTAAAGAACATTAGTGAGGGGAAATTTACTGGAGAGGGTTTCAGTTAAGGCACTTAGTCATTCACTTTGTGTATGAGAAGTGGCCCAGGATAAGCATATGCATTAAACCCAGGGACAGTAACAAAGGGTTTGGCTGGTTGGTCAGGGGCTTGGAAGGAGACAGTTTGGAAAATTAGAGTGGAGGATATCTGGGGGAAAAGCATGTGGTTGAGCCTATGGAAGGGACATGAAATGGGAATATCTTTGTACTACATGTTCACACCCAAGACAACCAAGTAGAGAGCAGGCACAAGACAATCAAGTTGACAAAACGACCTGGCCAGTTGCTGACAGGCAGCCCCTGCAATCAGCCACCCCCATGCTGGTACACTGGGTTTGGGAACTGAATGGCTTCTGCAGCAGCAGTGGAAGCTACACATGGGCCCTACACCATAGACTCCCACTTACCAAGACCATATGTCCAACCTGCCAGCAACGAGACCCAAGTTCGGTTCCCGACACAGGATCATTCCTCAAGGAGACCAATCGGATACTTGGTGACAAGTTGATTTATCTTTACCATAATCAAATATATTCTAGGCATATGTTTGCTTTTCTGCCCTCAGGGCCTCAGCCGGCACCACTGTCGGAGGGTGTTTTAGCAGAATATTTATATCACCAACCTGGAATCTGTGTAATATTGCTTCAGAACAAGAGACCCCATTCACATCAGTGAGAGGTGGACCAAGATGAGAATATACTTTAAACCCAGGGACAGTAACAAAGAGTTGGCTGGTTGGTCAGGGGCTTGGAAGGAGACAGTTTGGAAGATCATGGCAAGGCCACAACTGATCCACGTTGTCTCCTTTCTACTCCTCATTCTAGATCCCCTCGCCCTCAGCCAACACCTCTGCTGCTCTAGGTGGCTTACATGTACATCACTGGACACATGACCATGGGACCTCTCACATACTATACCCCATGGAAGCTGCTGACCAGGAGAGTGATAGAATGGTCTTTTGAAGGTGTAGCTGTGTGTCAGTTTGGAGATGATACTCTGCCAAGAGAAGACCCTAAATTAATGACTGTATATGCTACAGTGTCTCTGATCAGTGGGCTCTCTATGAGACAGAGAACCAACTGGTGAAAGTTAGACTGACCCCACTTGCCTTTGTTAGGAGTGACCCACTTGGAGACCTCTTCCTGTCCCCTCAGTCCTAGGCTTTGGGCGTCTGGAGGTCCTAGTTGTCAAAGAGGAGTGCTTCCACTATGAGGCTTATTACTAGTCCCATTAAAATTTCAGCCACAAATGCAGTCCGGTTACTAAGGGCTCCTTAATAGGGAACAAAATAATTAACACACCTGAGGGTAATTGAATTTACTCATCAGAAGGAAATAACACTTAATTTACACAATTAAGGCAGGAAAGAATAAGTTAAACACCTAAGAGATCTATTGGGATTGGTATCTCTTGTTACCCCCGATAAAAATTTTTGGCTTGGCCAAACTTTAGTCAGGCTCCTAAAACTTCTCCTAGGCCCATCTGTGCACTTCCTTGTAAAATCCAGTTTTAGCAAAGAACATGCTAAGTCAGTTTAGCAAGAAGCCCCCACCCTCAATATGTGATCGACCTGGAAAATCTGACCAACCTGGAAAGCTGATTCTGATCAATCTGATCAACCTGGAAAGCTGATCCTGTTCCTCATCTTCCACTTTCTCCCCACGTGATGTCCGATCATCCTGCTCTGTCTTTAGCAAGAATCCTGTTCAGTCAATTCAGCCAGAGAATCCCCCTTACCCCTGATGTTTCTTTTATGTAATTTCCATCCACTGAACCCCACTCTGCTCCTTGGCTATAATTTCCCACTTTGCCCAGGCTGCATTTGGAGTTGAGCCCAATCTTTTTGCCTTACTGCAAAATCTGATTGCAGTGGTTCCTATGCCTCTCTGAATGGTCCTGAATAAAGTCTGCTTTACCATGGTTTAACAAATGTCATTGAATAATTTTTTTACACTGCCCTGTTCAGTGTTGATGGTAAATGGATAAGTGTAACTGCCATAGTCAGAGAAGGGTGTAGTGACAAGGGACTCAGACCACCAGGAGGATGAGAGTCTGGGTCACCCTGCAAGAAGAGCCACCTAGAGCAGCAGAGGTGTTGGCTAAGGGTGAGGGGGATGTAGAATGAGAAGCAGAAAGGAGACAATGAGGATCAGATGTGGCCTTGCCATGAGCTGCAGGGGTGGCAAATGTAGCTCATTCCACTAACCTCCCTCTTCTAACAGTTTCCAGGAAATGAGACCAATCAGAATGCTAGAAGAGTTATTCCTATATGGAGTAAATATATAAAGCATGTGGATCTGTGTGGTGCAAGCACAGGCTGTGGTGGCTGCAGGCTGTGGTATGCAACCCAGATTACCACACCCACCCGGACTGAGGCGCTCATATTTTTAGCTACTGAAAGTATTGAGATGTCAAGGACCCACAGCTGAATCCCTCTCCAGGAAATGCCCTTGGGAGAAGGAAGTTGTCTTACTCAAGTTATACCTCTGCCACAGGGGCAGTCCACATCCAATGACTAGTCAGTGGATTTAGGAGCCTAAAGGTCCTTGTTGTTTTGGGACAACTTTGAAGCGTCATTTCTGCTTCAGAGATCTTCCAGGGATTGGTGGGGGCCTCCATTGCTACCACATTACAGTTTTCCCTCTGCCCAATTTTGGGATTTCTTCTCTTCCTTATGAGTGTTGTTCCTGACAATTACCAGTGAACCTCTTATCTCCAAATCTCCATCAGGTTTCCTGGGAAACCCGATCTAAGCCAGCCACCTACACACTTCTGCTCCCATTAGTTGAGTTAGCTGGTGCTTACCATCCTCTTATACTTATTATTGTAATTATTATAATTGGATTAAATGTTACATAAACACATTAAGTATGCAAACAAAAAGATGATTTTTGTTTCTGTAAAAATCAAGAATGATGCTTTGGGAAGACACCATGATGGTAAATTGCTAAGAATAGTTGTTGTTGAATTATCTGTGGCATTTTCTCATAAAGAAAGACTTGGAGTTGGGGCCAGGCAAGGTGGCTCACACCTGTAATCCCAACACTTTGGGAGGTCAAGGTGAGTGGATCACTTGAGGTCAGGAGTTCAAGACCAGCCTGGCCAACATGGTGAGACCCAGTCTCTATTAAAAATACAAAAATTGGCCAGGCATGGTGGCACATGTCTGCAATCCCAGCTACTTGAGGCTGAGGCATGAGAATCACTTGAACCCAGGAGGCAGTGAGCTGAGATCGCACCACTGCACTCCAGCCCGGGTGACAGAGCAAGACTCTGTCTCAGAACAACATGGTATCCAGGTGTTTAATGTATGCTTCTTGTTTGATGTAGAATTTAGGATGGAGTGTAATTTATTCCCTGTAATTATAATTTGTTTTTTATTTTTGAGAAATCTATTATTTTTGTAAAAATAAACATGTTTATTGTAAAAACTCAAAATAACTTAGAAAATAAAAAATAAAAATTACCTGTAATTCCACCAACTACAGGCAACCTCATTTCAGTGAATATCCTTCTTAACATCATTTGTTTAAAATACACAAAAAAGGCATGTACAATGTCAAATAAATGGATGTGTTACACATATAAATAGATACACATTACATCCTATATACGTGTATGTATTACTATATGTCATATAATCAAATATATCAAATAAATGCATTGTATAATTACTATATATAGTATAAATATACTATACATAGTATATATATACATGTTATATAAATACATTTATGTATAAAATGCATCCGTTTATTTGACATTGTATGCTTATTTCTTTGTTTTTTGTGTTTTTTTTTTTTTTTTGAGACAGAGTCTCGCTCTGTCGCCCAGGCTGGAGTGCAGCGGCACGATCTCGGCTCACTGCCAGCGCCGCCTCCCGGGTTCACGCCATTCTCCTGCCTCAGCCTCCCGAGTAGCTGGGACTACAGGTGCCCGCCACCTCGCCCGGCTAATTTTTTTTGTATTTTTAGTAGAGACGGGATTTCACCATGTTAGTGAGGATAGTCTCAATCTCCTGACCTCGTGATCCGCCCACCTCAGCCTCCCAAAGTGCTGGGATTACAGGTGTGAGCCACCGTGCCCAGCCTCCCTTATTTCTTTGTTATATCTTTTGTAACAAGTCTTGTGTGCTCAACTATGAATCTTACTTATTTTCTTCTTCTGAAGTCATTAATATAAATGATACAATAAGACTAACTTAAGAAAAACAACTGTTATTCTCTAGAAACCACATGAGGCAATGTTACTAATGGGATATATTTCCATTACCTAACTAGGAGAGAATCATAAACTTATTATTTTTTGGATGTTGCACTTATAAATCAGTAGTTTAATCATGAAATAGAAATGCCAGATAAATTTAAGATCTCATATTAGCATTAGATTCATCAGGAGCAAAGGCATGGAAACGTTTATGAAACTGTTGGTAGAGGAAAAATAAATCAACTTTTTGTATAAATAAAATTATCAGGAGAGATTAACCAAAAATTAAAAAAGCATTTTCCTTCCAATAAAAGTCAAACCAACAAATGGTTATGACTTATCTACCCTATGCAAGGCAATTTTCCTTTAAGTTTCCTTTGTAAATATTCTCAATTGCATGTGCTTTCAGGATTTTGAATTTTTAACCTGAAAAAAGTCAAAGTGGTTTCCTCTTTGTCTTTATAATATTAGGACTGAAATATGGAGAAGTAGTTGTAGGAAAAGCTAAATGCATGTTGCTTACCATTAGTAGTTTTTCAAAAGCCAAACCTTTGCACTTGGATAGGATCATCTCCAAAAACTTGATCTTTTCAAACTATTAACAACAACAACAACAAAAAGTAAACTGACCTTTGTGCTACTTCTATAACCTTCACTATTTTCTTTAATTCCCCATGGTCCTGCCATGAAAATATTTTATATGGTTATATGTTTCATAACCCTTTGTGGTGCTTAGAGCTATAGGTTATTTGCTTTGTAAAGTCTATTTCCTTTTTTTTTTTTTTGAGACAGAGTTTGCCCAGGCTGGGGTGCGATGGCGCGATCTTGGCTCACCGCACGCAACCTCTGCCTCCAGGATTCAAGCAATTCTCCTGCCTCAGCCTCCTGAGTAGCTGAGATTACAGGCATGTGCCACCACACCAGGCTGATTTTGTATTTTTAGTAGAGACGGGGTTTCTCCATGTTGGTCAGGCTGGTCTCGAACTCCTGACGTCAGGTGATCCACCCGCCTTGGTCTCCCAAAGGGCTGGGATTACAGGCGTGAGCCACCGCGCCTATTTCCGTTTTAAACTATGGCATGCTTTGCTGTTGTCCATGTTTCAATTTCCAAGGACTCTTGGTGGTTGTCTCTGAGCAATCTTAAAAACTAAAACTGTGGAAAGTAAAAACAAATATAAATCTTGATTGGCTGTAACAATAAGAAGGCAACAAGTTGAAAGAGAAACAGAATGGTCCTAGTTTGAAGTAAAATACACCTGGGTTTGAAGCCAAATTCTGGAAATGATTAGCTGAATAATCTGGGGCAAGTTTAATGTCTCTTAGCCTCATTTTCTTCTTCTGTAAAAAGGGATGCCTTATTTGGTCAGAGTAACCATAAGAGATAATGTATGTCAAAATTGTTATCTAAGTGGTGTTTAACAACTGGCAACATTATCAAAGACAAACATAATTAATTAAAATCTGGATTATTTATATTTGTTCTTGCTTATTGTTCAAATAATTTAAACAACCAGGAGGAGATCCTTTATTAAGACATAAACAATTATTTACAACATGTCATTATCATCTATAATATCCATTTCCTCCTAGTCTTCAAGTTGTTACTGTTCTGTAAATCCACTGCACAAAGAAAGCCTGACCATGTCTAGTAATTTGGGTACTATCAACAAGCATTATAGCCTGTAAGCATTTAGTGCCTAAAATCTACTTGTCTTTTTTTAAAAATTATTTTGATGCAGGTACATAAGTGTGTTGGGACCAAACATTCTAAACACTATATGTAGCTTTAAAAATCTTCTCCAGGGAATATAATCTTCCTCAGTAGCAGCAAGTGGGTTGGACTTAATTTTGTCACTAATCATATCTCAGGATCTTTCTGTTAAATTGTAATCATTTAAGAAATACAGTATCTTTCACTTATAGCTCAGCCTCCAGCACTTCCTCTTTTCCTTGCTCTTCTCCCAGATGTCATGGGGGTCAATGGAGGTTAGGGGTTGAGATCAGCTTACATGATTTCTTGGTTGGAAGAGAGAAGGGGACATATAATAAAGACATTCAATGTGTCAATCCAGTAAGAAGCCAATAAGAATACTTAGTCTCAGTGGCCCCAGGATTCACAAAACCCATGTTTCCTGGAACAATACTTTGATTTAAAGACAGAAAGTTATTTATTTTACCAAAGTAGTTTTTTTGGGAAAATCTCCTCTTCTAATTCAATAAACTGATTTATTTAAAATGAATCATTTTCTTTCTTTCTTTTGTTGAGACTGAGTCTCACTCTGTCACCCAGGCTGGAGTGCAATGCTGCCATCTCTGCTCACTGCAACCTCCGCCTCCCAGGCTCAAGCGATTCTCCTCCCTCAGCCTCCCGAGTAGCTGGGACTACAGGTGCATGCCACCACACCCAGCTTATTGTATTTTTAGTAGAGACGGAGTTTTGCCATGTTGGCCAGGTTGGTCTCAAACTCCTGATCTCAGGTGATCCACTCGCCTCAGCCTCCCAAAGTGCTAGGATTACAGGTGTGAGCTACTGCACCCGGCCTAAAGTGGATCACTTTCAAAGGCATTTGTGAGGAAGGTAGTCATTAAGATAATCATTATATGTACAAAGAGAAATAAGAGAACTAGAGAAATGCAGCTACAAAGTCAAAAATAAAACTTCCCTTAAGTTGCCTGAAAAACAAAATGAAGTTTGTTATTTGGTTAGTTCGGCTTAGTGTTTGTTGTTGATGGTTATATTTGTAGAATTAAGGACCCTTAAAAAAACAAAAATAAATAATTGCTTAAATTTCCTACCTTACTCTGCAGGCTGCAACATATTGTGATCTTATGATGTTAGTCTCTCTGACCTAACTCAAGATATGCTCCCTAATTAGCCAGTTCACTTCAAGTGACCAGGCTGAGGAGCAGTTACAGTGATTTTGTTTGCCTATGAATAATTGCTTTCCGCAAGTCATCTAGTGTCAAATTTTACTCTCTTTTTTGAATAGAATTTCCCAACTAATTAACTTTTTTCCTCCTCCTTTGTTCCTTCCTTTTTTCCTTTGCTCCCTCCTTCTCTCTTCCCTTCATCCCTTTCACTCATTTATTAAATACTTACTGTATGTCAGGCGCTGTTCTAAATTTGAAGATTTAAAGAAATCATTTCTTGCTTTAAATAGCAAAGAAGCAAATGATGGTGACATTCACTATGAGTAAACAAGTAATTACGATACGGCATGGTGCATGGTCTAATAGAGAGAAAGAGTACTTTTAGAATATACAGCAAAGTTGTCCTGCACAGGCCTGGAGTGGCCAGAAGTAGGTCAGTTTCATCTTTTGACCCCTCCTTCCGGAAGGAACTGCAGGATGACTATCTAAACTTTGACAGATTGAGCAGGACATGTGAGAGTTAACAAGATTAACATGATGACATTTCATATTGGGTCATTGAAGATGGGGAAGTGGAGAATAGAACTAGAGGTGGCCTTGGAAGCAAAGGGAAATGGAAGAGCGTGAGAAAAATGGACAGAAGGATGAAATAAAGAGAAAAGCAAAACAATATTCCCACAACGCAAATCCTTATGCTGACCAGACTGAGCCTTGGCAAAGTGATTGATTCTCCACACCAGTCAGACCCCAGAATCTACGTGACATTTTCCTTTTTGTAGTTCCTGCCCTATTGCCTGCATCATTTTGATAAAAAATGCTTTTTGGAGATAAGCATTATTTATTCCACATTTCTAGCTGTGCTCTAGTTAGATCAAGTAGAGTGGAATTAAAAGGCAACAGCCTTTGGAACAAAAGAGTCATCACTTACTTTATTTTTCTATACCAAGGTACTTATCTGCCTATTTCCTTTTGTCTTTCTCCTAGTTCTCAGGACCTTCACTGATATACATTCATTTAATGTTTCAATATATTTTGAATCCCCAAAAGGTTGTGGAATCTCAATTAACGTTTCAAGATGTATTGAAACATTAAATGAATGTATGTTAGGTGGCTCACGCCTGTAATCCCAGCACTTTGGGAGGCCGAGGCAGGTGGATCACTTGAGGTCAGGAGTTCAAGACCAGACTGGCCAATATGGTGAAACCCCATCTCTACTAAAAATACAAAAATTAGCCAGGCACGGTGGCTCGTGCCTGTAATCCCAGCTACTCGGGAGGCTGAGGCATGAGAATCCCCTGAACCCAGAAGGCGGAGGTTGCAGTGAGATGAGATCGCACTGCTGCACTTCAGTCTGGGCGACAGAGCAAGACTCCATCTCCAAAAATAAATAAATAAAAATAAAAAAATAAAAAATAAAAAAAGAATGTATATCAATGAACTCTTGAATCCTCAAAAGTTATCTGAGATGCTAGGAATTTTAAGGCAGCCTGGGGCTTTGAACATATGTATAAATTCCTACCATGAAAACAGTTTGGTCAGTTTAATTCATTTCATAAATATTTATTGAGCATTTGTTATGTGTTTTGTTTGTTTGTCTGATTGTTTTTGCCTAATACCAATGCTTACAATACTGTGTGTTAATAACTACAAGATGCTGAGAACAGAAAGTCAAATAACATGATCCCTGCCATTGAGGAATTTATAATTCAGTGGAGAAGACAAATACATGCTATTTAACTTTTCTCCCCTCTGTGGCGCTTCCTATCTATGCAGCTCCCCACCCCTGCTTCTAGCTCTAAGTCCAAACTTGGTTTTGTTCCTGGTTTGAGGATGTCTGGTTCTCCTCTAAAGGCCTTTGATCCCCTTTCATGTCAACATTTTGCGGTAGCTTACAAACTTTCAGACTGCTCCCTGTGGAAACCTGTCTTCCCTTGCTTGTCTGCAGTAGAAAGATGGAATACGAATGTTCCACCTCACTGCCAGGGAGGATGTGGAGTTAAGCTCTCCCTTCCCTCAAGGAATGTGAGGTTTTCAGTTTTTAATTAGTAAACTAATTTCTAAATTCTCAAAATATATTGTGAAAGTGTCACAGGAAGAAAAGGCAATGTAAAGGAAGACAAGCAATGCCTCAGAGAGAAAAAAGAAGTAGGGGAGGAAGGCTTGTCCCATGAGAGGGGTTTCCCATGGGAGGGGCTTACCAGAGGAACCTTTGGGAATCAGGAGTTGATCCTGGAGAAGAGGCCTAAGAAGGCTTTGCATCATTGCTCAAGAGGAGCAAGGTGAGCAGATCTCAGAAAGGACCACCAAGGCGGGCATGGTCGCTTACCCTAGTAATCCCTGTATTTTGGCAGGCCAAAGTGGGTGATTGCTTGAGCCCAGGAGTGGGAGACCAGCCTGGGCAATATAGTGAGACATCACCTCTACAAAAATAAACAAAATCTGCCGAGTGTGGTGGTGCACGCCTGTAGTCCCACCTACTTGGGAGGCTGAAGTGGGAAGATTGCTTGAGCCTGGAGGTGGTCAAGGCTGCAGTAAGCTGAGATTGTGCCACTGCACTCCAGCCTGGGTGGTAGAGTGAGACCCTGTCTCAAAAAAAAAAAAAAAAAAAGAAAACAAACAAACAAAAAAACATAAAAAGGGGGCACTGTTTAAGGGCCCATGAATAAGAGGCTAAATCTCAGAGACACAGACTTACTAAAGAACCCCTTTGTCTACACACAGGGACCAAACCAGTCATCCTTCCTGTCCACACCAATGCACACTTGACTCCACCCATGGTCCGCTCAGCAGAGTGAAGTTCCTTCAGGCTTACTCCCCATGTGATTACCATGGTTGACTCCTCACCAAAATTGCCATGACCAGAATATCCACACAAGGGCTTTGCTTTTGGTGGGGAAGGGGAAGAGGTGGGAAGTTCCCCATTCTGGATTAAGAGCTGAACCACAGAAGTTTAAAACCAGCCTCGGCTGAGATAATAACTGACCTCCCTCTTACCTGCCTCCTTTATCCCAGACCCTTTAATCTGTGCTCACCCACACACAGCATTTGCCATCAACACCTCTTCAGTCCCTGCAACAAGTCATTAAATGATATTCTAGAAAATGTTTCAGAAACTCCATTCCTTTCTCTCCCTTTTTGTACCCCTCTACCACATTTCATTCTGCCTTGCTTATATTCTGCCTTTTCTTATATTAGCTGCCTTTTTTCTGAACTAAACCCCTAGATTTGGTGCTCTTTACACTTCTGGCCCTTTGGATCTTGGCCATCGTATTAGTCCGTTTTCATGCTGCTGATAAAGACATACGCGAAACTGGGAACAAAAAGAGGTTTAATTGAACTTACAGTTTCACATGGCTGGGGAGGCCTCAGAATCATGGTGGGAGGTGAAAGGCACGTCTTACTTGGCGGCAGCAAGAGAAAAATGAGGAAGAAGCAAAAGCAGAAATGCCTGATAAAACCTTCATATCTCGTGAGACTTATTCACTATTACGAGAATAGGATGGGAAAGACTGGCCCCCATGATTCAACTACCTCCCACTGGGTCCCTCCCACAACACGTGGGAATTCTGGGACATACAATTCAAGTTGAGATTTAGATGGGGACACTCCCATACCATATCAGCTGTCCTGCATAATTTTGACTTTTTCTGCTCCTATAGCTTCTGTGTTTCCCGTCCAGTGAAGCCCCAGCTTACCTTGTGCTCCTTGGCCAGTGTCCTAATCAGGCTAAGTTCTCCTCTCCTCTGCCCAAAGGGAAGGGAGAGATTCAGGCTCTATCCCTGAGCTTTAGGACAAAGTCAAGGTTATCTGTACCACTACCCTGTTTCCAGTTTAGCTTACCTGTAGGGTCCACCTGTCAAGTTCCTTTGAGTAATTATGCTCATTAGTTTCCTGAACCATACTAGCGTTCTAGCAATTTCTGAGGAACAGCTTCCTGTATTCTGCTGTACAGGTAGAAAACCAGGCTGTTGAGTAAGCTGCTCTGGCACACAATGAGAGCTCAAACTCGTGGGCTTAAGACACACTCTTAATTATCCCCTTGAGCACCTGATATTATTTGAAAGGACCTCTTTGCAAGTCCTGGAATGTCTCATCCAGTTGATGAGAAGAAGGCCAAGGGGGTTTCTATATAATCCATATTAACCCCTCTATAGCTAAATAGAAAATTGGGTTACCATGTCTGTGCAAGATCAGAAGTTCCTGCTGTGACAGCGTGGCAATTTACTTCAGCTTCCTGGATCCCTAAAGCATGCAAGTCAGTACAAGGAGCATGGCACCAACTTTCTTGTGTTGGACCTAGGCTACAACACAAAAATCCCACCTACCAATTCCATAACAGTCTGCCTGGCCTCACCCTAGACTAGGTGTCTTCCAAGGCCTGGGCAGGCAAGGTTCATCTTTTTAATTTTTATTTTTCAGACAGGGTCTTGCTCTGTCATCTAGGCTGGAGTATAGTGGCACAATCATGACTCACTGCAGCCTCAACCTCCCAGGCTCAAGCAATCCTCCTACCTCAGCTTCCCAAGTAGATGGGACTACAGTCACATGCCACTACACCTGGCTAATTTTAATTGTTTTTTTAGGGACAGGGGTCTCACTCACTATGTTGTCCAGGTTGATCTCAAACTCTTAATCTCAAGCAATCCACCCACCTTGGCCTCCCAAAGTGCTGGGGTTACAGGTGTGAGGTTAGGTTCATCATTTAATCACAAAGTACACAATAATAATGGCTACCATTCATTGAATAATTGCTTTGAAGGTCTAGGTATGCTTAAGCCTCACGAGTACTCTACACAGAAGGTGTTATTATTCCCATTTTATATATGAGGGATATGAGACGTTGAGCCCAAGGACACACATTAAGTGGTGGAGCTGGAATTTTATTAATGGCCTGTTGGGCACCAAAGTGTGTGCTTTAACATCTCACAAGTGTTGGATGAAGGCACCAGCTTCTCTGGACCTACTTTTTCTTGTTGGGGAAAACAAAAAACAAAAACCTTTTGATAATAAAAACCTAAAGAGAATAAAAAAGCTACAGTAAACTTCTAGCTTGAAACATTTAGCTTACTTACAGGAATAAGGGCCTCTACACATTTTATATATCTTAAAACAATATCTATAAATGGCAAAATAGCACAATAAGTTATTATACTTCACTTAAATATGATAAGTGAGTAAGTATGTAAGTATGATGAAAGTTAATTCCATAGTATAGACCCATTGGGAGCATATAATGAATTGAATGTTACCATACAGCAAATTTGAGGTGTTTTTCAATACATGTCATTTGGCAGTGGCTTATTGGAAAATTATGGGCCACAAATAAAACTGATGCAAATATACAATGATATACAGTCAATTAATAATGATGTGCTTAAAGTCACTTATAATTCATTATAAACATGGTTAAATAGACATTTGATCATTAAAAAGTAAAATCTTCCAAACCTCAGCCTCCCAAGTAGCTAGGACTTCAGGTGCACTCCAACACTCCAGGCTAATTTTTTTTCTTAATTTTTTTTTTGAGACAGAGTCTCATTCTGTCACCCAGGCTGGAGTGCAGTGGCCCAATCTTGGCTCACTGCAACCTCTGCCTCCCAGATTCAAGTGATTCTCCTGCCTCAGCCTCCCGAGTAGCTGGGACTACAGGCGCATGCCACCATGCCTGGCTAATTTTTTATACTTTTAGTAGAGAGGGGTTTCATCGCGTTAGCCAGGGTAGTCTCGATCTTCTGACCTCGTGATCTGCCTGCCTCGGTCTCCCAAAGTGCTGGGATTACAGGCATGAGACACTGTGCCCGGCCTTTTTCTTAATTTTTTGTAGAGATGAAATCTTGTTATGATGTGTAGGCTGGTCTCAAACTCCTGGGCTCAAGCAATCCTGCTGCCTTGGCCTCCTAGAGGGCTAGGATTGTAGGCATAAGCCACTGCAGCCAGCAACTGGTATTCTTAGTAGAAGATCTTTCTTATCTCAAATCTTTCCACACAAATGGCTGCCTCACCCCATGTGTATTCAAGGCATCTTTAGCCTTAATTGGTTTGCAAATCAGCTTGGATTTAGCTAGCTATCAGAGGTTCTCTGCCCTTGAGGGGGACAGAACAATAGTTTAACAACCTGACAAAAGCTTCTGAAGATCATTGTGAAGTATTGAGAAGAGAGAGTTTAATAAGGGACTTAGAGAATTTTAGGTCAAGCATTATCTAGTAGATACCAGAGAGTGAATGGTCTTAGATAGCAGACCAAAAACCCCTTACTAGGGAGAAAAAGTGACTTATTAAGTTCACAGCAGGTACTCAATAAATATTTGTTTAATAAATGTTTGTTTAATGGTTATAATTACCATTGACAACTATAACTGAACTGCCAAAATACTAGTATTAAATTTTTGCATTACTATTCATACCTACTCATCGTCCTTCTTTTCTCTCATAAGCTTTAAATCTTATTAATATCTTGGGAATTAGATTAACCACTAGGAAATCCAAGTTATTCTGTTTTTAATTCTATGAATATTAAAACCACTTTTTTGAAGACAATCTGATTTTGAATGTACAGCAATACTGTTTGTAGATCATAGATGACCCTAGATGGATAACATAATTTTTCTTACAGTTGAAGTTCTTACTGTATACTAATATTGATGTTTCAAAGACAATCTTCTGTCTGGGCGCAGTGGCTCACACCTGGAATCCCAGCACTTTGGGAGGCCAGGGTAGGCGAATCACTTGAGCCCGGGAGTTTGAGATCAGCCTGGCCAACATGGCGAAACCCTGTCTCTACCAAAAAACAAAAAACAAAACAAAAAAACAAAAATTAGCTGGGCGTGGTGGCATGCACCTGTAGTCCCAGCTACTCAGGAGGCTGAAGTGGGAGGATTACTTGAGCCCAGGAAGCAGAGGTTGCAGTGAGCTGAAATGGCACCACTGCACTCTAGCCTGGGCAACGGAGTGAGACCTTGTCTCAAAAAACAAACAAACAAACAAACAAAATCTTCTATACACTTGGTTAACATTAATCAGTCTTCTTGATATGTGTCATACGTGAAGGAGCACCCCAAAGCCACCTAAATACTTAGAAAAGAAACCCATCTAGAAACATCTAGATGTTTGAATTTTTAAATTGAAATCTAAATATTTGAGTGATAACCTGTCAAACTCAATTGGACTTCATAAGCCCAAGGAAGGCAATTAGCTATTTTAAGGAAGTTTGTGGCAATGAAAACCATGTTGTGAGCGTTTAAGAAATCAGTGAAGAGATTGGAATTCGTTCTAGAAAAAAAAATCTCTATCAAAGAATTCCAAGGGCTTATATTTAGAACACCCTAAACAGCTTTAATCAACACTGCTAAGACCAAGAAGAAAAGAATGCGGTCTATGTTCCTCCCTCACATGTTTTTGCTGTTTTATCCCTCAATTAAATATATAGAAAAGACTGCCAAAAGACTTAAGAAATTTACTGTTGTAGATCTTTTAAATTTATGTTCACAAAATATCAACCCATAATTCTGTTGTCTCTGTAATTTCTCTCAGGAAGAGTTAATAAATGTGTATTATGACCACTTACTAATAACTGATAGCTAAAAGGCAGCTGTTATGAATAATTTTACATGCAATTAATGATATTTAAAATTCACATCGTATTGGAAATTAGAATATCAATGAAACTTTTATTGTGGTGATTACTTGCCACTTTAGCCCATCAAAAATGTATGCAACTAGTTTTTACAAATTTTAGTGGCTTCTTTCAATTGAATATGATCCAGAGACAGCAAGGGTAGAGATACTAGACATTGATCTCACTAAAAAGACAGTGGAAATGGAATACAAATGCAGATAATTATATGTATTTAATACATAGTAAATTTTAAAACATTACTTCTTCCCTAGAAATTTGTTTAAATTTTGGTGAAAATTTAAAAAGATATTTAGTCTATAATGGCTAAGATAATTGATTCATACATCTAATCTTTCATTTCAAATAGCCCTGAGGAGGGTCAAGAGGTTAGATAGTCCACCCTCAAGTCCATTCAACTAAACAGTTATTGAGCGCCCACTCCCTGTCAGGCATGGGGCCAAGCACTGCAAAGACACAAAATGAATAAGACATTGTCCACCCTCAATAACTGTAGTCTAAGTTAAAGGGGAAACGACTATGGTACAAGTTCCAATACAAGCTTAAATAAATATGTTATTTAAAACATCACATTTAGCACCTTTGTCTTCTAAGAGGGTTGCCATAATTCACATCACTGAGAAAACAAGTTGCTATAAAGCTTACTTTCACTGATAGAGATTTAGTGCTGGAGATGGGCAAGAAAAAAGAAGAAAGAAAAATGAAATAAAGGGGAAAAAGATAAATTGTGAAGCCTCTGCTAGGTCTTCCAAGATGCCCAAGGGTCAGAGGCAAAGGTGCTTTGTTTTTGTTTGTTTTTGTGTTCCCAGCAGAGCACATTAATGAGGGTTTGGATTTTGGACTAGAAAACTAAACTGCTCTGTGTAACAAAGGAGAGAACTGGAAGTTCTGGTGCCTGAGGAGTAGGAACTTGGAAACAGACAGGGATTGGTGAGGACAGGGCTTGGCAGCAGGTAGGAGGCTGGAGCTGGGAGGAGCAGGGGCCCTGAGCAAGTCCACAGGTGGGGTGGGGGGCACCTGAAGGGATTTTGAAATAGGTAGGACATCTCTTCTTTTCTTTCTTTTCTTTTTTCTTTCCTTCCTTTCCTTTCTTTCCCTTCCTTCCTTTCCTTCCCTTCCCTCCCCTTCCCCTTCCCCTTCTCCTTCCTTCTTTCCTTCCTTCCTTCCTTCCTTCCTTCCTTCCTTCCTTCTTGACAGGGTCTCACTCTGTGGCCCAGGCTGGAGTGCAGTGGTGCGATCTCAGCTCACTACAACCTCCGCCTCCCGAGTTCAAGCGATTCTCCTGCCTCAGCAACTGGGATTACAGGCACACGCCACCATGCCTGGCTAATTTTTGTATTTTTAGTAGAGACGGGGTTTCACCACGTTGGCCGGGCTGGTCTCGAACTCCTGACCTCAGGTGACCTGCCCGCCTCGGCCTCCCAAAGTGCTAGGATTACAGGGTTGAGCCACCATGCCCAGCCCCAAATGCTAGTTTTTTTCTTGGGTGGGTGGGGGGAGGTTGATATGGGGAATAAATTAAGAAATGGAGCTCTTCCATGCCTGTTTTTTGGGGGAAATGGTTGAACATCCATGAAATGTGAGAAGTAACTGGAATTAGAGAACTCGGAACCAGCAGAAAGCATGAGAACATACATCCCAAGAATTTCCAAAAATATAAGGAAGAGCATTGAACTTCCTAGAGGATATGGAATCATGAACTTGAGTACAGTCAAGGTGAGGGTGATATTTGCATTACATAAAAGTGGTATGAGATGGGAGGCTGAGGCAGAAGAATAACTTGAGCCCGGGAGGTGGAGGTTGCAGTGATCCAAGATTGTGCGACTGCACTCCAGCTTGGGTAACAGAGGGAGACTCCATCTCAAAAAAAAAAAAAAAAAAAAAAAGTGACACGAGATAACTGTTCCAGAAGAAGTTCAAAGTGCTGTAAGACTCCCAAGAGGGGGATATGACACCAAGCGGAGTGGACAGGAGGAAGAGGAGCAGGGCTGGGTATGCTTTCTATATTAGTTCATTTCTCCTCAAATCCTTTTGCAATGAGGAAGGATACTTTAAATAAGAAACACAATTTTGGCCAGGCATGGTGGCTCACGCCTGTAATCCCAGCACTTTGGGAGGCCGAGGCAGGAGGATCACGAGGTCAGGAGTTCAAGACCAGCCTGGCCAAAACAGTGAAACCCCGTCTCTACTAAAAATACAAAAATTAGCTGGGCATGGTGGCATGTGCCTGTAGTCTTAGCTACTTGGGAGGCTGAGGCAGGAGAATCGCTTGAACCCAGGAGGTGGAGGTTGCAGTGAGCCAAGATCTCGCCACTGCACTCCAGCTTGGGCAACAGAGTGAGACTTTGTGTCAAACAAACAAACAAACAAACAAACAAAAACCACACACACACACACACACACAATTTTATTTCTCCATTACAACAACTCTGCAAGCAGATTTCATTATCACTAAGTTTTAGAATAGAAAACTGAGGCTCATAGGGGTTTGTAATTTTTCCAAGAACACATGCAAACAGAACTACAGCCAGCCCGCGTGACTGGGTCACCTCTGCTTTGTACATGCACATGGAGCTTCAGTGCCAGAGCTGGCACTGAAGTTTGGCCTTGGATTTCAGTAGGCAAAGGTAAGGTGGGAGGGGAGGACTCAGCAGGCAGAGGGAACAATCAGAGCAAAGGCAGGAAGGCAAGAACATACTAAATAAACATTTACAGAACAAAACTGGTCTCCACCCCATGCCCTCACTATAGTCTGGACCAGATGCAGGAATAGGATATAGTGCAGTTTGATAGATCCGTGGTGTATCACAGATGGCAATGGAGGGTCAGGACTCTGGAAGGTAATAGTGGTCAAGTTGTGGAAGGTTTTAAAAGATGGGAAAAGCTTATATTTGATTTAATAGACCATGTGGAAATTTTGAAGCTGTACTTTCAGAAAATTAACCTGACATTAGACTGAAGGGTAGCCCAGAACAGAGCATCTTAAACTTCATGTAATGCAGACTTCTGTATTTCTAAGTCTAACATTCTGCATTTCTAAGAAGCTCTCTAGAGATTCTGACACAAGGAAGCTGGAGTGGGCTCTTCCCGATCTCCAGCAGCCCAGATTCCAAGCCAGCAGTATGCCTGAACCACTTAGTCTCCATGTTGAGGGATGACCGTGACTGAGGGGACTGGTGACAATGTCCAGTGCTATGGAGAGCTGCAGAATATTAAGAAATGGGAACAAGCTGTTGTGTTTGCCAGTTGGGAGTCATTAGTGACCTTAGGCTAGAGAGAACAGCTTTAGTAAGAAGGTGAAGGTAGGCCAGGTGCGGTGACTCACACCTGTAATCCCAACAGTTTGGGAGGCTGAGGTGGGTGGATCACCTGAGGTCAGGAGTTTGAAACCAGTCTGGCCAACATGGGAAACCCTGTCTCTACTAAAAATAAAAAAATAAAAAATTAGCTGGTCGTGGTGGCAGGCTCCTGTCCCAGCTACTCGGGAAGCTGAGGCCGGATAATCACTTGAAATGGAGAGGGAGGTTGCAGTGAACCAAGATCACGCCATTGCACTCCAGCCTGGGTAACAAGAGCAAGACTCCATCTTAAAAAAAAAAAAAAAAAAGAAGGAAGAATAAAGGTGAAGGTAGAAGCCAGATTACAAGTAGTGAAATAAATGGTAGGTGGTGAAGGAAAGAAGCAGCAAACTTCAAGTACTTTCTGAAAATCTCAAGACAAAGAGAAAACGGAATCTTGAGCCCTCAGCAGGATTGAGGGAGGGATTCATGAATAAACTGAAGGAAATATTTGCTTTGTAGAAAAAGAAAAATTTCCCAACAGAGAGATAAGAGAAAGGAAATCTTCCATTGCTACTCACAAAGACATTTCTATTTTTGAAGGGACTTTTTCCAGCCTGCAGTAAGATTTCACTGGGCCTGGACATTGTTTTTAAAACATTTTAATGAGTTGCCGCATCTGTTTCTAAAGGGAAAGTTTTGGTTTTTCAAAAAATCCAGATTTCTATCTTTTCTTGAAAAATGGTACAGTCTAGTAACACTGGGTATACACTCCCACATGCAGCTGAATAGGAGCTCCCCCTTCAAAAGAGGAAGTCAGCCAGGCTTATTTCAATCACTGTTATTTGCCTGTCTCTACAGAAACTGCATGCTTATTTGACGTGTTTGTGTGTGTGTATATACATATACAGACAGCAATCTGTATGTGTAAATACTGGAATTCCAGGTGAAAATTCATGGTGTAGAGATATTTTATGGTGAAAGAGACACTCCTGAGCACCCCTTAAATTTTGCAATGTGGCTGGGCCTCTGCGTTGCCGAGGTATAAGTCTGTCCTCTGTTCATCCTGAGAGAGTGCCCCTCCTAGGGATACCATGAATGATGGAGCCCAGGAAGAGAGCAGCAGAGATACTTTACATTCTGTGGGATACATTAGAAAGACATCAGTGAGCCCTTCTAGCTGAAAAGCAGCAGAAGTTTTTCTGAATTCCTTGGAGCAGCTGCTGCTGTGAGCTTTCACTGGCTGCTGGCTATACAAGCTTGTCTAGACCAAGTAGTTCTCGATCTTAACTGCGCATTAGAATTACTTGGGAACCTTAAAACGTGGGTGTCCCAGAGATTCTGAATTAATTGGTTTGAGTGAGTCCTAGGTACTGCTTTTTAAGCTTGGCAGGTGATCCTAATATGTAGTCAGATTAATTGCCACTGCAATGCTTTGTGGCATTAACCCCTTCCACTCTAGGCTTTGTAGACTCCCGAGACAGCACCTTAGACATTTGGTTAGAAATTGTGCTTCTTGGTGCCCTCCTTGACCCCTGACTCCACTGTGATCACCACAGCTGCCTGCCTGGCTGCTCTTTGCACCTAGCACTTAAGCCCTCATGACTGAATTTAATGATCTGGAAATTTTATTCTCAGTTGGCAGCACTGACCATTTGGCCTAGGCTCAAAAAAGGATAATGTAGCCTCTCTCTTACTGGAGCTACAACAAAGACTCAGAAAAAACGAAGTAGAAGGACTGTATACTGAATGAAAGAAGTTTACAAAAAAGAAGTGAAACATGGGTGGGGTGACTAGTTGTCCCAAACTGACTAGGGCTGTCCTAGATTTTGCCTTTTCGATGGATTATTTTGGGGTAATCGTTTAGATTTCTTATCAGAAGATTAGGAGGCTTAGAAAAAAAGGTTATTTGTAAATGTGTTAGCTGGTGGGTTGAAAGTGGGGGATGAATTGGAAAATAAATAGTGGTTATCATCTTAGAACTCTTAGCAATGTTCCTGTGGGGTTTTTTTGTTGTTGTTGTTGTTTTTACCATCTGTAACAACTCTGTCCAGTAGAACTTTCTCAGACAGTAGAAAATTTCTGTGCTATCCAATACAGTTGTCATTAATCCCCTGTGGCAATTGAGCAGTTGAAATGTGGCTACTATGACTGAGGATCTGAATTTTTAATATTATTTCATTTTAACTAATTTAAGTGTAAATGAAAATTAGAGCCAGGTGCCATGTATCTCATCTGTAGTCCCAGCTTCTCAGGAGGCTAAGTCGGGACGCTCGCTTGAGGCTAGAGTTTGAGACCAACCTTGGCAACATAACAAGACCCTGTCTCTAAAAAATGTTTTAAAAAAGGAATAAAAAAGAAAATATCCATGTGGGTCTAGTAGCTACTTACTGAACAATAAGAGTTGCTGTTTTCTGTGTTAGACATATGTAGGGGTGACTCCTCTCCCACAGGTCCTTCACAGAGAAACGATCTCATGCATCTCTTTTGGAAGGAGCAGCCCTAGTAGCGGGCATAGCAGATTTGACAGGGCGTGGGGGGAGCGTGACTAACAATCCATCCAAACTAGGTCAGTTAGGTTCTCTCTTTAAAGAATCTGGAGGCCAAGCATAGTGGCTCATGCTGTAATCTCAGCATTTTGGGAGGCCATGGTGAGAGCATTGCTTGAGCCCAGGAGTTCAAGACCAGCCTGGACAGCGTAGTAAGTCCTCATTTCTATAAAAAATAAAAAATTAGCCGGGCATGGTGGTGCGCCTGTAGTCTTAGCTACTCGGGAGGCTGAGGTAGGAGGACTGGTTGAGCCCAGGTGTTCAAGTCTGCAGTGAACTATGATTGTGCCATTGCACTCCAACCTGGGTGACAGAGTGAGACCCTGTCTCCAAAAAAAAAAAAAAAGTCTGGAATTAAGATACTAAAAGACTGTATTCATTTGGTAATGGTGAGTTGAACCATTACCAGTAGGGTTGTCAGTACAGGCTGTGCCATAGGAGACCAAGGCCATTTGCAACATCAGTTATGGGGGAGCTGGTAGGGATTAGAAATCATGTAGTAAAAGGAGGACAGGAGGGAGGGAGGGAGGGAGGGAGAGAGAGTTGTCTCATGGGAGACAATAATGCTTTGGTCCTAACGTTTCCATTCTAAGGCCAAGGTCACTTGAATGTTTTTGTTTCTTATTCTTGGATGTCCATGAGAATTTCTGTTGTAACCTTTCAATAACTCAATTACTGGAGCTAGTTTAATATGTTTCCACATCTTACAATTAAAGAGCTTTGTTGAAGACATTGTTTCCAATTTGGGAGTTAGAGAAGAGAAAAAAACAATAAAGCAAGATATGGAGGAAGGATAAAAGAAAAACCGGAAAATTCCATGAAAATTCTAGAAATAATGGTGATATATAGTATAATAAGCCAGTTTAGAAGAGTCCTCATCTTCATTTGACAAAGAATGATCCTCCTTCATATGAGGAGTTTGTTGTCTTTGACCAAGTTTTGGGAGGGAGACACATGAGACTTGCCACATGATGGTTTCCAATAAATATTTGATGAATGAGTAAATAAATGAATGAATGAATAAAGCAGCAGTGGGGACATGCAACAACTTCCTAGAACAGTCTAATCAATCCTTTTTTTCAAGATTTTTTTCAGGCTGGGCGTGGTGGCTCACGCCTGTAATCCCAGCACTTTGGGAGGCCAAGGGGTGTGGATCACGAGGTCAGGAGATTGAGACCATCCTGGCTAACACGGTGAAAACCCTACTCTACTAAAAATACAAAAAATCAGCCAGGCGTGGTGGCAGGTGCCTCTAGTCCCAGCTACTTGGGAGGCTGAGGCAGAAGAATGGTGTGAACCTGGGAGGCAGAGTTTGCAGTGAGCTGAGATCATGCCACTGCACTCCAGCCTGGGTGACAGAGCGAGACTCCATCTCAAAAAAAAAAAAAAAAAAAATTCAGCTAAATTATCTTTATTTGCTCTCTGATTTAGCTTTTAATTATTAATCATCTATTAGTCTTGTCTTCCCATTGTTTCTTTTTAAAAAAAAACATGAAATTGAGATATAATTCACATATCATAAAATTCACCATTTTAAACTGTGCAATTCAGCGGTTTTTAGTGTATTCACGAGATTGTGCAATCTTCACCACTATCTAATTCCAGAACATTTTAAATCACCTCCCCCCAACACACACACCAACTCTGCACCAAATAACTGCTTACCTCCTGTTAGCCTCTGAAAACCACAAATCCACCTGCTTTTCCTGTGGATTTGCTTGATCTGAATTTATCTGCTATCATATAAATAAAGGTACACAATATGTGGCCTTTTTGTTCTGGCTTTTTTCATTTAGAATGATGTTTTCAGGATTTATTTGTGTTATAACATGTATCAGCATTTATTCCTTTTTATGGCTGAGTAATAAACTATTGTGTAGATGTACCACATTTTATTTCTTCACAAGCTAGGTTGTTTCTACCTTTTGACCATTATGAATAATGCTGTTATGAACATTTATGTACAAGTTTTTGTGTGTGCATATGCTTTCATTCTATTTATTTATTTATTTAGAGACAGGGTCTCACTCTGTTGCCTTGGCTGGAGCACAGCAGTGTGATCACGGCTCAATGTAGTCTCAGCCTCTCCAGGCTCAGGTGATCCTCCCACCTCAGCCTCCCGAGAAGCTGAGACTAGAGACACGTGCCACCATGCCTGGCTAATTTTTGTATTTTTTGTAGAGACAGGGTTTCACCATGTTGCCCAGGCTTGTCTTGAGTGCCTAGGCTCAAGTGATCCACCGGCCTTGGCCTCCCAAAGTGCTGGGATTACAGGCATCAGCCACTGTGCACAGCCCATATGCCTTTAGTACTCTTGGGTATATAACCAAAAATGGAAATGCTGGATCAAAGAATGAAAAATCTAGGCTGGGCACAGTGGCTCATGTGTGTAATCTCAGGGCTTTGGGAGGCCAAGATGAGAGGGCTGCTTGAGGCCAGGAGTTCAAGACCAGCCTGGACAAGAAAATGAGACCCTGTTTCTACAAAAAAATGTAAACAATTAGCTGGGTGTGGTGGAGTGTGCCTGTAGTCCTGGTTACTTAAGGGTTGAGGCGTGGCGCTAAGGCAGGAGGATCGCTTGAGTCCAAGGGTTGGAGTCTGTAGTGAGCTATGATCATACCACTGCACTCCAGCCTGGGCCACAGAGTGAGATCCTGTCTCTAATATATATATATATTTATTATGTATCCTATATATAATATATGTATGTAACACTTAAAAAAGAATGTAAAATATATATTTAACTTGTTGAGGAACTGCCAAACTGTTTTCCACAGAAGCTGTACCATTTTAATTCTCGCCAGTAATGTATGAGGGCTTAAGTTTTTCCACATCCTCATCAAGACTCATTATTGTTCATTTTTTTGATTATACCCATCCTAGTGGGTGTGAAGTAGTATCTTATTGTGGTTTTGATTTGCCTTTCTCTGATCACTAATGAGGTAAAGCATCTTTTCATGTGCTTATTGGCCATTTGTGTATCTCCTTTGGAAAAATGTCTATTTAAATTCTTCGCCCATTTTAAAATTGGATTTTTAAAAATTGTTGAGTTTTAAGAGTTCTTCACACATTCTGGATATGTGATCTTTATCAGTTGTATGATTTGTAAATATTTTGTTTCATTCTGTAAGTTGTCTTTTCACTTTATTGTCCTTTGAGGCACAGATGTTTTAATTTTGATGAAATCTAATTTATCTGTTTTTTCTTTGGTTGCTTGTGCTTTTGGTGTCATAGCTGAGAAAATATTGCCTAAACTACAGTCATGAAGCTTACACCTGTGTCTCCTAACAGTTTTATCATTTTTGCTCCTACATTTAGGTTTTAATCTATTTTGAGTTTTAATATAATGGTATGAGATAGGGGTCAAATGCATTCTTTTCCATGTGAATATCCAGTGACCCAGCACCATTTGTTGAAAATACCATCTTGGCCAGGCACGGTGGCTCAGGCCTGTAATCCCAGCACTTTGGGAGGTCGAGGCGGGTGGATCACAAGGTCAGGAATTCGAGACCAGCCTGGCCAATATGGTGAAACCCTGTCTCCGCTAAAAATACAAAAAAATTAGCCGGGCATGGTGGCACATGCCTGTAATCCCAGCTACTCCGGAGGCTGAGGCAGGAGAATTGCTTGAATCCGGGAGGCGGAGGTTGTAGTGAGCCGAGATCGCGTTACTGCACTCCAGCCTGGGTGACAGAGCGAGACTCCGTCTCCCTAAAAAAAAAAAAGAAAAGAAAAGAAAAATAAAAAGAAAATACCATCTTTCCCCATTAAATGGTCTTGGCACTCTTGTGAAAAATCAGTTCACCATCAATGAATGGGTTTATTACTGGACTCTCAATTCTATCCCATGATCTATATGTTTATCCTTATGCCAGTACCACTGATTGTAGCTTTGTAGCAAATTGAAATCAGGGAGTGTGAGTCCTTTAACTTAGTTTTTTTTTTCAAGATTGTTTTGACTTTTTGGGTCGCTTTCATCTCTATATAAATTTTAGGATCAGCTTGTCAATTTCTGTGAAAAGTAAGTTAGAATTTTGATAGGGATAACATCAAACCTGTAGATCATTTGAGGGAGTGTTGTCATCACCACAATATTAAGTGTTTCAATCTATGAACATGGGATGTCATTCTATTTGATTAGATTTTCTAAATAAAGTTTTCTTTCAACAATATTTTGTAGTCTTCAGTGTACAAATTTTGCATTCCTTTAATTAAACTTACTACTAAGCATTTTATTCTCTTTTTCTGAGTATTAAAATTTGTATTAAGGTATAATTGACAAAAAATATATTTAGGTGAACAATGTGATGTTTTGAATATGTTTACATTGTAAAATGATTATATCAAGCTCATTAACATATCATCACCTTACATACTTATCATTTCTTTGTTGTAAGAAACTTTAAGATCTAATCTTTTAGGCCAGGTGCGGTGGTTCACGCCTATAATCCCAGCACTTTGGGAGGCTGAGGTGGGCGGATCACTTGAGGTCAGGAGTTCAAGACCAGCCTGACCAACATGGAGAAACCCCGTCTCTACTAAAAATACAAAAATCAGTCGGGCATGGTGGCGCATGCCTGTAATCCCAGCTACTCAGGAGGCTGAGGCAGGAGAATCACTTGAACCCAGGAGGTGGAAGTTGCAGTGAGCCAAGATTGCGCCATTGCACTCCAGCCTGGGCAACAAGAGCGTAACTCCGTCTCAAAAAAAAAAAGAGTTCTAATCTTTCACCCGCTTCGGCCTTCCAAAGCGCTAGGATTACAGGCGTGAGCCACTGTGCCTGGCCTGATATTTCTTCAAGATACTGATTTCCTTTGGATATATACCCAGAAGTGACATTGCTGGATCACATGATAGCTCTATTTTTAATTTTTTGAGGAACCTCCATACTCTTGTCCATAATGCCTGTACCAATTTACATTCCTATCAACCGTGTATGAGGGTTCCCTTTTCTCCACATCCTCGGAACACGTTGTTATCTTTTGCCTTTCTGAAAATTACCATTCTAACAGGTGTGAGGTGATGTCTCATTGTGATTTTAATTTGCTTTTCCTTGATGATGAGTGATGTTGAGCATTTTTTTCATAGGCCTGTTGGTCATTTGTATGGCTTCTTTTGAGGAATGTCTACTCAGGTTCTTTGCCTTTTTTTTTTTTTTTTGAGACAGGATCTCCCTTTTTCACCCAGGCTGGAGTGTGCTGGCATGATCTTGGCTCACTGCAACCTCTGCCTCCCGAGCTCAATCAATTCTCCCATCTCAGCCTCCTGAGTAACTGGGACTACAGGCATGCACCACCCACCCAGCTAATTTTTGCCTTTTTTTGTGGAGAAGAGGTTTCACAGTGTTGCCCAGGCTGCTCCTGAATTCCTGGGCTCAAGCTATCAGCCCTCCTCGGCCTCCCAAAGTGCTGGGATTACAGACATGCGATTAAAGGTGTGCCCAGTGCCTTTGCCCATTTTAAAATCAGGTTGTTTTCTCGCTATTGAGTTGTTTGAATTCCTTACATATTTTGGGTCTTAACCCCTGATCAGATGTATGGTCTGCAAATATTTTCTCCCATTCTACAGGTTGTCTCTTCACTCTGTAGGTTGTTTCCTTTGCTGTGCAGAAGCTTTTTAGTTTGATATCATTTCTTTTGTCTATTTTTGCTTTTGTTGCCTGTGCAAAAATTCCTTTTGATGTTATTGGAGTAGAATTTTAAAAAAATTTTCATTTCAGATTTTTCATTGCTAGTATATAGAAATACATCTGATTTTTATATATTGATATTATATCCTGCAATCTTTTTGAATTAGTTTATTTGTTCTATTAGCTTATTAGTGGATTCTTTTGCAGACACCCATGTCTTGTTCTTCATCTTAGGGGAAAAGCTTTCAGTCTTTTACCATTAAGTATGATGTTACTGTGTTTTTTTTGTAGCAGCCCTTCATTAGGTTGAGGAAATTCCCTTCCATTTCTAGTTCCCTTGTATTCCCAGTTAATCATGAAAGGATAATGAATTTTGTCAAATGCTCTTTCTGCATCTAATAAAATGATTATGTGGATTTTTCTCTTTATTTAATTTATATATATTAATATAATTAATTATTTAACATTAATTTTTATAAGTTGAAGCAACTGTGCATTCCTGGGAGAAATCCCACTTGCTTATGGCGTATAATTCTTTTTACATTATTTCTTAAGGGCACAGAGTTTACTTTTACTTCTGCGTATCATCTAAGGCACTCAAGCCATACTACAATTGGATCAAGAACTAGTGCCCAAGACATGTAACCATCATTATTACTGCTATCCTCATAAATGAGAGCACAAGGTGATGACATTCTGAACTAGAATGACAAGCCCAAATGAGAAACCTCATTTTAAGGAATGAGATAAAAGTTGGAGATAAGGCCATATGGGATTATTACATTTCTCAATGTTGTTGAATAATCCCTACATTCTTGGAATATGCCTTGCTTGATCATGATACTCTATTCTTCATTTTTATTTTCTATATTTCTTAAGCATAGCCTGACAACTACACTTTATTTAAAAAAATGTTTTATTTTTTAAAACAGGAAAAAATACACATATATATATACACACACATACATATATATACATACATATATATGTATACATATTTATCTAAAGTATTTGGCTTAATGAATTCTTAAAAATAAAACACTAATGTAACCAGTACACAGGTCAAGAAGCAGAGCATTATCAGCCCCTCATAAGGCCACTATCGTGCCCCCTCTCAGTCACTACCCTTCACTATCCAACAGGAATAACCACTATCCTAACTCCCAACACTGCTGATTAGTTTAACCTGCTTTTAAAACTTTGTGTAAAGGAATAATAGTCACCCTCATTTCACTCAATACTGTATTTGTGAGATTCATCATGTTGCATGCAGCTGTTGGTTGTTTTTCTCCTTGGTGGATAATAGGCCATTATATGAATGTACCACATTTATCAATTTATTCTGATGTTATTGGGGGATTGAGTCACTGTATTTTAGAAATATTATGTATTTTAGAAATACAGCCGGACATGGTGGCTCATGCCTGTAATCCCAGCACTTTGGGAGGCTGAGGTGGGTGGATCACCTGAGGTCAGGAGTTCCAGACCAGCTTGACCAACATGGCAAAACCCATCTCTATTAAAAATACAAGATTAGCTGGCATGATGGTGCATGTCTGTAATCCCAGCTGCTCAGGAGGCTGAGGCAGGAGAATCACTTGAACCTGGGAGGCCGAGGTTGCAGTGAGTGAAGATTGCGCCACTGCACTTCAGCCTGGGTGACAAGAGCGAAACTTCATCTCAAAAAAAAAAAAAAAAAAAAAAGGAAGAAGAAGAAAGAAATATGCACAGTCAGTGCTCCTGTGAATATTTTGTACATGTCTCTTGGTGAATGTATCTCCCTTTTCTGTTGGGTATATACCCAGGATGGAATTGCCATCCTAGAGATCCTCTAAGATAGAGGAAAAAATAGAAAAGTTTTTTCTATTCATTACAGTGCAGACAACTGCATTTTTAAAATAATGACTTCGATTTTCCATGAGTGTTTAAATATCATAGTGTTATTTTTCTCCTTCCAGGAACATGTAATAAGTTTTTAAGTAAAGTATTAGCATATAATATAACGCTTTATTCTGGAATTGTCTATAGCTACACTGTCTAATACAGCAGCCACTAGCCATAGAAGGCTATTGAGCACCTGAAATGTTGGGTAAATGTAAAATACAAAATAGACTTACAAGATTTAGTATGAAATAAAGAATGTACAATGTCTTATTAATAATTTCAAAATATCCATTACAGGTTGAAATGATAGTAGTTTGGATATA
This sequence comes from Homo sapiens, assembly GCF_000001405.40. Classification (NCBI taxonomy): domain Eukaryota; kingdom Metazoa; phylum Chordata; class Mammalia; order Primates; family Hominidae; genus Homo; species Homo sapiens. The sequence continues at coordinate 139,026,162 of NC_000006.12, forward strand.
CTGGGTGAAATAAAACATATTATTAAAATAAATCTCACCTTTTTAAAAAAAATGTGGCTACTAGAAATTTTAAATTGGACGTGTTGTTCACAATTTTATTTCCTTCGGACAGTGCTGGTCCGAATTAAATACATGCAATTAAATTACAATGCATGCAATTAAATACATGGATAAGGATTGTTTTAATATTTCAAATGTACATTACTTGCAGTTCTGTTTGACAAAGGACAGGTCATGGGCTACTTTGGACGATTTAGTATTGGCACTTTGTGGCTGGCACATTTATTTAAAATATATTAAATACTCTTTAATTTGATAAATTGTATTATTTTCTTTTTAGGTTAAACTTCCACATTGCTTACATTGTACATGATGATATTCCTGAGGGAATAAGAATAGATAACAAAAGTCTATTTGGAAATTGAAGGACTAGGATTGGATATGAAAAATATTAGTTAAGATTTTTTAATATTTCTTTTATCAAAACAGCTTTCTTTTTTCTTTTCTTTTCTTTTCTTTCCTTTTTTTTTTTTTTTTTTTTTTTTGAGATGCAGCCTCACTCTGTTGCCCAGGCTGGAGTGCAGTGGCACGCTCTTGGGTCACTGCAACCTTCGCCTCCTGGGTTCTAGTGATTCTTCTGCCTCAGCCTCCAGAGTAGCTGGGATTACAAGCATGTGCCACCACGCCTGGCTAATTTTTGTATTTTTAGTAGAGACGGGGTTTTGCCATGTTGGGCAGGCTGGTCTCGAACTCCTGACCTCAGGTGATCCGTCCACCTTGGCCTCCCAAAGTGTTAGGATTACAGGCATGAGCCACTGCGCCCAGCCGACAAAACAATTTTCTTAAATTGTAATTCCTTATAGATTAACATAAAGCTTGTGTTATACTTAGTTTAGCACATGTGTAAACAAAGTATCTTTTGGGTGAGTTTATTTTTATATTAACAAGGATGTTTACTTCTTTAGGTAAAGTAACCTATTTCTTTTTCTTTGGTTGGCAATTAGGGCAATACTAATTACCTAATCATAACAGAAGCGGTGCTCTCCAGACTCATTATTCCTATCATTGGATATTATCTGACTGATGAATTGTGATCCCTGTCACAGGCCAAAATAGCGAGGTCCTGCTTCGATAATTGCTAAATATATTTTTCTTGAATTATATATTTTTTGCCTTATGTCGACTGTGAAAGATATAAACTATAACTTCTCACCTTTCTTTTGGTGAGAAAAAAATAGGCCTCAATCATTTTGGTAACAATATAAAACAAGTAAAAGAAAAAAATAGGTCTGAAAAGATCTTGGAGTCACCTTAAACTTTATCTGCCATGAGACACTTAGAAGAATCAGACCTTTGTTGAAGATTACAGAACAGAGACTCCTTCAGTCACACCCAGGAGACAGGTATTCACCGTAAAGACTAGAATGAAGCGTGGGAAGTGGATGGATCCAGTGCAGCCCCAGGGAACTGAACACTCACATGCCCCTGGGAAGCAGGTCTTTGTTGCTCTCCTTCCATCACTTGGTCTCAGCTTGTCTTTGACTGGCTTCTACCACTTGTGCCTCCACCCAACCTGCTGCTACATTCTCCTGGTTTCTGCTTACTCAAATGTTTTGCATCCGAAGCCCATTTTGGCCCCTTCTGCCTTACCCTCTCTTAGCTCCAACCTTTCTCTTACATCAGACAGCTCCGTCTCTGCATTCTCCACTTTCCATTTCCAAGGGAGTGTCTGATTGGCTTACTAACTATCAGAGTCCGTGTTTGATGAGAACTGTTTGCTCCAGGTCACCTCACAGGATGATGACTACATCACGGATTGTGCGCTCTTGGGTCACGCGATCACTCTTAATTTAAATTAGCTGGGCTGGGGGTGGGGAGGGGGTAAGGAACGTTTTTTGTAGTTATTTGTGCAACCCCTGCTCTAGAAATAGTTTGGGTAACTGTTTCCTTTCCAAAAGGACTCTCTGGGTACGGTAAGCATCTCTCTCTCACACACGCATATATTAAAATAACAGTGACTAAAACAAAGGGAGCATGAATAAATTGAATTATGAAGTTAAATGTATGAAATAATGAATGAACAAGGGAAGAAACCGATACTGACCCAGGGTCAACAACTATCTATGTCCAAGTAAAATTTCTTTGCAGTCTGACAAATTGGCTTTCAAGATTGCATTTTGTTTTGCGAATTAAGCCATTTTTAAGTCATGAGTCGTAGTTTTCTGGAGGCCCCCGGCATCCGGAACCCATGAATGCCACGTTCTTTCTAGCAGCCTTCAGCAATTTGAGGGCGCTTTGTTTCTTACGTTGGGAGAGAAATCCATCAGGAAATCGACGCCCAGGATCAGATGCAGATCCTGGGATCCTTGGCTCTGAGTAGCACGGTGGAAAAGTGAGGTAATCCAGGCTCTGGGCCCGTTTTCCTAGGAGCCCAGGGCGCTTCACCTGTCTGCAGTCAGCCCCTTTCTTGGACGTCTCCTCCCCTGAGTTTCCTCCTCATAGGCTTGTCCCTGGGAGTGTGGGCGGCCCCTTTCTTGAGCGCAGAAACACTTACTTTTCCCCCTACCCTGCTCCTCCTCCTCCACAGCCGTCTTTCTCTTTGCCTCAGCCACTTCCTTCCTTGGCCTCACCCTCCCCAGTGCACTGAAGAAGGTAACCGGGTCCAGACCCACGCGGCGCCAGTTCTCCGGCGGGAAGGAAAACCGCGCAGAGAGGTGCGTGAGCGCCCGGGCAGATGTGGCTTAGGTAGCAGGGATGGACTGGGTGTCCGTGGTGCGCCGCCGGGCACCGCGGGCTGCGGTGAGAGTCGGGTCAGGAGGGGGCCGGGAGGGGGCTCAGGGCGCGCGGAAGCTGCGACCGGCTGGGCCGAGACCTCGCGGGTTGGGGTCCCGTGGGGCGCGCGCCGCCCACGCCCCCACCTCTCGGGTCGACTTCCGCACTCGGCTCACGTGACGTTTCGCCGGCCGGGGGCGGACTGGGAAGCCGGCAGAAATGGAACGATTTTTACCGCGGTGCGACGTGTCGGCTTTGCACTTGGCGGTGGTTCAGGAGCCAGTTCTGCAGAGCTGGGTGGGGAAGGGCTGGGGGCGAGAGGAGAGGCTGCCCCGAGGAACGTGGTGGCCTCAGGGCAGTGGACTCTGCAGCGCCGGAGGTGGGTGCGGCTCTGTGCGCTCCAGATCAGGGGGTGCAGAGTCGTGAGGGGACACCAGGGGCTCGTGGAGCCCGGGGCAGGGTCCGTTTTCGTCGCCCGGGTTGGGTGCTCGCTCTCGCGGCGCTTCGGGGCGCCCGGGCCACGGGGGAGGCAGACCCGCGGCGCCGGGCCGGGAGCTGCGGAGACAAAGACTTCCGGGACGCGGCCCTTCCCGGGCGCCAGCGGTGCCGCCCCGCCACGGGGGGCCCAGCCCCGCGCTCCCCAGCCCTGCACTGGTGCCGGCGGTGACCGTGTGATGATGGGCTGCAGGGCACGGGGTTAGGGGACCTCTACCAGGCAGAACCCCAAGCTGGTAGCAGAATGGCCAAATATGGAGTGAGCGCGCCCCAGACCGGAGGGAGTAAGGAGCCCAGTCACCCTTTGACCCGCACCAGCTGCTTGTCCGCGATTGCGAAGAAGGGCTGGGAAAACGTGCCCAGCCCGAGTGTGTAAAGTTGGTTCCTGATTCCGGACATACCTATTCCAGTAGGCTTTATTTCCTTGGATATTAGAAAATCTCCATGCATTGCCTCCAAACTTTTGAAAAATAACAATGCCCTGAGGGTCCTTAAATACATTCTAAAGTGTGTATTGGTGGTGAGTTTCGGGTTCTGCCCAGTCCTCCGACTTTCCGCTTCCTTTGTGTTTCCCACGCACAAAGCCGAAATCGATTCTGCGACAATTAGAGTGCCTGGCCGTCATCTACCTCGCCTTCCCTGGAGCCTTTTCCTGTCTTCTGGTCCAGCCGCTCACCATTAAGCTCTTCCCTTTAGACTTGCTCTGCTTCTCACCTCTCCTCATTGTTCTTTTCTTTTTTTTTTTCTTAGACATAGTTTCACGGTACTCGTGAGAATGTGTTACATTCGTATAACCAAATCAGGGTAATTGGTATATCCATCACCCTAAATATTTATCTCTTCTTTATGCTAGGAACATTCAACTTAACTTGCTTTTAGCCATTTGGAAGTGTACAATCCATTAATGTGAACTATAGTCACCCCACTGATCAATGCAACACCAGGTCTTATTTCTTCTGTGTTTATACCCATCAACCTCTCTTCACCCTCCGCCCCCTTCATTGTTCTTCATCTTGCTCTCTGCAGTCCTGGGATTCTGTCCTTATTATAAAAGGCCATGGGTCTTTAAAGGATTGTGTCACAATAGGTATTTTTCCCCCTTTGTCCCTCTCCTTCCTAAATAATAAATAAATAAAACGTCAAATTATGTATGCTAGCAATTGTTTTTAAACCTGTTATTTTCCTATTTATGGTGGTCTGGGCAGGGAGCCTTTCTTGCTTTGTAAGTGTTCTGCCTTGGTAAGAGCTCAGCATGTCACGTTTCATACAAATACCACTCACTATTATATTTAGTGTATTTGCATAATGGCAAAAGAGGAAGAGGAAGCGGGGAAACAGCCACCACGATGTGGTAGAGACAGCATTTAATTGTGGGGCATTAACCCCTGTTTCGTTATCCTTAAAATAGAGGTAAATAAATGCCTTGCAAGGTTCTTAGAACTACATGAATTAACGTAGATAAGGAGCCTGATGTGTAATTAATTATAAAGAAACGCTGGTTGCCTTTCATGCTTAAAATTGGATGAACGTACATCTGCTTACTATAATGCAGGTATGCGTACTATATATAATAGATGAATTTCCCCTTTGATGCTCATTATTCAATGAGAGCTAAGTCTGAAGTATGTTGCTGGAGGTGGGAGGAAGGAGCGAAGAAGGGTGTTAAAGAGATAACATCTTTCCGGGGTCGGGAATCAGAGAATCAGAGAATTGGAAAGTTCCTTAATTTCTTTGGACATTTTCATTCTCCCTCTGTCCAGTACAGGCTAATTTCCTCATCATCCCTCACAGATCCTTACTATGTCTGCATTAATATTTCTAGGAACAGGGTGCAAACTTTATTCATTGTTGGGCAATTTTAATTGCTAGATAACTTTTTTATATGGCTCTCAAATCTGCCTTTCTATTACACTTACCCATCCTACCCAGTAGAGGAACACAAAGACTATTCATATAAGTACATAAAAAAGAGCTTTAGTTTTTTTTGTTTTGTTTTTAAAGCAGCAGTTCTTCTCTAAGCTAACTTTATGGGTCAAGATTCTTTAGAGTGCAAGTAATAGAAACTCAATCAAACCAACACAAGCAAAAAGGAAAGATACCGGTTCATGTAGTTGGAAAGTCCAGGGTCATATATAGGCTCAGTCATTGTTATATGGCTGGACATTTCTTTGTGTTAGCTTTACTCCTGGCAAGCTGTTCTCACATGGTGGCCATTGACATCAGGGACTATAAACTAATATCATAGAACCCAGTGAAAGGAGAGTGTCATTTTACTAATAGTTCTAGCAAAATCACAGGGCTGAACCTCATTGTTCTGGATGGGCTCAGCTACGTCATGCCTCAAACCAATCATTCTGGCCCTGAACTGCTTCTGGGCCCAGGGTAAGACTCTACCCAGGATACATGGGTTTAGCATAAGGAGGGAAAGGCTTTATCCAAACAAAACATAGACTGCTGGTGCCAGAATGGGAAATGGGTGCTGGGCAGACAAAACAACAGTTGCCCACCACACTGCTATTAATAGTTTTTTCCCACTTTTTTTTTTTTTTTGAGACGGAGTCTCGCTCTGTCGCCCAGGTTGGAGTGCAGTGGCGTGATCTCGGCTCACTGCAAGCTCCGCCTCCCGGGTTCACGCCATACTCCTGCCTCAGCCTCCCGAGTAGCTGGGACTACAGGCGCCCGCCACCACGCCCGGCTAATTTTTTTTTTGTATTTTTAGTAGAGACGGGGTTTCACCGTGTTAGCCAGGATGGTCTCGATCTCCTGACCTCGTGATCCACCCGCCTCGGCCTCCCAAAGTGCTGGGATTACAGGCGCGAGCCACCGCGCCCGGGCTTTCCTACTTTTATTCTCATGGCATGGTGTTCAGGCCTCGTGCCTGTGTACTCTGTGTATATTTTCGCTTTTTAGTCTTGAATTGCATATAATGTTACAGATATGACTTCACCAACACAAAGTCCTCAATATTTGAACACTATAAATTTTCATATTAAGTTTTATGAAGATGCATTTAATTGAATATTTTGCGTTTTATTGCAATCTAAGCTTCTTAAATTATAATATTCGCACAAGCAACAGAGCAGATGGTAGTGGCACTTTTAATAATTAGCAGATAGAAAATCTAGTGTCCCAATCAATATCATGTAAGCAGGTGGTATATAGTCATAGGTGTCACTCTTGTTTTTAACAGCTAGCAAGAATTAGTTACAATCCATCTGGATAAAGTTGTTTCTTCCAAATTATCACCCCAAAGGAAACCATACACACAACTCCCCCTTTTTGGTCTCTTATATGATTTGAAAAAATTATGATTTGAAAACAGACTGAACTGATGCATCTTCTACCCAGTTGCTCATACTTCCTGACATCCTGCAGGTGTACTTCCAATCCCTCTCATGCCTTTGCGTGTTCTTTTCAGTTCATGAGGTCAATATTTCTTTACCCTCTACTCTTAGTGCCAGACATGATAGAGCAGTGAGCATTATAGTCAGATCCCTGCAGAGGGGAGCTTACCCTGTAGAAGTGAAAGTCCAGAAATGTAATTCCAATTAAGTGAAATGAAGAGGGGCACCCGGTGCTATGGGAACACACAGTGAGGGAGGTGCTCCTCCTCCACGGTTTCAGGGAAGGCTTTTATTTAAGCTGGAGCAGGATGTGTGTGAATTAGCTCCTGGAAGGAGGAATAGCTATAGTCTGGGTTGAAGCCACAGTATGTGTGAAGGCTGGAGGTGAGAGAGCAAGGGGGCATTTGAGAGATTAAAAAGTCCCACATGGCTACAGCCTAGAGTTCAAGGGGGTGGAAGAGGCTGGAACAGTGTGCGGGACCCAGCTCGTGGAGGACTTAGTGAACCAAGGTAAGGCTCAGCTTTTGTTTTATTCTGAACTCCTCCTTATCTGCAGATGAATGAACTTCACCGTGAGCTATTTATTGCAATCGGATTTACTGGGCACTGCCCAGAGAAGGCCATGACGTCCCTGTACGTCACTGGATTGACCGGATGGTATTAAAATTGCTGTTGTATTGATCTGCCTCCCCCACTAGACTACAGGCTCCTGAAGGGCAGGGAGTGTTTGTCAGTTCATTCTGGGGTGCCCAGCCCCCAGCTTAGGCCTGCCTCAAGTGTGCCGTGTGTTTTCTCCTTTGTTGCCTTGCTTTGTGTATGCACTTCCTCCTGTGTAGAGTGCCCTACCCCACCAGTCTGGCTGGACCAGTCCTCCCCAGTGACCTCCAGGAAGCCTCCTGCTGCTTCCTCCTTTGTGCTTCCATATGCCTTGGACCCACCACTCAAAGAGTATTCGTCTCATTGCTCTTCATTGCAGGCCCTCATCTGCCTTTAGAATGTGAGATCCCCGAGGGCAGATCCTGTGCTACACACCTTTTGTATTTTTGGTGCCTGGCAGGATACCATGAAGAGGACCTACGCATAGTGAATCGTGGGTGCAAGGAGAATGGCTGTAGTGAATCGTGGGTGCAAGGAGAATGGCTGTATTCTCCCCCACAGACGTGGAGAATAGGAGTGCAGGGAGCTGAGGGGGCGGTTACAAAGGTAGAGGGAAAATGGGGACACTTCAGTGCCACATGCATCACACAAATATTTTTAGGAAAAGGAACATGGTAAATTAATAGTGACAGACGCGACCTGAACAAGACAAAGGGCTCTTGGATTTGGATGTGCTTAATGGAATGTAATGGTGATAATTTAGACTTCCTTTTTTTCTCTCCCAGGCAGCAATGAATGTGGATCACGAGGTTAACCTCTTAGTGGAGGAAATTCATCGTTTGGGTTCAAAAAGTAAGTATCTGACAGAGATAGAGTATTTCTCCTGGCTTTACCTTGGAACAGGTGAGACTGGCATGCTGGAGAAGCCTATGAAGGGGTCACCCAGGGCTTCAGGACACAGGTCTGGGAGCTCTGCCCACAGCCCCAGGTTATAACTGCCCTTAGCCAGGAATTGACATCTGGAGACACGGGGCTTTTGGGGTATTGTGATTCTGATGCAGGGAATAGTTGAGATATTTCATTATTTTTCGATAGAAAGCAAATTACCAAGCTTCTTGTATTTGACTGCATTGAAATTTGGTAATTGAATCATGTTCAAATTTTTACTTGTCATACTATTAAAATTCATGTTTTCTGCCTTGTTCTGCCATCATTTTACAAACTTCTTTTTTTTCAAATCATCTTATCTAAAATATCATCATTTTACAAACTTCTAAATGACTAGGGATTTACATTGAAATTATACTAAATTATACTAAATTGTCTTTATTTTCTCCAAATCTTGAGTTTTGTATAATCAGATATTAAGTAATGTAACTAAAATAAATCATCCTTTAGGTAGTGTTTAAGAAAAATTATCTTTTTCTTCAGCAATAACTAGGCAGCTTCCTTGAAGATAGTGACATGCAAAATTGGTAGTGTTAGTGTCTTCTTCCTAAGTCGTAATGAAAATTACTATTATACTTGCGGCTTTAGGTATTTGGTACATCTCAGATGAGATATGCAAGAATTTGGGGGGCATTTTGAAAATAATAAGAATAATAGACATATTCAGCAACAACTAGGATAATAGAACTCGAAGTTTTAAAATTACATCATGTAAGTGAAAAACAGTTCTAGAAAGTACCTCACAAGCTCTCAAGATTTGTGTCATTATAGTTTGATTCTTCTTAAAGCACTATCTGTTCCTGAATCACAAATCCTTTGAAGTAACAGGACACACTTGGAAAATTCCATTAAGCCATTAATATCAAATGTCCCCTGCAGTGGTTTTCTGTTCCTGCTGTAACAGATTGCCACAAATTTAGTGATGTAAAACAACACATTTAATATCTTAAGAGTTCTGTAGGTCAGGAGTTTGACAACGGTCCTGCTGGAGTAAGATTAAGGTGTTGGCCGGGGACTCCTTTCTATAGGTTCCAGGAGGGAATCAGTTTCCTTGCCTTTTCCAGCTTCTAGAAGTTGCCTTGGCTCATGACTGTGTTTCTCTGTCTTCAAAGCGAGCAAGAGCTGATTGAGTCCACACATTGCATCATACTGACATCCTCCACTTTTAATTCTTTTTTTTTTCGAGAGAGAATCTTACTCTGTCACTCAGGCTAGAGTGCAGTGGTGCAATCTCAGCTCACTGCAACCTCCGCCTCCCGGGTTCAAGCGATTCTCCTGCCTCAGCCTCCCAAGTAGCTGGGATTATAGGCACCTGCCACCACGCTCAGCTAATTTTTATATTTTTAGTAGAGATGGGGTTTCACCATGTTGGCCAGGCTGGTCTTGAACTCCTGACCTCAGGTGATCCACCTGCCTCGGCCTCCCAAAATGCTAGGTTTACAGGTGTGAGCCACCACACCCGGCCTAGTTTCTTGTATTTTTATTAGAGATGGGGTTTTACCAGCCAGGCGCAGTGGCTCACGCCTGTAATCCCAGCACTTTGGGAGGCTGAGGCGGTTGGATCATGAGGTGAGGAGTTCGAGACCAGCCTGGCCAACATGGTGAAACCCTGTCTCTACTAAAGATACAGAAAAAAATTAGCCAGGCATGCTGGCATGTGCCTGTAATCCCAGCTACTAGGGAGGCTGAGGCAGGAGAATCGCTTGAACTCGGGAGGCGGAGGTTGCAGTGAACCAAGATTGTGCCACTGCACTCCAGCCTGGGCAATGGGGCAAGACTTTGTCTCAACAAACAAACAAACATAAAAGAGATGGAGTTTCACCATGTTGGCCAGGCTGGTCATGAACTCCTGGCCTCAAGTGATCCACCTGCCTCGGCCTCCCAAAGTGCTGGGATTACAGGTGTGAGCCACCGTGCCTGGCCTGCCTCCTTCTTCTGTTTTAAGGACTTTTTGGATTACACTGGGCTCACCCAGATAATCTAGGATACCTTCCTGTCGTAGGGTCCTTAATTGAATTGCATCTGAAAAGTCCCTTTTGCCATGTAAGGTAACATACAGATTCTAGGGATTGGTACATGGATATCTTCGGGGGCCTTTATTCTTCCTACTATTCCCTCTTTTTTGTCTTAGTCACTCTATTTCTATATCAAACCCGAGTCGTCATTACTGAAATGTACCAAGAAATGATAAATGAGGCATATTAAAGCTGGTATGGACTCTAAGTCCATACCTAAGTTAGTCAACAACTGAGTTGAATCATATCAGTTAATACTTATTGAGTATCTATATATGCTAATAACTGTGTAGTACAAGTGGTATAAAGTGTGTTCCTTTTCCTCAGGGATTTTACTACTTAGTTGATGAAAACAGATAAAATCTCATAGTCCAGGTGCCATGGCTCAGGCCTGTAATCCTAGCACATCAGGGGGCCAAGGTGGGAGGATCGCTTAAGCCCAGGAATTCAAGACCAGCCTGGGAAACAAAGTGGGATCCCATCTCTACAAAAAAATAAAAAATTAGCCAGGCATGGTGGCATGCAACTGTGGTCCCAGCTATACTGGAGGCTGAGGCAGGAGGATTGCATGAGCTCAGGACGTCGAGGCTGCAGTGAGCCGTGTTCAAGCCATTGCACTCCACCCTGGGGGACAGAGTGAGACCCTGTCTCAAAACAAAAACAAAAACAATAAAAAACTCATGAGGCAATTATCCGAAAAAAAAAATGGTATGCTGAACTATGAAGTGCTGACATGCAATATGGTCCCTTCAAAATAGATTATTGGAAGTTGTAGTAGTTGGGGGCACTCAATGAAGTCTTGCATCTCAGGTAGGACTTTGAAGTGGAGGGCAGGTCAGTTTAGGGGGAAATCCATGAGTTGGTTTTTGGAATGGGAATGAATGTATTGTTTGAAGAGAACACCGAGAAGACATTGGAAAATATAATTTATTTAGTTTCTTTTTTGAGATGGAGTCTCACTCTGTTTCCCGGGCTGGAGTGCAGTGGCACCATCTTGGCTCACTGCAACCTCTTGTCTTCTGAGTGCAGGCAATTCTTGTGCCTCAGCCTCCCTGGTAGCTGGTATTACAGGTGTCCACGACCACGCCTGGTTAAGTTTTGTATTTTTAGTAGAGATGGGGTTTTGCCATGTTGGCCAGGCTGGTCTCGAACTTCTGGCCTCAAGTCATCCGCCTGCCTCAGCCTCCCAAAGTGTCGGGATTACAGGCGTGAGCCACTTCATCTGGCCATAATGTATTTAGTTTCCTAATCAAAGAAATCAACAGTCTTCCCTAACTCAATTTTTCTCCCACGCATTTCACCACACCCACTTGATGGAGGCCTGATGAGTCTTATTTTCCATAGTGATGTCCCTCCTGTTCCTCCTCCCACACTCCTGATTTTTCCTGAGCTCAGTGAGGTCATGTTACTCTTGGCAGCATTATTATTGTTTTTTTCTTTTTCTCTTTTTTTTTTTTTTTCTGGGATAGAGTCTTGCTCTGTCACCCAGGCTGGAGTACAGTGGTGCGATTTTGGCTCACTGCAACCTCTGCCTCCTGGGTTCAAACAATTCTCCTGCCTCAGCCTCCTGAGTAGCTGGGATTACAGGCATCTGCCACCACCCCCAGCTAATTTTTGTATTTTTACTAGAGACAGTTTTTCGCCATGTTGGCCAGGCTGGTCTCGAACTCCTGGCCTCATGTGATCCACCCGCCTCAGCCTTCCAAAGTGCTGGGATTGTAGACATGAGCTGCTGGGCCCAGCCGTGCATTACTATTGTTTGGATAGTTATAGGTGTTACAGGCATATTTCCAAAGATTTGTAGGATTTTCTTTTCTTTATCCATATCAGCCTAGTGTTTATTGGTCATATTCAATTAGTTTTTAAATTCTAACCTTTACATTACTAGAAGAGTGTCATTATTCTGGTAAGGCAAACTGAAATTCCACTTCAAAATTAGCAGCTTTCACATTAGAAGACTTAAGATAATTATCGTAACTTCTATAAGCATGGAAATACTTTTAATTTTGCAGCTTCATCAGGATACCTTGACTTTCTCATTCCTGGCAAAAGATGACTTATTGAGTTTGAAAGCATATATAGATATGTGTTATCTTTGAACGTGTTATGGTTAATTATTTAAGTTGTATCTGGAGTGATTTTGCTTTAGTCTACATATGATGTATGAGCTGAGGATGAAAACTGATGAATTTAGTTTTATCTTTTCATTGAAAGTCAAATTCCTTAAAGTCTCATTTTTCATATAGCGAAAAAAGATTAAATGGGGAGAGTGCACTTGGAAATTTAAATTCTTTCATTCAACAAATTTTTTTTAGTGTCCCCTTTGTGCTCAAGTGCTGGAGATGTAAAAATGAACAAAATTCCATCTCCATCTTTGAGGTCCTCTTTAGGTAGCTGAAAGACAGACAAACTGGAAGTACCTAGAGGGAAGTGATTAACATGGGCTGTAAAGTCGGACTCTCTGGAAATGAATCCCAGCTCCTCTACATACTTGCTGTGTGACCTTGGCTACTTTACTAAACTTTTCTGTGCCTTGTTTTCCTTATTTGTAAAACAATAATACTCTATTTCAAGGACACATTTCTTCACATTAAAAAATCTCTAAAATAGGCCAGGTGTGGTGGCTCATGCCTATAATCCCAGCACTTTGGGAGGCCAAGGCAGGCAGATTGCCTGAGGTCAGGAGTTCGAGACCAGCTTGGCCAACATGGTGAAACCCTGTCTCTACTAAAAATACAAAAATTAGCTGGGCCTCGTGGCGGGTGCCTGTAATCCCAGCTACTTGGGGAAGCTGAGACAGGAGAATCACTTGAACCTGGGAGGCGGAGGTTGCAGTGAGCCGAGACCACACCATAACACTCCAGCCTGGGCAACAAGAAGGAAACTCCATCTCAAAAGAAAAAAAAAATCTCTAAAATAAAAATACATCTTATAGTACATGGCATGCTATGGTTAAATTGGCAGTTTAATTATAATATAAAATAATGATGCTTCTTGTAATCAATTGTGTCTTATCTTCCATGAAATACAGATTAAGTGAATTTTAATGACTGTAAAATACATCGAACAGTTCTGGATCATAGCAAGTACTCAATAAATGTTAGCTATTAATACTATAAATGATGGTGAGTGCTTTGATAGATATATACTCAGTTTTATAAGAAGAGCTATTCACTCAACTGAGTGGATCATGAAGGACTTCTAGAAAAGGTGGCATTTGAATTCATTCCTGAAGAAAAAGAATTTAGCTAGGAAGAAGTTTCTGGGTTTCTGGGCAGACGGCTGAACACGGGCACTGTTACAAAGGCAGAATCTGTCATATCATCTTAGGCACAGCAAGCAGTTCATTGTGACTGGATCAGGAGGTACATGCAGTGATATGGCAGAAGACCAGGCAAGTGATAGATGCAAGGCCAGAGGATGAAGAGCCTCTTCTGTGAGGCCATGGACTTCCCTTTATTTAGAAGGTCATAGGGAGCCATTGAAATATTAAAGTAGCCTTGATGAGGTGGCTCACACCTGTAATCCCAGCACTTTGGGAGGCCAAGGCGGGAGGATTGTTTGAGCCCAGGAGTTTGAGACCTCGTCTTTATTAAAAATAAAGATAAATTAAGTTTGGTGGTGCACGCCTGTAGTCCCAGCTACGTGGGAGGCTTGGAAGGCTCAAGAGGATCTCTTGAGTCCAGGAGTTCGAGGTTGCAGTGAGCTGTGATCACACCACTGCACTCCAGCCTGAGCAACAGATCGACACCCTGTCTCAAAAAAAGAAAAAAGAACCAAAGAGGGATTAAAGTAGAAGAGTAACAATGAGCTTTGCATCTCATAAAGTTTCTTCCACATTTTTTCTTCCACACCCATGTGGAGGATGTATTGAGGGGCAAAAATGCAGAAAAGGAGGCTGGTACAGAGTTCTCAGTCAGCAGCTTGCAGTGATGCATGTGAGAAACACTCAGGGCCTGAACCAAGGAATTAACTGTGATTGGAGAGGAGAGGCAGCAGCCACAGAAGGCACAAAGAAGGTGGAATCACCCAAACATTTGTCAGATTGAGGGGTGAGGGGGCATGAGAACTCCAAGATTACACTCAGGTTTCTGTCTTTGGTGCCTTTAAAAATTTTAACCAAAGTTGAGAATTTACTGTATGCTGGGGACTCTATAAGAGGCTTTATCTTTATTATGTCTGTTAATCCTTGCAACAGCCCTGTGAGAGGTATTTTTGCCCTCATTTGATGGATACCTGAAGTTCAGAGAGCTTGGAGGACTTGCCTGAGGTTACCAGCAGCTCCACTTCTACCTGTAATCAGTGACAGGTTCCTGTTGCACAGAGTGTCATGTAGGTAGAAATTGAAAAATCAAAGAGGTGCATCTTTGCTTTCCAGGCCAAACATGGTCAGATTCCCTGTTTTCCCTTTAGAACATCTTTTGTCCTCCTCATCTTAGATTATCTACTTCAGGTGAGTAAACTTCACGCTGGTCACTGTTCCCCCAGCCACCTTACTCGTTTTCAGCCTTGCCTGTGGCTTGGCACACTCTCCCCATTTGTCTCAGTCACAACAGAGCCCCTGGTTGCTGATACTCAGTGTGTGCTAGGCACTGTGCTGGGTGCTTTCGAACTGTGTCTCCTGGCAGCACTGAGAAAAAGATGTTCAGGTCCCCATTTTACACAGGAGGAAGCCAAGGCTTAGGGAGCTTTAAACAAGTTGCCCAAGGCCAAATGACTAGTAGATGGCAGAGATTTCAACTGAGGACTATTAGGTTTTTAAAAAGCTCATGTATATCATCACAATGAAGACGAGGAAAAAGAAAAAAGCTCCAAGTTATTGTCTCCTTTAAAGTCCAGAATAAGTACTGTCTCCTCCATGAAGTCTTCCTTACCATTCTTGCCCAAAGACATCTTGCCCTCCTCTAAACTGTAAAATATATTTTCTTTTTTTCTTCTTTTTTTTTTATGAGACAGGGTCTCAACTCTGCTGCCCAGGCTAGAGTGCACTAGCACGATCATGGCTCACTGCAGCCTCAAACTCCTGGGCTCAAACAGCCCTCTGCTTCAGCTTCCTGAGTAGCTGGGATCACAGGTGCATTCCACCAGACCCATCTCTCTCTCTCTCTCTCTCTCTCTCTATATATATATATATATATTTCTATATTTCTATATATATATATGTGTGTGTGTGTGTGTGTGTATATATATATATATATATTTTTTTTTAGGAGAGACATGGTCTGACTATGTTGCTAAGGTTGGTGTCAAACTTCTGGGCTCAAGGTATCCTCCTACCTTGGCCTCCCAAAGTGCTGGGATTACAGGCATGAGCCGTTGCACTCGGCCGGGATGTATTTTCTTTGCTTCTCATTTGGCATCCAATCACATACTGCTTTGTACTGTTGCTTTACTTGTTATGTGTATAGTTCTTATTTCCTCATGGGAATTGAAGTCATTGCTTTGAAAGCTAGAAAGTTATTCTCTCTAGAAAGTGATTCTCTACCTCCTTATGTCTGCCCCTAGTGTCTAACACAGTGCTGCGCTCACAGTAGGAGTTTGCCAAGCATCCAGTGGGAAGTTCTAGCCAGGGAGCATGGGAACTCAAGAACCTTTGGTCAAGGAATGGTCCTCCCCTCACTGTGATGGCCATCGTCTTGACAGTGGGTGTAACCTTGGAAGGGAAGAACCTGCAGTAGAGGGGTAGGAAGAGGTCAGGGATTCAGTCAAGTGGTCAAAGGAATCGCCCAAGGATAGGGAGGTGTCTCCCAGATTACCCTTGCCTCCAGGTTTTCAGGTTATTGATGTTTAACAACAGATCTACTTTTGGTCTATCTTAACTTTCAATGTATATGTTAAAAACTGGCCTCCAAATAAGATAATCTAGGGCTCATATGAAATACAGATTTCTGAGTCTACTACTGGGAATTCAGATTCAGTGGTCCTGATGAATGGCTGATGATTATACATTTTTAAGGAGCCCCCCACTCCCACCCTGGGGATTCCGAGTGTTCAGAACACACTTAGAGAAACACTGCTCTTGATCCTGGTTTTCTCTTTCATTTGTAGTGTTTATTGATTCAAAAACTCACGTAACAATTAACAAATAAAAATAGAGGGAGAGAAATTCATCTGCAGTATTAGCACTGTAGCACATTCAACTTTTGTAAATGTTGGTTCTCAGTCTTTGTCTGGATAATCCTAAGGCCAAGAGGCATATAGCATGTATTTATTCCATTACTTTTTGGATCAGGGAAGAGAATATGTTGAATTTATGACTGTTAAGTGTTAAATTGCAACCTTGGATAGCCCATAGTTATAAATTTATTAAAGATTTTGTAAGTCTTCCATACTTGAGGGTATGAAACAGACTTTGCATTTGCTAACAATGTATTTTCTCAAACTAGATGCTGATGGAAAGTTAAGCGTGAAATTTGGGGTCCTCTTCCGTGATGATAAATGTGCCAACCTCTTTGAAGCATTGGTAGGAACTCTTAAAGCTGCAAAACGAAGGAAGATTGTAACATATCCAGGAGAGCTGCTTCTGCAAGGTGTTCATGATGATGTTGACATTATATTACTGCAAGATTAATGTGGTTTACATATCTTTATGTACTGCCATTTTTTGTTTCTGGTAAACTGGAATATAAAGTGAAAGAACAAACATTTGAACATACTTAATGTATTTTTATAGAACTTTGTAAACGAAAGGAGATTCATGTTTTAGAAGTCTGTCCTTTTTTATATCTTGAAAGAAAATCTATGTATGATGCTATAAAATAAATCCTATTATTTTTCTCAGGAATCTGGTTAGGAATTGCAGGCAATGAGATTTTTTGCGGGGCAGGGATGGGAATGTTTGTTCATAAATAATTAGACATTTTCTATAGATATTTGACATTCTGCGAAAGCAACAAGCAAACTGAAGACCAACTCCTATGAGAAATATTATGATGTTTATGTAATAAAGACATGTAACTGTCTTAAATTTGCCTTATTTTGTCATTTAAGTATTTGTGTGCTTCTCAGAATTGAGTTTTTGCATCAAGATTAGGTAACTGCAGTAAAAGTTGTGTTACTCTGAAACAAATTCTCTCAAAACTACCAAATTTAAGTAATAGGAAGGGCTGGGCACGGTGGCTCACACCTGTAATTCCAGCACTTTGGGAGGCTGAGGCGGGCAGATCACCTGAGGTTGGGGGTTCGAGACAGCCTGGCCAACATGGTGAAACCCCATCTCTACTAAAAATACAAAAATTAGCTGGGCGTGATGGCACACATCTGTAATACCCACTACTCTGGAGGCTGAGGCACAAGGATCACCTGAACCCAGGAGGTGGAGGTTGCAGTGAGCTGAGGTCGCCCCACGGCACTCCAGCCTGGGCGACAGAGCGAGACTTGATCTCACAAAAAAAAAAAAAAAAAAAAAAGAGGAATGGTTAGTGTTATGGTTAGACCCTATACAAAATATTTATTTTGAGGCTGATTGTGTGCTTATTGCTGAGTTTGGGGACATGCCAAAAAATCTAACCTAAAAACTTCACATTCTAGTTGGGTTACACCCATCTGAAACAATATGGGATAATCTCTGATTGCATGTTACAGAATTTAACATGACTTGGAATGCCAAGGAGAATAAAAGCAGTGAAAGCCACAATGGCCAGGGGAGATATCCTGGAGGGGGCAGAACTTGCATGGAGGAATGATTGCAGCTGATTATCTCGAGGGAAAAAAAGATGGGATGATGAGGGTGATGACTGAAGGAAAGGCAGAAGGATACAAATTGGCAAGGCATGATCTCGTGAAAGGCAGGATATGAGGCCGACCAGAATGCTGGGGAGAGAGGTCGTTCATTGGACAATGAAAGTGGGACCTGGGAAATCAGGAAGAGGAATATGAACAGAAACTGGAGCCAGGACATTCCATGATGACAGTGATGTTTAGTGCAGATGGCCCTCACACTAGTGATTCAGGTGGATTGTAGAGAGTGAAGAAGTGGTCAGACAAGCCAGCTGAAATGTTGCTCAGGAATCTCATGGGGGTGACCATAACGCAAAGGCGGGGGAAGAATGAACTCCAAGCATGTTTTTAAAATCAAAGCCCTCTCATCTGTACTCTTTCTGCTGTGACAGGACCCCAATTCAAAGATCAAACATTAGAATTCACTGGCACTTGACGGTTATTGCTAACATTTATTGAGCATTTACAATGCCAATTCTCATATAACCCTGTGAGGTAGGTACTAATAGTACCTTCCATTTTATAGATGAGGTAAGTGAGGCACAGAAAGGTTAAGTAGCTTGTCCAAGTTCACCTAGGTAGAAAGTTGTAGAGTCTGAATTTTGAAATTGGACTCATCTAACTGGCAATTCCAGGGATGGCGTAGACTTTGAGCGTGGCTGGCTCCAGGGACTAAACAATGTCAAAACTCTCTGCCTTTCCATATTGGCTCTCATGCATTCTCTGGTTTGATCTCTTTCTACTGTAAATAGACTCCCTGCAGATAGCTGGGAAGATGCTGCTAGTAGTTGCAAATTCACTTATTTCTAGATTAGCAATTCTAGTAGAGGGAGCATTTATTATAATATCTAATTATGAATTCCAAGAAGGAAATTCTGATTGCTTCCACTGCAGTATAAACCTACCCCTTTGACCAATGGCATTTACCAAGGAGATGAGACACCATGAACTGACAGGCCACAGGTAACATGCTGGTTTCTCAGTGGGGATGGGGTGAGTTATTGTGCTTCACAACCTCATTTCAAATAAGAAAAGGGTAGTTTTCCAAAGGAAACGATGTTGGCTACATGGGAACGACATGGGTTCACTGTAGAAATAAGAGACCTTTTGAAGAATGAATCTTTACAATTATGTGGCAAAAAATGAAAAGGTGAATGAGAAGCGATGGTCAAAAGCTACCATCATATATGCCCTCAGTGACTGAGAGAATGATGAACTAATTAACAGAGGTGGGAAAATTGGATGGAGAAGGAGGGCTAGTTTCAGGGAGTTTGATCTGGGCATGGTAAACTTGAGGTACTTAAAGTAGAAATGTGTAGTAAGTAGGTGAGGATTTTCTTCTAGAACCCAGGCTAAGTAAAGGCATAGGAGTGTAGACAGAGACTTGGGAATTACGGTTCATGGTTGATTTTCACCTTAATTTTGATTTGTATAGATAATTCTACTTCTGACTCTCATTAGCATTAAATTGAAATTTTAATTATCAGGCACTTAGAAAACACAAAAGACAAACAATCTACAGGCTTTGTAAAAGTCTAGGCTGAGAAATTGAAGCAACCTTTAGATGGAAGCAATGTAGGAAGCCCAAAGACATCTAACAGAATTTTATGAGGCAGCTGACCTTGTGTAATCAAAAAGAATCTTAAAAAATCTATAGAAGTTGAAATTGTTAATCTGTCATGATTTGTTTAATGTCTTCTTGGCGAGCATCAAATGAAGTTTAGTTTTAACCCTTGATGATTTAACATTTAATGAACATCTTCCAGAAAAGGTATATTCATGTGATTGTTCAGTTATTGTAAGAAAACTGACAGAATATCATTTCTATCTACCATTGATATCCACGATACAGTTTTATGTATTTTCCTTTAGATTCAAGATGGTTAGTTCTTTGTATCAACTTCACATATACATAGTTGTTTTATTGGATCATGGTCTTAAAATTTTAAATCATAGATTTGATTTTTTTGAGCTATATTCACAGTGAAAATACTCTTTCTTGGCCATAAGCTGCATTGCAGTTAATTATCTCAGTAATAAGTGCCATTGGCTACAGTTGGCTGGGAATTAGAGATTATCAACAGTTGTATACCAACATTCCTTTATTCACGCAATGAAAATATGGAACCTCTACTTTGTTCAAGTCACTGTTCTAGGCGTTAGGAAGGACTAAAGCAAAGCAAAATAAGAATAAACAAAATTCTATTCTAGTCCTCAAAAAACCCCAATTAGTACTATATATTATTAATAAACAGTATAAAAGAAGCTTTGGGTAAATGATATAGAGATATGGGTGCAAAGATAAAGAATCATTCCTGAGGGGACCTGGAGGGCTTTCATGGATAAAGTGACATTTCCTGGGGCTTTAAAGCAATAGAATAATAGGGTAGGACTTTAGGGGTAGAGTCACTACTGCATACAAAGTCAGAGAAAGGCAAGTAATTTGAGGTACAGAAGGAAAGTAGTGTAACAACAGTTGAGGCCAGAAAGGAAGGTTGGGAACATTATTTTGAACCTTTAGGACAGAAGAAACAATTCTAAGTGTATGTCTTAATAATGGTGAGTTACAAAGAACTGTAAAAAAACTTACATAAAATATTTGATAAGTACCACTAATTATAAAGAAACTTTAATTTTTAAGTTCTGTAACATTGCTATTTTGTGTATTGAGATTAAATAAGACAATCTATAAGTATAGCTTATCATCTTCATAGTGAATGACTGTTCATTGAAAACTGATTAAAGTTACCACGTTTGCAGTCTTGAATTTTCTTAAGTTTCTGTCATAGAAAGTCCAAGCATACCCTAGTGTCCTGGAGTTACAATTTAAAAATAAGTTACTGGCTGAGTACAGTGGTTCACACTTATCCCAGCACTTTGGGAGGCCAAGGCAGGAGGATCACTTGAGTGCTGGATTTCCAGACCATAACAAGACCCCATCTCTACAAAAAAATTTAAAAAATTAACTGGTCGTGGTGGCGTGACCCACTACAGTCTCCACTACTTGGGAGGCTTTCATGGATACCTAGGAATTCAAGGCTGCTGTGAGCCATGACAGTGCCATTACACGCCAGCCTGGGTGTCAGAGTGAAATTCTGCCTCTAAAGAAATAAATAATTAATGGCCAGGTGCGGTGGCTCATCCCTGTAATCCCAGCACTTTGGGAGGCCGAGGTGGGTGGATCACGATGTAAGAGATCGAGACTGTCCTGGCAACATGGTGAAACCCTGATGCTAAAAATACAAAAATTAGCTGGGCGTGGTGGCACACACCTTGTAGTCCCAGCTACTGGGGAGGCTGAGGCAGGAGAATCACTTGAACTCGGGAGGTGGAGGTTGCAGTGAGCCACGATCGTGCAGCTGCACTCTAGCCTGGCGACAGAGGGAGACTCCGTCTCAAAAAAAAAAAAAAATTAATTAATTAATTAAATAAATTACAGACCAGGTAACTTAATATATTGATGCAATTGTCTTTTCATTCCATCAGCTGATAGTTGTCCATATACCATTACAATAGCCAAAATTAGAAAAGAGGAGTGGGGCAAGTGATTGAGCAGGGTTGAAAAGGTGGAATAGATTAGATAATTTCCAAACTGGATAAACTGAGGCTCCAACAAATGCCTATTTAACATAATTTAAAGATGTCTGACGTTGTTATCTCATTTTCAGTACAATGGCTGAGTCACTGAAGCTACCATGGCAAAAGGTAAAATTAACTTTTGAAAAGAAATTATTTCAGAATCTAGGATTCTACCATCAACAGCAGTTATAACATTTACGAGTCAGCAAAAAAAAAAAAGTTACAGAAATGTGGATTTGAGGAATTTGTCGTAAGGAAACACTGACATCCCAGAGTTCCCTAGTGTCTGAGCACAATTCCTACAATTCCAGACAATAAGGAGGAACAGTTCAATGAACTGACAGACAAAATACAAACATGTCATGGCAAAGGAACAAGCTGGCTTCTCTGTGGCATGAGGCATTGGACTCATTATAGCCTCATAAATCTAGAAAAAGTCAAGAGAAATACGTGTACCTTTAATTTATTTATAGGCAAATAATCTCTGGGTTTCCACTTTCTTAAAAAAGGTTATAAATAACTCTTCAAAGGAAACCAGCTCCTCAGAAGCCTTTTATGATGAGAAATCTGAAACAACCAGACTTTTCTGGAAGGCTGATCTATCTGAAAATTCCTCTACTGTTGTTTTTATCTCTAGCAGCCTCAACAAAAGGTTCCTTAAAGAATAATTCTTTTTTGTAGTCCTCCTTTTATTGAACGTTTTAGTTAGACACTTTGGGCTAGAAGGAATGGAGATTCACTTAGCCAGGTAAAAGGGTTTAACCGTCAGGATGTATACGGGGCAACTAGGAAGATATGGGACTCCATTGAAAGCCAACAGAGGACCCTTTACCATGATGGGACCTCTACAGACTGAGGGCTCTTAACCAGAACGTGTCCGAATGGCTTTTGTAGCTCTTTCAACATCTAAATACTCTGGCAGCTGGGTGTGTTCACTTACGCCTGTAATCCCAGCACTTTGGGAGGCCGAGGTGGGAGGATTGCCTGAGGTCAGGAGTTCCAGACCAGTCTGGCTAACATGGTGAAACCCCATCTCTACTAAAAATACAAAAATTAGCCGGGCATGGTGGCACATGCCTGTAATCCCAGCTACTCAGGAGGCTGAGGCAGGAGAATCACTTCATCTTGGGAGGTGGAAGTTGCAGTGAGCTGAGATCACACCACTGCACTCCAGCCTGGGTGACAAAGCCAGACTACATCTCAAAAAAAATAAAAAAATAAAAATAAATATAAATGAATGAATGAATAGTCTGGAGATTCTAATTTAGTAGATCTGGATGGGGCCCAAGCATTTCCATGAAGAGTTTCCCAGGCTGATTCTGATGGGCAGCTCTGGTGAAGAACCAGCCTTTACTGCACTGGGGCCTCCTGGTTAACACCACTCTGTTGTTTTCACAGATCAAGTTTGATATGGTTTGGCTGTGTTCCCACCCAAATCTCATCTTGAATTGTAGCTCCCATGATTCCCACGTGTTGTGGGAGGGACCCAGTGGGAGATAATTGAATCATGGGGGCGGTTTTCCCCCATACTGTTCTTGTGATAGTGAGTAAGATTCATGAGATCTGATGGTTTTATAAGGGGAAACTCCTTTTGCTTGCTTCTCATTCTCTTTTTTGCCTGCTGCCATGTAAGACGTGCCTTTCACCTTCTACCATGATTGTAAGGCCTCCCCTGCCACGTGGAACTGTGAGTCCATTAAACCTCTTTTTCTTTATAAATTACCCAGTCTCAGGCATGTCTTTATCAGCAGTGTAAAAATGGACTAAAACACAGTTCTTTCTGTTTGCTTCTCTTTATGTTTCTAATTAGCTTCCTCAACCTCTATCTTTTCTCTAATTCATAGCTTCTATTTAATCTTTGGTTTGTTCCCTCATTATTTTGATTTATTGGTGCTGGTTCTTGCTGCTAGTGGTCTTAAACTGTACAAGGTATGAATTCAAATAGATAGAAAAATCCTGAGTAGCTCAGTTTGTCCCTAGTTGATAACTTTATGCTCCAAGCCACCTCATAGGTCATTGATCAGCCCGGGATTGGCTGGGTCGGCTGCCTACCCCTGGTCCAATCAGTTATGGCTGTGGTTAGGGGAGAGAAGAGCTGGGCAAATGGCTGTCTAGCGTTCCTGCAACAGGATCAGGGAGCTGAGCTGCCTCTGCAGTGCCTATAGATCCGGCAGGCATTGTGATTGCATTCTAACAAGCCTCTTCTCAGACGTTCTCCGGGATTTATGGTAGAATATGAAGACAGTAACTTTCAATTTGGAAGATATGATCACCCTTTTTAAACATAAAAAATGTCACCCCCACCTGTTTGTTGTACTTGCAGTATCTATGATGAATAAAATACATAATATAATAATACATAGTACAAAAATACAAAAAGCTGTTTTACCTTTAGCAAAGGTTTTGTTTGTTTGTTTGTTGTTTTTTTGTTCTTTTCTTTTTGTGAGACAGAGTTTTGCTCTTGTTGCCCAGGCTGGAGTGCAGTGGCAAGATCTCGGCTCACTGCAACTTCCACCTCCTGGGTTCAAGTGATTCTCCTGCCTCAGCCTCCTGAGTAGCTGGGATTACAGGCGCACACCACCACGCCCAGCTAATTTTTTGTGTTTTTAGTAGAGATGGGGTTTCATCATGTTGGCCAGGCTGGTCTTGAACTCCTGACCTCAGGTGATTCACCCGCCTCGGGCTCCCAAAGTGCAGGGATTACAGGCATGAGCCACCGCACCTGGCCTAGCAAAGGTTTTACATGAGTTACTAATCATAAAGTTAATACTTATACTTTAAAGATAATAATACATTTATTTATGTATAAAAGGTACATTATTTATTCAATCTACAGAAAATGTATAAACCAAAAATAAAATCCTAAACCCCCTACTGACCTAATGAATTCCATTTTGGGAAGACCTCAGAAAAAACTTAAAAAGTGAGTTCCCAGCATGTCAGGACAGGAGGTCAGACACACCCCATTATGCCTTCCTATTATGTTGTGTCTAAACTCCTAAAGAGTTTGGACACAACAACTTGCCAGCATTAATGTTATAGTAGAGATCATAAGTCTGACAGAACACTCTTTGTGGCAATAAGATACCAAATTATAAACAAGAGGCCATGCTAGGCAAGGGTTAAGTCATGCACTCTTGCATTTAAAGAATAACTATGTTCTAACATCCAGGAGGCTTTTCTTCTTCTCTCAGCTAAAGGAGCACTGGCCTTGAGAGACACAATGTTATAACAATTTGCAGCTCCACCAGATGCTGACTAACTGACCCCCAACCCTTTTCCCACAAGCCATAACTACATCTTTGATTGGGCAAGAGACCGATTTCAGTAACTTTGTCCTGATAAGACCACTGACCGTGGACTGATTCTGGCCAGTTTACAGAGGCTGCACACTTGTGTCTTTGTGTCTTGAAGAGAGCAAAATTATGTCCTGAAAAGACACAATTCGGACTAATTGTAATGCATTTAAATGTTTTGTCTCCACCCGCAGGTGAACCTGGGTCGTGTGTAACATGCATGTTTGTTCCCTAGCCTGCATCAGGACCACCTTCATGAATATCCATAGCTCCTGTTGAATATGTATGTTTAGCTAACTCATTCATCATATATCTTCTACCCCAATCCCTTCTCCTTCAAAGTGCCTGTCTTTGGTGTAGCCCTCCCAGCTTGCCAGATGGCCACCTTGCAGGTTGTAACCCTTTATAAGAAATAAAGTCTCCTTTTCCAAATTTATAGATCTTGTGATTTTTTTTTTAAGTTAATAATGCTTGGTACACATAGGGTTTCCTGGATTCCTTGAAATAACTCTGTTTCCTTAGGGTGCTTTGTCCGCGGGTTATGAATGCTTTTGTGGTACAATAAACACACTGCCTAGATCATGAACGCCTGCATTTGAGCCTAAGGGTCTACTACTCATTTCAGTTCTCAGAACCCGTGGTTGTTCTACATTTCCTCCCCTTGAATCTGGGCAGACTTATGACTGATTCAACAAGTAGAATACAGTGGAATGATCCTAATGATTTCTGAGGCTGAGCCATAAATCGCTATAGAGTAACTATCTGGCACATGTAACATAATGTTGAGAGAGAGGGAGGACCTTGGGGATGATTTGATCAAGCAAGTCAATGATGTTGCCCCTAAATCCTGATTTCCTTCTTTCTCCATTCTGCCATCTGTAATATGTTTTATTTATTTCTTTCTAAGTCTGGCTTTCTTCCTAAGTCTGGCTTCCTTCCTGGTCAAAAAATAGCTGCCAACAACTTCTGGGGTAGCATGACTCCTTGGAAAAAGAGGGAGAGAGGGAAAGAGATTTGAGAAAGAAAGGAAAGCTCTAGGAGGAAAAGTAGCCATCATAGATTAATCCATTGTCAACTACCTTCCAGTGCTGATGCTGATAAGTCAGGTAGCATTCTGATCCCTAATCATTTTTATGTGACTTTTTAAAATTGTGGGAATTTTTGGAATCTTTTAATCCCTAGGTCCTAATGTTCTGCCATATTAAACCTGGGCATTCATTGTTTTTTATCTTTTATTTATATGGAAACTTATGTTCTTTAGTTTAGGGATGTTTTCTTATGTTATTTCCTTGATAATTTATTTCTCTCCATTTTCTTCTTCTTTTTTCTTCTCCCTGGAACTCTTAATAGTTGGATGTTGGCACTTCTGAATTGGTATTTTAATATTCTAAGTTTTCCCTCTTGTCTTTTGTGGGGTTTTTTGTTCTTTTTTTCTGAGAAATTTACTTTGCTTTCTTGTTAAAAATTAAGAGTTAACTCCATTTTTGAATTTTAATTTCCATCACTTTTATTAAAGGATAGCATTCTGTTCCTGTTTCATGAATATGACACTTTTGTTTCATCTCCCTGAGGATGTTAATCATGACTTCATTGATGTTTTCTACTGCCTCCTGTCTGTTCAAATGAAGTCCTTTTTTGTCAATTTATTTGTTTGTATCTCTATTTTTGTGTGTTTATGCTGAATGTTTCCTCAAATATCTAGAGATCTTTGGCTATCTCTTCATATATAACAGTGAGTCACTGGGAAACTGATCCGAGGCTCTGTATTGGTGGCCAGATTTTGCCAACAGATACTAGTGAGCTTTGTTATATGGTAGTCAGTTGGTAAGCAAGCTTTTCATTGTGAAAATTCCAAACATCAAAATTGTAGGGTTTTGGGGTTGTTTCCGAAGAGCTCTGCTAATTTCTGCTTGGGTATATCTCGTGGGTGCAGGCATTCTGGAAGCAGGGGAAGAAACTGGAGCCCTACCGTTCAATCAACAAAATGTATTCACTTCTCTCTTTTCAGCTTTGCTTCCCACACTTGCTGTCTACTGTGCCTGGGATCCTCTGGTATGGAAATACTTTCTCTCCATTTTTTTGGAGACCTTGATCTCTGTGTGTAGTCAGGAGGAGGAGGAGTTACTTGAATTCAAGGGAAGGGTAATGGGACCGGGGGCAGGTCTAACAATGTAGTGTACAGATGAGCAACCAACCCCCTAATTCCAATCACATATCTTTTTCCTGCCTTGAGAGTTCCCTGAAAATACCAGGTATACAAGGGTTCTGAGCCTCACTAGGCATCTGTGAGGGTAGATTGGCTCAATTCCTACTGGTATCCCTACCCATAGGTGCTTAGGTGGCAGCTTTCTTAAGTCTATTCCTACTCTACTGTCTGCTTTCCTAACTTCAAAAGATTATTGATGTTGCTCATCAGCTATTGTCGCCTCTCATATTTTCTTTGTCCTTGTGAATTTGTGACTTTCTTCATGTATTTGCTGCATTTAAAAATGGTTCAGGAGAAACAGAATATTAAAGTGCTAATTGATTTGCCATACTTATCTGGAAAACCTCTCCTTTTTGCAGTCCAAAATGTTTTCTCTAATTTTTTTGCTCTTAGATTCCCAGATCGCAAATGCAGGCAATCCAGAGTTCATTTTTAGCTCACTTTGTCATCATCGGTGGTGGAGATCACTGTCATGTGACTCTCCAGCATACTAAACATCTATAGCCCTCTCAAGGCAAGCTCTGCCTGACTTCTGCTGTCTCTCAATCCTTCAGCATCTAGGGCATCCTGGCAGAGAGGAGGATCAAGAAAGAAGGTATAGTGTGCCAGGAGAAACCCAGGAAGATCTCGTCACTGGGAAATGTGGGATTTAGGCCACTGGAAAATATAACCTAGGCTCCTTATGTTTTATTTCACATGAGTGTGTTCTGAAGAAACAGAAGAGGACATGTAGGAAGAAAAGGTGAAGAAACTGCACATCATAGCAGAAAATGATAGATCTTGGAAAGTTTTTTAAAAATGGGAATAAAAACACAAGATAATTATTTGGGGGAGGATCACAGAATTTATTGGAACAGTTTATCTTATTGCCATACAATTCAATATCAATTATGTGTCTCCTAAAATAGGTACCAAATTAACTTTGAGGAATGCACTATTTGATTAGAATAGTAAACAGTCTACACGTATATTCAATATTTATTGTCTGTTGATGTTGTAATCTGCAGAAAAGGAGCTTATTGACAGCTGGCTGCAGAGAGAAGCAAGGAGTATTATTACAAAGGGCCCTGATAACGATGAAATATTTTTGGAGCTGGAGTCAACTACAGAGCTTAGGACTCTCCATACCAGCCAGGAAGCATTGAGCAGATCAAGAAAATAGATCTTTTGCTTGGAATGGTGGATAAATCTAATAACCGCTAAGTCTTGGTCTCTTCTTATCTGTAATGTGGAGAAAATAATTATTCCTAACTCTTAGGATTATTGTGGGGATTAAACGTCTGAAATATAGTAATTGCTCAATAAATGTTAGTTGTTATTATTATTTCTTTTGGTAGGAAAATTGTTGCTGGAGTTGTAATTGTTACCATTATTTGTTTCATGAAGTTCTGAAGATAACCTGGGCCTTGAGAGCGACTTACAATCAATGGAGGAGGTAGTCACTGGCCAAGGTGTAACTACATCTGCCTTCAAGGGGAGGAAACGAAGGTTACTGAAAGTTATGGGACTAAATTCAGAGACACATTTACAATTGTTAGCTTCTCCTCTGGTGGATTTTTGTTTGAAGGCCAAATCTCTGTCTCTCATAACTCACTGTACTTTTGTCTATCCTACAAAGACTGTTTACTGATGACCCTCCAATGACTACAGCAGCACTAGAAATACTAGGTGCTTAATAAATAGTTGTTGAATGAATGGATGAATGAACGGATGGATGGATGAATGAATGAGGCAGAAGAGTTTGTTTGCTGTGGTTGCTGTTTTGCTCATCAGAAGTTCATGTGCCATGGTTACTTACAGCTTGAAATAACAAGAATATGGGTTGGCAATTATTTTTCTTTGATTGGGGGTGTTCTGTAGTTTTTTAAAAATTGTTAGTGTTTTGGCAGCTTTTATCATACAATGTTTGGATAATAAATGACTACTTTGTTGCAGAAAGGTAACACGTCTCCTATATTTTATGAAATAACAAACCTTTCATCTCATTGCTGAATTTTTAGAGCAATGTTTTATAATTAGAAAAATAAAAATAAACCTTTGCCAAAAGTGAAAAGTTTGGGGATGAATAAAGAACAATCTAGTCTTAGGTATGTGCGAATCAGGGAACAAGAGCCATACACACACAGGAGTTTGCTGCAGGGGGAGAAAGGGTGGTAGCTGTTCTCCCAGAGAGCTGTAGCTGATAGGGTTTCCAGCACGGACAGGTCTGGCTGATGAAGCTGTTGTTGAATAGAACATTCCCCAGGTAATTAAAGAATAAGAGTAAGAAATGGAAGATTTTGATAAAGGTGGAAGTTTAGAGAGGCCTCAAACTGTGGGTTGAGAGAGACTAGATAACAAAGAGAAAATTAGACAGTGAATTAAGAAAGGGGAGTTTATGTAGTAGGTTTGGAGCAGAGATATCAATAAAGGAGGAATGCGGCAGCAAGTGGCCTCAAGGAAGCGTTAGTTTGCATATTCTAGGTTAGTGCCATGGTTTTCAAAATGGGGTCCACCGTAGGGTCCTCTTGAGGAGCTCAAAACTGATCGAAACATGCCAGCTATTTTTTTGGTGCTTAGGTACAAGTGACTTTCATCTTACTTAGGGGTAAGAGGCGCTCACTAGTAACATACTAAGAAAGCTAAGGGTTGCTAAACATAGCTATTTATAAACTAAAAGTAATGTACTATTAGAGTTGATGAAAAATTGAATTCAGTAGTCTACTGACAAGTCTGGTTGACTCCCAATACCACATGTGTATATGTTGTGGAGCTTGTATTGCATATGCACATGATGATGGTTGGAATTCTTAGAGTTTTTTGAAAGGATTCTTTGTTAACAGTGTATCATCATCGTTTTCTTGAATTGGTCATGATTTTCAGCTGCTACCATTCTGGCTATTTAGTGACTAACTGAATTTAGCTTTGTTACTTAAATTTGTTGGTTGGTTGATTAGACATTTGCAAGTAGTGACATATATTTGTAGCAGTGCTATTTGGGGCTTAATTTTTCCCAAAACTAGAACTCGAGATGTAGATAATTCATACTCTATTGCTAGAGTAGCTGTACAGAGAAAACCCACTGTGTTTGCTTATAGAGTGATGGCTTACTTTTATCACTCAGTTCTTTCTCTTACTGAAAATCAGACTTGGTAGAGCATGGAGTCATTTTCCTTACTTGGATGAACTATAGTCCAAATAGTTTGAGATACAATGTTTAGGCTGCGTGTGGTGGCTGATGCCTGTAATCCCAGCACTTTGGGAGGCCGAGGTGGGAGGATTTCTTGAGACCAGGAGTTCGAGACCAGTGTATACAACATAGTGAGACCTTGTCACTACAAAATAAATAAATAAATAAATAAATAGCCGTGTGCAGTGGCTCAGGCCTGTAATCCCAGCACTTTGGGAGGCCGAGGTGGGTGGATCACGAGGTCAGGAGATCGAGACCATCCTGGCTAACACGGTGAAAGCCCATCTCTACTAAAAATACAAAAAAATTATCCAGTCATGGTGGCACGTGCCTGTAGTCCCAGCTACTGGGGAGGCTGAGCCAGGAGAACCTCTTGAACCGGGGAGGCAGAGATTGCAGTGAGCTGAGATTGCACCACTGCACTTCAGCCTGGGCAACAGAGTGAGACTCCATCTCAAAAAAAAAAAAAAAAAAAGGCCAGGTGTGGTGGCACCCACCAGTAGTCCCGGCTACTCAGGAGGCTGAGGCAGGAGGATCACTTAAGCCCAAGAGTTCAAGCCTGTAGTGACCTAGGGCAGTGCCATTGCACTCTAGTGTGGGCAACAGAGTGAGACCCTGTCACTAAAAATAAATAAATAAATAAAAACAATGTTCAAGCAAATAGCTTGGTAAAACTTTTAACAAAGGGTGTCTACTTGTATGTTGGTGATATTTAGGGAAATGTCCTAAAGAGCCAAAATTCCATTGAAAATTATTAGGTTACTGTAAAAATCTTAACTTCACTTTTATTATCAAATACTTGGAAGTGTAGGTGTCGTGATTCAGGAAGACTTGACTGCAAAGCATGCAGATAGACCAGTGTGAAGCAGGAGGAAAAAGGAGAAAGCAAGGATCTGGTAATTCTGGGGCTAAGGAAGCAAACAACCCTATAGCTTGGGTTTCTAAGAACGTGGTATCTGGGGAGGTGGGAAATTCCAAATTGAGTGAATTAGGATATCAATTCCTGCAATCCAAATAGTCTGACATTGGAGGTTACTTGAATCCAGAATTTGAGTCCAGATTCCTAGATTGTTAACTGAGCAAAAACATAGATGGCCCTAGACTATTTATATTCTAGGTCTAATTACTCCCTGCTGTTAGCATTTCTACAGGGCTCAACCCAACCCAAACTGAAAGGTGACAACATGAGAAGAGAGGGACAAGAATGCTGGGAATGAAGGTCTGAGCCCAGGAATGATTTTCTGGACAGGTTTAGGTGTTCTCAGAGGCTTTTTATGCAGTGGCCCATGTAATGGGAGATGGGGGTGAGGAGCAGGGAGAAAAGACTAGAAAAAGGCCCTCCAAAGCAACTTACTAGCCTCTCTTTTAGGATCTGCCAGAATCCAAGATGACTCTTCATTTTGGGCTAGACTACAGGTTTCTTTCAAATACAATAGGACAAAAATTGAAGAACACCAAGAGACCGAGAAGTGCGAAAGAGTTCCTTCTCCTTTTGTTACCCATCAAATCAAATGCTAAATAGTCAAGTATTATCTGCATTGCTTTCAGCCCTCTTCCAGACGTGGATAGCTGTGATAGGCCTGCATCCCAGAGCAGGTGTGGTTCATTTAGACAGGGGGTGAACACAAGGTAGTTCTGCCCACCTGGGCAACTGTTCCAGTTGTGTGGGGAGGATTATGACCTTGTTATCACCTCCTTGGGGCAGAA
Organism: Homo sapiens; assembly: GCF_000001405.40. Lineage (NCBI taxonomy): Eukaryota > Metazoa > Chordata > Mammalia > Primates > Hominidae > Homo > Homo sapiens. The sequence continues at coordinate 139,058,009 of NC_000006.12, forward strand.
ATCATGGGCCCATATGATGTTCTGTCATTATTTTTCTTTATTTGAGATATAAAATAGAGACATTTCTTCCGAATTTATTTATAGAGACACAAACATCAAAAGAACAAGAAAGATGTCTTTAAAAAGAATTTTTAAGCCAGAGATTTGCAGGTGCTACATTTTCTTTCATTGCAGCTTGTCTCTAGGGAAGGTGTGAAAAGATCTTGGCACACTTCTTTTACTAACTTTACTAACGGTGGTCACAGCCCATCTGGGAGGAAAAATCAGTACACAGTGATGCCAGATATCTCAAGGCTCAATTAGGAGATTTTCCTGAGAGCCTCCTATATTTCTCTTTGGAGGGTCTCATCTGCTGCACACCACCATCCTTCACACCAGAACAGGAGCCCCAACAATGCAGGGGTTTTTTTCGTGTGTTTCGTTCAGAGTTGTGTCTTCAGTGACTAAAACAATACCAGGCACATAATAGGTGCTAAATAAAAATTGTTGAACAAATGAACAAATGTCCTTCACCTCATTCATCATGAATGGAGGTGATAATAATAGCTAACGTTTATTAATATTTTACTACGTACTTGGCAATGTACTAGCTACTTTACAAACTTTTTTTTTTTTTTTTTGAGACCATCTCTCTCTCCAGGCTGGAGTGCAGTGGCATGATCTCGGCTCACTGCAACCTCTGCCTCCTAGGTTCAAGCGATTCTCCTGCCTCAGCCTCCCGAGTAGATGGTACTACTGGTGTGTGCAACCATGCCCAGCTAATTTTTGTATTTTTAGTGGAGACGGGGTTTCACCATGTTGACCAAGATGGTCTCAATCTCTCGACCTCGTGATCTGCCTGCCTCGGCCTCCTGAAGTACTGGGATTATAGGCATGAGCCACCACACCTGGCCACAAATGTTATTATTATTATTATTTTTATTTTTAGAAAAAAGAGTTTTATTATTAAGAGAATTTAAAGGAAGACATTAATAGAAAATGAAAAGAAATTATGAACCCTTTCAAAACCTTTCAATTCAATGTTCTAGTTCTTCATTTCCTAGATACAACTCTGTACCATGGTCATAATTTTTCCGTCTCATGAATAGGAGGACAAATGATAGGAGTGGAGACTATCCCGAGGAATACTTTTGAGATTAGTGGATAGGAGTTCAATGAATAAGTCAAGTATACCTAAAGAAACATTGAACGTACAAGTATATCACAGTCAATATCTCATATCATGAACAGTTAGTCAAAATAGCTTTCTCTTTCCTAACCATTTTGCCATACTACAATGATCTACTTAAAATACAAATTTCACAACTTCAATGATTCTTCACTGCCCACAATTAACACACTGTTTCGTAGACTATGTTCTACCAATTATACATTGCCTATATATGTTTAATCGTCACTATAAAGAAATAGCGGACAGGCGTGGTGGCTCATGCCTATAATCCCAGCACGCTGGGAGACCGAGGCAGGGATACTGCTTGAGCCCAGGAGTTTTGAGAGCAGCCTGGGAAACAGAGTGAGACCTTTTGGCTACAAAAAAAACATAAAAAAAAATTAGCAGGGTGTAGGGGCACGTGCCTGAAGTCCCAGCTATTTAAGAGGATGAGGTGGGAGGACTGAGTTGAGCCCAGGAGCTAGAGGCTGCAGTGAGCCAAGATCATGCCACTGCACTCCAGGGCAAGCCCTTGTCTTCAAAAAACAAAAAAATTAAGGAAAGTAATGTGTTGAACAAACACCAAGTACAAAGTATACTAATACAGTGGATAAATGCTACTCCAACTCTGATCCACCGACTGCCAGGATCAGCATGACGTTGCAGATAGAACTCAAGAATCTGTCATAACAGGCTATCTGGCTGATTGTTCTGAATGTGAAAGTTTTAGAAACACTGTTCCAGAGGGTAAAAATGAGGGGACCTAATTTTTTCTCTCTTAGGAATCTTACCCACCAAAAGGTATTGCAAGCATCTGTTGTGGGGCTGGAATTCTTAAAACCTCTCCAAGCATGCTGTGTGAATAAAAGGACAGTGTTCAGATTTCTGACTCTAACAGACCATCTAGCCATGGAAGCCTACAGCTCTTTTAAAACATGTACTTTCAATGCACAAACATTATCTTATTTAATCTTTACATCATCCAATGAGGTATGTATTAATAATGATACTGTTTTTATTATTCCCACTTTATACTCTGAGACTAAGGGAATCTAGTAAACGCCAAAGTTATTCTGCTAGGAAGAAGCATAAGTGGGAATCTGAGTGCTCCGATCCTATTCAGTGCTGTCCTCAAGAAGGTTACAATCCAGTTAGGAGGATGAAATTGATGCTAGTGAAACAATTAGTCTTCCTACTTTCTCTATCAGTGCTTTTGTTTTCCATTCAGGGCAGATGAATCATCTGAGGATCTTGTTAAAGTGCAAGTTCTGTTTCAATATGTGTGAAGTGAGCCACAAAATACTGCAAGTCTAAAAAGCTCCCAGGTGATGCCAACACTGCTGGCCCCCAGACTATGCATTGAGAAACAAGTTTACATCCCCTTTCCCTTTCTCAGGCATTGCTGTTGCTACAGGCTGCTGTGGTCTAGGGCAATGTGCCCCAAATACCTCTTACAAAGTGACTCACATCTTCCTAGTTCCCACAATACTTATAGAACACTGGAAATGTTCTTCATTTAGGGTTTTTGATTAAGTAGATTCACTTTTTAAGTATGCAAATCAACTCAAGATGCATTAAAGTCTTAAATGTATAAAAATAAAACTCTAAAAACCTTGGAAGAAAACCTAGGAAATACCATTCTGGACATAGGAATTGGCAAAGATTTCATTACAAAGACACCAAAAGCAATAGCAACAAAAGCAAAAATTGACAAACGGGATCTAATTAAATGAAAGAGCTTCTCCACAGCAAAAGAAACAATCAACAGAGTAAACAGATAATCTACAGAATGGGAGAAAATATTTACAAAGTATGCATCTGATACAGGTCTAATATCCAGAATCAATAAGGGACTTAAACAAATTTACAAGCAAAAAACAACCCCATTAATAAGCGGGCAAAGGACATGAACAGATGCTTTTCAAAAGAAGACATACATGCAGCCAACAAGCATGCGAAAAAATGCTCAATATTACTAACCGTTAAAGAAAGTACATCAAAATCACAATGAGATAACCGTCTCACACCAGTCAGAATGGCTATTACTAAAAAGTAAAAAAAAAACCAGACGCTGGCGAGGTTGAGGAGAAAGGAAAACACACACTGCTGGTAGGAGTGTACATCAGTTCAACCATCGTGGAAAGCAGTGTGGTGATTCCTCAAAGAACTAAAAACAGAGCTATCATTCGACCCAGCAGTCCTATTATATATCCTGGGTATATATCCAAAGGAATAGAAATCATTTTACTAGAGAGAGAAGTGCACATGAACGTTCACGGAAGCACTATTCACAGTAGCAAAGTCATGGAATCAACCTAAAATGCCCATCACTGGTAGACTGGATAAAGAAAATGTGGTACATACACACGATGAGATATTATGCAGCCATAAAAAGAACAAGATTATGTCCTTTGCAGGATGGAACTGGAAGCCGTCATCCTTAGCAAACTAACTCAGGAACAGAAAACCAAATACCGCATGTTCTCACCTATAAGAGGGAGCTAAATATTGAGAACACATGGACACAAAGAGGGGAACAACAGACACTGTGGCCTATTTGAGGGTGGAGGGTAGGTTGAGGGAGAGGATCAGAAAAAATAACTATCTGGGCCGGGCTCGGTGGCTCACGCCTGTAATCCCAGTGCTTTGGGAGGCCGAGGCGGGCGGATCACCTGAGGTCAGGAGGTCGAGACAAGCCTGGCCAAGGTGGTGAAACCCCGTCTCTACTAAAAATACAAAAATTAGCCCGGTGTAGTGGTTAATCCCAGACCTGTAATCCCAGCTACCTGGGAGGCTGAAGCAGGAGAATCGCTTGAGCCCGGGAGGCGGAGGTTGCGGTGAACTGAGATCGCGCTATTGCACTCCAGCCTGGGCGACAAGAGGGAGACTCCGTCTCAAAAAAGAAAGAAAGAAAGAAAGAAAGAGAGAGAGGGAGGGAGGAAGGGAGAAAGGAAGCAAGGAAGGAAGGAAGGAAGGAAGGAAGGAAGGAAGGAAGGAAGGAAGGAAGGACGGAAACTCTCTGTTGCTATGCTTAGTACCTGGGTGACAAAACAATCTGTACACCAAACCCCCATGTCACTCCCATAGTTTACCTATATAACAAACATGCACATGTACCCCTGAACCTAAAATAAAAGTCAAAAAAATAAATTAAAACAAATTTAAAAGAAAAGTGGAAATGCATTTATTGTTTTGAATTGTATTGATTTTTCTAGAATATGTGATAAAGTGCACAAGTCTTATGTATATAGCCCCATAAATTTTTATACCCCCTCCACACATAGAGATAACTACCACCCCATCAAGATAGAAAACATTTCTTAGCCCCAGAATGCTCCCTCATGCCCCTTCCCAGTGAATATCACTCTCTCACGTGATCATTGTTCCGCCATCTGTTATGCACATTAGTTTTGCCTCTTCTTGAACTTCATAAAAATGGAATTGTAAGGCTGCGCCCGGTGGCTCACACCTGTAATCCCAGCATTGTGGGAAGATGAGGTGGGGGGTAGATCACTTGAGAACAGGAGTTTGAGACCAGCCTGGCCAACGTGGTGAAACCGCATCTCTACTAAAAATACAAAAATTAGCTGGGTATGGTAGCAGGCACCTGTAATCCCAGCTACTCGGGAGGCTAAGGCAGGAGAATCGCTTGAACGTGGGAGGTAGAGGTTGCAGTGAGCTGAGATTGCTCCACTGCACTCCAGCCTGGGCAACAAAGTAAGACTCTGTCTCAAAAAAAAAATAAAAAAAAAAGAAAGAAAAGAAAAAGAGAGAAAAAAAGAAAAGCATAACTATTAATCTTCACCCATGCACCTCCTAAAATTATTTCCCATATGCTATTTTGGTAAACATTGGTAGAGCAGAAGAAAGCCATGGACTTTGGCTTAAGACACTCTTGGGTTGGAATCTTGGCTCTGTTGCTTACCACAGCTATGTGATCTTGGTCAAATAACTTTCTTATATGATTTAAGTGATGGTTTGCAATCTCTGAGTCTGAGCTTAATGAACTGCAATTTTATGTTAACAATGTAAATGAATCCTACAATAAGCCTGAGGGAAAGAAGCTGGAGCCAAAAAGGGTACACCCACTGTATGATTCTGTTTATAAATAGTATAAAAACAAGCAAAACTAATCTTTGCTACTGGAAGTGAGGATCATGATTACCTTTGAGAGGAGGTAGTGACTAGGAGAGATTCAAGTGGAGCCTATTTGGAGGGCTGGAAATAATAATAATTATTATTATTATTTTGAGACAGAGCATTACTCCATCACTCAGGATTGAGTGCAGTGGTGCAATCAGGGCTCGCTGTAGCTTCACTCTCCCTGGCTCAAGCAATCCTCCCACCTCAGCCTTCTAAGTAACTGGAATTACAGGTGCCTACCACCATGACTGGCTATTTTTAAAATTTTTTTGTGGAGTTGGAGTCTCACTCTATTGCCTGGGCTGGTCTTGAACTCCTGAGCTGAAACAATCCTCCCACCTCAGCCTCCCAAAGTTTTGGGATGACAAGTGTAAGCCATCGTGCTCGGCCTGGAAAGATTTTCTGTCTTGATCTGGGTAGCAGTTACATCACCTGAGGATCTTGTTAAAATGCAGGTTTTATGTGGATATCTGTATGTGTACATGCATATATATACATTCATATACATACACACATACATTTTTATATGCACACATGCACATACACAATGTAGTACTTGAGGACTCTTTTGGGGTACTGGTCTCGTTCTGTTCCTTGATCTAGCTGCTTGCTACACATGTGCTCAGACTGAAAATTCATCAAGCTGTAAATAGATATGTGCACTAGAAATGGATTTCTTCTCTGTAAAAATGGAGATAATAATAAAAATAATGTCTACTTCAGAAGTTTGGTTGACTAAAGTATAAAAAGCATCTGCTGTGCTGGGCGCAGTGGCTCACGCCTGTAATCCCGGCACTTTGGGAGGCTGAGGTGGGTGGATCACGAAGTCAGGAGTTCGAGACCAGCCTGGCCAATATGGTGAAACTCCATCTCTACTAAAAATACAAAAATTCGCCAGACTTGGTGGTGTGTGCCTGTAGTTTCAGCTATTTAGGAGGCTGAGGCAGAAGAACCAGTTGAACTCAGGAGGCGGAGGTTGCAGTGAGCCAAGATTGCGCCACTGCACTCCAGCCTGGGCAATGGAATGAGACTCCATCTCAAAAAAAAAAAAAGTATCTGCTGAATAAAGATTAGGTCCTTTGCTCTTATTTCACTATAGAGTAAGAGATACAATTAGAACTTATAATGCAGGTAGAATTAGAACTTATAATGCAGCATGAAAAAAGCCACATTATAAAGTATTAACTTCATCATGTTCACATTTTGTCCGAGATATAAATCTTACATTAGAAAAATAATGCTTTAGAGTAGAACTGATGAATAGGTGGGAGAGATTAACTGGAGGAAGGGCAGTTTCCAGACCTCACTGATGGGCATTTTGCCAGTAAAGATGCTTGAGAGAAACAGAGCCAATAAGTTTTTGTGTGTGTATATATGTGTGTGTGTTTATATGTATGTGTGTGTGTGTTTATATGTATGTGTGTATATATATGTGTAGACACACACATGCATATAAACACATATATAGACACAAGTATGTACACACATACATATACACACACATATATATACACACACATACATATATATGAGATATGATCTAACAAGATTTTGGAGAATTCTTGAAATGTAGCTAGCTATCTGATGTTCCTGATATAACATAAATATCTAGTCTCCTTTATAGCTAAGATACGTTATATATATACCTAAGATATGATATATATACGTATGTGTGTGTGTGTATATATGTATGTATGTGTGTGTATATATATATAGAGAGAGACCATATATATGTACGGAGAGAGACGAAGAGAGAAAGAGAGATTTTAATGATTGGCTCATGTGATTGTCAAGGCTGGTGAGTCTGAAATTTCTAGGACAGGCATGCAGGCTGGAAATTCTGGCAGGAATTCTAACAATCTTGAGGCAGAATTCCTTCTTCTCTGGGAAACCTCATTTTTTACCCTTAAGGCCTTCAACTGATTGGATGAAGCCCATACACATTACGGAGGGTAATCTTCTTTACTTAATCCAAATGATTATAAAAATTAATCACATCAAAAAAATACCTTCATAGCAACATCTATTTGGGTACCATAGCCCAGGCAAGTTGACACATAAAATTAACCATCACAGCATCTATAAATCCTGCTTAGAGTTAAAATAGCTTTGTACTCAGCTTAAATGGCCCTCGCTATATATTTAGGCAGAACACATCAATCTTCTGGAAGATATTTATATCCTGTTCCAAGTGATATATGATCTTATGGTTTAGTGTTGCATGGGCCACGGGCAATCATACTAATCTTGGCTGAAGTAGCTTAGTTATAGCGGAGAATAGATATTTATGTTATATCAAGAACATCAGATAGCAAGCTAAGTCTTCAGGAATTCTCCAAAATGTCTTTAGATCATAACGTATAGCAAACCCTCCTAGATCAAACTACTGCATATAAAAGTATCCTTCAATCAATGAAGGGGTCGAATTCCAAAAGTTTGTTTCTTTTTGTTGTTGTTATTGGAAGTTGAAAAATGTTTTTTTTTCCCCTCCAAAATAACATTATGTTCCCAGGTGCACAGAAAGACATAGATGGTATCCCTATTTATGTAATTTTAACCATTTCCTTAGGTAATTGTTTTCACAATTAATTTCCTGATTGCCTATTTCCCTTTCCTAGACCTCTTGAAAATATCAAAAATGGGTGATCAGGTCTTTTGCCACAAAGTTATATGAACAGAAAAAAATGTTTAGTTGACCTTGAACCTATTGATTACATATGGCCCATAGAAGTATTTCCTTTTGATGCATATGTTTAAAAACAGTAAGAATTAGTTGTTGACATGTAAAAATCAGGAGATTTCTCAAAAAACATGGATTCCTGGATTCTCTTAGAAAAATAAAACAGATCTGGCAGGAGGAAAGTAAAGACAGCTGGGGCTTGGGCTCCCCGGGTCCCCAGAGCCACCCCTTGGCTGGCTTTACTGTCATGTTATCAGTCTGGCACTGTAGGCATTTGAATTGTGACCTCTGTCGTAGACAGCCTGTAGCTGTCACCTTGCTAGGGCTACTGTCACAGATCCAGTGTCTGCTATTGGGCTTTAAGGTCTTTATTTCCCTCCTCCTGCCAGCCAAGATGAAACAGTCTACATAGTGTTGTAGCTACTGCCCTAAGGGACACATGCCCAGCACATGAGTTGCCAAATCCCTTTCCACAAGGTCTGGAGGAAGAAGGCCTTATTCCTTAAACCCCCTTCCCCATGGAGGAAGAAGGCCTCATTCCTTTTTTTTTTTTTTTTTTTTTTTTTTTGAAATGGAGTCTCACTTTGTTGTCCAGGTTGGAGTGCAATGGCTCGATCTCAGCTCCTGCAACCTCCGCCTCCTGGGTTCAAGCGATTCTCCTGTCTCAGCCTCCTGAGTAGCTGAGATTACAGGGGTGTGCCACCAGGCCCAACTAATTTTTGTATTTTTAGTAGAGATAGGGTTTCACCATGTTGGTCAGGCCGTTCTTGAACTCCTGACCTCGTGATCCGCCCGCCTCGGCCTCCCAAAGTGCTGGGATTACAGGCGTGAGTCACCGCGCCCGGCAGAAGGCCTCATTCCTTAAACCTCCTGGGATCCCTGTCTTTCCTTCCTTTCCTTGCCCACCTGCCTACCTGTCTTCCTTTCTCCCTTCCTCCTTCTCTCCATTTTCCTTTCCTCCTTTTTCCTTTTCCTTTTCCTTTTCCTTTTCTTCTCCTCCCCTCTACATTTCCCTCTTTATCTCTGTTGCTTTCTCCTTCCTGCCATCCTGGCTGCAAGTTTTTTTCAGCAGCAAGGCAGTGAGAGCAGGTCTTCCCTGCCTCCATCTCCTGGTGAGAGTTTACACTTACACTTAGGTGGCAAGAGGCTGGGGCTAGGGCTCTGGGACAGTGTTTAGAGTAGTGGCTCTGGGACGCAGCCCTGAAAGATGGGGTGAGGGAGGAGCCAGGAGCAGTTTCGCCTCATCTTTCCAGCCCCTTCTCTCTCTTTAAGAGTCTCCGTAATGAAGGTGCATGGGGAGAAGGACTCTCTCTTTTTCTGTCTTCTTGGTCCCTCTAATTTTCTGGTCCATTTTATTCTACTTCTTTCTCCCATTTCCTCCCTCTTTCAAACAGTCTTGCTGATCTTGTTCCCAGACAGGCACTTGATGGGAATAAAAGCTGGAGACTGTGCTTAGTGGGCAGAATGAGAAGTGGCAAAGGGGACACTGAGCGGTGGCCCTCATGGGAAGGAAGAAGGAGTAGAAGAAAGTTCTGTATTGGATTGGAAGAAAAAGCTCTTTCTGAAGCAACTTGACTGGGCTCAGTTTTATACTATGCGTGCTGAGGAGCAAGGGCAGATGCCTCTATTCTCTTTATATGTTTGCCACCCTATGCCTGGAGGATTGTGCCCTGTTTTTGCAAGTGTGTTTCAATTAAGTGAATTATATGATAATTAAAAATAAATGCCCAATAAGCTAAGAAAATAGGTTCTCAAGTCTCCTCCTCCCCCTCCCCCTCCCCTTCCCCTCCCCCTCTCCTCCTCCTTCTCCTCCTGCTCCTCTTCCTCCTCCTTCTTCTTCTTCTTCAGACAGGGTCTTGCTCTGTCACCTGGGGAGTGTAGTGGTACAATCTCACCTCATTGCAAACTCCTAGACTCAAGCAATCCTCCCACCTCTGCCTCCCGAGTAGCTGGGAGCACAGGTGTGCACCATCACATCTGGCTAATTTTTGTATTTTTTCTAGAGATGGGGGTCTCACCATGTTGTCCAGGTTTGTCTCCAACTCCTGGGCTCAAGTAATCTGCCTGCCTTGGCCTCCAAAAGTGCTGGAATTACTGGCATGAGCCACTGTGCCTGACCCCATTTTTTTTTTTTTTTTTTGAGATGGACTCTCACTCTGTCATCCAGGCTGGAGTGTAGTGGCACGATCTCGGCTCGGTGCAACCTCCGCCTCCCAGGTTCAGGCAATTCTCCCGTCTCAGCCTCCCAAGTACCTGGGACTACAGGTGTGCACCACCACACCCAGCTAATTTTTGTAATTTTAGTAGAGATGGGGTTTCACTATATTGGTCAGGCTGGTCTCAAACTCCTGACCTTAGATGATCCATACGCCTTGGCCTCCCAAAGTGCTGAGAATACAGGTGTGAGCCACTGCGCCTGGCCTTTTTTTTTTTTTAATTGGTACATTATACCAGGGTTTTTGGACATTATAGAAAGGGCTTTTAAAAATAGTTAATAATCAATGGATATTATAGAAAAACAAAGACTGGCCAGATGTTTCAAACTCAGTGTTTATTTTAACACAATCAAACAAAAATCTGGGTATCATTATCCCTTCTCAACTCTGAGTACATAACCAACACATAAAGCATGATGGTATCTGTATTGTGATGGCTAAATGAACGACATTGTTAGTATACGATTATCATCCCCAAATGTTCATTAAATGCTGATATATTGGTGGAGCTGTGATCAGAGCCTACATAAAGCAAATTAATAAGCAGGTAACCACCCAGGCATCATTCACTACCCAACATTCACATCAATGTTAATAAGATATACAAAATAATGATGTTAGTCTAAGAGGCAATTTTTAGAAATTACTTGGCTGATTCTGTCATACCATTAGCATCTATGAAAATGATAATTTTGACATTAAAAGGGATAAAAAATGGAGGCCACAGTTTAGATATACCTCAAGGCCATCTATCCATACTCATGTAGCCAACACTTGAGTCATCCTGATTTTCCCAAATGCTAGCTCTATTTATAAATGAAACACAAAATATAAGCTTTACATCCTTGTCAACATGATTCAGTGAAATTAAACCAATTAGCTGTAGACAAACAAGCTCAAACAGCTCTGCTTGCCTTAAAAAGAATGTTAACGTCTAAAGGCCAGTCATGAAACAAGTCAAAATACTTGCTCCTTTAATGCTCTATAAACTGTTCCATAACTGCCGTGAACAGGACTTTTTACCATATTTTATTTGAGGTCTCCTTGTTCTCTAACTGTTCCTTTGTGCACCATGAATTTCTACAGTTAGTTTCTTTTATTTTTTTTCATCTGTTATGTTTATTATTCAACAAAGCAAATAAAGTCATGGCTTAAGGGGGAAAATATTTGAAGTAAACAGGACAATATTATTTGTGCAAGTTGCCTTATACAAGAAATTCCAAAAAAACAAACATCCAAAGTGAATGTGCACACTACACATGATTTCCAGTGAAACTGTGCCAGTGACACAAAATGTTCTGACAATAACTTATTGTCGATATGGGGGATAGTTGAATAGATATTTTCCCTAGGAACAATTTTAAAATTTGATCTGATTTTATTTTTAACACAGCAAAACAATTAAATCCATAACCAATTATGTCAGCTATAATGGGATGAATTCAAAGGGCATAGTTTGAATTTAAATTGGTATACATTAAGTGATATATTCATAAATTCATAAATTGATAAAATTTCATATATTTTAAGTGATATATATTAATAATTAAGTAATGTAATATAAAATTCTGGCCGGGTGGAGGTCCATTTTTCTCCTTAAAATAGGAGAATGACTTTTGGGAAGGTGGATGACAATGAAGAACCTTCCTAAACATGGCAGCCCGTTCTCAGGCAGATCAATTTCAAGTAAAACTATCTTTGCTCACGTGACCCTTGGAAAGTCTTCAGGTATCCCCAGGAGTACTCAAGTTTGGAGACCACTGCTATTAAGAACCAAATAAACGGCTGGGCGCGGTGGCTCATGCCTGTAATCCCAGCACTTTGGAAGACCCAGGCGGGCGGATCAGGAGATTGAGACCATCCTGGCTAACACGGTGAAACCCTGTCTCTACTAAAAATACAAAAAATTAGCCGGGTGTGGCGGCGGTCGCCTGTAGTCCCAGCTACTCAGGAGGCTGAGGCAGGAGAATGGTGTGAACCCGGGAGGCGGAGCTTGCAGTGAGCCGAGATCGGGCCACTGCACTCCAGCCTGGACGACTGAGCGAGACTCCGTCTCAAAAAAAAAAAAAAAAGGAACCAACCAACCAAACTTCCTTGACATCTAAACACACCAGGCACATACTCAGTAACAATTATTATTATGCTGAGAAAGGCCAGCTGTCATTTATAGGCAGAGATAGATAGATATAGAATATATAGAGATATAGAAATAGTTAACAATAATTTTTCTACACCCATATAGTAGATTGTGGCATTTTAAATTCCCATGTCTCAGAAAGAATGCGATAATTAAATCATTTTACTAATCCCATAATTATCTTTATGTTTTTCAACAAGGAGGGAGTGAGTCTGGGAAAGGCTTCAAGAGTGATATAACTTGAGTGGCACACACCTGTAATCCCAATACTTTGGGAGGCCAAGGTGGGAGGACTGTTTGAGACCAGCCTGGGCAAAATAGGGAGACCATGTCTCTACAGAAATTTTTTAAAAAAAATTATTGGAGCATGGTTGCAGGTGCCTGCAATCCCAGCTACTTGGGAGGCTGAGGTGGAAGGATCACTTGAGCCTGGCAGGTCAAGGCTGCAGTGAGCTCTGATCATGCCACTTCACTATAGCCTGGGCAACAGAGTGAGACCTTGTCTCTAAAAAAAAGAGAAGAGTAGATGTTTGCCATGATGAAGTGAGGGATTAAGGTTATTTCAGGGCACAGAGGAGAGAGAGAAAGGGTCCAAAGACAAAGGACAACTTAGTGTAGCTCAGTTTGTCTGAAGTGAAGGATGGGAGAAATATGGTCAAAAATCAGTCTAGCAAGCCAAGGAAGAGTCAGAGCATATGCTAAGATCTAGTGTTTCTCTTGAAGAAGTTGGTGCTTCATGACACAGGCAACAAAAGCCGTTTAAAGCTTTGGCACAAGCTGAGACTCTAATAAGAAAACCTTGCCATCAGAAAAACGGGAAAACCAAAAAGCAAGGTCTCAAACTGAGGCAGTTAGCTACAGGGTTAGAGAAAGCGGGAATGACAGTAGGGATGTTAGGGATATAAAAGAATCAAGGTTTGGCTACTAGGTGGATGTGGGGAGTGAGAGAGAAGGAGCCATGGGGAATGGTCCAGGTTTCTCGGTTGGTTATGATGTCAGGATTGTGCTTGACTATCACAGTTGGCAACACAATCTACTGCTATTCTGCAGATTTGTGATGCCTCTCCTAGCTTTCTGCGCAACCTTCTTTAGAATGGCTTTTCGTCCTCGTGCTTGTCATCTTGTTAATGTAAGAAGCATGTGCTACTTTCAGCATCACATTGGTCCAAGCTGGATGAAGGGAAGGGTTGCAGGGCAAAAGGCAGAGACAGCCCTTTTAAAAAGAGCCTTCCTGGGCCAGGCACGGTGGCTCATGCCTGTAATCCCAGCATTTTGGGAGACTGAGGTGGGTGGGTCATCTGAGGTCAGGAGTTCGGGACCAGCCTGGCCAACATGGTGAAACCCCCCATCTCTACTAAAAATACAAAAATTAGCTGGGGATGGTGGTGCATGCCTGTGATTCCAGCTACTTGGGAGGCTGAGGCAGAAAAGTTGCTTGAACCCAGGAGGCGGAGGTTTCAGTGAGCTGAGATCACACCACTACACTTCAGCCTGGGCAACAGAGTGAGACTCCATCTCAAAAAAAAAAAAAAAAATAGAGCCTTCCTGGATGTCCCACCCATGTCATTATGATATGCAGTAGCCTGAGCAGTTTGTATAGCTACCCCTAGTTGCAAGGGAGGTTCTTTATTTTTTGGTTGTTGAATTATTTTATTTTTTATATGTGTCTTTGTTTACCTTATTATTTTTTAAAATAAAAAATTGCATATATTTCCAAGAAAGTTTTTAAGCGGAATAGATTGCTTCTCTGAACTAAAAGTGATTCTGTTAGTGAAGAATGGATACTGAGTGGCCAACAACAGCATTTCCCACAGATCATTGTGGAGATGCTAGTTTCATGCTCTGAGACAGGAAATATAGGATGAGTAGCAGGCCTCAGTGGAAAGACAATAAATTCAGTTATGGATGTGTTGTGTTTGAGGTTACTATGAGTTATCCAGCTGAGATATTCAGTTGAATAAGCACGACTAATGATAATCTGGGGGGGTTCTTGACCTATAGATGACAGTTGGCCCTTCTCAATAATAATTGTTATTGATTATGTGTTTGATTATTTTTAGGTATCAAAGCAGGTTGGTTATTTGGTTCTTAATAGCAGTGGCCTTCAAACTAGAATATTCCTGGAGTACCTGAAGACTTTCCAAGGGTCATGTGAGCACACACAGTTCTAAGGGAATCAATTTCTAGGTTCTCAAATTCCATACATACTCTTACTTGAAACTGATCTGCCTGAGAACCGGCTGCCATATTTAGGAAGGGTCTTCATTGTCACCCACTTCCACAGAACTCCTTCTCCCACTTTAGGGACCTCTACCAAGCCAGAATTTTATATTACATCACTTAACTATAGATTTGTTGTAAGAAATCACATTATTTTCTTGTTTTATAATTTATTATAAAAATGAAAAAATCCTATTACCTCTACATAATGACTTTATGACTTTTAGCAATCTACTTTATGAAATGTTCTTCATAATTTAATAAATTTAATTTATTAAATTTAAATTTAATGGTTTTTGCAATGTTCCTTAAAATCCATATCAACATATTTATTTGAATGGAAACTGAAGTCCTTCTGAAGAATGTAAGCCTAACGTTGCCTTTGCCAATCAGGTTGGATGGCAAACATTTTCCACAGATTCAGTGAGCTAAATCTGTTGTCTTAGGTCATCAAAGTTTTGACATAAAATATATTGAAAACATGTGAGAAGATAAAAATAATTTTATTAAAAATTCTGAATTGGCTAAGGTACATTAAAAGAAAGAAATTTTATTTTCCCAACCCCTTTGAATATCTCTTACTTTAGAAAATGCCTTTGAGCCAAAAATAACATATATATTTAATAACCATTTGATAAGTCTTGGCAAGCCTTTCTTGGAGAAAACCCTGATACCTGGATAAAAACCTCTTTGCAAGCCAGGTGGTTTCCAACTCTTTTCATCTAACAAAATTGAAGACAAGCTTAATCAAGCTGTCATTTGCTAGAACATGAAAAATAATGTTATGATAGATCGCTAGGTGATTTTTGACATAAAATTTAGAACGAGTTGAAAGGATTGACTGATTTTTGTTTCAGCAAACCTTTTCTGTCCCCATTTATTCACATAAGCAAGATTTCTTAGCCCTTACATTTATAAAATGAAAACAAAAATGATGTCAAATCATTTTCATATTATTAATAAATACTATTCATGGATAGACATATGAACTAATTTTAAAAACAAAGCACATTCATCTCATAAAGAGATGCACTCCCAACAAAAATTTTCTTTTATGTTTAATAATTTTCTATCAAAAGTGTCAGCATGTTGATCTGTTTTGATCAACTGTGTATTAGCAATTGTAATGGCAGAAAATGTTAATTAGAGCATTATGAGCACATAAAGTAAAAAGTGTTCAATGTATATACACAATTGTGCAGATCATATGATGTGGTGATCTATAAAAGATTTTTAAGCATAGAATGATACTACATTTGGATAAATTTATGTGGAGTAGGTAGAATAGAATTAGCAGGGGACAAAGTGAAATTTTTGACTGCTAAAAGCAACTTCTTGTTCAGATCTTTTAAAACCATACACTTATGAGTATCACACTTCTAGGGCAGCAGTCCTCAACCTTTTTGACACCAGGGACCAGTTTGGTGGAAGACAATTTTTCTGTGAATGGGGGGAGGGGATAGTTTCTGGATGATTTAAGTGCATTACATTTATTGTGCACTTTATTTCTATTATTATTACATTGTAATATATAATGAAATAATTATACAACTCACCATAATGTAGAATCAGTGGGAGCCCTCAGCTTGTTTTCCTGCAACTAGACAGTTCCATCTGGGGTGATGGGAGACAGTGACAGATCATCAGGCATTAGATTCTCATAAGGAACTTGCAACCTACATCCCTCGCATGCACAGTTCACAATAGGGGTAGCACTCCTATGAGAATCTAATGCCTGATTCTGTACTTCTGGAATCAGGAATAAAATGTGTCAAGCAGTACATAATTTTACAAAATCTTTTTTTTTTTTTTTTTTTTTTGTGACAGAGTCTTGCTCTGTCGCCCAGGCTGGAGTGCAGTGGTGCGATCTCAGCTCACTGCAACCTCTGCCTCCCCAGTTCAAGCCACTCTCCTGCCTCAGCCTTCTGAGTGGCTGGGACTACAGGTGCACGCCACCACGCCTAGCTAACTTCTTTTTTTTTTTTTTTTTGAGACAGAGTCTTGCTCTGTCACCCAGGCTGGAGTGCAGTGTCATGACCTTGGCTCCCTGCAAGCTCCGCCTCCCAGGTTCATGCCATTCTCCTGCCTCAGCCTCCCTAGTAGCTGGGACTACAGGTGCCTGCCACCACACCTAGCTAATTTTTTGTATTTTTTTTTTAGTAGAGACGGGGTTTCACCATGTTGGCCAGGATGGTCTCGATCTCCTGACCTCGTGATCCGCCCGCCTCGGCCTCCCAACTTCTTTTGTATTTTAGTAGAGATGGGGTTTCACAGTGTTGCTCAGGCTGGTATCGAACTCCTGAGCTCAGGCAATCTGCCCTCCTCTGCCTCCCAAAGTGCTAGGATTACAGGCAGGAGCCACCTCCCTCGGCCAATTTTACAAACTCTTTTAAGGCAGCAGATCAAAATGTAGTTTGAATACCACTACCATATCCCATTGTCATTCATGGAAGCTGGCCCTTCGTTTTTTATTTTTTTATTTTTTTTAAGACGGGGTCTAGTTCTGTCACCCAGGCTGAAGTTCAGTGGCATGATCATAGCACTGAAACCCTGAACTCCTGGACTCAACTGATCCTCCTGCTCCAGCTCACCTGCAATCACCACCCTGGGCTGGGACTACAGGTGTGCGCCAGGCTAATTAAAAAAAAATTTTTTTTTGGCCAGGCACCGTGGCTCATGCCTGTAATCCCAGCACTTTGGGAGGCCGAGGCAGGCGGATCATGAGGTCAAGAGGTCAAGACAATCCTGGCCAACATGGTGAAACCCTGTCTCTACTAAAAATACAAAAATTAGCTGGGCATGGTGGCGTGTGCCTGTAGTCCCAGCAACTTGGGAGGCTGAGGCAGAAGAATTGCTTGAACCCGGGAGGCAGAAGTTGCAGTGAGCCAAGATCACACCACTCACTTCAGCATGGTGACAGAGCGAGACTGTGTCTCAAATAAAAAAAAATTTTTTTTTTGTAGAGACTGGCCTTAGTGATCTTGCCTTAGCCACACAAATTGCTGGGATTATAGGTGTGAGCCATGGGGCCCTGTTGAAGCTGGACCTTTAGATGCCCCTGGACACGAGTCCCCATGTCAGTTTGCCATGCTCAACACACACATCACCCTTGTGTGCCTGGTTCCTCTTCCAGAGCTGGGGTCAGTGCCCAGGCTCCATGCTTTCCCTAGGAGGGGATGTTATTACGGCAAGCCCTTTTGGGGCTCCCCAAGAGCTGATACTGAAGGCATTCTGAGACTATGAGGACTAACCAGATAGCTGGAGAGAACCCTGGATGACACTCCACAATGGGGACTTAAGGCTTAAGTCTTCTGGTGAAATTGAAGACTATGTGACATCAAAGGCCAGAGAAGAGGTTGGGAGGATTCAGGGGCTTTGAAAACGGAACCCAGCAGCCACTGAGTTGAGGCTTTGAGGTCTGAATAAGCAAAATGATACTGTT
This sequence comes from Homo sapiens, assembly GCF_000001405.40. Taxonomy (NCBI): domain Eukaryota; kingdom Metazoa; phylum Chordata; class Mammalia; order Primates; family Hominidae; genus Homo; species Homo sapiens. The sequence goes on from NC_000006.12 coordinate 139,075,997, forward strand.
TGTCACAATTCATTTCTTTAAAAAAGAAAGACAAAAATGTTTTTAGCATACAGAAAAATATGGAGAATATTATGGGAAGTATCCATGTTCTACTCACCATAATTGGATGTCATCATTTTGCTAAATTTGCTTCAGCTCTTCCCGATGAACTTCTAACTGTATCAGCAATATATCAGGAATGTTTTAGTTTAGGAAAACATGATATTATGGTGTGAAAGAAATTTTTAAAAATAAACACAGGCACTGCTCATCGTATCCTTGAAATTTACCAGTTTCTGGTCCTTGGTCGTGTGGGTTTCATAATAATATACAGTTGAGACTTCCTATGTTTACGTTATGACTACCTTGAAGTTTGAAATCCTTGAAGTATCATTAGTATCCTCAAGAAACTCCTTTCTAGGCTACCAGTTCAAATTTGGCTTGAAATCACTGGAGTGGCTGAAAAATAATTACAATTCCTCATGTTCACTGACATCATAAAGACTATCATTAGAGTAATTTAGACATCATCTGTTTCCAAAATTTTATCATGCGTTCCACTCACTGATCCAGACAACCACACATCTATTATCAAATAAATGTGAAAGTGGGTGTTAAGTTGAGCCTACACATGGCTTAGTTCTTTTGTCTACTTGGCATCCTCTTAGGACTTATGTGTTCAGTATGTGTGGTTGTAGTTGGCTGATATTGTGATAAGCAGATGCCATGTCCCTTTCAACAAGCGTCAAAGGATTTCATACTTGTGATCAGGACCAACAGGAAGAATTACATTTTTTATTGGCTCAGTAGATATAAATACATATTATATTTAAAAAGCATATATATATATATATATATATATATATATATGTTTTTCTTTTGGTTTCACCTGGTTGAATAGTGTCCCCCCAAAATGCATATTCACCTGGAATCTCAGAATGTGGCATTATTTGGAAATAGGGTTATTGCAGATATAATTAGTTAACATGAGGCCATACTGAAGTGGAGTGGGCCCTGAATCTAATATGACTGTTGTCCTTATAAGAAGAGGAGAAGAGACACAGTGACAGACACACACAGGGAAGAAGGCCATGTGGAGAAAAGGACAGAGATTGCAGTTACACAGCTGCAAGCCAAAGAAGACCAAGGATTGCCAGCAACCACCAGAGGCCAGGAAGAGGCAAGGAAGGGTTCTCCCTTAGAGGCTTCAGGGAGAACGTGTCCCTGCCAGCATCATCCAGTTTGTAGTATTTTGTTATGGCAGCCCTAGGACACTATATATGTATATATATATATTTTTTCTATCTATCTGTCTTTCTTGTGTGTGTATACATTAGAATGTTTCCCCAAAATAACACTTATGTATATTGTTCACAATACATTTTGATATTTTATTTCTGGGTAGAATCCATTCTATTTTGTTCAATTTTTTAAAGATTGGGCTATGAAAAAATCAATTTCATTAGGATGCTATGTTCTTTTCAATAAATCTGCAGCATGGAAAACACTAGATGCTCCTAAAGGAAAAAGAGTACATTATATATTGAAAAATACCTAAAGAGTTTAATAATTAATGCAAAAAAGGCATCAATGTCACGTGTCTTATATTGGCATCATTACTACATTAAATAAAAGTCCCCCAGGCCGGGCGCGGTGGCTCACGCCTGTAATACCAGCACTTTGGAAGGCCGAGGTGGGTGGATCATGAGGTCAGGAGATCGAGACCACCCTGGCCAACACAGTGAAACCCTGTCTCCACTCAAAATACAAAAAATTAGCCAGGCATGGTGGCGGGTGCCTGTAGTCCCAGCTACTTGGGAGGCTGAGTCAGGAGAATGGCGTGAACCCAGGAGGCAGAGCTTGCAGTGAGCCGAGATCATGCCACTGCACTCCAGCCTGGGCGACAGAGCGAGATTCCGTCTCAAAAAAAAAAAAAAAGTCCCCAAAGAGCTGAAGTGTTAATGTACTTTCCAAAAATATGTGAATATTTATGTGTCATGATACAGGGACTCTACATATAACACAGATAGGAAACCCACTTTCTATTCAACTCAGTGACACCTGAAATTGCATGAATAGAGCTGTGTATAATAACTGTGTATCTCTAAGTTTTAAAGTCAGAAAAACTGACTTTTAGCTAGGTGCCACTAGTCACTTAGACAAATGACTTTCGGTGAAATTAATAAGTATCTCTGAGCTGCGCTTTTCTCATGTGAGAAATAGTGATAATAATACTGTATACCTCGCATCATATAAAGTGCGTAGCAAAGTGTCAGGCATGGAGAAAGTGCCCAATACTTAGGAGTTGTCTTCTATTCTCCATATATACTGATGGGTTCAGAGAAAGGGACAATGGAAAGATCATGAGGATACCAGCTTCTGAAAAGAGAAAGGAGGAGATGGAAATGAAGATGCCTTGGAGATCACAACAGACCGGCCAGGAGTGGTGGCTCATGCCTGTAATCCCAGGACTTTGGGAGGCCAAGGCGGGTGGATCACCTGAGGTCAGGAGTTTGAGACCAGCCTGGCCAACATAGTGAAACCCCGTCTCTACTAAAAATACAAAAATTAGCCGGGCGTGGTAGCACACTCCTGTAATCCCATCTACTTGGGAGGCTAAGGCAGGAGAATCGCTGGAACCCAGGAAGTGGAGGTTGCAGTGAGCTGAGATCACACCATTGCACTGCAGCCTGGGCAAGAGAGTAAGACTATTTCTCCAAAAAAAAAAAAAAAAAAAAAAAAACCAGATTACAACAGACACCACAGAAATACAAAGTCCCAGGAGTTGTAATGGTAAGAACTGGTAACATTATATGTGTTTCTAATTTCTATTTCTAGTTTGCCAGATTTTGTCCTAGGTTCAGCTAGTCATCAGCTTTTCTATTTGTTTCTGCATTAGTATAAAATACAAATATTAAGGTACAAAATAAGCTTTTATAGTGAAGCAATCCAAGTACACAACGGCTTGAATAAGACAGCAATATAAATCTGTCACCTGACAGTCCAGAATTAATCAGGCCAGTACCAGTGGGGTGCTCTGCCATTCTCAATAAGTGTCTTCTCTTTCCCAAAGCTCATTTCCCAGGCAGCAGGAAAGGGGAAAGGGTGGGGAGCACACACCCCTTCCTTTTGTGGGGCACTACAAAGAGACAGAAGTCACTTCTATTCGCATTCCATCAGCCAGAATTTACTAACATGACAATACTAAACTGTAAGGGATGCTGAGAGATAGATTTGATACTGTGGCAGTCATTGTCCCTTAATGGATTTTAGTGGACAATTAGTCTCTACCACAGTCCCTCCCTCTTGCTTTCCAAATATGCATACTCCTCACATACTGAATGCATTCACTCCTTCCCTGAAGGAGACAATCCAAACACCCTTCCAGTGACTAAAACCAACTCAGAGTCCAAGATCTCTGGGTGGTGTGCCATCCTCTCCGGCAGGGCTGGAAGTGGATCATTGGGTTTGCTGGCCCATAAATGAATAGAAAAGTGTTATGTCCTCCACCCCACACCCAAAATACATGGAGAAGTAGGAATGGGGTAATTTCCATAAGTATCTCATTTAGAAAAGCAAAGAATGGGAAGCACATGGCAGTCATTAGTTAATGGGAATTATGAATTCCTGCTAGGTGGGAATAGGGAAAACTTGAGTCCTGGCAATGAAGTGAGGTCCTTGATTAGGCCCTAGATCTGCTTCCTGGAAGGAGCATTCCTGTCCACTTTCCTCCACAGCTCATGTCTTTGCTCTCTTGGTCCACTAGCCTCACCGGGGGGGTGCTGGAGAGTGTGCCCTTCCTGTGGCAGACAATCCTGTTAGTGCAACATTAAAGGCTTGGGTTGCTTTAAAGGTCCAAGAACGTATGGATCTGACACCCTGGGGAGGTACTCTTCCTGAGACTGCTACTAGAGCCGTGAGTTCAAGAGTGCAGCTTTGCAGCTGTGTTCCAGCGGTCAGGAAGCTGGAATCAAGGCATGACCATTGCTGCTCAACTGCCCTCCACACCTAGGAAGCTGAGAACAGGAACTGGGACATTGCTGCAGAAAAAAATGACCAAAACATTGGCATCAATATGGCCTCCATCTCATTTCTCCCTTCTACTTCTCCCAAGATTCATGTACTGGGCAGAGTACAATGCATATCCAGAACCCGAGCTGTAAGGGGGTTTGGAAAGATCATTTTTAGATGTCCAATCTTTCTAATCAGAAGGAGGAGGGGTTGCATGTTGAGGTAGCCAACTCACAGTCTCCATCACAAGGTTTATAAAGGAGTGTCTATTTTGATAAGTAATTTCACTGTGAGTTTCAGTGATGTTGATTTAGGAGATCTTGGTGTCCAGTTAGAAGGACTTATGTCCTATAACTTGGGGGAAAAGTGGTTTTGTTTTGTTTTGTTTTTTGGAAAATCCCAGAGCCCCTTTGTGAATGTCAGCATGCAATAGTTGATGCCCCCAAGGCCTCCAGCAAGGGCAGGCAATATAGATTGTGCCAACACAACTCTCAAGGGCCAGCATTGACTGAAATGGCAAAATAGGGAAGGGATTAAAGAGACCCTGGCACTTTCTCATCAATCTAGGGACAAATGAGAACTTCTTGGACCTACTCTGGGGCTGAACTGGAGTCATTTGCTTTTTTCCAGATTAATGGCAAGATGACAAATGGCATGTCTGGTTTTGTAGCCTTAATAACACCATCTCCCTGTAATAAATATAGTATCATGACTGTGGTGGCTGGCGCTATTGGCACAGTGACTCACTGTGAATGCTATTATTAACACCACAACCCTTTACAATGAAATCTGGGTAAAGAAGTTGCCTATTTGTCACTGTAAAGTGGTAATATACTAAGTGGTAATTTTGTAGGCTGAAAGGGGGAAAAACTTAATTCAGCTTCCTGTGCACCTCACCATTAACCATGGTTTGGAGTTAAGGAATTATTGGACTCATTTGCTGTTTGTTTTTCATGAGCCACATTTAAACAATGAAAACAAATCTGATTGTTAGTACTATGCCTTAAGAAATTTTCTGCAACACTGTAAAACTGTATAAATGATAGGTTATGTATAATAAAAATACCGTCATATTTTTTGGCTTACTATATGTAAGTGTTTTGAATCTAGAATGAAGATTTCTTCCCAGTAAACTATTTGGTGAGACCCTGCAGTTTGTTATGCTCTGAGTATCTGATTCTCTCACTCTCTCTCTTTAACACACACACACACAGATGCACAAACACACCTTTTATCTTTATCTAGTTTTGGGAGGCCAATATCACTTGATAGTTAAGGTTTGGACTTTGGAGTTAAGCTCCATTGTGGCCTCATTCTGAGACTTGAAAGTTATTTAACTCCTCTGAGCTTCAGCTGTCTCACTGACAATTATTGTTATAGGACCAGCCTCTTGTTGTTGAGGAACTACGTGAGATAATGTCTGCAAAGTGCTTAGCTCAGAGCATGGCATATAGTAAATGCTCATCAAATGTGATTCCTTTTATTTTTAGCCATGTTGTGAAATGTTATTGTACTAGACTTGTGTTTAAATTTTTAAAGAGTTCATTTTGGAGGAAATGGCATGAGTAATAAGCATATGTTATTTATCAGAGCACTCGTAACTATATCACGACAAAATAACAGAAAAATGGTATTTACTATCAGCACCAGAGTTCAAGTCTGTATTTTATAGCTTAACTTCGATGCTTAAAATAGCAGCATCAGCTCTTTTAGTATATTGTACTTATATTAACTATATTAAAAACTACATTACATAATTTATAACATGGCGATAAAAATGTGTAACCTATATGCAAGGGGGCAGAACATGAAATAGTAAAATAATTTTTAGATACTATAAGGGTTTTCTGCAGGAAAAGCAGTTGCAAGCCTGGTTGCAAAGCCTGCATATTAAATGCAGATCTTTTTGTCCCTTACCCTGAAGCTGTGGAAGAGATCTTTTCAAAGGGGATCCAGGAAGCAACTATAGAGAAAAGAGCCATCTATTCCTAAGGAACTTAATCCTCTCCACCAAAAACCACAGGGGTGGCAGAAATGGCTCTTCTAAGCATGATGTGAGCACAGATCCAAGATTCAGGAAGACAGTAGGAGCATGAGAGCTGACAATTAGAGTGAACAACAGACACCCAGGAAGAGACCAGGTGTCTACTGAGCCTGGTAGTAAGGATGGACTAGAGGGTGCAGAGAGCCAGAAAGGGGTTACTGACCTTGTGGTACTGGAGCCAAGGTGCGTTTCCTTGGAAGATCGTCTTCAGGTGTTGGTGGGCACAGAGAAATCACTGGTTTGAGAAGGCAGAGCAAAGAACAAAAAATTACAGAACAAATCAGGAGTCCAAAAATCTTCAGGACCTGACAGCGAAGGATCCTGCACTCAGTGACGGGTTTAATACTGTATATGAATGAACACAAATGCCAACAGTGATAGGAAATGGGATATAATAGCCCTGCAGTTACTATGGTCACCTGATGGAAGGCAAAAAGCCTAAGGAAATTGCAGGGAGAATCTTGCGAAGTCAGAACTACTTCAAAAGAGTAATCTGGCAAGGTCAGGCCTAGAAGTGGGGAAAGGGTGAGGCTACGGACTGTGACAAAGACAAGGCTCTGGCCCTGCTCACAGGGCTAGAAACATTTACCAGTTCTTTAATGAAAAAGCATGTACAGACTGCATGGAAACCACCCCTGCGTGTTACTCCTTATAAATAGCAGGACACGAATATTTATCCAGGCTAAGAGCAGAGCAAATCCGTAGCATAGCCTGGATTCTTCCCAATTAATCTCTTTATACTCTCAATCTCCAACATAAAGAATTCTATTCCGTTGTTATTAAAGAGGAAATTGAATGAAAATAAATAACTGAATCTCAATAGACCAAGAGGACCATTTGCTTGAAAAAATAGCCTGATTAAATTGCAGTTTTAATAAGAGTGCATGTTTTGGAGTCAGCCAGATTCAGGTCTGAGACCTATCTCTAGCACTAAGTGGAGGACTGTGAGCTCATTAATTAAACTCTACTGGCATGAATTCCTCCTGTGAAAATTGGGAACAATGATGTCAACCTTGCAGGTTTAAAAAATTTTAAGATTAGGCCGGGTGCAGTGGCTCACGCCTGTAATCCCAGCACTTTTGGGAGGCTAAGGCGGGCAAATTACCTGAGGTTAGGAGTTCGAGACCAGCCTGGCTAACATGGAGAAACCTCGTCTCTACTAAAAATACAAAAATTAGTCTGGGGGCAGTGGCTCATGCCTGTAATCCCAGCACTTTGAGAGGCCGAGGCAGGTGGATCACGAGGTCAAGAGATGGAGACCATCCTGGCCAACATGGTGAAACCCCGTCTCTACTAAAAAATACCAAAAATAAAAATTAGCTGGGTTTGGTGGAGTGCGCCTGTAGTCACAGCTACTTGGGAGGCTGAGGCAGAAGAACCATTTGAACCCGGGAGGCGGAGGTTGCAGTGAGCTGAGATGGTGCCACTGCACTCCAGCCTGGCGACAGAACAAGACTCCATCTCAAAAATACATACATACATACATACATACATACGTACATACAAATTAGCCGGGCGTGGTGGCATATACCTGTAATCCCAGCTACTTGGGAGGCTGAGGCAGGAGAACTGCTTGAGTTCAGGAGATGGAGGTTGCAGTGAACCGAGATGGCACCACTGCACTGCAGTCTGGCCAACAGAGTGAGACTCTGTCTCAAAAAAAAAATTAAGATTAAATGAACTTACACAAAAAAATCATTTGGAATGAGGTAGGTGGCCAATACATGTTAGTCTCTTTTCTCTTGATTTTAACATTGCCAGAAACACAGACTCAGGTATAAGTCTGATGGGCACCCCGACAGGTGTGACCATGGGCCAAGTATCGCTAAGTTGTGCAGGCTTCCAAAGGGACTGCGAAGGTCTCTGGAGTCAAACTGCCTGGGCTCAGAACCACTCCATCATTTTCTGACGTGGGAGGAGTTACTTACTCTCTCTGTGGCTCAGATTTCTTACCTATCAAAGAAGATAGCAATGTCCACTCACAGGGGTTTTTGAGTGCTAAGTGAAATAATCCACATAAGGCATTTGGGATGATCTGAGACAGGCAGGACTGAGGTGAAGTCCATGGAGACAAAGTTCCAGGGATGTTGAGATAGACATCTCTGGAGTTGCCTAGCTAGGTGTTGGTCAAAGGTAGCAACAGAGGGCAGCATGGTGATTGCAAGGCCCCTCCCAGACTCTGTGGGTGATTTTAAATTAGTCATAGTAGCCTTCCAAAGAGCCTTTCTGACATAAGTACAGAACCTGGGAATGGCCCATTCTGCTCAAATATAATAATGCCATCCAACTTGGTAGAGCCAGCCTCTGTGGCAGCCCACTCCCCTAAGGCTAGCTTTGGATGGGTAGCCTTTACTTAAAATTGTACTTTTTAATTTTTTTTTCTGTCTGCTTTTTTAAAATATTATTATTATACTTTTAGTTCTCGGGTACATGTGCACAACGTGCAGGTTTGTTACATATGTATATATGTGCCATGTTGGTTTGCCGCACCCATCAACTCATCATTTACATTAGGTATTTCTCCTAATGCTATCCCTCCCCCAGCCCCCTAGCCCCCAACACACCCTGATGTGTGATGTTCCCCACCCTGTGTCCAAGTGTTCTCATTGTTCAATTCCCACCTATAAGTGAGAACATGTGGTGTTTGGTTTTCTGTCCTTGCGGTAGTTTGCTCAGAATGATGGTTTCCAGCTTCATCCATGTTCCTGCAAAGGACATGAACTCATCCTTTTTATGGCTGCATAGTATTCCATGCTGTATATGTGCCACATTTTCTTAATCCAGTCCATCACTGATGGACATTTGGGTTGGTTCCAAGTCTTTGCTATTGTGAATAGTGTCGCAGTAAACATATGTGTGCATGTCTCTTTATAGTAGTATGATTTATAATCCTTTGGATATATACCCAGTAATGGGATGGCTGGGTCAAATGGTAATTCTAGTTCTAGATCCTTGAGGAATTGCCACACGGCCTTCCACAATGGCTGAACTAATTTACACTCCCACCAACAGTGTAAAAGTGTTCCTATTTCTCCACATCCTCTCCAGCATCTGTTGTTTCCTGACTTTTTAATGATCTCCATTCTAACTGGTGTGAGATGATATCTCATTGTGGTTTTGATTTGCGTTTCTCTGATGGCCAGTGATGATGAGCATTTTTTCATGTGTCTGTTGGCTGCATAAATGTCTTCTTTTGAGAAGTGTCTGTCCATATCCTTTGCCCACTTTTCGTTGGGGTTGTTTTTTTCTTGTAAATTTGTTTAAGTTCTTTGTAGATTCTGGATATTAGCCCTTAGTCAGATGAGTAGATTGCAAAAATTTTCTCCCATTCTGTAGGTTGCCTGTTCATTCTGATGGTAGTTTCCTTTGCCATGCAGAAGCTCTTTAGTTTAATTAGATCCCATTTGTCTATTTTGGCTTTTGTTGCCATTGCTTTTGGTGTTTTAGCCATGAAGTCTTTGCCCATGCCTATGTCCTGAAAGGTATTGCCTAGGTTTTATTCTAGGGTTTTTATGGTTTTAGGTCTAACATTTAAGTCTTTAATCCATCTTGAATTAATTTTTGTGTAAGGTGTAAGGAAGGGATCCAGTTTCAGCTTTCTACATATGACTAGCCAGTTTTCCCAGCACCATTTATTAAATAGGGACTCCTTTCCCCATTTCTCGTTTTTGTCAGGTTTGTCAAAGATCAGATGGTTGTAGGTGTGTGGTGTTATTTCTGAGGCCTCTGTTCTGTTCCATTGGCCTCTATATCTATTTTGGTAACAGTACCATGCTGTTTTGGTTACTCTATCCTTGTCGTATGGTTTGAAGTCAGGTAGCTTGATGCCTTCAGCTTTGTTCTTTTGGCTTAGGATTGTCTTGGCTATGCAGGTTCTTTTTTGGTTCCATATGAACTTTAAAGTAGTTTTTTCCAATTCTGTGAAGAAAGTCATTGGTAGCTTGATGGGGATGGCATTGAATCTATAAATTACCTTGGGCAGTATAGCCATTTTCACGATATTGATTCTTCCTATCCGTGAGCATGGAATGTTCTTCCATTTGTTTGTATCCCCTTTTATTTCATTGAGCAGTGGTTTGTAGTTCTCCTTGAAGAGGTCCTTCACATCCCTTGTAAGTCGGATTCCTAGTTATTTTATTCTCTTTGTAGCAATTGTGAATGGGCGTTCACTCATGATTTGGCTCTCTGTTTGTCTGTTAATGGTGTATAGGAATGCTTGTGATTTTTGCACATTGTTTTTGTATCCTGAGATTTTGCTGAAGTTGCTTATCAGCTTAAGGAGATTTTGGGCTGAGATGATGCGGTTTGCTAAATATACAATCATGTCATCTGCAAAGAGAGACAATTTGACTTCCTCTTTTCTTAATTGAATACCCTTTATTTCTTTCTCTTGCCTGATTGCCCTGGCCAGAACTTCCAACACTAGGTTGAATAGGAGTGGTGAGAGAGGGCATCCCTGTCTTGTGCCATTTTTCAAAAGGAATGCTTCCAGTTTTTGCCCATTCAGTATGATACTGGCTGTGGGTTTGTCTTAAATAGCTCTTATTATTTTGAGATATGTTCCATCAATACCTAGTTTATTGAGAGTTTTTAGCATGAAGAGCAGTTGAATTTTGTCAAAGGCCTTTTCTGCATCTATTGAGATAATCATGTGGTTTTTGTCTTTTGTTCTGTTATATGATGGATTACATTTATTGATTTGCTTATGTTGAACCAGGCTTGCATCCCAGGGATGAAGCCAACTTGATCTTGGTGGATAAGCTTTTTGATGTGCTGCTGGATTCGGTTTGCCAGTATTTTATTGAGGATTTTTGCATCGATGTTTATCAGGGATATTGGTCTAAAATTCTCTTTTTTTGTTGTGTCTCTGCCAGGCTTTGGTATCAGGATGATGCTGGCCTCATAAAATGAATTAGGGAGGATTCCCTCTTTTTCTATTGATTGGAATAGTTTCAGAAGGAATGGTACCAGCTCCTCTTTGTACCGCTGGTAGAATTCGGCTGTGAATCCATCTGGTCCTGGACTTTTTTTGGTTGGTAGGCTCTAAATTATTGCCTCAATTTCAGAGCCTGTTATTGGTCTATTCAGGGATTCAACTTCTTCCTGGTTTAGTCTTGGAAGGGTGTATGTGTCCAGGAATTTATTCATTTCTTCTAGATTTTCTAGTTTATTTATGTAGTGGTGTTTATAGTATTCTCTGATGGTAGTTTGTATTTCTGTGGGATCAGTGGTGATATCCCCTTTATCATTTTTTATTGTGTCTATTTGATTCTTCTCTCTTTTCTTCTTTATTAGTCTTGCTAGTGGTCTATCACTTTTGTTGATCTTTTCAAAAAACCAGCTCCTGGATTCATTGATTTTTTGAAGGGTTTTTTGTGTCTCTATCTCCTTCAGTTCTGCTCTGATCTTAGTTATTTCTTGCCTTCTGCTAGCTTTTGAATGTGTTTGCTCTTGCTTCTCTAGTTCTTTTAATTGTGATGTTAGGGTGTTGATTTTAGATCTCTCCTGCTTTCTTTTGTGGGCATTTAGTGCTATAAATTTCCCTCTACACACTGCTTTAAATGTGTCCCAGAGATTCTGGTACATTGTCTCTTTGTTCTTATTGGTTTCAAAGAACATCTTTATTTCTGCCTTCATTTCGTTATGTACCCAGTAGTCCTTCAGGAGCAGGTTGTTGAGTTTCCATGTAGTTGTGCTGTTTTGAGTGAGTTTCTTAATCCTGAGTTCTAATTTGATTGCACTGTGGTCTGAGAGACAGTTTGTTGTGATTTCCATTCTTTATTTGCTGAGGAGTGCTTTACTTCCAATTATGTGGTCAATTTTAGAATAAGTGCGACATGGTGCTGAGAAGAATGTATATTCTATTGATTTGGGGTGGAGAGTTCTGTAGATGTCTATTAGGTCCTCTTGGTGCAGAGCTGAGTTTAAGTCCTGGATATCCTTGTTAACCTTCTGTCTCATTGATCTGTCTAATATTGACAGTAGGATGTTAAAGTCTCCCATTTTTCTTGTGTGGGAGTCAAAGTCTCTTTCTAGGTCTCCAAGGATTTGCTTTATGAATCTTTGTGCTCCTGTATTGGGTGCATATATATTTAGGATAGTTAGCTCTTCTTGTTGCATTGATCCCTTTACCATTATGTAATGGCTTTCTTTGTCTCTTTTGATCTTTGTTGATTTAAAGTCTGCTTTATCAGAGACTAGGATTGCAACCCCTGCTTTTTTTTTTTTGCTTTCCATTTGCTTGTTAGATCTTCCTCTATCCCTTTATTTTGAGCCTATGTGTCTCTCTGCACGTGAGATGGGTCTCCTGAATACAGCACACTGATGGGTCTTGACTCTTTATCCAATTTGCCAGTCTGTGCCTTTTAATTGGGGCATTTAGCCTATTTACATTTAAGGTTAATATTGTTATGTGTGAATTTGATCCTGTCATTATGATATTAGCTGGTTATTTTGCTCGTTAGTTGATGCAGTTTCTTCATAGCATTGATGGTCTTTACAATTTGGCATGTTTTTGCAGTGGCTGGTACCCGTTGTTCCTTTCCATGTTTAGTGCTTCCTTCAGGAGCTCTTATAAGGCAGGCCTGGTGGTGACAAAATCTCTCAGCATTTGCTTGTCTGTAAAGATTTGATTTCTCCTTCACTTATGAAGCTTAGTTTGGCTGGATATGAAATTCTGGGTTGAAAATTCCTTTCTTTAAGAATGTTGAATATTGGCCCCCATTCTCTTCTGGCTTGTAGGGTTTCTGCAGAGAAATCTGCTGTTAGTCTGATGGGCTTCCTTTTGTGGGTAACCCGACCTTTCTCTCTGGCTGCCCTTAACATTTTTTCCTTCATTTCAACCTTGGTGAATCTGACAATTATGTGTTTTGGGGTTGCTTTTCTTGAGGAGTATCTTTGTGGCGTTCTCTGTATTTCCTGAATTTGAATGTTGGCCTGCCTTGCTAGGTTGGGGAAGTTCTCCTGGATAATATCCTGAAGAGTGTTTTCCAACTTGGTTCCATTCTCCCCATCACTTTCAGATACACCAATCAAATGTAGATTTGGTCTTTTCACATAGTCCCATATTTCTTGGAGGCTTTGTTTCTTTTTACTCTTTTTTGCTCTAAACTTGTCTTCTCACTTTATTTCATTCATTTGATCTTCAATCACTGATCCCCTTTCTTTCACTTGATCAAATTGGCTATTGAAGCTTGTGCATGCATCACGAAGTTCTCATGCCATGGTTTTCAGCTCCATCAGGTCATTTAATGTCTTCTCTACACTGTTTATTCTAGTTAGCCAGTCATCTAATCTTTTTTAAGGTTTTTAGCTTCCTTGTTATGAGTTTGAACATGCTCCTTTAGCTCAGAGAAGTTTGTTATTACCGACCTTCTGAAGTCTACTTATGTCAACTTGTCAAAGTCATTCTCTGTCCAGCTTTGTTCCTTTACTGGTGAGGAGCTGCAATCCTTTGGAGGAGAAGAGGCACTCTGGTTTTTAGAATTTTCAGTTTTTCTGCTCTGGTTTCTCCCCATCTTTGTGGTTTTATCTACCTTTGGCCTTTGATGTTGGTGACCTACAGATGGAGTTTTGGTGTAGATGTCCTTTTTGTGGGTGTTAATGGTATTCCTTTCTGTCTGTTAGTCTTCCTTCTAGCAGTCAGGTCCCTTAGCTGCAGGTCTGTTGGAGATTGCTGGAGGTCTACTCCAGAACCTGTTTGCCTGGGTATCATCAGCAGAGGCTGCAGAACAGCAAATATTGCTACCTGATCCTTCCTCTGGAAGCTTTGTCCCAGAGGGGCACCCACCTGTGGAGGTGTCTCTTGGCTCCTACTGGGAGATGTCTCCCAGTTAGGCTACATGGGGGTTGGGGACCCACTTGAGGAGTCAGTCTGTCCGTTCTCAGAGCTCAGACGTCATGCTGGGAGAACCACTGCTCTCTTCAGAGCTGTCTGACAGAGGCGTTTAAGTCTGCAGAAGTTTCTGCTGCCTTTGGTTCAGCTATGCCCTTCCTACAGAGGTGGAGTCTATAGAGGTAGTAGGCCTTGCTGAGCTGCAGTGGGCTTTGCTCAGTTTGAGCTTCCCAGCCACTTTGTTTACCTACTCAAGCCTCAGCAATGGTGGATGCCCCTCCCCCAGCCATGCTGCAGCCTCGCAGGTTGATCTCAGACTGCTTCACTAGCAGTGAGCAAGGCTCCGTGGGTGTGGGACCCACTGAACCAGACACAGGAGAAAATTTCCTGGTTTTCCGGTTCCTAAGACTGTGGGAAAAGCACAGCATTTGGGCAAGAGTGTTCCATTTTTCCAGGTACAGTTTGTCGTCACAGCTTCCCTTGGCTAGGAAAGGGAAATCCCCTCACCCCTTGCACTTCCTGGGTGAGGCAACGCCCCACCCTGCTTCGGCTCACCCTCCGTGGGCTGCACCCACTGTCCAACCAGTCCCAATGAGATGAACCAGGTACCTCAGTTGGAAACGTAGAAATCACCATCTTCTGCGTCAATCACACTGGGAACTGCAGACTGGAGCTGCTCCTATTCAGCCATCTTGGAAATGAAGACCTACTTTTTAATTTCTTACTTGCTTATTTTCCTTTTCTGTCATTAAAATGTAGCCTAGCTGGTGGCAGTGGCTCATGCTTGTAATCCCAGCACTTTGAGAGGGGATGGTAGGTAGATCTCTTGAACACAGGAGTTCAAGACTAGCCTGAGCAACAAGGAGAAACCCCATCTCTACAAAAAATGCAAAAATTAGCTGGGCATGGTGGTACATGCCCGTAGTCCCAGTTACTCTGGAGGCTGAGGTGGGGGGATGGCTTAAGCCTGGAGGCAGAGGTTGCAGTGAGCCAAGATAGTGTTACTGCACTCTAGCCTGGGTGACAGCACAAGATCCTGCCTCAAAATAAATAAATAAATAAAATATAATAAGTAAAATAAAAAACAAAAAAGGAAATTTATTGGCTCATATAGCCAACAGGTGCAAAGGTTGAATCCATAGTCCGATACAAGTAATCGGGCATTGTGAATGCCACTTTCCTCTGTGCTGGTGTCATAGGTTTGAGATGAAGAGTTGTTGAATGCAGGCAGTTTGCTGGGAAGTGCTCTCAATAGAAACATGGCTAAGGGGAGTAAAGAAAGCAAGATTGGGCATGGGAGGCAGCTGATTCTGTGATGAGCTCTGGTACTGAATAAACCTATCTAGGGTTGTTTGGTCTTGAGGAAAGGGGACTGGGCCTTTATAAGCTCTCAGCCCCAAATCCATCAGTCCTTGGGCGAGGTGGCTTTTCTTGCTGAGGGCAATTCATGGAGAACAACTTAGCTGAGAGCCATCAGCTGCCAATATTCCAAGAAGCTGGAAACATCAATGCCCCAGTCCAGAGGGAGTGATTTGGGCAGTGTGCCATGCATCCAGTACAGTTGACTTTATTTTCAGGCAGCATCTATCCATGTGCCACCCAAGATGGCGACCTGCAGTTAGGCTTACATGGTGGTCCTGGGCCCCTGCAACCTTTCCTGATAGTAATAGTGAAAGTCCCAGCAAGGGTTTTGATTGGTTTGATTTGAGTCATGTGACCATCCCTAAATCAATCATAATGCCAGGGCAATAGGCTTCTCTGATTGTTCAAGTCTGGATTGTATGTCTACTCCTGGAAGCAGTGGTGATTTTTGAAAAAGATTACTGAAAAGAGGATTTCAGTTCAAAACTGACAGTTGCCTATACAGCCTACGTTATGGGTTAAATAGCCAGAATGCCACCTGACAAATTCATCTCTTGAAGTCCCACCCCCACTCCCATAGAATGTGATCTTATTTGGAAACAGGGTCTTTATAGAGTTAGTCAAGTTAAAATGAGGTCATTGAGGTGGGCTCTAATCCAACTCCTCATAGGAAGGTGAAATTTGGGCACAGCCAGCCATACAGGGAGAATGCCATGGGAACATGAAGATGGCTGTCTACAAGGCAGGGAGAGAAGCCTGAAATAGCTCTTCTCTTCACAGCCCTCAGAAGGAACCAACCCTGCCAAAACCTTGATTTCAGACTTTCTAGTCTGCAGAACTGTGACACAATACATTTGTTTCAGACACCCTCTTTGTGGTACTTTGTTACAGCAATCCCAGCGAACTAATAAAAACCTGATGGAGATTAAACTTTTTAGGCCACAAGATTTCCTGAGGCCATAACACAGATGCTAAAATAGGTTATTTGTCTTATAATTTTGCCTGTCTAGTACTTAGTGGATTTGTCAGAGGCGTTTGAACAAAAGCAACTCCATCTTGAATAGGGGCTGGGTAAAATAAGGCTGAGACCTACTGGGCATTCTAAGTTACAGGATGAGATAGAAGGTTGGCACAAGACACAGGTCACAAAGACCCTGCTGATAAAACAGCTTGCTGTAAAGAAGCCAGCCCAAACCCACCAAAACCAAGATGACAACAAGAGTGACCACCGGTCGTCCTCACTGCTACACTCCCACCAGTGCCATGACAGTTTTTACAAATGCCGTGGCAACGTCAGGAAGTTACCCTATATGGTCTAAAAAGGGGAGGCATAAATAAGCCACTCCTTGTTTAGCATATCATTAAGAAATAACCATAAAAATGGGCAGCCATCAGCCCTCGGGGTTGCTCTGTCTGGAGTAGCCATTCTTTTATTCCTTTACTTTCTTAATAAACTTGCTTTTGCTTTACTGTATGGATTTGCCTTGAATTCTTTCTTGTGTGAGATCCAAGAAGCCTCTGTTGGGGTCCGGATCGGGACCCCTTTCTGCTAACATCTTTCTGGCAACCACGAAAGGGACAATACTGAGGAAACCCCCAAGCTAAAGGCTAACTTTGGGTAAGTGGTGGGGTCCGGTAACAGATTGAAACATCAAATTACTCAAAAAAAGTGGCCCATTTTGCTCTGTGCAAGTGTAATCTATGTTAACTCTTCTCAAGTAAGATTTCATGAGAGGATTAAGCTTGGAAGTATTCAACGTACACAAGGAGAATTAACTCCTTTCCTCCTTTCTTTCTTTCTTTCTTTCTTTCTTTCTTTCTTTCTTTTCTTTCTTTCTTTTCTTTCTTTCTTTCTTTTCCTTCCTTCCCTCCTTCCTTCCTTCCTTCCTTCCTTCCTTCCTTCCTTCCTTCTTTCTTTCTTTCTTTCTTTCTTTCTTTCTTTCTTTCTTTCTTTCTTTCTTTCTTTCTTTCTTTCTTTCTTTCTTTCTTTCTTTCTTTCTTTTCTTGACAGTCTTGCTGTGTTGCCCAGGCTGGAGTGCACTGGTGCAATCTCAGCTCACTGTAACCTCCACCTCCCAGGTTCAAGCAATTCTCCTGCCTCAGCCTCCCGAGTAGCTAGGATTACAGGCACCTGCCACCACACCTGGCTAATTTTTGTATTTTTAGTAGAGACGGAGTTTCACCATGTTGGCCAGGCTGGTCTTGAACTCCCAACCTCAGGTGATCCACCTGCCTTGGCCTCCCAAAGTGTTGGGATTATAGGCGTGAGCCACTGGTGCCCGGCCAAATTAACTTCTTTCTTATGTGTCTGTAATGGCACTAGCAATGTATCATCTTGGTGTGGGGGGGTGTGCAATTGAGACATAATCAAAATCATTTTCTCTTAACTTTCTCACGGAACCCCAGTTGAGAAAGGTCAGTAGGCTCTAGTGGTACCAAACACATCTAACTCATACATCTCTACTTTGATTTGTACCAGTTATCATTTATGCACATGGCAGTTATCTTGGCCTGACAAGCCAACATCATTGAGTAGAAGCAACTGGAAAGGGTAGCCACTGCCTCTGTCTTTTTATGGCCTGTGGCTATAAAAATAACAACTTTAATGTCATCTTGAGTTCATGAGGAAGAAGAGGAAATTCCTAAATGGCAGAGACTGAGAGCAGTAAATGCACAAGCTAAAACTATGACAGTCCCAAGTCGAAGTATTATCAGATTCAGTATTGGCTTAATAACTTGAATTTTAATGTTAATGTAATTTTAATTTTAATAGCCCGGAGACGTTCTGGGCTATCTGGCTATTCTTGTCTATCTTTTTGTACATTTCTCTCTCATGATCTGTTTATTCTTATGTCAGCCTAAATATAATGGGATATATAATAGGTCCTCAATGTCATAAATAGGTTCTTGGAAACTAATTTTAAGCCCAACAATGTAGAACAGATCCTTGAATAATATCATTTCTTTCGGTGTCATTAGTAATAAAGTTGATGAGAATTTTTTTTTTTTTTTGAGACAGCCTCACTCTGTCGCCCAGACTGGAGTGCAATGGCGTGATCTCGGCTCACTGCAACCTCTGCCTCCGCCTCCCAGGTTTAAGTGATTCTCCTGCCTCAGCCTCCCGAGTAGCTAGGATTACAGGCATGCTCCACCACACCTGGCTAATTTTTGTATTTTTAGTAGAAACAGGGTTTCGCCATGTTGGCCAGGCTGGTCTTGAACTCCCGACCTCAAGTGATCCACCCACTTTGGCCTCCCAAAGTGCTGGGATTACAGGCGTGAGCCACCATGCTCAGCCAAAATTGGTTTTGTTATACATTGTTTCACTTAAAGTCACAGCTTCCAAGAACCTATCCAAGTCCTTAATTGAGGACTGACTTTAACAGCTGGAATATCTAATTTATTCATACTACCCTTGATTTTCATTTTAAAAGTTAATCTCACTCATTTCTCTGGCTAAAAATAAAATCTTTTTAGATCCTCTTCCAAATTCCATTGCAACAGTGATTAGGATCACACTAAATCCATAAATTAATTTGAAAATATTTACGTCTTCATAATAGCTGGGCTTTCATCTAGTCATATGATGTGTTATTCCAGTTATTTCTTTTTTTTTTTTTTTTTTTGAAACTTAGATTCAGAGAGTTAAGCATTCTCCTCATCATCTTTGGTTTGTACAAAGCTATTCTCTTATTTTATTTATTTTAAATCACTTTTCATGTCTGAGGAATTCCATCTGTAGCTATAGAGAATCAAGTTGACCTTGATTGAGGAGACCTGACATTGAGAGAGGAGCAAAAAGAGAAATGAAAAACAAGGGCGGCTGTGCTCTTCCTGAGTCTCAGTCACTGGATTTACTCTACTGCAGAGGCCTGACTCCATCCTAGACTCTGATTCAGATACCTCTAAAGCACACTTCAGGCCTGGGGCAGTGGCTCACGCCCTTAATTCCAGCACTTTGGGAGGCTGAGGCAGGTGGATTACCTGAGGTCAAGAGTTTGAGACCAGCCTGGCCAACATGGTGAAACCCCTTCTCTACTAAACACAAAAAATTAGCTGGGCATGGTGGAGGGTGCCTGTAATCTTAGCTACTTGGGAGGCTGAGGCAGGAGAATCTCTTGAACCCGGGAGGTGGAGGTTGCAGTGAGCTGAGATTGTCCGTTGCACTCCAGCCTGAGCGACAGAGTGAGATTCCATCTCAAAAAAACCCAAAACCAAACAAAATAAATAAATAAATAAAATGCACTTCAGATCCTTTCACCTCTGCCTGTTTTGAGAATCTTTGGCTAATTCTTGTTGCAACCAACAAGTGAGTAGCTCTAGGGGGGCTCTGATTTCTCATATGCACAATCAGACAGGGCCCTGCTGCCAACACCAGTTGCCTCTCCCCTTCCACAGGTCACCTCCTTTCTGGGGCTTCCCCTTTGATTCTAAAGCATTGAGAAATTTCAGGATCTGTGTGGTGCCCATTTATGATGGTGCAACTTAAAAGTACAAAGAAGTCAACTCATTGTGGGGCCATCCACTGTCCAGTGGAGTCGGGAGCTGTTGGACAGACTGTCCTGATATTCAGTCATTTATAAAGCTCCCTGGAAAATACAGACTCCCATCAGATCTGGTAGTTTATCTCTTTGGATACCAAAGAATGACACGCTTGGTAACACACTTGTGTTGTTGCTCTCCCTCCTTCCCTTCTTGGCTTTGTCCCCTCTCTCCTTCCTAGGCTTGTATGCTCTAATAAAATAGTAGCACATGAGATTTTGCTTCAGCCTTTGGTTTCTAGGGAACCCAATGTAAGACAGATTTTGTAAAATAGCTTTTTTTTTTTTTTTTGAGATGCCAAGGCTGGAATGCAGTGGTGCAATCTTGGCTCACTGCAACCTCTGCCCTCCGGGTTCAAGCGATTCTCCTGCCTCAGACTCCTGAGTAGCTGGGATTACAGGCGTGCACCACCATGCATGACTAATTTTTGTATTTTTTGTAGAGACAGGGTTTCACCATGTTGGCCAGGCTGGTCTCGAACTCCTGACCTCAAGTGATCCACCCACCTCAGCCTCCCAAAGTGCTGGGATTATAGGCATGAGCCACCGTGCTGGGCCACATAACTTTGTTTCCTTATAAAAACTCACCTTTTTGCCTAGCTGGTTCACATAGACTCCTGTTACTTGCAAACAAACAAAAAGTATTTAATTAATATGTCTTATCTGATTATTTTCAATTTTTCTGGAGAAAATATTTAAGAATTTTTTCCTCAAAAGTTCCTGTGGCAGGATAGCTTTTTGATTCCATGTATGTATATCATTTTTCCCTTTAAACCATACAGTTTGAGTATAGAACTATGGTATAGCCACAAAATCTGTTATCCTTAAATTTTGCGGAAATAGGCCTATTATTTTCAACACCCTGTCTAGCAGCTGAGAAGTCTGATGCCACTATGATTCTTATTCTTCTCTTTTCCAGTATGTTTTTGGAATTAAAAGAAATAATTTGAGATCAGAAGTTTTGTGATCATATGTACAGCTGTGTCATCGTGTTCTCTGGGAAGCAGATGCTGAAAAGCTATTTTAACTGTAGGAGGTTTATTAGGGTATATACCTTGGGAAAAATAAAATGAAGGGGAAAAAGGATTGGTTAGGGAAAGCATAGACCCTGATACCGATCTGACACTTCTCAATCTAGTTTGTCAATTTGGTTTTATTTGTTCTCTCTTTTCCATGAAGTTTTAAAAATTTGTGGTCAGCCAATGGTACGCATCCATATTTTCTTTTTCATTTACCTTTTTTTAGAATTCAATGGACTAGGTGGTAGAAGGATGACAAATGTGTACTCAGTCTGCCATCTTAAAGTATTCAAGAACTTTCCAAGTGTGTGTGTGTGTGTGTGTGTGTGTGTGTGTGTGTGTGTAAAACAAACTTGCTTTCCATGAAAGCTTTGCAAAGATACATTTCCACAATCTGAATATCAGTGAGAGTATTTCAATGTAACATATCCATAGTTGGGTTTTATTAAACAAATAAAACTTATTTAATTTTATAGACAACAACATCTATGCTTAAAATGTGCAGTCATCTTTAGTAAGGTGAAAGTTTTGTCTTTCTAATATGGAAAAATTTCAAGCATATACGAAAGTAGGGAGAATTGTGTAAAGAATCCCATGTGCTCATTACCCAGTTTCACCAATTTTCAATTATTCCAGGAACCAAGGTAAAATGTTTTGCTAAATATATATTAGCTATTGTATTCCTTTCTTTGTAAATTTTTTTAATGCTTCTAACTAGCTGTCTTCTTGGATTTTGGTGTTTTTCTTGTCAAAAAAGTTACACACTTCTTAGAAATTAATGTTATTTTCTCTCTCATAATCATTGCAAATATTTTTATCACAAATTTTTCTTTTGATTTTCTGTTGTGTTACACTGAATTTGAAATTTTTATTTGCTAAATGGAACAATGTGGGAGTTGCTATGATTTTTAAAAATTGTTATTTAATTTTCCAGCACCACATATTTAAAAAAATTAACAGTCCATATTTCAGAATAATAATATTACAGGTTGGAAAAAAATTCTACTTATTTTCTAGATTTTGAGATTTTCCATTAGTGTTTTTTCACAAAAGGAAGTTTATTGCAACATTATCTTTTTTTAAAAAAAAAAGCGTATATTTTTAGAACAAACCTAGATTTACAGAAAAATTGGAAAGACTATGCAGCGTTCCCATGAACTCCATACCCAGTTTCTCCTACCTCTATCATCTTACATTAGTATTCATCACAGCTAATAAGCCAATCCTGACATATTAATAAAAGTCCATACTTTACTCACATTTCACTTAATGTCCTTTTTCTGTCTCAGGATCCCATCCAGGAGACCGTGTTACATTTAGTCATCATCTCCTTAGCTCTATTTGGCTATGATCATTTCTCAGAATTTATTTGTTTTTGTTGATCTTGACAGGTTTGAGAAGTGGTCAGGTATTTTGTATAATGTCTTTCTACTGGGATTTGTCTGATGCTTTCCTCATAATTAAACTGGGGTTTTGGGTTTTGGGGAAGAAAACCATAGAGGTCAAGTTCTATTTCATCACATCATGTCAAGGACACATATTATCAGCATGACTTATCCCTGTTGATCATGACTTGATCACCTGGCTGAGGTAGTGTTTGTCAGGTTTCTCTACTACAAAGTTGCTTTTGTTTCCCTTTCTGTAATGTACTCTCTGGGACAGAGTCACTTTATGCAGCCCACACTTAAAGACTGGGGAGTTATGCTCCCACAGGGGTGCAGCTTCTACATAAATTATTTGGAATTGTTGTGCCTAGAATTATTTGTCTTTTCTCCCCTAATGTATTTATTTAATCATTTATTTATGTAGTATTGATAGTGACAGGAGGCAGCGAAATGCCTAGGCAGACAGTGGCGAGTTCTCAGTGAAATCCCACCTCCAAGCAGAAGAGAGTTTAAAGCCTGAAAGCCAAACTACAAGTTAAATCCCCAGACTGGATTGAGAACTTGTCCTCCTGTTTGGCGTGCTTTCCTCTGATTAATCCCCATCACCTATTTTACATATATCTATCCTTTTCTAACTTGTTTTCTATACTGTCATGCCCACTTTTGAGTGGTATCTTCACCTTAACCTTTTTTGCATACTCACAAGCCAATCAGCATGCACTCCTCATCCTGTGCCTATGAAGACCCCAGACTCAGTCAGTAGAGGAGGAGACAGCCTGACTTTGGTGAAGATGACCTGCCCTTCCTGGCCCCTCTTCAGCTCCCCTGTCCACTGAGAGCTGTTTTCATCACTCAGTAAAATTCTCTGTCTTCACCATCCTTCAGCCGTCCACGTGACCTCATTCTTCTTGGATGCTGGACAAGAGCTTGGGACCCACTGAGTGCGGGTACCCTGAAAAGGTTGTCACACTGGCCCTTTGCCCTCTCTGGCAGAGGGCAGTCACCCCACACAATGAGGCAAGGGGCCAGCTGAGCTGCTAACACACTGCCGTCCATCAGACTGCAGATGATGGAATTAAACAGCACTGTGACACCTGCTCTGGGCCTTCAGGGTCATAGGCACCCTCACCTGGGTGCCACCACGTTCCCTTTGAGGCAACACACCTGGTCTGACTGCAGGCCCCACATGGAGCTTGCTTCTGTGTTGGCACCCAGAGCAGCCATCTGGATCCCGCACTCGCCCACTCACAAGCTCCCTCCACATGGGGCTGAGCACAGTGGGCCAAGTAGACGTGGTGCCCCTGCCGCATGTCCAGTGAAGGGGTGAAAAAAACTCATGCATCAGTATAGACTCATAAATATTTATTTTATATTTTGAGTGATAGTCCAATGTTATTTCTTTTAGTTGTTGTCGTTGCACAAATTGTTCCAGCTTGGCCATTGAAAGCTCTTTCCTTTGACTCCTGGGTCCTTTTGACTACCCTCATTGTTCGTGTGTGTCTGGGGGCAGGGGGTTTGCATGATTTAGCACTTCCTTACTTTCTGGCACTATGAGATGTTCCAGGCCCACCTTGTATATTTTCTGTTTCAATCTTAGAATCAGCCATTTCACCAAGATGCTCTGGTTACTTTTATTGGAATGCGGGTGCTAAGTGTGCTTGTTACTCCAGTGTTGTTGTTTCTAGGCCCTCTTAGCAGACAGTGCAAGGAAATCTATGTGTGTATACTAACATGTATATATATACACACGCACACACACATACAAATTTCTATATGTAACCATCTGTATCTATATTAAGCTAAACATGAATTCATATTGATGCCTCCAACTTTATTCCTTAATACTAAGATTGCTCTAGACTCTCCCCTTGCTTATCTGTAACCTCCAACTTCAACAGTGAGAAACCTGGCTCCTACCACCTGCCATGTGTTTACTTCATTGTTCAACCAGAGTATACATGTAGAATAGTAGCAGAATTGTTAAACTCTGTGGGAAACAACTTTCTCAGCTAGAAGTATAGTGCCTGTGTAGTTTCTTTTGCCTTTAGTTTCTCAGACTTTGCTCATTTCCAAAGTTTGAGGTCAGCGCCTGAAACATTTGTAAGGCTGTTTCATGCATTTGTAATAGAGTTAGATTGTTTTGTCACATTCTGCCTTTCGTCCTGGGATTCCCCTGACCTCCTAGTTTTGTTTTAATTTTCATACATAACTATATTCTTTGTGTTAGCAGCACTACTTTAAAAAATAATTTTTTTCTTCAACATCTAATTTGTAAGTCTTTATCACACATTAAAATCTTATGTCTAGTAATGTCTGTATTTCTTTGCTTACTATGTGTGTGGTATGTAAACCTCCTATCTAGCAATTAAATAAAAATTTATTTCAAGTTAGAGCAGAGAAAAATACAAAACTTCCTTGGAGGCACTATCCTACAACCCAGGCTAATAGGATTCCCACAGAATAAAACAAGTTTATTGGCATACACAGAAAGTTACAAACATATCATTAACCATGGGTGACAGCAGATACAACAAAGATTCATACCCCCAGGAATTTGAAATATAAAGTGAACAATGAAATAAATTATTAAAAAATAAGTAAAAAACAAATATTGATGATTATTTGGGGGAGTTAACAACAAATAGTTACATGGAAAATGAGTTACTTGAGAGATGAGAGGGTGTTTGTGAATATAGGTAGTTCAGGTTCTCCTATTGCCAAGTATCAGGTCCAAGGTACTAATGAATTTAGATTTTGTTAAGTGTCTGGGCAAAGTAGTTCCACCGAGGGCTGATTCCAGGTCTTAATGAAAATGAGCACTTTGACTAATAAATCGTGTACTGTCGCATCTTACTGTGATAAGCTCTAAGCATAATGGAAAACATCAGGCAGGCAGACGTGCAGTGAGCATGGTTTTCAAGTCCCCCCAAAGCTTCACAGACATGCCTGAGTGGGCAGTAGTTTTCCACCTGTTTAAGGTAAGGCATTGTTTATCATGCCTTTTGTATACCAGTTTCTAAAACTCCAACATAATTACCTTTTATGTTTGCAAAAGCGGTCTTTAGGTAGCTGTATCATTGAACCTCTGTTTCTGGGTACACAAGTTATACATAACATCTAGGCTGTGGTTGTATGCAACTAGTTATCTCCTGGGTTGCAAAGCTGAAGAGTGGTTAGGTAAGACAAGCTTGGCCAGAACCTACTGTAGCTTGTTAAAAATCTAAGAACAAAATGAAACTAATTGGAATACTAAAAAGTAAGACTTCCAAACCTGTTGAAAAATAAAAGGAAATGTAGAAAACCAAATTCACCAAAAAGAAGTCAGGAAAGAAGAAAGAGAAAAAGGAGGAAGAAGAAGAAATGTAAACGGCATAATAAAAGCACAAAATGAGATACTAAAATTAAATCTAAATATATAATGTATTAATATAAATGAATTAACACAGTATTTAAAAAACAGAGATTGTCAGATTGAATTTTAAAAATCCAGTTAAATGGAGCAGTGGTTCACGCCTGTAATCCCTGCACTTTGGGAAGCTGAGGCAGGTGGATCACTTGAGGTCAGGAGTTTGAGACCAGCCTGGACAACATGGTGAAATTCTGTCTCTACTAAAAATACAAAAATTAACCGGGAGTGGTGGTGGGCACCTGTAATCCCAGCTACTCAGGAGGTTGAGGCATGAGAATCATTTAACCCAGGAGGCGGAGGTTGCAGTGAGCCGAGATCACACCACTGCACTATAGCCTGGGTGACAGAGCGTCTCAAAAAAAAAAAAAAAATGCTGTTACACGTTTATAACACCTAACACAGGATAGCATGGGGACATTGTAAATAAATAAATAAATAATTCATACCAGAAAAATCTCAATCGAAAGAAAACTGGTATAACTATAGTAATTCCACACAAAATAGACTCTAAAGAAAAAAAGAGTGTTATTAGTTACAAAGAGGATCATTACATAATAATAAAATGAACAATTCATTGGGAAGCTGTACCAACTCTGAATCTATACCTTGTACAATACAGCCTTGAATTAAATATCCAAAATCTAACAGAATTACAAGAAGAAATGGATAAATTCATATAATTCCCTCAGTAATAAATGAAGCAGTCTAAAAGAAATAAGTAAAGTTATAGAAGGTTGATACCACACAATTTAAAAACTTGATCGAATTGATATAAATGGAATTCTGCACATATTTAGAAAATATACATGCTTTTCAGCCAGGTGCAGTGGCTCACACCTGTAATCCTACCACTTTGGGAGGCTGAGGTGGGTGGATCACCTGAGGTCAGGAGTTCAAGACCAGCCTGGCCAACATGGTGAAAACCCATTTCTACTAAAAATACAAAAATTAGCTGGGTGTGGTGGCACATGCCTGTAACACCAGCTACTCAGGAGGCTGAGGCAGGAGAATTGCTGGAACGTGGGAGGCGGAGGTTGCAGTGAGCCTAGATTGCACCACTGCACTCCAGCCTGGGCGACAGAGTGAGACTCCATCTGAAAAAAAAAAAGAAAATATACATGCTTTTCAAATTCTCATGGCACTTGTACAAAAATTGGATGACTACTAACCACAAAACAGATTTCAACAAAAACCAAAGAATAAATGCCATGCAGATTACATTATCTGATATCAGTGTAATAAAATTAGAAATTAACAAGAAGGTCATCAAATCTCCATTCAATTAAAAATAAAATAATGTGCATGTGTATGATTAAATCATAATGAAATTATATATATATATATATATATTTTTTTTTTTTTTTTTTTTTTTTTTGAGACAGAGTTTCACTCTTGTCACCCAGGCTGGAGTGCAGTGGCGCAATCTTGGCTCACTGCAACCTTCACCTCCTGGGTTCAAGCGATTCTCCTGCTTCAGCCTCCCCAGTAGCTGGGATTACAGGTGCCCACCACCACACCAGGCTAATTTTTGTATTTTCAGTAGAGACAGGTTTTCGTCATGTTGGCCAGGCTTGTCTCGAACGCCTGACCTCAGGTGATCCACCCACCTCGGCCTCCCAAAGTGCTGGGATTACAGGTGTGAGCCACCGTGCCTGGCCCAAATGATATATTTTTTAAAGAACAATAATGGCACTAATTAAACTAGAGCGTGCAATTACTTGGGAAAGGAAATAGCCTTGAATGCACACATTAAGAAAAGACAAATGTTTCAAAATGAACATCCCAAGTATCAACCTTAAAAAGTTAGAAAGGAACAATATAGTAAACCAGAAAAAAAAAAGTGGAAGGAGCCAAATAATAAAAATGAAGACTAAAATTAAGAAGTTAAAAAATGTGTAATAGAGAGGATTAACAAAAATTAGATACTGGTTCTTTGAAAAGATTAACAAAATAGATAAACTCTTGGTGAGAAAGACAAGTGAAGTCACACCAGAAAGTTAAATGCAAAAGAGGGCATAACAAACATATAGTAGGTATTTTTAAATTATAATAGAATATCAAGAAAAAGTGTATGCATAATTATGAGAACATAGGTAAAATGTCCATTTTCTAGAAAAACATAATGTAAAAAAATTAGCTCAAAAAAGAAACACAACCTCCAAATCAACCTTAGACCATTAAAGAAATTGAAACAGCAGTTTTTAAAAGTTTGGAGCTAGAGAAATTGATCACATGGAGGTACAGAGGCTCTGTCTAAGGAGATAGATACCAGAGACTGGGAAGGGTAAATGGTGGGGTGTGGAGAGGAAGGGTGGATACAGAGGGGCTGGTTCATGAGTACAAACATGCGGTTAGACAGAAGGAATAAGTTATAATGTTTGATAGCAAAGTAGGGTGTCTGTAGTTAACCACGATGTATTCTTTTTTTCTTCTTTACTTTTAGTTTTAGTTTTTTGAGACGGAGTCTCACTCTCTCGCCAGGCTGGAGTGCAGTGGTGCGATCTCGACTTACTGCAACCTCCCCCACCTGGGTTCAAGCGATTCTCCTGCCTCATCCTCCCGAGTAGCTGGGACTATAGGCACACACCACCACGCCCAGCTCATTTTTTTTTGGTATTTTTAGTAGAGACGGGGTTTCACCATGTTGGCCACCATGGTCTCAATCTCTTAACCTCGTGATCCGCCCACCTCGGCCTCCCAAAGTGCTGGGACTACAGGCATGAGCCACCACGCCCGGCCAATGTATTATATTTTTCTAAATAGCTAGAAGAGTGGACATAAAATGTACCCAATACATAGAAATGATAAATATTTGGGTGATGAACCCCCCAATTACCCTGACTTGATCATTACACATTCTATGCATGTAACAAAATTTCACATGTACAAATGTAATATATCAGAAAAAAAGTTTGCCTACAAACAAAACATCCTAAGGCCAAGATGGTTTTCTAAGCAAGTTCTACTTTATCTTCAAGCAACAGAACAGATAATCCTCATCTTATATATATAATTCCAGAGAATAGTTAAGTAGGGACAGTGCCTCCCCACCCTCCTTGGGTATGCCAAGGTATGCCAATAAGGTAACCTTGATTCCATGGGCCAAACAAGGAAGGAAAATTATTGGCTAATTTTAGCTAGGGATGTAGGTACAAATGCAGCTGGATGAGAGTGGTTTCACTACATCATTGACTTTTACAGCAGGAGGAGCATATGCATAGCCTCAGTCCTCCTGGCAGCTTTTGAATGGTTGAGTAGCTGGGCCTCCAGGATCAGGTTCCTTTTTTGAGAGAGGGTCTCACTCTGTCGCCCAGGATGAAGTGCGGTGGCGCAATCTTGGTTCACTGCAACCTCTGCCTCCCAGGTTCAACTGATTCTCCTGCTTCAGCTTCCCGAATAGCTGGGATTACAGACGTGCACCACCATACCTGGCTAATTTTTTTTTTTTTGTATTTTTTTAAAAGTAGAGACGGGGTTTCACCATGTTGGCCAGGCTAGTCTTGAACTCCTCACCTCAGGTGATCCACTCACCTCGGCCTCCAAAAGTGCTGGGATTACAGGTGTGAGCCACTGTGCCCAGCCTTCAGGATCAGGTTCTGATCCAAAAACCTCACTGGTGTTCCTTAGATTCTCGCAGTATAGACAGTCAAGTTGGTACATGTTACAGGTTGAATTCTGAACTCCCAGACTCCACAGCACACATGTTGAAGTTCTAACCTCTAGTATGTGTGAATGTGACCTTATTTGAAAATAGGGTCTTTGCAAGTGATCAAGTTAAGATGAAGTCATTAGGATGGGCCCTGATACAATATGACTTGTGTCCTTATTAAAAAGGGAAATTTGGCCAAGTGTGGTGGCTCATGCCTGTAATCCCAGCAGTATGGGAGATAGAGGCAGGCAGATTCCTTGAGGCCGGGTGTTCGAGACCGGGCTGGGTAAAATGACAAAACCCCATCTCTATCAAAAATTAACCTAACCCAGCATGGTGGCATGTGCCTGTAGTCCCAGCTACCCCCGAGGCTGAGATGGGAGGATCACCTGAACCCAGGAGGTTGAGGCTGCAATGAGCCATGCTTGTGCCATGGCACTCCAACCTGGGCAACAAAGTGAGATTCTGTCTCAAAAAAAAAAAAAAGGTAGGATTGTGATGGGAAATTTGCTCACAGTTACAGTCACACAGGGAGAATACCATATGAAGAGGGAGGATTGGACAGTTACAGTCACACAGGGAGAACACCATATGAAGAAGGAGGATTGGAGTGACGTATCTTCAAGCCAAGGGGTATCTCAGCTGCCAGGAACTGGATGAAAGGCATGGAGCCGATTTTCCCTCAGAAGGAACCAACTTTCCCAACACGTTGATTTTGAAATTCTAGCCTCCAGAATTCTGAGACAATACATTTTTGTTGGTTTAGCTACCTGGTTTTTGGTACTTTGTTATGGTGGCCCTATGAAACTATTACAGTATTCATAACCTTAGTTCCAAAGCAAGACGACATTCCCCTATCCATGACAAGCTAGAACTGGGGTCAAGATAGTATAAAGATGAGGCCTTCCTGGTTTCCACTTCTCTGTTAAGTTGGATGGTTTTCTAGATGCCTATGCCTAAGGATGGACATAATTGTCCAGCCTGCTGTTGTATTGTTTGATGGGCATAATCAGGTGGTGTCTTTGGTAGGGCATTGCATAGGATTTCACTACCTCTCCCCCATATCATACCTTGGTGGAGGTTTCCTCTGAGGCTGAAAGAAGGTTTGGCTGGTGCCCAAGCCTTCCCTCCCTACTGCAGTATAAACCAGAGAAGCTAAAGCAGTGACTCTCAACTGTACAGCGTGAAGGAGTGATATCCTTTCACAGGGAATGTCAGCATCTCCAGAAATGGGTGGGCTGCAATATATATTTCTTAAAAGCATTTTCAATATTTTAATAAATTTAGTCATGTTTCTCCATTTTGTAGCTTTTTATTTTTAAATGTAGAAGCAGGTCCGGCGTGGTAGCTCACACCTGTAATCCCAGCACTTTGGGAAGCTGTGCAGGTGGATCACCTGAGGTCAGGAGTTCGAGACCAGCCTGGCCAACATGGCGAAACCCTGTGTCTACTAAAAATACAAAAATTAGCTGGGCGTGGTGGCGTGTACCTGTAATCCCAGCTACAAAGGAGGCTGAGGCAGTAGAATCGCTTGAACCTGAGAGGCAGGGGTTGCAATGAGCCGAGATCATGCCACTGCACTCCAGTCTGGGTGATGAGCGAGACTCTGTCTAAAAAAAAAAAAAAAAAAAAAAAAGGTAGAAACAAGAAGTTTCTTTTCCATTTGTTTTGAAATTTCAAATAGGATGGTTGGGGTATGTATTAGTTTGCGCTGGCTGCATAACAAACTAGCATGAACGCGATACTACTTTGGATGGCTTAAAACAACAGAAGTGTATTGTCTTACAGTTCTGGAGGCTAGAAGTCCAAGATCAAGGTATTAGCAGCATTCGTTCTGCCTGAGGGAGAATCTGTTCCATGCCTCTTGCTGAGCTTCTTTGGTTTGCTGGCAGCCTTTGGCTTTCCTTGACTTGTCGATGCATCACCTTGCCTTCAACTTTACATGGCATTCTCCCTGTGTGTCCGATTTCCCCTTTTCATAAGGATGCAGTCATACTGAATTAGGGCCCATCCGAATGACGTCATCTTAGCTTGATCATCTGAAAGATTCTATTTCCAAATGAGGTCACATTCACAAATACTGGGGGCTAGAGCTTCAACATGTTTTCGGTAGGACACAATTCAACCAATAACAGAGTGTATGAGTTTCTTATGTGTATCAAAAGGGGTGCTGGTTTTAAAAAGTTAAGGACTTCAAAGCTAAATAGTGCAGCCACAGCTGATGGCTTGTCACATAGGTCCCCCTGAGATGTTCCCTAACTTGCTGACATGAATCACAGACTTCAAAGCTCTTGTTGTAGAATTCCTCTTCCCTATCCCCTACTTACCTCAAAAAGTTAGTGGGTCAGAGGGTCCATAGGCCTCTCTGAAGTGGCTTCCACACTGTCAGTACGTTTGGGCTTTCTGGCAAGCAACGAATGTGAAGAATAATCATCCATTTAGTTTTCTTAAAAAAATTAAGTTTGCAGCTACAGGAGAAAAAAATAATTAACTTTATTTTTATTTTTATTTATTTTATTTATTTATTTTTCTCAATGGCCTCATTTTAAAGCAAATTTTGGTTAAATAATTAAAATTACAAGATATTCACATGGCATCATAGAAATACGTAATACAACTGTTTTTATTATTATTATTATTATACTTTAAATTTTAGGGTACATGGGCACAACGTGCAGGTTTGTTACATTTGTATACATGTGCCATATTAGTGTGCTGCACCCATTAACTCGTCATTTATCATTAGGTATGTCTCCTAATGCTATCCCTCCCCCCTCCCCCCACTCCACAACAGTCCCCGGTGTGTGATGTTCACCTTCCTGTGTCCATGTGTTTTTAAAAACGCTGATGCTGGGTGCAGTGGCTCATGTCTGTAATCCCAGTCAGCACTCTGGGAAGCCCAGGTGGGAGGATCACTTGAATCCAGGAGTTCAAGACAAGCCTGGGCAACATAGCGAGATCCTGTCTCTATGAAAAAAAATGTTTTTTAATTAGCTGGGTGTGGTGGCACACACCTGTGGTCCCAGCCACTTGGGAGGCTGAGGCAGGAGAATCACTTGAACCTGGCAGGTCGAGGCTGCAGTGAGCCATGATTGCAACGCTGCATTCTAGCCTGGGAGACAGAGTGAAACTCTGTCTCAAAAAAAATAAATAAATAAATAAAATAAATTAAAACCTGTGAATTATGCTAGCAATATGCACCCCCACCAACACACAGAGACACATGGAGAAACAAGCCCACCACCCCGCCCCTGCTCCACCGACACCCCTGATGGCAGCGTGCATGCGTACATAATGCAACGCTGAGTCTGCCGCGGGAGAGTTTTCACCAAGGAGACAGGAAGGCTCCAGCTCAGTCTGGGCTCTGCAGAAGGTGTCCTTGGCTAGTCTCAGCTCCTGGCGCTGGGCAGCAGATAGGATCCAAGCTGAATAGAAAAGAGGTCTGTAAAACCTGGCTGTGACCACCTTACTCTTCAGCCTCATCTAGAGCCTTCTTCTCTCCATGTGCAGGGTTGGTTCCTTCTTACACATGTCTCACATGACCCACTGTTACCTTTATACCATTTATGTTTCAATTTTTAACTGTAATTTTTATTTAACTGTTAATTGCTAGTTTTCCTCACTAAACTCTATGAAAGCAGAGAATAGCCTGTCTTGCTTTTAGTCTCCTGAGAACTCACTCACTATCACATGAACAGCATGGAGATAACCGCCTCCTGAGCCCAGGAGTTCAAGACCAGCCTGGGCAACATAGCGAGACTCGGTCTCTATGAAAAAAACATCTTGTGCCACCATGTGAAGAGGGATGTGTTTGCTTCCCCTTCCACCATGATCATAAGCTTCCTGAGGCCTCCCTAGCCTTGCTGAACTGTGAGTCAATTAAACCTCTTTCCTTTATAAATTACCCAGTCTCGGGCAGTTCTTTATAGCAGCGTGAGAACGGATTAATACACAGGACAAACATGTGTCTGGCACATAGTGCAGCCGCAGGAAGTGTTTGTTGAATGAATGATTTTGTGAATGAATGAATTTATGATTGAGAGATGGTGGCACTAAAGACAAACTGTGACTGTTTCTGTGTTTTTCAAGGTCAGATATTACAGTATTTTCACAAATCATATTAATGAGTCCAGCATACCTTATGACATGTCCACGTAAAGACAATTAGGATCTTTTGTTCTGCCATGCCTTGCTACTTATGAATAGTGACTGCTGGTAAAAGCTTGTTGTGTTGATTGGATGCTGGGGCTACAGTTTGCTGATCTTTAAGTGTTGATGGCACAGTCCCCAAGGGAAGACAGGATGATATGGTTTGGCTGTGTCCCCACCCAAATTGGGAATTGCAGTTCCCATAATCCCTAGGTGTTGGGAGAGGGAACCGGTGGAAGGTAATTGAATCATGGGGGCAGTTACCTCCATGCAGTTCTTGTGACAGTGAGTGAGTTCTCAGGAGATCTGATGCTTTTATAAGAGGCTTTTCCCCCTTTGCTCAGCACCTCTCTCTTGTGCCACCATGTGGAGACGGACGTGTTTGCTTCCCCTTCCACCATGACTGTAAGTTTCCTGAGGCCTCCCCGGTCATGCTGAACTGTGAGTCAGTTAAACCTCTTTCTTTTATAAATTACCCAGTCTCAGGCAGTTCTTTATAGCAGCGTGAGAACAGATTAATACACAGGACAAACATGACAGGAAGGTCATATTTGATTTTCAGGTAAGTATTAAAATTTCACTCTAAATTCATTAGCTAGTGAATAGGTCCTTTATGTATTTAATAAACTATCCATATTTGACTTACCTCTCTATTGAACAAAAAAAGTAATATTTAAAACAGGATGGGAAATGTTTTATAATTTTTTTCAAGGAACTAGATGTAATTCTTAAGGTATGATTAGATTATAAAATTCAGTGGAAATGTTTTGTAAAAATGTGATCTTTCTGTCCTGTAGTCATGGGACCATCATCATAAGGACCCTTAAGAGCAGTGATGCACTATGTTTGTGGATATTGGGACATTTTAAAGATCCATTACCTTTCATTGAATGGGGTTAGAGAGATATTTGATCTGCTCAAGATAGGAAGTGTAAGTTGCTAATAGTATCTATTTCCATTCATTGTGCCGCTGCAAAGATGACATGCAATGGGAAGAGACAATGAACAGAGTAATTCCTGGGTTTTAGAATTTCTAAATCCGAGAGAGCAGATCCAGGATTAAATGGATACAGTGGTAAATACAAAAATTTAATCTGAGCCACTTGACGGTTTTCCACTAAGATTATTTCAGTTCAACTACAGTGAAATTTAATTACTACTTACTGAGTGCCTAAAGGAAACAAAGTTTGGATCATGGGTTTCTTGGTATTCTTTAACTGTTCTCAGCTTAAAGCTTTGTTCCAACTCTGAACATAATTCACTCTTACACATCTAAGTTTCTGACCTAATCTTGCCTCCTTTTTCCTTGTAATAAAATTATACTCTGTTCTCTTTCAAAACTCTGCTCAAGCTTCATCTCCTTTAATTAGCCTTCGCAGACAATGCAGATGAATGCCTGTTGTGGTATTTATTCCCACAATCTCTTTATCACGAGCAGAAACGTAGACTCTTAAGAGGGCCATCCTCTGTCCAGGTCCCATTCCCCAACACCTCCCACCACAGGCCCTCCCTATACACCCCAAATCAGTGGCTCTCAATTTTGGCTGCACAGTAAAATTCCCTGGGGAGCTTTAAAAAGGTTGCTTTTAAGAAGCCAAAGAAGAATTTTTAATTTGGTATCCCTGGTAGCTGTAAAACAAAAACAAACAAACAAAATGAAATAAAAGAACAAAATTGGGAATCATAATCTCTGAAGGCAAGCCTCCCACAATTTGCTTTTTAAAGTTTTTAGGTCACTTAAAGGTTTGTTCACAGGTGAGACTTGTCTTAAACAAAGCAGGACTCTCACTTACCTTAATATGTCTATACTTAAGTATATGTTTCTTTATTTGTCTTTTCTTTTTTGTTACATGTAATCTCACAAAATCACATGTTTTAAAGTTGTGTTTGGGTTCTCCAAATAAACAGAACAACAGGTGATACACACACACACATACACACACACATATACATAAAGATTTATTATGGGAGTTGGCTTATGCCCCACAATCTGCTGTCTACAGGCTAGAGAACCAGGCAAGCTAGTGCTGTGATTCAGTCAGAGTCTGAAAGCCTGAGAATCAGGTGGATGGTGTAAGTCCTGGTCTAAGCCTGGAAGCCCAAGAACCAGGAATGTGGATGTCCAAGGGTAAGAGAGAAATAGAAGTCCTAGCTCAAGCAGAAAGAACAAATTCACTTTTCCTCTACCTTTTTGTTCTATTTGAGCCCTCCATGGATTAGGTGATACCTGCCCACATTGGTGAGGATGATCTTCCTTGCTTGGTGTACAGATTCAAATGCTAATCTCTTCAGGAGGTACCCTCATAAACCCACCAGAAATAGTGTTTTACCATCTATCCGGGCACTCCTTAGCCCAGTAAAGTTGACATAAAACTAACCATCATAAGAGTTGAAACATGTCTTAGATGTCATTTCTTCCAATTTACCTGTGGAAATCTCCAGCAAAGGACATGTCTTACCCAGCCCATAGATTGAGAACCAAAACATCAAAATTTACTGGGCAAAAGATGTTTGGAATATTATTGTTATTATCATGAGGATTATTACTTTAGACAGGGTCTTGCTCTGTTGCCCAGGCTGGAGTGCAGTAAGATCACAGTTCACTGCAGCCTTGACCTTCCAGGCTCAAGAGATCTTCCCACCTCAGCCTCTCGGGTAGCTGGGACTACCGGTGTGTGCCACCATACCCGGCCAATTTTGTATTTTTTGTAGAGACAAAGTCTCACTATGTTACCCAGGCTGGTCTTGAACTCCTGCGTTCAAGCAATCTCCCACCTCGGCCTCCCAAAGTGATGGAATTACAGGCGTGAGCCATGGTGACTGGCATGAAGATAATTATTTAGAAAGCAAATTCAAGGGTCTCTTTTATTTGTAATAGCAGACCAAAGTGAGCCTGCAGGTCACTGGAATAGTCATGATAGAGTGAACATGCCTGGGCTCTGAAGTCATGAGACTCCCTCAACTTCAACTCCTGGGATTGTCAGGCATGTCTCAACTCTTCCTCTTTAAGCCAGTTTCCTTATTTTCAAAAATGCAGAGAGTAATGCCTCGAGGCTTGTTTTAAGGATTAAATTGGGTAAATATTTATGAAAGTGGGTGACATATAGTTAAATTTTTTAACAGCTGTAAAATGGTGAGAACCTTCTTTCACTGACTTTAAAAGGTAAAGAGAAAAATAACTATTTTGCATTTGAATAGGTGTTTATTATTCTGTCAGCTGTAATGATTTTTAAATATCTCAAAATTTCTCAGTATAACCCGGCTCGACCCGGCCGTTTGGATTCAAAAGTGTTTCTGGCATGCTTCCTAGAGCTTACATTCTATATTCTTTGAAGCATCTGAAAGAAATATAAGCTCCATTGTTGTCCAGAAGGAATTTAGCCTATTAGTCACCTATAAAAGTACGAATCTATAATGTTTACAATATAACCCTTTCAAAAATTTGTTTAGAGGAAGAAGAAAAACCCCAAAGCAGATAGAAGACATGGTGATTTATCCATCACCAATGAAGAAGGAGAGTTAGAAATGCGGTGAGAGACTGGGCACGGTGGCTCATGCCTATAATCTCAGCACTTTGGGAGGCCAAGGTGAGTGGATCACCTGAGGTCAGGAGTTCGAGACGAGCCTGACCAACATGGTGAAACTCCGTTTCTACTAAGAATATATAATTAGCCAGGTGTGGTGGTGCATACCTATAATCCCAGCTACTTGGGAGGCTGAGGCAGGAGAATTGCTTGAACCTGGGAGGCAGAGGTTGTGGTGAGCCGAGATCGTGCCACTGCAACTCCAGCCTGGGAAAAAAGAGTGAAACTCCATCTCAAAAAAAAAAAAAAACAAAGAAATGCAGTGACAGTAGAGGCCTCAAGGCCCCAGGGAGCTTAATGCTTGTGTGTGTGTGTGTGTGTGTGTGTGTGTGTGTGTGTGTGTTGTGCATGTTCCTGATGATCTTTCTGTTTGAGCCACGAAGAAATCAACCACTTTTCTGTTTTGCCCCCAGGATAAATACCAGAACAGCCTATCAGAGGTAGAAAAACAAGAGAAGATAAGATCTTAACTATCATAATGAGGACAGGCACTTGCTTTTAACCTCAGAAGCAGGGGAAGTGGTAGAGTTTGAGTGTTACTTGCAGAATCCAAAGCTCTACCAAGGCTGGAACAATGCAGATGTCTACTGAGACCTCTGATTATAAGTGACAATTTCAACATCAAGTTTTTTGGACTGGAAAGTAAATTCTATCCAATAATATATTTTGGGGAAAAATTATTCCCCAAAAAGTCTCCTACGTCTCCTACTCCCAAAACTTTTAACCTCCTTGAGCTTAGGCTGGGGAGATTCCAGAAATTAGATGAACATACAAAATTAAATGATGAGAAAGTATTGCATTGTACTTAAGTGTTACAGGTCTTTAAATCTTAATATATACGCTTAACTCTGAATATACCTTAAATATAAGTTATAATAATGACCTATGCTATTTACTTAGACCCAAAAAGAATTGTTGGATTTAAAAGTATGTACTTATTTCACCTCTCTTAATTCCCTACTCTTTGGACCTAGGATATCTTAAACCATCACCCTATCTAACCTAGGCAACCTAAGCCTGCCCCCAAAATTAGAATACAGCATCTTCCAAATAGCAAAGCCATGATCAATGGACAGAAATTATAGAAATGCAAGATTCATCTCAACCTAAAAAGGAAGTTTCTGGGAACCAAAAACGTCCAATAATATAGTAGGCTGCCTTACAGAGTGCTTAGCTCACTGTTGTAGGAGGAGCTCAAGCTATGTCTAAATGATCAGGTTAAGTCAGGAGTCAAGCTAAGACTAAATGTCCATCTGCTTGGGATATTGTGGAAGGAATTCCAGTGCTTGATGAAAGGTTGAATTGCAAGGTCTCTTCCCAATATAAAATTATATGACTTTGAATAAAATAAATCTGACACTGAATACTTTGGTTGGTGTCACATTTCTGACTTTAGATAATTCAGCTCATCAAGAATAAAGAGTATGGCTTATTTTTACACTGGAGCCCATCACATTTTATTGGGGGTCCCTTAGACTGACTGTTAGTAACTTTCAAAAACTGAAATATTAACTAGTTTATGGTTTTGGATTCCATTTACATATGTTTCCCTGGCCCCTCCTTACCTCTTACCTGCCAATGTGTTCTTCTGTTTCATGTTTTACCTATTCATTATGTCAATTATACCTGATTACAGGGTACTTTCATGGAAGATTGATTTCCATTGCAGACCTGAGTGAAATCACATATATCATTTCCACCCATAACCTTTGCGGCTGGAAGTCCTGTGCTCTGTATATGCCTCAAACATAAGGATGGTCCTAAAAGGGTCTGTCATTAGTCCTTTGAATGAAAAATACATTGCATAAAACATAATTTATTTCTTTTAACTCATTAGGAGCCATTTAAAAGTTGACAGCAAAGTTTATTCCTTACCAAAAAAGGGGAGGCTGCAGATAAAATGGTGTTCTCCCCATCAGCACCCGGATGTTGCACATGTAGGGATAACAGCTGGCACGGGGATATTAATAGGCAGCCATTGTTTTTGCACCTGGCTGGGGATGACAGTCTGAGACTATAACCAGTGCAGCTGCGGAGGTTCTTGTCAGATTTTTCTGAGCCATAGAAATGAGGAAACAATCATTTTAGATCTATGACATACTAGCCTTCATGAAATACCTCAGGTATTAAAGAAGGATAAATGAAGTAAAGAGTAAAATATGATTATTTTGAACAGTCTCCAAACTATTTAGTGCACTTTTCTATTATCTTAAGAATAAAGAACATTGATTCTAAAGGAAAACAAAATAGAAGAGGTATTTGAGTAAGAGAAAAATATGGCACTAAACATTGGTATTTGGATATGTGTAAACGTTGTGTGACTTAAGTTCTTAGAAGGTACAACTGAGACACTCATTCCAAAGAAAATAAGGATCTGTTTTTGGAAAAATAAAGGGTATAAAAAAGTTTATTTTGAAAAGGAATAAAATTAGACTTGTTGTGAAGGTCTATTATATACCCCACATAAAAAGACACTACCGAATTTCTTCCACTCCCTTCCCTTCCCTCCCCTTCCATTCTGTTCCTTTCTGTGTCCTTCTGGTTCCCTTTTCCTTCCCTTTATCCTTTTTTTCTCCTTTGCTTTCACAAAGATTTCCTAAAACACTTAAAATCTTTGTATAAGGTCATCTCAAATCTATAAAGGTGAAAAAAAGGCAGCTCTTACACAGCACTTGCTGCACTAAGGGATATGGCATCTTCATAAATTATTCAAATATAAGCTGGAATGGGCACAACAGGGTAAGTGAAGTAGAGAATAGTGTCATGGGTAATGAGAGGTAGAGACAGCATTCTGCCAGAAGCCAGGGAAGGTCGCATCAGGGAACTGGCAATGGAAACGGAACAGAGGGCAGTCTACTTGTGAGGGACTGTGGACGCAGAATCCACAGGGCCTGGGCATTTGATGGCTAAAGTTGGCAAGAGTGAGGTGAAGCCAAAGAGGCCAGCCACTTTTCCATTATTTTTACTAGTTTGCCAGAGTTAAGAAAACATAAAGGAAGAATGTGTCTCTCCTCACTTGTAGTGTAGGATTGAACATGACTATTGATTCCCAAAAGAAAATCTACTTCATAACCCAGTGTTGAGAAGTTGGTATCTGACTTGTGATTTTATATATGTACATGGGAGTAGGTGGAGACTGGGTGGGTAGAAAGTAGTTACAGGGCAAGATGTTTCACTACTGAGACAGGTCTCCTCCTCCAAATCCATTTCCTCCCCCAGATCTCTCTGTCCCCACCTGCAGTTGATGGGACTCTTATTCTCTTTCATCCTCCCTCCCCCTCATACGATCTCTAGCTTCTTTCTTTTCCTGGTTTTCTCCCCACCTACCTTTCCATTCTCATATGCATAGAAATGTATCTCACCCCGTCTCCTCCTCACCCATCTCTTAATATTGTCTTCAAGTGTCTGCAGTCCTGAGGATGACTTCATGTGTGCTCAGCAAACAAAAGATCCTTTCGCTAAATGATCCACCCCCTTTACAGACTGACAGATGAATTTTAAACACTCAGTTTTTATTTCTGGGACACCCCCAAATGTTGTCAACCTTGGCATCTAAAGCACTGCTGGGTAAAGATATTAAATAACAGTTTTGTCATCTCAGCAAATAATTACAAGTACTTCAAGACAGAGGAGTCTATGCAAATGTTTCCACAGGTCCTCAGGTGGTCAGCAAGGGAGGTCTCAGATTTCTCAACTGTGCCACTCATTCTCATTTTGTGCATTTTTATCTGTGGGAACCTAATATTATCCTTAGTTATCTGGTGTTAGTGCCAATCACATTGCTGTGGAGGTCCCGTCTGCCACAAACCTGGACTGAGCACAGAGGCTCCTCTGTATCTGTTGATGAGGAAGCTAGTCACGCTATGAAAAGGTTGGAACGTGCTACTTTTCTTTCATACCTGGCTGAATCCTGAAGAAAAACACTACCTTCATAAAACCAATCATAGAAGCATATTACCTTCCCTCTATTTTTCTTTTGCTTCAAGGCAAATCTTGTTACTCTTT
Organism: Homo sapiens; assembly: GCF_000001405.40. Taxonomy (NCBI): domain Eukaryota; kingdom Metazoa; phylum Chordata; class Mammalia; order Primates; family Hominidae; genus Homo; species Homo sapiens. The sequence continues at coordinate 139,116,968 of NC_000006.12, forward strand.
TTTATTGAATGTTTTAGAAACCTAAGACTTTTTCTTTGACACCAGATGTGCAGGTTATTTTATGTTTAAAATTCCCTTTTCTGTTTTACTCTTCTCTTTCTATTATTAGGTAGAGATATAACTCTTGACCAAATCATTTTTTAAAAGTGCAATTCAACATGGAACCAGAACCATTCTCCAAAGAACACCTATTGTTTTGTGGTCTTGGATTTCTGAGAAAATCTGCTTTCACTTGATATAACTCTAAAACCTTATTGATTCTTTAGACACTCACATCTCAGACAGGTAGACTCTACTTTCTTAATTTATTATTTCTTATACTTAATATTAAGGAAAAGACAAGATATACAAAGTAAAAAGAAAGTGAGAATCTTTCAATTAAAACCTGCTTTGATTTTTTCATATGAAGCTTGTTTGTTGTGATGGGATAGTCTTTTAAACACAATATTCCATCCATAATAAATATTTGCAGCAAATTAGGTGTTTGCAACAAAATGTGTATATTTCCTTTAGAAATTGAATAGAATTTTCCAGAATCTCTTCTCAATGATATTTCTGCTCCAACCCTGAAAAATAAAACCAGAGCTGTGTCCCCTCTGTTATCTCATAGCACCTTAAGCATATCTTTGTCATTGTACTTACCACTTCAAAATGAAATTGTCTGCTTAAGTAAACTCTGTAGACTTGCTTTTGCTGAACTGGGGTTTGGTTTTCAAGCCATCAGCCCATACTGAGATATAATATAATAAAATGTAAGAGCTGAAACTATAAAAATACTAGAGGAAAACTTAGTGAAAACTCTTCTGGATATTGCTCTAGGCAAAGAATTCATGAGTAAGACAAGAGCACAAGCAACAAAAACAAAGCAGGCAAATGGGGCTTAATTAAACAAAAGCTTCTGCACAGCAAAAGAAATAATCAACACAGCGAACAGCCTCCAGAAAGGAGAAAATATTTGCAAACAATGTATCCAGCAGGGGGCAAATATCCAGAATATATAAGGAACTCAAATAACTCAACAACAGCAAAACAAATAACCTCATTAAAAAGTGGGCAAAGGACATGAATAGACATTTTTCAAAGGAACACATACAAATGGCCAACAAACATATGAAAAAATGCTCAACATACTAATCATCAGAGAAATGCAAATTAAAACCACAATGAGAATCTATCGTACATTAGTCAGAATAGCTATTATTAAAACGTCAAGGCAGGGTGTGGTGGCTCATGCCTGTAATCCCAGCATTTTGGGAGGCCAAGGCAGATGGATCACTTAGTGCCAGGAGTTCAAGACCAGCCTAGCCAACATGGTGAAACCCCATCTCTACCAAAAATACAAAAAATTAGTTGGGTGTGTTGGCACATGTCTGTAATCCCAGCTACTCAGGAGGCTGAAGCATGAGCATTGCTTGAACCCAGGAGGCAGAGGTGGCAGTGAGCTGACCCAGTACCATTGCACTCCAGTCTGGGAGATAAAGTGAGACTCTCTCTTTAAAAAAAAGTAAAAAAAAAAAAAAAACAGATGTTGGCAAGGATGTGGAGAAAAAGGAATACTTATACACTGTTGGTGGGAATGTAAATTAGTACAACCTCTATAGAAAATAGTATGAAGATTTCTCAAGGAACTAAAAATAGAATTACCATTAGATCCAGCAATCCCACTGGGTGTCTACCCAATGAAAAGGAAATCATCATATCATAAAGATACCACACTCATTTGTTTATCACAACACTGTTTACAATAGCAAAGATATGGAATCAACCCAAAGTCCATCAATGGATGAATAGATAAAGAAAAAATTATATATGTATAATCTACTCAGCCATAACAAAGAATGAAACAGGTCTTTTGCAGCCACACGCCTGGAACTAGAGGACATTATCTTAAATAACTCAGAAACAGAAAACCAAATACTGCATATCATCACTTATAAGTGAGAACTAAATAATGTGTCCACATGGGCAGAGTGTGGAATGATAGACATTGGAAACTCAGAAGGGTGGGAAGGTGGGAAAGGCATAGGTGATGAGAAATTACTTAATGGGTAAAATGTACATTATTTAGGTGATGGAATAATAAACAATAAAAACCCAGACTTCACCATTACTCAATATATTCATATAATACAATTGCATTTCTATCCCTTACATTTACACCAAAAAAAGAGGTCAAAAGAAAAAAAATAGCCCCACAACATTTACCATAAGGATAGTGTTGAAAATGTCCTTCAGTATATCACATAGTATTTGCATTTGGGCCAGATGCCATGGCTTACGCCTGTAATCCCAGCATTTTGGGAGGCCGAGGTGGGCAGATCACGAGGTCAAGAGATCAAGACCTTCCTGGCCAACTTGGTGAAACCCCGTCACTACTAAAAACACAAAAATTAGCTGGGCGTGGTGGCATGCCTGTAATCCCAGCTACTCGGGAGGTTGAGACAGGAGAATCACTTGAACCCAGGAAGCAGAGGTTGCAGTGAGCCCAGAATGTGCCACTGCACTCCAGCCTGGGCAACAGAGTAAGACTCTGTCTCAAAAAAAAAAAAAAAAAAAAGAGAGAGAGTATTTGCCTTTGGATGATCCTTGAGGGTTTTGTTTGTTTGTTTGGCCTTACGTTAGGAATAGGTATGCTTTTCCTGAGCATTTGGTCTGTTTTTATCTGGTGGAACTGAAACCACCCCAGTTGTCCCATGGAACAGATGTTTATGGTTTCTTTGAATAAACATAAAAATTAATCTCCCTTAAAACTTGAGAAAGTTAACATTTGTCTTATCTGAGTTCCTTTCTCGGGAAACCAACCATGAGGACTGCCAGATAGTATCAAGGAACTGAAACTTACCAGATCACCACGTCTGGACAATGAGACACAGGACCCTTCACCCATCATCATTGGCCTAACTGACCACTTGCTTCCTGTGAACAGCTCCTTTTTCTCATCCCTCCCTAATTCCTGTTTTCCCACACATGGTTAAAATTCTTTCCTGCTGTATAAACCCCTAATTTTAGTCAGTCAGAGAGATGGATTTGAGACTGATCTCCCATCTTCTTGACCATAGCACCTAATTAAAGCCTTCTTCCCTGGCAGTACTCATTGTCTCAGTGATTCAGTTTCTGTGTCACGAGCAGCAAGACCTAGACTGAAACCCCGGTGTTTTGGTAACAGAACTTGTGGATTGTCTCTCCCTTGACAGAGATTACCAAAAAGCTTAGATCCAAATTCTTGGTGGATCCTTAGCAAATACATGCAGGTCTTCATTGCGTTTATTTTGTGTATTACCCTGCCTCTAGTCTATGATCCCATCATTGCTTTCCCTTTGCCTTTCTCACTTGTTTCTAATGGACTTGTTTCTATTCTAATATTGTACCTCTTTTTGTTCCCCTCTGTAAATCCTTTTGAAGAAAGGCATGAGAATAAAGATGTATCTGTATCTTTCTCTCACCAGGCTATGAGCTCCTTGAGAATGTCCTGGGGTTGTTTCTCTATCATTTTGCACTTGGATGTGGCACAGACTTCACCGTATGTTCAGTAAATATTTTTGAAAGTAAACTAAATGAAGTTGCCATTGAAAAATAAAAAGAAATCATCTGGTAATTTGAGCAATGCCAGTTTTCTATTTCATGGTAAGACAAAAGGAAAAGACTGAGAATCCAATTGTCACCTACAAACAAGAAGGCAGAAGATATTCCTTATCTAAGTCAAGGATAAATAGATGACCTTAAAAAAGTTCCTTGTTTTTTTAACCTGTTGATGGTGTGACCATGACAATGTTGTGGCTTATAAACCAAGAAAAATGAAAGATGCTTGTAATCCATCTATCACAGAGCTTTGCACATAGTTGATACTGGATAAATACATGTTGAACCCAGTTTCTCTGAATACTAGTTTGAGAAATAGAGTCATTTAGAACGCTTGGCAGGAAATATCTGGTACTTATTTTTCCTCAGATTGAAATCTAAAAACATCTCAGGAAACCGTTGAACTCAGGATTGTTAACTTGAACCAGAGTCATACAAAAGACATCTAGCTCACTGGGCAATGCTTTTTAATGACAGAATGCCCTATTTCACCTAGAACTTTCTTCTTTTTTTTCTTTTTTTTTAAGTATACTTTAAGTTCTAGGGTACATGTGCACAACATGCAGGTTTGTTACATATGTATATATGTGTCATGTTGGTGTGCTAAACCCATTAACTCGTCATTTACATTAGGTATATCTCCTAATGCTATCCCTCCCCGCTCCCCCAACCCTACGACAGGCCCCGGTATGTGATGTTCCCCACCCTGTGTCCAAGTGTTCTCATTGTTCAATTGCCACCTATGAGTGAGAATATGTGGTGTTTCGTTTTCTGTCCTTGCAATAGTTTGCTCAGAATGGTGGTTTCCAGCTTCATCTATGTCCCTACAAAGGATGTGAACTCATCATTTTTTATGGCTGCATAGTATTCCATGGTGTATATATGCCACATTTTCTTAATCCAGTCTATCATTGATGGACATTTGTGTTGGTTCCAAGTCTTTGCTATTGTGAATAGTGTCGCAATAAACATACGTGTGCATGTGTCTTTATAGCAGCATGATTTATAATCCTTTGGGTATATACCCAGTAATGGGATGGCTGGGTCAAATTGTATTTCTACTTCTAGATCCTTGAGGAATCACCACACTGACTTCCACAATGGTTGAACTAGTTTACAGTCCCACCAACAGTGTAAAAATGTTCCTATTTCTCCACATCCTCTCCAGCACCTGTTGTTTCCTGACTTTTTAATGATCGCCATTCTAACTGGTGTGAGATGGTGTCTCATTGTGGTTTTGATTTGCATTTCTCTGGCGTCCAGTGATGACGAGCATTTTTTCATGTGTCTGTTGGCTGCATAAATGTCTTCTTTTGAGAAGTGTCTGTTCATATCCTTTGCCCACTTTTTGATGGGGTTGTTTGATTTTTTCTTGTAAATTTGTTTAAGTTCTTTGTAGATTCTGAATATTAGCCCTTTGTCAGATGGGTAGATTGCAAAAATTTTCTCCCATTCTGCAGGTTGCCTGTTCACTCTGGTGGTAGTTTCTTTTGCTGTGCAGAAGCTCTTTGGTTTAATTAGATCCCATTTGTCAATTTTGGCTTTTGTTGCCATTGCTTTTGGTGTTTTAGACATGAAGTCCTTGCCCATGCCTGTGGCCTGAATGGTATTGCCTAGGTTTTCTTCTAGGGTTTTTATGGTTTTAGGTCTGACATTTAAGTCTTTAATCTATCTTGAATTAATTTTTGTATAAGATGTAAGGAAGGGATCCAGTTTCAGCTTTCTACATATGGCTAGCCAGTTTTCCCAGCATCATTTATTAAATAGGGAATCCTTTCCCCATTGCTTGTTTTTGTCAGGTTTGTCAAAGATCAGATGGTTGTAGATATGTGGTATTACTTCTGAGGCCTCTGTTCTGTTCCATTGGTCTATATCCCTGTTTTGGTACCAGTACCATGCTGTTTTGGTTACTGTAGCCTTGTACTATAGTTTGAAGTCAGGTAGCATGATGCCTCCAGCTTTGTTCTTTTGGCTTAGGATTGTCTTGGCAATGCGGGCTCTTTTTTGGTTCCATATGAACTTTAAAGTAGTTTTTTCCAATTCTGTGAAGAAAGTCATTGGTAGCTTGAGGGGGATGGCATTGAATCTATAAATTACCTTGGGAATTATGGCCATTTTCACGATATTGATTCTTCCTATCCATGAGCATGGAATGTTCTTCCATTTGTTTGTATCCTCTTTTATTTCATTGAGCAGTGGTTTGTAATTCTCCTTGAAGAGGTCCTTCACATCCCTTGTAAGTTGGATTCCTAGGTATATTATTCTCTTTGAAGCAATTGTGAATGGGAGTTCACTCATGATTTGGCTCTCTGTTTGTCTGTTATTGGCTATAAGAATGCTTGTGATTTTTGCACATTGATTTTGTATCCTGAGACTTTGCTGAAGTTGCTTTTCAGCTTAAGGAGATTTTGGGCTGAGACGATGGGGTTTTCTAAATATACGATCATGTCATTTGCAAACAGGGGAAATTTGACTTCCTCTTTTCATAATTGAGTACCCTTTATTTTTTTCTCCTGTCTGATTGCCCTGGCCAGAACTTCCAACACTATGTTGAATAGGAGTGGTGAGAGAGGGTATCCCTGTCTTGTGCCATTTTCAAAGGGAATGGTTCCAGTTTTTGCCCGTTCAGTATGATATTGGCTGTGGATTTGTCATAAATAGCTGTTATTATTTTGAGATACGTCCCATCAATACCTAATTTATTGAGAGTTTTTAAGCATGAAGCATTGTTGAATTTTGTCGAAGGCCTTTTCTGCATCTATTGAGATAATCATGTGGTTTTTGTCTTTGGTTCTGTTATATGATGGATTACGTTTATTGATTTGCGTATGTTGAACCAGCCTTGCATCCCAGGGATGAAGCCCACTTGATCATAGTGGATAAGCTTTTTGATGTGCTGCTGGATTCGGTTTGCCAGTATTTTATTGAGGATTTTTGCATCGATGTTCATCAGGGATGTTGGTCTAAAATTCTTTTTTTTTGTTGTGTCTCTGCCAGGCTTTGGTATCAGGATGATGCTGGCCTCATAAAATGAGTTAGGGAGGATTCCCTCTTTTTCTATTGATTGGAATAGTTTCAGAAGGAATGGTACCAGCTCCTCTTTGTACCTCTGGTAGAATTCGGCTGTGAGTCCATCTGGTCCTGGGGTTTTTTTTGGTTGGTAGGCTCTTAATTATTGCCTCAATTTCAGAGCCTGTTATTGGTCTATTCAGGGATTCAATTTCTTCCTTGTTTTGGAGTGTGTATGTGTCCAGGAATTTATCCATTTCTCCTAGATTTTCTAGTTTATTTGCATAGAGGTGTTTATAGTATTCTCTGATGGTAGTTTGTATTTCTGTGGGATCGGTGGTGATATCCCCTTTATCATTTTTTAATGCGTCTATTTGATTCTTCTCTCTTTTCTTCTTTATTAGTCTTCTTAGAAGTCTATCAATTTTGTTGATCTTTTCAAAAAACCAGCTCCTGGATTCATTGATTTTTTGAAGGGTTTTTTGTGTCTCTATCTCCTTCAATTCTGTTCTGATCTTAGTTATTTCTTGCCTTCTGCTAGCTTTTGAATGTGTTTGCTCTTGCTTCTCTAGTTCTTTTAATTGTGTTGTTAGGGTGTCCATTTTAGATCTTCCTGCTTTCTCTTGTGGGCATTTAGTGCTACAGATTTCCCTCTACACACTGCTTTAAATGTGTCCCAGAGATTCTGGTATGTTGTGTCTTTGTTCTTATTGGTTTCAAAGAACATCTTTATTTCTGCCTTCATTTTGTTATGTACCCAGTAGTCCTTCAGGAGCAGGTTGTTCAGTTTCCATGCAGTTGAGCAGCTCTGAGTGAGTTTCTTAATCCTGAGTTCTAGTTTGATTGCACTGTGGTCTGAGAGACAGTTTGTTACAATTCTGTTCCTTTACATTTGCTGAGGAGTGCTTTACTTCCAACTATGTGGTCAGTTTTGGAATAAGTGCTATGTTCACCTAGAACTTTCAAGTCTTGATTCATAGTAGATTAATTTTGTCCTTTAAAAGAGAACAAACCAACATAGCAAATATTGGGTTATTTTTTCCACTTACAGGCTTTACTAGAATAGAAAATGCTAGCAATTTATTTGTGGGTACTGAAACTTATGGTATGATCTAAACAGAATAAGATGGTGGGATGGCTTTTCTTTAAGATCAAATTTTTGTCTTTAAGTACTATGATTTTTTTTTCCCTTTAAAATGTCTCCTATAGTGATCCTTTTCCTCGGTTCTCCTTTTAACTCCCTAACTGCAAATTCTCATCGTCTCATCCCAACGATGATACAATATATTTTCGGCTGGCTTCCTTGTCACCACTTTTCCTATCAAATGTATCCTGAATGTTACTATCAGAGTATTCTTCCAAAACGATGTTTTCATCACATCATTCTTATCTAGTAACTTACAATAACTTCTTAGAGCTGGACAAATCAACTTCAAACTTGGGCAAGGCATTGCTTCTCATAATCTCCTCCCCACCGGCTCCCAGCTTTGTACACCAGAGTGCGCTCTGTTGCAATCTTAGCATCCTGCATGGGTCCCTGGTACAAACTGTCCCTTTAAGGTATCTGTATCTGCATGCAACAGGAAGTGGGGTGTGGTTTGTTCTGGGATGAGACTACAGTTGTATGCTGAAAAGAGTTTATCCTTGACCTAGAACTAGTACTGCTTTTAGAAAAAAAAATCTTGTTTACCGTTAAAAAGGAGAAAGTTAAATAGCACTTACAGTTAAAAAGAAAAAAAGGCAAATAGCAACAGACAAAGAATATAAAATGTAAATGCTCCTGGTAATAACAACCACTATTTATTGAGAGCTTACTATGCGCTAGGCCCTACACATACATTATGAGTCTTAACTCTGAAATAGATACCATTATCCCCATTTCACAAATATCTTGTCCAAGATCACACAGCTAGCAAGCCAAAACTGCAACTCGGAAAGTCTGGCTCCGTACACACGCCCCTAACCACAAAACTATAATAACTCTTCATTGGATCTAAAGCTGGCATCTACCCTGAAACCTGAGAAGTGCCTGCTCTAGGAAATAACAAATGTTTTCTGCTTATATGCTAGAAGGAATTTCCTCTATCTTGAAGGGAAAGGTTTGTTTTTTTGTTTTGTTTTGTTTTGTTTTTTTAACAAATGCACACTGTAGTGTAGGTCCAAACAATACACAGTGGTACTCTTATCACCCTGGCTTCCACTTTTGAGCAGCTCCTTTAGGTATTGATCAGGTGTTTCCTCTTACAAAGAAACCCCACAGATTACCAAGGGCAATGTTTTAACCCAAACCAGACCATGGGCCACAATATTACAAATTGGAGAGTGTGGTAGGATTGGTTTGGAGTAGAGTCCATGCTGTGATCCTCTGTGGGAGACTGTTGGCTAAACCCAACTTGGCAACTTTAATGGTGCAAAAAAATGGCCCAAACCAGGAAGGCTGCAGAATCAGTATGTCAGCACTTAAAATAGAATTTTCTAGTAGAAATGTTAACACAATATAGAAGTAGAGAACTATGACTAGGTGATCAACAGCATATAGGAAGTGGCCATACCTAGAATTTCAGGCATAAGAAGATCTTGTACATGGGATGTTGCCTCCGTTGCCTACTATAATATAACAATTTAATCATTTCCCATTGGCTCATAAGAGCTGGTTGTGCACATCTCTTCCCAACCTTGAGTTCAGTGGCTTGTGCTGATAACCTAAAACTGGCCACAGTAGGAGTATTTATACCATGGGCAACTAGAAATGCTACAAATCAGAGTTCCCTCCCACATCCCTTCCCAGCCAGTTTAGCAACAGCACAGCACTAAAACTACCCCAAGAGTTGCTTAAAACAGCAACTATTTATTATTTCTCACAATTCTGTGGGTTGACTAGGCTCATCCGGGCAATCTGTTCCATGTGGTAAAGCTGTGGTGACTCATACAGCTATATTCAGCTAAGATAGGATTTCTCAAGCTTGGCACTAGATTCGGGGCTGGATAATTGTTTGTTGTTGCGTCCTGTGCATTGCAGGCTGTTGAGCAGCATCTCTGGCCTCAACCTACTAGATGCTAGAAGTGACAACCAAAAATATCCCTGGACATTGCTAAATGTCCCTGAAGGCAAAATTGCCAGGGGTTGAGAACCACGAAGCTAAGAGCTTGGCTGGGGCTGGAACACAAGTATCCTTTCTCATCTTCCACATGTCCATGATCTTTTATTAAAGAAAAATGTTATTCATGACATTTGTTACAGATGGTAATGCAAACTTTTCAGGGGAACTACTACCATGGAGTTTTGTATTAGGAGAGAGAGATTGGGCTCAACTCCAAATACAACAAGGAAAAGTGGGGATTTGTAGCCAAGGAGCAGGGGTGGGAGTCAGTGGATAGACAGTTACTAAGAGGAAACATCAAGGTTAGGGGGATTGTGGCCAAACTGACTTGAGAGGATTCTTGCTGAAGGCAGGCCAGGCTGATCTCATACGGAAAGTTGGGGATTTTTATGAAATTGACCCAGCAAGATTCTTGCTAAAACGGAACTAAGCAGGCCAAGGACGAGGCAAGGTTGGGGCCTAGTCAAAAAGAGGAATCAGAGGGGCCTGACTCAAGTTTGGTCAAGGACGGAGTCTTTGTCACCCTCTCCATGTGGCCTCTCATCATTCCATAGTCTGGCTCAAGTTTCTTTGCAGCATGGTGGCTGGCTTTTGGGAGAGCAAAAGCAAATTTAGGGTCCAGACTAGAGCAATTGCACTTTTGCTGCATTTCTAATTGGTCAAAGCAAGTCACAAGGCCAGGTTAGATTTAAGGGGAAGGCAAACAGACTCCACCTTTTGAAGAGAGGAGTAGCACATTTGTGTTCATCTTTAATCCATGCAGTGCTATGTTTGCATTTAAGGACTTAGAACAAATATTCTGCAGGAGGAAAGGAAATCTTAAGACAAAATTCTATTCGAGATTGATTGAAATGAACTCCAGAACCATACATAGCAGTACTTATTACTGGACTAAATGTGAAACTGATTGTTCATGTGATGGTAAATTTTTGTTACCTATAACAATTACAGCATATTTGAAGTTTCTTAAAATGGAAGCAATACCATGAATGTTCAACTGTTTACATCATTTAGAATTAGTACTTAATGTATTATATCTTCTGACAGTTTCCGTTTTATAGTTTTGAAGATATTTCCCAAGAAGTTTTCTAAAGAACTGGTTGTTTACAAGAGGGATCCAGTATCTGTCTTTTCACCATTGTATCAATACTCACCTGATTGCTAGTGCCAGAAGTAGATTGTTTTCTTTTCTTTTTCTTCTTCCTTATTTTTTTTGAGATGGAGTCTCACTCTGTCGCCCAGGCTGGAGTGCAGTGGCACCATCTGGGCTCACCACAACCTCCGCCTCTCAGGTTCAAGAGATTCTCCTGCCTCAGCCTCCCGAGTAGCTGGGATTATAGGAGTGCACCACCACACCCAGCTAATTGTTATATTTTTGGTAGAGATGGCGGGGGTGGTTCACCATGTTGGCCAGGCTGGTCTCAAACTCCTGACCTCAAGTGATCTGCCTGTCTCAGCCTCCCAAAGTGCTGGGATTACAGGTGTGAGCCACTGTGCCCAGCTAGAAGTAGATTTTTGTTGTTGTTGTTCCAAGGCATTATTTCCCCTAAAAATATTCAGCAGGACTCTACTTCCGTAGAATGTTAATAAGCATTACATGTAAAAGGATTTATAGGTTATATACATTTGGGAAATTCTAAGTTGAGAGTAAACAGGTTTCTTTACTGCTGGACTTTTAGGATCTTTACTATGCTAATATATATTGTGACTCATACAATATACAGTGTTTCCTAGACTTATTTTACCACAGAAATAGAGGCACGTCTTATATAACTAGTGTTCCTCAGGATATTCTTGGTAGAAATCATTCCAAGTAGAAATAAAGGAGGAAGCTGAATCTTGAGAGAAAATTCTAGCCAAGATCAATCAAAATTAACTCCAGAAACAAGCAGAGCAGTAGCCTTAGCACTTAGAAAAAAAATAGGTGTTCTTGAAATAGATCCTCAGATCCAACAATGAACTAACTACACTGATTGTGTTTGTTCTAAAAGTCAATAGTTCTTTAACTACAGAGGCCTGAAACACTTAAGCCAAAGATCTTTTGCAAAAGTTATTGTAAATTCATGAAATTTTATCATCCAAGATCATCAAAGATTCATTAGTTGAAACAGCAGTGTGGAAAGGAAGAACTGGAATAAGGTCTTAATTTTTCCATGCTTTTTATCTTATAAACTAAACTCGAAGCCCTTGAAAATGAGAACTTAGAGTGCAAGCAGTATATGAAGATATTTGTGGTAGGTAGTTTCTAAGATGGTTTGTTGTTGTTGTTGTTGAAACAGAGTCTCACTCTGTCGCCCAGACTGGAGCGCAGTGGCATGATCTCGGCTCACTGCAACCTCCACCTCCCGGGTTCAAGTGATTCTCCTGCCTCAGCCTCCCAATTAGCTGGGATTACAGGTGCGTGCCACCACGCCCAGCTAATTTCGGTATTTTTAGTAGAGACAGGATTTCACCATCTTGGCCAGGCTCGTCTCAAACTCCTGAACTCGTGATCCACCCGCCTTGGCTTCCCAAAGTGCTGGGATTACAGGCGTGAGCCACTGTGCCCGGCCCTAAGATGGGTTTTAATGATCCCCATCCCTTGGTGTTCATGCCCTTGTGTAATTTCCTCCACCCAAGCTTTGGCTAAATCTGATGACTTGCTTCCAAGAAACAGAGTACAGCAAAATGATGGATGTTACTTCTGAGATTAGATTACAAAAAAGATTGGCATCTGTCTTGTTTACTCTCTCATGCTCCCTGTCTTTCTCCCTTGGATGAAACCAGCTGCCCTGTTGTGAGCTGCCCCAGGCTGAGGTTTCTGTGGTAAAGAACTGAGGGGAGGTCTGGGGCCAGCAGCCCACAAGGAATGTTGAATCCTTCTCGCAACCCTAGGACTGAGTTTGGAAATGGATCCTCCCCCAGTTGGCTGACTATAGCCTTCTGAGGACTCAGCTAAGCCATCCCAAGATTACTGATTCACAGAAACTGTGAGATAATAAATGTTTGTTGTTTTAAGCTGTTAAATTGTGGGGTCATTTGTTAGGCAGCAATAGATAATTAGCACCATATTAAAAGAGGCATTTAGAGAGGGCCAATGTTGTATTATCTAAGTCAAATCTTGCAGACAGCCTTCAGAAGCACTGTGGTTAAGTCAAGCTTTAGAATGGCAGAATAGAAAAGTGCTGATTTTAATTGGGCATAAACATAGGGGATATTGATAAAAACTAGATGACAAAAATCTTTGAGATTTCAGTGACACTCCAGAGGAGATATCAGAAATACAAGGTGTAGAAATGGATAATTCCATGGCCACTGCAATTGCTGATGAAGGTATTGCTATTATAGGGGTTCTTGTTATACAAATCTAGACCAAACTGAGCCATCCCTTTTTGGTTTAAATATTATGCTAGCTGAACATAAAAATGTGGTTTTAGAAGAATTCTTTTTTTCTTCATGAGATCTGGCTCAAATTATTCTTTTAGGTGCTCCTCTCCATTCTCTTTTATTGAATGAATATGTATTAAACACTTAACTATATGCCAGGCCCTGTTTTAGGTACAGAAGATTAACAGAGAAATCCTCACCCTCTTGAAACTTGCATTCTAGTGTGGAAGGACAGACAGTAAACAAAGTTAATAAACATAAAAATAAATCTCTTAGGCCGGGCGCGGCCTCTTAGGTGGCTCACACCTGTAATCTCAGCACTTTGGAAGGCCAAGGCGGGTGGATCTTAAGGTCAGGAGTTCGAGACCAGCCTGGCCAATATGGTGAAACCCCGTCTCTACTAAAAATACAAAAATTAGCTGGGCATGGTGTCGCAAACCTGTAATCCCAGCTATTCAGGAGGCTGCGGCAGGAGAATCACTTGAACCCGGGAGGTGGAGGTTGCAGTGAGCCGAGATTGTGCTACTGCGCTCCAGCCTTGGCGACAGAGCGAGACTCCGTCCCAAAAAAAAAAAAAAAAAAAAAAAGTAAATAAATCTCATGAAGGAAACGTTCTTTCGGGTTTACTGGGGCCTAAGATAGTATTGATGCTGAACTGGGACAATAGTATGAGCAAGGAAGGCACAGAGGTTCGAGTAAGCAGCAAGTTCAGGGATCACTGAAAAAAATTCTGACCCTTTTTTATGACTGCTTTTATAGATTATGAAAATAATGTAAAAGTCACAACTAAAGGATGGAAAAGAGATTTTAAGGGCAAATATTTGAGAAAAATATTAATATTGGTAATCGGGAACAGCCTAAAGGGAGAGTAGATCTATGGAATTTATTAATCAATATTATTATTTGCTTTAATATTCCATTTTTTCAAAGTTTTTATAATCACAATTGTCATTATTCCTCAAAGAAAACCTGTGGCCATAGGAAAGGCTATTTGCAGAAGAAAAAACTGATGCATGAAGACAATGCATTGCTCCAGGTGTATTTATTTGAAGTGACTTTTTAGCAGATCAGGCTTTAGTACCTTTTAGCTTATGTTTCAATTGTGGACATATTCTTGTGTGCATTACTGTGTTATCTGCAGAATTCCTTCTGAGTTCCAATATGATTTTTTCGATCAAGGTGTATTTGGATATTTGGCTTCTTACCTATGTTCTAAGTTTTCAATTATCCTTAACACATATATTTTGTACTTTAAACCTAACCAAACTTAGCTGACCCCAAGAGCTCAGAAGACAGCCACAAAATGTCAAATGAACAAAATTAGGGCACTGAAACAATGACTGCTTATTCCAGTTCAGCCTGAAGATTAGCCCACCCCTTTCTTAAGGGTGTAAATTGTTTGCTTTTGATGCCCTTGATTTGTTGCTGTGCTTTATTTTGTTTTCGCAGAGAAGTGAGCAATAGGGTGGGTGAGGTTTGGGGGAAGGAAACCTAGGATAGAGGTATAATTTTTTTGAAGTTTATATCAGAGCATGAGTTGATCAGGGAAATTGAAGAATGAGAAGGCAAGTGTAGATGTACAGAACAGAGTGGCTTCCTCAGTTCCTTGGAGTTCTTTATACTTCTGGAAGTTTCTAAGGGGAATGTTCCATTGTACCATCTGCCACCTTTTGTCTTTTGGTATGCTGTCTCTCTCTCTCACCTTCAGAAATGGTGGGAAAACGGCTAGGACAGCAGGATAGAACATAGGAAATGGAGTCCTTTAACTTCACCTACATTTTGTTCCTAACATCTTGATTTTAGTATATTGTCTTTGTAGCAATAAAATCGGAACTATTGCCTCTGCACCAAATTTGACTAAGGCTAAAAATAGATTAGCGAGGTTGAGCATGGAAGAAGTGGCAAGCTTCTCCTTCCTCCTTTTCATTTTGTTTCAGTTTGAATAGAAGGAGGTAGCTCACACAATTAACCAGAACAGCAACTGGCTGGATGTCTGGGTGCTTTGAGCCAATTAGGATATTTTTGTGGAAAGTTTCCAATTCTTAATTCTCAGTTATGTAGAGGTGGGAGGCAGCTGGTGTGAATGTCTGTCTGCAGGGTACATGCATACTAACTCTGATCCAATATGGCATGACAGCAATGTGCTTATTCAAGAAAATAATTATCTCAATTTTCTTGTACTCTAACCTAAAATGTCTTCGCCTTCACGACTTAAAAAAACAAAACAAAAAACCAGAAAAAAAAAAAGAAACGCCAAAGCTAACATCACCCACATATTTTGAGACCTCTAGTGGTATCAATAATGAAATTAAGCTAAGTCTGAATGGGCAACAGTAATTCATTATCTTCCTCCACGGACCCACTGCCCTCCCCGGGAAGTCTCCCTTTAATTAACTACCTTCATCATTTCTTCTGATTTTCAGAATTTCTTGACTTCACTCTCTCTTTCACCCCTCATTTTTGGTGTCCAAGTGGCCACCAAAGCAATATCCCAGTGTGTAAGCTGCTATGGTGAGGAAGGTGCAGGGAGTATCTGGGGACAAGTCTAGTTTTGGGTTGTCACAGATTTCCTAGAGAATTGATGATTTAGCTGAGACTTTAAGGTTCAGAATAATGTAGCCAGAAGAAGAGTGCTTTAGGTATCTTCCATGCAACAAATTTTTATTGAATACTTACTGTGGGTCAAGGTTTATGCCAGACTCTGTAGCGTTAGAAAGCTAGGCACAATCCCTGCTCTCTTAGCACCTAGGGGATTTCAAGGTTGGGGAGAAATAGACATGAAAATATAAGCACAAAATATCTATCTATCAATAGGGCCTTCTAAAGGGTCACTATCCTCTAATACATATTAGGGAATTTAAAATTTCAACTTTTTTTTTCTACTAAAGAGTCCAACCAGCAATTTCCCCTGAGTATCCAGTGCTTGCTCCTTCTTGCCGTTCCAGGCTCTGTTATGCATTCTGCTATGGTTGCCCAGAGCTCGCAATCAGAATCTCCTCTCCATTACCTGAATGTGGGGGAGAGTATTGTTTCTTGTACTTTCCTGTCTATCTGTATAGTTCACAATGAGGCAGAGAACAGAGTCTGGAGGCAGGGAACCTAAGGGCGTTTCACCCCACTTCCTAAACTAAATTGAAAGGAAAACCCTAACTTTCCACACCTGAGTAACAAAAGGACCAGAAGCTGCTCCCTTTGCAAACCCTCACCTTTTCTGCGTGGCAGATGGGAAACTGGCTGTCAGCAACCAATGAGACTGATTGCGGGTGGAGTCTTTGCATAGAAGTGCAACTTTGTAACTTCACCTTAGCCTCTGATTGGTTGCTTTTTAAACAGAAGTGTGCAAAAAGTGTGATTGCACAGAAGTGTGACCTTTGTTAACTCCACTTCAGCCTCTGATTGGTTGACGAAAGCAACCAATCAGACTAATTGTGCGTCACCACTTCATTTACATGAGAAACCTCCAGGGGGTATTTGGACCTCAGAAGATTCTGCATCCGGAACCTTGAGCCACCGCTGGGGCCGCTTCCATACTGTGGAGTGTACTTTCATTCTCAATAAATCCCTGCTTTCTTCTTTCCTTGCTTTGCTGGGCGTTTGGTCCAATTGTTTGTTCAAAATGCCAAGAACTTGGACGACTTGCAGTCAAGACCCTCTAATGGTAACAACAACACCGTGACAGAGCTTTTACTAAAGGGCTGAATTAAAGATTACACTATAAAAGGGGAACACTGTAAAGCTGTCAGCTAAACTAGTCTTTCCTCCACAGTTCGTGAGGAAGGAACCTAATTTATACATTCAACAAATTTATGCCAGCTGTTCTCTGATGTGCCCAAGGCAGATAAAATCTATCCATGGAGGTTTCATTTCAGTGAGAGGGAGATATACAAGAAATAAGTAAACACCTACATTGCCAACATAATTAGAGATGGAGGAGGAAAATAACAGGGTGGAACTTCTGACAGCTCTCCTGGGAAGGTCTCTGTGGAAGTGATGTATTTGAGCTGAGACCTGAAGGAAGGGAAGGAGTTGGCCGAAAAGGTAGAATAGAATTGCAGAAAGAGATCAAGGGGAGCTCTTCCCAGGGGTCCCCTGCCCTCATATTGCCTGTCTTCACTGGTGTCACCTAATCTCCTACTGCTCATAACCTGGCTACCTATCTTTCACTATCTTTCAGGACAACTCAGCCCTATGCATAGGGATGGGTTCCCCCCAAGCAGGGACTGCTTCAGAGTCCAGGCAACATCTAGTTACATCCCTGGATGATGGGTCTTGTTTGAGTGAATTGTTTTCACCACCAGACTGTGAAGGCTTCCCATTCAGGACCCTGGTGTTCATCCCCATTGTCTGGGAACTCTACCCTGTTTCTTTCTTTCTTTTCTTTTTTTTTTTTTTTTTTTGAGACAGAGTCTCGCTCTGTTGCTCAAGCTGGAGTGCAGTGGCGCGATCTCGGATCCCAGGTTCAAGTGATTCTCCTGCCTCAGCTTCCCGAGTTTCTGGGACTACAGGCGCACGCCACCACGCCCAGCTAATTTTTTTTTGTATTTTTAGTAGAGACAGGGTTTCACCACGTTGGCCAGGATGGTCTCGATCTCTTGACCTCGTGATACACCCGCCTCGGCCTCCCAAAGTGCTGGGATTACAGGCATAAGCCACCGCGCCCGGTCCCCTGTTTCTTTAATTACTGTTACTGAAAGGCATAGCCTTTGAATGAGTTATTAATCCAAAATCTTTTGTTTTCCATTCTTGCTCTAGTCACAGCTTATTTTTCCAGACCATACTGTTCTAAGCCTCAATTACATTAAGGCCAGGAGGCCACCGAAGAACTCCACATGCCACTGCACTGGCGGGTGGAGCAAGTCAAGCAGGGCAGCTCATGAACGCCCGGGAGTCCAGGAGGCCCGGGTGGGGACGCCTGGATGACGTCACTCGAGGTGGGCAGGCCCCGCGCGGGGCGTGACGTCACGCGGGCGGTCCCGTCAGCCGTGAGGTCACCTGGTGGGCGCGGCCAGGCCGAATCCCCAGTGTCGTCACGGGAGGGGGCGGGCCCAGAGCGTGTCAGTGCAGCCGAATCAAAACAAGCCGGAGACCCGCCTTTTCCCTCCGGCTCGGGAGCGTCTCGCTTGCGCCCCGGGCCCGCGGCGCCCGCGCGGCTGCGAGCCTCGGGTGGCCGCGTGCCGGCTCCAGGAAGCCGGAGAGGGCGCGGCGGCCAGGATGGCGCGGCACGGGCCGTGCGGCTAGACGGGAGCCGAGGGAACCGCCGGCTCGCGCCCTCCGTTCTTTCCCGGAGCCGGCTTCACGCAGGGCCGGGAACGGCCGTGCCTCTGGGATCCGCCTTCGCTGACGCCGGGCACCTACCTGGACGCGAGCGAGCGAGATGCCCAACCCCAAAAACAGCAAAGGCGGCCGCAAAAACAAGCGCGCCAACAGCAGCGGCGACGAGCAGGAAAATGGAGCCGGGGCCCTGGCAGCGGCGGGCGCGGCGGGAGCGGCGGCCGGGGGGGCCCTGGCGGCGGCGGCCGGTTGCGGGGCGGCGGCGGCGGGCGCGCCGGGCGCCGGAGGCGCGGCGGGCGCCGGAGGCGCGGGGACTGGCGCCGCGAACGCTGCGGCCGCCGCGGGGGCTGCGGCCGCGGGCGATGCCAAAAACGGTAAGACGGGGCTGGCGGGGCGAGCGCCAACTTCCTCCCCGACGGGGACGGCGCGGTGGCGGGGCCCTGGGTGGCGCGGGCGGTGCGTGGACAATGCGAGAGTCAGGAAGTGCTCACCCCGCCCCTCCGCCCCGCCGCGGCTGCCCCTTCGCGGTCCCCACGCCTGGCGGCGGGGACAGATCTGCGGCCCCTGCCCGGTGTCCGCGCGGGGGGCAGCCCGCGCCCCACACTCTGAGGGGCTCCCGGCTGCGGCAGCGCTGCCCTCGGGCCCAGCCTGCTGCCCGCGCTGGCACTGCCCCGCCGTGTGTGCCGGGCCGAAGGGAGGAAGGAAGGGAGGAAAGAGCCGCCCAAGTTGAGAAGAATGATCCGATTGAAAACTTAGGCACCGGTTAATTCTTCCCGGTGCTCCAAGGCCACCCGTAACCCCCGGAATGAAGGAGAGAGAGCCTCAATTCTTAGCACACCCAGGCTTGCTGCGTCGATCGCCACAGGTGAAGAGGCCTCGAGACATTTAGGGCCTCTGTGTTTGCTCTTTAATTTTTTGGCTTGCTTGAGGAAGGAAGAGAATCTGAACTTGACTTCCGTTCTCAGCCCGGAGTTAAAAAAAAAAAAAAAAAAAGAAAAGAAAGAAAAGAAAAATCATTCTCTATGTCATTGTGCTTAACATTTTCAGAAGGAAGCCTCATAATCTTAGGTAGTGCCTGAATGTTCCTTTTGAGGGGACACTTAGGAACTGGCCCAGATGTGACAGGATTTCTGTTCTCATTACAGAGCCATGGTTTTCGTTATAAGGTGCTGGGCAAACACTTACTTATTTGGACAGTTCTTTGAATTCCTCTAGTCAGGCACTTTTTCCAGGAAGACAACGTAGGTATTTTAATGAAGGGAGATTTGAATTGTTATATCTGGCTTTTAATTTATAGCGTCAGCTTTTGAAGCCATTCTTTATGTAGATCAGGCACTTTTTTGTTTTGTTTTTTTTTTTTTAGACGGAGTTTGCAATTTCGCCCAGGCTGGAGCGTAGTGGCGCAATCTCGGCTCACTGCAACCACCGTCTTCCGGTCTGAAGCGATTCTCCTGCCTCAGCCTCCCGAGTAGCTGGGATTACAGGCGCCCGCCACCACGCCCGGCTAATTTTTGTTATTTTTAGTAGAGACAGGGTTTCACCATATTGGTCAGGCTGGTCTCGAACTCCTGACCTCGTGATCCGCCCGTCTCGGCCTCCCAAAGTGCTGAGATTACAGGCGTGAGTCACCACGCCCAGCCAGATCAGGCACTTTTTAAACAGGGCACCTGCTCTTACAAGCAGCGTACAGTGCTCTGAACATAGGCGGCTGAATGTCGCCTGTTAGAACTGTAGGCCCCGTTGGCTGTGTCTCTGCAATATTGAAATAGGAAGATTTATTTATTTATTTTCAGAAACAAACTTACCCCGTTTGTGAATGTTTCAGAATACTAGTTTTGGGTAGCCTGTGTTCTTCATGTTCTTTTGTTTTTCTCCTGGCTTTAACCTTCATTTTGGTATTGATGTGGCAGAGAGAAAGGTGCTCAGACTCTGGGTAGGACAGACTCCTAGCTCAGCCATTTAGAGCTTCATCATCTTGGAAAGGTCAGTCTTCCAGAGCCTCAATTTCCTCATGTGTAAACTTGAAAAAAAATTACCCTGGCTCCCTCCTAGTGTTATTGAGAGGCTCAGAGTGCCCCTTCCCTATTATGCTCCCAGTTCTTGTTATTTTAAAGGTTACATATATAATGAGCTTAAAGTTTCTCACAAAGAGTGCATGAACAATGATGACAGCTTTCGTTTATTCATTTAAAAAAGATTACCTGCAGTGTTGCAAGTACCGTGTTCAATACTAAGGGATCCAGCGGTAATCAAGACGAGACATCCCGGTCCTCAGGGAGCTTGCATTCCTGTTCTGGTGGTGGTTTTGGTTTGCTCTGCCCACCCCCCTACCAGCTCCTTTTTTTTTTTTTTTTTGGCCTATGTGGAAGCTTCAAGTTCACAGTTTCCTTTTTTTTCTTGCTCCAAAAGATTAGTCCAATTTAAGGTGGCATGAGGAAATTTTTTTCTTAGGCTACTTGTACCTCCTAGTTTGTACATAACAAACTGGTTAAGGGGCCCCTATTATTATTCTCTGAAGTGGCAGACTCAAGTATATTTAGCAGCACAGTGTATGTGAAGAGCTGTTTCTGATTAGGAGCTTATTTTATTAAGTGAAAGGCGGGGAGAAAAAGGAATGGGCCAACATTCCCATAGTCAGGGTCAGAGGATGTAACTTATATTAGAGGAGTGAGCCAAATTTTATGATGCCTGATTCTTGTTTCTGAAGTGATGTGAAGTCTTCGTGAATGATTCACCTTAATGTGAGGAACCCCCCCTCAGTTCTGCAGTTGATGATAACTGAACTTGGATGCTGAGGACTCCTGGGTGCAAAATCAAATGCTTTTTTCTTTTCTTTTCTTTCTTTCTTTGTTTTTTTCTTTGTTATTTAAAGCTATAGTTTATAAGGTAGGGGTTTGGGAGAGGCGTTACTGGTGAATTTTTAAAGAGGAAGGGGCAAGAGATGCGTAAATTCTCAAAATCAACTAAGGACCAATATTTGGATTTTTAATGTTAAAGTTATTATCGGTAGTAGTTTTAAGTGTATTTCAATTTTTTACTTAACTGTGACATTAGATTTTGTAATTACAGAAATTACAAATCAAGTAATTATTACAAGAAAGGAGGTACTTGATATTCTTTGAAACTTGTAAATAGTTTTTCACTGTTCAAGTCAGCTATCTACATCTGCAAACATGCAAACTTAATGACTTCGCTTAAAATTAATAGTGTTTATTTGTAGTTGTTTGGAGTTTATAGAATGGTTTTGTGTCTTGTAGCTCTTGGGCAGTGCGGCCACCAGAGCAGGGCAATATTAGCTTTTAGTTGTTCAGTTTGTCAAGTGGGCATAAATAAATACTTATTCTGTAAAGGAAGATTACTAGTTACGGAGAGCTTGGGGAAGCCGCGGTATAGTTGTGGTTGGAGAAGATGAACTGGCTGCAGTTGTGCATCTTGAGTAAGTTTAATATTAATTCTTAGGATATCATACCGCTAATAAGACATTTATTAGATACTAATTTTAAGATACTAGTTTATGAGGCTTATTTTTCAGGGATTGGTGTAAAAGACCACCCCATCTTTTTCCTACATAGTAATCTGTCTGCACATACCATTTGCATTTTCATTGCAGGTATACAAGATTACCAATGGTTATATTTAGAATCTAGTTATCAAAAGGTAGATACGTAGTTTCATTCTGGTTCCATTAGGCCTCTACATTTTTATATCAGGCCTAAAAATATTTGAAACCTTGATCATAGTATATCTAGTTTTCATTGGGCCTGGATCTTAAGTACTTTTATAAATTCCTGTTATTGGATGACCATGGTTCATCACTCCACTCATTCCTTACTGCCTCTAGAACCCGTGGGCAGCAGAGTCTGCCTTAATTCATGGAACTGTTTCTAGCAGATGGAGTTCGTTTGCATAGAGATTGGCTTTCCATTTGGTGGACCTAGATTCAAATCCTGGCTTCTCAAATTACTTGTCAAATGACCTTGGGCAAGTCATTTAACTTCTCTGAGCCTTGGTTTCTGCTTTGTAAAATGGATTGTAGTACCTACCCATACAGATGTAGTAAAATATCTGTATCTATCTATTAAATATATTTAAAATAAATAGATTACATACATTAGATAGATTAGAACAGTGTCTGACTTACAGTACCAGCTTACGAAGTATTAGCTGTTTGTCTTAGATCCTGGAAATAGCCTGAGCAGAGATACACGTGCTGGAGGTTACTGGAGAGTGCTCTTGGCATCATTCCTAGTGGAGGAGGGAAGGAAGCAGGATTGGGCAGAAGCAGGAGTTGAACTGTGATGCATCTGTAACAGAGACCCCAGTTGATCCTCTCTTGGGGGAGCTCTGGAGGTGGGATGGCCTTTCTGAGTTATCTCACCTTAAATAATAGGGGCAGGGCCTTCTACACACTCCCCCAACTCCCAGTTGACTGGTCATTTGGACTTGGGCTCCCCCCAGGAAGAGAGCATGACCTTGAGGGTGGCATCTCTTTACCTGGAAACCCTTTATGGAGAGGGACTCTGCTGAGAAGCTTCAGCTCTGAGTGAAAGGAGAGCCATTCTTATTCCCCTAGCATTATGGATGTCTTCATTTAGACCACCAGTACCATTCACATAAAACACAGGTGTGGGATAAATATTTCTCACTAACAACTAAATAGGCTTTGTGGAGGAGACTGGGAATTAACCACCATTATAACAGTGTTTCCATGGGAAAACGCATTCTGAATTCCATATATCTGTTGACAAGTAGATTTTTTTTGGAGTACCACCTGTTCCCTATGCACAGGATTTGTATTTTGCTGCATATTTAGGCCACTAAAGACACTTTTTATAACCGAGGTTTGTAGTATATTTTAAATAGTTTCTTTTTAGATGTTTACTTTAATTCCTACTACATTTAAATTACCTATATCCATCAGTAGGAAAATGAAAAATGTTTGCTTGCTGTTTATTTTCAAATCAAGGAATATCTGTTGAGGATCTAAGGTATATAGGTTACCATTATAATCTTAGAAAACATTTTCTTGCCTTATCTAGAAGTCAGTTTTTTGGGTCTCAAGAACTATTTGCCTTTGGATGTTGTCTTTTGAAATCCACCTTTTTAGTGGAGATTGGCAGAAAATATTGCCTCATGCATCAAAGATTCTTCCTGTACACTTCGTGTATTAAAGTGAAGAGCTCTTCTGTGCGCCGTTCATGGTGCTCTATGCGCAGTCTCGTCTTTCTCTCATTCTTTACTTGTTAGAGGATCTGTGATCTGTCCTTAAGTTCTAGAAACTAAACCTTCAATGTCAATTTTCCTGTAAGTCCAAGAATATATTTCATTCCATGGAGAATTGAAAACGGGAGATAAAACGGGAAAATCTCTTGCAGCTTAATCCTCCTATGAGTTTACTTCAGGCTTTTAGCTATGAATAATTTAAAGAACTTGAAGGTACCAGAAGAGATTCTTTACAGAAAAAAATCTGTCCTAACTGATTTTGATCAGCAACTCTTTGGCATTTTTGTTTTTTGAGATGGAGTCTCGCTCTGTCACCCAGGCTGGAGTGCAGTGGCACTATCTCGGCTCACTGCAAGCTCCACCTCCCAGGTTCACACTATTCTCCTACCTCAGCCTCCGGAGTAGCTGGGACTACAGGCACCCGCCACAATGCCCGGCTAATTTTTTGTATTTTTAGTAGAGACAGGGTTTCTCCGTGTTAGCCAGGATGGTCTTGATCTCCTGACATCGAGATCCGCCCACCTCGGCCTCCCAAAGTGCTGAGATTACAGGCGTGAGCCAGCGCGCCCGGCCCTCTTTGGCATTTTTAAGGGCTTTATTTATTTGAAAATATTGTGTTATTTTATTATTTTACCAGTAATGAAATAAGCATCTTAGAAAAGAAGCTTTCTTTGCCTTTCTGGTTAAACACATAATTCCACCACTTAAGAGATCAACATTATTAATATTTTGATATATGTTCTTGCAGCCTTAAATTTTTTTTCTCACAAAACTTTTAAAAGTACATATATAGTTTCTGCAAAAAGAAGATCATATATTTTATAATCTGATTTTTACACATAGAATAGTTTGTGGACATTTTAGCAGAGCAGTAAATATACAGGTGCATCATCATATGTCTGCACCTTGGAAATTTGATCATTCCACTATTGTTTACCTTTAGGTTCTTATTTATATATTTCTGGGCATTTGTCCACTTAATTACTTCATGTGTTAATTTGTTTCTGCTGCCACAACAAAATACCTCAGTGTGGATAATTTATAAACAATAGAAATTTATTTCTCACAGTTCTAGAAGCTGGGAAGTCCAAGGTCACAGCCAGCAGATTCTGTAGTTGGTGAGAATCACAGCATCCTCACATGGCAGAGAAGGTGAAAGGGATGAACTTGTTCCTTCAAGCACTTTTATGAGGGATCTAATCCCGTTCATGAGAGCCCTCATGGCCTAAACACCTTCTTTTTTTTTTTTTTTTTTGAGACAGAGTCTCACTATGTCACCAGGCTAGAGTGTAGTGGCTTGATCTCAGCTCACTGCATCCTCCACCTCCCAGGTTCAAGCGATTCTCCTGCCTCAGCCTCCCTAGTAGCTGGGACTACAGGCACATGCCACCATGCCCAGCTAATTTTTTTTTTTTTTTTTTTTTTTTGGACATGGAGTGTCGCTCTGTCGCCCAGGCTGGAGTGCAGTGGTGTGATCTCGTCTCACTGCAAGCTCCACCTCCTGGGTTCACGCCATTCTCCTGCCTCAGCCTCCCGAGTAGCTGGGACTACAGGCACCCGCCACCACACCCGGCTAATTTTTTGTATTTTTAGTAGAGACAGGGTTTCACCACGTTAGTCAGGATGGTCTCGATCTCTTGACCTTGTGATCCACTCGCCTTGACCTCCCAAAGTGCTGGGATTACAGGTGTGAGCCACTGCACCTGACCATGGCCTAAACACCTTCTAAAGGCTCCACCTCATAATACTGTTGCACTGGGGATTAAGTTTCAGCATGAATCTTGGAGGGACACAAACATTCAAACCACAGCATGTACTTAGGAAAAATTCTTCCTGTGGACTTGCTATATCCAAGGATTATGCATATTCTCGTGACTTTTAATACATGCTGACAGATTGCCCTATTGAAAGGTTGTACCAGTTTGACATTGCTGTGGTCAGAGTGCTTTTCCCCATGGTCTCATCATTCCCTGGTTGTTTTAAAGGCATGCTGGAGAATTGCTCAGCAAATTCTCCAAAATGTCTCAGCAACTGGAGGGCCCCATTTGCATCCGGAATTTGGAGCAGATGCTGTCGTACATAGGGGGACTTTCCAAGGCTGGATGTATTTCTGTTTTTAAAACAGAGATTTTAAAAAGTAGTAATGGTGGCCAGGCAATGGTGGCTCACGACTGTAATCCCAGCACTTTTGGAGGCCGAGACGGGCGGATCATGAGGTCAGGAGTTCAAGACCAGCCTGACCAACATGCTGAAACCCTGTTTCTCTACTAAAAATACAAAAATTAGCTGGGCATGGTGGCGGGCTCCTGTAATCTCAGCTACTCAGGAGGCTGAGGCAGGAGAATCACTTGAACCCAGGAGGCGGAGGTTGCAGTGAGCTGAGATCGCGCCATTGCACTCCAGCCTGGCGACAGAATGAGACTCCGTCTCAAAAACAAAAGTAATAATGGTAGATGATATTTTAGTAACTGGTGATAGAGTTAGTGAAGATGAAAGCATAGACCTTTGAAATTCTGTCTGTATTATGATTCTAATCTTACAAAGTAAGATCTGGAGTTTTTAAAGCTTTAGTGAAAAAAGACTGGGTACTTCAGGCTTGGGTGTAAAGCTAGGTGCTATAACTTACGCTATAGCAGAGTGACTTTGGGGCAGGTTATTTAACCTTTCTCAGCCTCTGTTTTCTAAATGCAATCCTTTAGGGTGTTTTTTTGAAGGAAAACAGTATATGTGAAAGACGTTGGCACAGGGCCTGGCAGATATGAGCCCTGTCAACAACAGCTTTGTAAATTTTGTGGTTTGTTCAACCTTATCCAACTAAAAAACTTGTTAAGCCATTGTGATGTTAAGAACAGACACTGAGAGACATTAATGTGGAAAAAGACTATAGTACCGTGCAAGTTTTTATTCAAGCACTGCTTTGACTCAAAATGATTATCTACTCTTCCCCCATCTTCTCTTTCTTATCATAGTTTACTGGGAAAAAATCAGATGATTTAGCTAAAAATAAGCAAACAAAAAGCAACATGTAAAAATGGGTACATCTTCCTTATATAGAAATAAACGCTGCCAGGCGTGGTGGCTCACACCTGTAATCCCAGCACTTTGGGAGGCTGAGGCAGGCAGATCACAAGGTCAGGAGATCGAGACCACCCTGGCCAACATGGTGAAACCCCATCTCTACTAAGAATAGAATAATTAGCTGGATGTGGTGGCACGTGCCTGTAATCCCAGCTACTCGGGAGGCTGAGGCAGGAGAATCGCTTGAACCCAGGAGATGGAGATTGCAGTGAGCCGAGATTGCGCCACTGCACTCCAGTCTGGTGACAGAGCGAGACTCTGTCTCAAAAAAAAAAAAAAAAAAAGAAAGAAAGAAATGCAAGTAAGTTATTCCATGTATTAAACAAGGGCAGCTGTGAAAGAGCAGGAGCATATGTGGCAAAATATTGGGTTAAATATAAGTATTGGATTTGAAGATGGAGAAGTCAAATGAGTATGTGGAGTTGTGTAGCTGAAAGGAGGTGAGGAGCCCAGGATGTACTTTGGGGGATCAGCCAGGGCTTAGTGTTACTGAGAATTAAACACAGGATCCTTCCCTCTCTCCAGGCAACTACTGGATTCATTAGATCCTCATTCATTCATTAGATCCTCATTCATTAGATCCTAATTCATTGTTTATATACTCATCCATTTACTACATATTTATTATGCACCTACTATCTCCTATGACTGAGAAGTACAATGTTAAATTATACTTGGGGGGATCAGAATCCATACCATCAAGGGCTCACTGTGAAGCTGGCAGAGAGACATGGAAACAACAGGAGCCATGATAATGTACTGTGGATAGCCAGTGGGGAAAATGATGTTTCCTGGAGGAGGGGACATTTGAGCTGAGTCTTGCAGGAAGAGAGACAGTGAATTCTAAAGGTAGAGGAAGGATGTTCCAAACAGAGGGAAGTGAAAAAGGGCCTTGAGTTCTGGTTGCTCCAGGAGTTTGATGTAGCCGGTGTCAGGTGCCGTGGTAGGACTGGAGGCTGGAAAGGGGGCTGGGTCAGACAGTCAAAGCTGGATGTTTGTAGCCAGTGGAGAACCGCCCACCTAGGTTTATAAACAAGGACATGGTCAGCTGAATTTGAAAAGGGGGTAATCACAGGTTGTTGACAAGTTTGTAAAATTATATATTTTAACAGAATGAGTATCTTTTAATATAACTAATAAAGGATTGGAGGTGGAGCCTGCCATGGACCCTCAATTGTGGTTTTTCAATGAAGCAGAGGGCACATGGCACATGCTGCTTTTCTGCCCAGGATGACAGTGTTGCAGGATCCAAGACTGCTGTATGGAAAGCCTATCTTAATTGTGGGCAGCAGCAGCCCAGTGCTTTCTGAGCCATGTGAGGTTACTAATTGAGGTTAACATCAGAGAACTAGATGCCAGTGGGAGGGATTGGGACCATTTGAGCAAGTAAGATTTTCTCTAGAGGCAGGGGCTTGTCCCTATGGTTTATTTTTCGTACCTAGGTAGAAAGTGTATATCTCTGTGCCAAGTTGTACTAATTATCTTGGTTTGTCATTTTATTTTTGTCAACATCTTACCAGTTTTTAAAACAATAAACTCTGGTGAGGGGAAATGCTATTTTGTACAGAGTGACTGTGTGTTTTAATTTTGTATATTTCAGAAAGCTTCCAGTTTTCAGTGGTTAGCGAAATAGCAACTTGCTTTATTTAATCAACAGGATGTTTTAGCTTAATTGTACTTGAGAGCTTTTTATAAACTAGCAAAAAGTCAGTAGCATTTCTAATACTTTAAAATGTTACAATTTTTCAGACAAATTACTTTTGCTAAATTGTACAGATGAGGATAATACTTGAAAAGTCTAAGAGTGAGAAACAAGAAAGATACTAAGAGGAAGCTTAAAGAAAAGTGAGGAAAAAGGAAGATGAAGTGTTCAATGTAGTCATATAATTGCTTAGATAGCATTTAATGAGAAAGTTAGCATTGTTCTCATATATACACGTAATATAGTGTATTTCATAGATTTAAATAGTCAAGGAGGAAAAACTTTCTCTACTCTCTTAGGCTTAGTGATTGAGGGTCTGCAAATTAAATTGACAAGAGACAGATTGCAAGATAAAAGACATTTAATCATAGAAGAATGTGAGCCAAAGGAATGGTTAGAAGTAGGGGCTTGTATGTTATTTTAATAGGGGAAGGGGAGGGGAGAAAAGGGAACTTATGGGAAAACAAAGGACTTTTTGGAAAGATAAGTGGGCGTTTAGGAGAATAGATGAAAGATGCGATAGTTTGGTGGTAATATCAGCTTGGTGTGGTGTGAAGACTTTTCATCTCTGGTGATGAGTCGCTCTTCCTTGGTTGCTCTTGGGGAGGGGATTTATGTTAATTGAATTCTTTTTGAGAGCCTCTGCTTTTAGGCCAGTAAGAGATTTCAGGAACTTAATCACTTTCAGCTCTTTAATTTTTATGCCACAGTGGCATATTCTGGACCCCCTCACAATATATTGCCACTCAAATCATATTACCTCCCCTCCCCTACCAAGAACAATTACAGATAGTCGGATAGGAAAAGATGGTCCAGGTGTCACAATTCACATTTCTTTTTATTTCATTTTATTGGAAATTCATTAAAAATAGAATGCCTTAAGATTTATTCCTTCATAACACGTGATCAAGAGGATGAATTCAGACAAAAGTTAGTAAGGTATCAAATTGCTCCGGTAAGTTAAGCAGCTACTTGCCACATTGAAAATGTATATTTTTCTCTAGGGGTAAGCATAGGTTTGATTATACTTTAGATCATGTCCCTTCAAGTTATAAAGTCATCTCAGTAGAGTCTTTGGACACTAATGTTGAAACTGAGTCACAGGCTTTGTTTTCGCTTTATAAATGAGCACTCCTGAGTGTGATGCTTATTTCAGTGTAATATTTAGTATAACACAACTTCTTATTAAGGTAACACACTAGTTGTTATGCCTAACACAGCTCAGTAGGCAGAAGTCGAAACAGAAATGTACAGAATCAAGTTCTGGCTATTTTTGATTGGCAGCGGGTACAATCTGTAATCTGAGAGCGGGAGCCTGAGATGGCTGGTGATAGGTGTCAGTGAACAGACACGGAGAGCCCAGAACAGTGCTGCCAGAAGCCATGAAGAGGGCCTGGCATTGAAAAATAAGTGCCTGCTGTGGTGGAGGCAGAAGTGTACATGCCTGAAAACATAGGGAAGCTCAAAGAATTCTTCCAAATGGCTTCCAGCTCCTTGGATCCGTTCTTACTGGGCAGTGCCTACATGTCACAGTGACTTTCTTTACCTCGGTAATGATACAGTTCCACTGTGTTAGGCATATAGTTTTAGTAGTGAAGGTGATGTGCTGTAGTGCAGAAGCAAATTAGGCAAGACTCCTGGGTGATTGGTGTGTTGGGTCTGTAGAACTTACGGAAAGGAGAAGCAGCCATTCCTAGTGACAGGAAAAGTGAAGTTGCCACAGCTCCCCTTTTTGAGTGTTTAGTAGGAGTCAGGTGTGACACCTGCAGTCTGCAGTCTACATTTGAGTATGAGGACACTAAGCTTCAGAGATGGCCTTCCCTTCTTGCAGAAAAGGCTTGGCTGTAGGGAAGTGTGCCTGACCCCCATGCTTTATAGTTGGAATCTTGTTGATGTTGGGTCCATCTTGACTCACACACATACGTACATAAATAATGAAAAACTGTATGCAGATTTTTAAAGGAGAGGACTGAAATTCAGTGTAAAAACACCAATATGGTTTTTATACTGAATAAGGACATTTACATTACTTTTAAAAGGTCTTATGGGTCGGGCGTAGTGGCTCATGCCTGTAATCCCAGCACTTTAGGAGGCTGAGGTGGGTGAAACACTTGAGTCCAGGAGTTCGAAACCAGCCTGGGCAACATGACAAAACCCCACCTCTGCAAAAATACAAAAATTAGCCGGATGTGGTGATGTGTGCCTGTAGTCCCAGCTACTCGGGAGGCTGAGGTGGGAGGATCGCTTGAGCCCAGGAGGAAAGGCTTGCAGTGAGCTGCATCTAGCCTGGGTGACAGAACGAGATGCTGTCTAAAAAAAGAAAAAAAATGCTTGTCATTCTGGTACTTGAACTGAAATTACATTTGTAAAACAAGAAAATACTTGACCCAAGGAAGCACTTTACTCACACATTGTACACGTATGTTGATCTGATCCTTCTATCACAGAAGGACTTCCTGGTCTTGGCTTGGGAGATTGTGAACATTTGAACTGGCACTTCCTGTTCTTAATGGACCAGAGTTCATAACTAGCATGTGATTATCTTTAGGGTAAAGTCCTAGCAGTAGGATCACTGGTTTGATACATATTGCCAAACTGCTCCTACAGACGAGGTTTGCCAGTTTACACCATCAGTGGTGGTGCAGTTCCTTCGCACTCTGTAATGTAAATTTCGATTACCATTTTCATCTTTGCCAATCAGATAGATGAAAAATCACATCTCATTGTCATAATATTTGCATTTTTTGGATCATCAGTGAATATCTTTTTATATTTATATTGATCATTTGTATTTTTTTCTTGTTTGTGATTTTTGTCCATTTTACTAATAGGGTATTTGTGTTCTTACTGATTTTCACAAAGTGTTTGCGTATTCAGGGTACTTTTTGACATACGCTTTCCCTAATTTATTGTTTGCCTTTCAGCCTTATTTATGGTTGTCTTTGCTGGTTAGAAATTTTACAGTTTTGTATGATTACATTAACATCCACATAGAAATAAAGGTAAAGGTAAGGGAGTGTGAGGAAAGTTGTGAAATTACTTGTAGGCAAAGCAGTTTGGGCATGGCATAAAGTTAGCAACTTTGAGTTCATTTGTATACCAGTGCACAGTAATGCTATTACATTTATGAGGTTGTGTTTACTTTTTAATTTGGAAGGCTCTGTTTCTCAGAATTGGTTGCAACCCGCCAGGTGTGGTGGCTTACGCCTGTAATCTCAGCACTTTGGGAGGCTGAGGCAGGCAGATCACTTGAGGTCAAGAGTTTGAGACCAACTTGGCCAACATGGTGAAACCCCATGTCACTACTAAAAATGCTAACATTAGCTGGGCATGGTGGCGCATGCCTCTTATCCCAGCTACTCGTGAGGCTGAGGCAGGAGAATCGCTTCAACCTGGGAGGCAGAGGTTGCAGTGAGCTGAGATCATGCCTCTAAACTCCAGCCTGGGCATTAGAGGGAGACTCTGTCTCCAAAAAAAAAAAATTGGTTGCAACTCCTGCTGCCCTCCCTTACCTCCTCTCCGAGTCTCTGGCCACTCACTGCTGTCGAGTCAATAGCTGAGCTCCAGTGCTCAATACCCGTCTCTTCTTGCACATTTCTAAAATCCCTTGTAGTTTTTTTCCAGCTATGTAGGACTTTGACACTTGTAGATAAAGACTCATTATTTACTTGTAATTGCCTCTTCTCAAGAACCAGGCTGCAAACTGAGGCCTCTTAAGGCTAAATTGCCCATAAGTTGCTTATGATAACAGACTTAAATGCTGAATCATAAGAAAGTTCTCATTTTTCTCCTTCTGGCACTTGAACTGAAATTACATGTGTATATTAATAAAATGAGAACATAGCACTCGATTGAACCAAGAGTTTATTCACACACCATGCATCATGCTGATCCAGGGAGCCTTTGTGCCTTCTCAGATGTCTGTGATTTGGAAGAGGTTTCCAAACTCATTTCTGTTCTAAACAGTGTGAGATTTGGGAGACACAGGTTATAGGTGATCTGGCTCTGCCATTTTGCAAGGCTGCCAAACCTTGCCAAGCCCAAGTTTTATCTGCAGAAAGTGAGCATGACATGATACTGTTTGTGACGAGCTCTTTTTCAAACCATAGAGCTGTTTGGAAAAGCAAATCGTTGTGCCATGATTTGGGGTTTTTAGTTTTTTCTAGGTGAGTTTTTGGTTCTCTGTTTGTAATGTGGTGCAGTGTGGCTGCTTCCCAACCAGTGATGAATGCACACACTGATTTGTTGGAAGAACCAGTGCAGATGTTGGCTTTCCCCCAGGGAGTTTGCAGTGAATGCCGGTCTTCCAAATCTGTATTCTGCTGCTTTGGGGGGAGCCTTTCGTTTCTCTGCAAGTTTGGATCTGGGAGCTCTTGCTGTGCAAATTTTGCCCAGAGAATCTGTAGTATTCATTCTCCTGCCGGTCTCAGGGCAAGCCCAGTTTTTTGAATGAGACCTTCTGGAGCTACTGCAAACAGCCTTTCTGACCCCACAGTGAGGAGAAACTGAGGCAACCGAAGCCTTGAGGAGGGTTCTTTCACCAGTGTGAGCATAGCTGACTTTGGGATTCTTTTGTTGTGATCTGTGGATCAATCCTGTCCCTGAGCTCTCCTGATTTTGTTATAACAGCAGAGTCCACTTAGATTTTAACCATTTGATCAGCAGAGCCTTGTTTTTGGCCTGTTGTGCTGCATGATTTACAGTGTGCATCTGGATTTGTAATTATGCCTCACATAGTTTATATTTTGATTCACTTCAGGCTTTTCTGCTTTCTCCTCTTTACCTGCCTCTAGGGCCATATGGAGTGGAAGTTTGCATGTTGTTGTAAAAGCATTTTGAAATGTTCATCAGACTTTCATGGTTTCCTTACTTCCCTTTTAGGTTTTGCATTTTAAATTAGGTTATAGAATTGTGAATTTACCAAACTATATTGTGGATTTTATTCAAACAGTTTCTGTGGGTATGAAATACTGGTCATGTGTATGTATCAATATTTTATATGGAATCATTATATTTCTTGGGGTTAGGCTGACAAAAAACAATCTGTTAGCTTCATTCATGAGAGGTATTCAGATTTGAAATTTTTGACTTTGGAATAAATCAGTTTTCCTCAACTTATATTTTAATGTTCTGTGATATATGTGATCTAAAGATGACTTTGGGGGTGAGAGTGGGGCTAAAAAAAAAAAAAGAAATAGATGATAAAAAAGATGACTTTGAGTAATTTTTAAATAATTAATTTTAAATATTTTTTTCTTGATCAATTTTGGACATATGAGTTAGAATTCATTTAGAATATATATATATATGTTGAATATAATCATAGGTAATATAACAAATTCTATAATAGTAGAAAGTAAGTTTTAGATTTTTTTGGTAACTCTTTTCACAAATGTTATATTATTTTTCCCCTCTGGTTTGAAATGAATAGTTTTGAGTCTTTGAGAATGGTCATACCATAAAATTATATCTGTGTTCCACAAAAGTTAGTAATTGGAAAAGGAATGAACATTTAATTAAAATATCACTAGCTTAAACTATCAATAGGAGTCTGTAACTCTAAGTTTACTTAATTTTCCTTAGAAAATTTTATGAAATACTCCCTTGAAATCAAATCATATTATAGCAAGTTGCTTCAAGTTAGTATATGTGAACTGCTAGTTCACAACAATCATGACTGATTGTTGAGTCTACTTTTTCATTTTTACTGAGGTATGGATAAGACTTAGACATGCCCTCTTCTTTGACAAGTTTTTCCTTGTTGCAACAGATTCTATAACTTGCCTGTTGGTTGCTGATGCAGCTTTTCAGAAATAGGCCGTGCAGTGTGGCCCCAGGCAAAAGCTTTGTCTTTTCTCCCAAGAACCTAGCGGAATGACTGCCAGAGTGATCACTATAAAGCATTTTACCAGGTTATTTTGAAGGGACGCAGGGAGCAGAAAGAGTGTATTTCAGAAAGTTCAGCAGGGCAGAAAAGGCCTGTGGAAAACAAAAGAGTGTAAAGATTTCATTTATTTTAGGGTATGGATAGGGTAAAGAAGTGAATTTAGCTACATCGTGCTGAGATTTTATTGATTTAAATACAGTAGTCTTAAAATCATCTTGGGAGTTGGTGTGTTAACTCAATCCGTTTAACTAAACAGAATGCAGGCAAGGCAGGCTGAACTTCTGTTTCTTCCGGCCGTGCTTTTTCTGCTACTTAATTTGATATTCTCCATACTGAGAGAATGGTGTTTCTTTACATTCTTTCAAAGGAAAATCCTCCTCTTTTGAGTTTAGCAATTCTATTAACTAGAGCAGATTGACTTTCTTGTCATTATTTTTAAGGAGTGCAAAGATTGGGGTCAGGAAACCTTTATACTGTAATTGAGTTTAAGTACTTTTTTAACGTGGTCACTTAGGTTGGTGCAAAAGTAATTTGCGATTTTTGCCATTACTTTCTTACCTACTTTTTAAGTACTCTAAGGATTAATATGAGGATTGAACATTTTGAATAAGACACTATTCTCAATTGTAGAACTACATACTACAATCTGGTTACGCAAAGCTGTGGGGTCACAGCCTCTCCATATAAGCTGGCTCTGTGCTCTCAATTGTCCTGTGTGCAGTATGGGTGGAAATACAAGAGAGAAGGCCACTTACTAGCTGAATGGCCTTGGGCACATCACCAAAGGAGCCTTCCTGTGCTCAGAAAGAGTATGTGGAATCTGGACTAAAGTGATTGTCCTATTTCTATTCTGTGAAACTTTGATACTTTTAAGAAACATTTAGGATAAACTATGACACTATTATCTTCATCCTGATGTTCAGCCTAAACCAGGCATATTCTGGGTCCGTATTCTTTTGGGTCTTGACGTGTCTTCTATTAGACAAGGAAAATATGAATCTTCTACTTTATAGTCATTATTGATGTGATTTCTTACTGAGATCAGAGCGTCAGAGCCAGAATGGAAATAACAGGTAAAATAGAAACCTAGAGTTTTTTATTTAGTTTGAATTTGAGGCTGGGTAGACTTGTGGGTTTTAATTTCAAAGTAAGAAAAGGGTGGGTCTAGGAGAACAGACTAAATATATTAAGAGAATGTTAAAAACCCAAGTTGTAAACTGTATTGAAGCATTGGATGTGTGTGTGTGTGTGTGTGTGTGTGTAGCTTCCATGTTTATTTTGACAGAGTGGTTTGCCTGAGTAAAAGCTTTTCGTTTAAATCCTACTGTAAGCAAAGAAAAACATGTTTAACTGAATGTAATTGCCTTGTGCTCAATTTGCTACTCACTTTGGAGCAGGTTCACACACTAAAATAACATAAGGGGAGGTTAAATTACATCAAAGGTTAAGACAGATAAGCTTAAGTGATCTCATTGTAGCTCCTATACTAATTAAAACAAGTTGACAAAATATTTTTGTAAGTACTAGCCTTCCTTTATGTGTAGTGCTTAGTGTCTTTATTTTTAGTAGAAAAAAGGTCTTAAAAATATTTGAGGAAATTTATATTAAAACCTTTTGAGTTTTCATTTAAATAATACTTGCCGGTTAATCAGGAAATGATTCTTTAAATTTCTTTTTATTTTTAATTTTTGTGGGTACATAGTAGTATATAGGAAATGATTCCTAAACACCCTGTGAATTTGAGGCACAGTGTGGAGCATCAGTGGGCTGCAGTTAGCTTCTTTGTCCACTCCTGTGTCTTACCTAATTTCCATGTTACAGCCACAGGAATGGGCCAAGGCTGAAGCAGAGACTTTACCCTAGCTGGTGATCAGATGGAAAAGCAAGGCTGGGGCCTAATTACAGGAGCTCCTTGAACATGACCCAAGAACTTGGAGCATTAGTCTGAGTTTCTGAGGTTTCTGAATGTGTGTATGATGTGATCATAGTCAAGTTTTCAGAATGCCGATCTGAAGGTATTAATCAATCAAACTTTTTTTTGCTGTGTATCTCCTAAGAGAATTAGAAAAAAAACAGGGTTCTTGTAAATTTTTAAGTTGTCACACCCAGTTTTCTAAAGACTTAAATAGATGCTGAGGATACAGTTTCCAGTTCATTGTAAACATTGTAATTTATGCAAACAGAATCCTAATTATCGTAGTAACTTGGTAACCATTATCATCCATTTAAAAAATAATGTAATTTTTTTTTTTTTTTGAGAGGGAGTTTTGCTCTCGTCGCCCAGGCTGGAGTGCAGTGGCGCGATCTCGGCTCACTGCGGTCTCCGCCTTCCAGGTTCAAGTGATTTTTCTGCCTCAGCCTCACGAGTAGCTGGGATTACAGGCACGTGCCACCATGCCCATCTAATTTTTGTATTTTTAGTAGAGACGAGGTTTCGCCATGTTGGTCAGGCTGGTCACTCCTGACCTCAGGTGATCCTCCCGCCTCAGCCTCCCAAAGTGCTGGGATTACAGGTGGGAGCCACCGCACCCGGCCTAAAAAAATAATAGAAATTTTACATTCTTTTCTTTATTTCCATTCAGTTTGTACTCAGAATTTGATCCTAAGA
The DNA here is from genome assembly GCF_000001405.40 of Homo sapiens. Taxonomy (NCBI): domain Eukaryota; kingdom Metazoa; phylum Chordata; class Mammalia; order Primates; family Hominidae; genus Homo; species Homo sapiens. The sequence goes on from NC_000006.12 coordinate 139,153,792, forward strand.
CAGGGTATTGTCCTGCTTAGAAGTATTTTATTGATCATCCTATCATATTTTCCTATAACAAAATATACATATAAACTTTTAAATTTTTATTAAGATGGACTTCTGAGATGGCAGAGTAAGGGCCTCCAGAAATTTGCTCCTCCATGAAAGCAATAAGAACACTGCCAAGAATTACCAAAATTAACTTTTTCAGAACTCTGGAAATTAACCAAAGGCTTACAGTAATTCTAAGAGTGTTCTTTCAAGAGAAATGACTGAATCATAATAAAAACAGTGAGCTGTGGTGTTTTAACTTGGTTAGTACCTCCCCCTTTCCCTAGCTCTGTGGTATCAGAGCAATGTAATTGCTATGTAAATAGTTGTTATACTGTATTTAGGGAATAATGACAAGAAAAATAAGCCTGTGTATGTTCAATACAGACACAACCATCTGTTTTTTTTCCATGAATATTTTCCATTGACAATTGGTCAAATCCATGGATGTGGAACCCACAGATATAGAGGACAGACTGCATATGAATGGGGTGGAGAGGGAGTCTTAGCTACCTGGAGAATGTGTGCTGCACCAAAACAGCATTCTGATTCACATTCCAAAAAAAAACTCTGGACTGGTTTACTAAGACACAATGCAGGCCAAACTGCCCCATTGGAACTCTGATCTAGGGGATATATAGACATCATATCACCTATTATCAGTTGAGCTTTTAGAATATTTTGAACAGCAGGGAGTTGTGAGTTGTATTTTCTAACCGGTAACTGGTCTACGGATGACCCGTGTTGCCAGTTAATCATGCAGTCTTATGCTTTACCTGTTGGGCAGACAAGGGAAGGGGTAAAGTCATTAGTCTTTTCAGCAGAGGTCATTGGGATTTCAGAGGTAAGGGGAAGGGGCCAAATCGGCCATGGCCTTTGGCCTCCAAATACCATTTTGGGGCTCATCAAGAGAGAAGAAGCAGGTCCAGCATTTACACTGCGTTGTAATTTACATGGTAAATGAAAATCACATAGATAAACTATGAGTAAAGAGGTTTGAGTATTGCCACATTTTGAATATTTGTGCTGACAAAGGAGGACATTAATATGGATAATCAAAATCAAGCTTATTTTCCTAAGCAAGGATAATATTGGAATACAGTACTAAAGACTGACATGAAGTCTTTAAAAATAGGATTGTTTAACAACTGGTTGGACAGTTTCTCCGCAGTTGTATATATACAGTCATGCATTGCTTAATGACAGGGATACATTCTAAGAAGTGTGTCATTTGGCGATTTCATCATCAGGCGTACATCATAGAGTGTACTTATACAAAGTATAGCCTACTACATACGTAGGCCAGATGGTATACCCTGTTGCTTCTGTGCTACAAACCTGTACAGCAGGTTCGTTGAATACTGTAGGCAATTGGAACACAATGGCATTTATGCATCTAAACATACAGAAACATAGAAAAGGCACAGTAAAAATACAGTACAAAAGATAAACAGTGGTACACACATGTAGGCCACTTACACATGAAAGGAGCTTTCAGGACTGGAAGTTACTCTGGGTGAGTCAGTGAGTGAATCTGAAGGCCTAGGACATTACATTACTGTAGACTTTGATAAACACTGTACACTTAGGCTACCCTAAATGTAGGGGAAAAATGAGGTAGGTATACTAGGACGTCACTAGGCAATAGGAATTTGTCAGTTCAGTTATAATCTTATGGGACCACTGTTGTGTACGGAGTTCATTGTTGAATCAAACGTCGTTATATAGCATATGACTGTATATGCACACGTACATATACACACACATACACTTACACATATGCTTAGTCTGGAGTCCTCTTCCCATTTTATGATAGTGTGATTTGGTTCCAAGAGCTCCTGAATCTACATTTCCTTCAGAGCATATTATGTAGTGCATTTTCGTGCTAGGATGCTGTGTAGTTTTCAATGATTTAGTACCCCCAAGATCTAAATCTCCAAACAAGAGAAAAGGCAGCCTGCTAATTTCTTTTCTAGTACAGTGTGATCCCATTATATGCAAATTGAATTATGCAAATTTCAACTACTCACATATAAATAATATTAATAAAAGCTTCACATTGTGTGCAAAATTTCAACAAGCATGTTTTCCCAAATTATGTGTGAAGCCATTTCATATTTTCAAAGCTGTCAGGTCAACTGAATTATAAAAGTGCTTTCTTACCCAGTGGCACCATTTATATTTTTTATATTTTATATGTTTCTATTTTATAAATATGTTTATATTTTATATGTTTATATTTTCTTATAAACAAATACTAACTTGTGGCAGTATTATGTGAACTCTTCTTGTTGCTAGAACTTCTGTAAGGATTTTGGTGACGTTTGTATTATTATTTTTTACATTCACTGTTACAATTTAAAATCTTTACTATAGCTTTTTCTTTTTTTTTTCTTTGACAGGGTCTGGCTCTGTCACACAGGCTGTGGTGTAGTAGCATGATCTTGGCTCACTGCAGCTTCCGCCTCCCAGGCTCAAGCCAATGCTTCCACCTCGGCCTCCTGAGTAGCTGGGACTACAGGCACGTGCCACAACACCAGGCTAATTTTTGTATTTTCTTTTTTTGATAGAGATGAGATCTCACCATGTTGCCCAGGCTGGTTTTGAACTCCTGGGCTGAAGTGACCTTCCTGCCTTGGCCTCTTAAAATGCTGGAATTATAAGCGTGTGCCATTGTGTCCAGCCTGTAGCTTTCAAAATATCACCTAAGTGTGCTAATACTGGTGCTGAAAAACATCCTGGAAATCAGTAACTTTGGAAAAGAAATTAGATGTGATAAAAGATACCAGGAAATGACATGCTGTTAATTTATGAAATAAACTCAGAAGTATGAGAGTTAATGCTGATAGAATTAAAAAGTATGAGTAAAGCAGAAATACAGCACAATGACGGCACGTGTCTGTGTTCTGAGTGTGCATTCCGCATACTCTATCCTTAGACTATGGAATAATCTGTTCTGAATTATGTAAGTTCTTCAGGACCATGTCCCATGAGTAAAATGCAGTCATGCTTCATGAATCTCTGTTACCCATGCTAGGGAAAGATGGATTAGGTTTAAAAATACATATTGTTACAGGAGAGGGGTCCTGATCCAGACTCCAAGAGAGGGTTCTTGGATCTCGCACAAGAAAGAATTCAGGGCGAGTCCGCAGTGCAAAGTGAAAGCAAGTTTATTAAGAAAGTAAAGGAATAAAAGAATGGCTACTCCATAGACAGAGCAGCCCCAAGGGCTGCTGGTTGCCCACTTTATGGTTATTTCTTGATGATACACTAAACAAGTGGTGGATTATTCATGCCTCCCCTTTTTAGACCATATAGGGTAACTTCCTGACGTTGCCATGGCATTTGTAAACTTGTCATGGCACTGGTGGGAGTGGAGCAGTGAGAATGACCAGAGGTCACTCTCGTCACCATTTTGGGTTTGGTCGGTTTTGACCGGCTCCTTTACTGCAATCTGTTTTTATCAGCAAGGTCTTTATGATATGTGTTTTGTGCCAACCTCCTGTCTCATCATGTGACTTAACTATCTGGGAATGCAGCCCAGTAGGTTTCAGCCTCATTTTACCCAGCTCCTATTTAAGATAGAGTTGCTCTGGTTCACACGCCTCTTGACAATATAACAGAGTACTTATTTGTCTGACACTGAGAAGAACATCTTCATGGGGTTAGAAGAAGATAATTTTGAAGGTCTCCTTTTCCTTCTACTTCTTTGACACTAGTCAGTAAATATTGAGTGAATTATCTTATGCATGCCATACTGCTTTGTTGTGAAGAAGAAATCTACTTCTTGCCCCTCATAAGCCTAAAGCACACATAGAAAGTCATGACTGACAAAAGTGTAAGTTGGGAGAGCATGCAAGTGGCAACATTTGGCCCAAGAGTAATATAGAGGGCTGTAGAGAGTGGGATGGTACTTTCCCAGCTAAGAAGGCTGGCACCTCCCTGGGCTTGGGAAGATGTGGAAGGGATTGGGCTTGGGACAGGATTGAGGCGAGGCACAGGTGGAGGAGGGTGTGTGCCTGCATGTAGCAAAAGGGGGCAAATGAGAGGGGGTGAATATAATAACACTGAAGTGCCCAACTCCTGGTGGGCTCGGCCAGCCTTGCACTTAATGTGGAGAAAGGAGGATGGATGGCCACTTCCTGGTTGTGGCTTTGCTCTAAACTTGTTCAAAATCTCTTGATTTTTATGACAAGTAATATAAAGTGATATGGCATTTGTTAACAATTGCTTATAGTTAAACAGTGCTTGGCCAGGTGCAGTGGCTCACACCTATGATCCCAGCACTTTGGGAGGCTAAGGCAGGAGGATCACTTAAGCCCAGGAGTTCAAGACCAGCCTGGGTAACAGAGTGAGACCCCACCTCTACAAAATTTTTTTATAAAAAGTCAGCTGGGGCTGGGCTCGGTGGCTCATGCCTGTAATCCCAGCACTTTGGGAGGCCGAGGCGGGCAGATCACGAGGTCAGGAGATGGAGACCGTCCTGGAAAACACAGTGAAACTCCGTCTCTACTAAAAAATACAAAAAATTAGCTGGGTGTGGTGGCGGGTGCCTGTAGTCCCAGCTACTTGGGAGGCTGAGGCAGGAGAATGGTGTGAACCTGGGAGGCGGAGCTTGCAGTGAGCAGAGATCGTGCCACTGCACTCCAGCCTGGGTGACAGAGCGAGATTCCATCTCAAAAAAAAAAAAAAATCAGCTGGGAGTGGTGGCGTGCACCTGTAGTCCCAGCACCTGTAGTCCCATGCTGAGGTGGGAGGATGGCTTGAGCCTGGCAGGTTGAAGCTGCAGTAAGCCATGACCATGCCACTGTACTCCGGTGTGAGCAACAGAGCAAGACCCTGTCTCAAAAAAAAAAAAAAAAAGAAAAATTGGTGTTTAGGTGCCAAGCACTGTTCTAACTACTTTAATAACTTCTTCATTCCTCATGGCAACCCTTTTGGGGTAGGTATTAGTATTATTATTTCTGGGCCAGGCACAGTGGCCCATGCCTATAATCCCAGCACTTTGGGAGGCCAAGGTAGGCAGATCACTTGAGGTCAGGAGTTCAAGACCAGCCTGACCAACATGGAGAAACCCTATCTCTACTAAAAATACAGAATTAGCCAGGCATGGTGGCGCATGCCTGTAATCTCAGCTACTTAGGAAGCTGAGGCAGGAGAATCGCTTGAACCTGGGAGGCGGAGGTTGCGGTGAGCCGAGATAGCACCATGGCACTCCAGCCTGGGCAACAAGAGCGAAACTCCCTCTCAAAAAAAAATTTTTGAAAAAAAAAATTATTATTTCTGCCATTTTACAGGATTTTACAGGTAAGGAAACAGAGGCACAGGGAAGTTAGGTGATTTGCCAAAGGTCTTTAATAAGTTGCAGAGCTGAGTCACATCCAGGCAGGCTGGCTCTGTGTCATCTCCCACAGTCTGGAGTCGGGAAGCTGGAGATGGAGGACACTGGTCAGAAATTCATACCCTAAGAGGACCATGCTCTCTGCAAACAAGGGGATTTGTTCCCACATAAGAGGAATAATCAGCGATCTAATAAAACAGTTTTGAAACCTTACATTTGTAATAACCAGTTCACTTTTACACAGCTAGTATCCCATGGAACCGGGACTTACACATAAATGTCTTTTTTTCCTCCTTTAAAAAAAAAATGGTACCTGGGTGCCACAAGGAGGGTAGCAGGAATGATGTTAGTTTGAGGAAGTGAGGGTGAGGGCCAGGCTCTGTCCCGACAGAGAAGGCCTGGACTGAATCTAGGAGACCTGGCTGGAGCTCTGCAGCTGCCTCCCCAGCAGCTGGGCTGGTTCTCCCCATGGGTTCACCCTCTCTCTATTACTGTGGTCACAACCAGAGGACTGAGTCTGGTTGGGTCATTCTTTCCTTCATCAGAAGATTTATTAAACACTTATTTATGCAGTAGTGGGTTTACAAGGATGAATGTGACTAAGTCATCCCTATTTTAGATTTTGCCTGGAAAGCCTCATATGACTTAAGAAGACCCTCCTTACCTTCATTCCACCCAACTCCCCACCTGCTTATGGTGCAGCTGTTTTAAGGGGGATAAAAATATTTAACTCATAGTTTAAAAGCTGAAAATAGCAATGTCCGGTTTATGGGGCTCCTCAGTGAATGAGGTTGTCAGGAGATTTGGGCTCATTGGGCATTCAGTGTGATCCTCCTCTTTCAATAGGTAAGGAGCACAGAGTTCTCAAGTGAGGGCAGGATGCAGGGTAAGAAAGCTGGGGAGACAGGATAGGCTTGGCCCAGGTGACTGCAGCCTAGCTACCCTGTTATCCAGACTTGAAACTGAGATTTTTGCCCAGAATCACATGAACCCTGTTTATTTTAACTTGAGCAGAAGAAATAGAAGCTGGGTACTGACTACTTGATGATGAACCTAAAATACAGGCCTTGGAAGGTTTATATACTTTTTTAAACAATGCCAACTCTGTGTAAAGGAGCATTTTTCTGTTTTGCTTGTTAGATTATCACAGTTTAGATTAATGCGCCAAGGGAAGTTGGTGGCACAAGTGTATGATACCCTTCTCCCATCTCTCCTGTTGAAGATTTAATTGTGTCAGATCAATCTATATTCCATTTATGCCTTTGTGGGACTGCTGTTCTGTTTTTAGTTTGGAGACAAGGTTTCACTCATTGCCGAGGCTCACTGCAGCCTCAATTTCCTCGACTCACTTGATCCTTCCACCTCAGCCTCCTGAGTAGCTGGGACTATAGGCACATGCCACTGAGCCCAACTAATTTTTTAAAATTTTCATGGAGACGGAGTCTCACTATGTTGTCCAGGCTGTTCTCTAACTCCTGGCCGCAAGTGATTCTCTGGCCTCAGCCTCCCAAGTGCTGGAATTACAGGCGTGAGCCACTGTGCCTGGCCATACTTACTTATTTTCTAAACACCTGTATGGCATGTTCAAAACATTGGAAAAAGTAGAAAACATTGGAGCAGTTTGCATTTATCTGGGGAGTGAAATACAGCGGTATAAAATTATGGTAGCATATAAGCAAACATTTTTATGAAACTTTACTATTTATAAAGTGTTTTCATGTACATGAGCTGAATAGGGCAAGCATTTTATCCCCACTTTACAGATGAGGAAACAAAACTGCTCAATGTCAAACAACTAATCAGGAGCAGACCTGGCATCAGACACCTCTCTTCTGTTATTCCCTGCTGCTTTTCCAGTTTGGACAATGTGTGTGTGTGGTGTGTGTGTGTCGGGGACAGGGGTGGTGCTAATGAGGGAGGAAAGTATGTTTGAACCGAGCCTTGAAGGAAATAATGTCCGAGTTTAGAGGCCAACACACTTCAGCAAAAGCATTGTCAGACATCCTCTGACTATTCCCGAGGTCCACCCTGTTACCCCATTTTGCCTGTCTCCCTGGGAGCCTCACCCTGCTGGTGTGTCATAGGGTGAAGTGTCTGTTGTGTGTATTACTGGGTGTATTTAACATGCTCTTGGCTTTGTATTTGTTTTTGAAGCCTACCCACAAGGCCACATCAAAGTGGCTGACTATAAACAAGCAGGGCTGGCAAGTTGGAGTGGGGGCTCTTCATACAAGGAAGAGGTTTTCTGGTTAGGAAACAGTGGAGCATGGCTGTGAACATGACAAACACTGTTAAAGGGACAGGGATGGGGCACAGCTGTGGTACCTTGTCTGTGTTCCATGTGTGCACTTCTGTTAGACCATTAGAGCTCTTAGCTCAAGACCTGGCATGTAGGAAGTGCTCAGTATTGGTTAAATGAAATATTTGCTGCTTTTTGAAAAGACACAGAATTTTTCCTCTCTTAATCCACCTTTCTTTAGTGTGAAAATACTTTTCAAAGAAATATCAAGTCAGTCTCAACATTTACAGTTGGAATATTGTGAATGCAAATGTTAGTTAGATCTTCCTTTGACCTAATTTGATTTTATTGGTCTTGGGTTAGTAAAATTTGGTTATTGTGGTTACATTTCAGGGACGTTTACTTCAAGGCTCTTCATCTGAAGGATCAAGATAAAAACAACTACACTTAATAATTGACCAATTAACATTTTAAAGGCCTCTAAAGGTCACAGCCCAGGTGACTGGTGAATTTACTCAGTTTCAAACCACTCTTCTACTTCTTTTTGTTGTGCTTCAGTACATCCAGGTCTGACTGTCTAGGATTACAGCTCTCTTTTTCACTTCTGCTCCTCTTGTCATGTGTGGGTTTGGTGAGCCAGTATCTTTAATGCGACTTTTTTCAGCACTGGAGTTTTACAAAGCCTGGGCCCAGTGGTGCCGGAAACACTAAGATGAGTAAGAGGCTTCCTCTCCTGAGTCGTCAGCTGGTGGGGATTATGAAGAGTCCCCATGATGAGGGACTCAAGTAAGATTGGGGCCAGACCATCAGGGAGGGGAGGAGAAGGGTTGGAGTCAGGATAGGGGGGCAATCCTGGTAAAATTGGTATGTAGAGAGGTGGGCCTTGAAGCAGTAGGAGTGGGGAGGAAGTTTACTAGATGCCAGGTGCTTTCTCAGCATTTCATGTGTATAGTTTTTTTCATTTCATTCTTCTGAACCATTTAAGGTACATTCTGTTGTTTTCTGCATTTTATACAGAGGAAACTGACACAAAGAGAAGTTAAGTAAGTTGTCCAAGAGCATGCAGCTCATAAATGGTCCTGCCTGGATTCCAACTCAGGCAGTCTGGTTGCAGAGTCTGAACTGTGAATTGCTGTCAGTGGCTGAATGGGATTTGGACAAATGAAGATTAAGGGGAAACCACGGTGATCAAATATTAATACATAGAGGTAGACAAATTGGTTTAGGGCCATTTTGCCAAGGCCCTGGAATCCCACACCTGAAGGGGATAATTGTAACATATGACAGAACTAATATTTGTATAGGCTTTATGGGTCCACATTGCCACCACCCTCTGCTGATTGATTTGGTGGAATGTTGTGTCTGTGGTTCAGTGTGCAGGGATAAGGTTGGGAAGGTTGTTGAGTAGAGGAGTCACATGGTTTGTTCCCTCTCATATGTCTTTAAGCTGTCGTGAGGTTTTGGCCTGTATTCCCTGAGCTCATGAACATGGTGTTAAGGCTCAGCCTCTGCTGTCTTCTGTACCCTGCCCATGCTCTTTCCCTGCCCTACAGTTACCCTCTGGAAAGAGTTTCCTGGAGTCTCCCTGTTTCTGCCTTTTCACCTCACTGTCTACCTCTGACCTGCCCTCCATCATTCCCGCTGGAGCTGTTCTCCGTGAGGAGACAGTGCCTGGCTCACTGCTCATTTTGGCTGGGACTTTTCAGGTTTATTGCATCCAGTGAATTCTTAACTCGGGGTGATTTTACCCCCTAGGGGATACCTGGCAGTGCCTGGAGACATTGAGTGGGGCTGGCCTCTACGGGATGGACAGTGAGGTTGCTGCTAGCTGCTAGACATCTTACAGGATGGCTCCCACAACAGAGATCCAGCCCAAATGTCTGTAGTGCAGAGGTGGAGAAGCACCGATGTTACCTGGTGCTCTGGGACATTTTGCAGTTCTCCATTCTTTTTTTTTTTTTTTTTTTTTAAAGGGAGTCTCACTGTGCCACTCAGGCTGGTGTGCAGTGGCACAATCTCTACTCACTACAACCTTCGTCTTCCAATTCAAGTGATACTCCCACCTCAGCCTCCCGAGTAGCTGGGATTACAGGTGTGCGCCACTACACCCAGCTAATTTTTGTATTTTTAGTAGAGATGGGGTTTCATCATGTTGGCCAGGCTAGTATCGAACTCCTGACCTCAGGTGATCCACCCGCCACGGCCTTCGAAAGTGCTGGGATTACAGGCGTGAGCCACTGCGCTGTCCCCTGACTGCCTGGACATAATTCTCTCCTGACTTGTTTTTCAGTAAATTCTGAGTTCATTTCTTACCAATCTCTGCAGGGGAATCTTCTCCTCCAGCCTTGGTTCCAGTCCTTGCATCCCAGGATTCTTTTCCTGGCCTCTGGTCTCTGCCCACTCCTCCCGTTTTTCTTGGGCATCTCATTAGTCCTAGGGATTTGACCTTCATCTGTGGGTGAGTGACTCCACATCTGTATTCACAGCTCTAGCTCTCTTGAGCTCCAGTCAAATTCATGTCTCCTCCACCTCAGTGGTACACAGGCACTTCTAAATCAGTGGGTCCTAAATAGGGCAGCCCTAAGTCTTTTTCCATCTTCCCTGTCCTGCTGTTCCCACATTGCTGTCCGTCAGCATGGACTCTCACACACACACACACACAAACACACACACACACTCTCTCTCTCTCTCTCTCTGAGCATCTTCTCACACTGCTCCTGAAGCACAGGCACTCCTTATTTCTCAACCCACAGCACCCTCCCTCTGGCCTCCTTACTTCCAGTCCCGTGCCCCACGCTGCCACCAGGGGAGCTTTCTAGAGCAGAACTCTGAGCCTGGGAGTCTGCCTTTAGCTTCTGTCATCTATACACATAATCTAAACTGCTTCATGACCAAGCCCAGTGGTTCCCAATTGGGAGAGTAGTATTTCCCTCCAAAGGGGCCCTTTGAAAGTGTTATGAACATTGGGGGTATCATGATGGGGAAGGTGGGGTGGGTGGGCTACAGATACTGAGTGCTCAGGCCTAGTGATGTTTGCTTCCTGTAGTGTGCTGGACTGGGCTGTCCAGTGCATTACAGGAAGAGAATTGTCCAGATGCCAGTAGTGCCCTCATTAAGAATTGGCGATGTAGTTTTTAGCTTCTGCCTAGAGGATGAGGAGAGAAATGCTGAGCACTGGTCCTGGAGAGTACTTATTTTGGGGATTGGGAGGCAAAAGAACTGCATGGTATAAAATCCTACGGAAATGCAAGCAAGAATGTAAGGGAGTGATGAATTGTATTGAAAATTGTAGAAATGCCAAGACACAAGTGGGGAAGGCTGTTAGTTGTGTGACTCCCTGAAGCACCCTTGTCATCCCAGCCTGTAAGCCACACTAACCTCCCCCCCACCGCCCCCCACCGCTCATACAACCGGCAGCCACTCTTTTGGGCCTGTGGCAACAGGTTTCCTTCCTTGGTCCTGCACTATGAGACTCTCAGTCTCCCAGTTTGGCCCCACATTTGGTCAGTTTTGCCATCTCTACATTAGCCCCTTCCACCTCTGGCCACCTTATTACACAGCTTCTTTTGTAAATAAAAATATCCCAAGCTGTGTCACAGTCAGCTAACGACAAGAACAGCAGCAACAACATTAATGATCCTTTATGTGCCAGGTACTGTGCTAAACTCTTTATAAGCATTTCTTATTTAATCTTCAAAAAATCTCTATAAGGTAGCTACTACAATTATGCCCATTTATGGTTGAGGAAATGGAAGATTAAACAGATGAAATAACCAGTTCACTTTTACACGGCTAGTATCCCATGGAACCAGGACTTATACATACATGTCCTTTTATTTCTCATTTTAAAAAAACAGATTTTATTTTTTAGAGCAGATTTAAGTTCACAGAAAAACTGGAGGTATAGAGTGTTCCCATATACCTCCTGCCCTCCTCCAGCCTCCCCCACTGTGAATACAGAATGGTACATATGTTACAATTGATGAACCTACATTTACACATCATTGTCATTTAATTTCATAGTTGACATTAGGGTTCCCTTTTGGTATTGTACATCCTGTGGATTTTGACAAATGTATAATGACGTGTATCTGCCATTATAGTATCACGGGAATAGATTCACTTCCCTAAAAATCCTCTGTGCTTCACCTGCTCATCCCCCACCCCCTGTGGCAACCACTTTTTTTTTTTTTTTTTACTGACTCTATCATGTCTTTTTGACATTTTAGAAATAAATTCTAAGCTCAGATGTTCAGTTATCATTGAATAGCTGTAAGGAATCAGTGGAGTTCCCATATCCATGAATCATGTTTATTTCTTAAGAATTGGGTTAGCGGATTCTACTTTCTGTCACCATGTTTTCTGTCCTTTCTGGGAACCGGCTTGGCTGTTTGCACAGTGTGGGACATGTGTGGGACATGTACTTAAGATAGAGTACAACTATGTTGTTCCCACTTCCTGTCCTGGTAGCTTTGGAAGAATTCTGGTTTTTTCCTTCACAGCCTGGCTTTGTAATTTTGTGTAGACCAACAATTAGTTTGATTCAATATCCCTGCCATTGGGTGTCAGACCACCTTAGACGAGAAATCGGTATGAGACCGTCTATGTTCCAGCGGCTTTCTGGTATTCAGGACAACCTAAAGCTCAGGATGAAGGGCGTTGAAGGTCCTTTTTAGAGATTCCACCAGACTGGTTGGTTAAGTAGCTTCATCATATTATTCCCTGGTTCACTGGAGTGATTCATCTTTAAAGGAACCCTGGAACTGCCTTTCATTATATTCATGTCTTAGAAAAACCTTATACCATACTGTTGCAAGTACAGGTTGAGTACCCCTAATCCAAAAATCTGAAATCTGTTCTCTCTTTATTCCTCCCCCAGAAGCCCCATGTGCCACTCCCCTGATCTGCAGCTTCGGTAGGCCGGTGGACCTGGAGAAGGACGACTACCAGAAGGTGGTGTGCAACAACGAGCACTGCCCCTGCAGCACCTGGATGCACCTGCAGTGCTTCTACGAGTGGGAGAGCAGCATCCTCGTCCAGTTCAACTGCATCGGCCGCGCGCGCAGCTGGAACGAGAAGCAATGCCGCCAGAACATGTGGACAAAGAAGGGCTACGACCTGGCCTTCCGCTTCTGCTCTTGCCGCTGTGGCCAGGGCCACTTGAAGAAGGACACAGACTGGTATCAGGTGAAGCGGATGCAGGACGAGAAAAAGAAGAAGTCTGGCTCCGAGAAGAACACAGGGAGGCCTCCTGGTGAGGCGGCGGAGGAGGCAAAAAAGTGCAGGCCCCCAAATAAGCCCCAGAAAGGCCCAAGCCACGACCTCCCCCGCCGGCATTCCATGGACCGGCAGAACTCCCAGGAGAAGGCAGTGGGTGCCGCAGCCTACGGTGCCCGTTCCCCCGGTGGCTCCCCGGGCCAGTCCCCACCCACGGGCTACTCCATCCTCTCTCCTGCCCACTTCAGCGGCCCCCGCTCCTCCAGATACCTCGGGGAGTTCTTAAAGAACGCCATCCATCTGGAGCCTCACAAGAAGGCCATGGCTGGGGGCCATGTGTTCAGAAATGCCCACTTTGATTACAGCCCTGCGGGGTTGGCAGTTCACAGGGGGGGACACTTCGACACCCCCGTGCAGTTCCTTCGGCGGCTGGACCTCTCCGAACTCCTCACTCACATCCCCAGGCATAAGCTGAACACTTTCCACGTGCGCATGGAAGACGATGCCCAAGTGGGCCAGGGGGAAGACTTGCGGAAGTTCATTCTGGCCGCGCTCAGTGCCAGCCACAGAAACGTGGTAAACTGTGCCCTGTGCCACCGGGCGCTCCCGGTGTTCGAACAGTTCCCACTGGTGGATGGAACTTTGTTCCTAAGCCCGTCGAGACATGATGAGATCGAATATGATGTTCCTTGTCACCTTCAAGGTATAGGTGTTAATTCACCTTGCCTGCTTTCTGTTTGTTAAAAACCAAACAACAAACAAGACAGATTGCTCTATTTTGGTGTAGTTTTCACCAGTGTTGTTTTTTTGTTCTAGTCAGGTGCTAGGTAACATTTGAATATTTCAGCTTCGCCCAGTGACGCGGTGATTTTTTACTCTGATGTCACAGTACCAAGTACAGTTGTCCTAGCGGATAATTTTGTGTGTTCTGTAATTTGAAGAAAGGATTGCCGGTGTATGGTTTTGCATAATGGGGAAGGAAATTAGTGGAGTTGTTGCATATTTGTCACTTACTGTAAACCTGTTTAATGGGCCCATCTAGCTGTGTATCCTCTTAGATCCTTATAAACATAACAGTGAGGAAAAGCAGTGGTCAGAAAAGGGCCAAGGTATTTTTAGATTAGTTGAATTAATTTTGAAGTTTATGAAAGATGAGAGTGTGTTGATAGCAGCAAAAGGTAAACAGGATTATTGAAAGCTCAGACATTAGCCCGGTGGTGGTGGTGGAAGGAGGGGCGATGGGGAAGCTTATTATTCCTGTGGATGGCATATAAGGATTTGGTACATTTCAGCCATAAATTGAATGACACGAGGTTGGTTAGTATAAGAAATCTGTCAGTTCATGTACAACTACTGAACTTCCATAAAGATGAGACACATCACATATAACATGTTTACACTTTAAATGTGTGCTAAAAAGCTTGTTGTGAAAATGATATATCCCCACCTGTCTCCTTCCCACCAACCCTGCTGTGTCAGTACCCAGACAAACATTTTCAAATCTTAGCTGATGCTTCAAGTTTTTGACATCGTGATTGTAAATACTGCTGTCTTCATTCTCCAGCTTTACATATTATCTGTTTATTGACTGGCTTTGAAGGTGGATGACTGTGCATCCCCCTCCTCCTTCCTCTCAGGATAAGATACCACAATTATTAGTTAAATCCTTAATGTTTACTAATGTGAATATATATATTTAATATTGAGCCAAGAAGTATAGGGTTTTATCTTATTATATAGTACCATATAGTCTAGGACTCCTTTTGTTTTTATTAGGGTTAATTGATTATTTTGATTTGCATAGTTTTTTTTTTTTTTTTTAACTTTGGCTAGTTCTCACTCTCCAGCAGCTTTACAAACCATCTTTCAAAGACATTTCCACATACCTGTCAGATTTTTTTTGGAAAAAAAATTTTTGCCCCTGAAAATGCCCCTCGTGGAGACTCTTACCCTCCTGCTTCTACCTGTCCTGGTGCACTCAGGACCTGGTGTACCACATAGCTGTCCTTCTAGGAATGCCTTCATTTCTGTCCTATTTTTAAAAATCTTGTTTCCTAGATCTCAATATTTTATTTTTTTCTCGGTTTATTCTCTCAGCTTTTAGGAAACATCCCCCAGGAGCTTTTTGAGAAAGGGAGCATGGGAATAGATGATTTGAGACTTTCAACGTCTGAGAATATCCTGATTTAATCTTCACTCTTCTTTGCTATTTAGCTGGCTGTAGTCTTCTAAGTTATACATATTTTCCCCTTGGAATTTTGAAGACATTTCTTTACTGTCTCCCATCTTACAATGTCACTATTTTGAGAGGTCTGATGTTACTCTTATTCCTGTCTTTGCCTCCATCTCCACCCCTCCATGAAGGTTTTAAGATTTTCTTCATATATCCCTAATGTTCTGAAATTTCACCATATGTGGGTCTTTTACACAGTTTCCTCTATTTGTCGTGCTTTCTGTACTCTCTTGGCCCTTTGGCTCTATAAACTTACCATCTTCCATTTGGAGAAATTTGTTTTTGTATTATTTCTTTGACAATTTCCGCTACCCTATTTTCACTTTTAAAAAATTCTGTGAAACTCTCATTAATCAGATATTAGACCCCTTAGATTATTTTTTTTGTTGGAGTGGAGAACTCCTTTATTTTATATATAATAAAGGATATATAATAAATATATACATGGCCCTATTCATCTCTTTATTCTGCTTTATGGAAAATTTCCTTGACTTTTTATTTTGGTGTTTTTACGGAGTTACAAATTTTCTGTTCTTACATTTTTAATTTCCAGGAGCTCTTTTTAATAGCATTCTCTTCTTGTTTCATGTATGTAATTTCTTGTGCTACCTTTGTGAGCAAGGAAAGGGAGCTGAAATTGCAGAGAGTAGTCTCTTTCATTTTGAGAATTGTACCTAACTCCCTTTATCTTGTAGCATTTGTTATAAAGCAGAGCATTCCAAAACTTAGTGGTTTAAAAGGATAATTTAATGACTTCTCACAATTCTGTGGGTGGATTGTTAGGTTGGCTTAGGGGGCCTCAGCCGGAATGGCTTGTCTGTGTTCCATGTAGTCTTTCATCTTCCAGTAGGCTAGCTTGGACTTTTTCACATGTTGCTCTCAGGATGGCATTCAAGAGATGTAAGTGGAAGCTGCAGAGTCTGTCTCTAGAGGCTTAAGCTTGGAACTGAGTAACATCACTCCTGTCACATTTTGTTCATCAGTATAAGTCCTAAGTCTAGCCCAGGTTCAGATGATGCTGAAATACTCTGCTTTTTGATGGAAAGTGCTGCATAGAATTTATGGTTGTTTGTAACTTATTGCTCCCTGCGAGCTCCCTACAAACTCCCCGGTGCTTGTCCAGTTTCTGAGCTTAACCATTTACTATCCCTCAGTCTACTTTCTGACTTCATATAGTTTAATTCAGGGTTGAAATAACCTCATTGTTTCATGGAAGATGGAGTTTGTGTTTTTGTTTTTTTATCCTGTTTGGGGGTAATTTTAGAGGGAAGTGGATGGAAACACCTTTATTTCTCCATTGTAAAACTTGAAACATTTTTTATGAAGATGAATATGGGTACAGCAGATATGAGAATAGTAGTGTTCTTTTTCTATCCATGATGGACAGATTATTGTCATGTAATCCATTCATCAGTTCATCAAACTTACGGATATCACACATGCTGGGTACTATCAGTTCTTGCTTGTCATCAATTTATAATCTTAGGATAAGATGCTTTTATAAAATGTAACTAACTTACCAGGCTTAAAGTTCTAGTATCATACCTGGATATGATGTACATTAAGTATCCTATAATTTCCAGAGGAAGGGACCACTTTGGCTTGGTTCGTAAAAAGAGGCAGCATGAATGCTGATGTCAAAAGGTGGACTGGATCTTGGTAAGCAGAGGGTCTACCCAGGTCAGGTGTTTGTTGATGAGGAGGGAGTGCCTGCAAGCAAAGGAAGGGTGGTTAAAAAGAAGAAGGGCAGGTTGCGATGAGGAGCTAGGGAGAGAACTGTTTGGTTGGAGCCAAGGGTGTTCTAGAGTGGGAAAGGAGTAGGATAGGGAGAGAAGGGAGAGAACAGATTGCAGAAGTACTTTCAAGCCATAATAAAGAACTTTGCTATATATTCTTTATGAATGTGAATGGAAAGATTTTCAGTGTTTTTTTAAAGCAGGCAGTCACATGGAGGAAAGGTGCGGGAAAGGGGTTTGAAAGGGGTGGGATCTAGAGACAGAGTTGAGGCTTTGTAGTCTAGATGTAAGGAGATAAAAGGTGTGGACAGAATGGAAGGGAGGGGATATTGTCAAGAGGTTATTTTAAAGAAAAATTACAGCTTGTGAATTTAGAAACAAAATTCACTTTGTTTCTAGACCAGATAAATGGTGCAAGAGTAGAGAAAGGAGATGGGTAGATAAAGGTGGGGAAAGGGCCTGGTTTTGCGGGCAGAAGATGAGGTTTCTGTGTGTTGGGTTTGAAGGGATGTTGGGACTTTTGTGTGGAGATGTCTAGCAAACATGGTTAAAAATAAGCATTTGGGTTGAACACTGGGAGTTTATAACAGTGGTGGTTAAAATCCTAAGGGTGGAAGAGCTCTTGGATAGGAAGAAAAGAGAAAAAAAAGGAAGGAGGATATGATAAACCCACAACCAAATCTTGAGAGTACCTTTCAGGGAGCAGATGAAGAAAGAGGTGAAAATTAGGCCTGAGTACTTGTGTGTGCGTATATATACACATCAAAACATAGACATACATAAATAGATAATGCGCACATTAGATGTGCCCACAAAGATACTGAGAAGTTGAACGTTTGATGTAAAACCTGAAGATCAGGGTGTTTAATTATTACCAGAGAAGTTATCATTGCCACAAGTGAGGCCTTGACCACATATCAGCATTTTTATTGCCACATCTTTGAGAAATCCATGCCGTCTTATTTGTAGTAAGAAAATGTAAATCATGTCTTCAATCACCAATTACTGACCACACATTCTTCTATTTTTCTTTTCTTTTTTCTTTCTTTTTTTTTGAGTATCTCAGTCTGTCACCCTGGCTGGCTGGAAAGCAGCGGAGTGATCATAGCTACTGCAGCCTTGGACTGCTGAGCTCAAGCAGTCCTCCTGCCCCAGCTTCTCCAGTAGCTAGGACTGTAGGCTCAAGCCACCACACTCGGCTTATTTAATTTGTTTAAACTTGTTGTTGTTGTTGTTTGTTGTTGTGTTTTTTTTTTTTGTGACGGGGTTTCACTTTTGTTGCCCAGGCTGGAGTGCAATGGTGCTATCTCGGCTCACTGCAGCCTTTGCTTCTGGGTTCAAGCGATTCTCCTGCCTCAGCCTCATGAGTAGCTGGGACTACAGGCGCCGCCACCACGCCTAGCTAATTTTTTTATATTTTAGTAGAGATGGGGTTTCACCATGTTGGCCAGGCTGGTCTCAAACTCCTAACCTCTGGTGATCTACCCGCCTTGGCCTCCCAAAGTGCTGGGATTATAGGCGTGAGCCACTGCGCCCAGCCCTAAACTTTTTTAAGAGATGGGGTCTCACTGTATTATTGCCCAGGCTGGTCTTGAACTCCTGGCCTCAAATGATCATCCCATTTCAGCCTCCCAAAATGCTGAGACTACAGGCATGAGCCACTGTGCCTAGCCTGATCATGTGTTTTTTAAAGCATTTTCAACTCCAATAGAAGGGCCACACTGCAGGCCACAGGATTGCACAGCATGCGGGGCTGACATGCTGCTGCAGTACTTGCTGTGTTCAGTGGCCCTTTCTGGATTACTACTCCCTCGCCCTGCCCTTTACCACTCACTGCCCTCCCCGGACCCTGTCTCTGGACTTCGTTTGCTCTCTTTCCCTCTGAAAATAGGTTTTGTTTAGCATTAATTTATTAAGATTGATCTAATTAAGAAGTTCTTATTGGGCTTCTTTACCACTTTGAACCACATGTGATTGTTCTCTGAAGAATCGGCTTTTTGTTTAAATTCACAAAGGGTTTAGAAATTCAAAATTCTCTGTGGTCAGGACAATGTGTAGCAGAACTGAAACAAATCTAGACTCAGTCCAGACCAGGTGTTCCAGTGAGTTTGCCTGTAGGTTACGGATCCGAGAGACATGAATCAGTCTGGACTTGCTACTTAAATCTTAAGAACTTGGGCAAGCTGCTCAGCTCTGTAAGCCTCACTTCCTACTCTCAGAAGTGGGAGCAACAGTAATGTCTATTCTGTAATGCTGCTGTTAGGGTTAAATGAAATGATTCACACGGAGCTGGTAGCATAGTGCCATACCCTCGGTTAACTCTTAGTAAAAGTTACTCTGTCTTCATCATTATGGTCATCGTTAGCAACACCTGACTTCTGTGTCTAAGGCTGCCCTTACCCTTCTCAGCTGTGGCCTCTGTACCTGGGAATGTTTGGGAATTGCATTGAGTATGCAGGACAGAGAGTGCAAATGAAATTTTTTCCAGTGGCTCCTGGATCCTTGAACGGACTTCCTAACATGCCCCGAGGCCAGAGTAGATGTGGCATGTGAGACCCTTTTATTTTCAATGCCGTAGAGCAGAGGTGGGGAGTATTTCAAGAAGTTCTTGTCATCCTTCCCCCTTTTGGCATAAAGGCCCCCAAGGTTATCTGTCTTTGGCTGTTAACATGCCCCATCCATTTACCCAACATACACTTATAAAGTGCTTTCCACATCCCAGACACTGTGCTAGTCACTGAGTCTACAAGGATGACTAAGACATGGTTCTTGCCCTCAAGGAGGAAGGGGGTCATGCAAGTAAATGCAAACGAAGGGCTCCCCCTAAGTACTGTAGATGGAACATACATACCTTTCCATCGGGTAAGGAGCAGGTTGATCCTTACTACTGAGTGCTGAAGACCCATAGTCTGACTGATGGCAGTGAGCAGCACATTCTGAATATGAGGCCACTTAGGATTATGTGTTCTCCTGATGGTAGTTTTTAACATGGGGAAGCACCCTGGGTTCCACACAGAGCAGAAATGTTGCTGTTATACGTTGCCTGGGCAGATTCTGGGCATTCTGACTCTTTCCTAATTATTTAAACTGTGATGCTTCCATATACACTAGGATGACATCTTTCCTTTATTAACATTAAGATGTTATCAAATAATGGAGGGGGATCATGTTGTAACTTTTAAGAGCTCGGTGAATAATAAGACATTGAACTTCTTTTAAAAAATTACGAGTAAGATATAATTCTGGTTCCTAAATTAGATGTGGTGATGGCTGAGCATTTTGAGGACAAGGATAGTTAACAGTAATTTTGGTTGTGGTGTAATTCTGGGCTATCAGTCCCCAAGACAGACTTTTGATTTTTATGATGGGACTTGTCACAAGAGAGCTTGTGACAAGATCAGTGGTGTTGGTTAAGTCTCTATATGCTAAACATAAACTTTTGAGCAGGAAGTCCTGCGTGAATACAGTACAGGCTGGTTTTGAGTGTATGTGGCTTTGTTACTTGAATTTGGATGGACCCATTATGTAAGCCCAGCAGCCCTTTTTGGAAAAGTGAATTGAAGCCAAGTTTTTAATATGCTTGAACTTAAAATACATGCTTTATTGACAACAGCTAGTAATTCATCATTATCCTGAAAGGACAGCTTGTGTACTAAATATTGATTTTTCTTTTTATATTTATCCAAATGATAAAATCTTTGCTTATAATTGGTAGATGAAACATTTTTATCTCCTTGGAGATGAAATGTGATTTCCATGATGGCCACTCAGAGCCTTGTGTCTTCTGTGCACAGGGAGACTCATGCATCTGTATGCCGTGTGCGTGGACTGCCTGGAAGGGGTTCACAAGATCATCTGCATCAAGTGTAAGTCACGGTGGGATGGCAGCTGGCACCAGCTGGGCACTATGTACACCTACGACATCCTGGCTGCCTCTCCATGTTGTCAGGTAGGTACTGAACACACTGAGGGAGCAGTGGGTGATATTAGGCTTCTGTCCCCAAGTGAATGTAGGGAAGATGCGTCTGGCAATAAAGAAGAAATTCAGTCCAGCAATGATGGCTGAGTTACTACTTGTAATGTAGTCATTTAGTGGAATACTATTCAGTCATTAAAAGGAATACTGTAGAATAATATATAATTATGTGGGAAGCATTTCCAGTATATTAGGTCAAAAGAACAGGTTATAAAATGGTATAATAATATGCTTGCATTTGTAAGTAAGTGAGCATGAAAAGGGAATTGCTAACCTGTTACCAGATGGTCTCAGTGGTGGGAGGCTGAATGGTTCCTTTAGTTTTCTTTTTCCTTGAGTATATTTTCTAAGATTCTGTATGATTAGCTTATAGTAAATTTCTAATAGAAAAAATGTTATTCAAAAGGAAGAAAGTCACTTTCTTAAATAGGATTTTCTTGTTTTCTTTCTGTGGGATAGTACAGTTATCCAGGAATTGCATGCCTTGTAAGGTGTTTGAGGTTGTAATCCTTAAAGCACTACTAAAAGGAGGCATTGTCTCATGCTATGAGGACATCTGAAATTTAGCTGTCATCAGAAAA
Source organism: Homo sapiens (assembly GCF_000001405.40). Lineage (NCBI taxonomy): Eukaryota > Metazoa > Chordata > Mammalia > Primates > Hominidae > Homo > Homo sapiens. The sequence goes on from NC_000006.12 coordinate 139,175,148, forward strand.
AGAGGGAAGTATTCACATATGAAAACACAAATAACCTATAGAATCACAGGAGACAAAATGCTTGGAAATATCTTGCTTTATTTCCAAGTGCTTGGGGAAGAAAACAGCTTGTTAGGTAATTCCTTGATACTCTCATGGGCAGGAGAGAAATTTTTCTTTGCTCTAAAGTGTTCCAGCCTGGTTTTTTAGTACAAATAGCTGATACATACTTCATTAGTTACTGCATAGTTTTATGTCTTTAGCATTATGGCTTGATTTTTGTAAAGAGAGTATCTTTACTATTATCAGTAGTTATTCACTGTGGCATTTTATGATAGTTATTGTGCCTTGATGCCAGCTCTTGAGAGAAACCAGAGGAAGTGGCTCCCCTCTGCACACACACACCGTGGAGGATTATCTTTTAAATTGAAGAAATAAGGAAGTGAAAGAACTTTTGAGCCTGTTAACTCAGAAGATTAGCACTGGAAAGGACCTGGGATCTAGACCGACCTCCTTATTTCCTCATACAATGGAGGCCTACAAACTTGGGATGTTTTACCCAGGTCTACATACATTGTGTCACAGCCATGACTGCACCGTGTGACTCCTGTTCTGGTGTTCTTTCTGGTACACCATTGAAAGGCAATGAGATTATTTCCATGTCTTTAGGAGGAAAAACAGAACAGCATCCTGCCACACCCAGCCTCTTGGTATTCACCATGCACTGTATTTCTTCCTTAAAACAATTGAAGCCCAGACCTTTCTTTTCTGGCCCCCTACTGAAATGGAAAATATGTTCGATTATTGTTAATTTAAAAAAATCAGTGAGGATACAAGTGTTAGACGCTACTAATGAATCAAGGGAAGTCTTCAATAAGATGTAGCCAAAAATAAGCAATAATTGATTCTTAGAAAGGTATAACAGTGTGAAGACGGGTTTGCTCAGAATCACACTTTTAATGTTGTTCAGAGAGATTACGTAGTTAAAAGAGTGTTTATCTCAGGTTACAGAAAAGTAGTTCCTGCAGTGGCTGAGGATCAGCAGGCTGCTTTGGTTCACTCCAGCCTTGCTGCTTTCTAACCATGGTCTTTGGCATGGTGCTTTATCACATGTGCCTCAGTTGCATTATCTAAAAGTCAGCTAATACTACCTACCTCCCAGGAGTATTTTGAGAACAAGTTGAGATTATACTTTTTAAGTACATTTTTAAAATGAGTCTAAATTGAGTCTGTTTTATTTATAATTTGTGGTTATTCACTTAAGTCCTGGACCCATTGCTGAAAGGTTCCAGGACTGTGCTGTTACGGAGAGGCTAGGCATGAGTGAAGATGCAGGGTGCTGGGAACTCCAGAAGCCTCAGACCAGCACCGCACTTCCTGGATTGCTAATTTTACTTGAGTATCTTGGGAAATTTTATTTTTACATCAAAGAAAACGCAACTTTTCTATAGAGTAGAATGAAAAATGAAATTTCAAAGAAGTTTCGTGGAGGTTTGGGTGAGGGAAGTCAGCTTCAGCCGCTGTCTTAAAATCCAGGGGGAGGGGTTTCTTATTGTTAGGGAACTTCAGTGGAGAGCATTTAGGCAGTAGTAGTTTAGAATTTTCTTCTCATAAGTAGGTGAAACAGCTAGCAGTGCTGCATATCAGGAGAGAAGTTGGGAGTCTTTCAGGTATACCCCGTTTCCATGTTTTTGGTAGTAAAAGGGATGCTTTGCAAAGCCCTTGATCAGTTTCCCAGCATTTTGGTTTGGATGACTTTGACAAGTGTTGGGAAGTGGAGGGGTGTTGTGGCTGATGGTGTCTGTTTCCCCCAGGCCCGCCTGAACTGTAAGCACTGTGGGAAGCCGGTGATCGACGTGAGGATCGGGATGCAGTACTTCTCCGAATATAGCAACGTCCAGCAGTGTCCACACTGTGGGAACCTGGACTACCACTTCGTGAAGCCATTTTCCTCCTTCAAAGTTCTCGAAGCTTATTGATGAAAGCTTTGCTTTAGTAATAGCTATTTTATTGATATTATTACTTTATTACATATCTTTTATAGGGAAACATTCTGTGACATTAATTTCCTTTCTAATTTAAAGGAGAGTTACTTTGTTGTATGTGTGCCACTAAAATAGGGGCTGCCCTTGCCCTGTCTTGATTCCCGAGTGTTAATCTGTGGTTTTGACCAGAGCCCAGATGGGTAATCCTGTGCATTTGGGTTGGGGTTCACTCTTACCAAGAATCTTTGATGCAGCTTTAAGATGGTGGGGAGGATGGGGTGAATTTAGGAAAGGAATTTGTGGTTATAAACTAAGAGCTTGATAGGAGTTGGAAGGAAACTCTTACTAAAATGTTAACTTTCTAAAAACCTTCTTTTAGATCTTCCTTGGGCCTTTGGAAAAATATGTGACAAGTGAATGTAAGTCTGTGCCTGGAGAGCTAATAGTGCATTAGTCTATCTCAGCCTAGTGTTCTGCAGCACACATGGGCAGGCAGTTTACTCACACTGACAGGTGACCTGAAAGTGGCACAAGTGCTGTTTCTATCACTATTGTAATTTGCCAGTTCATTTTTCATGCTGAAAGTAATATCCAAATTGTAAGACATATGAAAGATATTAGTGTTGCAAATATGTTTAGGTAAACTGACCTATAACAGAATATGTGAAATGAATTTGGAAATAATGCAAGAAGGCAGAACTCAATCATTTAAATTGTGTCTTTGAAGTTGGTAATATAGCTTTTAAGGAGAACCCATGAATAACCTGATTTGGGCAGTGATGATTTATTACAGGTTGCACTGTTGAAGTGTCATTTGGTGTCAGGTTCTTCTCACAGGTAAATCTTTCAGCCACAGAATCTAACTGGTGAGCTTCAGAACCAATAATTGCCACATTTATTGTCCTCAAAATTGCTTATGGCCATGTATAACCAATTAATTCTGAGTTTCCAAAATCAAAGATTTGACCTTAAGAGGGAAGGGAAAAAAGTGTGAAAGGATGATGAAGAAAATAATTTTACTATTTCTTTTAAAAGTATGTTTTGGAAAATCAATGATTTTAATGCATAGCAGTATGTTTGAAAAATAGACCATTCTAAAAAGCCCATGATACCTTACTGTTGATGAAAAAGGATGATCATATATATAGAACTTGATTAGTCAGAGCATTGGGCATTCCAAAATACAGCCTTTGGTTCAGTAGATTTTAATGCTTTAAATAGACTGACGTCGCATACCCTTATAGAATTGGAATATGATTTCTCAAAAATTAATTTGATAATTTCATGTATGATGTGCATATATGCTAAAAGAATGCAGAAAATCATTTTATGAATAGCCAAATTTGGGGTTGATGTGAACATTTTATGTTACTCATTTGGTTTATACTTTTTTTTTTTTTTTTTTAACTGTGTGGTTTTTCTTTTCAGAAGTATTTAGGCAATATTGCACGTGAGTTTCAGTTCTTTTTTTCTTTTTTTTGAGATGGAGTCTCACTCTTGTCACCCAGGCTGGAGTGCAGTAGTGCGATCTCAGCTCACTGCAACCTCTGCCTCCTGGATTCAAGCGATTCTCCTGTCCCAGCCTCCCAGGTAGCTGGGACTATAGGCACGTGCCACCACACCCGGCTAATTTTTTGTATTTTTAGTAGAGACAGCGTTTCACCATGTTAGCTAGGATGGTCTAGATCTCCTGACCTTGTGATCTGCCTGCCTCGGCCTCCCAAAGTGCTGGGATTACAGGCGTGAGTCACTGTGCCTGGCCAAGTTTCAGTTCTATATGAAGTATTTGATGTTTTGTTTGAAACAATACAGCATTAAAGAACCAATGTTATTCACTAATATCATTCATCTTTCAGTTTGGATGATTTGGTTTGCTGCATCTAGGTTGGTGTTTGATCATCTGAAAAAACATTTCAGTGGGAAGAAATGCATAAAATGCCTATAAGAAGTAGAAAGTCATTGAACTGACAGTGTTTGATGCAACTAAAAGAGGATTGTAAGACATAGCTTTCTGCAAACTTGTCTTTAATGCACAAAGCTGTAGTGGTGAATTAACTATCTCCTTATTGATTCTCTCCTGTACCCAGATGCAAAAAGTGCTAAGTTTCTCTTGTCCTCGTAATACCATTTGGATTTTATTTCTGAATTTAAATAGTAAAATATTTATGATGCTGATCTTTAACCCACCTAAAATTTTATAGTGAAACCTGCTTTATATTGTTGTTCTGAAGCTTACAATTGACCTATACATTGCATTCAGCAAGCTCCTGAATTTAGAACTGCCGTCAGTGTAGTGTATGCTGTGTTCCATGTTGCCTTTTTAGATGGCTTTCTACCCCCTGAACAATAAATAGGATGAGGTTTTACTGTAATTGGGTAAAGTTTACTCTTGGACATTATTTCGATGCTAAAGTAAGGATTCTGTGGATGTTACTTAAAGAGAAAAGCATAAGAGCATGAAGCATATCTGGGAATATCTTTTGCCTTTAAGACGATTCATTCTTGTCTAGAGGGAAAATCTGGCTGATTTGGGAATAAAATATAATCGAATATTCAACACCATGAAGATAAATCTTATTTTGGAAATCTACTGACCTTAATACCCCAAGCTTGCCCTGAATACTTTGATTGGAATTGGAATATATCAAAAAAGGTTAGTATTTTTGTTGTAGTTAGGATACTAAAAGGATATTAGTTACCCAAGAGATCCAATTTGTTTTTCTGATGAATAGTGTTCAGTAAAATGAAGCAGTCTTAAGAGTGACTAATAATTTCAAAGTGATTTTTCGTCTATTCTTAATATTTTTTAATTATTTATTTTTAAGAGTTTTATACCTTGAGCAGATACAATGATCTGCTTTAGTGAGAGGACAATTTCTGATTGATTGTTTTCTCTTCAGGCCATCTCACCTCTTCATTCTCTTGTTACATTTGAAGCAGTTGATATAATGGGTTTATACTTTAAAAGATAGACATGGTGCCATGAAGTTGGGGAGTTGGGTGAATTATCCCATTCTAGTTACAGAGGAGCTTTCCTTAAATGCCCTTTAACTTCTAGGTTTTGTTCAAGAAGTTCATTTTCTGAGTAAAAGGTATTTTCATATATGTTGGGGGAAAATTAACTCATCTAAAAAGAATCTTATTAGGTATTTGAACTCTAAAACTAACAGATAAGACAGATATGTACCTTATTAGAGCACCAGAACTAATTTGCTAAGTCTTTTGTTTAGTCCTGCAAGACTGATGCTTAATACACAGTCTGTTCTCCTGTGTCTAGGTCAGGAACTCCAGTTTGCTTTTCTGTTTTGTGTCCTGGTAGCAGCTGTTGAGTAACTTTCATTGGAGGTTGGGAAGGAAGTGAGGAGAAAGTGTTCTTGTTTAGTGTTTTATTTCCTATAATAGGATGCTGCCTAACCCAGTTCATCTCTATGTCCTGTTCACTGAATATTCCGGGTAATTGAAAGAAAATATAATGGATGGGCTCCATTAAAACCAGCTCAAAAATAAATTCTTGTCAGTAAAGATTTCTTGTCAAGATGTCTTGGATTGCACTTTTGTTGAGGAAAGACAGTGTAAATAGTTAAAGAATGTTGATAAAATTGAAACATTTGGTTGTGGAATTGTGTGTGGTTTTAGAGGGTTTCTGTTTGTGAAATGTATGTATTAAAAATAATAAAATTCCAGAAACTAACATTGTACTCTGTCTTTAGTTTGTCACTTTATTTTTCATTGAGATTTTTGAGCAGTGGGATTGTCTGGTCAGAAAAGATGAAGAGAAAGCTTTCTGAGGTTTTGATCACTATTCAGGTAACCATTTCAAAGTCACTCCTGCAGCTAATAAAAAAAACTGCCAACTTTTTTGCTGCTTGCGTCATGTATCACATGTAAACTCACTTTGCAATAAAAGCTTTCAGTATGACAAAGTTGATTCTATACGAATAGTCCAAAATTATCGTTCCGGTTTTAGGGAATTCTATTATTTGATAGATAGTATAGTGTTAAAGATTAGATAGACCCCCAAGGTCAACCACCCATAGCCACATAGCCAAAACTTAAGTCGTCCTGATTTCCCTGAAATGCTAGTTCTAATCAAAACAAAATGCAAGGCCTTGTCGGCATGATTTGGTGAAATCAAACTTACTAGCCATACAGTAATCCCCCCTTATCTGCTGTTTTGCGTTCTGCAGTTGTTTCAGTAACCCATGGTCACCCTAAATGGAAAATTCCAGAAACAATTCACATAGTTTAAATTGTGCACCATTCTGAGTAGCATCATGAAATCTCAAGTCCTGTGCCATCCTGTTGAGCAGGCGAATCATCCCTTTGTCCAGTGGATCCATGCTGTAGACGTCCCACGCCTATTAGTCACTTAGGAGGCTGCTAGATGAGTCCCGGTATTGCGGTGCTTGTATTCAGGTCACCTTTATTTTACCCAAAAGTGACCCCAAAGTGCAAGAGTAATGCTAGTGTACTCATACACTTGTTCTATATTATTACTAGTCATTGTTAATCTCTTACTGTGCTTAATTTATAAACTTTATCATAGGTATGAATGTATAGGAAAGGTCTTGGAAAGGATCCCCTAAGGATAAGGGAGTGCCTACTGTGTAGACAAATCAACAACTGGTCTGCTTTCCTTATAAAGAATGTTAACATGTAATAGCCAGTTATAAAAGAGGGTGAAAATACTTTCTCCCTTATGCTTTATAAATGGTACTATAACTGCTGTGTGCAGACTTCTAACCATTTTGGTTTGAGGTCTCCAGGTTTGCCAGCTGTTCTTTTATGTGCACAATAAACATACAATTTTAAAATTTGATCTGATTTTATTTTTGACAATAGATTATTCCACAGATGCTTTTGTTTCCTAGGCCTGTAACAATTTTCATCATGAAAAGACTTGATCGTATGCTTCTTCATTATAAGCAAAGAAGTCTAATTGAACGTCTTGCTGACTTCATATACTGTGATCAAGAATAGTTTATCCTTAAATCTCCTTGTCCTCTTCAATTCAAATATCATTCTTGGCCAATAGATTGAAATCCACAAACATTAGAACACAAGATAAGTTGGGGAAACCTGGGTAAAGAAAGTCTTGAGTCTGCCAGTGGATTCAAAGCCTGTGTTGCTACTTACTAATGCAGATGTCTGAGGCATAAATTTGACTTTATTTAAAGCCTTATAAAGGACTTGGGATATGATTTCTACCAATGTAATTTATGGTCAGCAAAATTCCTTTGAAATTTTAAGGAAGGTACAGTTCATACTGTAGAAGGAAAAAAGTTGCAGAAAAAAGAAGTTAAATGGTGATTGGTAAGCAATTAGTTTAATGGAAGAAAATTGTTACTTCTTATTGGTGGTTTCCATTACTTTAGATCTTGCTTGTATTGTTTTGACTTAAATTTGGCAAATTCAGCAGCAATTAGATTGCTAATTATCTAGGCTGTTTAGTAAAGGGTTAAATTTTCAAAGGGGGAAGAAATTCTTGTCTTGAGCTTTTCTTCTTTTTCTGTTCTCTCAACTCTGCAGTGAGGTAAACCTTACCTGCTGAATGTGAACTACCTTTGAGGACAATAAAGTGCTGTACAGATGTAATATTTGAAATAGTAATGTATTTTTAAGGCATATTTTTTCTTTAGTAGAAACTTTTAGCATTGTGGTAATTATATTAGCTCTACCTGGCATTGCTAAGCCTCAGAAACAGCAAAAGTAAAAATAAAGCAGTTTGTCTCATGAAGTTCAGTAAAACAACACTGGTTACATTCATCAGTGTTCAAATGGAATTGGCTACCGTAGCACCATTTCTTGGTGATGAACACCATCTCAGGCGGTTCTGTTACACTTGATTAAAAATTTAGATATCTAAATCAAGCATAGAACTAATTGTAATTCCTAATAAACCCAGTTATTCTAAGAGTGAGAAAGTCATAGCCAAAACAGTCATAGAATTTAGACGTGTCAGAATTTGGAGCAAGGGCTATGCTTTTTGTTTTACCCACATGGTAAATGTTTGTGAATTTCATTGACAATTGTACTCATTTTAGAGGTAAACTGAGGCCCAAAGAAGTTAAATCTAAGTAAGTTCATATAGTTAATGACTAACTAGGAATTAAATCTGGATTCCCACTCCTAGTCCTCAAAGTGAGATTCGGTAACATACTCAGCTAGCTAACTCTTGCTCAGAGGTAGAGAATTCATGAACTTTCTTCGGTTTTCCCTTCTGTTTTCTGTTACCACTTGCATACTGGCCACCTTTAGCATATTAATTGTCAGATCTGGACATTAGTAGTCTGAAGAGATCGTTGCCAGTTGTGCATGTTACTTTTGAAGCTGTTTTAAATGTGAACTTTAGATCCTGAAGTTAATTTTTTTGTTGTTGCTTTCATTTGGTGTTTACTGATTTCATTTTCTGATGCTAAGGGTAACAAATTGGGGGGCCTATATGAATGGCACTTAGACTCTCTGTAAAGGAAAGAAAATGTCAATTACAGCCATGTACACTTTTACCAGATATGTTAATAAGATATCTAACTTGATGTTGACTAAAGAAAAAAATAGCAACCTTTTAAATAATTAAAGGTTGTTTTATTCAGAAGTCTTACTGAAGACTGTAGGCTGAGGCCTGTAGCCCAGGAGCAGCCTTTGAGAGAGGTTCTGCCAGGCTGCTCCAGCACAGATACTTCAACCCACTGCTTATATACAGATGCTGGAGGTTCGGTACGTGCAAAATCACATCAGAGTTTGGGTTTAAGAGTACATCTAGTTGTAGATTACAGAAGCATAATCACTAAGCCTGTCAGACATTATATGTTAGAAAACACAAGGACTAGGGTCATTTATCTTTTAAAGAATATAGTGACCAGGCAAGAGACTTGGAGGACCGTCTGCTAATACTGCACTGTCCTCAAAGCATGCTTTCAGAGAGCTGCACATTGTTGTGGAGTCAGCGCTTCGTGAAATTATGTTAGCAAGCAGAAATGAGCAGACATGGCTGCTTATGTTTGCTACTTTGTCTCCTACGAGGTTGGGTGTAATACACAAACATGGAAGGAGAAGTGTCTGGACATTGTACAGAGCAGGGAGTCCCCAGAAGTAAGTGAGAGGAGCCTTGTGGGTGTGGAAATTACAGATTTGCTCAATATATGTATCAGTGGATGGGCACCTTGTTTTCAGTTGAGAAATAATTTGGGCTTGTGACAAGGGAGTAGATTTAAAAGCTATAGTAGCCCTTGCTTCAGCAACACAGGCGCCAACATAGAAGTAATTCTGTGAGGCCTAGCTGGGCCCTCTGCATAGGAGTGATGAGCACATTGGAAGCATCCCCTATTTTAGAAAAAGAACACTTTCTCAAAGGGAAAAAATTTGAAATCAATAGTTGTGTCTTCACCTCATCTTTTAATGCATTAATTTGTTGACATCTGTTCTCTTTTGTTAAGATAGATGATTGCTTAAGGAGAACTCTGGGTATAAGGTGACGTTTTCACAGTCTACACCACGAATTCATCATTTTACTCACTTGGGGATCTAGCTTTGAGTTATTTTTGGATTCAAACATGTCAAGCTGTCGGATTTGATAGCATTGATCTATCCAGTTTGGGCAGGGTTTTCCTTTTTGACTAACTTTTCTAACAGTTCCTCTAGGTGTGTTTAATTTTCAATTTCTCACAATCTTGTTAGAAGCTCTGGTATCCCAGACTGTTGAGGGTTGCTTGACTTGATCAGGGTTTATTGGAGTTCCATATAGTCTTGGAAAAAGTGCTGGTTACATGTTTCTCTTAAGGAATGACAATTTTTTTATGGTTTAGGGGCTGTCCCTTGCTAATTAGCAGTATTCTAAGTTACTGCCAAACCATTGGTTGAATAAGCGCTTTATGCCTTTTTGTTATTTTCATCACATTAACAAATTGCATATTTTTCTGAAGCTCTGATGACACTGCAGGTGATTGATGAGGGAAGTAAAGCCGGGTGAAGCCTATAGGCTTGCGTTCCTCTGAGGCTCCAGAACCCCATGGTTCTGAAAAGAGAATGATTTGGGCAGGGAGTGGGATAGTGGGAGTCCTGGGGGCTACTGTGCATATTTCAGAAAACTTAATGGAGATCACAAAGTTACCCACCACAAGGCTGCACAGGATACCTAAAAGGTCAGTTTACTTTTGGCAGGAGTTACTGCAATCTTGGTTATCAAGCTGCTCAGAAACACTGGCAGTAGCATATGCCTTTGATGAATAATATATGAAAACAAATGAATTACCTAATAAATGCAGTTCACTTTAAAGACATAAGTTTTCAAAACACAGGATAGAGTTGTGGCCGGGTGCAGTGACTCAGGCCTGTAATCCCAGCGCTTTGGGAGGCCGAGGTGGGCGGATCATGAGGTCATGAGATCGAGACCATCCTGGCTAACACGGTGAAACCCCGTCTCTACTAAAAATGTGAAAAATTAGCCGGACGTGGTGGTGGGCACCTGTAGTCCCAGCTGCTCGGGAGGCTGAGGCAGGAGAATGGCGTGAACCCGGGAGGCGGAGCTTGCAGTGAGCCGAGATCGCACCACTGCACTCCAGCCTGGGCGACAGAGCGAGACTCTGTCTCAAACAAAACACACAAAAACATAGGATAGAGTCATACTGGGTTAAGGGTGGTCTTTGGTGATGGGAAAATGCCATTTAAAAAAATGTCCTTCACTTTTTTTCTAGTCCTTTTTCTTCTACCTGTTGTGATAGTTTTGCCTATCTTACTTATCCTTACCTGCCTATCTCTCTCTTTCCTACTTTGTCCTTTCTGTTGCCCTTCCTGTTGCAACAAGTTTCTTAACCATCAGGATATAGTAGAAGCTCCTTGACAAACCCAGACATTAGTTAGTCAGCAAATCAAAAAAGAAGTTAGTTGAGAAAATAATTACCTACAATCAGCAAGAAGATCAACAAGTTGACCCTATAATCAGTTGATTTTCGGCAAAGGTACAAAGAGAATTCATTGAATAAAGGATAATGTAACAAATGGAGTTGGAACAATTTGATATCCATATGCAAAAATATATAAATAACCCAATCTGGATCCATATTTACACCATATTTTTAAAACTAACTCAAAATGGATCAGATGTAAAATCCAAAAATGGATAGATTAGATGTTATTAAAATTAAGAATTTCTCAAAAGATACTGTTAGGAGAATAAAAAGACAAGCGCCACAGACTGGAAGAAAAGGATTTGTATCCAGAATACATAAAAAGTTCCCCCAAAAAACATTTGAACAAACACGTTAACAGAAAAAGGAATGATGACACATAAGGTACTCAATATTGTTAGTCATTACGGAAATGCAAATTAAAACCACAATGAGGTACCACTTCACACCCATTTTAATGGCTGAAATTAAAAAGAATATCAAGTGCTGGCAAAGATATGAAGTAATTGGGACTCTATTACACTGCTGGTGGGACAGTTTCACAGTTTTCTTAAAAAGTTAAACATGTGCCTAACCTATGTCCCATCCATTCCACTCCTGTGCATTTATTCAAGAAATGAAAGTATATGTCTACCCAAGGACTCATTCATGAATGTTTGTAGCAGCTTTGTTTGTAATAGCCCCAAAAAGAAACAATCCAAATACCCATCAACAGAAGAATGAACAAAATTGCAATATGCAATTGCAGAGTACTACCCAGCAATAAAAAGGAACAGATTCTTCATACATGCAACACCATGGACGGACCTCAAAATAATTAAAGTGAAAGAAGCCAGAGAAAAAGACTACACCCTGTATGATTCCATTTATGTAAAGCTCTAGAAGATGCAAATGAATCTGGTGACAGATTGGTGGTTGCCTGGAGATGGGTGGAGGAATATTAATGAGAAGAGAAAGAAAATGATTGCAAAGGGCATGAGAGAATTTGGGGGTGACTGATGTGTTCACTGTCTTGATTGTAGTGATGGTTTCCCAGATGTAGACATCTGTCAAACTTATTAAATTGTATACTTTAAATATGTTTAGTTTATTCTGTGTCAATTATACCTCCATCAGCCAGAAAAAAATACCCTCTTCTCCCCCCTGCACCTCCCTACCCAGGATAACTTGTATATCATAAACATTTTATTTATATTTAAATCAGTAATACACTTTCATTTGACAGATTTGGTTCTTTAGACCCTCTAGTTGTAGGACTACACTTTCTTGCAAACCTTCATTTATGATGCACTGTAAGAATGCTTCCTATTTGGTTCTCTTTAAAGTGGAATTGGAACTTAATGACACATGAGAAATACTATAAATATAGAACCTCTCTAGACTTGTAGGATTTCCATTTTTTAAAATCTTTTGCTTTTTTTTCCCCATGTTTAATTCAGTATTTTGTGTATATGATTTGCCTCATCTGCTCAAAGCATCCTACTGAGTTATCAAAACAGTATTTTTTTTTTATAATTATATTTCATTGGTTTGTGCACTTTTTTATTAAATTACATCATTGCAATGGCAAACGTAACTGTGGCATAAGCAAGTCTGGGAATAAACCTGAGTAACTTTTGGTAAGTACAGAACTCTGCTGGGGGAAACCATATGCAGATGGTGCCTGATAGCGAGGAGGCTCCCAGCTGCCAGCATTCATCTGGCCGAGGTCATTCATCATAGTGTGGCTTTACAAAGCAATTTAGAGGCAGTTAATTGCTGGATTGGTTAAGGAAAGGTTGATTGAGAGAAGATTCTACTGCTCAAGCTCGTTTAAATCCTTACTTCCCTCACCTGTAAATATTGAGTCCCTACCTGGGGGTGTTAAATGAAATCATTAAATTAAGTGTTTATTGCAGTCACTGGCATGGAGTAAGTGCCAAAGATGTTCCGTATTAGGATCATTTATGTTATTTCTGGAAGCATTCTTATGTTAGGGCAAGATTGTCTGACTCAACACTTATTTTACCGATGAGGAAAATGGCTCAATGTTTGATGGCCTTTTCCATCACCAACCAGTTAGGTGGTAACCCCTAAGAAAGCTTCCCAGGGGCCTTCTTACTAAGAGGCTCCTGAAGAGTTCTCTAATAGCAGTGGAGGAATTGCAGATCCTGTGTCATGGATACAGGAGCTTCTGAGAGTGGCTTTACTTTATGTCTCTCAAATCGATGGGTGCGTTGATGGAAAGGGAGATAAAACCAGGCCTCAGTGAGGCAGTGAGATGAGAAGAGGGTTGAGAAAGTTGTGCAACTGGCAGGCAGATAAAATCTGTCTTAATAAGGATGGATAGAAATTTTGTGACAGCCGTATTTGTTTTTTCCCTAGTTGGGTCAGCTTCAAACTGAGACCTGTGCTCAAAAACCTATTTCTTCTTTGGATGGAAAAATGATCCATTTGTTTCTCTTATCTAAAACAGGATCTGTGATCTACCCTAACATGAAATTTTAAGTGTAGATTATTTTTAAAAAATCTAATCGAAATTCTGACAAAGCATTTGACTTATAAGGTTTGCATTTTTGTATTAAGAATTTTATTGAACTGAAAAATTTCTGAAAGAGAAATTTCACTCCCAACGTCTCTCATTTACATTTTTGTTAGATTTATTAATGCATATGTAGCACTTTGTATGTATGCCGGGAAGCAAGAGCTTTTTGAAAAATTGTGTTGGAATCTCAATTGTTTTCCAGATTTCTTTTTCTTTCTTTCTTTCTTTTTTGAGACGAAGTCTTGCTCTGTCGCCCAGGCTGGAATACAATGGCATGATCTCGGCTCACTGCAACCTCCACCTCCAGGGTTCAAGCAATTCTCCTGTCTCAGCCTCCTGAGTAGCTGGGATTACAGGCATGTGCCACCATGCCTGGCTATCTTTTTGTATTTTTAGTAGAGACGGGGTTTCACAACATTGGCCAGGCTGGCCTCAAACTCGTGACCCTCAGGTGATCCACCCACCTCAGCCTCTCAAAGTGCTGGGATTACAGGCGTGAGCCACCATGCCCGGCCCAGATTTCTTTAACCTCGTATTCTATGTAGGTGGGATATAACCTGTGGTTCTTTGGAATTGGGGTTTTAACAGTAAGCAATCATATGATGTGTAGTGTAAGAAGCACTAATGTTTTATTACAGCTTTCGGGGTAAAAGCATTGCAAAGGAGGTGACAGGCGTATTCTGTTGCCCAAAAGTTTATGATTTCTCTTTTGATGTTTTTCATGTTGCATGTTTGGATTTGCATTAGTTGAAAGTTCTAAGAAAATATCTAGCAAATTAAGCTACATGTGAAAGCTTTATTCAAAACTGCTAAGCATTAAAATTCAAAAGGATGATTTTATCTAAGAAGAATATTTAAAATAGTCAAATTAGTGTTTTTTATTATTAGAACTGCCTCTATATTGAGGTTAGAGCAAGTACTTTGGCATTTAGTTTTCTTGGTTTATGTGTAATTTTAATTAACAAGATATTAATTATGAGTCTGAGGATTTCAGAATTTATTATTAAACCCAAAAGAAAGGAAATAAGAAAGGTCTGAAATAAATGGAGTTCTCAACTTGTAGAGATGTGCTCTTTTTGAAAATACAAACTTCCAGGTCAGATTTCCAGTTTGGGCCAAGGAAGTAAGCTTTCACCTCTTCAAAGACAATATTGTCTTTGCAGCTGTGGAGGTTTGCGGGGAGAGAGGTCAGAGCCAGATGAAAACAGTTTTATAGGATCTATGTCAGCATTTAGCAAGGTTGATCTTGTCGGGTATGAAGTCACTCAGATGGGGGATACAGAGATATTGCTAGCTGTTGTACTATGGAAGTCACGTGATGGGATTCCATGTAAATGTCACTCCAAGTAGGCTCTCCTCTAGGGCAGGGACTGTCTTTGACAACTTCTATCCATAATGCCTACTATAGGGCTGTGCCCATTAGCTGTCTGTCAAACAAATGTGCTGGCAGCTGTGGGGAATTCAGACAATTTTCTTTCCTAGTTTTGTGTTTTGGGTGCCTACTTCCTTGGGGATTCCTTTCAGAAAACCAAATGTCAAAATATTAACAGTAAAGAAAATACCTGGATCATAAGAACTGCCTTCATATCTTACACATTTAGAATAAAAGTGATTCTTAGTCTGTTCAGGCTGCTATAACAATACCTTAGACTGCGTAACTTATAAACAACAGAAATGTATTATTTACAGTTGTAGAGGTTGGGGAGTCTAAGATCAAGGTGCCAACAGATTTGGTGTCTGGTTGAGGGCCTGTTTCTTTCTTTCTTTCTTTTTTTTTTTTTTTTTTGAGACAGAGTCTCGCTTTATTGCCCAGGCTGGAGTGCAGTGGCACGATCTCAGCTCACTGTAACCTCCACCTTCTAGGTTCAAGCGATTCTCCTGCCTCAGCCTCCCAAGTAGCTGGGACTACAGGTGCCCACCGCCATGCCCAGCTAATTTTTGGTATTTTTAGTAGAGACGGGGTTTCACCACATTGGCTAGGCTGGTCTGGAACTCCTGACCTTGTGATCTGCTCACCTCGGCCTCCCAAAGTGCTGGGATTACAGGAGTGAGCCACCACGCCTGGCCAAGGGCCTGTTTCTTATAGATGATGTCTTCTAGCTGTGTCCTCACATGGCAAAGGTGTGAACAAAGCATACTTGGACTTCTAAGGGCACCAAACTCATTCTGATTAGATCAGAATCCTGATAATCTAATGACCTCCCAAAAGGCCCCACCCCTTCTGTTGTTTTTTGCTTTTGTTTTTCTCTTCTTTTCACAGGTGTTGAAGGTCCCACCTCTAAAAGCCATCACCTTGGGGCTTAGAGTTTCAACATATGAATTTGCAGGAGGAGGCACAAGCGTTCAGACCATAGCAGTGCTCCTGTGTGGGATTATTTAAGTAGTTAAGATTAAAAAGTTAGAAAACGTCAGAAAAAGAAGACACCTTAAAAATCCTGTTTCCCAATCCCTGTACTGTATAGAAAGGGGGACAGATACAAGAATTGCTTAGAATCAAGACCTCTAGAGCTGTGCCATTCAGTACAGCAGCCTAGCCACATACTGCTGTTCAAATGAAGTTTAATTTTTTTTTTTTAATTAAAAATCCAGTTTATCTGGCCAGGCGCGGTGGCTTACGTCTGTAATCCCAGCACTTTGGGAGGCCGAGATGGGCGGATCACCGAGGTCAGGAGTTCAAGACCAGCCTGACCCACATGGAGAAACCCCATCTCTACTGAAAATACAAACTTAGCCGGGCTTGGTGGCACATGCCTGTAATCCCGGCTATTTGGGAAGGCTGAGGCAGAAGAATCGCTTGAACCTGGGAGGTGGAGGTTGCGGTGAGCCGAGATTGCACCATTGCACTCCAGCCTGGGCAACAAGAGCAAAACTCTGTCTCAAAAAAAATAAAAATAAAAAAATCCAGTTTATCAACTGCACTAACGATATTTCAAGTTCTCCGTAGTCACATGTGGCTAGTGGCTACCATATTGGACAGCACCCATTATACAACGTTTCAATTACTAGAGAAAGTTCTATTGGACAGTGCTGGGCTAGATTTTTTTCACCAAAATCTTTCCTGTCCTCTGTGAAAACCTTAATGAGTGGGTTCCTAATTATTAGCCCTTAACACTGTTTCACATATTTCAACAAATGATTTAAATTTAGAAACAATGTATGGAATACTTCTGTTACTTATTCATTTTTGGTTATCCTGGGTGTGGGGCGGTGTACCTGGGAGACTCAGGGAGTTGTGTTGAGTTCATTCAGACATCAACAGCCTTAAATAAGCAACCACAGGGACGCGAGACAGAATGGAAAAGGGCGCACTTGGCCTCCTAAGAAACACAAGGCTAATTTCAGGTCTGTGTCAAGCGAAAGTAACTTCCCAAAGCTGGAGTTCCTAACATCCCTGCTCAATTTATCCTCTTCTGTGAGCAGCTAAGCATACAGTTAATTCATTTTTTAATAACCTAATATTAATGGCATTTTTTTGAGTTGATAATCCCTTAGGAAACTTCAATGGACTTAATCCAAGATGATTTTTCTTTGTTGAGTGGTTCTCATAGATCACAGTACTAATTGGATTATTCTAAGTATAACAGTGAAATAAGTGGAGGCTGAATCTTGGGTTTTTACTTCTGATTTATTTATTCAACCAATTAACAATTTGGGAACCCTCTGGAGTCACAAGTCTTGCAGACATACTTGTCTGCCAGCTGAGGACTGTAAACTGAGTGCATCGAGGAAAATAAAATCCTTGAATACAGTCTTGGATCAAGAAGTCAGCTCTTTAAAGCTATTAATCAAATGTCACCTTCTTATGAAGCCTACCCTGACCACACTATTTAAATTGCAACCCTTTGGGCTCCTTTTCAATAACAATTATCACCTTCTGTCGCATTTAGCATGCTTATTGTTTATTGTGTGTCTCTTCCCACTGAAATCTAAGCCTGTTAAGGACATAGGTACTTGTTTGATTTGGGGGAGTCTATTTCACTGATATATACCAAGTGTCTAGAACAGTGCTTGTCACATAGGAGATACTCAAGAAATAGTCACTGAATGTATGAATAAGTAGAATATGATCACAAAGAGGAGGATTGTTTTCACTTGATCACTCCACTAAAACTACTGTTGTGGGTCGGGCATGATGGCTCACGCCTGTAATCCCAGCACTTTCGGAGGCCGAGGCAGGTGGATCATGAGGTCAGGAGATCAAGACCATTCTGGCTAACACAGTAAAACCCCGTCTCTACTAAAAAAAAAAAAGAAAGAAAGAAATACAAAAAATTAGCTGGGCATGGTGGCACACGCCTGTATTCCCAGCTACTTGGGAGGCTGAGGCAGGAGAATCACTTGAACCTGTTAGGCGGAGGTTGCAGTGAGCCGAGATTGTGCCACTGCACTCCAGCCTGGGCAACAGAGCAAGACTCCGTCTCAAAAACAAAAAACAAAAAAAAAAAACAACAAAAAAACCCTACTGTTGTGAAGATCACTGGTGACCTCCATGTGTTAAAACCTGTGGTCATTTCTCAGTCCTCATCATACTTAAATTCTTCAAAGCTTTTAATACAATAACTTCCTCTTCTAGGACTCCATGTGTTGCAGGTTTTCCTCCTAACTTACTGGCTAGCTCCTTCTCAATTCCTCCTTAAGTGGTCCTTCTTCCTCTCCCAGTCTCAACAATGGAATACCCCAGTGCCCAGTCTTTGACCCTCTTTTTTTTTTTTTTTTTTTATCATTGTCTTGGTGATCTCAGTCTGTTTCATGGCTTAAATCACAACCATATAGTGAAGACTCCTAAATTGATATATCTAGCCTAGAGTTCTCCTCTAAACTCTAGACTGTATTAGTTTGAAAACAACCTCCAAATGTCAGTGGCTGAAACAAACATCTATTTCTTGCTCATGGGTTTTCAGCTCAGCTGCGTCTCAGCTCCAGGCTGTGGATTGGGTTTACATTTTCTCCCTGTTTCATAAGTGGATCTTTTTGCTGATCTTCTTATTCTAGGACCCCAGGCCAAAGGCACTATCTGTATCTGGTCTGTGATATTCTATTGCACCAGAGAGCAGAAACAAGAGGGCAGGTGGAAGTCTTTGATGCCTCTAAACATGGCATATGTCACATCTTCTCACTTTTTTTTTTTTTGAAGACGGAGTTTTGCTCTGTCGCCAGGCTGGAGTGCAGTGGTATGATCTCAGCTCACTGCAACCTCCACCTCCTGGGTACAAGCGATTCTCCTGCCTCAGCCTCCTGAGTAGCTGGGATTACAGGTGCACACCACCATGCCTGGCTAATTTATATATATATATATATATTTTTTTTTTTTTTTTTTTGAGACGGAGTCTCGCTCTGTCGCCCAGGCTGGAGTGCAGTGGCGCGATCTCGGCTCACTGCAAGCTCCACCTCCCGGGTTCACGCCATTCTCCTGCCTCAGCCTCCCGAGTAGCTGGGACTACAGGCGCCCGCCACCACGCCCGGCCAATTTTTTGTATTTTTAGTAGAGACGGGGTTTCACCGTGTTAGCCAGGATGGTCTCGATCTCCTGACCTCGTGATCCGCCCGCCTCGGCCTCCCAAAGTGTAATTTTTATATTTTTAGTAGAGATGGGGTTTCACCATGTTGGCCAGGATGGTCTTGATCTCTTGTCCTCATGATCCACCCGCCTCAGCCTTCCAAAGTGCCGGGATTACAGGCGTGAGCCACCGCACCTAGCCCATCTTCTCACATTCTATTGGTCAAAGCATGTCACATGGCCAAGACCAAAGTCAATGAGACAGGAGTATACTCCATCAACTGGAAAGGGAGTGAATGATTTTGAATAACAACACAGTCTCACAGAGTATCTATCAGACATTTCAGACTTAGCATGTCCAACATTGAGTTCTTGATCTTTCTCTCCAAACTTGCTCCTTCTACATTCTCCCCCATTTCAATTACTGACAAGTCCAATTGCTTAGACCAGAATTCTTGGAATCATCCTAAATTCTTCTTTTTTATATTCCATACCCAAAGTTTTAGAAAATCCTATCAATTCAGTCACCAAAATATGTTTAGAATTCAACCACCTCACACAACTCAGCACTACTGCTTGATACGAGTCATTGTCTCTTGCTTACCATATTGCAATAGACTTCCAGTTGATCCATCTGCTTCTGTCTTGGCCTCTCAATGTATTTCCATCAAAACAGCCCTGTCTGCAAAACTGTATAATGTTTTTCTTTCAGAGTAAAAGTCAAAATCCTTGAAATGGCCAACAAGAATCTAAGTGATCCAGCCCCCAATTACTTCTGTAAACTCTTAGGGAAGTGTTACTACTCTTTCCCTTGCTTGCTCTGTCTCAGTGAGGTCTCCCTGCTATTCTTCTAAAATACCAGGCGTGTTGCCACTTGTATTTGTTTTCTCTCGTTGCTGTAACAAATTACCACAAACACAGTGGCTTAAAACAACACAAATTTATTATCTTACAGTTCTGTAGTCAGAAGCCTGACACAGGCCAGGTCTTGCTGTGCTAAAATCACAGCGTTAGCTGGGCTTCATTCCTTTCTCAAGGGCCTTCAGGGAGAATTTGTTTCCTTGCCCTTTCCAATGCCTGGAGGCCATCTATGTTTCTTAGTTCATGGCCCCTTCCCCCATCTTGAATGCCAGCAAGGATGGATTGAGTCCTTCTCACATTGCATCACTCTAACCTCATTTTATGCCTCCCATGTCCACTTTTTAAACAATTTTAAAACATTTTATTTTGTAAGTTTTGTAGAAACAACGTTTATTATCATTCCTTTCACTTGGTAGTTTTATGATAGCTATATAATGTAAAGAAAATACAATGATTATTTTCACCTAGGCCCATGTAAGATGTCCCTAAAATTCCTCAAATTTACCCTGGTGTGCCACATATTTTTATTTTCTATGTGTGACATTGATGTGAAGTCTGAGAAGCCTGTGCATAGCTAGAGTGTCTAACATGGAATTATCCAGAATATGTGCAGTACATTTGAATAGGTTCAAGAGATACCTTCATCCAACTATGGTGAAAAATTTCAAAAGAACCAGAAAAACCGTGACAGATTTACATGAGGTCCATCTTTACAAAATTGCATTGAAAAATAATTCTATCACATTAAAAAGTTAAACCACAAAACTGAAGACAACCTAATGTAAACAAAGTGATCAGAAATGATAAACTTCAAGTTGATGCCATAATTGTAGTTGCATGGTTAAGTTGAGAAAATACTGGATATTAAAAGCTCAGTGATGACTTTGTATGCTAACTTGAGTTATTTCCTTGAATAATGGTTATATTGAGGAATTGGTCAATTTTCCCTTTGTTCTTCTGCTTGTTTTGCTGTTTTCTCCAAATACGTCTGCTGAGGTGAACTAAAGATGACATTTTTCCCATCATGTTCTCTAAAAATCCACTAGATGGGATCTTCTAAAGAATCCAACATACTCTTCTAGGAAATTGCTGATGGTCCCTAACCACTCTACTGTGAATGACACCAGACCTCAAAAATAACATTGAAAATGCACAGGTAAGACATAATAGTTGTCAGCAGCAAATATTTTCTTTGGGGAGGAAAGGGTGAGATAAGACAAAAAAGGAAAGGAATCTACCATATAGGTTGCAGTAATCTTAAATGCTCCAATTAAGCCATATAATAAATCTTCCATGGATACATTAAAACATATTTGAAGCAAAATTTCCAGCAACTAAGAGTGTTTGGAACATGAGAGTTTAGAAAATAGTAGTAGCAATAATGATTATTGCTATTGTTGTTAATCCTTATCATACTATTTTTATAATAATAAAGGAAGTCATAGCTACTGTATCTCCAGATCTGGTTTTTTTTTTTTTTTTTTTTTTTTTTGAGATGGAGTTTCGCTCTTGTTGCCCAGGCTGGAGTGCAATGGTGTGATCTTGGCTCACTGCAACCTCTGCGTCCCAGGTTCAAGCTATTCTCCTGCCTCAGCCTCCCTAGTAGCTGGGATTACAGGTGCCCACCACCATACCCAGCTAAGTTTTTGTATTTTTAGTAGAGATGGGATTTCACTATGTTGGCCAGGCTGGTCTCGAACTCCTGACTTCGGCGATCCACCTGCCTCAGCTTCCCAAAGTGCTGGGATTACAGGCATGAGCCACTACACCCGGCCCAGATCTCTTTAAACCTTAATAAATATATAGAACTTATAGGAAATATTACTGCAATGTCCCTTATAGTCAATTAAAAGGTAAATTAAAACCTCAGCCAAGATAGCAGTTTCTAAGACATCAAAAACACTCATTGAGTTCTATACTATCTTTGGTTATTTTCTTAATTCCAATTCTGAAAAAAAATAAATGAATTCAAGCCATGTTCACTTTTAAGGACCTTTGTGAGTATATTGGGCCCACCCAATAATCCAGAATAATTCCCTTATTTTAAGGTCAGCTGACTAGCAATCTTGATTCTGTCTGCAATTTTCATTAATCTTTGCCCTATAACCTAACATGTTCACAGGTTCTAGGGATTAGGGGATGGACAGCTTTGGGGGTGGGGGGTTATTATTCCACCTATTATATCCCTTCAGGGAACTACCCTTACTATTCTCTTTTACTGTTCTACTCTCCCTTCAGTTATCTCTAGATCACACACTCTTATAGAGTTTTACTGAGATGTGTTTTTCTCAATTAGGTCTTTTCTGACTGTTGAAAATGCAGCTGCTGCCTAACCTCCTATTTCCCCTACTGGTTTTATTTTTGTCCAAGGCACTTATGACCAACTAACATCCTGTATATTATATTTATGTATCATATTTGTTGTCTGTTTTCCTCACTATAATGCAAGCTCCATGCAGACAGTGATTTTATTTGTTCACTGCTGTATTCCCAGTATCTGGAGTAGTACGTGGCACCTAGTAAGCACTCAATAAATATTTCTTGAGTGTGTCAATGAAGACTTTTCATCTTTCACTAGTTGGAGGTATGATACATTACAATCAGTTACAGAAATCAATCAATCATTGATTGACAAATATTCCTTGACAATTATGTGACTAAGACGACGTAAATGTAAATAAAAAGGTCTCTGTAATCTAGGAAAGTTATACAGAGGAATCAGGAATCTGAGGAACCCAAACAGATGTTAGGTTATTAAGTCAGTGTCTTAGTCCATTTGTGCTGCTATCACAGAATACCTGAGACTGGATAATTCATAATGAACAGAAATTTATTGACTCATATTTCTGGAGGCTGAGAAGTCTAAGGTTAAGGCTCCAGCAAGTTCGGTGTCTGCTGAAGCCATTCTCTTTTTCCAAGATGGCACCCTGCATGCTACATCCTCTGGAGGGGAGGAAGGCTGGATTCTCACTTGGCAGAAGGCAGAAGGACCAAGATGTAAAAGTGGGCTGAACTCTCCTTTTATATGGCATTAATCCCACCCATGAGGTCATAACTCTTATGGCCTAATCATCTCTTAAGTTCTCACCCATGAGTACTGTTACACTGGCCAAGTAAATTTCAACATGAGTTTTGGAGGGGACAAACATTCAAACCATATCAGTTGGTATAAGAGGCAGCATAAACAAACAAACAAAAAATCCCTGAGAAAACTCCTACCATCTTTCAGTAAAACTATTTCTGGCAATGTTTCCTCAAGCATTGTTTTAGGAGGGCCTACTCAATATCCATTGTACTTTTTTTTTTTTTTAACTAATAAACCTGGATTTTGTTCTGGGAAGCAACATGCCCAGACAAAATACTAAATCTATGTGGAAGTCTTGGGTAGGGCTGCTGGGGAACTTCTTAAAGAGGCCCTACTCAACTGGAAGGTACCCCTTCTCTCCTTTCTCCTTCTTGCTTCCTGGAAAAAGAGTGAGAGGTCAGGAGCTCCAGAAGTCATCTTGGAATGGGAGGTGACTATAAGGAAGGAAGCCTGGGCTCCTGAGGACCCTGGAGCCAGCATCTCAGGCCGGGGTGCCTACCTCCAGATTGTTACAATGTGAGACAGATAAGCTGTTGTGTTGGTTATTTTCCTTTTGCAGCCCTCTCCCCAAGATCCCTCCTCTACTCTGTCTTCCATAATCTGTGCCCTAGGAAGGTCCATTGCTCTCTGGCTTCCAATTGGTTTTGGCCAATTGAGGTGCATGGCAGGAGACCAATGCAGGAGAAGGGAAGGATAATTTTCCCCACTCCCTGCTTGCATTGTCTTGGGTCTAGCAGAGGCTCTGTTCCTCTATGGCCATAGCACCTGCTCAGCAGCCCTTCCTCCCAGGCTGCAGCTCTTGATGGGCTCCATTCACACCATCCCCTCAGCCTAGGGGTGGTAATGGCCTCCCACTGCTGCTAACCCCAGGGAGCGTCATCATTCCTCTTTGTTTCCTGAACCCTGTCCATACCTCTATAAATACTGGCTTCTTTAAACTTTGTTTCAGCTAAACTCTTTCGAATATGCCATCTGTTTCTTTCTTCCTTTTTTTTTTTTTTAAATCATCCAGCCCAAAATGTCAATGTGCCATCTCTTTCATGCTGGGATCCCCAACCGATAAAGGTTCATATTTAGGTTTCCTGCTGTATGCAGCTAAATTTAATCCTGACTGGTGTAGCCTACAGGGCCCATGTTGTTAGAAAAATATCTATATTTAGATCCTAGATTCACACTCCGTTCAGCAAAATGATCATATTGTTAGTAAGATCTTTGCCTTAATTTTTTTTTGCAAACTAAATTATTTTTTAAAATTTTCCTTTCTAATCTTCCTGTTCTAGGTTTTTCACTAAGTTCTTTCTCCTAAGCTTCAAGCTTATCTAGCATTCTAAACCTGCGACTCTACCAATTTCTTGCTAACAGCTGCTGTCTACCTGATGTCCTTTTACCAGTCAGTCAAATGTGTTATTGAACATTTCTTGAGCATCACCCTGGGTTTGGCCCTGGGGTCCAGTGGTGAATGAGCAGACAGGCTCTGCTGCTGTGGAGCCACCTCATCTGGCAGGAAATTCAGATGCCAGACAGACCATTGCTCAAGTGACTCCTCTAAAAAGGAGAAGAACTCACTGCTACACATAATAGTGCATTGAACCCAAGCTGGGGGAGATAGGCAGAGGAGTTGGGGAGATGGCATCTAAGCAAAGATATGAGCAAAGCCTCAGTAAAAATATAGCCAGGCATAGGTGGTGATGGGATCAGAGTGAGCTTTGCTGGTAAGGGATGCTGAATTAATAAAGGCCTTGATTGGTGCCTTTCTAGAGCATGGTGCATTTCTAGAATTGAGAGAAGCCTGGTATGACCGGAGCAGTAAAAAAGTGGGGTGGGGTAAGGCTTGAGTGGTGGGTGGAGACTAAAATTTATAGGGTTCATGATGCTTTTTTAAGGATTTAAGACTCAATTTTAAGACTTTAATGGGAAGCGATTTCTCGTATCTCTAAGAATGGGCCTCACAGACCTCCAATGACAGGAAGCAAAATCATACCGGGGCCCAGCAACAGTGCTCTGAAATCTATCAATGTCTTTGCTCTGAGGCTTTCATAGGTAGCTCCAGCCAGTAGCTGAGCACAGCCAGGTGATCAAGGCGGGCCCATTCCTGGAAGATATGGGACTCCTTTGAAGGCCATCCTTAGCTGAGGACTCCCCTGCAGCCTTGCCAGCTTTTCCTCAGGCTCCCTGGTAATCCAGGGCTCTCCCACCTTCCTTCCCTCTCTTCTACACTTGCGGCCAGATCTGCATTGTGTACCGAGAGCTCTTCCAGTGTCTTCTGTTTCTCTATTTTCTCTCACAGGCATCTCCCCTAATAATACCATTGCATGTTTAATCCTGTCTTGGTGTCTACGATCTAGGCTATATATTTTAAGAGGGACATTTGCTACCTGGAGCATGGCAGATAAGAGTACCCATAGGGTGAGAGAAATAAAAGACCATGCCTTATGTAGCGTGGTCAAAGGACCTCCATGTTTAGCGAGGACCCTGTCTAGCACACCATGGAAGGATATTGAGCAGGGAAAAACAATGAAGATTTAGGTATTTAATAAGTAATTTTGGGATGCCATGATCAATGGTGGATGTCGGGAGATGAGTCAGGAGGTAAGAGATGCTGGTGACCATGTAGTGAGAGTGGAAGTGGAGAGAGGTGGAGAGAATGGACAGAGATTTGGGATGTAAAATCAGTAGGGCTCAGTGATTAGGTTGGTGGGATGTCTCCATTAGGTTTCTATTTTCTTTCACTTCCCTGTTAACAAAGATTTATTGAGGGACTGATACCCCAGTCCAGCCTAAATTTCATGACCTAGTGTTTCAATTCCCATCTTGTCAATATTTTTCTTGTTACCCCTTGTAACTGCAGTGACAAAACACCAACTTTGGGCTGCCTTCCTTGAGCCTAGTCATAGCCTGGGCAGCTGCTGGAGAACACCCCATACCATGCATCTGGGTCATTTTACCTTCCTGGTCTCTATCCAGTCTCAATAGATCTACAGTCTCATGCTCTTTTAATCATTTTTCCTCCCCTATTCTTCCTGGCAGCTTTTATATTTAAATCTCTTCTTGATTCTCTTTAAACCCAACCCACCAACCCCTCTTCCTCATTCACAGGAGATAACCTTGCCTTTTACTTTACATTGAAATAAATTAAAAAATCCTTCAACTTCTTGCCACCAAATTACCAAACTTCACAATATCTGGAACTTTATTCCATCTTTCTTATCTTTAAAGAGTTGTCCAATTTCCTGTGAAGTGAAATTGATGGAGGCCAGTGTTTTGGACTGAGCTCCTGCATCAGGCCCCAATAGAACAGACAGAATCAAAATGGAGTCACTCACGCTGAAGCTCCACATCACCAAACTGAAACTAAATTGGTAATCTGACCTTCCAAAAAATCAGGAGAGATGATAGACAAATTCCCCAAATAGGCCAGTGTTAGCTGGCACGATAAGGAATTCCCTCCTGCTTTAACCCTTATAACCTGATGTTAACCAATCCACTCTTTGTATTATGTTGTTTTTTTTTTGTTCCTGCTCAAGCTACCTTACAAAAATTGACTGCTCCAACATGCCTCTGGCATAGTGCCTATTTCTAGGTGAGATGCTGCCCAATTCATGAATTGCAAGTAAATGCCAATTAAATCATTTAACTAAATTTGTTGAGATTTTTGTCTTTTGACACTTCTCTAATGCTAGTACATTTTACCTATTTCCGCTGCTGTATCAGAGATTCTCTCAGCCCTGATTCCCCGACAGTTCCCTCTTTACTGGCTCGTCAGTGCTTGGTTGGTTGGTTTGTCTGTATTTTTATTTGGCTGTGTGAAAAAAGAAATGGAAGACAGAAAGCATTACCCTGCTCACACTGGCTGACTCAAACACCTTGCTATAAACATGCTGGAGAAAAGCCTTAGACTGGCCTCAAAGCTGAAAACACCGGGGAAAATTAACTGCTTCCTACTCGTTACAACATTACCTTCCTAGCATGCTACGGCCAGTCACTTACTGCAGTACCCACACCATAACCACTGCTTTCTCTTCTAATAGTGATACATATTTTTAGTTTTATTATTTCTTTTGATTGAAATGATGCCATATGAAATTTCCATTTGAAAGTTTCTCAGTTGTATCTAGTTACATAGTACAGTTCAGAAACCTGTCCCAGACTGACTTTATCAGGAATCTAACTGGCATAGATCATATCCATGTATACGTGGTTGTACATTCTTTTCTACTGGACTAACCAAGAACCATTTCAGTGATGCAAATCATGTGACCTCTGGTTTAGCTGAAAAAGCCCTGGACTTCTCAGAAACCTTGATCAAATTTTCCACTATTGTACAAATTGGCCATTTTAGGAATTTCAAACTTCAATCATTTGGTCTCTTTTATATTTTATTTTTATTTTGGTTGTGTAATGGGACCTAAACAAATAAACTTTGATCTTTGTTTTAAAGATTATTAAAAACTTACGTGTATGTACATATAGCTCTTCAAGACCCACAGCTTTCACTATGCTGTAGGATATTGTCTCTGTGTAGTACATATGACATTGCAGGTTAATTTTCCTTGAGTGCTTTATACTCTTATTTTTCTCGTAAATCTTTTAAAATTGACATGTAATAATTGTACATATTTATAAAGTACAGTGTGATATTTTGATACATGTATACAATGTATAATCATCAATTCAGGATAATTAGCATATCCATCACCTCCAACATTTATCATTTTTTGTGTTAGAAACATTCAAAATCATCTCTTCTAGTTGTTTGAAAATATACAAGAAATTATTGTTAACTAGTCACCTTATAGCAGTATAGAACACTAGAATTTATTCCTTCTATCTAGCTGTAATTTTGTATCTGTAAACCGCCTCTCCCTATCATCCCTCCCTGCCTTCCCAGCTTCTAGTAACTATCATTCTATTCTCTACTTCTATGAGCAGAACTTTTTAAGCTCCCACATATGAGTGAGAACACACAGTATTTATCTTTCTGTGCCTGGCTCATTTCACTTAATATCCTCTAATCTCATTCATGTTGCTGTGAAAGACTGGATTTCATTCTTTATTATGACTGAATAGTATTCCATTATTTGTATATAAATACCACATTTTCTTTATCCAGTCATCTGCTGATGGACCCTTAGGTTGATTCCATGTATTGTCTATTATGACAATATGTCTATTATGAATAATGCTGCAATAAATGTGGGGGTGCAGATATCTCTTCGCTACACATATTTTCTTTCCTTTGGATAAATATATTCTTATATTTAAATCTTAAAAGTTCTTCCCTGGAATTTACATGTACCTTCAGTTACTAGCCTTTCTCTCTCCTTTCACAGCCTAATTCAAAGAATTGTCTGGATTTTCTCTCATTAGTGCTTCACCTACTGCAATCTCACTTCCACCCTTACCACTCGGGGGAAAATTGCTCTAATCAAGGAAGCCAATGTCCCATAATTGCTAAATACAATAAGTGCTTTTCATTTCTTAGCTTAACCTCTCAGCAGCACCTGATAAAGCTGCCTACTCCCTTTTTCTTGAAACACTTTCTTCCCTTGGTTTCCATGACAATGTACTCTTCTGGCTTTTTTTCCCCTACCTCTCTGGATGCTTTTTAGTTTTTCTCTACCCATCTCTTAAGTCTTCTCATACTATGCACCCTGTCAAAGGAAGAAGAGAGAAATTGCTCAGCAGTCTAACAATTCTCCTCAAAGTCATCCACACCCATCAGTGTTTCCCCTCTTCATCATTCATGTTTTCTCAAATATAAGCTAAATGTGGTTGACAGACCACTGATGGTGATTTGAGGCCACTTCCTAAAATTTCTGCAAAGACAGTCCAGTTCCACTCCAGAATGTGAGGTACCTTAGCATTTATACTTAGGGACTTGAGTTGAAATTGGGACAAGAGGAAAAAAAATTCATCGGTGTTCTGGTATATGTATGAATTTTTTAAAAAAACATTCCTATTTAAAGCCTTGGTTTAGAGCAAACTGTGCTTCTCTAAACTTCAAGTGCATCTCTCTATTCTCTGACATGTTAGACAGCTTGCTGAAATGAAGTTTCCATTAATGTCCTAATTTTTTTTTTTTTCGAGAAGGAGTCTTGCTCTGTCACCCAGGCTGGAGTGCAGTGGCACGATCTCAGCTCACTGCAACCTCCACCTCCCAGGTTCAAGCAATTCTCCTGCCTCTGCCTCCCAAGTAGCTGGGATTACAGGTGCCCACTAGGGCTACCATGCCCGGCTAATTTTTGCATTTTTTAGTAGAGATGGGGTTTCACCATGTTGGCCAGGCTGGTGTTGAACTCCTGACCTTGTGATGCACCCACCTCGCCCTCCCAAAGTACTGGGATTACAGGCATGAGCCACTGCTCCCAGCCTAATGTCCTAATTGTTATATTCTTCTTGATGGAGGCACTCTGCAGCACTCCCACTCTGCAGCACTCCCATTCTCCAGCTCGAGCCCAGGGAAGCCATCCCTAACTATATCTCATAGAGGCCTTTGGGGAAGGCAGCCAGTGGACCCAGGGAGGGGTCACAGGGTGAAAGAAGCTCCCAACTGAATTTTGTGACAGGATTTTGAGTGGGCATGAACTCCCTTGATCAGAATCTGGGGGGCAAGTGGGAAGTGTGCTGCAGACACAAGCACAGGAGCTAGGCACCTGGCATTGTGGGCAGATGGGAGGGATGAAGCCTAAAAGCCCTGCTTGCTTTCTCAGTGCAGAAGCTTATAGCCTGGGGCAGGTCTGAGTTCTATGTGCAGGCTGCCTGGATCTAAACCCAGCACTGTTAGCAGGGCATTGCAGGATTGAGACCAGCCTCGCCAACTGCATGGGAGCTGGGTGAGGCCTATCATTCACCCAGCTATTCTCCACTCCCCTTGTAAACTCTACTGTATACCAGAGTCAATTGTACTCCCCTATGGAACATTATCCCGATGGCCTGAGAACCACCCCCCATCCCCACAGTGGCTGTGGCAAGCCCTGCCCAAGGAGAGTCTGAGCTCAGACCTGCCTAACCCTGCCCTCACCTGATGGTATTTCTCTACCTGCCCTGAGAGCTTAACACAAAGGACATAAACTCTTGGGAGCCCATTGCCTGAGAAACCAGAATACTTCCCCTGGCCAACTTAGGGCAAGCTCACATCCCACTGTTACTGCCACAGCTGGTGCTCTCTTGCAAGCGCCACCTCCTGGCTGGAGGCCAACCAAGTCAGGGCATTACAGCAACTCTTGGCAGCCCTCTGGGTTCAAGCAATTCTCTTGCCTCAGACTCCTGAGTAACTGGGATTACAGGCATGCACCACCACACCTGGCAAATTTTTTATTTTTAGTAGAGATGGGGTTATACCATGTTGGCCAGGCTGGTCTCAAACTCCTGACCTCAAGTAATCCACCCGCCTCAGCCTCCCAAAGTGCTGGGATTACGGGCTACTTAAAGAAATTTAAAAAATAGTCCAGGATATGGATGAAAAATTTTCCAGAGAAATAGATATCATAGAGAAAAAAACATTCAGAACATCTGGAAATGAAAGACACACTTAGCAAAATACAAAATGGAGTGGAAAGTTTCTACAATAGACTAGAACAAGTAGAAGAAAGAATTTCAGAGCTGGAAGAAAAGGCTTTTGAATTAACCCAATCAGACAAAGACAAAGAAAAAAGAAAAGAAAAAAAAAAGAACAAAGTCTCCAAGAAATATGGGATTAAGTAAAATGTCCAAACCTAAGAATATTTGGTGTTCCAGAGGAAGAAGAGAAACCTATAAGTTTGGAAAACCTATTTGAGGGAATAACTGAGAAAAACTTCCCTGGCTTTGCTAGGAATCTAGACATCCAGCTATAAGAAGCTCTCCTGGAAAAGTCATCACCAGAAGACCATCACCAAGGAACATAGTCATCAGGTTATCTAAAGTCAAGATGAAGGAAAGAATCTAAAGAGCTATGAGACAAAAGCATCAGGTAACGTATAAAGGAAAACTTATCAGATTAACAGCAGATTCCTCAGCAGAAACCTTACAAGTTAGAAGGGATTGGGATCCTATCTTTAACTTCCTGAAACAAAATAATTGTCATCCAAGAATTTTGTATCCAGCAAAACTAAGCTTCGTAAATGAAGGAGAGATAAAGTCTTTTGCAAACAAACAAATGCTTAGAGAATTTGCCACTACCAAACCGGCACTACAAGAAATGCTAAAAGGGCTTCTAAGTCTTGAAACAAAACCTGAAAATACAGTAAAATCAAGCATTCTGAAAGCATGAGTCTCACAGGGCCTATAAAATAATAACACAATGATAAAAAACAAGGTATTTAGGCAACAACTAACATGATGAATAGAACAGTACCTCACATCTCAATACTAACATTGAATGTAAATGACCTAAATGCTCCACCTAAAAGATACAGAATGGGTCAGGGGCATGGTGGCTCAAGCCTGTAATCCCAGCACTTTGGGAGGCCAAGGTGGGCGGATCACGAAGTCAGGAGATTGAGACCATCCTAGCTAACATGGTGAAACCCCATCTCTACTAAAAACACAAAAAATTAGCCAGGCGTGGTGGCATGTGCCTGTATTCCCAGCTACTTGGGAGGCTGAGGCAGGAGAATCGCTTCAACCCAGGAGGCAGAGGCGGAGGTTGTAGTTAGCTGAGATCGCGCCACTGCACCCCAGCCTGGGCGACAGAGTGAGACTCCATCTCAAAAAAAAAAAAAAGATACAGAATGGCAGAATGGATTTAAAAAAACCTACCAACCAAGTGTCTGCTGTCTTCATGAGACTTACCTAACACATAAGACCTCACATAGACTTAAGGTAAAGGGGTGGAAAAAGATATTCCACACAAATGGAAACCAAAAGCGAGCAGCAGTAGTTATTCTTAGATAAAGCAGACTTTAAACCAACAACTGTAAAAACAGACAAAGAAGGACATTATATAGTGATAGAAGGATTAGTCCAACAGGAAGATATTACATATGCACCTAACACTGGAGCTCCCAAATTTATAAAATAATTACTACGAGACCTAAGAAATGAGATGGATAGGAACAAAATAATAGTGCGGGACTTCAGTACTCCACTGACAGCAGTAGGCAGATCATCAAGACAGAAAGTCAACAGAGAAAAAATAGACTTAAACTACACCCTAGAACAAATGGACCTAACAGATATTTATAGAAAATTCTACCCAATAACTGCAGAATATTCATTATTCTCATCAGCATGTGGAATATTCTCCAAGATAGACCATATGATAGGCCACAAAACAAGTCTTAATACATTTAAGAAAGTCAAAATCATATCAAGGACCTTCTCAGACCACAATGGAATAAAATTGGAAGTTAACTCCAAAAGGAATCCTCAGAACTATACAAATACATGGAAAGTAAATAATCTGCCCTTGAATGATCTTTGGATTAATAATGAAATCAAGATGGAAATTAAACAATTCTTTGAAATGAATGATAATAGTGACACAACTTATCAAAACCTCTGGGATACAGCAAAAGCAGTGCTAAGAGGAAAGTTCATAGCATTAAACATCTACATCAAAAAGTCTGAAAGAGCGCAAATAGACGACCCAATGTCACATCTCAAAGAACTAGAGAAACAAGAACAAACTAAATACAAGCCCAGCAGAAGAAAAGAAATAACAAAGATCATAGCAGACTGAAATAAAATTGAAACAAAAAGAACTACAAACAATAAATGAACCAAAAGTTGGTTCTTTGAAAAGAGCAACAAAATTGATGGCCCGTTAGTGAGACTAACTGAGAAAAGAAGAGAGAAGATCCAATCTAGTTCAATTAGAAATGAAATAGGGCCAGGCGCGGTGGCTCACGCTTGTAATCCCAGCACTTTGGGAGGCCGAGGTGGGCAGATTGCTTGAGGCCAGGAAGTTGAGACCAGCCTGGCCAACATGGCAAAATGCTGTTTCTACTAAAAGTACAAAAATTAGCTGGGCATGGTGGTGCGCACCTATAATCCCAGCTAGTCAGGAGGCTGACGTATGAGAATTGCTTGGGCCTGGGAGGTGGAGGTTGCAGTAAGCCGAGATCGCACCACTGCACTCCAGCCTGGATGACAGAGTGAGACTCAGTCTCAAACAAAAAAAAAGAGAGAGAGAGAGAAACTGGAAATATTACAGCCAATACCACAGAAATACAAAAGATCATTCAAGACTACTATGAACACCTTTATGTACACAAACTAGGAATCTAGAGGAGATGGATAAATTCCTGAAAATATACAACCCTTCTAGATTAAATCAGGAAAAAAATGGAAACTCTAAACAGACCAATAGCAAGCAATGAGATTGAATCAGTAATTTAAAAAATTACCAACAAAAAAAGTACAGTACCAGATGGATTCACTGCTGAATTCTACCAGACATCTAAAAAAGAATTCGTGACAATCCTGAAACTATTCCAAAAGATAGAGAAAGAGGGAATCCTTCCTAAATCATTCTATGAAGCCAATATCATCCTAATACCAAAGCCAGAAAAGGACATAACAAAAAAAGAAAACTACAGACCAATATCTGTGATGAACATAGATGCAAAAATCCTCAACAAAATACTAGCTAACCAAATTCAAAAGCCCTTCAAAAACATAATCCACCATGATCAAGTGGGTTTCATATGGGTTTACAGGGATGGTTTAACATATGCAAGTCAGTAAATGTGATATATCACATAAACACAATTAAAAACAAAAATCATGTGATCATCTCAATAGATACAGGAAAGCATTTGACAAAATCTGGCATCCCTTTTTTATAAAAACCTTCAGCAAAATTGCCATAGAAGGGACATAGCTGAAGGTAATAAAAGCCATATGTGACAACCCACAGCCAATATTATACTGAATGGGGAAAAGTTGAAAGCATTCCCCTTGAGAACTGGAACAAGACAAGGATGCCCACTTTCACCACTTCCATTCAACATAGTACTGGAAGTCCTAGCCATAGCAGTTAGATAAGAGAAGGAAATAAAGGACATCCAAATCGGTAAAGAGGAAGTCAAAATGTAGGTGTTTGCTGATGACATGATCGTATATCTAGAAAACCCTAAAGACTCATTCAAAAAGCTCCTAGAACTGGTAAATGAATTCAGCGATATTTCAGGATACAAAATTAATGTACACAAATCACTAATCCTACTATACACCAACAATGACCAAGCTGAGAATCAAATCAAGAACTCAACCTCTTTTACAATAGCTGTAAAAGACAAACAAACAAACAAAAACTTAGGAATATACCTAATCAAGGAGGTGAAAGATCTCTACAAGGAAAACTACAAAACACTGCGGAAAGAAATCATAGATGGCACAAATGGAAACACATCCCATGTTCATGGATGGGTAGAATTAATATTGTGAAAATGACCATACTGCCAAAAGCAATCTACAGATTTAATGCAATTCCCATCAAAATACTATCATCCTACTTCACAGAACTAGAAGAAACACACCTAAAATTCATATGGAACCAAAAAAGAGCCCACCTAGCCAAAGGAAGGCTAAGCTAAAAGAACAAATCATGTATGTAGACCAATGGAACAGAATAGAGAACCCAGAAATAAAGCCAAATACTAATAGCCAACTGATCTTTGACAAAGCTTACAAAAAGATAAAGTGGGGAAAGGATACCCTATTCAATAAAAGGTGCTAGGAAAACTGGCAAGCCACATGTAGAAGAAAGAAACTGGATCCTCATCTCTCACCTTATACAAAAATCAACTCAGGGTGGATCAAAGACTTAAATGTAAGACCTGAAACCATAAAAATTCTAGAAGATAACATTGGAAAAACTCTTTTAGACATTGGCATAGACAAAGAATTCATGACTAAGAACTCAAAAGCAAATGCAACAAAAACAAAAATAAATGGGACCTAATTAAACCAAAAAGATTCTGCATAGCAAAAGAAGTATTCAGTGTTGTAAACAGACAACCCACAGAATGAGAGAAAATATTTGTAAACTATGCATCTGACAAAGGATTAATATCCAGAATCTACAAGGAACTCAAACAAATCAACAAGAAAAAATACTCCCATCAAAAAGTGGGCAAAGAATATGAATAGACAATTGTCAAAAGAAGATACACAAACAGCCAACAAACATATGAAAAAATGCTCAACATCACTAATTATGAGGAAAATGCAAGTTAAAACCACAATGAGCTACCACCTTATTCCTGCAAGAATGTCCATAAATAAAAAATTTAAAAAAAAACAGATGTTGGAGGGGGGTGTGGTGAGAGGGAACACTTTTATGCTGCTGGTGGGAATGTAAACTAGTTCAACCACTATGAAAAACAGTATGGAGATCCCTTAAAGAACAAAAAGTAGAACTACCATCCAATCTAGCAATCCCACTACTGGGTATCTACCCAAAGGAAAAGAATTCATTTTATTAAAAAGACACATGCACACACATGTTTACAGCAGCACAATTCACAATTGCAAAAATATGGAACCAACCTAAATGCCCATCAACCAACAAGTAGATAAAGAAAATGTGGGTGGAGCCAAGATGGCCGAATAGGAACAGCTCCAGTCTACAGCTCCTAGCGTGAGCGACGCAGAAGATGGGTGATTTCTGCATTTCCAACTGAGGTACTGGGTTCATCTCACTGGGGAATGCCGGACAGTGGGTGAAGGACAGTGGGTGCAGTGCACCGTGCGTGAGCCAAAGCAGGGCGAGGCATCGCCTCACCCGGGAAGTGCAAGGGGTCAGGGAATTCCCTTTCCTAGTCAAAGAAAGGGGTGACAGATGGCACCTGGAAAATCGGGTCACTCCCACCCTAATACTGCGCTCTTCCAATGGTCTTAGCAAACGGCACACCAGGAGATTATATCCCGCGCCTAGCTCGGAGGGTCCTACGCCCACGGAGCCTCACTCATTACTAGCGCAGCAGTCTGAGATCAAACTGCAAGGTGGCAGTGAGGCTGGGGGAGGGGCACCTGCCACTGCTCAGGCTTGAGTAGGTAAACAAAGCGGCAGGAAGCTCAAACTGGGTGGAGCCCACCACAGCTCAAGGAGGCCTGCCTGCCTCTGTAGGCTCCACCTCTGGGGGCAGGGCACAGACAAACAAGAGACAGCAATAACCTCTGTAGTCTTAAATGTCCCTGTCTGACAGCTTTGAAGAGAGTAGTGGTTCTCCCAGCATGCAGCTTGAGATCTGAGAACGGGCAGACTGCCTCCTCAAGTGGGTCCCTGACCCCTGAGTAGCCTAACTGGGAGGCACCCCCGAGTAGGGGCGGACTGACACCTCACACGGCTGGGTACTCCTCTGAGACAAAACTTCCAGAGGAACGAACAGGCAGCAGCATTTGCGGTTCACCAATATCTGCTGTTCTGTAGCCCCCGCTGCTGATACCCAGGCAAACAGGGTCTGGAGTGGACTTCCAGTAAACTCCAACAGACCTGCAGCTGAGGATCCTGACTGTTAGAAGGAAAACTAACAAACAGAAAGGACATCTACACCAAAAACCCATCTGTACGTCACCATCATCAAAGACCAAAGGTAGATAAAACCACAAAGATGGGGAAAAAACAGAGCAGAAAACCTGGAAACTCTAAAAATCAGAGCGCCTCTCCTCCTCCAAAGGAACGCAGCTCCTCACCAGCAACGGAACAAAGCTGGATGGAGAATGACTTTGACGAGTTGAGAGAGGAAGGCTTCAGAAGATCAAACCACTCCAAGCTAAAGGAGGAAGTTTGAACCAATGGCAAAGAAGTTAAAAACTTTGAAAAAAATTAGACGAATGGATAACTAGAATAACCAATGCAGAGAAGTCCTTAAAGGACCTAATGGAGCTGAAAACCACGGCACAAGAACTACGTGACAAATGCACAAGCCTCAGTAACCGATGCGATCAACTGGAAGAAAGGGTATCAGCGATG
The DNA here is from genome assembly GCF_000001405.40 of Homo sapiens. Classification (NCBI taxonomy): domain Eukaryota; kingdom Metazoa; phylum Chordata; class Mammalia; order Primates; family Hominidae; genus Homo; species Homo sapiens. Next base: position 139,211,885 of record NC_000006.12, read on the forward strand.
GAAGACGAAATGAATAAAATGAACTGTGAAGAGAAGTTTAGAGAAAAAAGAATAAAAAGAAATGAACAAAGCCTCCAAGAAATATGGGACTAGTGAAAAGACCAAATCTGCGTCTAATTGGTGTACCTGAAAGTGACAGGGAGAATGGAACCAAGTTGGAAAACACTCTGCAGGATATTATCCAGGAGAACTTCCCCAATCTAGCAAGGCAGGCCAACATTCAAATTCAGGAAATACAGAGAACACCACAAAGATACTCCTCGAGAAGAGCAACTCCAAGACACATAATTGTCAGATTCACCAAAGTTGAAATGAAGGAAAAAATGTTAAGCGCAGCCAGAGAGAAAGGTCGGGTTACCCACAAAGGGAAGCCCATCAGACTAACAGCTGATCTCTCAGCAGAAACTCTACAAGCCAGAAGAGAGTGGGGGCCAATATTCAACATTCTTAAAGAAAAGAATTTTCAACCCAGAATTTCATATCCAGCCAAACTAAGCTTCATAAGTGAAGGAAAAATAAAATACTTCACAGACAAGCAAATGCTGAGAGATTTTGTCACCACCAGGCCTGCCCTAAAAGAGTTCCTGAAGGAAGCACTAAACATGGAAAGGAACAACCGGTACCAGCCACTGCAAAAACATGCCAAATTGTAAAGACCATTGAGGCTAGGAAGAAACTGCATCAACTAACGAGCAAAATAACCAGCTAACATCATAATGACAGGATCAAATTCACACATAACAATACTAACCTTAAATGTAAATGGGCTAAATGCTCCAATTAAAAGGCACAGACTGGCAAATTGGATAAAGAGTCAAGACCCATCAGTGTGCTGTATTCAGGAGACCCATCTCACATGCAGAGACACATATAGGCTCAAAATAAAGGGATGCAGGAAGATCCACCAAGCAAATAGAAAACAAAAAAAGGCAGGGGTTGCAATCCTAGTCTCTGATAAAACAGACTCTAAACCAACAAAGATCAAAAGAGACAAAGAAGGCCATTACATAATGGTAAAGGGATCGATTCAACAAGAAGAACTAACTATCCTAAATATATATGCACCCAATACAGGAGCACCCAGATTCATAAAGCAAGTCCTTAGTGACCTACAAAGAGACTTAGACTCCCACACAATAATAATGGGAGACTAACACCCCACTGTCAACATTAGACAGATCAATGAGACAGAAAGTTAACAAGGATATCCAGGAATTGAACTCAGCTCTGCATCAAGCAGACCTAATAGACATCTACAGAACTCTCCACCCCAAATCAACAGAATATACATTCTTTTCAGCACCACACCACATCTATTCCAAAATTGACCACATAGTTGGAAGTAAAACACTCCTCAGCAAATGTAAAAGAACAGAAATTATAACAAACGGTCTCTCGGACCACAGTGCAATCAAACTAGAACTCAGGATTAAGAAACTCACTCAAAACCGCTCAACTACATGGAAACTGAACAACCTGCTCCTAAATGACTACTGGGTACATAACGAAATGAAGGTAGAAATAAAGATGTTCTTTGAAACCAATGAGAACAAAGACACAACATATCAAAATCTCTGGGACACATTCAAAGCAGTGTGTAGAGGGAAATTTATAGCACTAAATGCCCACAAGAGAAAGCAGGAAAGATCTAAAATTGACACCCTAACATCACAATTAAAAGAACTAGAGAAGCAAGAGCAAACACATTCAAAAGCTAGCAGAAGGCAAGAAATAACTAAGATTAGAGCAGAGCTGAAGGAAATAGAGACACAAAAAACCCTTCAAAAAATCAATGAATCCAGGAGCTGGTTTTTTGAAAAGATCAACAAAATTGATAGACCACTAGCAAGACCAATAAAGAAGAAAAGAGAGAAGAATCAAATAAACGCAATAAAAAATGACAAAGGGGATATCACCACCGATCCCACAAAAATACAAACTACCATCAGAGAATACTATAAACACCTCTACGCAAATAAACTAGAAAATCTAGAAGAAATGGATAAATTCCTCGACACATACACTCTCCCAAGACTAAGCCAGGAAGAAGTTGAATCTCTGAATAGACCAATAACAGGCTCTGAAATTGAGGCAATAATTAATAGCTTACCAACCAAAAAAAGTCCAGGATCAGATGGATTCACAGCCGAATTCTACCAGAGGGACAAGGAGGAGCTGGTACCATTCCTTCTGAAACTATTCCAATCAATAGAAAAAGAGGGAATCCTCCCTAACTCATTTTATGAGGCCAGCATCATCCTGATACCAAAGCCTGGCAGAGACACAACAAAAAAAGAGAATTTTAGACCAATATCCTTGATGAACATTGATGCAAAAATCCTCAATAAAACACTGGCAAACTGAATCCAGCAACACATCAAAAAGCTTATCCACCATGATCAAGTGGGCTTCATCCCTGGGATGCAAGGCTGGTTCAACATATGCAAATCAATAAACGTAATCCAGCATACAAACAGAACCAAAGACAAAAACCACATGATTATCTCAATAGATGCAGAAAAGGCCTTTGACAAAATTCAACAGCCCTTCATGCTAAAAACTCTCAATAAATTAGGTATTGATGGAACATATCTCAAAATAATAAGAGCTATCTATGACAAACCCATAGCCAATATCATACTGAATGGACAAAAACTGGAAGCACTCCCTTTGAAAACTGGCAAAAGACAGGGATGCCCTCTCTCACCACTCCTATTCAACATAATGTTGGAAGTTCTGGCCAGGGCAATCAGGCAGGAGAAGGAAATAAAGGGCATTCAATTAGGAAAAGAGGAAGTCAAATTGTCCCTCTTTGCAGATGACACGATTGTATATCTAGAACCCCATCATCTCAGCCCAAAATCTCCTTAAGCTGATAAGCAACTTCAGCAAAGTCTCAGGATACAAAATCAATGTGCAAAAATCACAGGCATTCTTATACACCAATAACAGACAAATAGAGAGCCAAATCATGAGTGAACTCCCATTCACAATTGCTTCAAAGAGAATAAAATACCTAGGAATCCAACTTACAAGGGATGTGAAGGACCTCTTCAAGGAGAAATACAAACCACTGCTCAATGAAATAAAAGAGGATACAAACAAATGGAAGAACATTCCATGCTCATGGGTAGGAAGAATCAATATCGTGAAAATGGCCATACTGCCCAAGGTAATTTATAGATTCAATGCCATCCCCATCAAGCTACCAATGACTTTCTTCAAAGAATTGGAAAAAACTACTTTAAAGTTCATATGGAACCAAAAAAAAGCCCGCATTGCCAAGTCAATCCTAAGCCAAAAGAACAAAGCTGGAGGCATCACGCTACCTGACTTCAAACTATACGACAAGGCTACAGTAACCAAAACAGAGATACTGGTACCAAAACAGAGATACAGACCAATGGAACAGAACAGAGCCCTCAGAAATAATGCCACATATCTACAACTATCTGATCTTTGACAAACCTCACAAAAACAAGCAATGGGGAAAGGATTCCCTATTTAATAAATGGTGCTTGGAAAACTGGCTAGCCATATATAGAAAGCTGAAACTGGATCCCTTCCTTACACCTTATACAAAAATTAATTCAAGATGGATTAAAGACTTACATGTTAGACCTAAAACCATAAAAACCCTAGAAGAAAACCTAGGCAATACCATTCAGGACACAGGCATGGGCAAGGACTTCATATCTAAAACACCAAAAGCAATGGCAACAAAAGCCAAAATTGACAAATGGGATCTAATTAAACTAAAGAGCTTCTGCACAGCAAAAGAAACTACCATCAGAGTGAACAGGCAACCTACAGAATGGGAGAAAATTTTTGCAACCTACTCATTGGACAAAGGGCTAATATCCAGAATCTATAATGAACTCAAACAAATTTACAAGAAAACAAACAAACCCATCAAAAAGTGGGCGAAGGATATGAACAGACACTTCTCTAAAGAAGACGTTTATGCAGCCTAAAAACACATGAAAAAATGCTCACCATCACTGGCCATCAGAGAAATGCAAATCAAAACCACAATGAGATACCATCTCACACCAGTTAGAATGGCAATCATTAAAAAATCAGGAAACAACAGGTGCTGGAGAGGATGTGGAGAAATAGGAACACTTTTACACTGTTGGTGAGACTGTAAACTAGTTCAACCATTGTGGAAGTCAGTGTGGCGATTCCTCAGGGATCTAGAACTAGAAATATCATTTGACCCAGCCATCTCATTACTGGGTATATACCCAAAGGATTATAAATCATGCTGCTATAAAGACACATGCACACGTATGTTTATTGCGGCAGTATTCACAATAGCAAAGACTTGGAACCAACCCAAATGTCCAACAATGATAGACTGGATTAAGAAAATGTGGCACATATACACCATGGAATACTATGCAGCCATAAAAAATGATGAGTTCATGTCCTTTGTAGGGACATGGATGAAGCTGGAAACCATCATTCTCAGCAAACTATCGCAAGGACAAAAAAACCAAACACCGCGTGTTCTCACTCATAGGTGGGAATTGAACAATGAGAACACATGGACACAGGAAGGGGAACATCACACACTGGGGCCTGTTGTGGGGTGGGGGGAGGGGGGAGGGATAGCATTAGGAGATATACCTAATGCTAAACGACGAATTAATGGGTGCAGCACACCAACATGGCACATGTATACATATGTAACAAACTTGCACGTTGTGCACATGTATCCTAAAACTTAAAGTATAATAATAATAATTTTAAAAAAAGAAAATGTGGTATATAGACAATATGGAATACTACTCAGCCATAAAATGGAACGGAATAATGGCCTTTGCAGCAACTTGGATGGAGCTGGAGGACATTATTCTCAGTGAAGTAACTCAGGAATGAAAAACCAATCATCATATGTTCTCATTTATAAGTGGGAGCTAAGCTATGAGGATGCAAAGGCATAAGTATGATATAATGGACTTTGGGGACTTGCAGGGAAGAGTTGGAGGGGGTTAGGGATGAAAGACTACATATTGGGTACAGTGTACACTGCTCGGGTGTACCTGATGCACCAAAATCTCAGAAATCACCACTAAAGAACTTATCCACATAACAAAAAACCACGTGTACCCCAAAAACTATTGAAATAAAATAAAAATTCAAACAAAGGGACCTAGATAAGCTACAATGCCTATCCTTAGAACCGTGCAGGTATTTTGGCGAGAATGAGGCCTGGAGTGGTCTCAGAATTTTGTGGAAGGTTCTGAGAGATGTCCAGGGTGGTGTGTGCCTGTTCTCCTAGCAGCAGACCTAATGGCTAAATGTGGACTTGTAGCAGCTGACAGCAGCCTTGCGCTTACACATTTAGTACTTGAAAACCTCCCTTTTGACTGCATCATGGGAATCAAAGAATAAGTCATATAAGAAAAATCTATGAAGTCAGCAGCTGAAAGATTGAGTGGAAACATGTTTGCAAAGCCACTTTGCACAGAAGCTTGCAAAAAGAAGGGAGTCGGGATGTGTAGGAAATATGACAACTGAATATTTATGAGTGAAAATAAGAGCTAATGTAAATATTTAATGCATAATATTTAAATTATTGCCCACTTCAAAACTAAAATCATAGTAAAATACCAGACACTTTAGCAGGATTAACGTCTGCTTCATCCTGCTTCACATATAATTTTCACAGTAGTAGTTTAAGAAATTTTAGCTTAGGCTGGGCGTGGCGGCTCACACCTGTAATCCTGGCACTTTGGGAGGCCAAGGAGGGCAGATCACGAGCTCAGAAGATCGAGACCATCCTGGCTAACGCGGTGAAACCCTGTTTCTACTAAAAAATACAAAAAATTAGCCGGGCACGGTGGCAGTTGCCTGTGATCCCAGCTACTCGGGTGGCTGAGGCAGGAGAATCGCTTGCACCTGGGAGGCGGAGGTGGCAGTAAGCCAAGATGATGCCACTGCACTCCAGCCTGGGCGACAGAGCAAGAGTCTCAAAAAAAAAAAAAAAAAAAAAAAGAAAAAGAAATTTTAGCTTAGTTTGTGAATATTGCAATCAGTCTTAAAGCTATGAACATTGTGTCCAACATGACACTGATTTGCCCATTTCCAATAATTTGTATTTACCTGGTCTCTCCTTTTAGAGGAGGAGTCACACCTGCATAACTCATTAGACTATGATTGGATGGCAGCTGTACACGGTGGCTGAAGCATTAGTGTCTTTCAGTATGGTAGGGTCCCCTTTAGGGTGTTCAGCTTCTGCTGCTCAGCAGCAAATGTGTGACCAATTCAGTATGTGTTGGGTTCTCGACTTAATAGGGTGCTTAATTACTAACTTACATAAGCAAGTACAAGTACGTTTGTATGTATGCACATATTTAAGTAAGGTTTTCTGATGTTATTAGACACCAAAAACATATAAAATATACTTTATTAATAATTGTCAGAAATGTGCTATTAACACACATAGATGAGTTTGTGAATACTGCAAAAAGATTTAGCACTTTGAGAGTTGTCCAGGTAAGATTTTCCAAGAGGAAGGCCAAGCAGATACTTAGGGCATCTGCAAAGCAGCAATTTTGTGAAGAAGATTCCAAATATAGGCCAGGCGTGGTGGCTCACACCTGTAATCCCAGCACTTTGGGAGGCCAAGGTGGGTGGATCATCTGAGGTCAGGAGTTCGAGACCAGCCTGACCAACAAGGTGAAACCCTGTCTCTACTAAATACAAAAAATTAGCCAGGCATGGTGGAGCATGCCTGTAATCCCAGCTACTTGGGAGGCCGAGGGAGGAGAATCGCTTGAACCTGGGAGGTGGAGGTTGCAGTAAGCTGAGATTGCACCATTGCACTTTAGCCTGGGTGGCAGAGCAAAACTCTGTCTAAAAAAAAAAGATTCCATAATATTATTTGTTAATTGATGATTTATAAAAACCCAAAAAACCATTGAAGAAGTCATCATGGCTTCTGGATCTCAGCTTGGCAACAGCAGCAATGGAACCCATGGGAAAATAGAAAGCTGGTTCCCCCAAATTCCATCCCTGGAGATATACTCTCTGTGGTGTAAATTGTGGCTGAGTTCTTTGAGTATATTTTGTCAATTGTGGAATACTGGTATAGGTTCGTTATCTTTCTATTGCTTGTCTAGTGTAGTTCATTCATACTTCTATCCCGGTGCCTCACCCACTGTCTAGCACAGGGTAAGTACTCACTAATTGTATTCAATGTTCAACTCCACAATTGCTGGCTTGCCCATTTCTCACTGAAGTGGGATACAGCCTGGATCCCAACTGCAATTTGGTTTCATTTGTTCAGAGAAAAATAAACTTCCTTGAGACTTTTTCAGCCTAACAGTGGTAAACAATCACTCAAGTTGGCAGAAGAGGAGGCCTACTTAATCACTGTACAAAGGTGGTTTTCAGTCCAGTTGCTGGGTATACAGTCCTGCCAGATTTAGTGACAAGCAGGCCTGAGCTGACCAAGTCACTGGCTACATCTCCAGCGGTTCAGTAGGTGGCACTGCTGTTCTCTCTGTGCAGAAGCTGGCAGCCGCACGGAGGCTGTATGTTTGGGCAAGCAGGAATGCAAATCATCAGCTCAAAGCAGCCTTTCTGGGCAAGCAGCAACACAAACCCATTATCAGTGCGGTGGCAGCTGCTGCTGTTTGTCCCTGCTTGCAGGCAGTTTCAGAGTGAGGGCCTTTGGAATGTGACCATGAGACTGGAGACGTCAGGAAGCGAAGCCACTGGGCTAAAATAAGCAGGTTAGGAGTCAGTTATCTGGTTCCCCACAGATGTGTCTGGGAGCAGCTGGGAGGCTGAGACGGCAGGCAGGCCTTTCCTTCTTATAACTCTGGGCTGGAAAATCTCATCAATATGGAAAACTCTCTAAAGACCCATCTTGAAACCAAGTCAGCAAAAATCTAGAGTATCTTGAACTGGTGGCAGAATTATATTTGTTATACCTATGAGCTGGCTTTTCCTGGTCAGTCTTGATTTCTAATGTTCTGTTTTCTTGCTGATATAAGAGTATTAGGCTTTGTCCAACTGCATTTTCACTTGCGGTTTAGAAAATATGGTCACCGTAATTACCCTTCATTTCCTGACAGCTGAATCTCAACTGATATTATGGACTGACTGTGTCCCCCTCAAATTCATATGTTGAAATCCTTACTCTCAAACTGATGGTATTAGGAAGTGGGGCCTTTGGGTGATAATTAGATCATGGGGGTGGACCCCTCATGAATGGGATTAGTGCCCTTATAGAAGAGACCTCAGAGAGATCTTTTGCCCCTTCTGCCATGTGAAGTCACCATGAGAAGATGGCTGTCTATGAAGAAGCAGATCTCCCACACACTGAATCTGCTGGTACCTTGATACTGGACTTCTCAGCCTCTAGTACTGCAAGAAATAAATTTCTGTTGTTTGTAAGCCACCCCGTCTATGGTATTTTGTTATAGAAGCCTGAACAGACTATTTAATTTCTATTTAATTCAAACTTCTCACACAAAGTGATGGGAAACCACAAGTCACTGGGATTTGTTTTTTGCTAGTACTTTAGTTTATGGGGTGAATATCTGCCATTTTAGTGAATCCTTGTATACCATCCAAAGGGAGGCAGGAGTGAGGTAGCCATGAGTCTCTCAAATTTAAGTGGATACAAAGTAGCTCCTCGGAGAGCTGGATCCATATGTGTGTCATCATATCTGCGTCTGACAAATGCCTGGCATATGTGCTGCCCCTTCCCCTCCTTCTAGGGTTGGCGTTATTAACTTATTGTGGCACACTTTCCTTCCAGACCAGTTTTGGTCTCAGACAGATTCTTTGGCACATAGGATAAAACTTACTTGCCCAGTTTCAACCGTGGTTGACCTTTAATATTTGCATTATATCAGATAATGATAAAGGTCAAAATCTTAGCTAAAATAACAAACCTGGTCCTCCATAGCTGGCTCTTAAATAAAACAGAAACTCAGAGGAGCCGAAATCATAGAGCCCAAATACTAGAGCTCAAAGGAAATACGATGCATCTTCAGAATCTCAAGATAATGAAATTGATGCTCAAGAGACAAGCTGGATGGGAATTCTGCTTCTTGTAAGGGTAGAATCAGTTGTTGCAGGGTAACCCTGCATCCAAGAACTAGGAGAACTTGATAAAACAGGTAGAATGTCTGTTGGAAGGCACTGGAGAGCTAGCTAGGCAACAAAAACTTGAAATGGTCAAGAAAAGCAAAAAGAGAAATGAAGTAACATTGGGACTGGTTTTCCCCTTGAACGCTCTTGCAAATATGCAACCTGTGACTGAGAGGATGAGACGCTAAGCAAAGCATCCCACAGTTTCATGGGGCATCAGAAACAAAAATTGGATTTTAGAGCTAGTTAATGGTTTAGGGCCCTGGCAAACACTCCATGCTTTTAGTTGGGACCCTCAAACAATTACACTGCAGAAAATAAAGTTCCCTAAAAAGTCTGAAGCCCAACTTCAAATCACCTCAGTTTATGATTGGGTAAGATAATTGGTTCCATCTTAACTGCCTGCTGGAAGCTAAAATAAGTACTCTCTTCAGGAAGATAACACTTTCCAGAGATTTAAATCATCTCCATTTTTCTTTCTTTCTTTTTTTTTCTCCAGAAACTGCCCTGCATTCGAACAAAAAATATCTGGTATATCTCTAGGCAAAATTGCTGAAAACCAAGGTAAAAAACACTTAAGATATCCAGATATTGCAATGATCGGACGTGGAGTTTAAGATAATGATGATTTGTACATTCAATAAATTAAATGATGAGATAGAGCATTGTACAAGAAAACTGGAAACTATAAAAAAATAAGATACAATGTCTAAAACTGGAAAATATTATAGCTGAAATTAAGAACTCAATGGATTGGTATAACAGTGGCTTAGATATAATTGAAGAGAGAATGATCATAAACTGGATGATGAATCAGAAGATAGGAGTAAAGGATTAGATGGCGTTAAAATGTTCTAAGGCTTTGCTTTGGCCAGGAAGTGGCAAAATAATATTTTTCATTAGACTTTAATAAGTCAGAGATGAATGTTGAAATGCCTATGGTATCCACTAAAAGCTTAAGGAAAGATTGAATAACTAAAAATAGCTAACAGAGAGGGGAATATAATAAAAATATATAATCCAAAGTCCAAAAAAATTTAAAAAGAAAGGAATAAAAATAAACATAAAACAGATGGCACAAGTATAAAATAAATAGCAAGGTGGTGAGTTTAATTTTATACATATGAATCAAAATCTCTAATTAGAAGACAAAAATTGTCAGACTAGATAAAGCAAACAACATAAAACAAGACTCTATATTGTACAGAAGTACATATTGCAAATTCAAATAATTTGGGAAAATTGAAAATAAAAGTGTGGAGAAAGATACAGCATGAAAATATTAACCACAAGAAAGCTCATGTTTATATCAGCTTATATCATGTTTATATCATGTTTATATAAGCTCATACTTATATCACACAAAGTGGATTTTAAGGCAATAAGCAATACTACAGATAAAAATAGATATTTCATAATAAAGTGGCCAATCCAACATAAAGATATCGCTAGTATAAATTTTTATACACCTAATAATAAGACAATACCTGATAGAACAAAATGGAGACATATAAAAATCTACAATGGGCTGGGTGCAGTGGCTCACTTCTGTAATCCTAGCACTTTGGGAAGCCGAGGCAGGTGAATCACCTGAAGTCAGGAGTTTGAGACCAGCCTGGCCAACATGGCAAAACCTTGTCTCTACTAAAAATACAAAATTAGCCGGGCCTGGTGGCACACACCTGTAATCTCAGCTACTCCAGAGGCTGAGGCAGGAGAATCGCTTAGAACCCGGGAGGTGGAGATCGCAGTGAGCCGAGATTGCGCCACTGCACTCCAGCCTGGGTGACAAAGCAAGACTCTATCTCAAAACACAACAACAATAACAACAAAAACAAAAACTACACTGATAGTAAGAGCTTTAACTGATAGGACCAAATTTATTGGTCAATGGACCAAAAACTGGTCAATATTTTGGTCAATGGACCAAAAATAAATAAACAAATGAAGAATCAACAGGGTTAAAGAAGATTTGAACAACGGGATTAATAAAATGACCTAACTGATACATATAGAACACTGCCTGCACTCAACAACTGCAGGCGGAACATTTACCAAGATTGACTGTATGCAAAACTATGTAGTTTCAACATGTTTCGAATGATTTAAATCATATAGTATAGTCCATGACTGTAACACAATTAAACTATTAATTAAAAGATAAAAGTAGAAAATGTCTAATGTTTAGAAATGAATCAATACACTTTTAAACATATGTGAAAGACGAAATCACAGAGAAAATTTAAAAATATTTTGAATGGAGTGATAAGAAACATAGTAGATCAAAACTTGTGGGATGCAGTTAAAGCCATTCTTAGGTAGTCTTAAATGCATTTATTGGGATGGGGAAGGAAGAAAATTAATGATCTAAGACTCTAGCTCAAGAAATGAGAAAAAGAACAACAAATTAAGTATGAAGAAATTAACACAATGAATGAAATAGAAAACAAATGTACAATAGAGAAAATAAAATAGAGAAGAACAAAGGCCAATATTTGGTCTGTGAGGCAACCTACAAAATGGGAGAAAATTTTCGCAACCTACTCATCTGACAAAGGGCTAATATCCAGAATCTACAATGAACCCAAACAAATTTACAAGAAAAAAACAAACAACCCCATCAAAAAGTGGGCAAAGGACATGAACAGACACTTCTCAAAAGAAGACATTTATGCAGCCAAAAAACACATGAAAAAATGCTCACCATCACTGGCCATCAGAGAAATGCAAATCAAAACCACAATGAGATACCATTTCACACCAGTTAGAATGGCAATCATTAAAAAATCAGGAAACAACAGGTGCTGGAGAGGATGTGGAGAAATAGGAACACTTTTACACTGTTGGTGAGACTGTAAACTAGTTCAACCATTGTGGAAGTCAGTGTGGCGATTCCTCAGGGATCTAGAACTAGAAATACCATTTGACCCAGCCATCCCATTACTGGGTATCTACCCAAAGGACTATAAATCATGGTGCTATAAAGACACATGCACACGTATGTTTATTGCAGCACTATTCACAATAGCAAAGACTTGGAACCAACCCAAATGTCCAACAATGATAGACTGGATTAAGAAAATGTGGCACATATACACCATGGAATACTATGCAGCCATAAAAAATGATGAGTTCATGTCCTTTGTAGGGACATGGATGAAATTGGAAATCATCATTCTCGGTAAACTATCGCAAGAACAAAAAACCAAACACTGCATATTCTCACTCATAGGTGGGAATTGAACAATGAGAACACACAGACACAGGAAGGGGAACATCACACTCTGGGGACTATTGTGGGGTGGGGGGAGGGGGGGAGGGATAGCATTGGGAGATATACCTAATGCTAGATGACGAGTTAGTGGGTGCAGTGCACCAGCATGGCACATGTATATGTATGTAACTAACCTGCACATTGTGCACATGTACCCTAAAACTTAAAGTATAATAATAATTAATAAATAAATAAATATTTAAAACTTCAAAAAAAAATATTTGGTCTGTGAACATTGTAATTGATAGCGTTCTGATAAGACATAGGGAGAAGACAATTACTATCAGGAGTGGAAAATACTGCAGATATTACAAGATTTTTTAAATTAAGAGAATAAACAATTTGTGCCAATAAATATGAAAATTTAGATGCAATAGATTAATATCTTGAAAAATATAGCATACCACAACTGACAGGGAAAATGGAAAATATATTAAAGAAAATTAAATCCACAATTTAAATCCTTTCCACAAAAAACTCCAGATCTAGATAACTTAACCAAAGAATTCTTCTAAATATTTAAGAAAAAAAAGAACACTAATCATACACAAACTTTTCCCCCAAGATAGAAAAGTAAGGCATACTTCCCAACTTATAATGACAAGAACGTTGTAAAAAAAGAAAATTACAAAGAATCTCTCCCATGAACATAGATGCAAGAATCCTAAACAAAATACTAGCAAACCAAATCCAGTAATGTAAAAAGAATATTACTTCTTTACCAACCTGAATTTGTTCTAAAAATGTAAAGTTAGCTTGACATTTGAAAATCAATCACTGTAACCCACCTTGTTAACAGAAGAGAAAAATCATGATTATCTAAATAGACACAGAAAATGCATTTGACAAAATTCACACCTATTTATGACAAACACTCATAGCAAACTAGGAATAAAAGTGAATGTCCTTAATCTGATAGAAAATGTCTACAGATGCCATAGAGTAAACATTCTATTTAATAGCAAAATATGTAAGCTTTCCCTTGAGATCAGGAATAAGCTAAGAAGCCCAGTATCACCATAAACATTCAAATTCTACAAGAAGTTCTTCCAAGTACAATAATGCAAGAAAAATTAATAAAAGAGATAATGAGTGGAAAGGGAGAAAAAAATGCCATTATTTCTAGATGACATGATTGTGTGTTTAGAATATCCAAAAACATCTGCAAATAGCCTATTGTAATTAACTAGTGGATCTGATGAAGTTGCTAGCTACAAAGCCAATACATAAAAAAATTATATTTTTGTATATCGGCAGCAAACAATAATAGGAAGTGAAATTTAAATAACTATGTCATTTTCAATTGTATCATAAAACATCAAACATCTAGAATTAAACCTAATGAAAAATAAACAAAGACACCAAGAAAATATACAATGTTACTGAAAATAGTCAAAGAAGAACTAAATAAATTGAGATATTTACCACATTCCTGGATTGGAAAACTCAATATTGTGAAAACCTCAATTCTCTTCAAATTGATTTATACATTAAATTCAATCCCCATGAAAACCCCAGTGTGTGTGTGTTTGTGTGTGTAGATTGACAAGCTGATTCTAAATTATATATGAAAGTAAAAGGGCTAAGAAGTTAAGAATACTTTGAAGAACACCAAAGCAGGAAGACTTACATTATCAGCTATAAAGATTTATTATGAAGCTACAGTAATTAAAATTATGTGGTATTGGTGCAAGGATAAACAAATCAACTGAACAGAATAGAGTTTAGAAAAAAGACACACATAGGTCAGGTGCGGTGACTCACACCTGTAATCCCAGCACTTTGGGAGGCTGAGGCATGTGGATCGCTGGAGCACAATAGTTCAAGACCGACCTGGAGAACATGGAGAAACCCTGTCTCTACTAAGAATACCAAAATTAGCCAGGCTGGTGATGCGTGCCTGTAGTCCCAGCTACTCGGGAGGCTGAGGTGGTAGGATCACTTGAGCCCAGGATGCAGAGGTTGCAGTGAGCTGAGATTGCTCCACGCCACTGCACTCCAGACTGGGCCACAGAGTGAGACCCTGTCTCAAAAAAAAAAAAAAAAAAAAAAAAAGAGATAGAGAGAGAGAGAAAGACACACATACACCTGAACATTCAATTTATGACTAAAGTAGCACAAAGATGACAAAAACAAAATACAAATGTATTTGTCAAAAAAGGTAAAAGATTGATAAATTGAACACTATTAAAATTGATAAATTCTTTTAATCAAAGTATATTAAGAGAATAAAAAGGTAAACCACAGCATAGCAGAACTGATTTGTAATTGTTAAGTAATAAAGTACTGCTTTCCAGAAATATAAAGCATTACTACACATGAACAAGAAAAAACAGATAAACCATAGGAAATGAGGGAAAAAAACATCATGAATATGCATGTCACGAAAGAGGCTATACGCCTGACCAATAACTATAGAAAAAGGTGCTCAACCTCATTAGTCATCAGGAAAGGCCAATTAAAACTACAATGAGGGTCAGGTGCATGGCTCATGCCTGTAATCCCAGCACTTTGGGAGGCTGAGGCAGGCAGATCACTTAAGTCAGGAGTTCAAGACCAGCCTGAGCAACATGGCAAAACCCCGTCTCTACAAAAGATACAAAAATTAGCTAGGCATGGTGGTGCACGCCCATAGTCCCAGCTACGCGGGAGGCTTAGGCATGAGCATTCCTGGAGCCCAGGAGGTGGAAGTTGCCATGAGCTGAGATTGCACCACTGAACTCCAGCTGGGGAGACAGAGCAAGACTCTGTTTCAAAACAAAACAAAACAAAACAAACTACAGTGAGATCCCAGGTGTGGTGGCTCATGCCTGTAATCCCAGTACTTTGGGAGGCCGAGGTGGGAGGATCATGAGGTCAGGAGTTTTGCCAGCCTGACCAACATGGCAAAACCCTGTCTCTACTAAAAATACAAAAATTAGCCAGGTGTGGTGGTGTGTGCCTGTAATCCCAGTTACTCAGGAGGCTGAGGCATGAGAATCGCTAGAACCCGAGAGGTGGAGGTTGAAGTGAGCCAAAATCACACCACTGCACTCCAGCCTGGAGAAAGAGTGAGACTCTGTCTCAAAAACAAAACAAAACAAACAAAAAAAAAAACGACAGTGAGATATTACTATACGCTTCCAAATGGCTAAAATGAAAACAACTGATACATGATGTGTGGGGAGGACATAGATCAATGGGAACACTCATACACTGGTAGTTGAAATTATTGTTACAATCTATTTGGAAAACTGATTAGTAGTATCTCCTATATCTGAAATAGACACATGTCATATAACCCACCAATTTATCTCCTACATATACACATAGGAAATATCACAGCAACATTATCTGTAGTGGACACTAATTGGAAACAATTCCAATGTCAGTCAACATCGGAATAGATAAGTTGTGGTATATTCATACTATAGATCACTATATGACAATGAAAATCAATGAACTACTCCTACAAGCCAAAACGTGGATGAATTGCACATAGATAGTTTTGAGCAAAAGAAGCCAGACATAAAAGGATAACTTCACAAAGTAAAAACAAAAACAAAAAACAGCCCCCTTACACACACAAATGCACACACGCACAGGCACTCATATACACACACAGGCAAAACAAATGTGCTTTTCTCTAAGAAGGAGGGAGGGGTAACCTGTAGGATGCTTGACTATGCTCTATTTCTTGACCCAGGTGGTGGGTTACATGTGAGAATTCACTTTGTAATAAATCATCATTTTTGCAATAAAGAGTTTTTAAAGATATGTTGAGAAATTAAAATGAGAAATGAGATTTTGGAACTATTTCCATAGAAGTTAATTATTAGAATTTAGACCTCTTTTCTTTTGGTGTGCCACCATGGTGTAGCCATTCATGCTTCTTCTCATCTCTGCTACTCATTGCTGTTTGGATGCAGATGACAGCAACCCATCCAGCAACGCAACCATACCCTCTTAAAAAGGGAAACTAGGCTGGGCGCAGTGGCTCACACCTGTAATCCCAGCACTTTGGGAGGCCGAGGCGGGTGGATCACCTGAGTTCAGGCATTTGAGAACAGCCTGGCCAGCCTGGCCAACATAGTGAAACCCCATCTCTACTAAAAATACAAAAAATTAGCTGGGCATGGTGGTGGGCATCTGTAATCCCAGGTACTTGGGAGGCTGAGGCAGGAGAATCACTTGAACCCAGGAGGCAGAAGTTGCAGTGAGCTGAGATCATGCCACTGCACCCCAGCCTGGACAACAAGAGTGAAACTCCATCTCAAAAAAAAAAAAAAAAAAAAGGGAAGTTAATGGATCTAAAAAGACCAACATGTTCCAGGGGCTGAAATATGGTTACCAGGATTAAGTTTCTCTTCTTGCAACTCCACTCACCTCCTCTTGGCTTGATTCTACCTGCAGGTGATTCCTCTTGGTAGGCAGAATTACAGCAGAAAAAAACCCAATAGCTAGGTTAGACTGGACCCCACTTGGTACACGTGGGCGAGCACACTGGATCGGAGTGGCTTCAGTTCACACAAACCCCCAGATAACGTATGAATAAAATTAGTGTGAAAGTGCAACTTCATGACAAGCCAAATAGTCTCCTGCCCCACTTTCAACCCAGTTGCAGTCCATAAGCCCTCTTCTATGGCAGTTCTGGAGCTGCCACTGTCTTTGAACTAAATACTCTATCAAGTGTTACACTGTTTTAGGCCCGTCTCCTGAGGCCAGGACTGGGTGAGTGGGTAGGGCTCTGTGCTTGATGGCCCCATCCAGACTGCATGTATCCAGGACAAAGTATTTTTTCCAAGGAAGGGACATGGGCAGGAAAAAGCGATATGTCTGCTCTTTGCTAAATAATTTTTATTTTTGCACATTAGGGAAAGATAATCAATACTTCCAAATTGCCCTTTGAAAGAACTCCTACAAATGTACGAGAAAAGGACAGATGACCCAATACCATATTGACAGTTTCTGAGTATACCCATTTGCCCTCATCCTTTCTAATACTGGGTATTATCAGTATGAAAGTTCTGTCAGGCTAATGAGCAAAAGTGATTGTGTGTCATTTTAAAATTTTATTTATTTATTTTTGAGATGGAGTTTCTCTCTTGTTGCCCAGGCTGGAGACCAATGGCGTGGTCTTGGTTTACTGCAAACTCCACCTCCCGGGTTCAAGTGATCCTCCTGCTTCAGCCTCTCAAGTAACTAGAATTACACGTGCCTGCCACCACGCCCGGCTAATTTTTGTATTTTTAGTAGAGATGGGGCTTTACTATGTTGGCCAGGCTGGTCTCGAACTCCTGACCTTAGGTGATCTGCCCGCCTTGGCCTCCCAAAGTGCTGGGATTACATGTGTGAGCCACCATGCCTGGCCTGTTTATTTTTATTTACCTGATGTGTTTTAGTTATTTGTATTTCTTCTTCTACAAACTGCCCGTTCACATCCCATGCCAGGAGCTTAGAAATGAGGGTGGGACACACAGCGGGTGTGATCATCTCTGGCAGGGAGGAAAACTACCACTCACATTATTTGGGACTGCTGTGCATGGTGACAATAAAAAGCAGACTGGCTTGTGGTTGGTCTTATTACCATTAAATATTCTCTGATAGACAATGCACCTCCCACCCCATCTTCCATTGCCCTTGCCCACTTTCTTCTGAGTTGTCTTTTCTTATTACTTTGTACTATTTCTTTTTTTCCTGGACGTTAATGCTTCGTTGTATTTACTGTGACTATATTCTCCCAATCTATCCTTGGCTTTTATTTATGTTTACCTATTTTGCTCCCTTTAACTTTTGAAGATTATTAATTAACACGTGTGGCAGACAATTAGTTTGTTATAAAAAGCTCTCCTTCTCCTTCCTCTTGGTATTGCTTTAAATTACTCCCAGACTGAATTGAAGGACTTCAATATCGGTTTTCTAATAATGGGCAAGGGAGAAGCCAGATGGTCCACCTACAACTATATAGCTAGTCAGTGCTAAATATTTTGGGGAGATGAATTGTATCACAGCAAAAAATCTCTTGGCACAAAGAATGAGTTATGGGCATGGCTGATAGGCCAGTAGGATCTGCAATCAGTCCTGGTTTACTACCTTCTGACTCACTGATTAAAACATAAATGGATTGGACACTATTTCTCTTTGGCTTTTGGTTCAGGGAAACTATTCAGGGGCTTGATTTCAGCTGGATAATAGCAGAGAAAAAGGAGACTGGGACTCCGCCTCCAAGGACGTCACCCTAGTTAAAGATAGTAACCATCTGAAGAGCTCCTCTCCGCTTAGGCAGGCCAGAATCAATTTAGCCTGTTTGCTACCACTTCTTGTGCTCCATGCTCTGCAGCTGGTCTCTGTGAGGAATGGCATGGAGAATTTCTCAAGACATACTCCTTTTCTTGCCTGGGGATGGAGCTGTGAGTCCATGATGACTGTCACATTGGGCTGGTGGTGCATGCAATTATTTCATGAATAGCTGACACTATACTTGCAGCCTCACACACCTGCCTGTTTGTTCAGAAGCCAAAAAAAGTGAGCCTTGTGACATTGTAAGCAAAAGAGGATTAGTTGAGCAAACAAAAGTCTGCAGCAAGATGGGATCCTATGAAAAAGTAGCTAGCCACATGACTCAAATTACATCTGCAGTGTTTCAGCTTTTCAGTTCCCAGCCCCAACACATACACATTGTAAACTTGCATATAACCATCACCCTTACATAGGCTCCATTACTTTATTATGCATAAATAGAGTCACATGCAACTACAAGCATTCATATAGAACTACATACATACAATGCACTCCCAGAAAACTGCACATACCGGCACGTTTTACACACAAATATTCATACGTACCCTCACACACAAGTACACACTGACACATAAATACATGAACACACAAATAACCACACACACATTTCATAAAACCCCCATTCTCTAGCAAGAACCTACACTCTCTACTTGGAGATCTGGGTATCATTTCTAATAAACATGCTGTCAGAGTTTTCCTTCTTGTTTTTTAGTTGCTGAACATTTTGGGGTGAATGAGACAGCCCAGAGTCTCTTCCAGGCCCTTCCCACGGTGCTGAGTTCCTAGCACTGGAAGTGGAAGGAGTCATCAGGCCTGAGTCACACAACAAGGTGCTCTGATCTGGAGCAGACAGGGTCAAGGTGTGGGTGGTCGTGAAACACTTTGCTTAGACTTGTAACCACTGTCATTCCAGGGGCTAGCACAGAACCTCATGCAGAGAAGGCCCTCAATGTATGTTGAATAAATCCTTCATCTTTCCCTATTTAATTTTTAAACTTAAAAGAAATTATATGAGTAATTTCTTGTCTCCTTTTTCTTGCCTGACTTAACAGAAGTAACCCAAATGACGTGCAGGTCTCATAGAATAAAACTCTCCCTGGAGGTGGGGAAACTTCATAATCTCTTGAGATTTTAATTGGAGACACCAAAATCCTTACATATCTAGTAAGGAATCTCTAGTCTGAGGTTCTCATCTTATAGGTGAGTTAACTGAGGCCCAGAGATGTTAAGCAATTTCTCCAAAGTCACCCAGCTAGTTGGCAGCAGAGCAGGGACTAAGCATTCAATAGGCTGATTCCTGGATGAGTACTATCCTTGATTAAACTTGGATACTTTTATTCCAGGAATAACTTGTTGATAAGAATGTTAAGAAGACAAATGAACGTGAATTTCTTTACTCAGAGCATTACAATAGTCTGACTGTGAGGAATTATACTGGTTTGGGTAGAGCATTTACTATATTCTAATAAATCTGGCCTGTGGTATCACACTGTGTATTAATCTGTTCTCACACTGCTATAAAGAACTGCCCAAGACTAGGTAATTTATAAAGGAAAGAGGTTTAATGTACTCACAGTTCCACATGGCTGGGACTGGACATGGGGAAGCTTCAGGAAACTTACAATCATGGCAGAAGGGGAAGCAGGCACATCTTACATGGTGGCAGGCCAGAGAGAGCTTGTATGAAGGAGGAGCTGTCAAACACTTATAAACATCTCATAAGAACTCACTCACTATCATGAGAACAGCATGGGAAAAACTGCCCCCATGATTTAATCACATTCCACCGGGTCCCTCCCTCAACACTGGGGATTATGGGGATTACAATTCAAGATGAGATTTGGGTGGGGACACAGAGCCAAACCATATTATACTTGTAGTACTCTCATCTAATATATATTTAATCTCATGACTTCAGATATGATTAAAGTAGTCCTGTCGCACTAGTTCTATAAACTTGAACTCTGACTTTGAAATTTTCTTTGTATATGGGATTTCTGAATACTTTATGGCTTGTTACATCTTCCTAGTACATATATTAGAGCAATCTCAGGCTCTTGACAGTTTTTATCCGTGCTCTACTTAATAGGTATGAAACAGATAATGCTGGTTATCATTTCCCTAGAGCAACAAAACCACTAACTGTCTCATCAATTTTGAAATGCTCGAATTTGTTTTAGAACCCTGACCTTTAGCCAATGCTATGATTTATGGTATTATCATCTTTCCTGTCACTTCATAAACAGTTTGACTTTTTCTCTTGTTTTATTATTTACCACATTCGTATTTTTCCTGAGTTGGTCTCTTATTTATTTTTTGAGCTGTGTTGAGTTTAAATATCTTGCTCTACCCCATGTCCAGGAGGTTTATGTGGAAACCTGTATGTGTGTGTTGAAATCTTTAAGTACAATGTGTGGAAAAGCTTTGTAACAACATGTATGAATGCTGGGTATTTGTATTTACATAGTCATGTTTATTCTATAAATAATATAATATGCTTCCATGTTTTTATGATAAAGTGAAATATATAAAATTTTACTACACAATGTAAACACTCAAATCTGGTACCTATTAATAGCTATCATTCTCACCTGTACTACTGTGTCCTCCCTAAAAGCCAAACTAACATAATGTTAAACTTAAAAACACATTCAAATAATTTAAAATGCACTATTTTATATACTGGATGCTGACAGTGGTTAAATTAGAGTGATATAATTATGAGTAAGTTTTCTCTATTTTCTGAATGTTTATTATGTAATTTTATTATTTTTATAAGAGACTGCCTTTACTATATATAAATATATATTTTTATATAAATTTATATATATATAAATAAATATATATTTTTATATAAATTTATATATATATAAATAAATATAGATAGATAGATAGATATTTTTTTTGAGACAGTGTCTCACTGTCACCCAGGCTAGATACAGTGGCAGGAACATGGCTCATTGCTTCCTTGACCTCCTGGACTTGGTGAGTCTCATGAGATCTGATGGTTTTTTAAGTGTCTGGTGTTTCCTTTGGTTGCACTCACTCACTCTGTCCTGCCACCCTGTGAAGAAGGTACCTGCTTCTTCTTCACCTTCTGCCATGATTGTTAAGTTTCCTGAGGCCTCCCCAGCCATGCAGAACTATGAGTCAATTAAGCCTCTTTCCTTTATAAATCATCCAGTCTTAGGTATTTCTTTATAGCAGTGTGAGAATGAACTAATATAGTAAATTGTTACCAAGATAGTGGGGTGCTGCTATAAGGATACACAAAAATGTGTAAGTGACTTTGGAACTGGGTAACAGGCAGAGGTTGAAACAGTTTGGAGGGCTCGGAAGATGTGGGAAAGTTTGGAATTCCCTTCCTAGAGACTTGATGAATGGCTTTGACCAAAATGCTGATAGTGATATGGACAATGAAGTCCAGGCTGAGGTGACCTCAGATGGTGATGAAGAACTTGTTGGGAACTAGAGTAAAGGTCACTCTTGCTATGCTTTAGCAAAGAGACTGGCAGCATTTTGCCCCTGCCCTAGAGACCTGTGGAACTTTGAACTTCAGAGAGAGGATTTAGGATATCTATGGAAGAAATTTCTAAGGGGTAAAGCATTCAAGAGGAAGCAGAGCATAAAGGTTTGAAAAATTTGCAGCCAGATGTTGTGAAAGAAAATAAAAACCCATTTTGGGGGGAGAAAGTCAAGCCTGCTAAAACACTCCAGAAATTTGCATAAGTAATGAGGAGCTGAATGTTAATCACCAAGACAATAGGGAAAGTGTCTCCAGGGCATGTCTGAGACCTTCATAGCGGCACCTCTTATCACAGGCCTGGAAGCCTAGGAGGAAAAAATGGTTTTGTGGGCCAGACCCAGGGCCCCACTGCTCTGTGCAGCCTTGGGACATGGGGCCCTGCATCTCAGCTGCTCCAGCTCCAGCAGTGGCTAAAAGGGGTCAAGGTACAGCTCAGGCCATTGCTTCAGAGGGTGCAAGCCCCAAGCCTTGGTGGTTTCCACGTGGTGTTGGGCCTGTGGGTGCACAGAAGTCAAGAATTAAGGTTTGGGAACCTCTGCCAAGATTTCAAAGGATATAAGGAAATGCCTGGATTTCCAGATAGGAATTTGCTGCAGGGGCAGAGCCCTCATGGAGAACTTCTACTAGGACAGTGCAGAAGAAAAATGTGGGGTCAGAGCCCCCACACAGAGTCCCCACTGAGACACCGCCTAGTGGAGCGTGGAGCTGTGAGAAGCGGGCCAAAGTCCTCCAGACCCCAGAATGGTAGATCCACCAACAGCCTGCACCATGTGCGTGGAAAAGCCACAGGCACTCAATGCTAGCCCATGAAAGCAGCTGGGAAGGGCACTGCACCCTGCAAAGCCACAGGAGTGGAGCTGTCCAAGGCTACGGGAGCCCACCTCTAGCATCAGCATAACCTGGATGTGAGACATGGAGTCAAAGGAGATCATTATGGAACTTTAAGGTTTAATGACTACCTAGTTGGATTTAGGCTTACATGGAACCTGTAGCCCCTTTGTTATGGCCAATTTTTCCCATTTGGAATAGGTGTATTCCCTCCGGCCTGTGCCCACAGACCTAGGTGAGGACAGGCGCTCCTGTTTTCACACCCAAATGTTGCATTTTCCAAGACCACCCTGGCCTGCCACATCCCCCATCCTGTGTCTATAAAAACTTGGACACCTTAGCAGACACAGTGGCTGGATGTCAAGAGGAACACATGCAATGCCTATACCCCCATTTTGTCTAGGAAGTAACTAACTTGTTTTTGATTTTACAGACTCACAGGCAGAAGGGACTTGCCTTATCTCAGATGAGACTTTGGACTTTTGGGTTAATTCTGGAATGAGTTAAGACTTTGGGGGACTGTTGGGAAGGCATGATTATGTTTTAAAATGTGAGGACATGAGATTTGTGAGGGGCCAGGGGCAGAATGATATGGTTTGGCTCTGTGTCCCCACCCAAATCTCATCTGGAATTGTAATCCCCATAATCCCTATCTGTCAAGGGTGGGACCAGGTGGAGGTAATTGGATCACAGGGGTGGTTTCCCCCATGCTGTTCTTATGATAGTGATATGGGATGGGGGCAGGGAAGTGCTGGTAGAGAAAGGCAGGGTCCCTGGTGAGGGCTGTACCCTCGAGCCTGTGCCCAGGGACCGAGGTGAGGACAGGCACTCCTGTTTTCACGCCCAAATGCTGCATTTTCCAAGACCATCCGGGCCCGCCACGCCCCCCCTTCCTGTGCCTATAAAAACTTTGACACCCTAGAAGACACAGCTGCTGGATGTCAAGAGGAACACATCAGCGGAAGAACGCACAGGCAGCTGGATGTCAAGAAGAGCAGAGGAGCGGAAGAGCACACCGACAGGCACCAGCAAATGCTGGTAGGCCATCAACAGTGGAACAATGTGGAATTTGGCTGGGGATGGTCAGAGAAGAGTCCGGACGCTGGGCAGCCTGACTCCAGGGGAAGACACCTTCCCACTCCTTCCCCCTTCTGGCCTCCCCATTCACCTCACTGAGAACTACCTCCACTCAGTAAAACCTTGCACTTATTCTCTAAGCCCACGTGTGATCCAATTTTTCTGGTACACTAAGGTAAGAACCCAGGAGAGAGAAAGCCCTCTGTCCTTGTGATAAGTCAGAGAGTCTAACTGAGCTGATTAATGCAAGCCACCTGCAGACGGCTAAACTGAAAGAGTGCACTGTAACACACGTCCACTGGGGCTTCCAGAGCTGTAAACACTCAACCCTAGATGCTGCTGTGGAGTCAGTGCTCTCCACGACCTGCCCTTCTGCATGCTCCCCTAAGGGTATGAGCAGTAGGGCACCAAAGAAGCGAGCCACACCCCCATCACATGTCCTGCAATGGGGATAAGGGAACTTTTCCCATTTCAATAGTGAGTGAGTTCTCACAGATCTGATTGTTTTATAAGCACCTGGCATTTCCCCTGCTTGCACTCACTGCATCCTGCTGCCCTGTGAAGAAGGCACCTGCTTCTCCTTTGCCTTCCACCATGATTTTAAGTTTCCTGAGGCCTCCCAAGCCATGCAGAACAGTGAGTCGAGCCTCTTTCCTTTATAAATTACTCAGTCTTGTGTATTTCTTCATAGCAGTGTGAAAATAGACTAATATACAGGCTCAAGCAATCCTCCTGCCTCAGCCTCCCAAGTAGCTGGGACCACAGGTGCCTGCCACCACACCTGGCTAATTTTGTAATTTTTATAGAGATGGGATTTTGCCATGTTGCTCAGGCTGATCTACAACTGCTGAGCTCAAGTGATCCTCCTGATCCACCCACCTTGGCCTCCCAAGGTCCTTGATTACAGACCTGAGCCACTGTGCCTGACCACCTTTATTATTCTAAAAGAAACACAAATAAGAAAACAAGGCAGCAACCCTACAAACCCTGTGCGTAAAAATTCTCCAGGTTGGAGCTGTGGTGTTAAAGTGTATTAAGGTCATCATGGGTTGGGCTTTTTATTGCTATCCTGCTTCCCCAAAAGGGCTCATCAGTTTATGTCCCTCTTCCTTTCATTGTTCTTAATAGTCTTACGGTTTTATCTTATATGTCATATCTTATCTTAAGATCTTACCCTCTATATAATAGCTTATAGATTTGAACTCTTTCACATTTTTTTGAAAATATGTAGTATATTGGCCGGGTGCAGTGGCTCACACCTGTAATTCCAGCACTTTTGGAGGCTGAGGCAGGCAGATCAGGAGGTCAGGAGATCGAGACCATCCTGGCTAACACAGTGAAACCCCGTCTCTACTAAAGATACAAAATATCTTTATTTTGGGTGTGGTGGCACATGCCTGTAGTCCCAGCTACTCGGGAGGCTGAGGCAGGAGAATCGCTTGAACCTGGGAGGCAGAGGTTGCAGTGAGTCAAGATCGTACTACTGCAGTCCAGTGCCTGGGGGATGGAGTGAGAGACTCCATCTAAAAAAAAAAAAAAAAAAAGAAAAGAAAAAGAAATGATGTAATGTGTCTATTCTAGATATTTTACCTATAACATATATACATATGTAACAGACACAATAGCTATCAGATTGAAAATATTTCCTTTTCCTCTTGTAACATAATGTCTTCCTGCTTGGCTTCTAGCAAGTAGTTTTTGTGTTATTTGACATAAAATGTCATCAACTGACTGTCAGTTCTGAAATAATGAGTTTTACACGTCGGTATGTTTTAGTTATGATTTGAGGTAATTGAACATTATATCACTTAAAAAAAAGTCAAAGTGGAATAGATGTTGGTATGAATAGAAATCCTGGGCTCTAAAATTCAGCAGGAAGAAGGACTTGCATTTGGGTTTAGCTGAGCTTGATTGTGCTGTTGAAATAATTTATCCTTTTTGTTATCTCCTGGCCAGGTGAAGTAGCTTCTGTGAATAATTTTTGTGCCATAGATCAATGAATTTCTAGGTTTATTTTGCTAGTTAAGTGTTTCTACCAAATATCCTTATTTGGTGGAAATGATTCTTTTTTATAGTTTGTTCTTGTCAGGAAAGATAATACTAAGTATCCTTTGAAAATACTGGTGTAAGCCCAGGCATGGTGGCTCACGCCTGCAATCCCAGCACTTTGGGAGGCCAAGGCAGGCAGATTACTTGAGGTCAGGAGTTTGAGACCAGTCTGGCCAACACGGTGAAACCCCGTCTCTACTAAAAATACAAAAGTTAGCCGGGCATGGTGGCAGGTGCCTGTAATCCCAGCTACTCAGGAGGCTGAGGCACGAGACTGGCTTAAACCTGGGAGGTGGAGGTTGCAGTAAGCCGATATCACGCCACTGCACTCCAGCCTGGGCAATAGAGTGAGACTTAGTCTCACAAAAAAGAAAAAAGAAAATATTAGTGTAAATACTCATCAATGGGACCAGAATTAAACTTAGGTCAAATTTTATACCTCCGTATTTATGTATATGTATGTGTGTGTGCATTCACACGCACATGTGACAGAAGCTAGCATTTGTAGAACTTTTATCAAGAGAAACCACCAAAGAGACTTAACGTCAGTATTGAGGATACAACTTAATAGCGTTGAGAAAAATCTTCATTATTATCACATGAAAACTTCTGTTCCAACAGAGTGCTCTATGGATGATAACCTTAATTTTCAAGTTCTAAAATACAGAAATGGAAATTATTTAAACCTTGTGAAAATTGAACCCTTATGCCTCACTCGCCTGTGAAACCCTCCTTGCCACTTTATGATGAGAATGAACTTCGGAGGCCAGAGTCCTTATTTTCATTTCACATCTTCCATTAGCAAATTCTTTACATTTTAAATTATTTTACTTTCCCAAATACTGGATTTAACTACTGGTTAGAGGAGAATGGGCCAGGAAAATTGTCCTGAAACCATCTGCCTCTCCTGTTTCTTGTTGGTCTTATTGAAAAGCAGCATCAGTTTTACAACGAACACATGTTACTTTTATCATCTCAAAAAAGGGGCTATTTAAAACGTGTACGTCAATACCAGGCCAAAAGGAGCAAAATCAGTCTTACAGGCAGGTCTTACCTTTTCTCCCTTCTTAGCTCACAGTCCTCTTCTCACAGCACGCTAGGAAATGTGGTGTTTGAGAAGCCCCTCCCAGGTCAGTGTGGACTGAGAGAGGGAGAAGAATCAAAACGCAGAGCAGCTGGGCCTCTTTGAGTCTTGTTCGATGAAATTCTTGGAGCAGTCAGGAGGGCTGGAGAGAGGAAAAGTGCATCGGCACCTTCTACGCTTCCTCCCTTCCTCCAGGAGGACGCACGGCAGAGAAGCCTGTGGAAACGTGGTCTCGTGGGAGGT
This sequence comes from Homo sapiens, assembly GCF_000001405.40. Taxonomy (NCBI): domain Eukaryota; kingdom Metazoa; phylum Chordata; class Mammalia; order Primates; family Hominidae; genus Homo; species Homo sapiens. The sequence continues at coordinate 139,239,359 of NC_000006.12, forward strand.
TGGTACTGAGAAACATATCAGCTGGGTGAGCACTGTCCACCAGCACTGCAGAGCCAGGCAGAGGAGTCTGGGTTTTGTTTTCTTATTAGCCCTGGGTACTCCGTTTCCAGTGCTTCTCTCTTATAGGCCTCAGTGACATTTTTTCTTTTTTTGAGACAGGGTCTCACTCTGTCACCCAGGCTGGAGCACAGTGGCATGATCATGGCTCACTGCAGCCCCAACCTTCCAGGCTCAAGCGATCCTCCTGCCTCAGCTTCCCAAGTGGCTGGGACCAGAGGCATGTGCCACTATGTCTGGCTAATTTTTTTAAAACATTTTTTGTAGAGATGGGGGTTTACTATGTTGCCCAGGCTGGTCTTGAACTCCCAGGCTCAAGTGATCCTCCCACCTTAGTTTCCAAAGTGCTGGGATTATAGGCGTCAGCTACCATGCCTGGCCTCCGTGATTTGTAACTGTAGCCTCATTGTTATTTCTCCCTCCCTTTCTCTCTCTGTCTCTCTCTGTCTGTCACATACACACACACACACCCCCGCCCCCAATATCTTCAAAGTGTTGACTACACGTAATTCTATTTAGTGACCAAAAACTTAATAAACTACAGAATAAAACCATAATTTTCATTAGGTATTGTCGAAACATAGAAGTAATAAAAACAAAAATAAAATAAGTCAAAGTTAAAAAAATAAAATGAGTACTAGAGAATTTGGGAAGAGAAGTACCTTTTTAATAGATATATAAATTATAGTTATTTAACTTAGAAAACAATAACTTTAGTGTTTCTAGAAAGTAGATGGCATTTCTAAAAAATAGTTACATACACTTGATAAAGAACAGACATTCCTTCTGAATTTAGAACTTTATGAGTTATTGTTATAATTAGTAAGGCTAAATTTTAACACAAAGGACTATAATAAAACATTCTTTGAATATTAAAATAATTCCCCCAAAACCTATATTAAGCTTTACAAATTTCAGACAAGTCATTCCATCTGAAACTCTGTCCAAGATATACATGGCTGTGAGTAATGTGTTTCTGTGAAAGTCTTTTGGATGAAAATAATGAACTTTGGGTTTTAGAATATTTGATTTACTGCCTTTGGGTTCCTCTGCTGCCTGTTTCTCTTGCTAAATATTCAGACTGAGACTTTACTATGACTAATCTTACTCCATTCTTGGACGTTCTGCCTCTGCAGTGGGGAAGGAGACCCTCCTGGATTATGGTGAATATTTAGCTCTGAATCAAATGAATGTTTAAATCTCTAAGACTTGCAGTAATGTTGAATTTGGCTGGATACCCTGTGGTTATAATATTTTAAGCCTTTAAAAATATACAGATTCTCAAATAGCGACAAGCTTTTTTCCTGATTTTTTTTCCTGCCTAGCAACTTTGTTATTATCCTCACTGTCTACTTCAAACAAACTGTATGCAGTTTACAATTCTTGTAGCATATGGTTGCTGCCTACAAGCACTTTGTGTGCCTTGGCAAACAGCCACATGCAACATTGAAGAATGGTTTCCTGGATGAGTACTAGAGAATTTTGTTTCTATCCATTTTTCTACTTGAGTTCAACTTTCAAGATAGGGTTGGGTTAGACATTGTTTCTTTCTTCCCTTCTCCCTCCTTCCTTTCTTCCTTCCCTTTCCTCTCTCTCCCTCTCTTCTTTCCTGTTTCATTGTTGCAGCTATCCTTTACCCTAGGTAATTTATGTTGTCAGTATCATTAGAGGTTCTCATCAAGCAATGTTAATGTAATACTCATGTTGACAACCCCAAGTGTTTCTAGCTTTTGCCTTCTCCTGAATCCTCACCTATATTTCAAATCATTTTGGTTAAAATCCATTGGTTTTTTTGTTTTGTACTTCTGGCCTAAAGAGAAATCCTCATGGCAGAAAACGTGTTGGTTTGTAAGCCTCATCACTGATATTGAGACCCAGTGTAGATTTGTGTTTTGGAAAAACAATAGCTTTATTTAGCATTAATTGAGATGAGGGCTGGGTGTAATTTCCTGCTACAAAGGAGAAATTGGGAAGGAAGGAGCAGAAGCTTTTAGAATATAGAATGGGTCTGACAGCAAGAGATGAATATTATGTCTTGAGACATTGGTAGTGCAAGAGGCAGGGGATCAAAGCACAGCCCCTTCTTAGTGTGAGGTCCCTTAACCCCTCAATCCCTAGCTCCCCTTTCCCACTTCCAACCGTTTCCTTGCAGGAAGCCTGGAATGGGATGCCCTGGCACATGAGGGGGTGGCAAAGCAATGGGCTGAGAAGTGTAGGAGAAGCAGCTCCAAGAGGTGAGCTTGTGTTTCTCTTTTCTGTTTTGGGCCCCTTGTGGTCATCTTTGTGTCCATGCTGTCTGCACAGATTGTAGTCTAACTGCTTTTCTGCCATTTGATCAACTGGTTGAATTCATTTATCTACCATTGGGTTACTTATTTTTGCCCAACATAATGATAGCCTAAATACTTATAGTCCGAACTCTCTTCGGATTTATAGAGCATTAGTCAACCATAGTCTCAAGTGCAAGTAAGAGATCATTTTTTTGATTAGCATCTAAATATTCTGCATTGAGAAAAATGCATTAAGGGGTGAGAGAAATGTATGTGTAATAATGCATTTATATATACATATAGATACGTGCATATATGTATATAAACAAATATTCACACATCTATACATACGTGTATATATACATATAATAAGTACACACGTATGTATATATTATGTATATGTATAGTTTAAATGTAACCTGGGCATCCATAAATTACTATGGAACTTGTTAAACTATATATCCAAATAAGCAGAACATCACATTTTCAGTATTTATATATTGCAGTGGAAGTCTTTAAACATCAAATCTTACTGGTGATTAACAAATTTAAGTATTATCTTAACAGAAAAGGAATATAAATTTGCTATCTGTATGTTTTGTTGCCCTTTGGGAAAATTATACTGTCAACCAGTGTTAAATAGAAAACCTTCAAATCAGCTATAAATTGACAACAAATAGCAAAGTCTGAATGAATGTGTTCTGCCTAACATTAAAAAATGTCTTGATCCTAAGTCTCTTCCATTTGACATCTCTAGCCCTTAATGCCTTTTTCGGAAGACAAGCTGTTATGCTGAATATGCAAAGAGGCAGGAAGAAGCCTCTGAAGGCACGGTGAGGCTTAGTCGACGCCTTCCAGATTGGTGTCAGCCACGTTGCGCGGCTGGGGCCCAGCTGAGGCCCCTACTGGCAGCTCCTCTGCTGCTGCTCGTGGGGGCTGCCTACTGGGCTCGCATGCAGGCACCATGGCTGCAACGTGCTCTTCTGCTGCGCATGCTGGAGCAGGCACATCTGCCTCCATCTTCTGTAGGGAGGCCTCGGTGGGAGCCTGTGGGGCCTGACCGGAAGCTTCTGCCTCTGGCTTCCAGGACGCCTGATCAGCCTGTGCTCCAACAGGGAGACCCTCGCATTGGGTTTCTGCTCCCAACCCGGCAGGAGAATTACTGGCCTTGGAGGGAGGTTCAGCATCACTGCCTCCTTCGGCTTCAGCCTGAGGAGTTAGGGGAGGCAGGGGACTCTCTGAATCCCGTGAAGGGATCAGAGGGGGTTGCTCTGGCTCCTTGAGAGCGGCGTCAGCACTCTCCTGAGAACTGCCTATTTCGGGTTGGGTTTCTTTGGACTGGTGCGGGGTTGACTCTGGATGATGAATTATCATGAAGGCTGTGGCCAGATTTTTCACGGCGGTTTGGACACTATTAACCTCCTCTGCGTCAATCTCTTGATCCACAGAGACGTTTGACTCTGGCTCTTCATCGGAGTTGTGCTGACTTTGGTCATCCTTTTCAGATATTTCTGCGTCTCTGATTTTTTTGTGGAGTTCGTTTCTCTCTTCTTGTAAAGCACGGCAGAGGTTCTCTAGCCTCCCGATTTTCATCACAAAGCACTCATATTCTTTAGCTCTCAGTGCTTTCTGTGATGTGAAAACACACGCACATACACACACAGATGAAATGACATGATAAGCAAAATGTCCAGGATGCTTTCTGGAAACAAGCAAAACTATTTGTCCCAGAATTTGTCTACTAGGCTCTGGGACCTGGCTACAGAGTAGGGGCTGAACAGATGCTTGGTCATGGACATCACTTTCCTTTTTTTTTTTTTTTTTTGGCATTGTGTACTAGACTGGTAGATTCTTTAATCACCATACCCTGTTCATTGGGAAAGAAAGATGGTCAGGCTTCCTTCTGCTTTGGTCCATAGCCTCTCAAATCTTATGGATGAATTTTCTGCTTCTGAGACTTAGAAGGTAGAAGCAAGACTTGCGGCAAGATAAATGAGATGGATTGGGACTTGGGTTTCAGCAATGCCTTCCTTATCTGTTCTATGAATAAACTGCTATGTGCTAATCCCAGCAGCCATTTGATTTATGTTGATGAGTAATATCTCTTTGGAATTGGTTGCAATTTGAGAAGAATTGTTAGAGCAGTAATTATAACCATAGAAATTCACCATATACTAATTCACGATGCTGGCTGCTCAAACGGTTCAGTTTTTTCCTCTAGAAATGTCTATTTGTGCATGAAAATGTTCCTAATTATCTCACTCCTTCACCTCACCTCTGAGCTACTCTGTCCCTTTGAGACCTTTTTTCCCCCACTCGTTATACATGGAGAGACCTTCACCTGTAAGCCCTACCTCTCAGGTCAGGGGCCATGTATCTTTGCCTTTGGACTCTCAAAACCTACTTGGAGCCTGGCATGAGATCAGTGTTTAAATGTCTATTGGAGGAATTAAAAAGATATCTCCATATCTGTTTATATTAGAAAATAGCACATGCACTGGACTCTTGGGCTGGTGTCTTCTCGCAGTATGTTCAAATCAACTAATTAATTTATTCAGCACCTGTTATGTGTCAGACACTGGGGAAATTTAAAGTAAAATAAGACACTCATCCTACCTTTAAGGAATTCACAGCCCTTAAAGGGGACAGCTGCCCTGGGTACAGCTATTGAATCAACAGGTAAGCATGTGACTTAGGGTCACAAAACTCTTTCTGAGTCTGGACCTGATTCTAAATGACCTTTGCTCTTATTATACTTATTACAATTTAAAATGTCACATCCTGCCACCCCAAATTCAACTCTTTTTCACACATAACCATTTGTACTATTACCAGGTTATAATTGTATCGTAAGTTTGAATGTTTTGACTAGACAGAGGGGATTAAAGCTAAGGGAGAAACTTCCTCACCTCTTCAATCATGTCCAACAGAGCTTTGTTACAGTTCTCAAATCGGGCTTTCCATGTGGCTGTGTCCTTTTCCAGCTTCTTCATTTTCTTAGTTGTCTACAGAAATTAGAGTGAGTGTGTGTTAATCTTGAAAAGTTAATATATCAAGGAAGCTATTAGCTCCATATGTGAGACCAGGAGAAGCCCTTTTGTTACCAGATGCTGAAGCAAACAAATGTTCAATGTCAAGAATGAAGATTGTAGCAGAGTCATAATTTATTTCTGAGCCGTCTAGGGCAGTGGCAAGCAAACTTATTTGCACCTGAGCCAATTCAGGAAATGGGAAATGACTTAGGGGCACATGGTTTTGTCACTGCTTTTTCTTTCATTTAAAAGAAGAATATCTTTATGGAGTTCCATGAACAAGCCTGTAATTTAGGATATTTACTGTATTGAATAGAAGACTATCACAGTGGGAAAGCTGGCATGGCCTTTTTAGCCATTAAAATGTTGATAATATCTGGGCACATCTGAGAAGTTGCTGCACAAAAGCAGTCTCTGTATTTTCTGGGTCTTTACATTTATAGAGTGAGGTAGAGTTCACAAAATGTGATTACATGCATTATTTGTTTCATCCTTGAAACAGTCCCACAAGGAAGGTTCTATTTTCACCCCCATTTTATAAATGGGGAAACCGAAGTTCGGAGAGGTAGAGTAATATTTAGGTGAATTAACAGAACAGTGGGGCTGCCATTCTTTTATTTCATTTAATGAAGCATATAGAATGTCTGGTGGTCACCAGGCCCTGGGCTGGGTACGAGGAAGTAAGAAGTGAATAAAATGCAGCCTGTGTTTTTCGAACCTGAGGCTACTCACATTCTTGTTTGTAGGATCTCTTCTTTGCTTAGATGAAGTGGAGAACGAGGCATGTACTCAGGTGCAGTTTTCCTGGATGAAACATAGCTGGGCACTCGCTGCTTGGTGCCAAGCTGCCTGAAGCTGGGTACCCACGGAGGCCAGAGGCTGGGCCCAAGACTGTCAGCCCCTGGCTCTACAGACAAGCTAGGTTTTTAATTTTGATCATATTTTAAATTAGTTAGTAGTTTGTAAACTTCTTTGTTTTCTTCTTTTTTGTTGTTGTTTGTTTTTCACTCTTTTGCCCAGGCTGGAGTGCAATGGCGTGATCTCGGCTCACTGCAAACTCTGCCTCCCGAGTTCAAGCGATTCTCCTGCCTCAGCCTCCTGAGTAGCTGGGATTACAGGCGCCTGCCACCATTCCTGGCTAATTTTTTTGTATTTCAGTAGAAACAGTGTTTCACCATGTTGGCCAGGCGGTCTTGAGCTCCTGACCTCAAGTGATCCACCCGCCTCAGCCTCCCAAAATGCTGGGATTGCAGGCATGAGCCACTGCGCCCAGCCAGTTGTTTGTAAACTTTAAGGTCATCAATCTTTTTAAGAATGTGGTGAAAGCTATGGGACCACACTTCACAAAAATGTGCATATGTGCATCATTTTTTTTTATGGTAATTTCTAGAGAGTTCTCAGGTCAACTACTAACGTCCATAAATGGACCCAAGATTAAGAACTCCTGATTTAATATTTATTCCACTCTTAAAACTACATAATTTTGAAAAACATGTTTTCCTGTTCTAATTTATTCCAATCTTAAAATGCTAGAATTTCAAAAAAAAATTAAGCAAATGGATAGTTCCATTCTGAAGTGGGAGAACTGTAACATTTAACAAGTGCCAATCTTCTTCAGGTTGCTCATTGTAAAATTTGTCATAATATTTTAAAAATATATTTTAAGAGGATGTTTTCTACACCTCAAAACCATTAATGCCAATCCCTGTTCGGAAACACAGTTCTGATGGCTGATTTTGTATTGGGAAGACACTGAACAAGCTTTAAACATTACATTAAATTATAATACTGGCACCTTATATTTGAAAAATACATGTAAAAAGTTAAAATCCCTTCCAAAATGTATTAATTTAACTTCACAATCTTGTGAGTTAGGCAGGGAAAGTAGTATCTGCATAGATTAAAAAAAATTAGAGGCCAGGCATGGTGGCTCATGCCTGTAATCCCAGCACTTTGAGAGGCCGTGGTGGGTGGATCACATGAGGTCAGGAGTTCGAGACCAGCCTGACCAACACGGTGAAACCCCGTCTTTACTAAAAATATAAAATTAACCGGACATGGTGGTGCATGCCTGTAATCCCAGCTACTCGGGAGGCTGAGGCAGGAGAATTGCTTGAACCCGGAAGGCAGAGGTTGCAGTGAGCCAAGATCGCACCATTGCACTCCAGCCTGGGCAACAAGAGCGAAATTCCATCTCAAAAAAAAAAAAAAAATTAGATTCAGGAAGTTAAGTGAATTGATGAGTAAGACCACTTGATGAGCAAGAACACACCAGAATTGAATTCAGGCTTCCATCTTCTCATTCAAGGCTCTGTCAGTTATATTACATTACATAAGTTAAATTCTCTTCTAAGAAGGTTCTTATAAGATGGTATTTCCTATTCTAACATTCTACTTTTGTATATTCATATAAAAGTTTTTTGGTTTTTTGTGTTTTTGTTTTGAGACAGATTCTCGCTCTGTTGCCCAGGCTAGAGTGCAGTGGCGTGATCTCACTCGCTGCAACCTCTGCCTCCCAGGTTCAAGCGATTCTCCTGCCTCACCCTCCTGAGTAGCTGGGACTACAGGCGCATGCCACCACGCCTGGCTAATTTTTGTGTTTTTAGTAGAGACAGGGTTTCACCATCTTGGCCAGGCTGGTCTCGAACTCCTGATCTTGTGATCCTCATGCCTTGGGCTCCCAAAGTGCTGGGATTACAGGCATGAACCACCACGTCTGGACAAAAGTTTTTGTTTTTTTTTTTTTAATTCTTAGAAGGTTATATTTTGAGTTCAGTATATACACCATCATGTTAAATTGCTAGCTCTGGTCTTCTTTTTTTTTTTTTTTTTTTTTTTTAAGTTATCCATGGGTTAGAAAAAGAACTATTCTTCTTCAGAGTGAAAATGAAACCTAGAATTTTTGGACTCCTGCTAAGATTAATTCACTAGATACTTACCAATTAAAAAATACAGCCCAAACCTCATTCCTACCTATAAACATTTCATTACTTTGTGAAATGCACCAAAATATCTTAGTGAGAGAAAAAGGAAACCAAAGGAAATTTGCCTGTCAAAATAGAAAATGTCAATATTTTGTTGGTGATAAGCAATACTCACTTTGTCCATTTCCTGTTTGAACGTGGCAAACACCTCGTTGCTTTTAGTTAGTGTGCTCTGGAATTCTTCAAACCTTCCTGAGTAGAGAGTGAGCTGTAAACAGAGGAAAGAGTGGATCTTTCAGAATACTTCCAGAAGAAAACATGTCATTGTTCATTATTTAAAGGAATTCTCAATATAGTATTAGTAATATGTTTAATTATTTTATTTACTACAAGATTAACCTAGGCCAGTGAGCATGATTGAAATGCTTCTTTAAAGAAAAATGGAAAAATAGTCTGGGCGCAGTGGCTCACGCCTGTAATGCCAGCACTTTGGGCGGCCAAGGCAGATGGATCACCTGAGGTCAAGAGTTTGAGACCAGGAGAATGGCGTGAACCTGGGAGGCGGAGCTTGCAGTGAGCCGAGATCGTGCCACTGTACTCCAGCCTGGGCGACAGAGCGAGACTCCGTCTCAAAAAAAAAAAAAAAAAGTTTGAGACCATTCTGGCCAACATGGTGAAACCCCGTCTCTACTAAAAATACAAAAATTAGCCGGGCATGGTGGTGGGCACCTGTAATCCCAGCTACTTGGGATGCTGAGGCAGGAGAATCGCTTGAACCCAGGAGGCAGGGGTTGCAGTGAGCAGAGATCACGCCATTACACTCCATCCTGGGCAACAAGAGCAAAACTCTGTCTCCAAAAAAAAAAAGAAAAAAATGAAAAAAGAAAATATGTTATTTCATTATATTAAAACTTTTATCAACATTGATTGAGTACTACATGCATGGACTGTATGTACAGAAGTATTTAACACATGGATCTGCATTTGAGGGACCTGCACTTCTAATGGGAAGACCATCTCAAAGACAACTTGACTATGGGACAATGGCTACATAGTCAAGTCAGTTAAGGACAGTGGGTGATCGGAGAAGGTGAGCATGGCAGGTGATCATGTGAGCCACATGTTTATGGAGAAGGTGAACCTGGAACTTGGTCTTGAAGGAAGGGAAAAAATAGACAAATGAAAAGACGTGATAAAGGCAATGTGGGCTGGACACGGACAAGGGCCATTGCCATGACACAGGTTGTACACCACTCTAGGCAGTTGCCATTTCTGTTTCAGACATCAGAGTTTTGTATGTTTATGAATATAGCATTCTAGCCAATAGCAGTTAAATGTCCCTTTTTATCAAAATCAGTTTATTACATCAGTTTTCCACAGATGGAAGTAATGAGTCTTGAAAAAGAGATGCCTTTTTCTAATTTGCAGAGAAGCATTGTATGGGTTAGCATTTGCCAAGTGTATGGCTCACCATGGAGATATAGCGAGGAGCATTTGTATCGCCAAGTCCTTAATTCAAGTGCTTGCATTCGGGGTGGAAATGGGGCAACACAGGGAAGGAGAGTGTGTAAATACTTGATCAGTGATATAATGACAGTGATAAAATAATAAAATCTTGTCTTTGAAAATAATATTAGGGTAGCATGTTTTGAATAAGAGAGGATTTAGTATGGATGATTCAGATTGGTCAAGCCTCAATTTTCAAATGAATCTTTGGTACTCTTGAGTGTCCAGAATAGTCCCAAGTCTTCAAATGGGTATAACATTTTCATACAACATAGTTTTTTGTATGAAGAAGCAGACTTGCAGCATCCGTCAATAAACAAGGGCCCTGGCTGCACTGGATAGACCAGGAAGGCTGGGTTATCAGCTGGAAGGAAGGCACCGACCGGTGTTATCAGTGAGACTGTCTTTTTTAAAGTACAGAAAGCACCCTGAATGAAAGCTGGCAGATTGGAGAGTTTCCAGTCTTGGGGTGTGGGTGTGAGAGGGAGTATGTATGAGTCAAACAACCCCTAGAGCCCAGAAAATTGCTTATCTAGAATGGGTTTTCCCCAATAATTTGGAGTAGTAGAGATTTTACTGCAGTAGACAGCAATAACATAAATCATTTCGGTAGAATACAGATTATCCAAAGAAAAGCCAAATGACAGCTGATTATCATTTTGAATTCTCTCATTAGTACTGTATGTGACAGAACCGAAATTTGTTTCTCATGATTCCTTGACACACAGATTAAAGAAGACAGAGTAAAGGGGCATCAAGGAATTCATGGCCAAGAAGGGGCTCTAGGGTTTTACACACACAGAGAGACACACACACTCTGTCTCTCACACACACACGCATGGTGCATAAGACAATGTTTACTGTGGTTTTTTTTTTCTTTCTTTTAAGAGACAGTCTGATTCTGTCACCCAGGCTGGAGTGCAATTGTGTGATCCTAGCTCACTGCAGCCTCAACCTCCTGGGCTTAAGGGATCCTCCTGCATCAGCCTCCAGAGTTGCTAGGACTACAGGCACATGCCCCATGTCTGGCTTTTTTTTTTTTTTTTTTTTAACACAGGCTGGTCTCAAACGCCTGGCTTCAAGCAATCCTCCTGCCTCAACATCCCAAAGTGTTGGGATTACAGGCATGAGCCACTGTACCCAGCCAATCATGTGCAATGCACTCTGACATATTCTGTTCAACTGTGTTTTTTCTTTCTTTCTTTCTTTCTTTTTTTTTTTTTTTTTTCAAAATACTGGCTGGAATCCACTGTGGGCCAGAATTAATTTCAGGGCCCACAAATGGGTCAGACCTCTTGGTCTGAGACACTGTGCCCTAGGGTTAGCTCCTGGGGACTGGCTACCTATCCTGTACATCATCCATTGGCCTAGGGTGGGAACAACTACCCCCAGCAGATCCTGGTCACCTTCTATCACAAAATCTTTTCATTTGTATTCTCAGCCCGGCCTCTTTTGTTAACTTTTTTCCTTAATTTCTCCCCATTCTTTTTCCAACTTATCAGTAACTCTAGCAGAGTTACATAGAGGCCTCAGACACTGTGGTCTCCTCAGCTGGTCCTCCCGATCCCTCTTGCAGCCCTGTAGTTGCAGGCTGCAGACAGACGGGGCAGGAGTGAGCACATGTCTGGTCCATCTCACAGATGCAGCCTTGCTGGAATCAGCAAGAACAACCACCCCCAGGACTTCAGCCTCAACATGAGCTAACAGGCATTAAAAGCCCTCAGGTTTGATTGTCTTCACTTAACTGGGTAAGGCTGTCACCATGTCTTACTTTTCCATGTGTACCTGTTATATTTTTTCATTATGTCTCAAAGTAAAGGCTTTAAAAAAGAAAAAGGCAGAATGTTCTTTGTGGTGTATTAATTGGGCAGATTTTGTTTCCTTTTCTTATGTTTTCTTGTTGCTGGCTCATGAGCATGGAGAAGACAGACACACCCAGAGTTCTGAGAAGTAGTGTCTTGATTCATCACCAGCTCTTCTGTGCTTTTTCTAGTTATGGTTTTCATTTTTGCTTTCTATTAAAAAAATTAATTGTAGTAAAATACACATAGCACAAAAGTTACCATCCTAACCATTTTTAAGTGTATAGTTCAGAATTGCTAAGTATATTTCCAGTGTGGTGCAACCAATCTCTGGAACTTTTTCCATCTTGCAAAATGGAAACTTTATACACATTAAACAACAATTCCCTATTTCTTCCTTCCAGTGACCAGTCTAACATTTTGCTTTTCTTCCTATTTGACCTCTCTGTCTGGTGGCAAAAACTATGGATTTCTCAGATAACTCTAACACTCTCCTACTTACTAAATGTTTGTGCTTCTTGTTTACTAAATGGATATTTGTTTGGTAGCGTCTTCCCTCTCACTATCGTGCTGACAGGATACATGTTTGGTTTCATGTGTCATATTCCCAGTCTCACTTTGGTATTTCACAGAGCCAGGGAAGGACATCCAGAGGTCATGCACAGCATTTCCCCTGCCAGAGGCAGAAATAGAAACAAACTCTTCTATGATTAGAACAACAACAAAAATTGCCTCAATATTTCACTTTTAAATGGGCCAAGTGACAAACACAGTCTTTTCACTGAGCACCAAATTTTAATTACAGACACTCATAGACATGGGAAACAACTGTGTCCAGGAATCATCTTGGTGAACCTGTGAGATTTGGTTTGGGAGTTAAGTCCTATGACAAGAACAGGTGCAGCAGTGCTCTCCTCTCACCCTGTAGAGGTATGGGGAGGACTTCAGACTTTAAAGACTCTGATTACATGCTTTCCACAATTTACCCACTCATCTTTCCCCTTGGGTAGTATTTTGCGTCCACATCAGATATTGCTGACTTCCCACATCTGCTACTGTCTTCATCCTTGTTGATCCAATGAACACTCGATTTTGTAGTGACAATTGTATCCCATTGATCATCTCTGACATTTATTCTGTTGCCTTGGCTTGTATAATTGAAAGCCAGACATCGCTTCCCTAAGTGAGAAGCCTGCCCCCAATTGGCCAGCAGTTGTCTTATGACTGAAAAGTGACTTCTCTAGGAAAATAACACAATCTGTCCTTGATAATTCTGTTGCCCAGACCTTAGAAATGGGGCCTTGGCCTTGGCCTCCTGCTACTCCCACCCCTTTAAAGGCAGCGTAAAACCAAAGGAAGTGTTGGAGTGTTATGCAAAAGAATCTGTGATAGAGTTTGTTTTCAAAGTTTAGAAGTTTTAGAAATATAATGTTGATACTTTTTAATGAGGAGCTTGTTTAAACATGATTACGCATAGGGATTCAGGACCTCTATTTTATTCTTGAGGCTTAAGTAATTATTGGAATTTCAAAGGTAACTTGGAGACAAAAAAGAAAGACAAAGGAGGGTTCTTGCAATTAGTGAGGCTGCCTGCACTGTGGAACACTGCAGGCAATGGACAAGGCGGGGTCAACTTAGCTTAGGGCCACACTTCTTCAGCTCTGGAAGTTCTCTATGCTCATGAACTACAGCTGAATAGCATCTTGAGATCATCTTTTCCAGCGGTTCTTCAACTTTTTTGCAACTTAAGACTCCTGTTGGGCCGGGCGCAGTGGCTCACGCCTGGAATCCCAGCACTTTGGGAGGCCGAGGTGGGCTGATCACGAGGCCAGGAGATCAAGACCATCCTGGCTAACACGGTGAAACCCTGTCTCTACTAAAAATACAAAAAATTAGCCGGGTGTGGTGGCAGGTGCCTGTAGTCCCGGCTACTCGGGAGGCTGAGGCAGGAGAATGGCGTGAACCCCGGGAGGTGGAGCTTGCAGTGAGCTGACATCATGCCACTGCACTCCAGCCTGGGCAACAGAGTGAGACACCGTCTCAAAAACAAACAAAAAACTCCTGTTGTCTCATATTTCCTTCTCATATTTCCATATTTCCTTATATGAAATCCTTACCTATGAAATAATACTACTAGTTCATACACTAATTAATAGTCAAGCAGAGATTTTTCTCTCTCTTATTGATGATTATATCGCCAAACCTAGAACCATGCCTAGCACTTAGTAGATGCTCAGTAAATATTGGTTGAATTAATTATGCTTATTTTGGGCCAGACACTGAGCAAAATGCTTTGGATGCATGATTTGAAAACCAACTACATATATTACATATGCATTAACTGATTTTCCTTTTAAAAACTTAAACATAGGCATAATTTCCATCCACAGTTGCTGAGCAAGAGGTGAAGTAATACCAGAAACAACTACATTTTAGATAGTAGCTGCTACCTTATGTGCTGATGTTTTGGAAACGCTGAAAAGTCATAGGCCTCTCAGGGGTTGCACGACTCCAGGCTGGGGTCATTGATTCATTATAGCATTTTCATTTTGCAGACAAGGAAATTTAGTTCCATAGAGGTTTAGGTGGGTTACACAGGGTCACACAGCTTCTCGGTAAAAGAGCCAGGACTCTGACCTGGTGCCTTGACTCAGGGATGAATGAGGAACAATAGCAAATCTAGAACCCCTGGTTGATGGTTTTTTAAGTTTGAGGGGGTATAAGGGGGAAATTAGATCAAAACTTTAATATTTGTATTGTACAGGTCATTAAAGGCCTCGATTCTGATGCCAGCTGAGTGAATCACTCTGTAGCCCACAGTTTAACAATGTAATCTACTCTGCTCAAGTTGATTGTCTTCATTTTGCATGGAGGAGTAGAGATTGCATGTAGCAGATGATGTGAACAGTGCACAGCTTCAAGTATTATTTATTGTTCCCCTCAAGGCTCTGTGTGGTGAATGAGGCACAGATAGAATTAGAGGCCTTGGCTTGATTCCTTGAGGTCACACCCCCTTTCCTTCTGCTAGACAGCCAGCAGTCAGCCACCCACCCTACACCATGATGTGATGAGTTCCGTGACTGCCTAAAGGATGATCTTGAGTTTGTAACTCTGGGCCCTTTGCTTCAGACACATTATGGTTCTAACTTCTATGTATCTAGTGTATTAAGACAATTCTTCTTTATTATCAGAGAGTAGTTCATACTGGAGAAAATAATTTATTATTGCTTTGCTATATATGCATTGCAGAAATATACTTTAAGAAGGCTAGATATGAAAATGTTCCCTGTATTTTTGTCTGTGCAGTAGTATAATCTGTGATTTTAAATTTCTTATTTGCTTTTTTCTTTTACAATGAACACGATTTGTGTGTGTGTGTGTGTGTGTGTGTTTACAGTGAACAAGTACTCAGCTGTCAGCATATAAACATTTACAAATCTTAAATTAATGCTGCCCAGCTTGGAAGGTTTCTGATTTCCTTGCCTTCGGTGAATTTCTCCCTGTGACCTCACAGTCCCTTTAGCACTTGGGTGTTTCCCAGGGCAGTGGAAGTCTGTGGCCTGTGGCAGGATGGTACTCCTGGAACCCACAGGGACCATTATTTAGGACAGGCAGAGCCCCAGGTAGGGGTAAGATGGGTAGGTCTGGCTTTCTTCCAGAGTCAGCTGTGGCATAAATGTCCAGAATGGTCCCCCCTTTTTTTGAGTCTGAAATAGGAACCCCCAGAGTCTAACAGAAGCACATAAAAGTTGTCACGCAGCCAAACCAAAATGGTTCCTGACTTGCCTGACACTTGTATCCATTCACCACTGACAAGGCCAACCTCTGATGGCATAGAAACTTGAGTGGTGACTATTTTTCTCATTTTCTTTTCTTTTCTTTCTAAACAGATGGAGTCTCACTCTGTCGCCCAGGCTGGAGTGCAGTGATGTGATCTCGGCTCACTGCAGCCTCCGCCTCCTGAGTTCCAGTGACTCTCCTGCCTCAGCCTCCTGGGTAGCTGGGATTACAGGCACATGCTACCACGCCTGGCTAATGTTTATATATTTTTTAATAGAGACGGGGTTTCACCATGTTGGTCAGGCTGGTCTCGAACTCCTGACCTCAGGCGATCCGCCCGCCTGGGCCTCCCAAAGTGCTGACGTTACAGGTGTGAGCCACTGCGCCCGGCCTCATTTTCTTTTTATGATAAATAATATCAAGACATGAGGACATCTTAAGAATCGCCAGTCATAGATGGTGCATCTGAGCAGTTTACGTTTTCTTCTTACCTTAACAGGGCAATGAGAGGGGAAGTACGGTGGAAATAAGAAGTGCTAGATGGGAACCTGGACACTGGCTGACTCTCTTGACCACTGTACTGTCATCCATTGTCTGTCAACAAACCTTTGACTGGATGTTGCCGGCGCAGAACATTTCTTTTTCATAGATATAATATTGTGCTTTTATTTTTACTTGAAAATATGAATAAATGTGAAGTTGTTCTTCATTTCCAATTCCCATCCCCCCATCCCCTGCCACATAGGAGGACTTCTGCTGCCCACCTTTGGCCCCAGCCTTTTTATCTGGGGACAGTGAGGACAGCACCCCCATGCCTCGTCCACCTGGCCTCACCTGAGCCTGCAGGACTGTCTCTTGCTCCTTCAGCACTTTCGCCTGAAGTTTCCACTCTGCTGCCTGGTTCAGCAACTATGAGAAGAGAGAGTGTGTGGAAAGATGGTCAGATTTGCCTTTTAGATTACTATTTGGCTGTAATTTGTCTACAAAACTTAGCAACCTGCTCATTAACCTCCTTAAGTAATTTTTTGGAACTTTGAAAAGAATCTAAGAAAGCTTAAAAAACCAGGCCCAGCATGGTGGCTCATGCCTATAATCCCAGCACTTTGGGTGGCTGAGCTGGGAGGATTGCTGGAAGCCAGGAGTTTGAGAACAGCCTGGGCTATATAGGGAGACCTTGTCACTGAAAAAAAAAAAAAACCAAAATTAGTCAGGGGTGGTGGTGCATGCCCGCAGTCCCAGCAACTCGAGAGGCTGAGGCAGGAGGATCACTTGAGCCCAGGAATCCCAGGTTGCAATGAGCTATGATGGCACTGCTGCACTCTAGCCTGGGCAATAGAGTGAGACTCCATTTCTAAAAAAATAAAGAAAAAGAAAGCTAAGAAAATAATTGGTCTAAAAAAGTTGGATTCTCAACTATAAACTAGTGGTTTTAATAAAAAAAATAGTCTCTAGCTCAAGTATGAATCACAAAAAATTCAACTTCCCACCACATTCTGGAACCTTCTCTAGTAATCTTGGCCAACAATCATTCAGCCTCTGCTGGAACCTCTCCAGAACATCCCCACTTGGTGCACTTTTGTTAGCAACTGTTTCTTTTCTTTTTTCTTTTTTTTCTTTGAGACGGAGTTTCTCTTTTGTCGCCCAGGCTGGAATGCAGTGGTGTGACCTCAGCTCCCTGCAACCTCCGCCTCCTGGGTTCAAGCAATTTTCCTGCCTCAGCCTTCTCAGTAACTGGAATTACAGACACCTGCCACCATGCCCAGCTAATTTTTGTATTTTTACTAGAGACGGGGTTTTGCCATGTTGGCCAGGCTGGCCTCCAACTCCTGACCTCGTGATCTGCCCGCCTCGGCCTCCCAAAGTGCTGGGATCATAGGCGTGAGCCGCCGTGCCCGGCCAACAACTGTTTCTTTAGAGTACATCCAGAATCATTCTCCTAGACCACTGTTCTCCACCATAGCACACTTGATACAATAAGAACTATGTATGTCCTTGGTCTTTGTCCCTGATTCCTGACACAGAGCTTCTAACATGCATCAGAATCTCCTACGGAACATATTAAAAATGCAGATGCCTCTCAGATAATATGATTTAGGAAGTACAGAGTGTGACTGAATTCTATGCTTCAAGAAAATACCCAAAATGGTCTGGATATCGGTGGCCTGTGGATTACATTTTGAGAAGTATGGGTTAGAAGTTTGACCTATTGGTCTAAATCCTGGCCCCTGAGAGCTGATGGGTTAAATTGGAAAGGGGATTTGGGCATACAATGACACATTCATATATAAGCTTGTAATTTTAACTTAAGATGAATGCCTATTTATCAATTTTGAGGTAGGGCTGTGGTCTTTGTTTTGGGTATGGATCTTCTGATTAGAGTTCAGAGGGTTTTTTGTTTGGTTTTTATTATTATTTTTAAAAATCACATCCACAGTGTGCCATGTAAGATTTCTAGGTTGTTAGGCTTGTGTGTGTGTGTGTTTAGCGATAGTGCTAGAACCTAAAAATACTTATGAAGCAGCTTGTCTGGATAATTCTCTAGAGTTTTCCACTTCCCCCCAGTCTTTTATAGCTACTCATATCTAGTTTGACAGTTGTTTTTTGCCATTTGCTTGCATTTGGTCTTTCAAAGCACTAAGCATAATTTGCACAAACAGTTTTTTGTTTTCATACTTATATTTCATCAGTTTATGTAACATCCTGTTGATTTACACAAAAGCAAGTGCAATTGGAAAGAAAAGGTTTGTGCAAAGAGCTGATTCTTGGTAAGCTCCACCTTACTAAACTGGGGCAAATTTTGTAGCCCTTCCAGAGAGTGGCTGGGTAGACCTGCAAGTCAGCATGCTGTGGGCATCGGTCAGTGCGTTTTACAGAGAAAACAGTGAACGCAGAGATCAATCTGGCTAGTCAGTCTGGAGGCTATCAATTAAGAAGTTTCTCTTGTATTTGAAGATAAGCTGATTAAAATTTCCCACTTTTAGTTTATCCCTATTGTAAAAAAAAGTCCACGAGGTCTATGTATTATATAATCAGAACCAAAAAAACTAACAATAAAATCATTACTTTTAAAAACTGGAAAGCTTCTTTTTCCTCATCTAAGTTTGTCTTTTTCCCATGACCCAGCCTCTCCATTTGTAAAATGGGTTGCATTTGTTCCTCTATGCCTCCCAGGGTGCAATGAAGATTGATTCTCATAGAAGTGCAACCAAATGGTCCTATGAGAGGACTGGGGCAGCTGTGGAGTAGAAGCCCTACAGTGTCCCCTCTGGCCATCTGAGGGGAGTGGTGGCACTGTGCCTGCTTCTTGTGAGCTGGCTATGCAGCTTTGTTGTGATTGGTGACCCCCAACCTCGAGGGAGGCTGGTGGCTGCCTATTCTGCCTGGGTGACTTGATATCTCATCGCTTCCAAAAGGAGGTGCCCCAGCTGCAAGCCAGGTAGGTGGCTAGCTTCGAAGAAGTGAGATGAGCTCCCTCTCTTTGACTCAAATCTGTTTTGCTGAACCAAAACAGGTGCTAGTTTCTTGCTAAGGCTGGGTCGTCTCAAATCTGCTCTCCAATGTCTCTCATGTGCATCTTTGTCTTGTTCTTTCTCTTTCATGTCTCGTGTTATACAGCAAAGTACCAATATACTATGGGAAGCATATTTTACCCAAGAAGGTAATTACACCAATGGTGGAATTTCTATTCTCTTGGATTGTGAATAATAATTGAATGTTTTATTTCTTGCTTTCAGAGCTAGGTTGTAGATGGATTTCATAAATTAATCTTTTTCTTAAGAGAACATGGACTTCTGATTTGAAATTATCCAATGTCCACCAGATTATGTTGCTCAAAATTTGTCTTTTTGTTGCCATGTTTGAAAATTTATTTTAAAATTACTATTCTAATCAACTGAATTGATTCTGGTCTGATTTTAGGTAAATGAAAATCTCAAGATCAAAATGTGACATGGCCAAATTTGAATAAGTGGTCCATGGACCATGTTTTACCTCTCTCTCACCCCAGCAACAGATACATGCGTCAACTCATACCTCTGAAACACACGTCTGAGTGTGATGCACCGTCACAGAGAGTGTGGGCTTTGGGAACAGACGCACATAAGATCAAAACACATCTTGCTCAGTCAGCAGTGTGCAACCTTAACAAGTTGCGTATCTTCTTGGAGCCTCAATTCTCTCATCTGTAGAATGACCCTACAGCTTTTTGGGGAGTGCTTGGGGTTAATGAGATATCAATAAACACCACCACTCAGTTTCCTCAGCCCAAAACTTAGGAGTCATCCTTGACTTTCTCCTTTTCTCTTTGTCACCAGCTTCAGGTCTGTAGCACTGTCTGTTGATTTCACATTGAAAACAACTTTCATCCATCTCCACCCCTCTTCTCTGCTGCCATATCCCTAAACCAAGTCATCATCATATTTCATCTGATTGCTATAGTAGCCTCCTGTCTTCTTGCTCTCTTGTCCCTCTGCAGTCTATTTTCCATCCAGGAGCCAAATTAATCTTAGAAAATGCAGAGCAGATCATGCCATCACTTCCTTTGCAGAAGCACCCAGTACTTTCCCATTGTATTTAGAATGAAATCCAAATAACTTTTTAAGCCCTACAAAGCTACACAGTTTGGCACCTGCTTACCTCTCCAACTTCATTTTGAACCTCTCCCCCATGCTCTTGCTTCCCTGACCTTTTCCTGTTTCTGGAGCACACCAAATTGGTTCCAGCATTAGGGCGTTTGTTGCTGCTGCAGATGCTGGAGACGATGCTCCAAGTAGCAGCTCCTCATCTGGCAGGGCTTAGCTCAAGCATTCGCCCCTCCAGGAGGCCTTCCTGGTCACTCAATCTAAAGTACGTCCCCTTCTTTGGCCCCTTCTCAGTTTCTCCTTACTTCCTTAGTAGTGGTGATTATTGTCTGAAATGACCCTTCCCTGTTTGCTTGTCTATTGCTTGTCTCTTTCCAGTTAGACTCTAATCTCCATAGTGGGAGATGCCCCTTCTCTGTCTTGTTCACGGCTATGTCCCCGCACCTAACACGGTGCTTAGTAGATAACAGGCACTTGAAAAATATGTGTGGAATAGATGAATGACTATTTTATGTAGAAAGTAGTGTAGACATAGTGCCTCAGACTGGGCTGGCTAATTTAGTTCTCCATAGAAGCTGGGGCTCTTTCTCCATCAGTCTAGTGCTCTTTGACCATTATAAAAACAACTTGCGTCCAGGCGCGATGGTTCACACCTGTAATCCCAGCACTTTGGGAGGCCGAGGAAGGCGGATCACCTGAGGTCAGGAGTTCAAGACCAGCCTGGCCAACATGGTGAAACCCTGTCTCTACTAAAAATACAAAACAAGTAGCCTGTTGTGGTAGTGGGCACCTGTAATCCCAGCTACTTGGGGAGGCAGGAGAATCGCTGGAATCCTGGAGGCTGAGGTTGCAGTGAGCTGAGATCACGCCACTGCATTTCAGCCTGAATGACAGAACGAGACTCTGTCTCAAATAAATAAATAAATAAATAAATACAAAACAACTTGCTCAGAGTGTCTCTGACACTGAGGTAGACCAGATATGCACAACGACTAAAATGATAAATACATATTCCTTTTCTCGTTTGTGTCGCTCCTCCGCTTCCTTCATCATTTCTTGGGCCTGCTCAAGCTTTGCATCCACCAGCTTCTGCTGCAGTTCTCTGTGTTTAAATATTTTGTCCAGATGCTAAGAAAAATAAAGTGTACATAGAAAGCTTGGTTTATTATTGGTGCTTAAAAATGCAAAGTAAAATAATTCACATTAATACACATTCCCCAGGTTTTAAGATTTAAAAGAAGAGAGGGATAAATGCATTGGCATCACTTACAGCTTTATAATAAAGCTGTAAATTGGTGAACCCCTCCCCCTGACTTTGCACCACACACACAAAGCTAGCTATAAAAGGTAGAGGCACCAGAGTTCAGCAGTGTCAATGCCAAAAGATCCATACAATATTTTTCTACGTTTGGTAACTATTAGATATGATGCTATTTATTATGCTAGACAGCACAGACAATGATGTATCAGTATACAATATACAGGGGCTACAGTTGTATCATTTGGTATTTTGGCTCTTTCTGTGAATATAAAACCACTTTTAATTGCAACACTTGTGCAATTTATCATGATGAATTCTCTGCATTCTTGCCTCTGGCGTTGTGAGAAAGCCTTGGGGTGCCAGCATGTGGTCCGAGGTCTGGGAGTGAGGCCTGAGCCCCCCTGAATTCTACTCTGTTGCTCTGGTGGAGATGACAAGGCCAAGGGTCATAGAGAAATTGAGTCGCAAATGTGCAGAGCTCGCCACACCTTTTGACCTCTGGACTAGTTTGGTCAAGAGAAACTTCCAACTCTACCTCAGGATGGATAAATTCCTGGTCACTGGGAGGTCCAATCAGAAACAGGACATGGAATTCTCCCCTTGGGCTTTACTTAGAACCAGTCCCAGGAATATACAACTAGCATAGCAGCCCATTCCCATCTGAGATCTCTCTGAAGAATATGGACATTTTCCTTTCACTCCTTCCTATCTTCTTTAGTCTGAACCTCCATTCTGGAGCGGGATTGATCCTTATGACAAGATAAAATGGTAGCATGGCATTTTGGCTTACTATTAGGAGTTTCTTGATTTACCTAACCACCGCGACCATATGCTGTTGGCTCAGTTTTGTGCTTGATAAAATCTTAGCATGTTACCAACAGAGCCGCTTTGACTATGTTATGTTACATTTTAAAGCAGAGATTTAAAATTTGGGTGGGATAGGGAAAGGAATATGATGTGTCAAAATCCTGAGAGGGTATCTGGAATCTTAAAAATATATTAAATATTAAAATATAATTTGGGTATAACAAAAGACCTTGATCATCCCCCTAATATAACCTATTCAAAGTAAAAGGCTTTTGCCTCTTGTGACTGTGGGTAAGTGGTTTAATCTCTTAGCTTCTGCTTCTCATCTATAAGATATGGATAATATATTATTATCTAATGCATAAGATTGTTGAGACAATTAAATGCCATATGGTATGTAAAGTACAGCACTTAGCACATTGCCTGATACAAACTAACCACTGAATAAATGATATCATTATTATTACAATGATTACATTATTAATACTATTATTGGCCTGGTAGGGTACATAGAATACAGACTCTTTTTTTTTTTTTTTTTTTTGAGACGGAGTCTCACACTGTCGCCTGGGCTGGAGTGCAGTGGCGTGATCTCAGCTCACTGCAACCTCCACCTCCTGGGTTCAAGAGATTCTCCTGCCTCAGCCTCTCGAGTAGCTGGGATTACAGGCGCCCACCACCACGCCTGGCTAATTTTTTTTTGTATTTGTAGTAGAGACGGGATTTCACTATGTTGGCCAGGCTGCTCTCGAACTCCTGACCTCTTAATCCACCTGCCTTGGCCTCCCAAAGTGCTGGGATTACAGGCGTGAGCCACCGCGCCTGGCCAGAATACAGACTCTTAATTTAGATGACATGGCAATTCTTAAGAGGGAGTGCGTGAGTTATTTTTGGCTATAGAGAGAGGATTTTTAAAAGGCTGAGAAATATTATTTTCAAGGAAAACTGTGCCCACAGCCTATCACTTTCTATTTATTGCCTTTACTTTGTAGTGATGCCAGTTTTGAAGAAATCCCATATGACTTTCAGTCAGGTATTTTGTAAGACCATCTGTCTTCATTTTGGCTCGTCAAGGAAATCCAATCCTAAATATTAATCAGTTGAGAGGGCTGGCTGTAACTGTCTTATTAACCAAGTTCCCACCTTTAGCTCCCAGATCCGGATCTATGTACTGTTCTAAGTTGTTTGATGTGGTTCTCACCTCCTCTCTGAGCTCATACTGATCGATGATGCTTTTCAGCTTTTCTGCAAGCTCTGTGTTCTCCTGACAGAGCTTCATATTTCGCTCACTCTGCTGCTCGATCTGGCCCTGGATGTCCGTGAGGGTACTCTGGAAATGGCTTGTGATTTCCTTCCTTTTCTCTTCTTCCTCACGTGCCCGCTGAAGCGCCTCTTCCTGCGGATAAAAAGCAAAACATTTTGTTTAAATGCACCCCGGGTTTATAGAACTCAGCATTAGGTCACCTAAAGGAGATAAGTGTGCAGAGTAGGTGGGATGTTTTTTCTCAGTTCTCTAGAGCTAAAGCTGCTCAGCCCCAAAATAAATGTATGAGTAAAGGTTTCAGCTGTGAGTACATAGTTACTCAGAACAGGTGCTGTGAAGGCCTTGAATTTGTAGTCAGTGATGAATAGACTTGTTTTAAAGATGATGCGTCTCTTGCTGAGTGAATGAACTGCAGCGATTTCTAACAAACACACAGTCACACGATTTTGATCTCTTGGCTGTGGCCTGAAAAAAAGGCCACTTGAGTTTACTGATGGATGAGACAGATCATGTGTTTCTCTGGTTTGGTAAAGGGAGAACAATAGATCTTATATTTCCCTGTAAAAACCATGGCATATTAACCACATAATTATATTACCAAGTTTTGTAAATATAAGTGATCACAATAAAAATTTTCTATTTGTGAGAAAAAACTTTCATCAAAAAGCTTTAAAAAAGGAAACTAAGACAGCATAGCTCAATTACAGCCATTCAAGAATATAAAAGGGAATCTTTCCAAACATGCTGGATATTATTTTGTTTTTGAAAGAACAATCATTAAATGTGTCACATAGGGTAATTAAAATGTTCAATGTAAATTTTGAATCTGAAAGCAATATTAAGTTTCAAATCTTCTTTAACTCTAAAGTGAAACATCTAATTTTCCTTCTTCCGCTTTGTTAACATTGAAGAATTGCAAATTAACTTTTATATCATTTCTGTTCTCTTTTCTCCTAAATCAAAACTCTCCATTCATTGCTAGCCACTAACAATGAGCTCCAATTTCCTCCATATCTATATTGAGAATTGCTTTGCGATTGTTATTCTTTTTGAATAAAAGGGTTTAATTTTGCTACATCCTACCAAAGATAGAGACATTTACGTGGCTGACAAATGATACAGACATTTTAGGATTCCTTTCAGTTCTGATTAATTGTTAATATGAAAGCTTGCTTCGTTGTTGGCAAGTAAAATTATACTGAATTTGATTGCCTACCAAGTTCAAATTATGTAACAGGATTTTTTAAAAGAAATAATAATTTTTAACAGAAGTAATTGTACAGACCTTTATCATAACAGAATAATGTGATCCAAATAAAAACTGATGCTGAGAATATATGCTCTGAAAATATTTTATCATTAGGTTTCTTCTTTCCTCTATAATAACAACACATTTCCCAACTCTAATGTGACTCCTGATGTCAGAATCATAATTTATTCATGTTATAAACCTTTATTAAGCAACAACTTCTCAGGGGTATTGAAGATATCTGTACTTCTTAAACTGAAGAAATAAACTATCCGAGATGTTATTTCCCTGAACTTTGTATACTAACACTTACTATATGTGTTTCGCTAAAAATAATTATGGTTACCAGTTAGGAGCAACTAAATATATGTGTGATTATGATTGTTTCCTCACTGGTCCTGATTAGCTTAGAAGTCAGCAAGTTTGGAATCAGAACTACAGACCATGATTTGAATACCGTTTGTATTTATAAATATTCCATGAATGAATAAATGAAACACCCCATGCAAGTCTGAGTTGTTGTTTTTTTTTTAATTGGGAACTGGCTATAGAAAGAAGGTACAGATGATAGGATGGCACTAAATAAATGTCAAACAAACAATCATAACCGCCAATCCTGGCCCAAAAGATGTAATCTTGCATATATATATATTTTTTGTTTTGTTTTGTTTTGTTTTGTTTTGTTTTGAGATGAAGTCTCACTCTGTCGCCCAGGCTGGAGTGCAGTGGCATGATCTCGGCTCACTGCAACCTCCAACACCCGAGTTCAAGTGATTCTCCTGCCTCAGCCCCCTGAGTAGCTGGGATTACAGGCACGCATCACCAAGCTCAGCTAATTTTTTTATTTTTAGTAGAGACGGGGTTTCACCATGTTGGCGAGGCTGGTCTCAAACTCCAGACCTCAGATGATCTGCCCACCTTGGCCGCCCAAAGTGCTGGGATTATGGGGGTTGAGCCACTGCCCCCGGCCTATATTGTTTTTCAATGAGACCAAAAGAAATCTAGCAAAATCTTATAAAATTTGAGTCCATTGTTAGAAGGATTTTCAATCATTTGGACAGTGTCTGAGATAAAATTATCTTTTCTTTATCAAATACATTATTCAAAGTCAAAATAATGTCAATAAAATTGAGGGATGAAGTCTGAGATAACAAAAAAACCTTGCAAGCATCATTGTGCATCTTACAACTGGTGCTGTGCCTGGCACATAATCCAAAGGTATTCAGTAAATGTTTATTTAATGAATCAGTGAATTATTAATTTATGTACAGACATATGAGTAGCTTGGACTAGATCATTCCTACAGTCCTTTCCACATTAAAATTCTGTGATATTCTGACAACAAATGCTTCTCATTTCTTTAGGAAAATCATGCTCCCTGAGACACTTACCCCTCTCTTACTAGGCAGTTCTTTTTCAGCATAGTTTGAGGCTCAGATTTATCACTTTGAATATATGTATGATTTTGTTGAAACAAACCCATGTCTCAGACTTTTATCAATCCTTTCTTAAGTTATCCTAAATTGTGAGGTTGTATGTGTGTGTGTGTGTGTGTCTGTGTGTGTGTGTGTGCGTTTGACTCATTAAAGAAGCGGTTTTAATAAAGAAAAGTAAAAGCTAAAATTTGTGATGGCGGAAATACCTAGTTATACATTGTCTTTCTATATCTTCCCAAGCTCCCAGCGCATGGATTTTAGATTTAGGTACACTTAAGGTGTTTCACTAGTGTGGCCAAGGAAGCTCATATCAAGTTGACCCTTTTGCAAATAACAACTGTAAACTCTGGATGAAATGCAAGAAACAATGATGACACTAGAGAGTAAACAAAATCAGACAGACTCTAGAGGGAAGTTGGCACTTGTACATGAGTTTCCTATTCTTTATAGCTTTTAGCTTGAGGGAAATCTGCAGTTGGCAGGAGTATGAGGTGGGCAAAATTCTCATATAAAACATACCATCTTTCATATTAGAAGAATAAGAATACAGAGTTCTGGACAACTATAGTCCCTCAACAGTGAGGGGAAGATCACCCAAAAAAAGAGAGAGTCAGAGAAATAGAGCCCAGATCCTGTGAATGAACTTTACACAAATCTGATTGGCCTTGAGCCACACATGTGCAAAGCAGTCTAGCTAAGTAGAAAAGAACTGAACTGAGATTTCAGCTGCTGCTCAAGAGACAAAGTTTATGGTTTGAATCTAACCAAATTAATTGTCTGCTTAAAAAAATAAAAACTATTCATCATATAGTAGAATCCAGATTCTCCAGAACATAATAGTCACAATATCCAGGATCCAATAGACAATGGCTTGACATATGAAGAACCAAGAAAATATGGCCTATTCTCAAAAGAAAAGACAATTAGAGAAGGCTTTTTCTACAATGCTGCAAATGTGGAATTAGCAGACAAGTATTTTAAAACAGGTATTATAACTATGGTCAATGATGTAAAGGAAAATATTATCTCAATGAATGAGAAGGTAGAAAATCTCAGGTGAGAGGTTACATACAAAAAAAGAACCAAATGGAAATTCTGAAATTAAAAATCGCAAAATCTGAAACACAACCATCACTGGATGGATTTAGAGCAGAATGAAAATGAGAGAGAAAAGAATCACTGAATGTGAAGATAGACCAATCAAAATAAGATAATCTAAAAATAAAAGAGAAAAAGTATTGGTGAAGAATGTGAAGACTGACTCGAAGACCTGTGGGACAATATCAAAAGGTCTACACACACAGAGTTAGAATCTTAGAAGGGAAGAAGATGGAGAGAAAGTGGAGCAGAAAAACTATTTGAAGAAATAATGGCTGAAAGAAATTCAAATTTGGTAAAAGACATATAATTACAGATACAAAAAAGCTTAGCAAATACCAAGTAGGGTACATGTGAAAAAAACCACTCCTGGCCTTAAAGCAGTAAAAGTTCTGAAAACGAAAGATCAATACAAAGACCTTGAAAAGGGCAGAGAAAAAGGACATATCACATATGGGGGAACAATAATTCAAATGATTGTTGATTTTCATGAGAAATTTTAAAAGCCAGTATAGTGGCACATTTATTTAAGGCTAAAAGGAAAAAAAAAAAAAAAACCCACGAATAGGTTCTCTCAATGCAGAATTCTATATCCAATGAATTTAGCCTTCAATTAAAAAAAAAATAAAGATGTTTTAAAGATAAAAGGCAACTAAGAGAATTGATTACCAGCAGATTTGTACTATAAGAAATACTAAAAGAAGTACTTCAGGCTGAGGGAAATGACATCAGACAGAAATGTGAAGCTACAGAATGAATAAGAAGTATCAGGAATGGTAAACATCTGGGTAGATAAAAGGGATATAGTTTTGCCTTTAATTTAAGAAGAAATACATATTATTGTTTAAAGTAAAAATTATAACAATGTCTCATCGGCTTTACAAAAGTATATAAATATAATACATATAATGATGATAGCTTAAAGGCTGAGGGAGTAAATTGATCTATTTAGTTGCAGTGTTTCTACATGTTATGTGAAGTAATACAACATTAACTCCAGGAAGACTATGAAAAATTAAGAATGTATATTGTAATCACAGAGCAACTACTAAAGATAATGTGTAGTGTTATAATTTCAAAATACAAGAGATGAAATGTAATTTTTAAATATTCAAATAATCCAAAGGAAGGCAGGAAAAGAACAAGATAAACAAAGCAGAGGTGACAAATAATAAATAATAAAATGGTAGACATATATCAAACCACATCAGTAAGTACATTATATGTTAATGGACTAGTACTGCAATTAAAGGGCAGATACTGTAGGAATGAAAAGAAGTAAGATCCAGCTATATGCTATCTTGAAAGAATGCACTTTAAATATAAAGACCCAGGCTGAAAATGAATGGATGAAAAGAGATACACCAGGCAAACAATAAGAGTAAGAAAACTAGAGTGGCTAAATTGATATCAGATAATGTAGACATCCAGACAAAGATTATTACTGGTCGGGCGTGGTGGCTCACACCTGTAATCCCAACACTTTGGGAGGCCGAGGCGGGTAGATCACAAGCTCAGGAGTTCAAGGCCAACCTGGCCAAGATGGTGAAACCCCGTCTCTACTAAAAATACAAAAATTAGCCAGGCATGGTGGCGGGTGCCTGTAATTTCAGCTACTCAGGAGGCTAAGGCAGAGAATTGCTTGAACCCGGGAGGCGGAGGTTGCAGTGAGCCGAGATTGCACCACCGCACTCCAGCCTGGACGACAGAGCGAGACTCCATCTCACAAAAAAAAAAAAAAAAAAAAAGATTACTAAGGGACATTTCATAAAGGTAAAATCACCAATTCATCAAGAGGACATAATAATCATAAATGTATATACACCTAATATTAATGCTTCAAAGTACATAAAGCAGAAATTGACATAATTAAAATAAGCGGACAATTCCACAATTATATGAAGAGATTTTTAACTCTCATTTCTCAGCAATTGATAAAAAAATTCAAAAAAGGCATAAATGATTTAAAGCTAATTGTTACTTATAGAACACTACACCCAACATCTGAAAAACATTGTTTTGAAGTACATATGGTATCAAGATAAGACCATGTATGATCGGCTATAAAAATTAAATAACACTTCTAAATAATCCCTGGGTCAAAGAAAAAATTAGAAAGAAAATTTGAAAATATTTTGAATTTGAATTCAAATTTCAAATATTGATTTTGACATTTAAATATGCTTGATCTTGGACAACCAATTTGGATTGCTGAGTGTCAGTTTCTTCACCAATAAAGTGGAGATATTAACCTTCACTGGGTTATCATGAAGATTAAATGAAATAATGTATATAAAGCACTTAGCATAACTTCTGGCATAATAATAATACTTAATGTCATTGTTCATAATGAGAAGCCATTACTGAGGGCATATGGGCACACTTACAGGGTCTCCTGCTACTTTGATCATTCTGTCTTTGTTTTTTTGGTGGGGGAGAATCTCTAGCCAGTTGGATGGTATTAATAAGATCTCTCTCTCTCTCTCTTTATTTTCTGAGACATTGCTCTCTGTCACTCAGGTTGGAGTGTAGTGGCGCAATCATAACTTACTGCAGGCTCGAACTTCTGGGCTCAAATGATCCTCCTGCTTCAGCCTCCCAAGTAGCTGGCACTGCAGGAACGTGCCACACTCAGCTAATTTTCCTGATTTTTGGTAGAGACAATGTCTTGCTCTCATAAATGTTGCCCAGGCTGGTCTCGAATTCCCAAGCTGAAGTGATCCTCCGGCCTTGGGCTTCCAAAATGCTAGGATTACAGATGTGACCCACTGTGACCAGCTGAACATTCTGTCTTTCAATACTACCCAAGAAGACCACGCTGTATCATTCTACTCTTTATATCTCTTTGTTGATAAATGATCCCACCCTATCTGATTTAATTTTATCTCCTTACTGTGTAACATTACTGACAGACAGTGGATTTACGCAGGCACACAAGAGATTTATGCATCCTTTGAATCCAAACCTTGAGTTGAGGACGATGCTTCCATCCTCAGGCCCCCATTCGGCCTGGGAGTCTGTCTTCAGTACTATTGTTGACAAGACGCCAGTAGCACATCTAAAACCTGCCATTTGAGACTTTGACTTCATCACACTGGTTCTCCATTTCCCAAATATCAAAAAACAATTTGGGAAAATGAGGAACCATGATTCTCTTCTATTTTTCTTCCTAACTCAATTGTACAAATTCAGCAGTGATTTTCATGTACTCTGTTTCTTGAAGTATCTCCTTTTAAACGCTTATAATAATAACTACCTTACAGGAACACTGGTGTCTGATTAATTATTATTTGTCAAAAGATTTAGGATCTTCAGCTGGAAAGGGGATTGGGGATGCACACAGTATCATCTTGGAGAGCTCTGCATCTTGCTATATTGAATGGAGCTAGTGTCTCTGTGTAATCAAATTAACCACACTGCTAGGGCTTACGCTGTAATTAATGAAACCCGTGCAGACCAAATGAAGTGATCAGTCTATTATTTTTAGATTGAATAATTAAACCTGAAGAGCTTCAGTGCTTTTTCCAATAGCTTCCTTTTTTTCAGATGACTATTGACATTTTGGTTCTCAATCTCACTTCACTGTGTCAATTCGGTGTGTGTCCATTTGTCTCATGTCATGCAGAATTCATTATAACACCAAAAATGCTGAATCTTTACAAATGTATTTTTTTAAAAGAACTAAGGCCCACCTTAGAAACAAACTCAACATAATAGAAAGGTAAGGGGAATGGTATGCATTTTATCAAGGGCCTGCACTGTGTCAGGTACTGTGCGGGTACCTTACCTATTCAACTTCATCTAATTTTTTCCCAGCCACACAGTGAAGCTGGTCTAATCTCCATTTTACGGATGAAGAAAGTAGCTCAAGGAGGTAAAATTATTTAAGGTTACAAGCAAGCAAGGGGCAGAGGCAGTATTTGAACCCAAGCCTCTCTGATTCTAAAATTCACACTCTTTCCATGAGTAGCAGAGGCCTGTCTCTGTGCCCCATTCAAGAAATTATGTTATTCTGAGGCATGGGGACATACCTTCAGAGTCTTGTTGTGTCTCTGCAGCTCCCGGCACAGACTCTCCAATTTGCTTCGAGCGAGGATAGCTCTGCTGTGTTCACCTTGTAACTGGTCCTTTTCTTTTTGAATTTGTACCTGTTTCTTTTGGAGGAGCTTTAACTTCTTTTGCTCAGTACGATGTTCATCCAGCTGTACACATGGAGATACAAACATGAAAGAAAATGGCAGGGATCTCCTTGGAGTGGATAGAAAAAAAGCAAACCTAAAGATTACTCTGTGGTTGTTTGGAAACATTTTTTGCTATTATCTCTTCCTCTGGAAGTAAATGAAATTCACAAACGTCACCTTTGTAGTACTTGAAGGTATATAGTTTTTAGAACACAGCATTGATAGGTTTTTCATTATTATTAGTCTCTTTTTACTTTGATCTATTTTTGGATGGTCTAGAAATATTTTTCCTGAGTCTATCTAACCAATATTGAATAGCCAGACAAAATAGAAAGGCATGTCTCAGAATCTGTAAACTGCCAGAGTTCATGACGATGCCTTGCATTGAGGCAATGATCTAAAGTCTGTCTGCTTGGGTTGCATTGAGTTTTCCTAATTCTTCCTTGAAACAAGCTTCTAGCGCTATTTTTAAAAATAGGAAAGAGAAATGCAGCCTCCTGGTAAACAGAAGATGAAGTTCTCTTCTTTATAATGTTGGGCTCTGAGTGTGGATTGTTTATGTGTGGGAAAGGAGAAGAGAAAGTACCCTTCCACTACCTAAGCATTGACGGGTTTTCACCAAAGCATCAGAAATAGCTTCTGCATGATTCAACAGCATGAATAGCAAATATCTGTAACACGCCTTGTTGCTCCCCACCCGCACCCGCTCTGTGCTTATAACAAATAAATCATTCTGCTGGTTTCTGCTGAGCCCAGTTGAACTCTTCTCATGTTCCTCCAGCAGCCACAACTAAAGTACTGTATCAGGACTGCCTTGGAACATGAAACCAACTTACCGCTGTACTTTCCATCTTGGATGCTGAAGTTCTAGGGTAGGGTTGTCAGTAAAATGCAGGACACCCAGTTAAATTTAAATTTCAAATAAATAAGAAATAATTTTTAGCGTAAGTATTAATATATTCCAAATATTGCATGAGACATATTTTTGCCAAAAAGTTATTTGTTGTTTGTCTGAAACGTAAACTTTGTATTTTTATTTGTTACATCTGGCAGCATTATTATGGAGTTGTAGACCTGGTGTGGGGAGTATGGGGATCAACCTCAGAAGCCTCCAGAGAGAGATTGGTGGACTCTAGGAGTGTCGATCTCAGACTGACCATCGCTGGGGCCACATCCAAGCAGCAGCCCTTTGTCCAGAGCCATTTCCTCCACTGGCCTCAGTTTCTGTAGGGCCCAGATGGTGCTGAAGTCAGGTAAGTACTAGTCCTAATAACGACTTTGTTGGTGAACGGAAAGGAAAAGCCCTGGTTCTTCTGGACCTCAGGTGTTCTGGTGCCTCACAGAGCCTAATGCAAATGGATACAGATGCCACATGAGTCCTGACACGTGCCTCAGTTTCCCCATTTTAAAAAAGCCATTGGGGCTGGGCGTGGTGGCTCATGCCTGTAATCCCTGCACTTTTGGATGCTGAGGCAGGCAGATCATGAGGTCAGGAGATCAAGACCATCCTGGCCAACGTGGTGAAACCCCATCTCTACTAAAAATACATAAATTAGCCGGGCGTGGTGGTATGCACCTGTAATCCCAGCTACTTGGGAGGCTGAGGCAGGAGAATTGCTTGAACCAGGGAGATGGAGGTTGCAGTGAGTCATGATTGTGCCACTGCGCTCCAGCCTGGGCAACAGAGCAAGACTCCATCTCAAAAAATAATAAATAAAAAATAAATAGAAAAGCAGTTGTTCTTTCTGAGCAAGATGAACACCTGTCACACTTTCTTCGGTTCACATTTTATTTCTTTCCTCTCTCCCTCCTGCCACCCTAAAATAAGCATTTTAAACCCTTGCCAGATAAAGCTAAGGATATGTATATATGATATTCTATCTTCATACTTATGTGCAATTTCTAGCTACTAGTGGAAATTAGCATTGTAAAAACAAAACCCATATTACTAAAAATATTGATTGAAATAGATATCCTCCTTGGAAAATAAATAATCTGTTATTAAATATTTCTCATGCTAAGCTGCTCATAGTATAGATGTGAGCCTTTAATTTTGCACCATAGTTATTAGATAGGCGTGAAA
This sequence comes from Homo sapiens, assembly GCF_000001405.40. NCBI lineage: Eukaryota > Metazoa > Chordata > Mammalia > Primates > Hominidae > Homo > Homo sapiens. The sequence goes on from NC_000006.12 coordinate 139,272,689, forward strand.
TTTCTTGTACATATATTTGGATTTAAAATGACTATTGTCCTTTCTTGAAATTTATATATTGTAGGCCAGGCACGGTGGCTCATGCCTGTAATCCCAGCACTCTGGGAGGCTGAGGCAGGCGGATCACCTGAAGTCAGGAGATGGAGACCAGCCTGGCCAACATGGTGAAACCTCATCTCTACTAAAAATACAAAAATTAGCTGAGCCTAGGGGCGGGTGCCTGTAATTCCAGCTACTTGGGAGGCTGAGGCAGGAGAATCACTTGAGCCTGGGAGGCGGAGGTTGCAGTGAGTTGAGATCGTGCCATTGCACTCCAGCCTGGGTGACAAGAGCAAGACTCCATCTCAAAAAAAAAGAAAAAAGAAAAAGAAAAGAAATTTATATATTGTTATTATTATTGCCATTCTGGCGTAGACTTTACCTTCTGAAGATTAAACCATATGTCAGGGCTTCTGAACCCCAGCACAAGTAACATACTGGGCCAGATAATTTTTTGTTGTTGGGGCTGTCCTATGCCTTGTAAGTTGCTCAACACCATCCCTAGCCCCTACCTGCTATATGCCAGTAGCACTGCCCAATTGCGACACCCCAAAATATCTCCAGACAGACATGCCTATTGTCGCCTGGTGAACAAAACTGTCCCTGTTTAGGGAACTCTGCACTATGTGGCTTTATCTGAGTGTCAGGAGGAAGACACCCTACAGGTGTTTCATAAATTGGAAAGAGAAATGATTTGTGCTTGCTCATTTTCCATTTAATGTTTTATTTTTATTTTTAATTTTAATTTTTTAGAGACAGCGTCTTGCTCAGTCATCCAGGCTGGAGTGCAGTGGCACAATCATTCATAGTTCACTGAAGCCTCAAACGCCTAGCTCCAGCCATCCTCCTGCCTCAGCCTCCTGAGTAGCTGGGACAACAGTTGTGTGCCACCATGCCCAGCTAATTTTTTTGTAGAGATGGGTTCTTGCCATATTGTCCAGGCTAGTCTTGAACTCCTGAGCTCAAGCAATCTGCCTGCCTTGGCCTCCCAGAGTGCTGGGATTACAGGCATGGGCCACTGTGCTTGGCCTATTTTGTTTCTAATATTAAGCCAGATAATACTCCAGAACTTTCCTTTATATTTAAAAAAATTTAAATTATTAACAAAGTAATTCAGCCAATATTCAAGTGATTCTTGGCATTGAAGACAATGAAAAATACACATTCCCTGCCCTCTAGGTTCTTACTGCCTAGCTTCAATCAAATGCTGGCTTTGTGATTTAACTTAGGCATAGTTCTTCTGTACAACTGTAATAGGCATATAGAATTTCTGTCTGTAATTTCTCTTGTTTTCTTTCTCTTTTTTTACTAAGTTAAAAAGTAAAATTAATGCTAAGTACTAAATTAAAATCCTATTACTGATGTTGTCTTAACTACATAAGAATTGAGGAAATTAAATGTGAAAAATATTTCTCCCAGGCCATTTCCTAATTTAGTCATGAAATGTCCTTACTTATTAATGAGCTTATCTTTATTTATTAATGAATACAATGTCAGATAATATTACAGGATTTAGACTCTGCAAGGATGAGTGAGCTAGAGTGGCAGTTTGATTCACAGCTTTGAATTTGATGATTTATTCTATGTGAACACTTATATTTCAGTCATTTTCTATATTAATATCCAAATCAGTGAGCAAGGAAATAGGCTTTAGTCTCCACGTAAAAAATTGAAATTCCTCATAATTTTTCTTTTCTGAAAAGGAAATGTGATAAGTTTTTTGGGTTAATCTTCTCCTATTCATTTTTTCTAAGGTGATCTCTCAGGTTCGAAAGTTTTTTACGAGAGATGATACAAATGCCAAAATATAGCAAGTAAGGCTTGAATTGAATATGGTCTCTGGAAAAACAATCTCTTGTTTATTGGGGGTGACTGCTTTGCTAGGAGGATGAGTAGGTACAGGGAGTTCCCTGAGACCAGGATGAACAACCCTGGCTCATGGAGAAAATATCGGTAAGTCTGGAAAAGTGATGCTTCCCCAGTGCACTGTCGTGGGAATGTAACACCACACATCACTTCCTGTATTAGTCTAGAATGCTGCCCAGTCCCCTCAAGTATAGAACATGGCGCTGGAAACTAAACATGAATGGCCTTGGTATGAGTTGGTAAATCGAAGGGGTAAAGGAAAAATGACTCAGAAAATACTAAAAAGAGCAAGGATGGATAGGTGAGAATCGCATGGAAACGTGAGAGTGGGGGCCAGATTTGGGGAGAAAATATTATTTTTGACACCTAAATTATTTTTATGGTATTGAAATTGTTAATAGCCAATGCAATACAAGTTGCAAGAAAATTGATACACTGATACTTGCTTTGTGAGTTTCTACTGCTCTTTTGGAAAGCAATATGGCCATAAAGTTTAAAAACCAGAAAGCACTCATCTTGTTTAATTTAGTAAGCCTATTTCTGGAAATTTTTCTTAAAATCATAAAAAAGAAGGAAAAAGAACAAAGCTAATACGTGATGATGTTCAATGCAGAAATATTTGGTAAAGCAAAACAGTGAGAGGAATTTAAATATATTCAAATTATTGAATCAGTAGATACAGCCACTTAATGGAATATGACACAACTTTTACAAAATATATTTGTGAAGACTATATATTATATGGAAAAATGCCTGTCACGTAAGAAAACCAGATATCAACTTATATGTACCTTATGACTGTAATTATAATAAAAATCTGCATACACAGTAGAACAGGAAAAGAATATGCATAGAACAAAGTTTGTATTTTACATGAGGGATTAGAGATTTTTTGTTTATTTTGTGTATTCAGCATTATATATCTTCGTGAAGTAGTTTGTGTGTCTAAAAAATAATTTAAAAATACTGTTGGCAGGGTTAAGCAAACAGCCAGTCACGCAGAGTTTCAGAATTTTTCTGGATCTACTGCATAATAGTTCAGCATAACAGGACACATTAGGTAGAAGAACAGAAAGATTACAGGACTAGATTCAGAGTGAAAAACAAAGAAAACAAGTCACTTACTAAAGTGTGCTCCATCAACAGGGATGAAGAGTTTGTGGGCCTGAAGCTTATTCAGTTTTGGAGGCCCTCTTCAAAATAAAAAATTAAAGAGAATTAGGCCCCGGGCCTCAAAGGGGCCCATGCAAGTGAGATGTCCTGAGGTTTAAGCTTCCTCAGCTGCAATGGTAAATCTACTGTTGGGGGCAGTTCAACTTACTGCCTGGAGGGATTTTTTGCTATATGTAGTCTCTTAAGTTGCATTCTCCTGTCACTGTTTCTCCAAAAGAAGTAAGTGAAAGAATTTTTGTTTTGCCTCAAACTACCTTTTATTTGCAACTACATGATTTCATGCAATTCTTCTAAACAACGACATAAAATAGATTTCCTTGTTTATAAATAACTTAAATATGCCCCATATAGTACATGCTGAAAGTTGCTAGAACAGTTCATCCACTCCTATAGTATTCTGGTATCCAACAGAGTTGATGCACATATATAAATGCCAAGTCCAATATTAAAAACTCAGGCAACTGACTAACTTTAATAAAGTTTCCCAAACTATGTCAATATACCTAAAAATGCGTATATGTACAAAAGAAAGATTATTCTCAATAACTTCTATAAAAATAAATTCAATTGTTTGTTCCATCTAACTTCACTACTATTAGTATGAATTTTTAGTGTATGGTAAGATTTATTTTACCTTTTTCTCAACATGACACCAACACAGTCAAAAGGAGCTAGTGAGGTGCTAACATGCGAGAATTAACCCAGTGATTCTGGTCACAATGCATTTCAGGTAGAGGTACCTATGTCACTGGGATTGGGTGATATGGTTTATTTTCATTCCCTGATTTAGATAACCAAATGGATCAGATAGAGATTCTGATGGGCATTCCTTCAAAAGAATTTTTTAAGAAGCAGAAATAAAGGAGAAGGCCACTGCCTAGCTTTACTAGAGAGAATGCCACATCTTAGCTGTGGGTCTCATAATCTGCAGGGTTAGCGCACAGACCTCAGATGTTGCTGTTTACAATTCATTCTCGGATTGGCAGGTGTTTGTTGTTCCTTGAAGCTAGAGGCACTGGGCTCACTAATCGTTCTGAGAAAAGAAGCTAATCCAAGATCTTACCAATTCAGCATACTTCTTGAATAAAAAATCAAACTTTTCTTCCGGTGTTTGCAACTTGTTCAGATTTTGCATTAGCAGGTTGGCTTCTTTGCCTTAAAAAAAAAAGACATGAAAAAAATAAGTGTTGAATTTACAGTCAGGTGATAAGGGCTGGAGTCTCAGATTGACCACTTGCTAATTATTCCCAACCTTGGCTAAGCCATTCATCTTATCAGATGTAATTTTCTTTCCTATAGAAATGATGACACCTACCTTACAGAGTGAACATTAGTTGGGAAGTTTGTGAATGTGTGGTACGGTGTGAGGTTCATGGCAGACTCTCAATAAATGTTTGCTATAACAGAAGTCTCCCAGTTTTCATCACAAGAATCCGTTCTTATTTCTCCTCCCTGTATTCTTCAGAATCAAAAGATTTTATACATCAAAAATACTTTCTGAAAGAATACGTCACCCGTTTTCCCACTTGAATTAACAAAAAGGAAGCAAAACAGCCAATCAAAATTTCCGACTAGTATGAAACAGCAACACGGAGTTGCTGGGATTCCAGCCAGAAGCAGAGAAGCTTGATGAAGTAGCCTGCCCGTTTTTTCCCCTGTGTTTTTTGTTCTTTTGGTACTTCTTTTCCCTCTTTTAGGGGGAACCAAGTTTCTCTTTTTTGTACATAAACCCATTCCCTGGCGTTGGAGTGGGAATAACTCTGATCCTGTTTCCTACCAAATAGAATAAAATCATTATAGAAGGAAAACCAAGTAAAGACATGGAGAGCCTTTCCACAAGCCTTTTTCTGTCTCTGTGATAATGGACACAGCCTTCTCTGGCCTTCCTTTCCCCCACCTAGGCCTTAATATCCGTTGGCAGTTTCATTTTGTTTCCAGTTGGAGTTTATGCTACACTAAAAAAAAATTAACCCTGTTAAATAATCATGAAAGGGTGGGGCATTTTTCCCATCCCTACCTATCTATGAAAACCACTCTGTTTAATCAGAATAGGGTGGTCAAGCCACACAACAAAGCCCACACTTCCTGACATAAATCTGCTTAAGAAAATTGACAACCTTTCCCCCAAGAACAGACATTTCCCCTTGGCTAGAGTACTTGCTTTCATCTTGGAGAGGCATATATGTCATGAAATTAGGATTGCCAGATGAAATATAGGACATGGGGCATATTTGTACTAAAAAATGATTCGTTGTTTACCTGAAATTCTAATTTTTCTGGACATCCTGTATTTTCCTTTGCTAAACCTGGCAACTTTACATGGAATCAAGGAATTTTAGGTCTAGAAGGAATTTCAAAGAGCATCCAGACTAACCGGTTAATTTTATGCATTTTAGTATTTAAGGCCCAGAAAAGTCCAAAGTTACATGATTAGTGCTGGCAGAGAGAAGGCTTGAATCCAAGGCTAGCCTACTTGTTCTAAGTCACTCCACTCTCATGTGGAATTCTGATGCTAGAGAGACCTAGAGAAATAGAAGGCAACTTTTTTTTTAAATGACCTCATTCCCAACAGTTAGTTTTGTCTATCTTTGCCTAGTGAGTCAGTTCAGATTAGCCTAAAACAGGGGAAGGTGGGTGTGAGTAGGGTCCCTCCCAGCTCTCCAATTATGGCCTGTGGCATTTGCAGCTGATAATCACTGACGCCTCGCCCCTGCCAGGCATGTGCTTTGGGTTATCCCTCTACTGACAGGGATGGATTTGCATTGGTCAGGCCATCCCTTCACCTTTGTCTTCAGTCCAGGGAAGGTGCCCACATGAAGACTACAATCTCAAGTTAGAGTGTCATCTATTAAAGTCAAGAGACTACTCTTGATCATTCTTGGCCCAGGATGCAACACAGTGTTTGGCCCATGGCAAGTGCTCAGTAAATGATGATAATAATAGAATAAAACAAAGCTGGCCAGGCACGGTGGCTCACGCCTGTAATCCCAACACTTTGGGAGGCTAAGGCGGGCGGATCACGAGGTCAGGAGATCAAGACCATCCTGGCCAACATGGTGAAACCCCATCTCTACTAAAATACAAAAACTTAGCTAGGCTTGGTGGTACATGCCTGTAGTCCCAGCTACTCGGGAGGCTGAGGCAGGGGAATCACTTGAACCCAGGAGGCAGAGATTGCAGTGAGCTGAGATTGCACCACTGCACTCCACTGCAAAAAACAAACGAACAAATAAAAAAATCAAAGCCAACTAGCTCAAACTCGTATCATGTGAATCAAATAAACACTGTCATGAAAACAATTTTTTGTGACCAACTAGAGGAAAAACAGGTCTTACTCTCACCTGTGATGTTTTATGTATCCTGGAATACCTCTCAGTGTGTGTACCGACATGTGAAACCATTACCTGTCTTGTTTGGGAGAGATAGAAATGAGTGAGTCCAAAGGTTCTTGCTTTCTTCCCACATTAAGTATCTTCTCCCCTTTGGTTTTATTTTCTGTGACTGTGAGAAGAGGTTTCTTTTTGGTTTTGTTTGTTTTGTTTTTTACTCTTCACACTCACTGAGGTCTCTTTCTGCTCTACTGTGTTATTTTGTATAGAAGGTTAACATCCAGGTGCATCAATATGCCTTCAAAAATTATTCTTCCCTTCAACAAAAAATCCAGGAAACAGAATTTCTATTTGTAAGTCTCACAGGAAAAGCACTAAAACTGGAGATTAATTAAAAAAAATCCAGGAAACTGGAGATGGGCATGTGCAGAATTCATAAATTTACAACATCACTGACCTCAGTTTTTAAACTTCCATTGGTGTTGTGGGACTAGGGTGCTATGTGAAGTAATCATGGAGGAGGGGAGTAGACAGAGACTTGCTCATCATCTACAAAAGGCTATCATTACATCTCCATGGAAATAGGGTCATTTGGTGACAGTGTCAAACAAAAGAGGAAAAACTGACTTTATTCAGGGACGCTTTATCAGGAAGGAATCACCTGCCTTCTCCCTAATGTGTTCTTCCAAAGCAAGCTTCATTTCTTCCTCATGAAAGCTAGGAAGGCATGTGGGCATGTAGCCACCACACTGCGAAATGCTCAGCGTGGTAGGAAGTCTACATGAAAGTGGAACCACCTGTGTAGCAGACACAGCGCTGTTGCATAAGGCTGTGGTCACTGGCACAGTTTTATTGGAAGGTGGAGAAATTATTTTTACATCAAAGAAACAAAAAAACTGGCCGAGCGTGGTGGCTCATGCTTGCCGAGGCGGGCAGATCACGAGGTCAGGAGATCGAGACCATCCTGGCCAACGTGGTGAAACCCTGCCTCTTCTAAAAATACAAAAATTAGCTGGTGTCGTGGCACATGCCTGTAATCCCAGCTACTCTGGAGGCTGAGGCAGGAGAATCGCTTGAACCAGGGAGGCAGAAATTGCAGTGAGCCGAGACTGTACCACTGCACTCCGGCCTGGCAACAGAGCAAGACTCTCTCTCTAAAAAAAAAAAAAAAAAAAAAAAAGAAAGAAAGAAAGAAACAAAAAACCTGAAATTAAAGGCAACTAAGCCAGCTGCAGAAATGTGGACCAGGATTTTTCTGAAACTTTTAGCATAGTAATGATTGTTTATACTAAGTTTGGTGACAACTTATGCAGATTTAATGTGTTCAAATCACCAGAGGTCGGGAGAACCAGCCTGGCCAATACATAGTAAAACCGCGTCTCTACTAAAAAATACAAAAATTAGCTGGGCGTGGTGGCGCACGCCTGTAGTCCCAGCTACTTGGGAAACTGAGCAGGAGACTCGCTTGAACCTGAGAGGCAGAGGTTGCAGTGAGCTGAGATTGGCCACTCCACTCCAGCCTGGGGGACAGAGCGAGACTCCATCTCTCAAAAACAAAAGTATGCCTTTTCTCTTCCAAAATTTTTTTTTTAGAACTTTGGGGTTAAATTTCATTATAAATACGTACTTGTGTACCTCTCTAACCACCTTCCTGATTTCCATGAATTGTGGCAGAAACTTAAAGCCAGAAAAGACTGTGAATGTCCCTCTTTCAAATGTTAGACCTAGATTTATATTTCACTGTTAGTTTTGTTTTTCTTCTAATAGGATATGATTTCTAAAAATAAGCATGAGATAAATAATTCCTGAGCATCTATAGATATCTTTTAAGGGAAGTAAAATTCATGTATGCAGGGGATAGGAAGGAAAGTATTATTAAATTCACACTGGATTAAGGATAGGAGACCTGGGTTCCAGAACCAACTCTGCCATCAACTAGTTGAGTGATTTATTTATTTATTTTTTTATTTTTTTATTTTTATTATTTTGTGTGTGTGTGGACTCTCAAACTCTCTGGCTTTAATTTCCCTGTCTATAAAATTAGTGGGTTGACTAAATGGATTCTGAGTTCAACCTTTAAGATTTGGTCATTTCACAACTAAAATAGCTTTCACCATTTTTAGCTTGATTTAGATAACAATGAAAACAAAAGCAACATTGTTTGGATGGCATATTTGTTATCTTAGACTATTATGGTCCACTTTTTTAATTTACAAAGGTTCTCTTACTCCTCACTGTCACCACTCATTGTCAGGGTTTTCATTTGCTTGTTTCGTTTGGTTTTAAGGCCTGTATCAGCTTCGAAAATACCACCTAGCCTGTGTTTTCTTGTCAGATTTTGTTCCCTTTGGCTGACATTTTCTATCTCTTATCTTTCAGTGGCCTTGTCATATTTGTAGGGGAACTTTGGCCTCTCACTCAGTAGGAGAGTGGATCTGGAGTTCTTTTTTTTTTTTTTTTTTTTTTTTTTTGAGACGGAGTCTCGCTCTGTCGCCCAGGCTGGAGTGCAGTGGCGCGATCTCGGCTCACTGCAAGCTCCGCCTCCCGGGTTCACGCCATTCTCCTGCCTCAGCCTCCCGAGTAGCTGGGACTACAGGCGCCCGCTACCACGCCCGGCTAATTTTTTGTATTTTTAGTAGAGACGGGTTTTCACCGTGTTAGCCAGGATGGTCTCGATCTCCTGACCTCGTGATCCGCCCGCCTCGGCCTCCCAAAGTGCTGGGATTCCAGGCGTGAGCCACCGCGCCCGGCCCTGGAGTTCTTATTAGGTCAACAGTGATGATGTGTATACACTATTACCAATAACAAAAATAAAAATATTAGAAAAAACAGTAAAATATTCATCCATCCACTCCCTACCTTGGTCAGAAGAGAGTACTAATAATTTTCCTCAAGGCTTTTCTCTCCCCTTCCATCTGCTTCTGTAAACTCTCCTCCCTGTCAAGGTCTGGTCTAGGTTCTAGCTTCTCTATGAATCTACCTGTCAAGCTTTGTCTCTGCTTATTCCTCTTTCCCTTGAATTTCTCTGGTCTTCTTATCATCTCCTTCAGAAAATTTAGTCTCCTTCAGAAAATACCATCTCCTTCAGAAAATATCAAAGCTGCAGTTTATTACTCTCTCAGAGAAACTAGAAATCAAGCTAAAACAGATGAAACAGACTATCTGGGAGAGTGACCGGACCGTTCAAAGGAAGACTAGGGGCCGGGCGCGGTGGCTCACGTCTGCAATCCCAGCACTTTGGGAGGGTGAGGTGGGCAGATCACTTGAGGTCACAAGTTCGAGACCAGTCTGGCCAACACAGTGAAACCCCGTCTCTACTAAAAATATAAAAATTGGCCATGCATGGTGGCACGTGGCTGTAATCCTAGCTACATGGGAGACTGAGGCAGTAGAATCGCTTGAACCTGGGAGGTGGAAGTTGCAGTGAGCTGAGATCGCACCACTGTACTCCAGCCTGGGCAACAGAGTGAGACTTTGTCTCAAAAAATAAAGGAAGACTATGTAAATGGATGTCTGAAGACATTTCAGAATACTGATGTCCTAGTCAGGAGCCTCTCAGAAGGTACCACTGAAGCTCACTTGTAACTAGAAAGACAAAATTCATTAACTGAGGTGTAATAAATGCTCCTTAACCAATATGATGCTTGCTTCTGTACCACTTTGGTCCTGCGATGTCAGTGACACAAAGTCCATCCCTTGCTTTATGACTAATCTCACAATCACATCAACTAGATGAGTAACATTTTTTGGTGGATTCTGAAACTCCCTAGGCTTCAATTTCCCTGTCTATAAAATTAGTAGGTTGACTAGATGGATTCTGAGCTCAGAATAGCCCTGTGAATGAGCTTTGTTTTTCTCCCAGCCCACATAATGTTGTCAAAGAAGTGATAAATGAGAGATACCTCTGAGCCTGGAGGATGCGAGTAGGAGAACAAAGGGGATACTTTAGATGTGAACTTGGCATGGTGCCGCATAATGGGAAATCTGTTTTCATTTCTTTCATTTCAGATGCCAAGGGGAAAGTGACTTTACCCACGAGAGAGATTTTTAAATATTCCCCCAACTGCTCCGGTAAGTACTGCGTTTATTGTAGGAGAAAGTGCAGCCTCAAAAGGAAAAAGAAGTCCTGGGAGCTTAGGTTGTAGAGACATTTCCCAAATATTCAAGGTGTTCTGTAAAAAAAAAAAAAAAAAAGCCTTGGCCAGGCGTGGTGGTTCATGCCTGTAATCCCAGCACTTTGGGAGACCGACGCAGGCGGATCACCTGAGGTCGGGAGTTCAAGACCAGCCTGACCAACATGGAGAAATCCTGTCTCTACTAAAAATACAAAATTAGCCGGGAGTGGTGGCACATGCCTGTAATCCCAGCTACTTGGGAGGCTGAGGCAGGAGAATCGATTGAACCCGGAGGGCGGAGGTTGTGGTGAGCCGAGATCGCACCATTGCACTCCAGCCTGGGCAATGAGAGCGAAACTCCGTCTCAAAAAAAAAAAAAAAAAATGTCTCTCATAGATCCAATCAGTCAATAAGTTTTGGAAATGATGGAAACTATGCCCATCACTATTTTAGATCTTCATTGTGTATACAGTAAAGGTCAGAGAATTCTGGCAGTAAAGAAACTGTTTAACTTTGTGAAATCTCAAGCATCCCAAAGTAGACACACTTTGGAAAATGTTGTAGTAGAGAGTCAAAACATTTTAGCATCTCAAATGTGCCAATAAAGCAAATAGCATCTAATAAATACAATGATTAAAGACATCTTTGATCAAGTACATAAGCAAAATCTAAGAATATATCTTCAGATATGGGTTGAATGACTTATTAAAATTCTCTAAGAGGTCCAAATAGGTTATAAAAGGAGACCACAGCCAGATGTTTATATTTTCTCCAAAAGAGCAGAGAAAACACTTTCTGAAGAATCAGAACCATTGCTTCCACAATCTGTGTCAAAATTACCCAGGGTGAACATCTCCCATGCTCGCCTAAAAATTTTCCTGTTCCTGCTCTTGCACTTACACTATATGACAATTAGCTTATGTGTCTTCTTCTTCCTCTCTACCTAGAGATCCTTGACTAAAGGCCATGACTTATTTATCTTTGCGCACCTAGCACAGTGCATCATAAAGACTAGGCATTAATAAATACTCATTGTGGGCCGGGTGCGGTGGCTCACGGCTGTAATCCCAGCACTTTGGGAGGCCGAGGCGGGTGGATCATGAGGTCAGGAGATCGAGACCATCCTGGCCAACACAATGAAACCCCGTCTCTACTAAAAATACAAAAATTAGCTGGGCATGGTGGCACATGCCTGTAATCCCAGCTACTCGAGAGGCTGAGGCAGGAGAATCGCTTGAACTAGGGAGCTGGAGGTTGTAGTGAGCCGAAATCGCGCCACTGCACTCCAGCCTGGCAACAGAGTGAGACTCTGTCTCAAAGAAAAAAAGTAAATAAATAAAAATAAATAAATAAGTACTCATTGAGGACGTGAGGATAGGTAGAAATTTCTAGGCAAAGAAACTAGAATGTGCACAGGCCTTGTGGGAGATGGCGTATAGCATGTTCAAAGAACTGAGAAACTAGATCATGCTTCACTCCAGGCCTACAAACTCCAAATATCTGTGTGTGGGGGCTCAGGAGGAGCATTTTTCACAAATTTTGCAATTGATTCTAATAAACAGTTAAGTTGGAAAACCATTAGTCTAGACGATAGCACAGTACCATTTAACTGAAAAGTAGCTAAGAAGGCTGCCAAAGCTACTTGCAAACAACTGAAAGTTTAAAATGGTGGTTACAAGTTGAGGTTAGCCTAAAAATGTTGTTTTCATGCATAATGTAGCTGTTAAATAGTACAGTGTTTAAAATAATATGCTAATGATGATGAGTGGGAAGGCACAGAAAGGTCATGAGCCCACACATACTCAATTAGAGTGGACACACCTAGGTACTCTAATCCACAAGCATTGATTTTGGTCAAACACAGTCAGTTGGAATTTGGTATCGTAAATAGCGGCAGAATTAGGGAGTTGGAATTTTTAAAAACATCATCCTGACTATTTGGTAATTGTAAGGTTAATGCAGATTATGAAATAACTCATGGAAGAGAGTAGAAACCCAAATTGGTTATTTTAACTTTATCCCTATTTTCTTCATATCTTTCCCCTCAACACACACACACACACACACACACACACACACACACACACACACACACCCCAATTCTTATGTAAAAGTTTTAGGGTGATTGAAAAATAACTTTTCTGGTTAGGAACACTTGAAGTTGCTTACCTCTGGAATGAGATTTTGTATATTGTCTTACGGAAACTTGAATAATGACTAACTTTGCAAAGGGACACATTTGAGATGTTTTGTCAGAGAAGAAAAAATTGCTCTGTAACACAGAGCAATTTTATTATGTTTTTCCATGTTCCAAAACACTAGAGTGATTCCAACCCTGCACTTTGGAACTTGAAGATACTTAAAAGTTATTATCTGAGTTCTTTTAATTTTATCCTAGTTGGGTGAAGTATGCTACCTGAATGTATTATTTAGGCCTTCTTGAAAGCATTGTAGCAATGGGTTTTAGCATCATAGCGATATCTGTAGGAAAATAGCCCCTTGCATGGCAAGAGTGATGCCATCGTAAAGCAAACCTGCCATGATGACCAATGTTTGACTCCTCCATACCAAGGTGTTCTGCAGCAGATATCTCCAACCCTCAGGCCACGGACTGGTACCAGTCATTGTGGGCTGCATAATGGGAAATCTGTTTTCATTTCTTTCATTTCAGATGCCAAGGGGAAAGTGACTTTACCCACGAGAGAGATTTTACCCACGAGAGGCCTCTATCAGTTTCGAAAATACCACCTAGCCTGTGTTTTCTTGTCAGATTTTGTTCCCTTTGGCTTACATTTTCTATTTCTTATCTTTCAGTGGCCTTGTCATATTTGTAGGGGAACTTTGGCCTCTCACTCAGTAGGAGAGTGGATCTGGAGTTCTTATTAGGTCAACAGTGATGATGTGTATACACTATTACCAATAACAAAAATAAAAATATTAGAAAAAACAGTAAAATATTCATCCATCCACTCCCTACCTTGGTCAGAAGAGAGTACTAATAATTTTCCTCAAGGTTTTTCTCTCCCCTTCCATCTGCTTCTGTAAACTCTCCTCCCTGTCAAGGTCTGGTCTAGGTTCTAGCTTCTCTATGAATCTACCTGTCAAGCTTTGTCTCTGCTTATTCCTCTTTCCCTTGAATTTCTCTGGTCTTCTTATCATCTCCTTCAGAAAATTTAGTCTCCTTCAGAAAATACCATCTCCTTCAGAAAATATCAAAGCTGCAGTTTATTACTCTCTCAGAGAAACTAGAAATCAAGCTAAAACAGATGAAACAGACTATCTGGGAGAGTGACCGGACCGTTCAAAGGAAGACTAGGGGCCGGGCGCAGTGGCTCACGTCTGCAATCCCAGCACTTTGGGAGGGTGAGGTACCAGTCCGTGGCCTGTTAGGAACTGGGCTGCACGGCAGGAGATGAGTGGCAGGCGACAGAGCAAAACTTCATCTGTATTTGCAGCTGCTCCCCATCACTCACATTACCACCTGAGCTCCACCTCCTGTCAGGTCAACGGTGGCATTAGATTCTCATAGGAGCGTGAACCCTATTGTGAACTGCACATGCAAGGGATGTAGGTTGCATGCTCCCTGTGAGAATCTAATGCCTGATGATCTGTCACTGTCTCCTGTCACCCCCAGATGGGACCGTCTAGTTACAGGAAAACAAGCTCAAGGCTCCCACTGATTCTACATTACGGTGAGTTGTATAATCATTTCATTATATCTTACAATGTAATAATAATAGAAATAAGGTGCACAATAAATGTAATGCACTTGAATCATCCCGAAACTATCCCTCCCCAGTCCATGGAAAAACTGTCTTCCCTGGTGCCAAAAAGGTTGACGGCTGTTCTGCAGCAAGGTCTTTAAACAATGCCTGTGACATAGACAATCCCTCAGAAAGATGCTTATCTAACGTTCCCAGTGGTCATGACTTTTGGCAAGAAAGTTGGAGATGTGACCAGCTGCACATGACTTTACCTAAAAGCTTGCTATGTAAAGGACACTTTCTGGAGAGTGGGTGTAGGAATTCACTGTCTCACTGCTGCCCAAGACAGCACTACTGTTTGTAAGCCCCTATTAAATATTTCTTTCTGAGAAAGTGGATTTGTCAGCCTCTGTTTTTGGCCTTCAGCTCCCTTGGCCTTTGTGGGTAGGTTTGTATATACCTGCTCACTGCAGAAAAATATTCTACTCCAGTTTGTGATATATTTGGGTTTACAGATAGTCTGGTTACTGGAGTTTGAACCCAGTTCTGACTCCAATGCTCATGATCTTTCACTCTACCACATAGTCTTCCAGAAACAAATCATATGTGGTCTCTGCCCTTGATAGATTCTCCATCTAGCATGAGAGATGGGTATATAAACAAATGATTGCTGCAGAAAATTTAATAGAAAACTAAGGAAGGTGATGCTAACTCTACCTGGGCATGTCAGGGAAAGTATCACATAGGAGGGAGTATTCGTAGTGAGTGTTTCCACCAGGAAAGACAAGCAGAGGGACTTTCCTATGTACAGTAACATGCTTCACTCATAGTTTTAAAAATTAACGTTCTCACCCTTTTTTCCCAGCCATCGTTGGTGTCACCAATCTCCCATGCTCTCCTAAAAAATTTTCCTTTTCCCGTTTTTGCACTTCTCCTATATAATTAATTTACATGTCTTCTGTTTTCTCTATACTTACAGCTCCTTGACCAAAAGACCATGATTTATTTATCTTTGTGCACCTAGCACAGTGCCTTACAAAGACTAGGCATTAATAAACACTCATTGGGCACCTGAAGATAGGTACAGATTTCTAGGTAAAGAAACTAGGATGTGCACAGGCCTTGTGGGCGATGGAGCATAGCATGTTCAAAGGCCTGAAAGACAAGATCAGAATGACTAGCTATTAGGCAGTAGTGGTGGTGGTGGTAATAGAGGCAGAGTGTTCAGGAAGGTGATGTTGTAGGGTAGAGTAATCTGAGATAAAACTGGGACTGGTTGGAGTTAGACCATTAGGATCTTAGAGAACATGTTAAAGATTTTGGTCTTCATCCTAAGAGCAGTAGGAGGCCACGGAACAAAGGGTCAATGGGTAACACACTGAAAAGTTCACCTGAGCTCCATTGAGGGGTAAGGGCTGGGGACAAATACAACAAGGGAAAATATAGAAGGCTACTACAGTCATCCAAATATTGGATGTGGCTTTTAGTGAAGTTTGGAAGAAGTGCCCCTTTTTTAGGAATACCATACAGAAAAGTCACATATTTGAACATAACTACTTGCCTAATCCTTTTAGGATTTTCTTTTCCAATTTTTGCTCCTTATTGCTGACGGGCTCTTTGACAGTGGGTGGCTCTCCAGAAGCAACGGGTTCTCTTCCAGCCTCTTCAGTTGTTTCCTCACAGTCCCCATCCTCGTTGTCAGGTGATTCTGCATTCTCAGGCTGCTCACTGGCCCTGGCAGAGCCCTCTTTCCCTGCTGTGCTGGCAGCAGACCCATAAGTGTTAATGATGTCTTCCAGCTGTCGATTCAGCTCTTCAGAGATATCGGGGTGCACACTTGCCTCTTTCTCTGGTGGTTGGACTGGGGTTGGAGAATCCTGGCCATCTTCCTTCTCCAGGCCATTGTGACTGGGTAATGATGAACTGTCACCTGGAGGTGTTGACTGTCGTTCCGCTGAGAGCTGTTCAGAGTGATTAGCCTCCATCTTGGGAGTAGTATCTAGTGGTAAGCACAGTTAGGCTTTATGTAGCTAACCTACTTGCTACATATCAATGCTACATTTCAATGGTAAGGATATCCCCCAAGTGAATACCAACTAATTATAGTCTCTAACGTAGAGAAAGGCAATGTCCTTTCACAAACCATTGATGTTACTAAGGGAGGAGACCACCCCTCATATCGTCTTATGCCCAATTTCTGCCTCCAAAGAAGAAGTAAAAACTAAAACGCAGACATGAAATCCACAGGCAGACAGCCTGGTGCCGCGCCCTGAGCCTGGTAGTTAAAAATTGACCCCTGACCTAATAGGTTATGTTATCTATAGATTACAGACATTGTATAGAAAAGCACTGTGAAAATCCCTATCCTGTTTTGTTTCGATCTAATTACCGGTGCATGCAGCCCCCAGTCACGTACCCCCTGCTTGCTCAATCAATCACAACCCTCTCACGTGCACGCACTTAGAGTTGTGAGCCCTTAAAAGGGACAAGAAATGCTCACTCAGGGAGCTCGGCTCTTGAGACAGGAGTCTTGCTGACGCTCCCGGCCGATTAAACTGCTTCCTTCTTTAACTGGGTGTCTGAAGGGTTTTGTCTGCGGCTTGTCCTGCTGCATTACAATTATTAAAGTAGGGACAGTGGAAAGTTGTTTTTCCAAATCAAGTCACACTGCTGGCATATTTTTGGTTTTGATCTTCAGTTTTCAGTAGCATTCCTTATTATTCACATTAAGAAAGTAATTCATGCTATTTTTCTTTGTGGCCATATTTGTCATTTTGCTTACACTAGTCAGTTTGTGTTACCATTTTCCTGTATAATTCTATGTAGATTAACAATCACTGGGGGTACATGACTGTATATATTTAAAATGTTTAAATATAAAGTGGTATTAGTTTTCTTTCAAAGTTAAAATATTTAATAGAAGAGCCATTGAATTTATTTAAATAACTCATAAGAATAACATCTCTAAGCTCTATTTGATCCATAAATCAATATTTTGCTTAGTGTGAATATTTTGATGTAAATGCATTATTACACTGGATAGAGGAGACATTTCTCACTTTTCTGGCATTTTCTTTTTCAGATAAGCAACACGAATGCTTTTTTTGAGGCTTAAACTGGCATCATTTTTAGATTAAGACAGGGAATGAGGGAAGGTATAAATAAATAGACAAAGTAGTATGGAAACACGGGCCAGGTGCTGTGGCTCATGTCTGTAATCCCAGCACTTTAGGAAGCCGAGGCGGGTGGATCCTTGAGGCCAGGAGACCAGCCTGGCCAACATGGTGAAACCCTGTCTCTACTAAAAATACAAAAATTAGCCAGGTGTGGTGGCGGGCACCGGTAGTCCCAGCTACTTGGGAGGCTGAGGTATGAGAATTGCTTGAACTTGGGAGGCGGAGGCTGTAGTGAGCCAAGATCGTGCCACTGCACTCCAGCCTGGGTGACAGAGCAAGACTTCGTCTCAAAAACTAAACAAAACAAAAGCATGATGATACTTATAACAACAATTCCTTAAATTTCTATAATACTCTTTTATTCCAATATATAAACCAATTTTTTAAAAGAGAAAAACAGATTACAACTTTCTCTTCTAAGTCAGGAAGCTCTAGAAAAACTTAATGATTTTTAAGAAGTAGCAATGTTTCATAAACAAGGAGGAGACCAACTCGAGAAATAATTCAG
The DNA here is from genome assembly GCF_000001405.40 of Homo sapiens. Classification (NCBI taxonomy): domain Eukaryota; kingdom Metazoa; phylum Chordata; class Mammalia; order Primates; family Hominidae; genus Homo; species Homo sapiens. The sequence continues at coordinate 139,290,599 of NC_000006.12, forward strand.
CAATAATAAGGGCCCTTAGGAAAGGGTGAGAGATGGTACTGAGTCAGAGATTCCAGGGTTTCTGACTATTACCACTTCTAGAGTTGCAATAGATTTGGTTTAGGCCTTTAAGTTATGGTGCATTTTATTTGTAAATAATATTTAACAGTGATGCTGCTAAATAGCAGCATAAAAATGTGGCAAGATCCTCATAATTCACAGGTTTTGCTGTTGTGGTAACATGAAAGTGAAAACAAAAGCATACTGTTCTACAACTGCACAGCTTCCTTTTCCTGTTCTCAGGGCAGTAGATGTCAATTGAATGCTCAGACACCAACAAGAACAGAAAATTCAACACACAGATGTTGCCACTGACTTGTGATGCTCACCAAACACTCATAACTTAGAGGAAGTACTTTTTTTCTTTCACTGGTTTGAATTCACCAACTTGATTATCAAATAATGCAGCAGTTTCATTATTTTCATCACTGGGATTTCTTTTCCTGACCTCACTTGTTGATTGCACTCATCTATATATAACTTAGGCCTCCCCTGAACACGGAGAAAGACACACGGCACCTGCTGTCCAGCCAGAAGTTATTTTAAGCTATTCTAAAATGAGTCATGCCGTTTAGCACTTCATCCTTGAAAATCAAGAGAATCGTTTTTCAGTCAAATTGAAAACAGTAAACATTTAGTGGCTTAAATCCATACATGGGTTTTAAAGTCGGGGAGACTATCTTAGGATGAAATAAAATCTCAAGTAAAATGAACTTCAAAATAATTAATTTAAGATAAGCTGTCCATAGGAGTTTTACTTCGGTTAGTCTAAATGCAAGTGGCTGTTTGTATTTGATTTATTCTTCATGAGATGCCACAATCATTGATTTTTTAAATTCTTAATTCCATGGCTATTCTTTAAACTCCTGTTCCACATTTACTTTAAAACAGAACAGTCATTATAAAGCCCAGGACAATTCAATTCCCAAAAGTAGCCTCAAGACAAGTTAACAAGAGGGAAAAAAACAAAGTCAGAGAACTTTGTTACTTTTCAATCATCCATTTTATATTATGTGGCAAAGAAATTATTTCTAACTTTTATCTTATATAAACTTTATTGCCTTATTTTCCCCTCCCCAGGGAGAGAACTTTTCACTTGTGTTGGCTATTCCAGATGACTATCACAGACACATCCCTCCCTAAGCAACACATTTTATTTATAAATACAACAATGAAAAGTTCTCCAACAGTTCACTGGCAATCTCAAAGTTGCAAGTTTCGAACACCACAAACCGCACCCTATACCTTCTCACAGGGCTTGGGGGAGTGTTTGTCATACTTACCAGAAGGCAAGAAGCTAAGCAAGAAGAGAGAGGAGAGGAAGGAGGCAGGAAAAAGCAAGTCAGAGCTGCAGCAACAGCAGGAGAGGGCGGGCTGGCTGTGTTCTTACAAGGGAGAGAGAAACCCAATACACACACACACACATACACACGTGCACGCACGCGCGCGCACACACACACACACACACACACGCCACAGGCACTGATGGAGGCAGCAGTCTGGAGGAGGTGGGGGTAGGGAAAGGAACATCATATGACACAGCAAGGGGAAAATACACCCAAGCTTCCCTAGCTGTTGCCAGGGGAAATACCTTAGCAGAGAGAAGCAGCTGGAAGATCTCATTAGACTCTCCATGTTTTGTTTGTCCTTTCGGAAATTTAAACTCTGAGTATATTACCCCCGTTGCAAATGCAGTCTTTCACCATTGTTGTCCTTTTTGGGTAGAGATCAGTTTTTCTTACTTCTTGGGTTATCTCCAGTGTGGTGGAAGATTCATCTTCTTTTTCTTCTTCTTCTTGCACTAGCTTAATTAGTGTCAGGTTTCTTACAGGAATCATGGAAAAAGAAAAACAATGGCATAAGAACAGGGAGGTGGTGGAACCATTTTAATTCTGATGTCATTGTTTGGTTTGTTTGCAAAGTTTGAAATAAACATGTAGATGGTGATTTTGGAGCTGAACTGAGTATAATCTTCATGCACGTGGTAATTGGTGTGACCTTGGAGCACAGTCTTTCCCAGGTAACTCTTCCCATCTCAAACAAACCCTCAGGGAAGCAGTCTGCTTTTTCTTCCTTAGTTGGTGGCTTTCCCACATTTTGTAAATCCTCAACATGCTCCTTGATCCTCCTCAGAAAAAGAAATTCCTTCTGATTCACCATAAAATGCCTGTCTATTAATTTACATCCATTTGCCTTTTATTTTTCTTTCTGGAGCTTGTGTTCCCATACTTCCAAAGCAGATTCCTCCATCGGTTTCTGCTCTGGGGACAGGCTAGGCATAGTGGCATCCCTTGTGGGAGGCAGAATAATGCCACCCAAAAGATCTCCACGTCCTACTCCCTGGAACCTGTGAATATGTTTCTTTACATGACAAAAGAGACTTTGCAGATGTGAGGAAGGATCCTGAGGTAGGGAGGTTATCTTGAACTACTGGGTGGGTTCAATGTAATCATAAGGGTATTTATTTATTTATTTATTGAGACAGAGTCTCGCTCTGTCACTCAGGCTGGAGTGCAGTGGTGCAATCTCAGCTCACTGCAACCTCCCGGGTTCAAGCGATTCTCCTCCCTCAGCCTCCCAAGTAGCTGGGATTACAGGCGCCTGCCACCACATCCAGCTAATTTTTGTATTTTTAGTAGAGACGGGGTTTCGCTGTGTTGGCTAGGCTGGTCTCGAACTCCTGACCTCATGATCCGCCCACCTCGGCCTCCCAAAGTGCTGGGATTATAAGCGTGAGCCATTGCACTCAGCCTCATAAGGGTCTTTATAAATGAGGGAGGAAGGCAGTAGGATTGGAGGCAGAAAAGGAGATTTGATGACCTCAGCATAGGTCAGGAAGCTTCTAGAAGCTGGGAAAGGCAAGGAAACAGATTATACTCTAGAGCCTCCAGAGGGATGCAATCCTGCGACATTGATCTTAGATCAAAGAAATTCGTTTTGGATTTCCGACCTCCAGAAATATAAAATAGCAAACTTATGTTATTTTTAAGCTGCTAAATTTGTGATAAGATGTTATGGCAACAAAAGGAAATGAAAACATCCCACCCCCAGTTTTGTCCTACTTATTCTCTGAGTTTAGGGGAGGCATAAGTTATATATAGATGAGTGCACCCAACAAGCAGAAGTCAGGATAAAGAAATTCCAGTGTTGAAGACAATGAAGCTGTTCACTATATTATTTGATAATTAAGTTAGTGAATTAAAATTGATGAAAGAGAAAAGCACTTTCTTCTAAATTAATGAATACTTGGTGAGTGCCACAAATTGGGTGGCATTCCATCCTGGATTGTAGCAAACTGACCCGATCACATCTCTTAGTAAATATAAACAAGTCAGTGCTTTTCAAATTTAAATAATGTATAGACTCACTTAACAGAATAATTTAAATAATGTGGAAATTATTTGAAGGATTATATTATTATTTGAACCTACATGTACTAAAATGAAAATAGGATAAATTCCTTATGCTTACAGTAGTTACATAAATTTTAAAATGTATACATTTTAAAGCCTACAAAATCAATAAATGCGACTCAAATTAATAACACTACTTTTATGTGACAGATATTGTTTTGCTGAACTTAAATTGCTGCTTGCAACATGAATACTCTATTGACTGCTGGGTTTTTTGAGTTTCTGGTACTCTTCTACAATGTGGTTTGGGAATTTCCTCAACACTTGATTCATTCAAATTATTACATAGTTTTTATTCATATGGCCTGCTATGATTTCATGGGGCTCTCATTTGATACGGCTGCATCATTTACTGCTTGCTATGGTCTGAATGTTTGTGTCCCCCCAAAATTCATGTGTTGAAATCATAAACCCCCAGGTGATGGTATGAGGAGGTGGGGCCTTTGGGAAGTGATTAGATTATGAGGGTAGAGCTTTTATGAATGGGATTAGTGTTCTCATAAAAAAGGTCTGAAAGAAACCCCTTACCCCTCTGCCATGTGAGGGTGCAGTGAGAAGAAGGCTTTGTACGAGGAAGTCACCAGACACAGAATTTGCCTGCACCTTGATCTTAGACTTTCCAGCCTACAGAACTATGAGAAATAAATTTCCATTGTTGGCCCGGCACGCTGGCTCACGGCTGTAATACCAGCACGTTGGGAGGCCAAGGCAGGTGGATCACTTGAGGTCAGGAGTTCAAGATCAGCCTGGCCATCATGGTGAAACTCCATCTCTACTAAAATACAGAAATTAGCTGGATGTGGTGGCGCATGCTTGTAATCCCAGCTACTGGGGAGGCTGGGGCAGGAGAATCATTTGAACCCAGGAGACAGAGGTTGCAGTGAGCCGAGATTGTGCCACTGCACTCCAGCCTGGGCGACAGAGCAAGACTCTGTCTCAAAAAAAAAAAAATTCCATTGTTTATTAGTCACTCAGTTTATGTTATTTTGTTATAGCAGCCTGAATAGATGAAAGCCCTATTCTTTCTCATTGTCCTGCAATTATTAAAGTAGTGCTAATTGGCCCTAACTTGAATAGATACACACATGATAGTGGAGGTATCAAAATGACACTTACACAGTGGCTACCCAGATCCAAAACAGGCATATGCATTTTCAAGTATAATTGAAAATAATACAAACATGCAAAACTGTGACTCCCAAGAATTTATCTGTGGCCTGATAGGGGCCCAAAAAACTGGGATAAGTTAATAAAGACAGCAAATTAATAGAGCTCAGTGTTTTATTGTCAAATCAACGTTAAAAGAACACAAATTACACGTCTAAGGCTTTGAACTTTTGTAAAGAATACACTTATTTTTTGAAAATACATCTAACTGTTTACGCAAATATCACAGGAAAATAATTTGAAAATTCAAATGATGCTAAAAAGCTTAACCCAAGAAACAATAACTCCTTGTTCTTCCACCTTCCTCCAACCTTGTGATGCTTTCTAGAGGTAATAACATAAAACTGTTGTAGATATTTTTTGGGGGGGGGATTTACTTTATCATTTTTAAATAAAATGCCTTGATTTTATTTACAACTCACCAATTTTTGACATTATTTATTGTCTTCTCATAATGATAGATGAAGATTTTCATTGTTTACACTCCCCTTTTTCTCCTCTCTTCATTTTCCCCACAAAATTATATCTCAATGTTTAATTCATATCCTATATTGTCTTTATTGAAATAATGTTTACTGTTAAACCAGGTAGAGCATTGTGATTATAGTTCTATTCATATGCAACTTTCTGTTTTTCCTGGAGTTGATAATTTCTTTTTCTTTTCATTTGCCTAGTATTGAGAATACTCTGTCTTCCCAAACAGCGTAAGAGGCCTATAAATCTTTCTATACAATATTCCCAAAGGTCAAATAATTTATGTATTCTAGTACTTTTTTGGAGATATGATCCCCACATACAAACACTCTTAGAACCTTGACCCCCCCCTCCTCCAGCCTGGGCTGGTGGCTTCTAGGCCTGCTACACAGCTGTGGTCCTGGCACTTCCCCTGCTGTCGTTCTGGGAATTCCCTTTACCTCTCTCCTGTTGCCTGGCTCCTATTCTTCCTCTTTCTTGGTTTAATTCCTCATTTAGAAAAACATATCCTCTAGTGGCTTCCTGAGAAAGCATTTATGGGAGACTGTGTGTGTGCCTGAAATATCTTTTTGATACCCTTATACTTACTTGATTGATAGTTTGGCTAGATGTAACCTTTTAGGTTGAAAATAATTTTTATTAAAAATCTTAAGACATATTATTTTCCCCTGTCTTTTAGTTTTTAATGTTTCTTAAAAATGCAAGGTCATTCTTATTCCTAATCCTTTGGATATGATCCATTTTTTTTCCTCTCTAGAACCATTTGGCATCTTTATCATGATGTTCTGAAGTTTCACAATGATTAAATTTGATGTAGATCTTTTTTTCATTTATTATTTTGGATGCTTACTTGGTTTTAATGTCTGTAGACTCAAATGTTTAACCTCTTCTCTTTTTCGTCATTGTTGCTCACCCTTGTCCTCCTCTGAGCCTCATATCGCTCAGTTCAGAGCCTTTCTGGTTAAGCTTCTTCAGAGAACAATCCTCAGGTATCCTGAAAGGGGCTTGATTTTGAAGGGTGGCATTTAGGACCCTTTGTTCTAACTGTTCCTTCTCCTAACTGGAAACAAACAAGCCAGGTGTGATGGTGCGCACCTGGTAGTCGCAGCTACTTGGAAGACAGGGGCGGGCGAGAGGATCATTTGAATGCAGGAATTCAAATCCAGCCTGAGCAACATAGTGAGACCCCATCTCTGAAAGCAAACAAACAAACAAACAAACAAAGCCAACAGCCAACAAACCATCCTACTATTTGTAGTCTCCTGCTTTACTGCCAATTTCAATAGTATCTCCACTTGCAGAGTATTAACCTCAAATTCCTTAGTCTTTCCAGTCTACCAGGGAAATCAGCTTGCCCCTCACTGCTTGCCTGTCCCACTTACATCCAACTCATCCCTGTGAAGCACACTTCCTGTTGAATCATTTACCACTATGTATTGTGTTCTAGTCCTCATCCGTTGTGGTTTGGGGTTTATGGATTCAATTCTTCTGGCTTCCCTAACATTAGAGCTTCCCTTTTTCTGCCTTTTTTCTTCTTCTTCTTTACTGGTGAATTTTATAGAAGAAAGAAGTCAGAATTCTCTTCTTTTCTGATTTTTACCATAAAGATGTGTTTAACCACTGTAGCAGTCCAGTAATGAAATGACCTATCCCTCCAAATAAAAAGCATCAGCATTGGAAATATCCAGTAGAGACTTGGTTGTTCTTTCTTTCAGGAATACTAGTAAAGAAATGTCTGGAAAGGGGGCAGGGGTAAACTAAATGATTCACTTAAGATCTTTTTCAAGTATAGAAGTTTATAAATTCTGTACTATTCTACCATGGGCTGAAAGGAAACAGAAATCATTAAATAATTAAGATTATGAGCCTTAAAATCAAGTAGCTTCCACGTGAATTCCAGATCTGTCTTTTACTTGGGCTATATTTTAATTTCTTTAGTTTCAATTTCCTACTCCATAGAATGGGGACTACTTATTGTATATGATTGTTATGAAATTAACATAGTAAATGTGGTTTAATACAAACACATAATCTTTTTAATTAATTCCAATAATTATGTGTTTAAATAAAGCCTGTGAATGGGAATTAATATTTTCTACACCAATAACATTTTCAAATTGTTGCTGCCTAGGACCAAGTTGAAGGAATCTATTGTATCATCTCTTGGTTGTGGTATTTATATTCTTGACCTAGGCTAGATCTGGCTTGGGGTGGTGGGGGCGCATCATTCTATACTGCTTCTACTCAGCAGACATCACCTTTGTCTTTCTAAAATGGAGGGAAATGTGGGCTTGTAATCAAACAGAGATTATTTTGTATTAATCCAAATACAAAACCAAACAGCAAGTTACAATATTCAATTCCCATGGTGACAACTCTTTAATTTGTACTAAAAGTGAAATATGATTCCCACCCTGTGAAAAGAATTGTTTTATCACTTGTCAGCAAAATTAGGCAAGCAAATATTATTTCTAGTAAAGAGCAGATGGACTTGCATAAATAAAATAAATAGTTTGAAATTTGTATAAATATTGGGTGCTACACTTGTACTTGCAAAGAGCCCCACCTCTTAAGTAGCCTTATTACTCTTACATTTTTATATTAACAATTTCATCATGAAAGTCTTCTTATAAATAATGCAGACAGATTCTAGGATAGGCTCCTTTATACCAATTCTCTGTTGAATTCAAATTAATATGACATTGCTGCATGCATTCTACAGGGGACATTTGGCTCATGTCAATATTTGCTTCAAGGAAGATCAGAATAAGGTGTGTTATTTTGCAGGAATATTGGACCTCCCCATCTTTGAAGAGCTCTTCCTTATCCCATTGCTGGATGTAGTAGAGATTCAGAAGCATAGAACTGCATGTTGACTTGTTCATGCAGAGTGTCCCCTGAGGGTAGAGTTGGATTTTAGTGGCTACTATGGGCTGCAGCAATGACATTCCCCTAAAGCAGACTCCACTGTTGCAACCCCTGCATGCCAGCAAGAGGATGTGAAGGTCAAGTGATTGGTCCTGATTAAAGTATGTGATATAGTTTGGATATTTGTCCCCTCAGAGTCTCATGTAGAAATTTGATCCCCAGTGTTGGAGGTGGAGGCTTTTGGGTCATGGAGGCAGATCTCTCATGAATGGCTAGGTGCGAGTCTCTTGGAATCAAGTTCTTGCTCAATTAGTTTCCACAAGAACTGATTGCTAAAAAGCACCTGGTACCTTCCTCCATGTTCTCTCCTTCTTCCTCCCTCTTGCCATGTGATGCCTGCTCCCCTTCACCTTCCACCATGAGTGGAAACTTCCTGAAACTCTCCCCAGAAGGAGATGCTGGCACCATGCGTCTTATGCAGCCTGCAATACTGTGAACCAAATAAATATCTTCTTTAAATAAACAACCCAGCCTCAGGTGTCCCTTTATTGAAACACAAACAGACTAAGACAATCTGTGTTGCCATTGGCTTGTTCCCATTGGCTGGCCCCTGGCTGCTCCTGGGGAGGGGAGGGATTGCCTTGTTGCTGCACATGGGTAAGAAAGCCCAGCTGGCGTGTGAATATTCAACAACCCTGGGAACAAAAGTTGCTGAACTCGAAGGGCTCATGTCACCCTTTTTGTGGCATTCTGCTTCCTTTGGCTCATGTTCCCTGTAAGAAACTTGGGAAACATATCCCATCTGAAAGAACTCTGGCCACAAGATACCCAAACAAACCTTACTAATGGCAAGAAGAAGGCAATAATGCAGATTAACTGAAATGTCAACTGTTAATAGTCCCAACTTTGAAGTCCTCAGGCCACCCATGGTTTTGGACTGGGACCTCCTGGACAGGGATGTTTCTTCCTTCCCTCCCCTCTTCTCATTCCTCCTTGTCCTAGGGTTTGCCAGCTATCGTGGGGTCTGCAGAATCTTGGTGAGGGAAGGGACCTCACAGATCATCTCCCCACTTGGGGAGATGCCTGGCTGAGATGCCTTGTTACCTAACTCCAGGGGTCACTGTTCAAACAAAATAGATGTGGGACCCCCTGGGTTTGTGGAACATAGTGTTCCTAGACTCAACTTGGGACCTTGATACTAGACAGGACTTAGAGGTCCTGTCTAGAGCCACCCTGATCTGTCCTTAGGTAGATGACATTTGATGAAAAAAAAAATGGCTCTTTTAAATAAGACAGTACTACTTGCCAATAGTTAAGTCTCCAAAGATGATAGATCCATGATGTTTTACCATACAAGCACTGTGACTCCTTTCAGAGGTTTGATAAAAGCATCCCTTTCAAATAGCCTTTTTGAGGTTTTCTAACTAACTAACTATAAGGTTCATTTTTCTCTTCTCTGTCTAGTATGACAAGTTCTTTTGATTCCCCTCCCTAAGGGTCAGAAGTTCTTCTCTCCCTTACGTGAGTGTCATGAAGCCCCTCCTCCCCTGCTGATCACAAAGCAATTCTCAGGAAGGGTCTAAGGTTGAACTTGTGTTGAAAGGAAAGCCTGTCATTTTGATGTGTTAGAAAACAGGTGTGTGGTGGTCACCTAGTTCTGAGCTGGTGGACACTCCTCTCCTTCCTTCTTGCAATGCAGTTCTTATCAAAGAGCATGGACTAATTTTTAAATTCTATGTGTGGTCTTTTTCTCTGTAACAATTTGGTGTGGCTTTGATAGGATGTAGAACAACGCAACCTGGGAACAGCAGAGATGGTCAACAGGATTGGGACTGAGTGAGCAAATGCTTAGACTCCTGCTACCTTGCCTCTTTATCTTCCCAATTATGTCTCTTTTTTCCCTCCCTTTCATGGTGAGGGGATGCCTAGGCTAATTGTCCATTGATAGGCTTAAAGGGAGCCCATTACCTGAACCTGTCTGCCTTTCGAAAGGCTTTCAGAGCCTTTCTGCTCCTAATGTATCTTATATGACTCCTTTGTCCTTAGAAGAGAACTTCAGCTGGGTGCGGTGGCTCACGCCTGTAATCCCAGCACTTTGGGAGGCTGACGTGGTGGATCACAAGGCCAGGGGTTCGAGACCAGCCTGACCAACATGGTGAAACTGCGTCTCTACTAAAAATACAAAAATTAGCCAGCGTGGTGGCACGCGGCTGTAATCCCAGCTACTCAGGAGGCTGAAGCAGGAGAATCACTTGAATCAGGGAGGCGGAGGTTGCAGTGAGCCGAGATTGCACCACTGTGCTCCAGCATGGGTGACACAGCGAGACTCCATCTCAAAAAAAAAGGGAATAACTTCCCTTGTGTGTTCCTTAATTCAAGCTCAAGGACTACAAAGGAAGCACCACATCTCTTCTATTCTTCTTTAAACTGTTTCAGGGCCCCCATTCTGTATAAATTTGGAATTGTGCCAGTTAGGAGCCCAAACTGTAGATGGATCCTGGCTGAGATGCCTTGTTACCTAACTCCAGGGGTCACTGTTCAAACAAAATAGATGTGGGACCCCCTGAGTTTGTGGAACATAGAGTTCCTAGACTCAACTTGGGACCTTGATACCAGAAACTATGGCTAGGCGAAATCATGGTCTCTGTGGAAAGGACAAACTCCTAGTTGTCTTTCTCATATATACCCAAGAGAGGTTGCAAAATCATTAAAAAATATGAAGGAAAAATTGCAGGGAAATTTTCTTGGGTATCTGTATAGTGCCACCAAATACAAAAGATGACATCTTAGATGACCTTATTAGGGTGAAAATATTACTATTATTAAAAGTAATAATACCTGCTACTGGTGACATGAGTGTGTGAGTAAGCCTCTGCAACCTCCATTGTCCCCTGAGTTCCAAAGCTACCTTCCTATGAAGTCCCCATAAACCTCCATATATCTTTCCTCTAGAACTGCCAGGAAATCTTCTATAGATGGTCTGGAAAAAAGAGTAAGCTCTTGAGATGGGATCACTAAGTCTTCCATGGGTTAGAAGAGCACACCTGAGATACAATGGGTTTGGAATCATCAGAGTCCTCACCGAAGAAAGTGCTGTACTCTAGTGCCCCACACAGAATGGGGCAACAAGCCCCCACCAAGTCTATGCACAGAAATCAATGCTTCCCCTGCCTGACCTTTACTTTCACAGTAACTTGATATAGATAATAATGAACTAATCCCCACCCCCCTGACCATAGTACATATTTTAGTATTCATTTAGTACTTAGTAAGCAACTCTGTGTATATTAATAAAAAAAGACTTGTCCCGTCCCCTAAAACAAAACAAAACAAAAACAAAGCAAAGCAAGGAACCCTTGACAGGCTGATAATATATTACAAGTCCTTAGAATTAAAAAATTTAAATTCAGAGATCTTAGGATCTAAAGAATGAATGTTTTTTGGGGTGGAAAGCAAACAAAAATATATATATATTCTTAATTGAAACTACGATGCTTTATTGGGTAAAAGCATATGATAAAAAATGTATTTGAATATTTTGCTTAGATGAATTTTTGTATATTTAGCTAAAAATAAGATGGTAGCATACATGTAGGTATATAAAGTTGAATATCATATGAATTAAGCTGTTTTTAAAAATATGTTTTAAGTCAGATTTTTAAGCGTAAGAAGAGAAATTTAGTTTTGTGTTAGTAAGAGGAAAATAAGGCCAACAAAGGGATTAGAAACTTGGGTCTGGGTAAAGGTCTGAGAGAGAGGAGAAAAAAAAAAAAAAAGGAGCTGTTTTAAATCAGTCCCTAACAGTGAAACACATCTAGAAAGACAGAGTTTGAAAAACAGCAACCACAAAAATGAATCTAGTGGGTTTTCTATAATATTTCTTCCAAAATTGGGTGATTTTGTATTAAAAAGCTGTTAAGTTAGCTGGGTGCGGTGGCTCACACCTGTAATCCCAGCACTTTGGGAGGCTGAGGCGGGTGGATTGCCTGAGGTCAGGAGTTTGAGACCAGCCTGGCCAACATAGTGAAACCCCATCTCTACTAAAAATACAAAAAAAAAAAAAAAAATTAGCTGGGAATGGTGGCGGGCACCTGAATGGCGCCTGAATAGCTACGAGGGAGGCTGAGGCAAGAGAATCACTTGAACCCGGGAAGGAGGAGGTTGCAGTGAGCTGAGATCGCACCATTGCCCTCCAGCTTGGGCAACAAGAGTGAAACTACGTCTTGAAAAAAAGAAAAAAGAAAAAAAAACCTTGTTAAGCTTTGAAAGGTAACTACATTTATATTGTGTAATAAAACTGGAAAATTAATGTGATTTTGTGGTTTTTCTGTATAAGGATAAGTGATACAAATTCAGATTTCTGCAAAAAAATTGACAGAGAAATATGCAATTACCTTATGTAAATGTACATAGTATTTCTATTAAACTGTCTTATTTTGACACATTCTGCTTATTTTCTGATATTCCAAAGTGGTTTTCAAAAGTTTTGAATTCATAAAATATTAAAGTCATGGATATTTTGATTTATCCAAAGACCTCTGAAAAATTAGAGTTCTATAGTAGTGTCATTGGTAATTAACTAATGTGTTTTTGATAAGTGATAATTAATCAGATAACATATTTAAAATATATGGATTTTGGATCCTGGGTCAAAGAAGAGACTTTCAGTTTAAACCTCAAAAGCCTGAGTTTCCATGTAATGTTACTCGCTTACAAAGTCTCTCCTTGATCTACTTGCAAGAAAATGAAACACTTTGAACTGGTCTGGCGCTGGATGGAAGTACACATATACATAGTACTAACTAGGCAAATGACTTGGGTTCATGAAATGCAAATAAAACATTCCATGATATATTAGGTTCCTGAGGGAATAAGGAAATGTTGCATGCTATATACAAGGAAATGTTTATGGCTCAGGAAAGGATGGAATGCATTTTCTTTCTGGAAAACCTTCTAAAAACAAAAGTAACTATGTAGAAAAGGTTAAGCTTAACTCAGTACTTTATTGTTCATACTGATGTTGGTGTTAGCATCTTGGCACTCTTAGGCAAATGAAGAATATAAGTAATTATAAATTACTTAATATTTATATAAAGTAAATATAAGTATTCTTATATAAGAGAGAATGTGCTACAATTATAGAATTCCTAAATTAATGAGGAATGTTGTAATTTTAGAACAGAATTAGAAATATTAACATAAATATAAAATTTAAAAGAAAATATTTGTAGTTTTGACACAGAAATAATCTAGGAACAATGTCAATCCATGTTGCAGCCAATCATCCAGTTCCTGGTCTTTTTTTTTTTTTTTTTAAACTAAAAGAAACTAAGGATTCTTAAGAGAAACATCTCAGTCTTTGTTTGGCCCAGAAATGTGCAAGATAGCTTGAACTGCCTTGTGCTAGAAAGCAAGAAAGCTTTCAAAACTTTCTAAAGTACTATCAAAAAGACATAAGAACCTGCCTAAAAGAAACTACCACTAGTCAAAGTTGTATCATTAAGAATTATAATAAATCTTCCAGTCAACTGAAATCTATTAAACAGCTATGATTCCCTAGCAATGAACAAAAAGAAAATAAATAACGGGAAGTATTTGAAAAGAAGGTGAAGAAGTTGTTACTGCTGAGCTTTGTTATTTATTTGGCACTCTTGGCTCATCGATTGTATCCATAAAGAATACAGAAATGAATAATGCTATAAATATATCAGTTAAAGGCATTTTCTGACACAAGGTGAGAATATCAGTAGAAAGACTCCATAATTTGTGACTACAAGTCAGACAAAACCCATGGAAAGTATCCAAAATTCGGTTATATCAGTTTTTAAATGATGCAAAGAAATAGGAAGAAATGTATCCTGCACAGATGTCTTTAGAGATAAATGGAAAAGGCAATCAGTACCACGATGCACAAAAGGGGGTCACTTCCACTAAAAGAGCAGTAAAAGAAGGGCTCAAGAGGTGACGAGCAAGGTTATCAACCAAGCCTGCTCATGTGAGCTGAAACAAGTGGCAACAGGCAACAGGACAGAACCAATCTTCAGACAAAAATGAATGCAAACAAAACAGAATAGGCAAACAAAAGTAAAACAGGTAGAGAGGGTTATCCAAGAACTTAAGAAGACTCCTGCAGAAACCAGAGAAACTAACAATGAAGAGAGTCCAGCCTTTAATGAAGCCAAATGAAAAAGAAGTGAAGTCCAATGAGTGTGTCATAAACCAACTCTCACCGCTGGTCTCCGTATATCTGTTTGTATCAATCCAGAGGTATTTGTGTCCACTTTTCTATAAATGCAAATTTTTGGTAGCTCTAGGAAAACAATTTAAAGGAGAAGATACCACCTCATTCCATTTTTTAATAAAACATATTTAGGTGGGTGCTTTTTTGTGTGTAAATCTTGTTTTTTAAAGAGGTAAATAACTGTCTCGTTTGTCAACTTAATATTCCACAGGCAGCAGAAGGGCAATTTTGATAGCCTGTAATATGAAATATAACTAAATAGCAATTTGAAATCATAATCATGAATTCAACGTAACTTAAATGTTTTGAATTACCTTTTCCACTCACTTTTAAGTAGAATTGTTCCCCCAAAAGCCTTCTCCTTGTTCATAACTCTCCCATTGAAACTTTGACAACTTTGGTAGTGGTAGTCCAGTTTTTCTTATTACTTGATTGATGTGTTGTGAAAGATTGGAAATTTTTGAGCATGTGGTGTGTATGTATTAAGATATAAATTGGAGGGAAATGAGATCTAACAGCTTACTAATATTTTAAAATATTGATATTTACAATCTTATTTAAGGACAATTTGCCTACAAGTTTTAAGATAGAAAGGCACCAGAAAAATCGCTATGGATTATAACCATATGCATTAAAACAATTTTTTTTTGGTATTTGTATTAAGAACTGCTTCCACATAGTTATATAACATCTGTGGATTGACCATGGAACAAAGTCTCATTTATAAAAAACAGTTCAATGAAAAGGCATCTAAATCTTTTACAATGTTATCAGTTTATAAATTGTTAGAGTCAGAAAGATATTCACATATTTAAAAAATCCCAAACACATTGAATGGATCATCCTGGACAGTAGCTGTAGATTTCTATAGGAAGATAGAAGAATTAGGTACTATGTATAATGTTAAGGAGAAGGAAGTGGGCTGAGTGATAACTTGTATCAGAGTTGTAGAATTATTAACATAATAACTATAAGTAGACTTTTGCATGTATCATTAGGTCTTGGGAAAGGATCCAGATCCTCCATCTGTCTCTGATAGTAAATAATCTTAATTAATTAGGAAGATATTCATCTTCCTTAATGAGTTTGCATTTTTTTAATCCACAGAATATTTGGAATTAAGTATAGAACAATTTAAAGGAATGAAAATGATTTATTAATATTCGTGTAAAGTAGGAAACTAGAAGATCTACCTAGGAAAATAGCCCTGATTGTAGCATTTCAACAATTTTCATTGAAGTGATTTATTTGCCTACATCCCCAGGAAACTGGGAGCTCCTTAGAAACAAGAATGGTGTATTTTATCTCAGTATACTCAATACAGTGCCTGGCCCAGAGTCAGTGCCCAGTAACCATGAATGAATAAATGAGGTCCTTAAGGTTGTAAGGTGATTTGGTTTCCATCAGTGTCTCCTTCCACAAAGATCAGAGAAAAGTCTGTCTCCTTCCAGTCCTACTGAGCTGCTCCTATTTTTGAATGCTCCCTCCTGCAGCCATTTCAGAAAGTACTAGAGACAGAGGAAAAGTTTTCTCTGATGTTTTTGATGTTTATTCCAGGGCATGCTCACAGATGGAAAGGGTCAAACTTCTGGGACGCTCCAGAGACACAGCCCTTGACATTCTCTGTGAAAGGATGTGCTATACAAAAGGTGCCTGCCAGCAACTGGGCTTGAATGGCAAATGGTTGAGGCATGAAGACAGTTTTTCTTTCAGACCCTGCCTAAGCATTTGTTATCAGGAGTCACAGATAAGATATTTCAATCCACTTCCTCATGACTGCCCTTCGAATGTCTGAAAATCATATGGGCCTTTGATCTAAATATTCCCGCTTTCTTCAATTGTTCCTCATATGATATAGTCTCCAAACCTTTCCTCAGCCTGATTTTCCTGCTACAGTTCATCCCTGTATTGTTGCAAAGATGCAGAAGCTAGCACAGCATGTGGGATGTAGCCTGACCAAGGTAGGCAGCAGGGGACCCTACTCTGCTCCTGGGCACTGCATTTCTACAGCAGCCAACAGCCATTATCTGCTTGGTGGCCTTATCATGTTCTTGACTCTCACCATACTTGCAGCCAACTCAAGCCCCTGTGTTTTGCTTTATGTTGTTGTTTCTTTCTGTGATGTTTTAAAACATGATTCTATAATTCTGTGCTTATGTAGTTGCTATTTTGAACCTAAGGATTTCACTAGTATCTCTATTTGGATCATTATTCCAGCTTATTGTGACATTTTGGAATCATGATTCTACTATTAGATGTTTTAAATCTCACATTGTTGCCATCTATACTTTTGATAAGCCTATGGCTACATCTTCACTGACAAAAGTATTGACCAAGACAGGTTGAGCAGAGAGCCCAGAGCACACTACTAGTTCTCAACAAATGATTGGGGTTTTTTGTTTGTTTGTTTTGTTTTTTAGAGATAGGGTCTCACTTTGCCGCTCAGGCTGGCACAGTCATAGTTCACTGCAGCTTTGAACCTGGGCTCAAGCAATCCCCCTGCCTCAGCCTCTTGAGTAGCTGGAACTACAGGTGTATGACACCACCCCTGGCTAAGTTTTTATTTTTTGTAGGAACAAGGTCTTGCTATGTTGCTCACTCTGGTCTCCAACTCCTGGCCTCAAGTGATCCTCCTTCCTCAGCTTCCCAAAGTGCTGGGATTACAGGCATGAGCCACTGTGCATGGCCTCAACAAATATCTATGAATTAAATCATAAATTTGGCTGAGGAAAAGTAGATCATAGTTTTTGTCTATAGTAACATATTCAGGTGAGCTTATGCCCTTTCAATTATTTTCATAAGAGAATGTAACATACTTTTCCAAATTATAGTTTTCTTGCCTATATAGAGATTTCCAGGACAACCTTATTATACCCATTCATTTTTTTCCTCTTCTATTCATTCTTGTTCAACATAGTATTGGGTATTCTTTGGATATCTAAACAAATGGCTTTTTAAAGGCAATATTGAATTTATTGTTAAATGTTGGCTTCATTATGAAAGACTAAGAAATAATTATATCATTTTATCTGTATAAATATCTTAAAAACAATTTTGCTAAATTGATTTTTATCCAGACGTGTTTTTACACAAATTTGCTCCTGATTAATTAAAACACATGGGTCTAGGGACCCAGAGTGGAAGTGGGTTGACACTTCCCAGGAGTAGTATTGACACCTGGGTTCTTCTGCATGCGAGATTTCAGAACCCAGGAATAGTATTGACACCTGGGTTCTTCTGCATGCGAGATTTCAGAACCCAAGTGATCGATGCTTCCACACGGCCACAATGGCTCTTTTAAAATGAAAGCTAAATGGACACCTACCTACTGAGAGCTCTAGATGCTATTAAACGAAGAGGCAAATAGGCAGAGTGGAAGGGCTGATGGTTGTTAAGAAACTGTTTGGAGTCACTGACTCTGGCTACCATGGGCATGTATGGTTATTGCTATATAAGAAGGACAGAGAAAAGTATGGATGGATCCTAAGCGATACAACTACCTGCCTGGTTGCAAAAAATTAATGAAGACCACTGCATCACTATATTGGAAGGACTTCCAAAGACAAACCCTGACCAGCCCAGACGCCGTCTGAAAACAAAGGCAAGATGCAGTAGGTAGTGGAAGAGGGAAGTTGTAAATACTGCACACATCATAAAATATCTTGTGAAGAGTTACAGATATGACTACTGTAGGCTTTATTTGTGTTCACTTCCTTGTTTTGCTATATATTCCAACTAATACTCCTTTTAAAAGTTTTTTGTTGTTTTCCAACCACACTATTGTGTATGGACTATGTCGTTAGTGGTTGACTTTCCAATTTTGTTCATACTTACATTACATGAAGATAGATTTATATGGTCACTAGAGGAGAAATGAGTATCACCCAGAGATCTTAGATTTGGAGCTGAATGTAGAAACTATTGAGATGCTGGGTCATTTCCCTTTGAGGGGGTGGGTAAATTTCCCACTAGGTAATGAGTCATGTTAAACAGGAATATTTATTTTAACATGCAAGTTTTTACCATAAAGGACAAGTGGCAAATATAGAAATTAGGAAACCAAAGTAGTAAAACAACAGTGAATGCTTGCCATTGTGTTGACCGCTTAGCATCCAAGTCTTCTTTCTATTTCAAACCTTGAATAAGGATAAGTCTTGGTGATGGGCAGGGTTCTGTCTACCCCTGTGAAAGGTAAAGAGGAGCATGCATTCCATTCCCTATTTGACAGCTAGGAGTAGCACATGGCCTAGCCTTGTCCAACCACACTCCCAGCTGGAACTTTGAATCTGGGCAGTTATGCAATGATGCAGGGAGCAGAGGTTATTTCCTGGGGCAGTGATGACTGTCCAGTGGGTGGAGAGTTTCCAGCAGCCCCAGAATTATGGGAAGAGGTTTCAGCAGCAAATGTTAATCAGAGTTATTTCTGAGCCAGGACTCTTCTGCTTAGATTTATATGATTCCTTACCATTTCCCAAACCTGATTTTCCATATTTCTTAGATTCAGTAGGCTAGCTATGAATTCTCTTTCTGTTTAAATATGCCCAAATCAGTTTCTCTTGTTTGCAATAAGATTTCTAAACAGTAGATCTTGCGTACACACACAAAGTACACATCACAGGCCTTTGTAGATGCATATTAAGTGTTAATTCCTTTTCTTTCTTCTTTCCTTTCCCAGTTGCATGATAGGCCTATTTGTTCTCACTAACATAAGCATAAAGGTGCTTAGCATGTGACCTTGTACAAAGAAAGTAGTCAATATTGCCTCTTGTCCAAACTACACACTTAGTAAAGCAGAATTCATCGTTAATTCCCCGAAGAGTCTCGACATGAAAATACAAAAAGGGCCAGGCACAGTGGCTCATACCTGTAATCCCAAAACTTTTGGAAGCCAAGGAGGGAGCATTGCTTGAGCCCAAGAGTTGGAGACCAGCTTGGCAACATAGTGAGACTCTGTCTCTATTTAGATAAATACATTAATTAATTAAAAAATATAAAAGGGCCCTGGAAACCCATAAATAAAATCAAACATACATGGACAACAAATTTTTGAAAAGGGCATCAAGAAGACACAATGGGGAAAGAACAGTCTCTTCAATAAATGGTGCTGGAAAAACTAGATTACCATATGCAAAAGAATGAAATTGGACTCTTGTCTTACACCACACACAAAAGTTAACTCGAAACAGATAAAGACCTAAATGGAAGACCTGAAACCATAAAGCTTCTAGACAAGAACACAGGGGAAAAGCTTCTTGACATTGGCCTTGGCAATGATATTTTGGGTATCACACCAAAAGTTCAGGTTACAAAAACAAAAATAAATAAATGGGGCTCCATCAAATGAAAACCTCTGTCCAGCAAAGGATACAATCGACAGGATGAAAGAGTAACCTACAGACTGGGAAAAAATAATTGCAAACCCCATGTCTGATGAGGGCTTAATATCCAAAATTTGTAAAGAATTCTTACAACTCAATAGCAGAAAAACAAAGGATCTGATTTATAAAAGATAGGCAATGGACCTGAGCAGATATTTCTCCACAGAAGAGTTAAAATAGCCAACAGGTGTATGAAAAGGTGTGCAACATCACTAATCATAAGGAATGACTTTATACACTCACTAAAGTGATACCTTCCAAAACAGAAGCTATCTATCCTACATACAAATGTCTTCTTCCACAATTCACACAATAAAACCTATTAGAAGTAAATTTCTGGCAGTTTAAGGATAGCCACTCTATCTCTCTGTCTAATTCCGAAGCCTTCAGATTAAGCTCAAAGCATCCAGCTACCTAATGAAGAAGAGTTTAAATTATTAAAAAGGACAAGTATATATCTTTTGAGTAAATTTTAATATTGTTGCACTGTAGACAAACATGTCATTCTGTTTTGTTTTGGTTTGGTTTTTTTTGAGACAAGAGTCTCACTCTGTCGCCCAGGCTGGAGTGCAGTGATACGATCCCAGCACACTGCAACCTCCGCCTCCCGGATTCAAGTGATTCTCCTGCCTCAGCCTTCTGAGTACCTGGGATTACAGGCACTGGCCACCATGCCCAGCTAATTTTTGTATTTTTAGTAGAGACAGGGTTTCACCATGTTGGCCAGGTGGATCTCGAACTCCTGACCTCAGGTGATCCACCCGCCTCAGTCTCCCAAAATGCTGGGATTACAGGCGTGAGCCACCGTGCCCAGCCCATTCTGTTTCAATACCACACAATTGCTATTGTGTTTATGTATAAGTACTAAGATATAATAATTGATGAAATAATAACTTAAATGTCAGTCATTTCATCTGGAGCTGAGGCAAACACACAAGCTTTCCAGCCTGCAGTTTGGAGCTGGTTTGGCCAGCCTATACCCTCTCTGCCTATGCTGCACTTTGTGTCACTGCAAATGCTGGTTGAAAATGTGGCCCTAATGCTTTTTGACATCTTGATCAGTGGAAGCTGGAGAAACTTTTCAAAAAGTGGCAAGCAAGTCTGCTTGCTAAAAGAGATTTCAGCTTATCTCTGAGCCATATCTTTCTTTTCTTTTGCATAAAACCTCTTGAATGGATAACTTAGTTATACAAATGTAAATCAAGAATCTGTGGGCAGATCTGAACGCAGGACAGGTGCTGCAGAGTGTTCTATTTGGTGATGAAACTGTAACTTGTCCATAAGCCCAAGCCATGATTCTGAGACTTTACTTTGTGATATTTTTTGGGGGGTGGGGGGGTGTGCGTGATTATGAATTTAGAGTCTGCTGTTGGAAAAGGCCTCTAGCTGACCTTGTGATGCTGCATATGTTCTGCCTTAAGCAGTTTATTGTTGTTAGTTTCATTTTTACCTGAGATGTACTAAACTGGAGAAACTGGAAGGAAGGACATCCAGAAGAAATCTTTACCTCTTATGGAGGAAAAACAATCAAGAGAACAGGACCGCGTCGTCTGCAGCTCCACCTGAACTGGACTGTTTGTGGCCTGTCTTAGTCAGTTCCGGCACAACAGCAAAGTACCGTAGGCTGGATGGCTTAAACAACAAACATTTATTACTCTCAGTTCTGGAAATCCGAGAGCAGGGGGGCTAGGATGGCCAGGTTCTTGTTGAAAGCTCTCTTCCTGGTTTGCAAATGGTGTATTACATGATAGAGAGACTGAACTCTAGTCTCTCTCCTTATAAAGGCACTAGTCTCATACCCTCATGACCTAATCACTTCCCAAAGGCCCCACCTCCTAATACCATGTCACTGGGGCTTAGGATTTCAACATACGAATGTTGGAGGTACACAAACATTCAGTCCATAATATGTCCTATATCCTATATGAGTTAAGAGTGAATAATCCAAGATGATGAACACTACACTATTATGTTTTGGTGTCATAGTTTTGATGCCATCATGATGCAAGATGACACTCCAATGGGTAGGGGTAGGCTTTCCTGTGAAGGAGACACCTCTTCTCCTTGAATAAGAAGAGCCAATCTTAGGACATTAGACTTGAGGAAAGGTAAAAAAAATCAATCTCTTTTTTAATCTTAAGCTGTCTTAGGTGATCTGGACTGTTAGGCACAGTTATAGTCAAAAAAATAATTTCTGTTAGTTGGAATAACATGACCCTTACTCTGTTGAAGCTGGCTGGGGGCAACCCTATGAGGATTCTGAAGTTAAGTGGAGATTAAACTGTGAGGGTTGCCACCTCTCGTAGTGTTTGCAAGATGCCTTTCCATTTGGGTACCTTGCCTCAAAAATGACAGTATAATTTTATTAAGTGCTACAGTTTGAACTTAGCTGCATGATATAGACTGAGGGGAAGAGGCTGACCCCTAGGCCTGAGTGGAGTTAGCAATGGCCATCATCCTTAGAGTTGTAGGAGACTTGAATATGAACCCCAAAACATCCCTTGGATAAGGATTATTTTAAGCTGATTATATAGCATACGCAGGAGAAGCTCTGAAAACAGTATGTTACCCTTTTGTAAGGATAATTTATATTTTATAAAGGAAATATCCATGTGAGGGTTTCTCCCTCTGTACTGAGGAGAGGATGACTGTAAGTCCTTAAAGACTCATATCTGTGAAGAAGGCACTGACTGAAATCTGCACAACAAATCTTACCCTTGTTTACTATACTTTTCCTGGTCACCTTCCAATAACTTGCCTCTCGCACACTATTTGTTTTAACTGAAGATGGTATTGAAGCCCAAATTCTAGCCACCTCTTTCAGTTACTCATCCCTGAGTTTCTCTAATGTATATTTATGTGATGTAAGTGTTAATAAACTTCTATTTGTCTTTCTCTCTTTTTTTTTTTTTGAGATGGAGTCTCGCTCTGTTGCCCAGGCTGGAGTGCAGTGGCGCGATCTCGGCTCGCTGCAAGCTCTGCCTCCCGGGTTCACGCCATTCTCCTGCCTCAGCCTCCCGAGTAGCTGGGACTACAGGCACGTGCCACCATGCCCGGCTAATTTTTTGTATTTTTAGTAAAGACAAGGTTTCACTGTGTTAGCCAGGATGGTCTCGATCTCCTGATCTTGTGATCCACCCATCTCGGCCTCCCAAAGTGTTGGGATTACAGGCGTGAGCCGCTGCGCCCGGCCTGTCTTTCTCTTTTTAATCTGTCTTTTGTTACATGGACTTTAGCCAGGAACCTAGGATGGCAGGAAGAAAAAAAAAAAGTTTCCTCCCCTACAGAGTTTAGCTCCTCTTGCATGACAGCAATTTCAGAATGTGTATCAGGTGAGGAGACAAGAAAAGAGTACCCTGACCAGGAGTTTGGGGCAAAGAACCAGGTGCAGGAGGTATTGTTGAACATCTGTGAGAAAGAGCTCTGTGTGCTTTCAGAAACAACTGAGGGCAGCTTGCTATTAGAAAGTTTATGCTGGGAAGGTAAATTTTAATTATCAATTGAGCTGCTATATTTTTTTTTAAGTCACCCTGTGGCAGGCAGCCCCAGTATTCATTTATAAGATTTTATTTTTTTCACAAAATAGGATCTCAAACTTTGTGATGTAAACCAAAAATAAAATTCTAAGCCCCCCAACCGACTGAATGAACCATCCTCCCAGCCAAGGGCATTCCAAAGAAAACCTGAAAAACTAAAACTAGCTCAGGCCATGATGGAAAGAGGGAGTCCAGGCCTGCCTCTTTCTGCTCTCCTCCCTTTGGAATTCAGGCACAGCCGACCAGCATTAACATGAAAACAGAGATCTTAAGACTGACAAAGAAGACTCCTTGTAGCAATAAGATACCAAATTCCAACCTGACCCGAGTATAGCATCATGTGACAGATGGCAGGCCCTGAAAGAAATCAAAGCATTTTACCCCAAAATAGATTGCTTAGACATATTTTGAAATAGCCCTGCAAAGCTATCTCTTGTGGGGAAAATCTACATTCTGTAGAGAGTCTCCTTCCTTTTCCAGGTCTTTTCCTGATACAGAAGAGATTTAACTAAGACTCTGGGACCTTTTAGAGTCTGATAAGAGACATTTACCATATATTCCTCTGAAGCCTATGACCTGGAAGTTTCATCTATGTAACAAGAACCTTGGCTTCCACAACGCCCTGCTTGTCTTAACTACAAACATTTCTTTCTGCTGACTTACACTCTTCAAGCAAAGCTTAACCCTTTCAACCAACTGCCAATTAAGAAATCTTTGAATGCATGTATGACCTATAAGCTCCTGCTTCAAGTTATCCTGCCTTTCCAGACGAAGCCAATGTCTACCTTACATGCACTGATGGCTATCTTCTATCTCCCTACATCGCATAAAACCAAGCTGTAATCCAACCACCTTGACCACACGTTCTCAGGACCTCTTGAGACTGTGCCTTGGGCCTTGGTCACTTAGATTTGGCTTGGAATAAATCCCTTGAAATATTTCACAGAGTTGCCTCTTTTCCATTGACAGTGATTACTTGTATCTGGAACAATACTAAGTAGTTCTGAAACCGCCTTTGCAAAATTATAACTGAGGAAATTATGACAGTGAAAGAAATCAGACCTAACCAACTCCATCTTGCTTCTAATCCTCAAGTTGTCCTTGTTCATTCCTGGGCGTAGGGCGAACTAACTTTGGGAAGGAATTCAGTTTGTGGTTTGACTCTGAAACGAAATTGCTAACAGCCCTTTCCCGAAAAGACCCCCTTCTTGCCTGGGGTCCAGTCTGTCTTTGCAGAACAAACAAATTAGCTACAAGATTAGAAATTACAACGTAGGGGTCATGCAGCCCTTGGTTCCAAAAGTCTGAACCCCCCAAATTGTTCCTGGGGACCTAAGATCAGTGCCTGAGATATTTTGCAGGCCCTGAACTCCATGGATCAGCCGGCACCACCTGGACTGGTGATCTGGCTCAACTAGTTCTGCCATCCCACCCAGGAACAGAAGACAGCGAGAAAACCTCATTTTGACCCCCTATGATTCCATCTCCAACCTGACCAATCCATACTCCCCACTTCCTAAGCCCCTACCCACCAAATTATCTTTAAAAACTCTGATCCCTAATTGCTCAGGGAGACTGATTTGAGTAATAATAAAACTCCAGTCTCCCCCACAGCTGGCTCTGCGTGAATTACTCTTTGGCCATTGCAATTGCCCTGTCTTGATAAATCGGCTCTGTCTAGGCAGCAGGCAAGGTGAACCCATTGGGCAGTTACATTGTTTTTTCCTCCATTTGTTCCTGACATAAAAGAGAGTAAGTTATGAGTAAAATTCATGTATCTCTGCATTCTTTGAATGAAATCTGCAAACATGTAATTATTTGTTAGACCTCTGGCTGCGAATAGTACTCATATGAATGTTGTAATAAAGAAACAATTATTTGAATACAAAGTTCACACAAATAGAATATTTATAATATCCCAGGCAAGTTTGAGTTTCAGATTCCCTTTAAGTAGAATATATTATAAAAATTGTGAGAGGCAAGGATGAATATTCAGACAAGGGAGTTTAAAATTCTTCATGAGAATAAAGCAAATGATAGAAGAAAAATAATTTATGCTGAGATGAATAAAATGTATGTGGGCCAGCTTTTTAAAAAATCACAATTACTTTCTTATAAATTTAGAAATAAAGCCATTTAATCAACAGACTTAAAATGGATGTTATTTTAGACACAGAGAACTTATAAAGAGAATTTGGATTATGAAGTTACAAGCCAAAAAGATACAGAATTTAAAATGATACAGATTTCAATAAATAAGAAATGTGAAAACTAAATTATATAATATAGTAATAATAGTAAAACTTCATTAAGTTTAAATAATAAGTAAAAAATGACAGGGAGAAAAAATATTTGGTAAGAATATACAGAGAAGAATGTAAAAATCTTGTTAGAAAATTTCCACTTCTATCTGTGAGGCAGTAGGTTATATCGGCCTAAGCCCTCTCTTCTGACAAGGGACAAAGATTCTTTGCTTGGCTAAGCTTTAGTCAGGGTCCTGAACCTTCTCTTAGGCCTACCTGTGCACTTCCTTATAAAATCCAGTTTTAGAAAAGAACACTATTAAGTCATTTTACCAAGAACCCCCACCTTTAATATCTGATCACCTTTGATATATGATCAGGTTTCTTATCCCTCCCCTCCCACCACAGGTGATGTTTGATCACCCTGGCCTGTCTTCAGCAAGAATCCTGTTAGGTTGGTTTAGTCAGAATTCCCTTACCCCTGATGTTTTCTGCTAGTAATTTTTTTTTTCTTATCACAGACCCTCTACCCTATTTCTTAGCTATAAATTCCCACTTGCCCAGGCTGTATTTGGAATTGAGCCCAATCTTTCATACTACAAGACCCTGTTGCAGTGGTCCCTAAACATATGTTGCTGATCTTGAATAAAGTCTTCCTTACTGTGCTTTAACAAGTATCATTGAACAATCTTTTCTTTAACACAAGAATAACAAAAAAGCCTGTAAAAAGTATTTTTTAAAAAACAGCTTTTGGAGACATCTGAGAACAACTAAGACTGCTGCAATTAATGGTACAAATTCTGGAGTCAGGGGAAATGCATTGAGGTAAACCTCACATTCTTTGTGGGTTGTCCTTTCAAGCCATTTTTCAATATGTAAGTGGCCCAGGTGAGAGGAAAAGCAGAAGGAAAGGCCTAGAACAGTTAAGGCTCACAAGGCTGGGGAGGCAAAGGTTGGAGTTCAATACTAGTCATGTACTTGAGGATCCAAGACTGGAGAAAAGGGAATTGCAGAAAAGTGGGTTGGATATTCTGCAACTCTTTTTTTCCCTCGGGGAATCTGATTATTCCTGAGGTTCCAGTGTGAGAATATAAGCGATAAAGCAGAAAGTGGAAGCTAAGAGGCTGAGAAATCAAGCAGAACTTGAGATAGTTTCACAGTGTTTGAGAGAGACAAAAATTGAGTTCAGACATTTCCAAGGACCTCTTATATTTTAGTTAGTTCAGTCACTGATTGGATCAAGATGTGTAGCTTCTCTGTCTTTTAGAAAAAAAAAGTCATCTCTAAAAGAAGATATTATCCAGTGATCTTGTAACTCATCATACACAATGATTGGCATTAAGTAAAAAATTACCAGACATCCCAAGAGACAGGAAAAAAAATGGGCAAATACTAAAGCAGAAACAATAGATGGCCTATATATTAGAGTTATAAAGACAGAGGTTTTTTTTTTTTTTATTGAAACGGAGTCTCGCTCTGTGGCCCAGGCTAGAGTGCAGTGGCGCAATCTCGGCTCACTGCAACCTCCGCCTCCCAGGTTCATGCCATTCTCCTGCCTCAGCATCCCGAGTAGCTGGGACTACAGGCGCCCGCCACCACGCCCAGCTAATTTTTTGTATTTTTAGTAGAGACAGGGTTTCACCGTGTTAGCCAGGATGATCTCGATCTCCTGACCTTCCCGCCTCGGCCTCCCAAAGTGCTGGGATTACAGGCGTGAGCCACCATGCCCGGCCAAGACAGAGGCTTTTTAATGGTAATAATAGAGTTAAGAAAATAGATTTATAAATATAAAATTTTGCC
This sequence comes from Homo sapiens, assembly GCF_000001405.40. Lineage (NCBI taxonomy): Eukaryota > Metazoa > Chordata > Mammalia > Primates > Hominidae > Homo > Homo sapiens. Next base: position 139,317,758 of record NC_000006.12, read on the forward strand.
ACAGAACTGGAATCTATAAAAATGATCCAATGAAAGTTATAGTTGAGAAATACAAATAATCAAAATTAAGATCTCATCAGATGACTGAGGCAACAGGATCACTTGAGGCCAGGAATTTGAGACCAGCCTGGGCAACATTGTGAGAATTTTTTAAAAAATTTAAAAAACAGAAGAAAAGATCTCATCAGATGATCTAAACAGCATATTAGACAGTAAAAGAAAGGATTATGGGGCCGGGCACGGTGGCTCACGCCTGTAATCCCACACTTTGGGAGGCCGAGGCAGATGGATCACGAGGTCAGGAGATCGAGACCATCCTGGCTAACACAGTGAAACCCCGTCCCTACTAAAAAATACAAAAAATTAGCTGGGGGTGGTGGCGGGTGCCTGTAGTCCCAGCTACTTGGGAGGCTGAGGCAGGAGAATGGCGTGAACCTGGGAGGCAGAGCTTGCAGTGAGCCAAGATCACGCCACTGCACTCCAGCCTGAGTGACAGAGTGAGACTCTGTCTCAAAAAAAAAAAAAAAAAAAGAAAAGAAAGGATTATGGAACTGCTAAATAAGAAATATGAAATTAAAAAGATGAAAAATATAAGAGAAGAAGAGATATATGAAAAGTGGTGATAATTCTTACGTATGTGTAATTAGATCCCCAAAAGGAAACGAGAAAGAGAATGAGAGATAAACAATAATTGAAGGGATACTGGCTGAGAAGCTTCCAAAACTGACACAAGATATCAAGTCAAACATTCAAGAATCTCTATAAAACCCAAGCACATCAAGGTACCAAGGTGTGTACCTTGGTAAAACTGCTTAAAACCAAAGACAAAGAGAAAATGTTAAAAGCATCCAGAGGACAAAACACATTATTTCCAAGCAGAAACAAACTGATGAAAGCTAGATGACAATGGAAGACAATGGACTGATATTTTTAGCATACTAACCAACTTAGAATTCTATAAGCAGTGCAAACATCTGAAGGTAAAGACATTTTTTCCAGACAAAATATGAGTGTATTTGTTGCCAATAAATCCACATTAAAATTGATTGATGTAGCAATCTCTATAAATATTAGTTGATATAAATGAATAAACTAAAATGATGAATTCACAAATGGTAGTTAGCCTTTTTTTGAGTTTAAGAGATTAAAGCTTTGTTCAGGATATTAGATTGTCTTCCTTCCTTTTTTTTTTTTTTTTTTTTTGAGATGGAGTCTTGCTCTGTCACCCAGGCTGGAGTGCAATGGCGCGATCTCAGCTCACTGCAACCTCAGCCTGCTGGGTTCAAGAGATTCTCCTGCCTCAGCCCTCCAAGTAGCTGGGACTACAGGCACGCACCATCATGCCCGGCTAATGTTTTGTATTTTCAGTAGAGACGGGGTTTTACCATGTTGGCCAGGCTGGTCTCGAACTCCTGACCTCGTGATCTGCCCGCCTCGGCCTCCTAAAGTGCTGGGATTACAGGCATGAGCACCACACCCAGCCAATGTCTTTCTCCCTTTAAAATTTTTTTTTTTTTTTTTTTGCAGAGATGTGGTTTTGCCATGTTGCTCAGGCTGGTCTCAAAGTCCTGAGCTCAAGCGATCTGCCTGCTTTGGCCTCCTCAAGTTCTGGGATTATAGGTGTGAGCCACTGCACCCATCCTTCCTTTCTTTCTTTTTTTTTTGAGACAGGGTCTCATTCTGTCACTCAGGTTGGAGTGCAGTGGCATGACCACACCTCCTTTGTTAAAGGAGCAATATAAGGCTAGCTGTGGTGGTTTATACCACACCCCAGCACTTTGGGAGGCTGAGCTCAGAAGTCTGAGACCATCCTGGGCAACATAGGGAGAACCCATCTCTACAAAAAAAAATTCAAAAATTAGCTGGGCATGGTGGCATGTACCTGTGTACCAGCTATTTGGGAGGCTGAGGCAGGAGGATCACTTGAGCCTGGGAGGTCAAAGCTACAGTGAGCCATGATTGTGCCATCTGCACTCCAGCCTGGGTGGCAGAGTGAGACCCTGTCTCTAAAAAAATAAATAAGTAAAAGGAGCAACATGAGAACAAGTAAATCCTTTTAAATGAGTATTTCACATGAATTAATAAATGACTATTTATAGTATTTAACAATTACAACAGGAAATGAGACATTTAGAAAGGATTAGCAATACACAGCATAGTGAAGTGGATAAAAAGTAAAAAAAAAGTTATTAAAAATACATTTCTACTACTTTATAAATATTTAGCTTATGGCCATATATATATAAATAACTGAAATATCTCTTAATTTGTAGTGGTTATTGAATATGTATTTTATATCTTGTTTTAAATTATAATTTGTTAAAGTTATTAAAATCCAATGTGGTATTAAATTATTAACTCTTTAAAATAAATATTAGTGCCTGGTTTCTAACTTCTCTTTCCCTTAAATAAAAGTTACTTAAGTAACTTCTAAGTGGTGACTAAGCCTATATGTTTTCTAAAATTTTGTATGACACATAGGTCCTAATTCATCAATTTGGGAGTAGACAATTACATTATATTCTTACTCATATTATCGATTTTGAGCACTAATCTATTCTTCCTTTAGGTTTCTGTTTCCAAATAATTTCTGGAAACCACAAGGAATATTTACAAAATCAGTGAGACAATTGCCTTCCTTGCTAGCTCGTTATGAGTTGATATTTTCAGTCCTAGAGGAACACAACTGTTGCCAGTGAACTCAAGTTTCCTTCACTAAAATATTACCATCACCAAAAATCCAAATTCATGGGACTGGGTTGGAGACGAGACACTGGAAATCAAATGGGTTCCTTTTTATTTCGATTATCATTTACTTAATTTGTAAAACTCCACTTTTGGGGAATTTTCTGTAGGCAGAAAATTTTCTAAGCATATAATCTCATTTTTTTTTTTTACCAACCTAGAGGTGAGCAGTGTGATTGTTCCCATTTTCAAAAGACAAATCTGTGGCAGAGACAAGTTATCAACTTGCTCAAGACTTTCTAGCTCTGCACTGGTACAGACATGATTCTCACTCAACAAGGTGACTTCAGAGTCTATATCTCTCCCATGCTACATAGGCACAAGTCATTGGGTAACACTTCTAAGAAAGCTCTTCTGCCCTTTCCCACTTTCTCCTTCTTCTTACCTGAAGCAGATGTATTTGTTAGAGCTACAGTGGCCATATTCCACTCTAAGGCAACTGTGAAGATGAAAGCCATGGGCTTGGGACAGCACAGCAGAGAAGTAAAAGGAACCTAGATCCCTGTTAATGTCATGCACCTGCTTGCTAGGCCTGAAATACTCACCTCCAGACATCCATGTTCTTTCAGACACTATTATTTGGGTTTTCTACCTTATCCAATGGATTGAATCCTGATACTAGCCTGTCAGTGTAGAAGTGCCCCGGGGTTCCGTCACTGGACCTTGCTATTGTCTGAATGTTGGTGTCCCCTACAAAATTCAGGTGTTGTAATTCTAACCCCCAAGATGATGGCATTAGGAGATGGGGCCTTTTGGAGGTGAATGGGTCATGAAGGTAGAGCCTTCATGAATGGGATTCGTGCCCTTACAAAAGAGGCTCCAGAGAGTTGCCTTGTGCCTTCTACCATATGAAGATAAAGTGAGAAGTCACCATCTGTGAATCAGAAAATGGGCTCTGACCAGATACTGAATCTGCTGATGTCTTGATCTTGGGTCTCCCGGCCTCCAGAACTATAAGAAGTACATTTCAGTTGTTTATAAAATACCCAGTCTATGGTACTTTGTTATAGCAGCCCACATGGGCTATGACTGAGCTCTCCTTTTTTTTTTTTTTTTTAATCTATGGAGACTTCATATACAGAGACTTCTGAAAACTTTTACATTTATGTCTCTAGCCCAGACTACTCTCTCTTTTTTTTTTTTTTTTTTTTTTGAGATGGAGTCTGTTGCCCAGGCTGGAGTGCAGTGGCACAATCTTGGCCCACTGCAAGCTCCACCTCCCGGGTTCACACCATTCTCCTGCCTCAACCTCTCAAGTAGCTGGGACTACAGTTTCCCACCACCACGCCTGGCTAATTTTTTTGTATTTTTAGTAGAGACAGGGTTTCATTGTGTTAGCCAGGATGGTCTCGATCTCCTGACCTCGTGATCCGCCTGCCTCGGTCTCCCAAAGTGCTGGGATTACAGGCATGAGCCACTGCGCCCAGCCTCTCAGACTACTCTCTTGAACTACAGATTCATTAATTTTTTTTTTTTTAAGATAGGCAGAGTTTTACTATGTTGCCCAGGCTGGAGTGCAGTAGCTATTCACAGGCACCATCATAGCACATTAAAGCCTTGCACTCCTGGCCTCCAGCAATCGTCCCACTTCATCCTTCTGAGCTGCGACTACAGGTGCACCACCATGCCTGACTTCACAGCCTATTGACATCTCTGCTTCGGCATTATCACTGCTGGGTTGCACTGCTATAACAGAATACCACAGAGTGGGTAATTTATAAAGAACAGGCATTTATTTCACACCGTCCTGGAGGCTGAGAAGATCAAGATCAACACCCTGGCATCTGATGAGGGCTTTCTTGTTGCATCCTCACATGGCAGAAGGTAGAAGGGCAAGGGTTGGGGGGACAAGTGTTGTGTCCTCACACTGGCAGAAGAGCAGAAGAGAGTGAACCCACTCCTGCCAGCCCTTTCCATAGTGACATTAATCCATTATTAATCCATTCATAAAAGCAGAGCCTTCATGAACTAAACACCTCCCATTAGGCCCCACCTCCCTTCTAAAGAAATTCCTCCTCCAGTCTTCCCCATTATAGAAAATGGCAACTCCATCCTTTAGTTACTCAGATCAAAAATTTGGACTCATGCCTGACTCCTCTCTTCCTTTTCCATCCCACATCTGATCCAACACAAAAGTCCCATTAGTTCTATCCTCAATACGGTGCAGAGTTCAACCACCTCTCATCCAAATTATCTTAGTAACAACTGCCTTCCCGGCCACTCCCCTAAAATATCGATGCCTCCCCAGCCCAGCTTTATATCCCCCTTGTTCCTTCTTTTTCTGTAGAAAAAACACACTGCACATTTTCTGTACATTTTACTTATTTGCTGTGTTTATTCTTTGTCTCCTCCTCTTGCCTGTATGTTGCATGGGGGCAGGCATTTTCGCTGGGTTTTCCCTGCTGTTGAATCCCCCATAAACAGATGCTAATTGAATAGTGGCTTCCCCAGGACAGAGGCCCATGGGGCTATCAATTTTCTAAATGTCCATTTCCCTAAATCCCTTTATCTCTTTTGGATCTGTCCTCATTTTAAAATAAGAAACTAGCATTTCTGTGAACTGACTAGGAATAATTTCAATTGTCATTTCAGTAAGAAGTTTCATTTTGGACCAGTGACTATGATTATCCTTCCTTAAATACATAGGAAATCATTTTGTTGGTGTTGACATTGCACGAGATGAAGAAGGGATGGGGCTCAGTGTGTGGTTTGGGCTCTTTTGTTTGCAAGAAACCTCTAGAGATGTATTATAGTGACCCCAAGAAAAAGAATTTGTTTAGTTTTTTTTTTTTTTTTTTGAAACGGAGTCTCGCTCTGTCGCCTAGGCTGGAGTGCAATGGCATGATCAAGGCTCACTGCAATCTCCGCCTCCCGAGTTCAAGCAATTCTCCTGCCTCAGCCTCCCGAGTAACTGGGACTACAGGTGCGTGCCACCACGCCCAGCTAATTTTTTGTATTTTTAGTAGAGACGGGGGTTTCACAGTATTAGCCAGGATGGTCTCGATCTCCTGACCTCGTGATCCGCCCGCCTCGGCCTCCCAGAGTGCTGGGATTACAGGCGTGAGCCACCGCGCCCAGGCTTGTTTAGTTTTTTTATTTACTTATATAATAATAAAGAAACATGTGGACCTGGGCTGGGGACAAGCAGGAAAGTCACCAAGAATCACGAGGCACGTGGTTTCTCTCTGTACATCTGCTGCATTGTCTTCTCTAGGCTTACTTACCAACTTCCGCTGCTTACTCATAATTTCTGTTTCCTCTTCGTTTTTCCGGGGCCCTAGTTTACCTCCGGGCTTCCGTTGGCATCAGCTTCCATTCCCCTACATCTGATGGCTCGGCCCCTGTTTCTCAAAATTAGGCAGCTGTGGTTTACAACAGGGGACAGTCAACAGATTGCTCCAGTCAGTGCTCATCCCCGTCCTTTCTGCTGTGGTCAGGGTTTGGAAAGGGTCCCATAAAGCAAAACACGCCCCCAGAAGCTTTGCGCAGGGAAGGTAGATAGGAGTCACGCCCCTCCCCCATTGTCATCGCCATAGAAACAGGTTCCTGTTTATTCAGATGACTGTCTGTTTAACTGTTTCAACTCCACTTTGACTTGGAAAAGTGTTCTGGGATACTGACATTGTTTTATGATTCCCATCTTTGACTACCTTATTCTAGCACCAAATGTTAAACATGCAGCCCATTAATGCTTGAGCTTAGCTTTGTTTTCAGAATCTTCTGCCGGAAGCTTCTAGCTTCCTTCCAAGCTCTGGGGACAGAGAGGAGCCTCCTCTTTTGTGGAGTGTATTCAATGTGTGTGTATATATATATACATACATATATATTTTTTTCATTTAATTTTTTTTTTTAACTGTGACTAGTTCAGGATGACATTTTACAAAATCCCCCCGTTTTTTTTTTTTTTTTTTTTGGTCTGTTATTGTTTCTGGAAAGGAAAGTTTTATTTCCTTGTTTATTCTGTGTCTTCTCCTCTCTCCTGTATGTTGCATGGGGGCAGGAATTTTTGTTAGTTTTTTCTCCCTGTTCAATCTCCCATAAACAGCTGCTGATTGAACAGTGGCTTTCCCAGGACAAGGGCCCGTGGGACTACATTCAATGGTTTTAACTTGAATGCAGAATAATTTTTTTTAAGAGATTACCTTTTATTTCATTTTTTATTTATTTATTTTTTGGGGGGGACGGAGTCTTGCTCTGTCACCCAGGCTCGAGTGCAGTGGCACCACCTTGGCTCACTGCAAGCTCCGCCTCCTGGGTTCATGCCATTCTCCTGCCTCAGCCTCCCAAGTAGCTGGGACTACAGGCACGTGCCACCACGCCTGGCTAATTTTTTGTATTTTTAGTAGAGACGGGGTTTCACCATGTTAGCTAGGATGGTCTCAATCTCCTGACCTCGTGATCCTCCCACCTCGGCCTCCCAAAGTGCTGGGATTACAGGCGTGAGCCACTGCACCTGGACAGATTTTATTTTTTAAAAAAATCTTTAGTTCAAATGTATGCCAATACTTTTAAAAGCCAGGTAATATTAAGAGACTGTTGTTCTCAATCACCTGGCATACAGAAAGTTCTGGAATATTCATATTCCCATTATACAGCTGAACCACTGCTGGAGTCTTGTCTTTTGCTGCCATAAAGAAACAGATATGGAGTAATATGTGGTTAAGAGCAGAGCTCCACTAATTTGATATCTGACTATTAGTCACATGTCATTTTGATTCTGAACATCATCTGTGACTAGAAGATAAAATTAGTTCCTTTTTTTCTATGTTTTTATGATACTGTGTTTGGTTCCTAATGTTCTGAAAAATGCTAATGTGTGTTTTTCATAGAGCAACCTAAAATATATTTCCTTTAAGAAAACAACAGGCTCAGCCCAACTGTAGGAATTATATTTACTCTGTAAATCAAATTTGTTGCCAGCCTCTGCTTCTGTGGTCAGAGAGGGAAACAATTTACTAACTGTAATAGTTACTTCCTCATTTTTCAAGGGGTGTTAATTTTATGCCTGCTGATGGCTGCAATTTTTCTCAAATGCAAACATAGAGTCAAATAATTTGACATTTGTCAAATATTTTACATTCTAGTTAGAAAACATAAATCGTTTTCTTTTAAAAACCCAACCTCTAAAGCTGCATGTTTCTCCAAGTCAGTAGTGCCTTCATTTTATGAGGGAAATGAAATCAATCATCCCTGGATAATCAAGAATTAGGACAGAATTGCTCCTGACAACCCTGACATGGTAACACCAAAACAGCTCCTCCCTGACACCTGGCTAAATAGTGAGGGGGGTCAGCCTGGGTCTGTGTCTCTTGGCTGGGGAATATTTCCTGTGCTATGGGGTCTTGGATTCCTGCTCATTCTTCACAGCTGCTTTACCCACACTGCTGTGGCCACTGTCTGCCATTGGTTACTCCCCTCCTTCCTCTGTGGAACGGCTGCCTCCACTACTGCTGAGCTGTGAATAAGTCCCAGGTGTTTGCCTGCTTGTTTGTCTTCATCTAACCTAGACTTTAGGTTGCATGAAGGCAAAAGAGGTGTCTCTCCTATTCATCTTTGTATACCCAGCACCAGTACCAAGCAGGTGCTCAATAAATGATTGTTGACTGATGAGGGAATAACTCACCATAAATTAGCAGCAAGCAGTCATGTATTTTTTTCTCACAATAAAATGCACTTTTAAAAAAATCAGCACCATATGCACATATATTAATTTCTCATGCAATAGTTTAACAGTGAGAGTCTAAGGGTAATTGCTTCACCATATCTGTTGCTCTTGTTGGGGCTCAGAAAATTATACCCCAGAACGAAGGCCTCAGAAGCAAAGTTTCTCTCTGACCTTCTCCTGCCCTCCTGTCTCTCATCCTTTATAGTCCCCTGAGGCAAGTCATAGAAACTAGAAGAAACTAGAATTTCTCTCCCCCATGGTGGGTCATAGAAACCAGAACTCCCTTTCCCCAAAGCAAGCATAAAGACCAAAAATGTTACTCTAACCTTCTCCCAGCTTTCTGTGTAATAGCTGGCCATAAACAAATTAAGACCCTCATTCCAGAGGGGTCCTGCCCCCATTCCTGGAGAAAGGAATGGCACACAGAGAAGCCAAGAATATGAGCCCACACTTCCTGGGTTTCCTCCTCAGTCTATCACGTTAGTCCTTGGGGGAAAACCTTTGGCCCGATCACATTTCTACATAGCTGTCCATTCTTTGTTTAACCTAAGCATAAAAATTGATATTTTCCCCTGTATTTTTGGGTCTTCATTCCAAAGGCTCTCATGTTACCTAAAACTGTGATCAAACACATTTGTTGGACGGGCGTGGTGGCTCACGCCTGTAATCTCAGCACTTTGGGAGGCCAAGCGGGGCGGATCACAAGGTCAAGAGATCGAGAACATCCTGGCCAACATGGTGAAACCCTGTCTCTACTAAAAATACAAAAATTAGCTGGGCGTGGTGGTGTGCGCCTGTAGTCCCAGCTACTTGGGAGGCTGAGGCAGGAGAATTGCTTGAACCTGGGAGGTGGAGGTTGTAGTGAGCCGAGATCGTGCCACTGCACTCTGGCCTAGGCGACAGAGTGAGACTCTGTCTCAAAAAACAAAAAAACACATTTGTTATGCTTTTTTCTTGTTAACCTTTTCAGCCCCTATACTGTCTGCCCCGCTGTTGGCTTTATTTGACTGATCTGGCGGTTTAAACAGGTGTTCATTTCTGGACCATGCTTCTGCCACCTCCCCCTCACTCTTCAAGCTCCAGCCATACTGGCCTTTCAGTTCCTTAAATGTGCCAGCCTCTTTCTTGCCTCTGGCTCTTCCGACTTTTTCCTCAGCTTGGAAGTTTCTCTCTCTTGACCTCCTTATTTTGGCTAACTCTCATCATTCTTTCAGAATTCAGCCTAAATGTCAAATTCCTCAGAGTTGCTTTCTCTGATGCTCTGATATCAGTGATCTCCCGTGTTCCCCTAACACTCTGTTTTTGAATTCTGCATAGCACTTATTATTTTATCACTATATAGTTAGCTGACTTTTTCGTTTATTTGATGCCTGTCTCCTTCATTTGGCTGTTAGTTTCATAAGAATAGGGTTGAAAATTTAGTGCCTAACACCTAGTGGGTGCTCAATAAATATCTGTTGAATGAATGAATTAGTGACTGAATAAATAGAATGAATAAATGACCTAACAGCTCAATGTGTGTTAAAAGTGGTTTTGTTGTTGTTGTTGTTTTGTTTTTTTGTTTTTTGTTTGGATGGCAGTATAGACACAATATAAATTAAGCAATGAATACATTGGAGCAAAATTTAGAGTACCAACATCAAGAGATAGTGTGGTATTTCATTTCAGGTTATCTCACTTATTATTAATTACTACTTAATTGGGAGTCGTGTTTCCTCATCAGTTTTTAGAAAAAAGTTTAAACCAGCTGGGTGCGGTGGCTCACGCCTGTAATCTCAGCACTTTGGGAGGCCAAGGCCGGCGGATCACGAGGTCGGGAGATCGAGACCATCCTGGCTAACACAGTGAAACCCCGTCTCTACTAAAAATACAAAAAGAAATTAGCCGGGTGTGGTGGCGGGCGCCTGTAGTCCCAGCTACTCAGGAGGCTGAGGCAGGAGAATGGCGTGAACCCAGGAGGCGGAGCTTGCAGTGAGCCGAGATGGCACCACTGCACTTCAGCCTGGGCGACAGAGCAAGACTCCATCTCAAAAAAAAGAAAAAGAAAAAAGAAAAAAGAAAAATGTTTAAACATACGCTTTATGGTTTGTGAACCTTCACAGTACTCTCCATTTCCACAACACTTTTCACTTTAGCAATAAAAAATTTGTGTACATAACTTTTCTTCAACTTTATGTGTAAATTCAGAAGTTAATGTATATTTAAAATTTATTATTATACCTTTACTTCCAAGTAAAATTTGAGGCCACTATCATACTAAGACATTTTTCAAACATCAGACAAATAAGTTCATATAAAGATTAAGGCAATAGTTAGGCTTTTAAGAGAAGAAAATCGATTACTACAGAACTCTAATGTTGAGGCCAGGCACAGTGGCTCATGCCTGTAATCCCAGCACTTTGGGAGGCTGAGGCGGGCTGATCATGAGGTCAGAAGATTGAGACTATCCTGGCCAACATGGTGAAACCCTGTCTCTACTAAAAATATAAAAATTAGCTGGGAATGGTGGTGCGTGCCTGTAATCCCAGCAACTCAGGAGGCTGAGGCGGGAGAATCGCTTGAACCAGGGATTCAGAGGTTGTGGTGAGCTGAGATCACGCTACTGCATGCCAGTCTGGTGACAGAGCAAGACCCTATCTCAAAAAAAAAAAAAAAAAAAAAGGAAAAAAAAAAGAAAAATACAAGAAATTAGCCAGGTGTGGTGGTGGTCACCTGTATTCCCAGCTACTTGGGAGGCTGAGGCAGAATTGCTTGAATGGGGGAGGCGGAGGTTGCAGTGAGCCAAGATCACTCCACTACACTCTAGCCTGGGCAACAGAGCCAGACTCTGTCTCAAAAAAAAAAAATCTGATGTTGAATCATTAGTGTAATTTATATGTAAATATGATTTAGATTTAACATAAATTTAGCAATATAGCTATATATTTTAATTTCCTCGTAGACAAGACCAAAAAGGAAACAGAATGGGTTCTAGAGGTCCCGTTAAATATTATAAAAGAAACATACAAACAACAAACAAAACCCCTCAGTATTCCAAACATTGTGTGCCAGGTAGGAATTCTGTTCCAGGAGGAATTCCTTGTAGGGATTCATACAGAGCAGAGAAGGAGTTGATAGCGCAGTAAGCAGTACCTTTAAATTTTGTTTTATGGAAGATATTAGGTTGGTGCAAAAAGGTCTACAAGGATAAGGAAAATGTGGCACATATGCACCATGGAATACTATGCAGCCATAAAAAAGAATGAAATCATATCCTTTCCGAGGACATGGATGAAGCTGGAAGCCATCATTCTCAGTACACTAACACAGGAACAGAAAACCAAACACCGCATGTTCTCACTCATAAATGGGAGTTGATAAATGAGAACACATGGGCACAGAAAGGGAAAAACACACACCAGAGCCTGTTGGGGGTTTGGGGGTGAGGGGAGGGAGAGCATTAGGACAAATACCTAATGCATGCAGGGCTTAAAACCTAGATGACAGGTTGATAGGTGTAGCAAACCACTATGGCACGTGTATACCTATGTAACAAACCTGCACATTCTGCACATGCTTAAAGTAAGGTAAAATTTTTAAAAAGGTCTATGAATGGCCATTTCCTGCATTAACCTTTGATGGATTCTGAGAGGATAATATTAAACTTCCACGAAGGCATTTCAGGGAAGAGTTAAGATAATAAGTACATGTTGCTTTCTGGTGAACTAAGCTAAAAGAAAGGCAAAGTTTATTAAGAAAAGGGACAAGTAGAGGTCAACATGTCCTTATCAAACATCATGTATAGTAATAGAACTAAAATAAAGCAGAAAAAGTTATTTCCCCTATGCCTCCTACTCAAGTTTCCAAATTGAGTTTCTGGGTTAAGTAGGGTATTACTCAAATCTAATTTTGGTTATAATTACATTCTGAGAATTATTTGCAAAATATACCAATACCTACACCATAAACTGACCTGTTAAGTGGAGTTTTTAATTTATTGTCTCTGTAGATTTGAAATATGTCTCAAAGTATTTTAGTATAGCTTATCCTAAGGTGAATCTTCAGACCATAAGTAGATAATGAGTGCAGCTGCTTTCCAACTGCCCTCATAGATTTTAATACAAGTATGTCAAAAAATGAAAGATAACTCTTACATCCTGTAATGGACTTTTCATAGAAGAAGGTAGTTTTTCTGGCTTCCTATCATCCGTGCATCATTATGGTAACAGGAATTTGTGGAACCAATCTCTACGTTGCATTCTCTGATTGGTTCAGACATTGTCCAGCCACCCAATCTGAGTCAAGCAGGTATGCTGACATTCGCTGATTTCTGGGAAAAGGTCTGCTTCCCAGCTGAACAAGAAGCCTCATGGAATGGAATGCCTAGTGCAGCTGCCCTATTTTGCTTCCATGAAGAGCCAAAGACAGAGAGCGGCACAGGGGAAGTCTGAGTAAAAAGACAGCTTGATGACAGCTTTTGAGCCCTCGATCCAGCCATGTTTGGAGAAATATCATTTTTGTTTAGGCCAATTTAGGTTCATTTTTCTGTTACATGCAACCAATATATATCTAACTAAATATCTAACTAAAACATCTTCCTATTCAGAAGGAAGAATACTTATGTTTAACTAAGATCTGAATAATATCTTTTACACATGCACATATACACATATAAGTTGAAAAGACTAAAATATACTCAAGTTCTAAAACATTTAAAATTAAAACTCTGTCTGTCACAATGTCACTCATTCATTCTCATTCTGCCAGAATGTTAGATACTGGCTGGAAAAAAAAAAATTCAAAAGCTGGTTTCTATACCAAGATCCCACACATGGGAAAAAACACAGGAAAAATGTGTGAATACCAACATGATTATGACATTAATTTGACTACTTCGTGAGACTGAAAGGAAAAATAAAACAGTGTCCAGTGGTCAGATGGTTGTGTTTTGTGTTTTTTTCCCCCTTGTAAAAGATTGAGAAATCCAGACCTGAAGTCTGAAATCTGTCCTACACTTTCAAAGGAGGAGAGAGCCAATGTATGCATTTGTAACTTAGAGGAACAACAGAGTTATTTTTTGTGGATAAGATTGATTCTACACAGAGTTCAATTTGAAGAAACTATGCCTAAGACATTAAAGAGAGCAAACAGTTGATCGGGATTGAGATTTGCTACTCAGGATAGTTTCTAAAGAACTGCAGGCAGAAGATTCTCTCTTGAGTCTCCATTCCTTTTCAGGTGACTGAGTAGATACCATCATCCAGCTATAAATGTTTGTTCAAATAAATTATTGCGTGGGAAGAGTCCTTGGAGCTATACAATAAGGAGAGATTGTTGTAAGCCTGCAAAGTTGAGTAAAATAGCTCAGCTGGTCAGAATTGGAATTTGTACTTTCATGGTGCTCTTGTAAAAGCCATAGCATAGGCAACCGTGTCCCCAAATCTATGCTCATTATTGATCCTATTCTCTATATCCAAGACCTTTCATTCTAGCTCTTTTTAAGGAAAATGTAGATTAAATATTTGAATTTAATACATTTCAATTTAACTATAAAATTGATAGTTATGTATATAACTTATAAATTGCACACTTAGGTACCTCTCTGTAACTTTAAGCTGTTTTGTTTTCTCTCAGATTAATGAAAGTTCCTGTTGAAAACTTGTCTTCAGGCCAGGCTGGGTGGCTCACGCCTGTAATCCCAGAACTTTGGTAGGCCGAGGAGGGTGGATCACCTGAGGCCAGGAGTTCGAGACCAGCCTGACCAAAATGATGAAACCCCGTCTCTATTAAAAATACAAAGTTAGCTGGACCTGGTGGATCATGCCTGTAATGTCAGCTACTTGGGTGGCTGAGGCAGGAGAATCACTTGAACCCAGGAGGCGGAGGTTGCAGTGAGCTGAGATCGCACCACTGCACTCCAGCCTGGGCGAGAGAGCGAGACTCTGTCTCAAAAAAAAAAAAAAAAAATGGAAATCAGGATTTTTTTTTTTTTTTTGAGACAGAGTCTCACTCTCTCTCCCACACTGGAGTGCAGTGGCGCCATCTCGGCTCACTGCAACCTCCGCCTCCTGGGTTCAAGCGATTCTCCTGCCTCAGCCTCCTGAGTAGCTGGGACCACAGGTATGTGCCACCACTCCTGGCTAATTTTTTGTATTTTTAGTAGAGATGAGGTTTCGCCATGTTAGCCAGGGTGGTCTCCATCTCCTGACATCATGATCTGCCCACCTCAGCCTCCCAAAGTGCTGGGATTACAGGTGTGAGCCACCGTGCCCAGCCAAAAACTTGTCTTTAATAATAATTTAATTAAGATATAAAATGTTACTTCTCAAATAGTGGAGAAGCTTAAATGCCAATTAGGATTTTTTAAATATTGCAGCCATTTAAAAATTGAACTGTGACTTAATATTTGATGCTCTTTTGGATGAAATGAAATCATCCAGGAAGAGAGCTAGTTTTAGATACTGCTGGATTCTGTGCTTAGAGAATACCACTAGGGTCCGTTTCTACGCGCTGCACTGTGGTCCATAATGCTATTCAAATTTACGTTATTCTACTTTCAAGTTCTGCAGAGGGGGAATTGCCTCCTGCAGCTTCTTCATAACTCTAGGGGTTCCCACACTCTCTCTCTCTGGCTCAGACTGGGTCAATGTGCTCATCCCATCCTTTAAACAATCATAGTGACTGCGGCCTGGGTGGGTGGAGGTGAGCTCTTTCGCGTAGGCTCCACCTCATAGTAAAGAGGAGTCACCTTTTCCTAAGCACATGAACTGGGGATGCGGTTGTTCATCCAAAGCAAAATTGGGGTATTGTTACCAACATGAGGAAGAGTGGATATCCTGGGCATAAAGAACAAATGTCCACCCTAAGGTAGAACTCAGATGTTCCAGCAGCAGAGCTGGTCAGAATTTGAGGTCAACGATCTCTAGACCTCTTCATGAAATTCTTTTTTCTGATATAGAACTTTAGAAAAGAAGGGTATAAATATCAGTTGAGATATGAAATATTGTCATATCATTGCTATGGACTAAATTGCATTATCTCTCCCGTTACTCCCAATTCATATGTTGAAGCTCTAACTCCCAATATGATGGAATTTATTGGTGAGGATTTGGAGGTAATTAAGATTAGACGAGGTCATGAGAGCGCGATTAGTGGCTTTTTTTTTTTTTGACGGAGTCTCATTCTGTCATCCAGGCTGGAGTGCAGTAGCACGATCTCAGCTCACTGCAACCTCCACCTCCCGGGTTCAAGCGATTCTCCTGCCTCAGTCTCCCGAGTAGCTGGGACTATAGGCGCCTGCCGCCACGCCCTCCTAATTTTTTGTATTTTTAGTAGAGATGGGGTTTCACTGTGTTAGCCAGGATGGTCTCGATCTGCTGACCTCATGATCCGCCCGCTTTGGCCTCCCAAAGTGCTGGGATTATAGGCGTGAGCCACCATGCCCGGCCCTAATGGCTTTTTAAGAAGTGGAAGAGTAAGAACTTTGACTCTCTGTCATGTGAGGACCCAGGGAGAAGGCAGTTGACTACAAGCCAGGCAGTAGACCCTCACCAGACACTGAATCTATTGGCACCTTGATCTTGGATTTCCCAACCTCCAAAACTGTGTAAAGTAAATGTCTCTGATTTAAGTCATCCAATCTCTAGTTTATTATAGTACCACAAGCAGACTAATACAATTGTGTTCAGGAAATGAATAATTCAAAGAACTTGTCTTCATAGCCCAGATATGCTTTTGGTATATAAAGAGTTATTCTAGTAAAGGTCGTCAAGTGTTTCTATTGGAAGAACATTCAAATGTAAAATGTTTGGCCAGGTGTGGTGGCTCACACCTGTAATCCCAGCACTTTGGGAGGCCGAGGCTGGTGAATCACCTGAGGTCAGGAGTTCAAGACCAGACTGGCCAACATGGTGAAACCCCGTCTCTACTAAAAATAAAAAATTAGCTAATGTGGTGGCATGCGCCTATAGCCCCAGCTACTCAGGAGGCTGAGGAAGGAGAATTACTTGAACCCGGGAGGCTGAGGTTGCGGTGAGCCGAGATCACGCCACTGCACTCCAGCCTGGGCGACAGAGTGAGACTCCATCTCAAAAAAAAAAAAAGAAAATATTGTTTTTCAGTGTTCAATATATTTTCTCACATACCTGTCTAGCAGTGGTGTCATGCAACTCAATCTGTATCTTACGGACAACCACAAAGCATCTTGATTTGGAAATATATACACCACATATTTGTGTTGACAATATTATCCAATCATTTGGAAACATAATTTATGAGGAAACTAGAGGTCCTGCATTTCAGCCATTTTGTCAACGAAGTCTCTACCTCAAGTAGTTCACTAATGAGGAGAGAGATTTATTTCTCAGTATCAAGTTTATGACATGAACGTCTGTTTTACAGCAATATTTACCTGTTCTTTTTTTCATCTTTAATTCTTGGACTTCATATAAAAAGGACAAAGTAAATCACATAGTCAAATTGGCTGATTCCGCATAAGCTCAGAGAGAAGAGTTCTATTTCAGAAAAATAATTTAATTCTAAATCTGTGTCTGAAGAAATATCATCTGTAAACTTTAGCTGGAAAGTGTTCTAAGAATATAGAGATATTCCCCATGGTCTTGATTGTGTTCATCCTGAAAGATTCAATTTAATAAGAGAAAGGTTTGGGTCTTTTGAAAACAGTAAGAAAATCATTTATCAGAGTTTCTATTTTCTCTGGGCAATTTTCACCATTTCAGCATACCCAAGAGAGAAATGACGTATAATTTTGTTATGCTGAAGAATTTGGCAAGCCAGCTAATGGTCTTACTAAAAGTGAAGAAATCCCTTTGGTGACAGATGCAGGAAGTTATGTCTGAATCATTTGGAACCATTGTAGAGAAGCCTTTGTTCCAAAAGAGATGTGTGGGGATTTTCTTGGGAAGAAAAGGTGTCTGAATATTCTTAAACCTCGAACAGATTTATCAAACTTGCTGCTTCATTTAATCCTTTGCCAAATGGGCTCATCTTCCATCCAACAGACTTCTCCCTAGCCATCTTCATCTTTCAAAAAGTCACCCTTAAAACGCATCTTGTGTTTCTTTCACTGCTGTGATGATGAAATCTGTCTCAAAAGAAGCATGTCGGTGTTGACTTCATAATCTTAGAGGCTGTAACATACAGGGAAGGCTGTTACTTAGAAACATACTCTCAGAAAGGTTTTTTGGAAGTTTTTAGGGAGGGGGCGAAGAAGAACTAGGGACAGGTAGATGGTGAATAGAATAACCTGAAGCCATGAGTCAAGGTCAACAGCAACAATAAGTCAAAGCAAGATCACTGAACATTGGTGAAAATAAAAAGAAGTGGAATCAGACTACAGAGGAAAATGAGTAAATTTAGTATCCAGAACTACTCTTAATGGGAAGTCCTATTAGCTTGTCTCCCATCAGAGTTAGGTGAAGTAATAATCTCCAAAAGGTGGGGCTGTTACCTCTGCAGGCGTTTAGAACTGGTCTGAACAAATCACCTGCAAGCTTTTTTGTGGTGGAAGAATGCTGTAGAACGGAGCTGTGAAAGCAAGTATAATTTCTTTTCTGACTCCCTCTGACTTTCACTTAATCATGTACAGGCAGTTCAAAAATCCTGCTGCCTCTTTCTTGCCAATTTCAATACAAATTCTCTCTGGCCAGAAAACTGATCATTTGGTATATAACCTTTTTTTTTTTTTTTTGGTTGGTTCCTCAGTTTCTCCACAACATCACCTGACATTCTGCTACATAAATAGCTATAATTTTAAATAAAATGAGTCAAACGCTAGTGTCAGGCCTTTACAAAGGCTCTCTCACCCTTTAAGATCGCTATAATCCCTCTTTTACATAAAAGGCAATAATGTTCAGACTCTAAGCTAGTGAGTTGAAACGCAAACTCTGAACCATCTCATCAGAAAAAAAAAAGAGCATAGGTTTAGAGTCAAATGAACTCCTGTGTGAATTCTGGCTTAGCATGCCTATTTCTGTCCCAATCTATTCTATAATCTCCTTTATCCTTGTAGTGGAATTATTTTAAATTCTATCTTGAGACCCTTGTCTGGGAGCTTATATGATTCATTCCATCATTGCCCAAATGAGATAGACCAGGAGGCTGGATCCTCCTCTTAGTAGGGGTGGATGCTTTTTTAGTGGCTGTAAATGGATCAGTCCATGACTTAATTGTGCATGAAATAGAGATTTTTAAAAATTTTCTATAACCAAATTTAATTTCTGTCATAAATGCTAAATTTCTACCTGGTAATGACAAATTTAATTCTTCTAATTCAGGATAAACCTAGCCAAATTAGGATTTTTAAGACATTGTTTCAGGGTAAAATCATTCAATTTAGGCTTCTTCCCCCAAATTTCAATTAGCCCAAGTGGCATCTAACTTTAGGGAGGTGTTACGAATTAGGTAACCCCAAGTTATTTGCATTTCTTCTTTTCCTGAGAGTGGAAGTAGCAAGGTATAAAGTGTTATAATAATGGCTAGTAATTTGCAAAGAGGTAAGATGATCTTACAGGAGTAAACCAGCTTGCTGGAAATGAGTATTTTCAGTTAAGGGCCAAAATTGTGTAGCACGAGCTCCCAGAAAGCCCCTGGAATTGTGCCAGCAGACACGGCCATGAATTTGGCAGTGGCTGCTGTAGCCGTGAGGCAAGGTAGGCCTTTGCCACAGGATCAAAAGACAGACTGTAATAAGCTATGGATTTTTGGTGCTTTCCTTGTAATTAAAGCTATTAGAGAATCAGAATTTTATTTAGAAGCTTCTTTATTCCAATCAAAAAAGATAGTACATTCAACATTAGGACTTTACTGTCCTAATGAAGAGAAACTTCATTTGCTCTAAGAACACTGTAAGATGGACAATTTTGGAAACATATGGAATTCTCCCAAAGTGGCCAAATCATCATCGGTGAACTAGTGCCAGTTTGTGAGATGTGTGCAAGCATTTGGATAATAATAAAGAAGCAAGTGTCTGGACTGGCAGAAGTGCACACTTGAACTGAGATTACCCCTGGAGAAATGATCATGGTCAGTTGAATGTGTTGGTTCTGCATTTTGTGTCTTGAGCCACTAACCAGTGGCTGGCCACCCTTGACAAGAGACTTGATAATTTGTGGCCCTCAGCAGATAGAATTTTTGGATATTCTGTCTTTCATATTAACTGTCAGTTGTAAACACAGAACAGAGGAAAAATGGACCTTGTACGTTTTTTTGTTGGTGACTTGAAGTAAATTTCATTTACTGGGGAACATAAGCTTGACAAAATTTTTATTAACAGCTTTATTGAGGCCAAATTGACATACAATAAAATGCACATAATTAAACTATAAACCTTGAAAAGCTTTGACATTTGTATACACCCAGCATAATAATCAAGATAATGAAAATATGCATCATAAGTTTCCTCATGTCCGTTGGTAATACCCCCTTCTTCTCCCTGCTCCCCATACCTCTGAGTCCCCAAGCAACCACTGATCTGTTTTCTAACACTGTAGATTAGTTGGTGTTCTAGAATTTTACATACATGGAATATAGTGTGCATTCTGAGAAAAAATATATTTTTTTTCGCTCAGCATAATTTTGAGATTCTTCCATGTTTTGTGTGAGTCAATAGTTCACTTTTTGCATTGATTTGTATTCTGTTATATGGGCATACCAAAAATTGTTTATCCACTCACCTGAACATAAACATTGAAGCCTTCTTTCCCTAGGTTTCTGCTGTTATAAATAAAGCTGCTATAAATATTCATCTACAAGTTTGTGTGTATAGATACATACTTTGTTTTCCTTTAAGTAAATATCTAGGAGTGAAATTGCTGCGTCATATGGCAGGGATATAATTTCCTTTTTAAGAAACTGTCAGTTGCCCCATCGTGCAATGTGGTGCGGCAACCAAGCCAGGGCTGCTCCATGAAGAGGAAGCAAAGACGGCTTGCCAGGACAGTGATGGAGAAGAACAAAAAGGCAGGATCGCCTCAATAAAAGGAGGGTGGCTTTGCCAGTTTGTAATTTAAAATACTGAAGCACAGTCTTTGAAGCAACAAGGAAATGCACACTATGCCAAGGAAGATTACAACGAAGCTTATAACTATTAAACAAAAGCCACAGATATGTGCCCTAAAAATGCTAGCTATCATAGTAATAGAGCAGCTACATTGATGATACTTGGAAGGTTCTGCGAAGCCCATGGAGATACTTTCACAGTGAAATTGGATGATGGTTTCTTCTGGGGACATCTACGAGAGGGCAAGTGCCACCTCTCTCCAGGGAATGCCATGGCAGCACATTGCAGTTTTCAGAGAGCCCTAGAACTGGATCATAACAATGCTCACTCACAACAGGAGTTCACAAATGCTAATGCAGTCAAGGAATAGGAGAAAGTCATAGAAACAAGTTTTGAGAAGTGGGCTTTTCAGAAGGTTGTTTTCTGCATGGACTATGCCCTAGAATTTGCCCCTGTCTGCCATCACTTCAATATCCCTCAAAGCAGAATGTTTAGCAATGCTGGGTCGTTATCCAGAAGCACAGTCTGTGGCCAGTGACATTTTATGAACGGATTCCACCAATGTGGATGCTCTGTATGTACGCGGACCTTGCCTTTATTATGAAGATTGTACTGAGTAGGCAGTTGTTCAGTTTTTTGTACAGGCTCTCAGAGTGGTTCCTGACCATGAGAAGGCCTGCCTTGCGTGCAGAAATGCCAGAGCACTTAACGCAAAGAAAGAAGACTGGAATAAAGCGTTTAGGGAAGGAAATTACAAACTAGCTGATGAACTGTACGCAGAACCCCCGGGGTAGACCCCGACAACATAAAAGCAATTGCTAAACTCTACTGTAACCGGGATATGGTTAATTCCGAGCTTGGGAAACTAGATGATGCAATAGACAGCTGCACAAATGCAGTGAAGCTCATGACACTTACATAAAAGCCTACTTGAGAAGAGCTCAGTGTTTCTTGGACACAGAACAGTATGAAGAAACAGTGCGAGGCTATGAAAAAAGTATATCAGATGGAGAAAACAAAAGAATACAAACAGCTCCTAAAAAATGCACAGCTGGAACTGAAGAAGAGTAAGAGGGATAATTACTACAAGGTTCTGGAAGTGACAAGAATGCCTCTGAGGACAAGATCAAGAAAGCTTATTGGAAACAGGCCTTGAAGTACCATCCACATCGTCATGATGGAGCCAGCGCTGGGGTTCAAAAGGAGGAGGAGAAGATCAAGGAAGTGGCGAGGTCTTTATCATCCTCTTTGATTCCAAGAAAACGATTCATTATCACAGTGGGCAGGACCTGGATAAGGAAGACATAAATTTGGGTGATTTTGATGCAAACAATATCTTCAAGGTATTCTTCCGCGGTCCTACGGGCTTCAGCTGTGAAGCATCTGGTCCAAGGATTTTCTTTCTTCGATTGGGCTCATGAAAGGCAACCATCCAGAATCCAGAAAATGCAGAGTCGCTCAGTTTAAATGTAATCAGCAGATCATTTCTATTAAGAGAGGAATATTTAAATCTCAAACCATAATTTGTCTGCCTCTCCTGTAGATCTATCAGTTTTTTGCTCAATGTATTTTATTATTAGGTGCATAAATGTTTAGATTTGTTTATGACCTTTTATCATTATGAAATAAACTTGAAAAATCCCATGTAATATTGTTGGCTGTGAAATCTATCATGTCTGGTAGTAATATAGTCACTACAACTTTCTTATAGTTAAGGTTAGCTAGATTATCTTTTTCTGTCTTTTAACATCTAACGTGTGTGTGTGTGTGTGTGTGTGTGTGTGTGTGTGTGTGTAAATGAATAACACCAAAAACAGTTACTTTGAGAAAATCAGTGAAATTGGTCAATCTCTGGCTAGACTGATCAAGAAGAAAGAAAATATATATGGAGAGAGAGTACATTTCTTATATGCAGCATATAGTTTGGTCTTCTGTTTTTTTCTTTTCTTTTCTTTTCTTTTTTTTTTTGAGACGAAGTTTCACTCTTGTTGTCCAGGCTGGAGTGCAATGGCGCGATCTCAGCTCACCACAACCTCCACCTCCTGGGTTCAAGTAATTCTCCTGCCTCAGCCTCCCAAGTAGCTGGGATTACAGGCATGTGCCACCATGCCCAGCTAATTTTGTATTTTCAGTAGAGACGGGGTTTGGTCAGGCCGGCCTCGAACTCCTGACCTCAGGTGATCCGCCAGCCTGGACCTCCCAAAGTGCTGGGATTACAGGCGTGAGCTGCCGCACCCGGCCCTGTGTTTCTTTTCTGTTTGACAATCTCTGACTTTTAATTGAGATGTTTTGACAAAGTTATATTTAATGTGATAATTGATAGATTCAAGTCTGTCATCTTGCCATTTGTTTTCTGTTTGACCCATCTCTTCTTTTTCTTCCCTTTTCCTCATGTCTTTGGTTGAAGAACTTCCTTTGATATTTCTTTTTTTTTTTTTTTTTTTTTTTTTTTTTTTTTTTTGTGGTGAGATGGAGTCTCACTCTGTTGCCAGGCTGGAGTGCAGTGGCGTGATCTCAGCTAACTGCAATCTCCGACTCCCGTGTTCAAGCGATTCTCCTGCCTAAGCCTCCTGAGTAGCTGGGATTACAGGTGCGCACCACCAAGCCCAGCTAATTTTTGTGTTTTTAGTAGAGATGGGGTTTCACTATGTTGGCCAGGATAGTCTTGATTGCCTGACCTTGTGATCCACCCACCTTGGCCTCCCAAAGCACTGGGATTACGGGCATGAGCCACTACGCCCAGCCTGACATTTCTTATAGAGCAAGTCTGTTGCTGATAAATATTTTCAGCTTTTGTATATGTGAAAGAGTCTTTATTTCACCTTAGTTCTTGAAACATATTTTGCTTGGTATAAAATTCTAGTTTGACAGTTTAATAATTTTTTTGTCAGTACATTAAAGATGTTGTGTGTCACTGTCTTCTCACTTGCATTTTTTCTTATACGAGATCTGCTATAGTTCTTATCTTTGTTTCCCTAAATATATTGTGATGTTTTTCTCTGCTTTACAATGTTCTATCACTTGTTTAGGAAAATTTAATTATGATGTGCCTTAGTGTCGTTTTCTTCACATTTCTTGTGCTTTGGGTTCATTGGGCTTCTTGAATATGTAGATTTATGCTTTTCATTAAATTTGGAAAATTATTGGCCATTATTTCTTCCCATTTTTTTCTGTTACCCTCTCTCTTCTTTTTCAGTGACTTCTATTACATGTATATTAGGCATCTTGAAGTTTTCCACAGCACAGTGATACATGGTTTTTTAAATGTTTATTCTTTCTCTGTTTAATTTTAGATAATTTCTATTGCTATGTCTTCATATACACATATACACTAATCTTTTCTTCTGCAATTTCTAATCTATTTCTTAAACTCCTTATATATATATATATTTTTTTTCTTTGAGACGGAGTCTCGCTGTGTCGCCCAGGCTGGAGTGCAGTGGTGTGATCTCAGCTCACTACAAGCTCTGCCTCCTGGGTTCATGCCATTCTTCTGCCTCAGCCTCCCGAGTAGCTGGGACTACAGGTGCCCACCACCACACTCGGCTAATTTTTTGTATTTTTAGTGGAGACAAGGTTTCACCATGTTAGCCAGGATGGTCTAGATCTCCTGACCTCATGATCCACCTGCCTTGGCCTCCCAAAGTGCTGGGATTACAGGCTTAAGCCACCACACCTGACCCCTTAAATATATTTTTAGGCTGGGCGTGGTGGCTCACACCTGTAATCCCACCACTTTGGCAGGTTGAGGCAGGAGGATTGCCCAGGAGTTTGAGACCAGCCTGGGCAACAAAGTGAGACCCATCTCTACAATTTTTTTTTTTTTTTTTGAGACAGAGTCTTGTTCTGTTGCCCAGGCTGGAGTGCAATGGCACAATCTCGGCTCACTGCCACCTCTGCCTCCCTGGTTCAAGTGATTCTTCTGCCTCAGCCTCCTGCATAGCTGGTATTACAGGCGCTTGCCACCATGCCTGGCTAATTTTGTATTTTTGGTAGAGACAGGGTTTCACAATGTTGGCCAAGTTGGTCTTGAACTCCTGCCCTCAGTTGATCCACACACCTCAGCCTCCCAAAGTGCTGGGATTACAGGCATGAGCCACTGTGCCTGTAATTTTTTTTAATTAGCTGGGCATGGTGACATGTGACTGTGGTACCAGCTACATGGGAGGTTGAGGTGGGATGATTGTTTGAGCTTGGGAGGTTGAGGTTGCAGTGAGCCATGATTGTGCCACTATACTCCAGCCTGGGTGACAGAGTGAGATCTTGTCTCAAAAATATATATATTGTATATATAGTGGTAAAAGAATCTACATAAAATTTGCCATTTTATCCATTTTTATGTGTGCAGTACAATGGTGTTAAGTATAATCACATTATTGTGAAACATCTAATTTGCTTCTAATTTCATCCAATGAATTTTTCATCTCATTTCTAAAATTTTCATCACTAGAATTTGATTTAGGTCTCCTCTATATCTTTCATGTCTTTACTTAACTTTTGATCATTTGAAAAACAGTTACAATAAGTGTTTTAATGTCCTTGTCTGCTAATTCTAACATCTAGGTGGTTTTCAATTGACTGACTTTTCTCTTCATTAAGGGTGGTGTTTTGCTTCCTTCATGACTGGTGATCTTTTATTTTCTTTCTTTAAATTGTGTTTTATTAGATTTGAGATCCTGATGTATGGTAATCCTTGATTGAATGCTGGGCATTATAGATTTTTTCCTTGTTTGGTGCTGGATAGTTTCATATTCCTAAAAAGACTCTTGGTCTCTTCTTGGATGGTAGATTGGAGACATTGTCAGCATGCTTCTCCTCCTTGGAAAGACACAATAGTGTGTAGTGTTTCACACTGTGAATTTTTCTCCAAGAAGCAACACAGGAACTAAACAGGAAAACTGAAAGAAACCACAGGCCCTTTGAAAGAAGTGGTGGGCTGCAGCCTACACCATGAGTCAGGTGAAAAACTAAGTCTGCAGAATCTGAAGGGGGATAAACTGCCTCCAGGAAATACACTCCCACTGGGGAACCAGTTAATCCAGTCCATGGGGGAAGGCCTTAACCCTACTGAGTGCTGGCATTGATTTAGGGATTGATGTGGCATATAAAAGCAGGGGCAGCAGTGGGAAGAGCCTTGTGTGCATTCCCAGTCTTCAGCACAGACTAAGGGAAGTGATTTTTGGTCCTACCTCACAAGGGACTTCCCAGAAGTCTGCCAACTAACTCAAGTGGTGGTTGCACGTTGAGAGAAGCTCCTAGCTGAAATTCATGATATAATTTCAAGTGGGGACAGACTCCCTTGGCCAGAACTGGGGGCAAGTGGGAAGTGTGCTATAGCCACAAGTACAGGAGCTGGGACTGGGAGGAGCATGTCCTGAAAGCAGCTGTTGCTGTCTCCACAGGGAAGGCTTATGGGCTGGGGCAGTTTTGAGTTTTAAGTGCAGATTGCCTGGAACTTAGCTAGCTGATGCTAGTGTAACACTGCAAGTATGAGAGACCTGCCTTTCTTTTTTCTTTTCTTTTTTCTTTTTTTTTTTTTTGAGACGGGGTCTCACTCTTTCTCCCAGGATGGAGTGCAGTGGAGTGATCTTGGCTTACTATAACCTCCGCCTCCTGGGATCAAGCAATTCTCCTGCTTTAGCCTCCCAGGTACCTGGGATTACAGGCATGTGCCATCATGCCCGGCTAAGTTTTGTATTTTTTGTAGAGATGGGGTTTCACCATGTTGGCCAGGATGGTCTCAATCTCCTGACCTCGTGATCTGCCTGCCTCGGCCTCCCAAAGTGTTGAGATTACAGGCATGAGCACCGCGCCTGGCCTGCGACCTGCCACCTGCCTTTCTAAGCGTGTGGGAGCTGGGTAGGCTTACTGTTGCCTGCTATTCCCCACTCCCTGTGAAACTCTTCTGTGCAACACAGGCAGCTGCACTGCTTCCTGGAATATTACCGGAGCAGCCGGAGAACTGGCCCCCAGCTCCTACTGGGGTTATTTGCCCTGCATGTGGAGAGCCAGAGCATGGACCTGCCTGACCCAGCCCCCACCTGGCTTTGCTCCACCACTTGCCCTGGTAGCTTAACACAAGGGACAGAAACTTTTGGGAGCTCTATGGACCCACCCATTGCCTGAGATTCTAGAATACCTCCCCTGAGTTACATAAGGCAAGCACAAATCCCACCACTACTACCACAGCTGACACTCTTTTGCAAGCACCACCTCCTGGCTGGAGGCCAACTGACACAGTCCATTACAGCATTCTCAGGTAGAATAACACAGAGCCCAGGAAGGAGAAAACTTGTGTGTGACCTCAGCTATCACCATTGCATGCAGCACCCTGGCTAACCAGGAGGTTCTGAGTCCGTCCACGTGACCAGTCTATAGCTCTACCCCAACAGTCAGGCAGCCCTAGCACTTGTGAAGGGTCTTGGAGAAGCGAACTTCTTTTCCCCCTAGTCCATCACTGCAGGCACATCTGGGACTTCTCCTATGGGAGCTTAGCATGGGTGCACCTATAGACAGCCTTTCTAGAAAACTTCAGGGTGACTGCATCACTCCAGGAAGGGCACCCTCCAGGTTCAGGCTTGCATAAGTGGTAGAGTTACAATCCCTCTCTACTTAGAACATCAACATTCCTGCAGATGAAAAGAGGTGCCTGCCTGATTTGAATAACTGAAACACTGGGTCAGGAGTGTGATTGGGAGGTGAAGGGCTTTCCTGCTTGCCTTGCAGTGGAGCTGAGGCAGCTCCCACTCTTCCCCCTGAAAAGACCTCAGTGCATTTCGCTGAGAGCTACCCCAGCCACCTCTGCCAAGGCTGAGACCTCTGCCCACCATTGGGTATTGCACTTACCTACCTGCTTTAGTCATGACCAGTTTCTACCCAGAGACACCTCCTCTACTGGCCTGAAGCCTGAACTATTCAACCCAATAAATAAAATACTGGAGGAAAAAATAAATGAATAAAAAAGTGCACACCATGGGGGAATGAGAAACCTCAAGAGACCTCTGCCATTCCAACCTCATAGGGGACACTGAACTTGCTCACACAACAAGCACATTGCTACCATAGCCAGCATCTGAGAAAGCCATCATACAGAGAGACTCTCTGTAACCAAGGAACAGAATCTTCATCCCTAAAGCACCAAGAGCCACATTAGGCTACAGTAAATTATAAACATTAAAGTCACATTGCTAATGGGGGGAAAAGAAATTTTAAAAAAGAGTAATATCAAAAATAAATTCAAGAATAATTACAAGAAATAGTCTACCCAAATGAGAAGAAACCAGAAAAATAATTCTGGCAATACAACAAAACAACATTCTATAACACCACCCCCTACCAAAAAATCACACGAGCTCTCCAGCAATGGATCTATACAAAGATAAACTCTTTAAATACCAGATAAAGAATTCAAAAAGTTGACTATTAAGCTACTCAAGGAGATACAAGAGAAAGGTGAAAACCAACATAAAGAAATTTTTAAAAATTCAGGATATGACTTAAAAAATTTCTAAATAGATATTTTAAAGAAAAACCAATTAGAACCCTTGGAAATGAAAGACACATTTGGGGAATTATAGAATGTAGTGGAAAGCTTAAAAATAGACTAGACCAAGTAGAAGAAAGAATTTCAGGCCAGGCACGGTGGTGGCTCATGCCTGCAATCCCAGCACTTTGGGAGACCGAGGCAGGTGGATCACAAGGTTAGGAGATTGAGACCATCCTGGATAACATGGTGAAACTCTGTCTCAACTAAAAATACAAAAAATTAGCCGGGTGTGGTGGTGTGTGCCTATAGTCCCAGCTACTTGGGAGGCTGAGGCAGGAGAATCGCTTGAACCCGGGAGGCGGAAGTTGCAGTGAGCCAAGATTGCACCACTACACTCCAGCCTGGGTGACAGAGTGAGACTCCATCTCAAAAAAAAAAAAAAAAAAAAAGGAAGAATTTCAGAGCTTCAAGATAAAGTTTCCGAATTAACCCAATCAGACAAAAATAAAGGAAAAAAAATCAAAAGAAATTATCAAAGTCTCTAAGAAATATGGCATTATGTAAAATGGCCAAACCTAAGAATAAGTGGTGTTCCTGAGGGAGAAGAGAAGGCAAAAAGTTTGAAAAACTTCTTTGAGAGAATAATTGAGAAAAACTTCCTTGGCCTTGCTAGAAATTTAGATATCTAAATACAAGAAGCTCAAAGAACTCCTGGGAGATCAATTGGAAAAAGGACATCACCAAGGCCTATAGTCATCAGGCTATCCAAAGTCAATGTGAAAGAAAGAATTCTAAGAGCAGTGAGAAAAAAGCCTCAGGTAACTTATAAAGGAAAAGCTATCAGACTAACAGCAGACTTCACAGTGGAAACATTACAAGCCAGAAGGGATCAGGGTCCTGTCTTTAGTCTCCTTGGAGAGAAAAAACTGTCACGCAAGCATTTTGTATCCAGCAAAACTAAGTTTCATAAATGAAGGAGAAATAAAGTATTTTCAGACAAGCAAATGCTGAGAGAAGTTGTCACTTAACCCAACCCACTCTACAAGAAAAGCTAAAAGGAGTTCTAACTCTTGAAACAAAAGATTGATATGCACCAGACTAGCACCTCCTAAAAGCGTAACAGTCACAGGGCCTATAAAACAATAACACAACAAAGGAAACAAAATATCTAGGTAACAATCAACTTGATGACTGGAATCATACCTCATATCTCAATATTAATGTTGAACACAAATGGCCTAAATGCACCACTTAAAAGACGGAGATTGGGCCAGGCATGGTGGCTCATGCCTGTAATCCCAGTACTTTGGGAGGAGGAGGTGGACGGATCACTTAAGTCCAGGAGTTTGAGACCAGCCTAGCCAACATGGCAAAATGCTGTCTCTACTAAAAAATACAAAAAATTAGCCAGGCACAGTGGTGCATGCCTGTGGGCCCAGCTACTCTGGAGGCTGAGGCATGAGAATTGCTTGAATCCAGGAGGCAGAGGTTGCAGTGAGCTGAGATTGTGCCACTGCACTCCAGCCTGAGCGACAGAGCAAGACTCTGCCAAAAAAAAAAAAAACAAAAAAAAAACAAAGCAAAACAAAACAAAACAATCACAGATTGACAGAACAGATGAAAAATCACAAATCAAATATCTCTTGTCTTTAAGTGACTCACCTAACACATAAGGATTCATAGAAACTCAGAGTAGAGGGATCGAAAAAGATATTCCATACAAATGGAAACCAAAAGTGAGCAGGAGTAGCTCTTTTGTTGTTGTTGTTGTTGTTGTTGTTTGTTTTTTGTAGACAGAGTCTTACTCTGTTGCCCAGACTGGGGTGCAGTGGCATGATCTTGGCTCACTGCAACCCTCTGCCTCCTGAGTTCAAGCAATCCTCCTGCCTCAGCCTCCTGAGTAGCTGGGACATCAGGCGCCCACCACCACGCTTGGCTAAGTTTTTTTGTATTTTTTAGTAGAGAAGGGGTTTTGCCATGTTGGTCAGCCTGGTCTCGAACTCCTGACCTCGTGATCTGCCCACCTCAGCCTCCCAAAGTGCTGGGATTACAGACGTGAGCCACCATGCCTGGCCGGATTTCTTAAATAACTCAAAGTTGATCTACCATTCGATCCAGCAATCCCACTACTGGGTATCTACTCAAAGGAAAAGAAGTGATTATGTCAAAAAGGTACCTTGAATGGTAATACAAAAAGGTATGTTTATTGCAGCACAGTTCACAATTGCAAAGACATGGAACCAACCAAAGTACCCGCTGACCAGTGAGTGGATAAAGAAAACGTGGTATATATACACCATGGAATACTACCCAGCCATAAAATAGAACAAGATAATGTCTTTGCATCAACTTGGATAGAGCTGGAGGCCATTGTTCTAAGTGAAGTAACTCAGGAATGGAAAACAAAATACCGTATGTTCTGACTTACAAGTGGGAGCTAAGTTGTGGATACACAAAGGCAAACAGATTGGTATAACAGGACTCTGGAGAGTCAGAAGGGGGAAGACGGGTGGGATAAGGGATAAAAAAAATTACATATTGGGTACAATGTATAATACTTGGGTGATAGGTACACAAAAATCTCAGACTCCACCACTATGTAATTTATCCCTATAACCAAAAACCATTTGTACCCCAAAAGCTATTGAAATAAAAATATTAAATAATAATAATAAAAGATTCTTGTGCATTTTTCTGGGATGTAGTTAAACTACTTGAAAACAGTTTGATCCTTTCGTGGCTTACTTTTAAGATTTGTTCATCAGTCTTAGGGTAGGGTTAATTATTCTTCACACTTAAGGCAAGACACTTTACCAAATGCTTTGTGAATTACAAGGTTTTTCAGTTTGGCAGGTGGGAGTGGGCACTATTCCCTGTCCTGTGTGAGTACCCACTATTATTAGCTCTAATTATTTTGGATGATTCCTTCCTTGCAACAATCTTCACTACTCTGTCCTGTAAACCCTAGCTACTTTGTTTTCTCCAGATTTTCAGCTCCATCTCCTCAACTCAGGGATACTTTGAAGCTCCTCTTCGGTTCTGTTTTTCTGTTCTGTGGCCTGAAGCCAAGCCAATCATCACTCATCTTATTTGTTTCCCATCTCCCAGCAATCAATGTTTATTGCTGCCTGACACCTAGTAACCTGAAATATGTTGTTTCATATATTTCGTCCTTTTGTGTTAGTTGTTTCGGGCAAGAGGGTTAATCTGTCCTTATTACTCCATCTTAGCCATAAGCACAAATTTTGGCAGCTACTCTTGATCATGCACATAGATTTATTGGGACTCCATCTGTTGATCATTCTCTATTGTTTTTCCTCTTATTGACAAATAATGTTTATGGGATGACAGAACAAGATAAAGTTGAGCTTGGACGAAAACTGCTATATCACCAAGAACTTTTAGTGATAGAAGTCTAATCAGAAAGTCCAAAGAGATCAATCAGTAAAATATAATTTTCTCAGGAAAAAAAAATCAGATTCAGTGCTTGGAAGCTTCAATGAAATCATATCTCAGACCCAGAATATGATTCATCTCTCCACCATAAGCCAGGAATCTGAAACAGAAGAGGTTTTCAGGGCCCTCAGATTTGCATGCCAAAGTCGTTTGGCTCAGGGGTCCTCGTCGGTGGCAGCTGAGCCTTGGTGGGTTCTGTAAACTGTGGAAAAGCCTGCTTCTTATTAAAAAAAACAACAAACAACAACAACAAAAAACTATTGTGATATAAGCAAATGAACTTCATAAACTTACAGACGCAAGAGAATACATTTCAATTCTGAAATAGCAGGGGAAATGACTGCATAATTTTTATTGTTCAGTGATTGATCTTGGAATATGAAAAGCGGGAAAAGTCTTTGAATTGATTGGTTTCTTAAAGTGGGGGTCGACGCCAGTTCTGAAAGAAGAAGGAAGTGTTTATGTGAGTCCTAAGACATTCTCAGTTGGAACTGGAAGTAGTTCTTCCAGTTCTGAGTTTGGCATGATTGATGGAGGTGGTTGGTCTGGTTCTAACCTGTTAACACAAAGTAAGCCCTGTGTAATGTTAGCCATTACTACAGATGAGGATAGGTAGAACTAGCGGGGCTGACTGTAGTCTGTGTGCTCATAGCAAGGCATATGTGGGTAGCATGCCTCAAATGCTCATCACTGTACTCTTCTGAGTTTAATTGACTGTGTGTTGCAAGCATGGTAGTCTTTTCCCCCCTGTGGCTTCTTTTTATGTTGTTTATTTTGTGTTTGGCAAACATATTTGATGACAGGGTTTAAGAAAAGTGAAGCAGAGAAACCTCATGCTGGATATTAACATGCAATTTTTACATTACCTAGAGGAGGCTTCAAAGAAAGAGTCGTGGAAATGTGCAGTTAGGGATTGGTGGCAGTCTACTGAGAAGTATACTCTACTTACAGCTACAACCCGGGAGGGAAAACTGACCAGAAATTGAATAAATGGGGCTTAGAAAAGCATGTTTCCAGAGGTGTGTGATGGGGAGATTTGAGATCAGGCAAGTGAGTATCAACTTAAAATGCTGTGGAATGCATCTCCATAGGGACCATGTCATAATAATGTCAGCCATAGCTGATGCAATTAATATTGCCATTTCTAGATGCACATTTCTTCTATGAAACAGGACATACACAAAAAGGTATCTCTTGTCAATGCAGTCTGCTGCAGGTCCAGGCAATTCTCCAGGGTGACCGCTATCTATATGGGGACTCCATGATCTAGACATGATCCTGTAACCTGTACCCTCTACGAGACATGGACCCCTCTGCTAAAGGTCAGGAGAGGAAAGAGACTGCCTTAGGCTTGGAATTGCTATATATTGACTCCTGTTCACATTTTAGTGGACAGAAACAGACTCATTACTTGCCCAAGTACAAAGGAGCTGAGAAGTAGAGCCCTCCGTAAGCAAGCCAAGGAAGGAGAGCTGGCTGTTGGAGAGCACTAGGTACTCGCCTTCTTGCTTCCAGAGCTGGGGCATATATTGCCTCATGCCTTATTTACCACTCAGCTTGGCTTGGTGAGCTCTCACTAATCTTTCTGGCTTCTAGTTACGTGATTATTTGCTTCATATTTACCTCTCCTATTAGACTTTAAACTCTGAACTACTTATTTTGTCTTGCTTCTCAACCCATAACACATACAGTATCAAGTGTTTAGTTAGACAGGCATTTGTAAATGAACCATTACCCAAAGTAGGGTAATGACAGAAGGCATCTGGGAATTTTTTTTCTGGATCTTGTCAATACTTTGTTTTGCTCACTATAGAAATGTTTAAAAGTTATAGGCTGGGCGCGGTGGCTCACACTTGTAATCCCAGCACTTCGGGAGGCCAAGGAGGGCAGATCACTTGAGGTCAGGAATTCAAGACCAGCCTGGCCAACATGATGAAACACCGTCTCTACTAAAAATACAAAAATTAGCCGGGTGTGGTGGTGGGTGCCTGTAACCCCTGCCCCTACTAGAAAGGCTGAGACAGGAGAATTGCTTGAATCTGGGAGGTGGAGGTTGTAGTGAGCTGAGATCGCACCGCTGTACTCCAGCCTGGGCGACAAGAGTGAGACTCCATCTAAAAAAAAAAAAAAATAGTTATAGCCAGCCTGATTTCACAGGTGCTAGACAAGAAGTTGCAAGACATTTACATGCCTGTATGGTATAGGTGCTACAGATCATCAATACTCACTCTAGTTTCTGATATTGGGTTATTGGCTTGTTCATGGCACAAAATTCCACCAGATAATATTAATTGTTAGGAACATAGATTATTAAAAATAGGCCGGACGCAGTGACTCAAGCCTGTAATCCCAGCACTTTGGGAGGCTGAGGTGGGCGGATCACGAGGTCAGGAGATGGAGACCTTCCTGGCTAACACAGTGAAACCCCGTCTCTAATAAAAAATACAAAAAATTAGCTGGGAGTGATGTTGTGTGCCTGTAGTCCCAGCTACTTGGGAGGCTGAGGCAGGAGAATCGCTTGAACCCAGGAGGCGGAAGTTGCAGTGAGCCCAGAGCACGCCACTGCACTCCAGCCTGGGCAACAGAGCGAGACTCCATCAAAACAAACAAACAAACAAACAAACTCCATTTCTTTAAAAATTTTCTTCAATTTTTTTCTGACTCCAAACATAATATGTATGGATTATAGAAAAATTATAAAGTAAATCAAATATAAATAAGTCTTAATTTCATTGTTCAAAAACCATTGTATTATCATCATGGCATACTTATTTTCAGACTTTTATCAACATGCGTATCATCATATAGTTGATCTCCACCAGTAAAATAGATTTTTATCTAGGACTTTTTTAACATTTTGTCATGCCATTTTCATTTTTAACTAAAGTTTTTTTAAACATTATTTTAAACAGCAACACAACTTATCTTTCTATGTTTAAATAATAATTTACTAAACCATCTTTTTAATAGTAGACATTTTGATTGTTTCCAAAAGCTTTTGACTACATATAAACCTGCAATAAATATTGTAATGCACAAACATTTTCAAACATTTTTCTATATTTTGGACTATTCTCTTAGGATAGATTCACAGAAGGAAAACATAAATTAAAGGCTATGAGCATTTACACAGCACCTTTAAGTGAGTTGAGAGTTTTGGGGTTTTTTTGAGATGGAGTCTCTCTCTGTTGTCCAGACTGGAATGCAGTGGAGTAATCTTGGCTCATTGCAGCTTTTACCTCCCGGGTTCAAGAGATTTTCATGTCTCAGCCTCCCCAGTAGCTGGGATTACAGACACCTACCCCCCATGTCTGGCTAATTGTGTTTTGTTTATTTGTTTGTTTGTTTTGAGATGGAGTTTCTCTCTTGTTGCCCAGGCTGGAGTGCAACGACTCCATCTCGGCTCACTGCAACATCTGCCTCTCTGGTTCAAGCCATTCTCCTGCCTCAGCCTCCCAAGTAGCGGGGATTACAGGTGCCCGCCACCATGCCTGGCTAATTTTTCGTATTTTTTGTAGAGATGGGGTTTCACCATGTTGGCCAGGCTGGTCTCGAACTCCAGACCTCAGGTGATCCACCCGCCTCAGCCTCCCAGAGTGCTGGGATTACAGCCGTCAGCCACCACACCCAGGCTTTTTTTTTTTTTCGTATTTTTAATAGAGATGGGGTTTCACCATGTTGGCCAGGCTGGTCTCGAACTCTTGACCTCAAGTGAACCACTCACCTTGGCCTCCCAAAGTGCTGGGATTACAGGTGTGAGCCACCATGCCCGGCCCCTAAGTGAGTTGATAGTTTTAAACAAATTATCCAACCTGCTTACTATTTTCTCAGTCATAAGTATGGAGTATGAGCTCCAGGGAGTTTAAAATACTTGGTCTTTTTTTGTTTGTTTTTTGTTTTTTTTTTAAGACAGAGTCTTACTCTGTGGCCCAGGCTGGAGTACAGTGGTCTGATTTCAGCTCACTGCAGCCTTTAGCTCCCCGGACTCAGGTGATCCTTCTACCTTAGCCTCCTGAGTAGCTGGGACTACAGGTGCCTGCCACCACGCCTGGCTAATTTTTGTATTTTTTTGTAGAGACAGGGTTTTGCCATGTTGTCCACGCTGGTCTCGAACCCCTGGGCTCAAGCAATCCCCTCACCTCAGCCTCCCGAAGTGCTGGGACTACAGGCATGAGCCACCACACTGGCCTAAAATACATAGTTGTTTTATGTAGGAGTCAAAACAATATTATTAAGTATTAATAACCCCTATACAATCAGCAGTACTTCATCCAATGAGACAATAATAACATGCCCAGCAATTCCACGCTGCCTTATGTAGCAGGTTCTTAACATTCAAGAAAGAAACACCTAAACCCATCGAGAATCCTCCAAGTTACAAAATTACTTCAACATATAGTTTTCCCCCACACATTTCCATATTTGCATTGGCTAAAGCACTGCAGAAATAATTTCTTCAATCATCCTTTCTTCCTTTCATATTGAATAAATATGTCAGAATCATTCACATAAGAGTCACTGACCAATTCAATATTCTTTTATTCTTTCACTTATTCAAAACCAAATTTTTCTGGCTAATAATGGTTACTTTATTTGCTCTTTACTTTTTCAACGCTAGCTTGCTTTTGGGGTCCATGCTAAATAAACATGGTTTTTATTATTCCATGTTTTCGCTGATGAGAAGGGAACAAGATACAATTATTGGATAGTCCCATAGCTCCAGCATCAGCTGAATGACTATCTCAGGTACCATCTTTAAACATCCACTAATCCAAAGTGACAATCTACTCTACATGTCAAGGGCTTCTTCCAGGAATTATGTGTGAATGCACAACCATGAACGATAAATCTACACATTTCAAGGATCTATTGTGATTTTTTTCAAAGCACATTAAGAGGCGGTTATAATTATCCCCTTTGTGCAGAGAAGGAAGATAAGGCCAGTAAGTAGGTAATTGTCTTGGCCGAGGTCATATTGTCCACAAGTGGGACTGCTGTGATGAGGCTCAGACTCAGGAATAGAATGCATTAGAAACAGAATCTTCATTATATACATGAGCAGATGGAATGAAGCTGAGTAAGACATTATTTCTGAGAATCAATGAGATGTAAATATAGGTGGAAATAAGAGTAGACAAGAGAATAGGAAATCAAATCATCCTACAGAACAATCCTTACAGAATAATAACTGCACAAGAGATGACCTCAATTCACTCATGAAGGGAAGAGGAAACGAACTGATATTTTTGCCATATGCTGGCTGAAGACATGTGGAGGAAATTGCAAGCCAATTTGAGTTGAAGGCGCATCGCAGGAGCTGACAGCACAATTTCTTTTCCATCAATTTTCACCACCGCCCCCACCTCCACCTCACAAGGGACCTGGCAATATAGACATCCAAAAAAAAGTATATCTCAGTTAAGAATAGAATGTTATGTTGTGCAGCAGCATAGAAATAAAAGTTTCCAATACAATCTAGTTTTTAACTCTTGAGAAATTGCATAATTGAAAATAGTACCCTACATAAAAGTTAAAGATATTTATCTTTTAGAATGTAATGCACATATTTGTTCAAATATGGGTATAATTAACTGGACAAACTTCTCTCTGCTTTTTAATTCAAGGTTTATATTCAAATGCATCATTTCTTTTTTTAATTTAACTTTTATTTTAAGTTCAGGGTTACATGTGCAGGTTTGTTAAATAGGTAAAGTTGTACTATGGGAGTTTGTTGTACAGATTATTTCATCACCCAGGTATTAAGTCTACTACCCATTGGTTGTTTTTCCTGATCTCCTTCCTCTTCCCACCCCCACCCTCTGATAGGCCCCAGTGTGTATTGCTTCCCTCTGTGTGTCCGTGTGTTCTCATCATTTAGCTCCCACTTATAAGTGAGAACATGAGGTATTTGGTTTTCTGCTCCCGTGTTAGTTTGCTAAGGGTAACGGCCTCCAGCTCCATCCATGTTTCTGCAAAGAACAGGATCTCATTCTTTTTTATGACTGCATAGTATTCCATGGTATATATGTACCACATTTTCTTGATCAAGTCTACCATTGATGGACCTTTAAGTTGATTCCATGTCTTTGCTATTGTGAATAGTGTTTGAAATGCATCACTTCTTAGTAATGTATAAGATAACACACATTCAGTTTTGTTAAGCTTAATTAATGTTTATTGAGTCCAAAACTTGTGCTACTAGAACGAAAGACGTAAATTCCCCTATTACTGATATAAGTCATAACCCTCAGTTGAGGATGAGCCATAAGAAACAGAAACCCAAGAATATAGTACATGTAGAAACCAAGAGTTGGTAGGGTTGCAGTAGGAGTAAGGTTGCAGTGGGAGTAAGAAGACCTCAATAGAGCCCAGCTCTAACATGTAGGATCTCTGAACCTCAGTTTCTCTATCTATGAAAGGAGGATACAATGATATCTATTCCTTTTACCTTTTGGGATGATGTGAGGAGCAAGTAAGGCACAGTTCAGAGACAATAAAATACTATATTGATGTAAGATATTATTACCAATGTTACAATCATTACTGGCTGTAGAATAGCTCTCTTTCTTCACAGGTTATTTTTGGGGTGACAACAGCTTTGGTCCACCTTGGCCATTCAGAGAATGAATGAGAGGTGAGATTCTGGAACGTGGGAAAAGGGCAGGCTCTTTTTCTTGGGACCTGTCCCAAACCAAAGCAGGGCTTCCAGTAGGATCTTGTGTTTGCTTGGGT
Organism: Homo sapiens; assembly: GCF_000001405.40. Classification (NCBI taxonomy): domain Eukaryota; kingdom Metazoa; phylum Chordata; class Mammalia; order Primates; family Hominidae; genus Homo; species Homo sapiens. Next base: position 139,355,840 of record NC_000006.12, read on the forward strand.
TAGTTATTTTATATTTGGTTGTGAAAAGTAAGCAATGGGTGCAAAGCAGGCTCACCGTGTGCTGGTTTCCACTTCAGCCCACTGCATCTTGGACCGCGCTTTTACTACTTGCCTGAGTCCAGCAAGACAGAACACTCGCATGCACAAGTTTTATGAAGCGGGTTTATTACCCACAGATAGGCAGCAAGGCACAACAGATGCCAAGGATGCAGGGCAAGCTGGTCCCTCAGGACTTAGGAAAGCTACCTAGGGCAGATGGACTGTCATCTGCAGGCATCCAACCTGCATCACAGCTGAGGGAGTCTGGATAGCAACTGCCTTGGGTTTTATAGTTCAGGGTAATGTGACTTGCTGGGCTAAAGCATTTAAAAACATCCTTTGTCAAAGAGGGAGGGGGAAGGAACAGAGACTGAGCTGTTCTGGCCAGTTCTTCCTTGCCTCAGGATGTGCATTCCCAGCGCATTCTACAGCTATTCTTTTTTTTTTTTTTTTTAATGGGATCTCTATCACCCAGGCTCACTGCAGCCTGGAATTCTTAGGCTCAAGTGATCCTCCCATCTCAGTCTCCCTAGTAGCTGGGATTACAGGTGCGAGCCACTGCACTTGGCTTCTACAGTTATTCCTTTCTTTTTTTCATATGGAGTCTCATTCTGTCACCAGGCTGGAGTGCAGTGGTGCAATCCTGGCTCACTGCAACCTCTTCCTCCCAGGTTCAAGCCATTCTCCCACCTCAGCCTCCCAAGTAGCTGGGACTACAGGTGCGTGCACCACCATGCCCAGCCAATTTTTGTATTTTTAGTAGAGACGGGGTTTCACCATGTTGGCCAGGATGGTCTCGATCTGTTGACCTCGTGATCCACCCGCCTCGGCCTCCCAAAGTGCTGGGATTACAGGTGTGAGCCACCGTGCCCAGCCTACAGTCATTCTTAAGAACGAGAAGTGAGACATAGATGGGAATTGAACAATGAGAACATATGGACACAGGAAGGGGAACATCACACTCTGGGGACTGTTGTGGGGTGGGGGGAGGGGGGAGGGATAGCATTAGGAGATATACCTAATGCTAAATGACGAGTTAATGGGTGCAGCACACCAGCATGGCACATGTATACATATGTAACTAACCTGCACATTGTGCACATGTACCCTAAAACTTAAAGTATAATAATAATTAAAAAAAAAAGGACTAGAAGTGAGACAGTGGGGAAAACTGGGTTGGTTCAAGGCCACTGGGAGAACTGTACTGCACTGGGTTAATGAATAAAAGAAAAATGGCAGTGGCAAATGCACCTTGGCCTCAAATAAATGTTATCGTCTATCTGAGCTCACATAGATCTCTTCTTATTAAGTAATTAACACATTCATTCATTCAGTATTTATGTGTGACCTACTCTGCACTAATTTTGGCTTCCTTTTAGCCTTCCTCATCTGAGCACACTGCTGAGCTGTATGAAGACGCCTGCTTAAGCTCTATGTCTCCAATGAGACTGTGAGCTCCTTAAGGGCAGGGCACACACCTCATACCTCTATTCTGTCCTCTGGAATGCTTAGCAGAGTGCTAAGAAAATTTAAGGGGCCATTCTTAGGGGACCCCGTAATACTTTCACAGTTTGATGATTGTTTTTTTTTTTTTTGAGATGGAGTCTCGCTCTGTCACCCAGGCTGGGGTGCAGTGGCATGATCTGGGCTCACTGCAACCTCCACCTCAAGTGATTCTCCTGCCTCAGCCTCCCAAATGTTTGGGACTACAGGCACGTGCCACCATGCCCAGCTAGTTTTTGTATTTTTGGTAGAGACGGGGTTTCACCATGTTGGCCAGGATGGTCTTGATCTCTTGACCTTGTGATCTACCTGCCTCGGCCTCCTAAAGTGCTGGGATTACAGGCATGAGCCACCGTGCCCGGCCCAGTTTGACGATTTTTAAAGTGTTGTGCTACCTGTTGAGTTCTTTAGGAGGGGCTGCCCCTGAGATGAAGATTAGAATGCTGGGAGTGGATTGGGAGTGGTCTTGGAAGCAACGCCTGTGGAAGGAAGCGGAAGGACAGATTGGGCAGAAGATGAACTTCAATGCAGCCTCAAGAAAGTCCTCAGTTCATCCATGGGAAGCTCCTAGGGTGGTCTCCCAGAATTGTCCCAACTTGACGAGAGAGCCAGGCCTTTATTCCAGACACTGTATGCAGGCTGCCTCCAGAAGGGGTGTGACCTTGAGCAAGGTGGTGAGGAAATTCCAGAAGAAGGTGTCAGTTGAGGGCCATTTGCTGACAGTATTCCCAGTAATGGAGGGAAGAAGTTCTTCAGTCCTGAAGGGGGATTTGAGCAGCACTTCACAATGTCCATTACTTACTGTAATATTGGTGCAAGACAATGCTAGAAGCCTTATCCAAGGAGAAAAAAAGTGAATTTTAATACAGACATGTTATATCTCTCATATTGTTTCCTGAAAAGATCATTTTTAAGTGACTTTGAAAGTATACATAAAATAGAAGTCCCTCCCAAACATATACTTCAGGAAAATATTTAAAAGCAAGCAAGCAAACAAACAAAATACAGTGGAGATGAAAGTTGTGTTAGTATTAGTATGATTAGTCAAGATAATTTTGTTTCATGTGTTTGATCACAATTCAAATTAGTTCTGGAAGGGAAAATTTTATTGTCTCTCGTAACCAAACTTCAGGAAGGGTTAAGTTGCACCTAGACCTCAGGGACTCAGATAGTAACAGATTACCTTTTTGTTTCTGCTTCTTTCTTCATATTTTCTGTTGATACGGTTTGGCTGTGTCCCCACCCAAATCTCATTTAGAATTGTAGTTCCCATAATCCCCATGTGTTGTGGGAGGGACCTGGTGGGAGGTCATTGAATCATGGGGGCAATTACCTCCATGCTGTTCTTGTGATAGCTGAGTGAGTTCTCACGAGATCTGATGGTTCTCTCTGCCACCATGTGAAGAAGGACGTGTTTGCTTCCTCTTCTGCCATGATTGTAAGTTTCCTGAGGCCTCCACAGCCATGCTGAACTATGAGTCAATTAAATCTCTTTCCTGTATAAATTACCCAGTCTTGGGTATATCTTCTTAGCAGTGTGAATACAGATGAACAGAGTGTGTATTCTCCCACACTCACTTCTTTCACACGGCTGGAAGTATGGCTAACAGCAGTTTACAGGCTCATAGTTTCATCACTAAAGAGGACTTAAAACTTGATCTCTCTGTTGTCAAGTTAAAAGCTCCTGGGGGAGGGGGAGGAATGCAAATTAAAACCACAGTGCAATACCACCTTACTCCTTCAAGAATGGCCATTATTAAAAAGTCAAAAGCAACAGATATTGCTATGGATATGGGGAAAAAGGAACTTTTATGCAGTGCTGATGGGAATGTAAATTAGTACAACCTCTATGGAAAACAGTATGGAGATTCCTTAAAGAACTAAAAGTAGATCTACCATTTGATCCAGCAACCCTACTACTGAGTATCTACCCAGAGGAAAAAAAGTCATTACATGAAAATAATCTTTGCACGTGCATGTTTATAGCAGCCCAATTCACAATTGCAAAGATGTGGAACTAGCCTAAGTGCCCTTTGACTAATGAGTGGATAAAGCAAATGTGGTATATATACACCATGGAATACTACTCAGCCATTAAAAGGAATGAAATAATGTCTTTGCAGCAACTTGGATGAAGCTGGAGGCCATTATTCTAAGTGAAGTAACTTGGGAGTGGAAAACCAAAAACCATGTGTTCTCATTGATAAGTGGAAGCTGAGCTGTGAGTACGCAAAGGCATACAGAGTGATATATTGGACTATAGGTACTCAGAACAGGAAAGGTGGAAGGGGGGTTAGGGATAAAAAACTACACATTAGGTACAACGTACACTACATGGGTGATGGGAGCACTAAAATCTCAATTCACTGCTACATAATTCATCTGTGCAACAAAAAACTATTTGTGCCCCCAAAATTACTAAAATGAAGAAGAAAGGAAGAAAGCTAACTCCTGTGGGAAGGTTTCTGTTGGGTCAGTGTTATCCACAGACCAATTAGCTGCAGCCAGAGGGTAAGATGAAAGTGTGATGAATGTTTCAACTGGGCCCATCTGGGCACCCCTAGCCATTCACTGTGCCCAGGGCACATAGGATTATGGGAATTTTCACATGGACGTATGTAACTAAAGTGAAAAAGTGGCATTTTGTGGAAGGGTAGGACAAGCAATGAGTAGACAGAACAGAAGATGTTCACGGCCATATATTAGAGTTTTCTTATCTTCCGTGTTTGAATCTTGTCAGGCTGTTTTTATATTCTTTTTGGCTTTGTCATACGGACCAGTGCATTTATTATGGAAATAGATTATATAGCTATCAGTAATTTGTTCATAAATATTAGATTCTGTTCATTTTGCACAGAGATTAATCACCTGCCAAAATGTACATGATTTTCTTGGTGCAGAAAAATTACTTATTAGTCATATTAACAAGGGAATATCAAACATATTTTGAAGGGCTAGAAATGAAGACATAATGACCATATACTTCTTTTTAATAGAATATTTATTTATATTAACAAATGTTGCTTTATAGAAGACATTTCAACCTTAATCAAGTAAACCCTCTCTGAGTGATTTATGATATAATTTTGTTAGCTATATATGTCTTTATTATATGAAGAAGATTTGGAAAAAAAAAAAACTTTAAAAAGAGTCCCTGTCAATTACAGCTTAAAATCTATGCCTTGAAACAGAAATTTTAGAAAAGGTCTGCTTCGCTGTTAACTCTTCTGGTGATGGAGTTGTCAGTTTAATATCCATTTCACACCGAGGTGATTAAGTCAATTGTGATAATTCCACCCCATGGTAAAACCAATCCCAGTGGTTGGTTGGTTCAGAAATTGGTCCATGACATGATACATGAAGAAAAGGATGGTTCTGGAGAAAGTTTTCTTTTCCCTACTTGTCACGTGAGCTCTGCTCATGCCACCTGTCACCGGTCCACGGTGCGGCCAACACTGACGACAGCCCAGGAGAGAGATGAGAGAAGCCTGAGTCTTTGTGGACATTATTGATCAGTGAATTAATCAACCCTGAAGCCTGCCCTTGCCTTCTTGACTTTTGACAGATAATAAATGTATTTCTCATGGTTTAAGCCAGAATCAGGATTTCTATTATTTGCAGCTAAAAATTTCTTAATAGATATGATTGCAAAGTAGAAGAGAGAAACTTATTATCAAATAATTGTAATACTGTGTACGTAATCCATACAAACAGAGGTATTTATAAGGTATAGGGGTGCTGCAAAGTAGGGAGGTATATGAGGAAGTTTCTCAGAGAAGAAGATACTTAAGGTGGGTATTGAAGGACATTTCAGCAAAGGAATGAAGATGAGGAAGTGCCTTTTGGGCAGAGGGAGCAGCATGTGCAAAAGCACAGAGTAATAAAATAGATATTCTCAAAATCCCTCAAGTTAGACAAATTACAAAAGGCATAGACACATCTTACAGGAACTGTGGGTATGGTGGGTGCTAATCAGGAAACCAGGAAGTTGCCCGGGACAGATGTGTCTTCCCTCTCCATCTATCTTGATTTAGCACCAGATGGTCTCTTACTATTGCTTTGTTCAGGCAATGTGTTCCACTCTCCCGCTGACTTCTGCAAACCAGTTTCTCTGCTCTTCAGTATGAGTGCATGGCTTCCAGAGGACATTACAGGGTCAATATTAGATAATTTCACTAAAAACACCTCCATGCTTTCTTTGACTATAGTTTCTCTGTCTCTTTGTTGGAGTTTTCCCGGCCAGCCAATGTGCTAGCCTTTCCTGACAGCTACTTGCCCATAGTCCAATCTGCTGTATCATTGGGAGACAGGGTCATTATGGTATAAACATGGCTGCCCAGATTCACCATTTCAGTTGGCCTGAGCTAGTGCAAGGACTTTGCTCCATAGCGTATAATACCTGGGGGTTCCACAGGGAAGATGCTACAGATGCTGGCACTCGACAGCTGGACCCTGGAAGCACCTGGAGGCAGTCGATAGTGGCTATCACCTGGGAACCTTGGCTGCTGCTGCTGGTGGACGCACCTACACATGGCTTTTCCCTGTGGCATGGCTTCCTTACAGCATGGCCGTGTCAGGGTAGCTGGACTTCTTATATTGTAGCCCAGAGCTCCAGAGGCGTGTGTCCCAAGAGAACCAAGGGGAAGCTATGCGGTGTTTTCTTATTCAGTCTTGAAAGTTACACAGGAAGAGAGTCCATAAGTGAACCTCAGATTCAGGGAAGAGGCCTAATGCTGTTTTGATGAGATGAGTGTCAAAAAATTTACAGGCAGTTTTTGTTTGTTTGTTTGTTTGAGACGGAGTCTCGCTCTGTCACCCAGGCTGGAGTGCAGTGGTGCGATCCGGGCTCACTGCAAGCTCCGCCTCCCGGGTTCACGCCATTCTCCTGCCTCAGCCTCCTGAGTAGCTGGGACTACAGGCGCCCGCCACCACGCCCGGCTAATTTTTTGTATTTTTAGTAGAGATGAGGTTTCACCGTGTTATCCAGGATGGTCTTGATTTCCTGACCTCGTGATCTGCCCGCCTCGGCCTCCCAAAGTGCTGGGATTACAGGGGTGAGCCACCGTGCCGGGCCTTTACAGAGTTTGAAACACCCTTGGCAGTGCTCTGGGGAAAAGTTGATCAGGATTAAAGGGATAGGGCATGCCATGGGGAAAAGCTGGAGACGGCTTTCCATTTTAATTAGTGTGGCCATCTAGGAAGCAAATTCTCACAAAGACCTAAGGGAGGTTTAGGAAGGAAAGCACATTTTAGGCAGGCGGCAAGTTTGTTGAATGTGGTAACTAAGTAGCTTGGCTGGTGGTGAAGAAGAGGGAAGGAATGGAAGAAAGTTCTAGATTTCTGGTTTCAGTGTCTGGATGAATAGCAGTTCCATTAACCAGGAATCAGAACACAGGAAGTGAATGAGAGAGGATTGAATAAAGTCTTGGACATATTCTACTTCAATGTGTATCAGACGTCAGTGTGTGTGTGTGTGTGTGTGTGTGTGTGTCTGTGTGTGCACGTGCGTGTGTTCATTCAGTAGTAAGCAGAGATTGGGGAGGTCTGGGCTGGACATCTGGGTTTTGAAATGCTCAATTTCTAGGTGGTATCAGAGCCCTTTAGAAATAGATGAAATTGACTAGTGAGGTGAGGTAAGAAGTCTGGCAAACACCAATATTTAAGGTAGGAGCAAAGGGCCTCGTATAAGATTTTGAATAGCACTGGCTTGAGAGGTAGGAGAGACAGGAAAAAGGAATGATTTCAGGGTCAGAAAAAGATAGAGAAAGGCTTAGGGACCTTCAAATATCTTTCTGAATGATGCACAAAATCCTACCATTCAAAATTTCTTCCTTTAGTTTTAAATGCTCTCTCTCTCAAATTTCTCTATTAAGATATAAACGTCCCAGCAGGGCAGAAAATTGAGCCACTGATACCTGAGCAAATGAAAGGCAGGAGAACACTTCAAAAAGGGAAGGGGTTAAAAAGGGGAAGAAAGTGGAGTTGCTCCCTACAGAATGGCAGAAAATTTTTGCAATCTACCCATCTGACAAAGGGCTAATATCCAGAATCTACAAAGAACTTAAACAAATTTACAAGAAAAAAACAACCCCATCAAAAAGTGGGCAAAGGATATGAACAGACACTCCTCAAAAGAAGACATTTATGTAACAGCCAACAGACACATGAGAAAAATGCTCATCATCACTGGCCATCAGAGAAATGCAAATCAAAACCACAATGAGATACCATCTCACACCAGTTAGAATGGCGATCATTAAAAACTTAGGAAACAACAGATGCTGGAGAGGATGTGGAGAAATAGAAACACTTTTACACTGTTTGTGGGAGTGTAAACTAGTTCAACCATTGTGGAAGACAGTGTGGAGATTCATCAAGGATCTAGAACTAGAAATACCATTTGACCCAGTGATCCCATTACTGGGTATATACCCAAAGGATTATAAATCATGCTACTATAAAGACACTTGTACATGTATGTTTATTGTGGCACTATTCACAAGAGCAAAGACTTGGAACCAACCCAAATGTCCATCAATGATGGACTGGATTAAGAAAATGTGGCACATATACACCATGGAATACTATGCAGCCATAAAAAAGGATGAGTTCATGTCCTTTGTAGGGACATGGATGCGGCTGGAAACCATCATTCTCAGCAAACTATCACAAGGACAGGAAACCAAACACCGCATGTTCTCACTCATAGGTGGGAACTGAACAATGAGATCACTTGAACACAGGGCGGGGAACAGCACACCCCGGGGCCTGTCGTGGGGTGGGGGGTAGGGGGAGGGATAGCATTAGGAGAAATACCTAATGTAAATGATGAGTTAATGGGTGCAGCAAACCAACATGGCAGATGTATACCTATGTAGCAAATCTGCACGTTGTGCACATGTACTCTAGAACTTAAAGTATAATTTAAAAAAAAGAAAAAAAAAGTGGAGTTGCTCAAAGACATCTTTTGTCAATTTCCTATTTTTATTAGACTGTAGCGAGCAATGGTGCTTGGGCAGAGTGTATTTGGGTGACCTTGACATATTTTTAATTTTGAGGGTTAAAATAGGTCACATAGGATATTTTTTGTTTCAGTAATACAAACAGGAAATGGTAAGTGGGGATGGGGGCAAATTCTTTAAGGAAATGACAGTCCAGCAGCTCAGGAGAAAAGCGCAAATTTGAATTTACAGACCTTTAGCTCCATCTAGTGGTTAAGTGATGAAAGGAACAAATATTTTGTAACATTATCATGGTTCTTTAGCTACATTACTTTTACATGTCAGTCTATAATTATTTCCTGGATAGTTATGTATTATGATACACTTTTGTTTAACAATTTTCAACTAATCTATTAGTTGATCATCTAGCTAAATAATTGATTTCCCAAACTGGTGGAATGTGGTGTTGTAAAGTTGGGGAGGGAGAAATAGATAAATGGATATAGACAAATGCCTCTTAACTACTTGAAAACTCTTACGTATCTGCTTATTATAGTGTTCAACACATGCTAGCTTCCTCTGACTTAGCATTGTATATAGGATTGCCTCTCTGAGAAAGTAAATAATACTAACAGTTATGCTAATGATGACGATAATAATTGTGGCCCAGGAAAAGATGTTTGAAAGGAAGAGAGTTCAAATAGTTATGGTTTGTTATTTATGAGGTTGGAAAAGTGAAATTAATCTGTAAGAATATAAAACAGAACCTGAAATAAAGAATTGATCGAATTATTTTCAGTAAGTTACACACCATACACACACACACATAATTTAAACAACTGCATCAGCAAATTTGCAATGTCATGTTCTGGAAATATTTCCTAGGGTGGCAAGCTTTTTTGGCATTTGCTTGCAGGCTGATAAATCTCAGTAGCCAAAATTTGTGCTCATTATGGCAATGAAAGGGAATATTTACAGAGACGATTCCAATCTTTGGAAAGTTGACACAACTGGGTCAGGTCTATGGCACACCCACAGACTCACGGTGAGCTTGGAAAAACAATGGTAAGAATGATGGAACAGGTTTTGAGGTGGTCTTATAATATTGTACTCCATGTTTTCAGAGGAGGAGAAATGATAGGAACGGGCTTATGTTTTCTTCATGAGAATTTGAATACAAGATGTATTAATTAAACATCTTCATTTTACTGATGGAGAAACTTGAGTCAACAATGATTAAATTACACAGCTATTTGGTTGCAGAGTTAAGACTAGACCTATGTTTTTTATTCCTGATCTACTATTCTTTTCAGTAACTATTAATAGAAGAGTTCTCCATTTCCATAGAAGACCAAAGTAAGAGAATGTGAGTTTACATTTGCATCAAGAAACTTTGGATAAATTGAGGAAGATTAGTTAAGTGTAAAGTAACTAAATATTGTATTTCCTTTATTCTAACATGTACTTAAAAAAAATCTTAACATTATGAAATCAGCCTGAATCTTATAATCAATATTAAAACATAATCGCTGGCAGGCAGTTGGGCGAGTTGTAAAGCGGTCATATTTATGTGCCAGAATTTAGTAACTAACATTCTCATTTAATAGAGTATAGAATTGGGAGGGTAAGGCATTGGCTTAATTTCTGAAAGAAACTGTTTATTTCCAGCAAGAAGGAATTCAGTTAAGGAAAAAAAAACTGAAACCGCAATTTAAATCACTGATATTCTTTCATTTGACTTGAAGTGCTAACGAGGTCAAAATATTAAGAAGGGGTAAGCAGCTCACCATGAGGCTACTCATGCACTTTCAGGGGTCACACTTAATTTGGAGGAATTTTTATACCAAATTTGAAAAAGCGTAGACCCGAATCTTGTGAATCCCAAAAGGAAACGGTGTGTGATTGTACGGATAAATACATGGTATAGTTGTGTTCATATATTTTAGAACTTGTGTTCATGTAATGTAATGGGTTTTTCTCTTAATCACTTATTGATCATTTTACAATCAGTGGCATTTAAGAATAGGTGTCATTTGGTTTATCACAGCAGCACTGCGTCTTAGAAAGAGCACTGACTCGGAAGCTAGGTCTGGAAACTACTCTGCTCCTCTATCCGCTACTGTGTTGTCCTTGAGCAGTTGACTTCCTCTCTAAATGTCAATTTCCTTATGTAAATTTGGAAGAATATCATGAATCTTGCAAGCATATTGTGAGCATTAAATGAGATTATGTATGTAAAGTGCCTACCACAATATCTGTCACATAGTAAGTGCTCAACCAAGGCAGCCACAGGAAACTTATGGTCAACAGAGAGATTTGTTAAGAGATGTTGATTGAAGGGTAAATTTCTTCGATTTGATCCCATGCAGTCTAAACAGTGTTTCTTACCATTTAAAAATCTATGCCCTATCAGTCAAGAAGATTTTGAGGCCAGGCGCAGTGGCTCACGCTGTAATCCCAGCACTTTGGGAGGCCGAGGTGAGTGGATCACGCGGTCAAGAGATTGCGATCATCCTGGCCAACAAATACAAAAAAACTAGTTGTGCATGGTGGTGCGTGCCTGTAGTCCCAGCTACTCAGGAGGCTGAGGCAGGAGAATCGCTTGAACCCAGTAGGTGGAGGTTGCAGTGAGCTGAGATTGCGCCACTGCACTCCAGCCTGGCAACAGAGCAAGACTCTGTCTCAAACAAAATAAATAAAAAAATAATAAGAGTTTGAAATGTCTTTCTACATTTTGTTTTACTAAAAGAATGTGTATTAAAACATCTGTCCAAATATAGTATGGAATATGTTTTTATAAGTTACTGTTTTCTCTCCCTTCTCCCCAGCCTGAGAGGTACCTCTACCCAGCTGAGAACTATTGATCCAAAAAATGGTGTCAGAAGGGGATCTTAGAAACATTTAGATATTTAAGTTCATATTAGGAACATAACAGTCAGTTCAATCATTTTTCACCTACTGGCCTCATCGTCCTTATGTTTGCTAAACACATAGGGTGAAGAGAGATGTATGAAACTGGTCATCATCTTGCTTATCCTCCTTTCAAGAGTTATCCAAAATACATGCAACGGGGCCATATTTACAAGGTGATCTAAGAATGTGTATGCACAATTGAAGTATACTATATGTGCTTTAAGGAGATAGCAACTGTCATGAAGCAAAAAACCCAACGGAACCCAAACCAAACCCCAAACCCAGTGGGTTACGAGAATAAACCACCACCACTAACAACAATAAAATTCTGTGGCCTAGTGACTAAGGAAATCACAAGGCCAAATGTTATACCAATCCATAGGAAAACCCAAAGAGAAAAGACCTCAATAGCCTCCAATCCCATTTCCTTCACTGTAGCATGTGTTCATAAAAACAGTACTGACAATCTGGAGTTGGCTGACTTTTCCTGATTTTGTGCTAGTTTGACTTGCACTCAAGCCTTAATTTTGCTCCCCACTCAGCTTTCAGGAATGGACAGGCAGAATTCTTTGGGCACTATTAACTTTTCAAAAGCCACTCGCCTATTTGCATATCTCCTGCAATGCGCACCACGCTAACCTTGCCTTGCTACAGGCTCCTCAGGAGACAGATTCCCCTGTCGGCTTTGTTCAGCAACCCAAAATGTAATCAAGTAACCACTCTACTGTAGAGGGAAGAAAGGGAGGGATTTCAGGGCTGAGCACAATGGTGATACCATGGGAAAATTCCAAGAATTCCGTGAACCACAGTCCTCACCCCTGGTTGTGCCCCTGCCTCACTAATCTTTCAGATTAGTTCAGCCTAATGAAAACTAATAACATATAAAGCAAGTAATAATATTCACCGTCCATCTTTCTTTCATGTGCTTTTTGCTCACTCTGCAAGTCCTGATTTAGCCAAGCTGAATTCTCAAAAAGCACCACTAACTGCCTCCTGGGGCTGCTTCATTTAGTGCTCCTCTAGGGGAAGGAAGTAACTGATAAGAATCCAGCCGCTAAAAAGTCATTATTTGTTCATAGACAGTATGGAAGAGGTCGGTCTGATAGTTTCTCTTTCCCAAGGATCATGGATTCAGTTCCTCAACACAACAGACTCTTACTTATCATAGCTTTTCTTTCATTGTGTATAAATATCAAAATATGATAGAAATTCACGCCAGCCGCTCTTAGAATATTTTCTCACTCTTTAGCATTACTGCATTACTTATGAGTTTAATTTCTTCCTGGGAAGGGAAGAAGTTCTTTATTTCAGATGTTTTAATATTTTTTTAAAATATAGGTAGGTCTCACTACAAGGCAAACTAAAATTATCAGCAGTATGTTATTTGATGGAAAATATTCTTATATTTCCTTTTCCAGTTTAAATTAAAAGTATGGCTACCAGGAAAAAAAAAGAATCATTTTTCTCCTTGCTGCATAAAAATAGGTCAAGTAATTTAAGCCAGTCCATTGCAATTAAAATTCTGACATTGCCATTGTTCCTTCTATTCTAGGGGGAGAAGACAAACAGAGCCCATGATAATAGGGGTTCACTGGCTGAGTCATTTGATGTGCTACCTATTGTTCTCTTCTGGAGGCTCAGCCTCAACCTGCCTGGGAGCGCTGATTTTGATGATAGTGGTGCAGTCCCAAAATGATAAATACCATCTCTGAAGCATGCATTTCTGAAGAGGTGTACTGCTGCTTTCATGCTAGCAAAACATTTCCACTGCAGAGGAAAAAATTGCCAATGGCATGGGTCTTAAATTCCTTGAATTCTAAATTTATTTATTTTTTGGAGACAATGTTATCTGCCCAGTTTATTTTAAAGTAAATTTTACTGACTCAATTAGACAGCAACACTCATCCTCATTAAAGATCCTGCAGTCCTTTCACAAGATTAGGGCTGGTGGCTTGGTCACATTCCAATGTGGATAATTGCATTCTGCATTCCTGGATATTTCCCTCCACCTTTCCAACCTCATACCGTCAAATGCATTGTTATTTACCCTTACTGCAAATCAACAGTCCTGTTGTGGAGGCGCTGAGGGTTTGCCATCCCCTCAGTTTGCAGGCTAAAGCATCAGCCCAAACCACTGCTCCTTACACTTTTAAAAGAAAACCCCTTAGGTAATGCATATTTTCAAATATGAGGCAAATCTCAATTATGCACACTTAATCATAGGTTAAGGTTTTTGGTAAGTAAAATATTCTTATTTTATAAAGGATGTTTATTTTGGAATCTTCTTTGATTTAAAAAATGTGTTGCTCGAATATGTGCTGTTTGCTCAAAGAAGAAAACAAAGTCTTCAGAAATGGCAACAAAACAAACAAAAAAGCGAAAAAGCTCTTGAGGAAACAGCTTTTCATTGACCTTCTAAATAAATTCCACAAGGGGGCGAAAACACCTAATGGTCCGGGGCTGCAAAGTTTTTATTGCAAAGCTGGCCACCCATAATAGATTAGTGGATTAATATTTTTCTCTAAAGGATCTGGCCTTTAATGTTGACATCAATTTATAGCCATCCCAGGCGTTTACAGTAGTAAAAGTCATGGAGACCATAAACTTCACAATAGATGTCAGCCTTCTGCTACTAGTGCTCTAGCCCAGCACCCCATAAACAGTGGTGATTAGGTAACTGTTCTTCAAAGACCCATCCATAGCTCTAACGTCTTTATCAGCTCCCGCAAAGATACTGTCACGAGGATTTTATCAGGCACAAGACAGAAGTATACGTTTTTATTAATGTGGACTTATTTTTCTGACATGTAGCTATGAGGTTGCACTGCAGCTTATCATTGATCTCTTCTTGAAAATCAAGCATGGAGTGTCTATTTTTGGGCAAAGCTTAAAGAACAGAAGCTCTCTTGTATCATATTAGAACTTTTTGACAAACAGCCAAGGTACAGAGGTCAAATTTCCCCATATGCTATAAGCAACTTAGTAGGAAGCAAGACCACAAAAGGTTTTGCAAATGTCTGCCAGTAGCCGGGTGATCTAGGTCACTGTACAGGTTTCATTAATCAGGTTGTTGAAACAAGGAGTTATTTTTCTCTGCTTAAGAGACCTGCAGATATCATGTAGAATCTGCTCAATTGTTGATCAAGAAAGAGTTTTTAATGAAACAGAGATCACTCAAGTGAACTGGGGTGCGGGAGCGTTTGTATTTGTACTGAAGACAAATTGTGCTTTTTAGCCCAGCTCCTCTGTTTGAGTCCTCTGTTCTGGTAGGGATGGGCTCAAGATCTAATAATAGTTCCTTGGGCTCTGCATCTCCACATACGTGTTCCGGCGTTTGAGCAGCAGGAGGAATTTAGTGACAGAGCAGGTGTTGTGGCTTATTCCCTGGCAGAATAAATGGTGAAGGGTGGTGGCAAGACAATTCTTTGGCTTCTTTATGCAAAAAAAAAAAAAAAAATGCATTTAATCACTTTCCTTTTTTCCTGGCACTAGTGAAAAAGGATTGGAGTTGCTGTATTAATATGTATGCAAACATATTTTTTCACTTAAGCCTCTGGAAAAAAAAAAGAGAGAGAGAGAAAGAAAAACTTACTGTGAAAATGCTTAGCCAGAAAGATTCATTGCTGATTGCAGATTTAGTATTGACATGTCTTAGCTGAAGAAAACTTCAGCTTTAACTATTAATGTGGAAATCTGGATCAGCTTTTAAAGTAGGGTAAAAAGAGTTTTGGATGATTCAGTATATTTATTTGAACATAATTTTAAAGAAGAAAGTGTCAATTATAGAGGTATATAAAAAACCCAGTGGAGTGTGTGCATTTTAATTTTACATGGCCTACCTTGGAAATAAAATTATAAAATGCAGGTGATCTGAATTATACTTAAAGCAGCCTTTATGCCCAACTTACTCTCTCATAACACTTCTAAATATCCGCTCCTCCTGATTTCTTATAAAATATGGAATTTAAGATGAGAATCGGAGTCTAAATGAAATGTTCTTTTAAAGCATTATTTATAAGATTTTCCTCAACCTACATTTTTTACTTCCCCTAGTAAGTTGCGTACAAAAGTCTGTATTTTTTCTTGAAGGTAGGTGTGTTGCTCTTATAAACATAAGATAAGCCATGAAAACATGAAAAACAAAATTCCTTCTCCTTCCACCTGGGATAATTTGAGATTTTCACAATATTACTTTTTCCTTTGCTTGATTATATAAGGCAAAACTTGATACCCACTTAGTTGTAGCTATGGTCTTCTTGATAAGACATCTATCCAGGTAAAATTAAAGTATAATTTTCAGGTGATTTGCATCCCATGCATGCAACAGGAAAACTCAGAATTCAGGAAAACAGGGCATGCTTAAGAGGGAACATCTTGTAAAGACTGTAATTTGACCTTTGAGTCAACCTGAGTACATTTTAAATATTATAGGACAAAAGCCTCAAAGTGGAATTCTGCCTCATCTTTCTCAGAACTATAAACCAGTCAGACACTGTTTCAGAGATTACGCTAGAAAATATGTACCTATCCTTGGCACTTTTGCTGAGAAATAAAACTCTCATCACTGGAGATAAAGGTAGATTTATATTTAATGCCACCCATCAATCAATCAGTGTATTATTCCAATCTACCTCTATTTAAGTAGTTGAATCAGGTATAAACAGAAACACTTGATTTTTTTTGCCTCCTGCCCATTGAAAAAGATAATGTTGAGTATTGCAAACCTTTCTAACTCTGGAGTACACTTGATATGATGGCAATTAAGAAAAAAAAAAAAGCAGTGACAACTTTGCAGCTTTTGATTAAAGCACACCAAGAGGCATGTTACAATGATAACAATGAAGCATTATGCCAATTATGTTAAATCCTGCTCTCCGCTTAAGCTCATCATGACCTGTTTTAGTGTCCTGTAATTTATCCTTTGGAATGCTTACTCTCATCAATAGTGTTCAACTCAAAGACGGGGGGAAAAAAGCCACCAAAGGGAACAACCACCCCCAAATGACTTCTAGAAAACAAGTTATTTCTTAACTTTTTATTGACATTGGCAAATTAAAATAGAATAAATTAACAAGTATTTTTTCAAAAAAATGTTTTGTACAAAAATACTGTCAAAATTTCCTAAAAAGCTTTCAACACAGTAGTATCTTTTCATGTACTGAATATAACTATTAGCACAGTGTCAAAAATGTTGAAGACAGAAACAAAATAAAAATCTGTGAAATGTTTGCCACTGACGACATTCCACACCCTATTATCATCTGTACATATGGGGGTGGGGGGGGCGGCGGGGGGGACAGCCAACTTGAAAGTGAACAGTATGACTTTCCTGATCCAGAACAGTTTGGCCCACATCTGTTTAATCTTCCAGTTTAGCATATTTTAAAAATTAGTCTGTACTCAAATGCATAGTTAAAAAAATGAAGCGAGATGGCAGTTTGTGCAGTAATATCTGCCCTTCGAAGTTCATGCAACCAACTAATGCAATTTTTCCTTTCACTCGTAAATCTGAATGCAGTTCAGTCATTTGAAACCATCTACAAAATCCACAAGATTAAGCAGTTTGCCAAGATTAATATCTAACAGTTGAGCACTGGAGAAAGTGAGGGAAAGGAGTAAAAACAAACAACGAAAAAGACCAAGTTAGCTAGATATTTCAACTACATAAGGGAGGTGGGTGAATGTCAAGGCTACAAAAACGAAACAAAAACAGGAAAAAAAAGTGGCAGCAATTTTTTTTAAAACCAATTTGTACAAGTTTATAGTTTACTTTGTTTCCAAGTTCTCAAACCTTTCAAGATCTGAAAAGTGAGATACTGTGTCTAAGGGAATGTTTCTTTTAATTCACGCCGAAGAAGTTGGGGGTTTGATTTCTTTCGCCGGGGTTTCGATCGAGTCAACAGCTCACTCTGCTGGGCTGCTGTTTGCACACGAAGTCCGTCATAAAATCAAACTCGTTTTGCCCCAGCCAGAGTTCGGGCAGCTCCTTGATGCGGTCCAAACCCATTTCTATCACCAAGGACATAAGAACTTCCTCGTCGATGAAATCAGTGTCTATGACATTGGGCGGCAGCATTGCAGCGGGGACGTGGGCCACGGAGGCGGGCATGTTGCCGCTGCCGCTGCCGCCGCCGCTGTTGCTGCTGCCCGCGCCGCCGCCCGAGCTGCTGCCAGAGCCGCCGGGGGTGCTGCTGCCGCCCGAGCCGCCGGGGGTGCTGCTGCCGCCGCTGTGCTTGGGGTTGCAATCTCGGAAGTGCTGGTTTGTCCCGTTCATCTGGTGGCCTGCAGCAGGGTGCAAATCCGGCATGTAGTGGTTGTGGGGGTAGGGGTGATGGTTGAAATACTGGTTGTTGAGCTTCTGCAGCTGCATGCTGGCCGGCAGGGAGCCTCCCTGGCTGGCCACCGGGGGACCCATGAACTGGGAGTTGTTAAACCTGGCCGCGGGGGCCAGCGCGCTCGGGGGGTGCCCTCCGTTCACAGTCCCCGGCCCCATCGCATGCCTGATGCCGCTCGTGGCATTCATGTTGCCCGCGCCGTAGTGTATGTGCTCGCCCATTAGGGCGTTGAAGGCGTGCTGGGGCTGCTGCTGCTGGTGGTGATGGGGGCTCGGGAACTGCCCCATGCCCATGCGGTGGGCAGGGTGATGGTGCAGCCCATTGGTGCCGTCGGGGAAGCGCCCGTGGTTCATGGCCATCATATGGTCTGCCATTTCCAGTCCTGGAAGTGAAAAGGGCAGATAATGAGACCCGCGCCACACGTGTCGCCCACCACAGCGCACCCCACTTTTGCTCGCCTCTGCCCCCCAGGATTCCCGGGCGCACGTCGGCTGCGAACCACCACCCCCAAGATCCCACTAACAGCCTGTGCACCCGGGCTAGCCACCACGGAAGAGCTACCACTCATAACACAGCCGGACGCTGCACAAACAGCCCCTTCCCCTGCGATCGGGCGGGGGGACCCGAGCCCACACCCCCTTTGCTCCCCGAAGTGGCCTAATAAAGGAAGTGCCCCGTAGCCCTGCTGCGAACTTCAGGCATTAAATCAGCCCTCCTCATCCTGTTGTTGCACATCCTGTTGTTATTCCCCAGCTTCGCCTCACGCTCTTCCTCCGGGCAAACCCTGCCCTCGGAGGACTGGGCTGGCAAGAGCCCCAGCCAGCTTCGCCCGTCGCGCTTACCTTCCGTTTTTGCGATTTCTGCTCCGAAGACCGAGGGCGGGCTCGTCGCGTCCAGGACCGGCTCAGCAGCACATAGAGGGGACCTTCCTGGCGTGCAAAGCGCTTCGCTGTCGCGATGTCGGCGCCGAGGTCTCGCAGCGGCCGCTGGGGCAGATTCGGAGCCGTTCCCTTTTATTTCCCCTCCGTTGCCCTCACAGCTCGGCAGGACCGCCCGGCAGCTGCCAACAATGAGCTGTGTTTCTTAGGGCTTTGGCCACAGTTAATATAGGCATTTCGGAAAGGCGGAGCGAGAGCCTCCAGGGCGGGCGGCGCCAAGACGCGGATTCCGGAACACCGCGAACACCCTGGACCGGGTCCCGGAGCCGCGTCCCCGCCGCCCGCGGCACGTGCTGCAGAGGCTGCGGGGCCCGGGGGCCGCCCAGTCGCCCCGTCGCCCCCCGACTCTGGTTTCTTCCCGGCCCAGAAACGCGAGGTTGGCTCAGCCACCCCCGAGGCAGGGGGAAAATCCTCCCCTGCCGCCCCGCCCGAAGGTAGAGCCTGCCGGGATAGCCACGAGGAGAGCTCACCGCCCCCCTCAGGCTGGATCTACCCCACCCCCAGCTTTCTCACTCGGTTCACCTAGCGATCTGCCCCGCTCTCTACGGGAAAAGGGGACTCGCCCAGCGCCCCCCGCCCTCCAGAGTGCCCTTGTGCCTCCCCGGTTTTGCAAAAGCTTCCACAGGCAGCGAAGAATGGCTGTGCTTCCTCGAGTTGGGTTTTAAAGACCCGGACAAATAATGCGCCCTTTCCTGAGCGCGCCTTCCTAGGCTGTGCCTTTGTGTTTTCATACGGGCAGTGGGTAGACCTACTCTAGATCACCGCTTGTAGATGCATTTTTTTCCTCCACTCCTTTCAAGGACAGGAGCTGGGGGCGGGGAGGGGCAGCCGCTGCAGGTGGACGGAGCGCGCTCGAGGGCCCGGCCACCCCCGCTCCCGCGCCCTGGAATTCCAGTCCGCGCTTTCGGGCCCGCCTGCCGCTCCCGGGGTACGTGTGCTTCTGCTAAGTTTGCGTTTGCAGCTCTTGGTAGCTTTGGCATCCGAGCTGAGGCGTCTCTGCTCTGTAAACAAACTCAGCGATCCTCGTCCCCAGATCCACCTTTTTGCACATACACAGTTACTTGCTTCTGCTGTTGCCCTGGATCCGGGAGGTGGGGGTGTGTACAAACTTGCAGAGCCTCCCTCCGGGCTCTGCCTGACGGTTTGGGGTTGATTTAGAAGCAAACGGGTTTGTAATTAAGAAATTTGAGGGCTGAGTAAGGCTGCTCTTGCTGGAAAAGGAAAACAAATAGATAACGTGGTAATCGCTTTGTAAATAAAGTCGTTCTGGAGGTGGGCACGTAGCTGCACGTCCCGTATGGCACCACGCGCACACACACGGCTGGGACTCTTCCTTTTCAGTGAAATTGTTCAGTGGGGCAATGGGCGATAATAATAACCTTGCTTCCACAACGCGGCACAACGAGCCTGGTCGCCCGTTTGGTTCATTGACTTGCAAATAAAACCCCTAACACAGGTCTGGGCTACTACCAAGTCGGAGCTCTCTGGCTTTCTCACATGGGGAAGCCGAGTTGTTTCCCCAACACCATGATGGGGCTGTTCTGAGCTTTTACATTGCTCTTTATGTGGTAAAATCGAGTTTAGCGCTCCGAATAAGGACTTCTGGGCAGTTGTTTCTTCATAACTCGATAGCCATTGAAGACTTCCTGCTGCGAAGAGCGAGTCCGCCTCCCCGCCCCCCCCTCGTCTTTTTCCCCCTTCTTGCACACAAGACTTTTAAAGGCCCTGTTTCTTGAGGACTGGAAATTCTGATACATTTCCCCGTTCAGGAATTTGCAAAAGAGACCCAATCCTGATTATTTTCGTCTATGACCCCTCTGTCTTTTCCTAGTCAGGCATATTTTTGTAAATGTTGTTACTTTGTGTCTTGTCTTCTTTCCTCTTCCAGGCTCTCCGGCAAACCGTGCAGGCAAATAATTTTTAAACCTCAAAAATATTTACTTTTTAGAGATACGGGCACATGACACATTGCATTGTTAGTTGCAACAATTCCCTATTCTCCTAACCTCCCACCACCTTTACCTGTAGGTCAGGACATGCAGTTTACCGTATCAGAGGCTTGGATACCTGAAGGGGCCACTTCCTATAAAAAAACAGATTCTAAAATATTGGTAAAACCCAACCTGAAAAATCGCGGGATTGTTTACTTTCCCTTCTTTGTACTGCAAGTGTCTTTCGACACAAGAAACAGCTTTTGAATGTCTAATCTAAATTCCTCTTGCAACCACTAAGGAAAGGTGGAGCTCCATCCAGCTCCAGTGGTTCTACCTACTATTGGGAAATCCCTGGAAAGGTCACCTGCCCATCCCCCATCCCTTAAAGGAGAACAAAATAGTTCTGGGACCAGCTGGTTGGAACATGGCATGCTTTGTTCATTTATTCTCATCCGTCCACTGAATGTCCTCCAAGTGCCAAGTGCTTTCTTGGTGCCTGGAGATACAAACAAGATAGGAACTCATGGTCACAGGGAGAAAACTGACAAACAGGCCTTGAACACACTGTGATAAATGCCACAAAGGCATTGAAGGAAAGGGCTTTGGAGAGCACATAGGAGGGACACCTACCCCCCTCCTGGGTGCTTTGGGAAGGCTTTCCGGTGGAGATGGTGACTAAGTGGAGGCCTCAGGATGAATGGAAGTTTGGTCCCATTAGGAGTGGGGTAGAAAATGTATGGCTAGGGAGTGAATGCAAAGATGAGAGAAATAAGGTTGGAGAAATATGCTGGGGCCGGATGCCAAGGGCATTGTGGCCTCAAGCTGAGAAATTTTGCTGTATCCCAAAGACATTGGGAGGCAGGTAAAAGCTTGTGAAGCCATGAGATAGGAAAGATTTGGATTTTAGAAAGATCAGGGCAGTACTGTGGAGAATGGTTAGAGAAAGTAAGACAGGAAACAGGGAGTCCAGTTAGGGGGCACTTACAGTAACCCAGGGCTCCCAGAAGTTCCGTATAACCAGGGTTTATCCCGTGAACCTGGGTGAGCGAGCAAGTGATCTGTCTGTGGCCCTCACAGCACTGAATGGTTGTATTCATTTCCCAGAGCTGCCATAACACAGTACTATTTAGGTTGGTGCAAAAGTAATTGTGATTTTTGCCATTGAAAGCAATGGCGAAAACTGTAATTACTTTTGCACCAGTCTAATACAAACTTAAGGCTGATCAAGCTTTAAACAACAAAACATTATTGTCTCACAGTTCTGGAGGCTAGAGGTACAAGGCCAAGTTGTTGGCAGGGTTGGTTCTGAAGACCGTGAGAGAGAATCTATTCCGTGTCTCTTTCCTGGCTTTTGGTGGTTTCCCGGCAATCTTTGGTGTCCCTTGACTTGTAGATGCATCACACTGATCCCCACCTTCATCTTCATGTGACGTTTTCCACCCCCCGCCCCCCTGTATGTGTATCTCTGTGTCCAAAGTTCCCCTTTTGACAAGGACTCTAGTCCTTTTGGATTAGGGCTTCTCCTACTGGCCTCATGTTAACTTGATCACCTCTATAAGCTCCTGACTCCAAAGAAGGTCATATTCTGGAGGTTAGAACTCCAACATATCTCCAAGATATTTTTGCGGGGACACAATTTGACTAATAACAGTGGTAAATAAACTGAGTAATACAAGACCCCTGCTGCTGACAAAGAAAGTTGCCACCTGGAACTGTCTTCCCAGACGTCCTACTGGCCCATATTCTCATTTCTTCATGTCTCTGCTCAAATATCACCTCAACAAACTCTCCCTGACTGTCCTACCCAAATAGCAATATCTCTCTTGTTTCCTTGCCCTGCTTTATGTTTCATCTTAGAGTATCTTCCTACCTGACATGCTGCATGGTAAATTGACAGTTTACTGCCTTCCCCATTAGAATGACAGCTCCATGAGAGCAGAGACCTAGCCTGGTTGTTCATTCACTGTCTGAAACAAGTCCTGGCAGGTATTAGACTTTTACTAATTGAAGGGTGAATGCATGAATAAAATATGGCATTGGCACTATGGGAACCCCAATGAGGGGCCAAGGAAGACTTTCTGGAGAAGGTCACTCTCAAGGCTGGAGGTAGGCCAGGTGCAGTGGCTCACACCTGTAGTCCCAGAACTTTGGGAGGTTGAAGTGGGAGGATCACTTGAGCCCAGGAATTCGAGACCAACCTGGGCAACATCTTGAGATCCTGTCTCAACAAAATAAAATTAGAAAATGAGCTGGGTGTGGAGGTGCATACCTGTAGTCCTAGATACTGGGGAGGCCGAAGCGGGGGGATTGCTTGAGCCCAGGAGTTCGAGATTGCAGTGAGCTGTGATCACACTACTCCACTCCAGCCTTGGCAATAGAGTGAGACCTTCATCCCTTCTACCAAAAAAAAGCTGGAGGTAGAAAAGTCAAGTGGAAAAGGAGAACAGCAGCTTACCTTTGTCTGCATTGTGGCAGCCACTTGGGCAAAACTGTTATCTGTTTGGGAAGATGACTCACCTGGGCATCACTGACTGCTGAGTAATGGACAAAGGTCCCCATTGGTGTGAACTTTTGACTGAAACAAGTTTTTAGAGGTGAGTCTCTGGCTTTAGCTAAAACCTGAATTGAGAAAAGGCTGACTGAAGGACCCAGCTTCAAAAAATATATTGAAAGACCTCATACTTGTGTGGTGCAGCTAGGGAAGGGAGGAAGGTGAGATTTAGCACTGTATTTTGTACGTTATTTAAATTATCTCAGCTGAGGGCAGTGACTCATGCCCACAATCACCAGCACTTTGGGAGGCTGAGGTGGGAGAATTGCTTAAGCCCAGAAGTTTGAGACCAGCCTAGGCAATATGGCAAAACCCCAGACTCTACAAAAAATATGAAAAGTAGCTGAGCATGGTGGTGCATGACTGTAGTTCCAGCATCTCAGGAAGCCGCGAAGCTGAGGTGGGAGCATTACTTGAGCCCAGGAGGTCAAGGCTGCAGGTCGAGGTCGAGGTCGTGCCACTGCACTCCAGCCTGGGTGACAGAGCAAGACCTTGTCTCAAAAAAAATAAAACCCAAAAAACAAAACAACAAAATGAAACAAAACCCCAAAGCTCACTTAATCCTCAATGTAAGGAGTAGGGATTACTTTCATCACTTTAGTAAGGAGGACTTTGAGTCTCAGAGAATCTTTTAAAAATAAAAATAAAAACAATGAAAAACATGGCCACCTTCTCAGAAGGAGAGGAATAGGGAAAAGAGGAGAGAGGTAGCCAGAGAGTCTGTTAACACATGATTTAATAGTGACAGAGGCCCTATATGCAACCTGGTGTTATCTGCAAACTGAATAATGTCTTACATGTAGTATATATGTCAAACTGAGATGTGAATATCACTTTTAAACATGTAAACTTGGTTCTAACTCATAAAATACAAATTCACTTGAAATTATTACCAAACTCATAATAGTTTTTCTGTCTTTAGGTATTTTTTCATTCAAGAGAAATATAGCCATTATCACGTAGAGGTCAATGAAATGTTTGTATTAAAGGGTCTTTAAATTGATGAAGTTGGTACTATCCCGCTTGAGAATTTGATTAAAATAAATATTTTAGGATGTCATTCCTGGAGTTCTTGATTCATCAGGCTGGGAGTGGGGCCTGAGGAGCTGTATATTTTTTAAAAGCTCCCGGTTGGTTCTGATATTTAGCTAGGTTTGCAAACAGCCAACCTTGTTTATAGGTTGATGACAACTGGGGTCATTCTCACAGGGTTCATGGGTGTACTGTGAACCTGGTTCACACTCATAATGTCCAGTTTCCCTGGACTGCCACCCGTTTCCTCTCCGCCTCCCGCCCATGACTGGAATTTTGCCTGTCTTTGAAGGCCCAGCTCAGATGACATTTCCTCTTTTTTAGCCTCCCCTGATCCCCTAGATGGCAAGAATTCTGGCTCGTTGGTGCTTCCAGGGCAATTTACTCAGATCTTCTTTTTTGACCTATTCTGACTTGAGTTATGGGTATTTGTATTCTTCTGTAACCTTCTCTGTGATGGCAGAGGTTCCCAGGTGAGCTCCAAGGGGCTGCAAAATGTCGTGCACAGAATAAGGTCAACCTTCGACAGATGCCTCTCGACTTACCATGGGGTCATGCTCTGATAAACCCCGTTCTATAAGTTGAAAACATCATCTGTGAAACCATCATAAGCCAGGAGCATGTGTATAAGTTTGCTAGTGCTGCTAGGGCTGCCATAACAAAATATCAGCCTGGGAGGCCTAAATAACAGAAATGTATTTCCTCATAGTTGTGGAGGCTGAAAGTCCATGATCAAAGTGTCAGGACCCCTCTCCTTGGCTTGCAGATGGCTGCTTCTGGTGTGTCTTCACATGGTCTTTCCTCTGTGCACAGGAAACCCTGGTGTCTCTTTCGTGTGTCCAAATTTCCTCTTCTTATGAGGACATCAGTCAGATTGGATTAGGACCCTCCCTAATGTCCTCATTTTAACTGAATCACCTCTTTAAAGACCTTATCTCTAGTTATGGTTACATTCTTAGATACCGGGAGTTAGCTGTCAGCAGAGGAATTTGGGTGGGGGTACAATTCAGCCTATATAACACACGTCACATATAGATTCTTTTTTAGATAATTGGCATTTTCTTAGTCTGCAGCTTTAACAATAAGCTAGAGAACATTCACATTGGTTTTGAAGTTGGATGAGGTATGTTGGAAAGCAGAAGAAAAATTCAGTGACCTTAAATAATTAGAAAAACACTCTATCAAAAACAAGATTATGTTCAATAAGAAAAACTGCAGAGGCTTCACGAGGACAATAACAAATTACATGGGTATTGGATGGGAAATTATTGAGTAGATATAACAAGTTCAGCCAAAAACCAAACCAAAACAAAACTGCGGGTCCTCCTAAGCTATTGGTTGAATCAGAGGCAGCCACGGAATGCTGTTATTGAAAAGGACACAACTCGGAGTATATCAGGAGTGAGAATCACATGACAGAGCTGGAAGTAATCCTTTTGCTACACTGGGCTCTTCTGAGAGATCATGGTTAGTTTGCAACTTTACCTTTTAATAAAGAGTTACCAAAACCAAAGAAAGTTCATTGAAAAAAAAAAAAGGAAATATATTTTTAAAGGGACGGGAAATGGGACTTATAATGGCTATTTAATCTGGGGAAGAAAAAGCTGACAGGTGACTTAATACATATGTTCTGGTCTACATAGAGGAAAACTAATATGGTGGATCCTTTCCAGATGTTTTCCTTTTCCACTGAGACAAAGAAAAAAGGAAGGCGTTTTTAAAAAGAGAGCTTTAGATCAGTGGTTTCCAAATTTGTGTTCTGTAGATGTTGTGTATTCTCAGCTTCACTTTTAAGTGCTTTATATATTAAGGGTTTCTGTTTGTTTTAAAAACATATTGTTCTGATGTTAAACAGTTATGAAAACTAATGCTTTGGATAATACATAAAAATCATAGAATTCTAGTGTGGGTAGGACTTTTAAAAATAATCTTATCCAAACTCCTTCCTTTTCTAGATGAGAAATCTGAGGTCCTGAGAGGTTAAGTGACTTGCTCATAAAGGACTTCCTAACCATCAGGATTTAAAAACACTGGTATGGATTATCGGAGCAGACCAAGTCTTTATGAAGACTTCACTGAAGTGAAATAGAGATGTGTTGAGTGGTTTTTTAGATCAGCGTTTCCCAGCTGATGTTCTATATTATAGGTGGATAGGATTGCAGAAGACAGTAATAGAATCTATATCAATTTCTACTTTTAAAACAGTGGGAATTAAAATCATTTAAAAGTAGTTTTCCAGTTCAAAATGGAAGTTTGGGGCTGGGTGCAGTGGCTCACGTCTTTAATCCCAGCACTTTGGGAGGCTGAGGCAAGAGGATGGCTTGAGCCCAGGAGTTTGAGACCATCCTGGGCAACATGGAGAGACTTTGTTTCTACAAAAAAAAATTTGAGGCTGGGCACGGTGGCTCACACCTGTAATCTCAGAACTTTGGGAGGCTGAGGCGGGTGGATCACAAGGTCAGGAGATCGAGACCATCCTGGTTAACATGGTGAAACCTGGTCTCTACTAAAAATACACAAAATTAGCCAGGCGTGGTGGCGCACACCTGTGGTCCCAGCTACTTGGGAGGCTGAGGCAGGAGAATCACTTGAATCCAGGAGGCGGAGGTTGCAGTGAGCCAAGATCACGTCACTGCACTCCAGCCTGGTGACAGAGCAAGATTCCATCTCAAAAAAAAAAAAAAAAAGAAATTTTAAACTTAGCCAGACATGGTGGCACACACTTGTAATCCCAGCTACTTGAGAGGCTGAGGCGTGAGGATCACTTGAGCCCAGGAGCTTGAGGCTGCCATGAGCTGTGATTGTGCCACTGCACTCCAGCCTGGATGACAGAACGAAACCCTGTCTCAAAACAATAACAAAACAAAAAAACCCCAGCAAGATGGAAGTTTGAGAGTCTCTGAGTTGTGCTGAGTGAGCCCACAGAGCTGGTTGTAGACATCTGATGACAAGCATTAAGTAATGTAGTTACTCTCTCAGCTAAATACTCATGTCAGAGTGGTTGTTGCACTATTTAACAACTTTAAGTTGCTTTTAATTCTTTTACACATACGGATTTTTTTTTTTTTAAAGATAGAAGACTAATGGTCCTGAATAAAATAAACCTGTGAGAAATATAATTGTGATAATTTTTTTTTTGAGATAGGGTCTCACTGTGACGTCCAGGCTGGAGTGCAGTGATGTGGCCATAGCTCATGTAACCTTAAACTCCTGGACTCAAGTGGTCCTCTCACCTTGGCCTCCCAAAGCACTGAGATTACAGGCATGACCATGGTGCCCAGCCGAATTGTGATAATTATTTCACAACTAACTTATGATGATGCTCATCTCACCCAGAAGTTGCATTCATATCATGAAAACTTTTATATAGTACAAATTACATAACTCTAGGACTAAAAAATGAATCCAAAAGAGAGAAAACATAGTGATGACTACACTCAAATTGTCTGTCAATTTATTAGAAATAAAGATTCAGCTGCTGTATGTAATAATTACGGAAGTATGTTTGCAAATAATAGCCTGAAACTATTCCTCTGATCTCATTACTTACAAACAAAGCACAAACATTATTTTTTAAAATCCCAGTTGATTTTTATGTACAAAAGTCAAAAACTAAAAACATCAGGAAAGGAAAATATTTCGTGCCAATTTGTAATGTCATAATATGTAGTTGTATTTCAATATGTTTAAATATGTATTTAGTCTCAGATCCACAGAGAATATATTGTCAATTTTGAATTTGTTAACAAGCTGTGCTTTACTTCTTATAATTAATTGAAAAGAGATCTTATAATTGTATTTTATAACAAAAAATAATTTGTTTTATAGTCTTTGTAATAAATATTATTTAAAATAAACACCACAAAACAAGCTTCTATTATACATTTATCTAAAACATAATGTTTTCTGTGAACTCTCTTCTTACATGCCATACAAAAATTTTTTAAATGATCTGAAAATGCCTAAGTGGTTCATGAGATAACAATGAAGGAGACTCACAGGAAAAAAATGTTGAAAAATGCTGGTTTAAGTCAGTGTTTCTCAAGAATAATAAAGCTCTCTTTCAGAATAAAGAATAATAAAGCTCTGTTGTTTGTTTGTTTGTTTGTTTGTTTACAGTTTTTTGAGGCAAAGTCTTTCCCTGTTGCCCAGGCTGGAGTACAGTGGCTCAATCTCGGCTCACTGCAACCTCCGCCTCCTGGGTTCACACCATTCTCCTGCCTCAGTCTCCTGAGTAGCTGGGACTACAGGCACGCGCCACCATGCCCTGCTAATTTTTTGTATCTTTAGTAGAGACAGGTTTTCACCATGTTGGCCAGGCTGGTCTTGAATTCCTGACCTCGTGATCCGCCCACCATGGCCTCCCAAAGTGCTGGGAATACAGGCGTGAGCCACAGTGCCTGGCCAAGAATAATAAAGCTCTCTTTCAAAAGAAAAAATTATCTTGGCCGGGCGCAGTGGCTCACGCCTGTAATCCCAGCACTTTGGGAGGCCAAGGTGGGCAGATCATGAGGTCAGGAGATCGAGACCATCCTGGCTAACACGGTGAAACCCCATTTCTACTAAAAATACAAAAAATTAGCTGGGTGTGGTGGTAGGCGTCTGTAGACCCAGCTACTCGGGAGGCTGAAGCAGGAGGATGGGGTGAACCCAGAAGGTGGAGCTTGCACTGAGCCAAGATTGCACCACTGCACTCCAGCCTGGGCAACAGAGCAAGAGTCTGTCTCAGAAAAAAAAAATTGTCTTAGATTTCAAATGTTTATTTACATTATTTATATTTCTTAACTATGTAAAAATAGGGAACAATGCATGATATCCTTATGTTTATAGCTCTTATACAACTGTAATACTAGAACACATGTACATGTTAAATAAAAATTCAGAACCAATAAAAATAGAAATTAACAATATTTATCTGGCAGATTTTGTCAAAATTAAGCCACCCCTTGCAATGTGAATCCAGCAACAAGAACTACAGTATCTGTTTTTTGCTACTGAGTTTGGCCTGCTGATGCTATAGCATGCCATGTAGTGAAATTTGTATTGGAACCACTGTGCAAACTTGTATACTGTGCACCACAATTTCAGTTGGTCTTCACATGGTGTGACCATTTCAGTATATTAAAGCCATCTCTGTTCTTTCCTGATTTGTCTTCAACATTTTAAAGTCATGCTACTTGGCACCATCACAGTTATAATCACAAATCTAAATAATGAAAGATGATCATTTGGATGATTCATAATGCGTGTCTAATAATTTGTTAGAAATGATCAACAAAGGCCGGGCACGGTGGCTCAAGCCTGTAATCCCAGCACTTTGGGAGGCCGAGGCGGGCGGATCACAAGGTCAGGAGATCAAGACCATCCTGGCTAACACAGTGAAACCCCGTCTCTACTAAAAATACAAAAAATTAGCTGGGCGTGGTGGCGGGCACCTGTAGTCCCAGCTGCTCGGGAGGTTGAGGCAGGAGAATGGCATGAACCTGGGAGGCGGAGCTTGCAATGAGCCGAGATCGTGCCATTGCACTCTAGCCTGGGCGACAGAGCAAGACTCCGTCTCAAAAAAAAAAAAAAAAAAAAAAAAAATCAACAAAATGAAAACATAAAATTAAAGAATTCTTGAGGAGAAAAAGAGAACACCGAAGACTACTTTAAGGTTTGTGAAGGATCTGTGAACTCCTATTAAAGAAACCCTGGTTTTGGTGGTATCCGGTCTTTATTATTACCAATACTTTGGGTCATATAACTGTGTATTATAATAAATAATTTGGATCTATAGTTGGCAGAGAATGGAATAGAAAGGTTAAACTATCGAAGGCTGAGTGTTAGCCACTTCCTTAAAAAAATACAGGTTTCTTTCCTATATCAAATAAATATGTGACCCCAAAGTTGTCTGTGAGTTCAATTGTTTTTAGTCATTGACTCATCAGTTCCCGCTTCTATTCATTCAAATACCAGCTTTACAGAAATGCTTAGGTGAGCTGGGTAATAACTAGAAAAGAATGATTTATATTCATGTCAATTTTTTTTATTATTTTTATTTTTATTTTTATTGAGACAGAGTCTCACTCTGTTGCCCAGGCTAGAGTGCAATGGCGCGATCTCAGCTCACTGCAATCTCCACCTCCTGGGTTCAAGTGATTCTTCTACCTCAGCCTCCCAAGTAGCCAGGATTATTACAGGCATGTGCCTCCACACCCAGCTAATTTTTTTGTATTTTTAGTAGAGACAGAGTTTCACCGTGTTGGCCAGGATGCTCTCGATCTCCTGACCTCATGACCCACCCGCCTCGGCCTCCCACAGTGCTGGGATTACAGGCTTGAGCCACTGTGCCTGGCAATTATTTATATTTTAAATGGCATTTTCTGGAGTGCTTGTAGGTGCTTCAGGTCTTTTAAGTATTTTAGACAATCTTGTTCACATCATTAGCTTGTATGAGCAAAGGATTTCTAGACTGATTTCAAGTGCAGCCCAGCTTCTGGAATCAGTGTGTGGGGGCACCAGAGAAACAGCCTCAGAAGTTTGAGATAAGATTAGCTTCCGTGAGTGCCTTCAAGGAGCATAAACATGTACAAGATAAGATCAGCATCTTTAGCAGGAACATCTCAGCTTCCCGGGCTCTTGGGTACCTTGGGAGTTAGCAGTCACCTGGAATTGTAAATGAATCAACTGCTGTTCATCAATCTCTTGTGAATCTGATGAGTGTGGGAGTCAGTTGAACTCAGGATGAATGGAGCAGCTGAGCTGAAGAGCAGGCCTTCATCTGTGGTGGTGTCGCCAAGGGAAGGGTACAGCGACAGCATGAGGGTCCTTTGGCCTCCCTCCCTTCCTGTTACCTCTGTCCTGTAACTGCAGTGGGTCTATTGAAATAATTTGAAATTCTGAATTGGGTGGGAGACCCCTTACTTACTGATATCTCATAATGCTTTGGCATTCTTCCATGAGGGAAACTGTGATTTTGCTCCAGACTGGTCAGGTCTCCCATTATTGCCTTTGTTATATACAGTTGCCTTGACAGTTTCTTTCACAGACCCTCTCAAAATGTATAGTTAGATAAATTGTTGTGGCTCCTTCAATACTGTCCCCATGAAGGGAAGGTCTAGGCTTCTATCTTGTGCCCAGTGTCACATCATTGCATCTCCAGTGCAGAAATAGTACCTGACTCAGAGTAGGTGATCATGCAGCTAAAAAATGCAAATTCCTTTAACACTTACAGTTAAGCAATTGAGATCTAATTTCAAATCTCCTTTTTTTTTTTTCTGAGATGGAGTTTCACTCTGTCTCCCAGGCTGGAGTGCAGTGGCACAATCTCGGCTCACTGCAACCTCCGCCTCCCGGGTTCAAGTGATTCTCCTGCCTCAGCCTCCTGAGTAGCTGGGATTACAGGTGCCCACCACTATGTCCAGCTAATTTTTTTTGTTTTTTTTTTTTTTTGGTAGAGATGGGTTTCACCATGTTGGCCCGGCTGGTCTTAAACTCCTGACCTCAGGTGATCCACCCACCTTGGCCTCCCAAAGTGCTGGGATTACAAGTGTGAGCCACTGTGCCCGGCCCTTAAATCTCCTTTAAAAAAAAAAAATTGAATAATTGAAAACATTTTCTAATCTTCTAGTTTGCTACTGTGTCAACTCTCAAAGTGTTCTCCATACATGCTAAACTATACTAAATAATTTAGAAAGATCATTTATAAAATTAGTTGTTGTTTAGAATTAAGATTTTTTTTCAGTCTTTCTTTCCTTTACCACCTTTTCGATGTTTTAACTTCTCTCCAGTAATTTAAGCTCTTCATGAGGCCAACATTTCCTGTATTTTCAATTGGCTTTGTGGATCCTTCATAATGCATCATCAGGAGAAAGAGAATTCAGAGAAAGAATCAGTTCTCCACCTGGAGGTAGGGACTACTTACACATTAAAGAGGATATTATAGAAGCAGATGCAGCAAAAGATGAACCCACATGTAGTTCCCTCTGATCCCACCATGGTCATGGATTTTCAGATTACCTGGTGCCATAGTGGAGCTTAAGGATGCTTCTTTTGAAATATTAATTTAGCCAGGCACGATGGCTCTTGCCTGTAATCCCAGCACTTTGGGAGGCCGAGGCGGGCAGATCATGATGTCAGGAGATCGAGACCATCCTGGCTAACACGGTGAAACCCCGTCTCTACTAAAAATACAAAAAATTAGCTGGGTGTGGTGACATGTGCCTGTAGTCCCAGCTACTCGAGAGACTGAGGCAAGAGAATCACTTGAACCTGGGAGGCAGAGGTTGCAGTGAGTTGAGATTGTGCCACTGCACTCCAGCCTGGGCAACAGAGTGAGACTCCGTCTCAAAAAAAAGAAAAAAAAGAAATATTAATTTAGATATAAATTCCAGAGCATCATGACACCAACAAATCATCCTTTTCATGGTCTTTGTTGTTTACCAGGGAGAATTCCACGAAAAGAAGGCAGGATAAACTATTGCAGACAGAGAGAAAGGTTCAGAGTTCATGAGGCTAGATGAACTCTGCTACCAGAGATCTCAGGAGATTAGATAAAAGGTGCAAGATCAGAACCCAGGGAGTATAATAACTCTTCCAACTTGCTCTAACAAAGAACAGTTTTCCTACATGTCACCCTCCCCCAGCCCCACCCCAGCAGCCACTGCCTACAAGCTCCTCCGGGCTGGAGTGTAACTTATTTTTCCTTGTGCCCTAACACCTAACATCTGTTGACCCCCAAACCCATTCTCTTGTCACTACACTTGGATGATAGAAGGACATTAATTCAGGGATAACACATTTTCATAAGTAAAATTATTCTCAGGAAATAAATATAGGTCCAATAACAGGTTGGAAAACATTTTCTCTCTTTAAATATAGTCTTAAAATTAAATAGGAGGCAGAAATTATGTTATGGTATATATTCATTTGGTAAACAACAAACTGGATTGAATAGCTTTACAAAACTTTTTAAAAGTATGTGTTTTTGGCTGGGCGCAGTGGCTCAAAAAAAAAAGTATGTGTTTTTTGGTTTTGTTTTTGTGGACAGGGACTCTTGCATTCACTACATATATTACTTAGATAGTACAGAAGTTCACTGAGGTTTAAGTCTGTGCCTTGATCTGTAATTCTCTGATTATCACCATTGGTCATTCTCTGTTGAATCTCTCTCTTTTTTTTTTTTTTTTTTTTTTGAGACAGAGTCTCACTCTGTTGCTCAGGCTGAAACGCAGTGGCATGATCATCTCTCACTGCAGCCTCAACCTCTCAGGCTCAAGCAATCCTTCCACCTCAGCCCCCCGAGTAGCTGAGATGACAGGCGCATGCCACCACACTCAGTTAATTATTTTATTTTATTTTATTTTATTTTTGAGACAGAGTCTTGTTCTGTCGCCCAGGCTGGAGTGCAGTGGCACAATCTCGGCTCACTGCAAGCTCTGCCTCCCGGCTTCATGCCATTCTCCTGCCTCAGCCTCCCAAGTAGCTGGGACTACAGGCACCCGCCACCACACCTGGCTAATTTTTTGTATTTTTAGTAGAGATGGGGTTTCACCGTGTTAGCCAGGATGGTCTCGATCTCCTGACCTCGTGATCTGCCCGCCTCGGCCTCCCAAAGTGCTGGGATTACAGGCGTGAGCCGCTGCACCTGGCATGATTTTTTAATTTTTTCACAGAAACAGGGTCTCACTGTGTTGCCCAGGCTGGTATTAAACTCCTGGGCTCAAGTGATCCTCCCGACTCAGCCTCCCAAAGTGTTGGGATTACAGGTGTGAGCCACTGAGCTCACCCTGGATTCCTTCTTTTTTTTTTTCTTTTTTTTTTGAGATGGAGTCTCGCGCTGTTGCCCAGGCTGGAGTGCAGTGGTGCAATCTCGGCTCACTGCAGCCTCCGCCTCCTGGGTTCCAATGATTCTCCTGCCTCAGCCTCCCGGGTAGCTGGGATTACAGGTGGACGTCACCATGCCAGGCTAATTTTTTTTGTATTTTTAAGTAGAGACGGGGTTTCAACATGTTGGCCAGGCTGGTCTTGAACTCCTGACCTCAGGTGATCCGCCCGCCTCAGCCTCCCAAAGTGCTGGGATTACAGACGTGAACCATCGTGCCCAGCCTGGATTCCTTCCTTACCATCAATAATGTACAACTGAATCTTAATGGTAGTCATTCAACCTATCTGATGTAGCTATCCTCCTTCAAGTCAAAAGGCCTAGGCAGCCACAGCTAGAAAGTTTTCTGTAAACATCAAGTTACAACCACCATCAAAACTCTTACAGGAGTTTATCTAGTAATTGGTGCACAAAGTGTGACTATAAAGTTGTAGAAAAGATTTCACAAGCGCATGCAAAAATGTGCCTGATTCCAGCCATACCTTGAATGCAGAGATGGAGTTTTTGTAGTAGATTTATAAGAATGATGGAATTGTAGTCAGTTGCAGATGGCAAGGCCCATACAAACCATCTTATTCAATCCACTTTATTTAGAGATGATAGAAATTCAGGCTAAAGGAGGTAAAGTGACTTGCCCCAGGACACAGAGACAATAAAGAGCAAAACTTGAAAGAGTTGCAGAAGATTATATCAACTGTCATGTGAAGTTCAGGCCCTGTTGTTTATGTCCTGCTGACAATCCTGAAGGGATCAACTGTGCACCAGCTGCCACCACAAAAAACCTATGTGTAGCCAAAGACTTCGCTCAAAGTACAGACCAAAGACAGCAGTCATGAGAGATGGGCTGGTGGTTAGAAAAATGATCAGAGTTGTTCTTAGCTCTCTGGAATCTCTGGAAAGCCAACTTCATATCAGAACTCGAACTGGGCCATATGTGCAGGTCAAGCTGGTGGCTAGCAGGGTGCTCTGAGGACACATGAAAGGTCAGCGCCCCTTGCTCAGCCAAATGCACAGACCCTGTTCATTGCAAAAATCTTGATGTTTTGCTTTCAGATTATTTCATGAAAACTGTTTATCATAGGCAGAAGCATTGGTTTGAAGAATACTGGGAGCAAAAGTGATGCTATCGAAGGTGTGAATCCAGGTCCACGACTAGGAGTTTGAAACATCTGGAAGCACCATTACAATTCTGACTTAGGTAAAGACTGCTCAGTGAGCAAATAGAGTCTGAAAAAGCAAAGTGCCTAATATGGATCATACTGGGCCGGGCGCGGTGGCTCACTCCTGTAATCCCAGCACTTTGGGAGGCCGAGGCAGGTGGATCATGAGGTCAGGAGATCGAGACCATCCTGGCTAACATGGTGAAATCCCGTCTCTACTAAAAACACACACAAAAAAATTAGCTGGGCGTCGTGGCGGGCGTCTGTAGTCCTAGCTACTCGGGAGGCTGAGGCAGGAGAATGGCCTGAACCCGGGAGGCGGAGCTTGCAGTGAGCCGAGATCGTGCTACTGCACTCCAAGCTGGGTGACTGAGCAAGACTCTGTCTCAAAAAAAAAAATATATATATATACACATATAAATATATATATATACATATAAATATATATATACATATAAATATATATATACATATAAATATATATATACATATAAATATATATACATATAAATATATATATACATATAAATATATATACATATAAATATATATATACATATAAATATATATATATACATATAAATATATATATATATTTATATGGATCATACTGACCAATTAACCAGGCATTTCTCTTAACCCAACTGTGTCCCTTTATCAGTGCCAGAGAGACTGATCACCCTTCTTTCCAGTATCCTCTGTTTATTACAAGGCTCTTTTAATTTCTGGAATGTACAAGTGAGGTCAGCATCACTGGAATTTTGAGGTGTGAATAGACCTATAGTCCACCCTCTGAAAGGGAGCGAAACTAGAATGGGCCATGCCCCTGAGATTAGCTATCTAGAGAAATAGCTCAAGAGTCTGTCAATACAGGTATGGCTGGGACAACAGGAGGCACCTATTTCTAATCAATGGCTGGGCTGTGAGCTTGGGGAGGCACTCTGGTTGACAACAGAGGAATGAAACTGCTTTCAAAAAGGTGCAAAGCAGCAATCAATGATCAGAATGTTAGCTACGAAAGCTGAAGTCCAGTGAGATATCTGAAGAAAGAGGCGTTAACCAAAGGCAGATGGTCAGCATGGAACCCATGTTAAGTGGAATTGAAAGAGCAAGACTTTGCTTGAGCCCAGGAGTTCAAGGCTGCAGTGAGGTATGATAGTGACACTGCACTCCAGTCTGGGCAACAGAGTGAGACCCTGTCTCTAAAAACAAATAAACAAACAAACCATGCGCGCGCACACACACACACACACACACACACACACACACACAACCCATAAAAGAACAAGACTTTGGGCCGGGCGTGGTGGCTCACGCCTGTAATCCCAACACTTTGGGAGGCCGAGGCAGGTGGATCACTAGGTCAGAAGATCGAGACCATCCTGGCTCACACGGTGACACCCCGTCTCTACTAAAAATACAAAAAATTAGTAGGGCATGGTGGCAGGCTCCTGTAGTTTCAGCTACTCGGGAGGCTGAGGCAGGAGAATGGCATGAATCCGGGAGGCGGAGCTTGCAGTGAGCCGAGATCGCGCCACTGCACTCCAGCCTGGGTGACAGAGCGAGACTCTGTCTCAAAAACAAAACAAAACAAAACAGAAAAATTAGCCAGGTGTGGTAGTGTGTGCATGTAGTCCCAGCTAGTAGGGAGGCTGAGGCAGGAAAATCGCCTGAGCCCAGGAGGTAGAGGCTGCAGTGAGCCATGATTGCACCACTGTACTCCATGCACTCCAGCCTAGGCAACAGAGTGAGATCCTGTCTCAAAAAAAAGAAAGGAAAGGAAAGTTAATTATTAATTAATTCAATTGGTTAAGAATCCTTCCCTTCCCTCCCTAAAACATAAAATGTAAGCTGTAAAAAAAGAGGTCTTTAGTGATGGCTTTTGGCTGGCATCAATTACACTGCATTCTTTACTTAACACAGCACTGTGTCTAATGACTCAGAAACAGAAAAACAGTATACCATTGGGGGAAGTAAAAGAAGGAAGAAAGGAGAGACCATACTTGCTGAATGACTGTAGGAGCCTTAGAGTATGCCATTGGCTTTCATATACATTGTCTTATTGAATCTCAACGTCAACTCTGCTCAAATGGTGTTACTATCTGAGGCCCAGAGAGGGTAAGTGATTTGACTGAAGTCACTCAGTTCCCAGGTGGCACAGCTGGGGTTTCAGGTGAAATCGACCTGACTTCAACACTGTAAGGCTTTCTATTCTTGTTTATTGCTTTTAAAAGACAGTAGAGTAGAGTAGGACTTTGGACAGAAGTTAAGCTTTTCCAAGCAAGGGTTGTGTTTTGTTTCTCCAAATCTAGAGAAACTGCTCCCAAATTCTTTAACCTTTCATCCCTCTTTTCTCCACTTTAAGGACAGGACATAATAATCAGCACTATCCTAGATGGAAAGGTGAAAAATACTCTTCTTTCCATTCTCTCTTTCCAACTTTGAATGAAATAACAGCTTTTCAAAACATATAATTAAGGAATCTTAACACAAAAATAAAACAAGACAAACTACAAAAGAAGAGGAGCAATGGATAATGGTTTCAGTGAATCCTGGGGGATGCAAATTTTCTTAGCGCTTCCTGGTAGCCAAGGCAAAGGGAGAAATATGTTGTATTATGTAGCTTTCAGTGTCCAATAAGGAAAGGACTACTAGTTTATTAGGAAAGATAAATGATTTTTTTTACTCGTAGCTGAGAGAAATTCGTCATGTGAGTTATCCTAGAAGGGCATTGAATGACATAAGTGAAAAAGTACTGGAGAACAGTTTTAATGTTACAAAAAAAAATTTTTTTTTTGGCTTGCTACAATGTCCCTTTGATGAACAACTCTAGTAGAGGGATAGATTTTTATGTTCTAGTTGCTTATTCACTGTGAAACAATAACTTTCCATATGTTGACCAAGGAAAATCTTCCCCTGAAGGTCTTCAATTGCTTCCTCCCATATTTCACCCAGGCTATTTCTGCCATAAGTTTTTTTTTTAAGTGTAGGTCTCTTTATTCTTGTCCTGCCACATTTTAGATAGAAAATTACTGTGAAGATGTTCTGTGCTGGTTTCTTGTGCTTTGTTTAAAATACACACACACACATACACCACACCATACACACACACACCCCACACCATACACACACACACACCCCACACCATACACACACACACACCCCACATACCAAACACACACACACACACACACCCCACATACCAAACACACACACACACACACACACACACAGAGCACGTATAGTTTTTTTCCATGGAGAGGAGGGAGAGGAGGTTTTCATAATGTTTCACACTTTAAAAAAATCTCCTCCAATACCTACTTACAAAACAGCCATAGTGCAAGTCATCTTAGTGTTAGCCATTAAACCTTATCTCTTACATCTGACCTATGATCCATGTATGTATTTGTTTTCTCCCCTTTTTATACTTCCAGATTGAACCATTCACAAGTGTTCCTCTCTCTGTGTGTTTCTTTTTTTCTTTCTTTCTTTCTTTTCTTTTCTTTTCTTTTTTTTTTTTTTTTGAGACAGAGTCTTACTGTGTCACCCAGGCTGGAGAGCAGTGGTATAATCTCAGCTCACTGCAACCTCTGCCTCCCGGGTTCAAGTGATTCTCCTGCCTTAGCCTCCCGAGTAGATAGGATTAGAGGTGTGCACCTCCATGCCCAGCTAACTTTTTGTATTTTCAATAGAGATGGGGTTTTGCCATGTTGGCCAGGCTGGCCTCAAACTCCTAGCCTCAAGTGGTCAGCCTGCCTCAGCCTCCCAGAGTGCTGGGATTACAGGCCTGAGCCACCGCGCCAGGCCCTCTCTCTCTTTTGTCTCTGGTTACAATGTCAGAAATCAGAACTTTCTGTACTGTACTTACTTTTGGACTTAAATAATCCATTTCTTCCTCACTACATTTGTTAGAATTATAAAGTATTTATAGTTATTTTTTTCAAATTTCTTCTATTAATAACAAATAACAACTCTTCAGTTGCATTTCTACACATACTTCCTTTAAGGACAGCTTCTGCATCCATAGGTTTGTGTATCTCTAGCATTATACAGGTGCATAACTTTTTTTTCTGGCTTGTAGAGTAAACTTTACCAAAGTTTCTCAAACCAAAGAGGAGATTATATTGTAATAGTACAAATTAGTTTACAGCTGATTGTAACAAATTTTTTATGATTGTGATGAAAGTGGTTGATATAAATACAAATTATAGAGGAGTGAAATTTTGTTCCTTTGCAGGAAAATAACTTTCACGGAAAATACAAGAAAATATTTTTTTAAAGGGGACAAAAATTGCCCAGCTTCCCTGAGTTTGACAGTTTAGCATTTTTTCTTTCAGAATTTTTCAGAAGGACTTTCCAAGGACTCCAGAGGGAGTTGGGGGCTGGAGGAGAAATACATATATCTCTCTCCAGCAGCATTGCTTGCAAGGTCATGTACCTTGAACTTGCATTTGACTGAAATTGCTCTGTGGGTTGCTTCTAACTCCCTGGGCTATAGGCAGCTGCCATTATAAATGCCAATAAGATAAGTCCACCACCAAGTTATCACAACTGGGTGGTCTTTAGTATGGGAAAGAG
This sequence comes from Homo sapiens, assembly GCF_000001405.40. Classification (NCBI taxonomy): domain Eukaryota; kingdom Metazoa; phylum Chordata; class Mammalia; order Primates; family Hominidae; genus Homo; species Homo sapiens. The sequence continues at coordinate 139,395,629 of NC_000006.12, forward strand.
CCTCAGCTGTTAACAAGCTGTGAAGAAACCATTTGGGCAAAACATACCACCTTAAAATATGGCACTTTGCTGTCGGCTCTAAGGGACCTCTCCTTCCCTCTCTAAATATTTTCTTGTTTCCCCATCCCCTGGCTAAGAACCTTTATTTAAAGCTATTGAGCTTTCCCTTTCTAATTATCTATGCAGTATAATTATTTTTTTCATAGTACGCTTTTTAAGAGGAAGGGAAGCATGGTGGAGTTGTAATCCTGGAAGAGCAGAATTCCATTCGCATCGCCTCTTAAGAGTCCCTAGCTTTGGCGGGGTCCCTTTTTCTGGCCCACAGCTCTCAAGTGCCCCAGCTCCCTTGGCAGCCTTGTGTTAGCCTGAAGTTGGAGAATTCTGGCAAAAGGCGGTTTGCAATATGTACTGTAATGAAAGCCCAGCTGTTGGGGTCTGGAGGCTGAGCTGTGAAGACACCGCTCTGCTGGTGTTCTTGCCTGGCTTGAAGAATTGTCCTTCACGGATCCCCAAGGCAGCACTGGGAGAAGGAAACTATTTTTCAAGATGCATGCGCATATCAAATACGACTTCCTGGAGGCTCCTTCTAAGCCACTTCTGCATTTCAAAGAGGGTTTATTTATCCCATTAGTTAAGTCATCACGTTTAAGGCAAAAGAGGCTTTTTACAGGTGCCTTTAGAAAGGACTTTCTATACATTCCCCTGTGTTGAGCTGACAATGAAGTTCCCACATTGGTTGCTATGCTAATTTAAAATATGTTTTGTTGCTCTTAGGAGATAAACAAACACTTCAGGAAGAGAAATTTTCACAGAGTATTGTAGACCTGGTGTGAGTGCATACAGCAGTTTTTCTCCCCTCAGCAGCTTCGTCTTTGGCAATCACAGTTATAACTATCACTTAGTGACACTAAGCTTTAATTTTTATTTATTTATTTATTTATTTGTTTGTTTGTTTGTTTATTTATTTATTTTTGAGGTGGAGTCTCGCTCTGTCGCCCAGGCTGGAGTGCAGTGGCGTGATCTCGGCGCAGTGCAACCTCCGCCTTCCAGGTCCAAGCGATTCTCTCACCTCAGCCTCCCAAGTAGCTGGGATTACAGGCGCAGGCCCCATGCCCAGGTAATTTTTGTATTTTTAGTAGAGATAGGGTTTCGCCACGTTGGCCAGGCCGGTCTGAAACTCCTGACCTCAGGTGATCCGCCCGCCTCGGCCTCCCAAAGTGCTGGGATTACAGGCGTGAGCCACCGCACCCGGCCGACAGTAAGCTTTAAAAAAATATTTTTTGGCCGGGCACGGTGGCTCACGCCTGTAATCCCAGCACTTTGGGAGGCCGAGGCGGGCGGATCACGAGGTCAGGAGATCGAGACCATCCTGGCTAACACGGTGAAACCCCGTCTCTACTAAAAATAGTAAAAAATTAGTTGGGCGTGGTGGCGGGAGCCTGTAGTCCCAGCTACTCGGGAGGCTGAGGCAGGAGAATGGCCTGAACCCGGGAGGCGGAGCTTGCAGTGAGCCGAGATCGTGCCACTGCACTCCAGCCTGGGCGACAGAGCGAGACTCCGTCTAAAAAAAAAAAAAAAAAAAAAATATATATATATATATATACACATATATACTTTTTTTTAAATTTTAGAGACAGGGTCTCGCTCTGTTGCTCAGTCTGAAGTGCAGGGGCATGACAATAGCTCACTGAAGCCTCGAAATCCTGGGATCAACTGATCCTCCCAGTTTAGCCTCTTGAGTATCTAGGACTACAGGTATGCATGCCACCATGCCTGGCTAAGTTCTTTTTTTTTTTTTTTTGAGACGGAATCTCGCTCTTGTCACCCAGGCTGGAGTGCAGTGGCATGATCTCGGCTCACTGCAACCTCTGTCTCCTGGGTTCAAACGATTCTCCTCCTCAGCCTCCTGAGTAGCTGGGATTACAGGTGCCTGCCACAACGCCCGGCTAATTTTTGTATTTTTAGTAGAGACGGAGTTTCACCATGTTGGCTAGGGCAGGCTCAAAAGTTGTTTTTTTTTTTTTCCTTTCTTCTAATTTTTTGTAGCGACTGGATCTCAGTGTTTCCCAGGTTGGTCTGGAAGTCCTGGCTTCAAGAGATCCTCCTGTCTCAGCCTCCCAGAGTGCTGGGATTACACGCGTGAGTCATCACGCCTGGCCCAATATTAAGCTTATTTTGTGCCATTGTGATAGTTTCCTAGTTAGCTCTATACCTCCAGTTCCCATTTATCCAATTCTTCCTACACACTAGAGCCAAAGTGTTCTTTCTAACTTAAAAATGCTATCATGTTGCTCCTTATTCCTGAGCTTAAAATTCTTCAAGGATCCACAGAAGGTGATGCCACCTTTTTAGCGTGGCAGAAAAATCCTTCATGCCCTGGTCCCTGACAATCTCTCCAACTTTACTCTCCCACAAGGAGCATGCTTCCTAAAGAGCAATAGAGAGCCAACATGTATAAGTACTAATTACTAAGTACCAAGAACAGGGCTAAATGCTTTAAAAAGTGCAATTTGGCCGGGCGCAGTGGCTCACGCCTGTAATCTGAATACTCTGGGAGGCCGAGGTGGGTGGATCACCTGAGGTCAGGAGCTCGAGACCAGCCTGGCCAACATAGTGAAATCCCGTCTCTACTGAAAATACAAAAATTAGCTGGGTGTGGTGGCAGGCACCTGTAATCACAGCCACTCGGGAGACTGAGGCAGGAGAATCGCTTGAACCCAGGAGGCGGAGGTTGCAGTGAGCCGATATCATGCTACTGCACTTCAGCCTGGGTGACAGAGTGAGACTCCATCTCAAAAATAAATAAATAAATAAATAAAAATAAAAAATAAATAAAAAGTGCAATTTGATTCTCTTCATGACTTCAAGAAGTAGATAGTATTATTATCTCAATTTTGCAGATGTGGAAACAGAGGCTTAGAGAGCTTAGGTAACTTGTGGGAAGTCTCCAGTTTCTAAGTGGTGAAGCCTAGAGACCCTTCCTGATGATCTGACGTCAAAGTCTGTGTGTTCAACCACTACACTATGCTATTTCTTCTGCTGAATTGCTAGCTGTTTCTGAACACCCTGTTCATTCTCTCTTATGACTTATGTCTTTACACATGCTGTTCCCATTTCCTGGAAAGATCAATCACATTTGTTCAACTGCTGGCTCTTTCTCCACCCTAACATCTCCACTCAGTTGTTAATTTCTCCAGAAGCCTTTCCAGCTCTCCAAGGCAGTGTTAGGACACAATGCTCTGCAACCATACAGCCAAATGCTGTGTGCAATCAAGCTGTTATTTGCTTGCCTTGGGTTTGCTTACATCTTACATATCTAGTTCTGTGACTGGACTGTGGGCCGTTTGAGGGCAAGGAATTTTATTTTTATATCCCTAATGCTGATGTCAGTGTCTAATACATGATTAGTTGAGGCTCAATAAATTCTTGTTGAATGGTATGAATGTAAGAATGAATTGATAGGAGCTGGGGAAATATAATGTGCACATGATTTGCTTATTTTTAATAGAATCTTGTCTATTCTCTGGTGCAAAAATTTCCCATCTGTGGTTTTTACATCCCTCAGGGTCCTTGAAGATTGTAATAGCTCCTTGAGTTATTTTCAATATTTCAAAAGGCTAACAGAAACCATTACATTTACTTACAATAAGTCCCTAGAGGCTAAATAAAATGTCAAGTTTCTTTGCTCTTGGCTAAAATCATATCAACTTGTTGTGGTAACAACAATCTCTGGTAACAGAGATTCTCTCCTAATGATCAGAAACTCTGACTGGCAGGAAGGGCTAGGTGTGATTAATAACACAATAAGAAAATAAGTGATCTGTTACTTAAATACTGCTTGTTTAGTGGAAGAAATTCTTCAAAGATTAGAATTACAGGGAGAAAACTCCAAATAAAAGTAAAACCTGGCTGGGTGTGGTGGCTCACGCTTGTAATCTCAACACTTTGGGAGGTCGAGGCAGGCGGATCGCTTGAGCACAGGAGTTCAAGACCAGCCTTGGCAACAGAGTGGAACCTCATCTCTACAAAAAATACAAAAAATTAGCTGGGCACGGTGGTGGTTTACGTGTATAGTCTCAACTACTCAGGAGGCTGAGATCGATTGAGCTGGGCAGGTTGAGACTAGAGTGAACCTAGATGGCAACAGAGTGAGACTTTATCTCAAAAAAAAAAAAAAAAAAGTGGATCTTTCATGATACAAGTATGGGTAAGTTTCCATCTTAATTAATGGACTAATGTAGCCCGCAATCTCCTAATCTGCACAGAAGCCCCTTTTCAAAAAGCCAAGGAAATTATTTTATGATTGGGCAAATATGGCTTTTCTATTGAACATTTTTTTTAAAAAAACTTCTCTATTGACAATTGTATGTAAGGGTGATCTGGGTTCTTTTTCTGCTATCCATTGATGATTAGGTTTAATATGGCTTATTGAGTTGGATTTATGTTCTTTCAAAAATTTCATTGTTACTTTCTTTCCAAAAAAAAGAAAAAGGAAAAGATAAGAGAGCAAAGGAGACAAACAGGTTTTTCTCATTCCTCCCTATGGCTTCTGGCCTATGTATTTTAATTATTAAAACTCTCAGCAGGTTACTTTATTGAAATAAATTCCAAATCTCCAATTTGTCACATTTTTCACTGACTTGGTCTGGAATACACCATCACTATTATAAATTATTTCATCCCTGTCAGTGAAGGCAAAAGGTCCTTCATTAGTAGTTTGGCTCTGTCACAAGCCTTTCTGCGGGTTCATTTGGTCTCATGATTTATTGTAAAATTTATAGTGTGTAAACATTGCCATAACCTTTGGGGTAGTAAACTCATCAAACCTTTTGTAATATCTCCTCTCATTCCCTTGTATTGTTTGGCCAATACAATCTTCCTAGGATTGTAAATATTCTTCCATTTCTTGCTTACCATCATTCATAGATCAGACTACTCTTTTCTTCATTTCTAGACCCTGAAACATCATAGTCATCAAGCTTCATAGAAGACAGCAATCAGGCTCTGATATCTGTAGTGCCAAATTCAATTCCATCTGAAGTGCAGCCATTATCTCCTCCCTCAAGTTCATCCTCCGGAGAAGCTGGAGTTATCTGTTCAAAAGGGAGATTGGATCCCGTTCGTCTCCTGATTAGAAATCTTTAAGGGATCCTCATTGCTGACATTATCAACTCCAAATATTAAGTTGATTGCCCAAAGTTGAAGAATTCTGGCTATTCGAGGCCCTTGACAATTTGTCTTCAAGGCTAACTTTTCAGCTTCAGCTGCCACCAGAGCCCTAAGTTTCTCCTTCAGCCTCCTTTGATGCCAGCCTTTCTACAACATGACATGACCATTCACCCCCAAATGGTCTGGCATTCCTGTTCAATTCCCACTTGTTCTCCAAAGTCCTGCTTAAATGTCATCATGTCTGGAAATGTTTACTCATTCTTATATTATACAGCATATCATCTTTTGATATGTATTACAATTAGCTTTTTTTATGTCTGCCTATTCCTTTTTTCTTATTCTTTTCTTTTTTTTTTTGAGACAAGGTCTTGCTCTGTTTCCCAGACTGGAGTGCAGTGGTGCGATCACAGCTCACTGCAGCCTCGACCTCCCAGGGTCAAGCAATCTTCCTGCCTCAGCCTCCCAAAGTGCTGGGATTACAAGTGTGAGCCACCACACCCAGCCCTGTCTTTTCCATTTCTAGGAGCTCTTTGAGGACACTGGTCAGGTTTTGTTTGTATTCATAATGGATTCTAATCACTAGGAAGACCATGCAGGTTATCAATCAATCTGGGACACTTGTGAGACTGCCTAGGAGCACTGTTTGTTGTTGTTGTTGTTGTTTGTTTGTTTGTTTTTTGAAATGGAGTCTCACCCTCTTTCCCAGGCTGGAGTGCAATGGCACGATCTGGGCTCACTGAAACCTCCACCTCTTGGGTTCAAGCGATTCTCCTGCCTCAGCCTCCCGAGTAGTTGGGATTACAGGCACGCACTACCACACCCAGCTAATTTTTTGTATCTTTAGTGGAGACGGGGTTTCACCATGTTGGCCAGGCTGGTCTCAAACTCCTGACCTCGTGAGCTGCCCGCCTCAGCCTCCCAAAGTGCTGGGATTGTAGGTGTGAGCCACTGCATCCGGCAGGAGCACTGTTAATAAGTACAAATGCTTCATGCTAGTCTCATAAATTGTCTTGGGTTCCATGAGGGTGTCTGCCATCATCATCCCTCTGCCATGTCCACCTGGAAAATCCCTCTTCACCTTTCAGGATTCTCTTATGCATAATTCTTCAGAGAAGCTTCCCTTAATTCTCTCTAGATGAGATTAGGAGCTGTTTCTGGGGTGCTGGCTGCTCTAAGCATACCTTGTTTTGTATTACACCAATTTGCTTATTTTCCTGCCTTGCACAGCTAGGATTGGAGCTCCATGAGGCAATGACTACGTCTTATTCACCTCTGATTTCCAATTACTGTGTACTCTCTTAGTAAATGTCAATTGGATTAAGTATAACTTTGGAATTCCCATAGCTTTTAGGTGGAAAAGTCATTAATTTTTTTTTATAACATTTTCTTTTACTGTTTGTTTAACATACGTTTCTGGGATTAAAATTGTTTTTACGTTTTAATAAATGTTTACTATTTATTAAAATGAATACATCTGATACTACATATCAAATTATGATTGTATTTGAAATGTAACCGGGTATTTAGGGCTTTTGCACCATTTTTTCAAAGCCCCTGGATGGATAATCCTCTCACTAGCATTCCGCCTATGAAACAATTTTGAGGGGATGTCCAGGATCCACATTCTTTGAGGAGTGTTAATACCACACAAAATATTTTGAGAATTTGGGAAAATTCTGTGTTCACATGTGACCCAACTGAAAAACCAAGTGAAATTTCTTGTTCTCCATCATTTTTTTTTTTTTTCCGAGGCGGAGTCTCGCTCTGTCGCCCAGGCTGGAGTGCAGTGTTGCATCTCGGCTCACTGCAAGCTCCCGCTCCCAGGCTCACGCCATTCTCCTGCCTCAGACTCCGGAGTAGCTGGGACTACAGGCGCCCGCCACCACGCCCGGAGAATTTTTTGTGTTTTTAGTAGAGACGGGGTTTCACCGTGTTAGCCAGGATGGTCTCAATCTCCTGACCTCGTGATCCACCCGCCTCAGCCTTCCAAAGTGCTGGGATTACAGGCGTGAGCCACCGCTCCCGGCCCTTGTTCTCCATCATTATTCTGAATCTCTTTGGCTGAGTTTCAGCCAGCCTTTCTAAGTCTTGAGCCCTTGAGAAAGAATGCTTGAAGTGGGATGAATGAGGAGTGTGACCTGTTTCCCATCAGAAGGGCGTGAAATGCTCCACAGGCTTTTAACATTTCTGGAAGTTAAGGAAGAACTTATGAATCACATCCATACATCTTTTCCCTGGAAAAATACACCTGCGTCATCTACTTCCTCCTCTCCTCTCAGCCAGGAAATGACACCCTTGGCATAGAGACACCGTAACAACAGGTCTGATGTGTAACCAGGCCCAGGAACAGGACCTTTAGAGAGCATGTGATGGACTTCTCCCATTGCCTCTTGCTGGCCTGTGGTTTCTCTCGTCCTCTAAGAACACTCCTGTTGGACGAGTGGGAAGAATGACTAACATCGGTCACAATCTTTGAGCACTTAATGCTGTGCATGTCACACTCTGACCTGCTGACAAATGTGGAATGAAAATAGAATGAAAGAGGACTTCGCAATTTTAGTAATGAATTACATCTGGTTGAAGTATTTAGAGTTCACAAACTTTGGCCCGAAGCTGAGAGTGAGGGGGTGGTGGGGGTGTGGTGGGGAAAGAGAATACATCAGAATAATGCACTCAGAGCATGAATACTGTCTTTAAAAGAAAGTTTTGTGACTTTAGTTTGTAATTGCTATAATGACAGCACCTTAGATTTTCAGGATGTTGCTTCTGCTCCTGTTCTGCACCGTCTTGTTCTTTTGTTCAGTTTATTCAGTAAACAGCTGGGAAGCACTCAGTGTGTCTAGGCCAATAGCAGAGGTACTGGGCAAACAGATGGGAGATAGGCCCCTGGCGTGGGAGCCCCTGTTCTGCTTTTCCAGACACCTGCTTTGTGACACTTCCATTCGGGGCCCTACCTCCGTGCAGGTGCTTCCAGTGCAGGGGATCCTGCCTGCCCTGGATATGTGATGAGCTACTTTGTCCCAAAGACTATAAGGAACAACTAGTTGGGTGATTAATAGTATGTTCTAGGTGCTGTACTAGACACTGCACAAATATTACTTCAGGCATGCAGGTAGAATAGGGTAATGACTGAGAAACTGGCTTCAGAGACCCACAGGCCCCAGCTCTGCCATCCGCAGTCTTAACCAGCACTCTTAGTACTCATCAGGACTCAATTAGCATGCTTACTAGTTGGGCCCTGTCTGTTTTAGTTTCCTCATTTAAAAATAATCTTGGCCGGGCACCGCGGCTCAAGCCTGTAATGCCAGCACTTTGGGAGGCCGAGGCGGGCGGATCACAGGTCAGGAGATCAGGACCATCCTGGCTAACACGGTGAAACCCTGTCTCTACTAAAAAAAAATAAATAAAATTTAGCCGGGTGTGGTGGCGGGCACCTGTAGTCCCAACTACTCGGGAGGCTGAGGCAGGAGAATGGCAAGAGGCCGGGCGGCAGAGCTTGCAGTGAGCCAAGATCGCGCCACTGCGCTCCAGCCTGGGCGACAGAGCGAGACTCTGTCTCGAAAAAATAAAAAATAAACAAATAAAAAAAAAATCTTTACTTAGGTTGACAGGAGGATTAATGAAAGGAAATTATTCTTTTTTGGTTGATTCTCAAATCCATAGTTCATGCCAAAATTCATTTCTCCACCCCAACCAACCCCACATGCATTTACAAGATCTTTGGACATCCTGAATTATTTTGGAAATTTGGGGGACATTGTGTTGCTACCATGGGCAAAAGGTTCCTGGGAAGTTACTCCAAGTGTAGCTCAAGCAAGCAACAGGTCTTACCGAGCTGTCAAACAACCTCCTCAACCAATGCACATCGTAATGCTGCCTTAGTATTTTTCAAAGATTTAAACATCTAACTGCAGTATGTAGATAACAAACAACTGAACACTGCTTACAGTAGCTATGCTTCATGTTGAGGTTGTTGAGAAGATGCTGTGGATATGGTGCTTGTAGGCTCCAGGTCATAGGTTCAAATGCAACCCAATCTGCAACTATCATGGGATATTTGTCTCTGCAAAATCTGTGTCCTAAACTCAAAATCTAAGATACAGCTGGATGCATTTTGAAAAATGGCCACCACCTTTGACACTTTGTTGGGGTATTAGTAGAAAGACCAGTCATAGTGAGTTGGGACAGAATGAACATAAAATATTAATCTTAAAATAATAAAGGAGAAGTGTTCAAATTTTATTAGACTAAATCATCTTAAACACACACGGTGGGTTTTTTTGCTTTCATATTGCATATGCTAATAGTAAGTGTTCTACTTAGATGAACATATCAAGAATTGTGTATTTTTTATAATCTATCATTTTAGGAAATTAGTAATGTATTTTATTTATTTAAATTTTTTTGTAGTATTATTGCCAATTATTGTAAATTACAGCTTTATATGCTATAAGCCCAATCAGCAACAGCTTTATAATTTTTCCTTAATGCAGTTTTTTTAAAAACAAATGAGAGTTATAAGAAAAATTCACTCATATTGTCTATATTTTTCTATGTAGTTACTTTTACGATTATCTTTATTTCTTCATATGGATTTATGTTACTGGCTAGTGTAATTTTGGCCTGAAAGACTCCCTTTAGTGGTTAGGGCAGATCTGCTAGAGATAAATTTTCTGCATTTGTTAATTTGAAAGTTTCTTAATTTCTGCTTTTTTTAATTTACTTTTTTAAATTGACAAATAAAAATTGTATATATGGCTGGGTGTAGTGGCTCATGCCTGTAATCCCACCAATTTGGGAGGCTGAGGTGGGTGGACCACCTGAGGTCAGAAGTTCGAGACCATCCTGGCCAACATGGAGAAACTGTGTCTTCACTAAAAAAATACAAAAATTAGCCAGGTGGGGTGGCACACACCTGTAATCCCAGCTGCTCCAGAGGCTGGGGCACGAGAATTGCTTGAACCCAGGAGGAGGAGGTGACAGTGAGTCAAGATGGCGCCACTGCACTCCAGCCTGGGTGACAGGGTGAGACTTCATTTCCCAAAAAAAAAAAAAAAAAGAATTACATATATTGGTGATGTCTAACAAATTTTTAAAAATGCCATTGCTTTATTGGTAAAGCTATGGCTACTACAGCTTGTAGGAGAGTTATCTGGACATAGAATTCTTGATTGACAAGAATTTTGGCTTCCATTGTTGTCGATGAGAAGCCAAGTATTAACCATTGTTTTTTATATTGCAACTTTTATTTTAGATTCAAGGGGTCCGTGTGCAGGTTTGCTACATGGGTATATTGTGTGATGCTGAGGTTTGGGGTACAATAGATCCTCTCACCCAGGTACTAAGCATAGTACCCAATAGTTTTTCCGCCCTCTCCCCCCATTCTTCCTCCCGCCTCTAATAGTCCCCAGTGTCCATGAGTCCCCAGCATTTAGTTCCTACTTATAAATGAGAACACTTGGTATTTGGTTTTCTTTTCCTGTGAGGAACTGTGCAATTTAATATTTCCTAGATAAAAACAGACATTGTGATTGTTTTACTGGGTTTTATAATGTTGACATCTACTTTTCCCACCAAAAATTTATGAAACGTTAAGTTTTTCCCTGAATTGGGTTTTATTTTCTCATGAAATAGTCCCTCCTTAGAAACAGTTTTCCAAGGTAGAGAGCAACGTTTCCAGATCGAATTTACTCTAAACATTCTCCTTAATCATTCATTCACTCATTAAGCAAGGAATAACCTAGTCCCTACCATGAGCAGAGTACATCACTTGCTGAGTTAGGTGCTGTAGATACAACACAGTTTAACACAGAATCCTCACCCTAAAGAGCTTATGGCCTAGGTAGTAGTATAGTGTAGACACACAGTAAATGTTAAATGGTGATTCAACAGTACCTGAGATGTCACAAGGCTGAGTGTGACTATGTATCAAGTGAATGACATTGACAGTAAACAAATGCTGGGAGTTCCTAAGAAGGAGAAATTGCTATGACTAGAAGAGGTCAGACAGGCTCTGTGAGAGGTGGAACTGCATCCGGCCTTGAAAAGCAGGGAGTTCTTAGGAGGGCGATGAAAAGATGTATTATGCATTTCAGACCAGAGCCCAAGGTTTGAGCCAAAGCCCAGTGATGGGAATGAGCAAAAGTGAAATTTGAGGTGAATCAGGCTGCCTCCCACCTTAGAGGTGGTGAAGGGCTTCGGCTTTGTGTGTGTGTGTGTGTGTGTGCATGTGTGTGCGTTTCTGTGCTCAATATTACCTGCAAAGTGACCATCCCTGAAACAAAATAGCCAAGAATCCAAGCAATGCAGCATTTAGACCTGGGAAGCAAGAGTGAGCAATGGGGCTTGAGCTGTCAGAGTCCTGTCAAGGAAGTGAGGGTCCTGAAGCCCTGGACAGTTCTTCCTCTTCCTTCTCAACCCTGCTTTCTTTGTCAGATAAAAGGGAGACAAACCAGATAAACAGGACACACAGAGATTTTGGGTTTGATTTTACTCTCCCAGGTGTAGTTTTGTCTTCTGTCTACACATAAAGCAATTCCCAACTTAAACCCATTTTTTTAAGTTTTCAGTGAGGGATATCTGATTTTCTATAGCTTTTTTAAAAGAAAAATTAGAAAGCTTTTCTAATCTAATTTGAAACTGATCTTCTCCCACCTTCTTCTTCCTGAGGTTGAAATTGAGTAAGTCCCTTTCATAGTCTTCTCTAGGCCAAATAGCTTTATGATTTTAGTTGTTTCTCTAAGGGCTATTTCTTCAACATATAACCAATTTAAAAAACTGATTTTTTATTAAACACCCTCACATTCTCCGTATTCCACTTTAAAATGCGAACTTAAAGATGGTGTGGAGTATTCTAGGATAGCCTGTAGCTGGTACTGAGCATCAAGGAAAGAACACTTGTTTTTCTTTTACTAAATCAAACATGCTTTTAAAGCTCAAGCCTGAACCCTAATAGCTTGTGTTGACGATGATCTCCAGAGCGTTTTCTGTATGACATCACAGAATGAATCCTGCATTTCTGTGGTTTGTTTTTCTTCCCATATGAATGACACTACAGAACCTCACCCTGTTTATGTCCACCCACTTCTCCAACTTATCAAGATCATTTGCACTTCTATCCAGTTTTCCAAAGTGGAATGTACCACACCTGATTTGATGTCATCGCTGAATTTAATAACCACATTCTCTCCCATCATCTAAGTCACTACTAAAAATAGCACTAAGTTAAGACCAACCTCTCTGGAATTCCATGAGGTATGCATCTCTGGGCTGCCACTGGACCATTAATAATTACTTAGTGAGAAAAGCCTTCTAATCACTTATGCATCTACCGGATGAGGGGATGATTTCAGGGTGCAGTTCTGAATTGCCCAATAGCAAGACAACACTTAAAACTGCACAATACTCAAAACTATTTATGTCTTTGCCTTCTACTTGATTTTTACCCGACTTGTCATACTTTTGAGGAGTAGCAGTTGACTAATGTGATCTTAGTCAAATGCTAATTAAAAAGAAACTGATTGAGACAGTTTCTTTTTAAACAGAACGGTCTTAATTTTTTTCCAGTAAGCTAGTGTGTATGTGTGTGTGTGTGTGTGTGTGTGTGTGTGTGTCTGTGTGTGTGTGTGTGTGTGTGTCTATAGGATAACAATATATTTCTGGATTTGAATGTTAAGACATTGAGTCTAATTTTTTTAGTTTTCTTATTTTTCTTTCAGAAACACATGTGCATTTCTCTCTTTCAGTCCATAGATACCTTAAGTTTGTGAAGATAATTGCTGGTGATTCTGCGATGACTTCCTTGAAATGCCATACCCTGGTGTTTGCCAGTAATTGTTTATTCATTCTGCCACTTGATCTTCCAGGTCATGCATTAACATATGTATTTATATATAATAATGATTTTCAATTTACTGAGTGGAGTATTCATTTGAAGTACTATAAAAACGCAAGGATTAAAGCGATTCCTACCTCATGTTTGTCACCTAACTGGGACAGACATGACAATTAAACAATAATAAAAACATGCAGGAAGAAAAGGTCAATCATACTGCTGAGACTTTGCTGGAAGCTGGTGAATTTTTCTTTGGTACAACTTTGGACTGTAGCCACTTTGATTTAGAGAAGACCCATCGTCGGAAAAGCCCTCGTGGGAACGTGGAATGCGGGAGCTTTGAGAAGGGGTCTGAAAGAGAAAAGGGAACTAGCTAGGATAGTTGGAGGGAAAGCCAAGGTTCATACAAAAACAAACGAATTGTTCTCATCTCTGTTTTGGGAAAGGGATTTTCGGTGGCTTCGAAAGGAATTCTGTGTATGAAGGGTATGTAGGGGAAGGGAGACTGTTTAAAGGAGTCAGCCCTTGTTTTACCTGGCTGCCAGACAAAAGAACCTCCTAGCCACAAGAAATTGGTTGCACAACTCACAATATCTTGTTATGACAAGGGCTGTTGCTAGCGACTGGTGTTACTGGTGCTGGAATTCTAAAAGGTTGTTTTCTACAAGCCATCCATATATGTTGGATATTGTGACTCAAATGTTGATTGTGGTTAACCTGCACAGAGATGGGAGTAGAAGTGATTCCTCCAGGAAGGCTAGCTGGATTGCAGCTAGTCCATCTGCATACTGTTAGGGAACATGCCAACTGATGAGGCCAGGTCTAGTGCTGTGATCTCCCCTCACTCATCCCTCACTCAGCCATCTCCAGCCCAGTGGCCAAAATTGAAACCTGACGTGGTATTATCTCTTCTTATAGCCTGGGCTAGGATCCTCACCCCTGGGATCAGTCTTGGGGTGAGTCAATAAAAGAGTGGCCATCGGCCGGGCGCGGTGTCTCACGCCTGTAATCCCAGCACTTTGGGAGGCCGAGATGGGCGGATCGCGAGGTCAGGAGATCGATGCCATCCTGGTGGTGAAACCCTGTCTCTACTGAAAATACAAAAAATTAGTCGGGCCTGTGGTCCCAGCTACTTGGGAGGCTGAGGCAGGAGAATGGCATGAACCTGGGAGGCAGAGCTTGCAGTAAGCCAAGATTGCACCACTGCACTCCAGCCTGGGCGACAGAGTGAGACTCCATCTCAAAAAAAAAAGAGTGGCCATCACCTCCAGGAAGCCCTGGTAGCAGTTTGAATGTACCTATACGAAGTGGTGAAGTGAGTGGTGTCTTCTACTTTACTCTATCCTATTAGTTGAAAGGAATAGTTTATTGTGCTTCCTAACAACCAAACCTGGCCCCGAGGACATGAGATTCCAGATGTCTAACCTGCAAAGTGGAGTGTGAGGGGGTCAGAGACAGGACGAAGAGAGCACGGCATGAAAACGGTTGGGCTAGAATGCTGTGATGCCCTGGAAAGACATTGACAGGCCATCTGTAGTGGGTGGATGTCGGTGCCAAAGATGCGGGCTGAGGAAAAGGGGGCTAGGGATTCCCAAACTTTGCCAATAGCTGCCTTCTTCTCATCTCTTTTCCTCTTATTCTCTTACATGTCTACTACTAAGCCTAATAAGACTTAATAAGACTAATATTAAGTGTCTAAAGCATCCTGCTCTGTACCAAAGATCTCTGAATGAGGCTACTGTTTATTGTATTCTTTGTTAGGTGAAAGGTTAAAAAAAAAGTGCGTGTTTTTTTAATCCGGTTCATTCAGGTTTGAATATAGAGCAGAGCAAAATACAATGAAGAGTATTGTACATTAATGGTCCCAGTTTCTTGAGATACTGAGAGAATATAGCTTTGTGTTCTCGCCATAAATTAAAGGGAGACCTTCCAAAGCCTTGACTGATGTCCTTCTTAGATTTTTGTAGTATTGAAGCCTGTGGACATTGGTATGTGGAGAGATTTGAGTCTCAGCTAGTATAAGCTTGGTTGCTGAGTTGCAAGTCCTTCTTACCAAACAAGCACACAATAGCAGCTTCCATAACAGAGTAATATATTTCATGATGGGTGCCAGATAGGGCAAAGGGAATGTGTTATCCCGTGGTAGATCAACCCATCTCTTTGATACCGGCTGGAAACAGAAGTTGAAACTTGCCACCGGTTGCATAAGTGATTCCTTGTATACGATATGTCTAATTACAAATTTTTTTTTTTTTTTTTTGAGATGGAGTCTCACTGTGTCACCCAGGTTGGAGTGCAATGGTGCAATCTTGGCTTACTGCAGCCTCTGCATCTTAGGTTCAAGGGATTCTTGTGCCTCAGCCTACTGAGTAGTTGGGATTACAGGCACATGCCATCATGCCCAGTTAATTTTTGTATTTTTAGTAGAGATGGGGTGTCACCATGTTGGCCAGACTGGTCTCGAACTCCTGACCTTAGGTGATCCTCCAGCCTCGGCCTCCCAAAATGCTGGGATTACAGGCGTGAGCCACCGCTCCTGGCCTAATTACAAATTTTTAAGTATAAAAATTGTATTAGGGTTCTCAAGAGGGACAGAACTAATGGAATAAATAAATAAATAAATTATATATATATATATACACACATATATATAAAGGGGAGTTTATTAAGTATTAACTCACACAATCACAAGGTCCCACAATAGGCCATCTGCAGTCTGAGGAGCAAGGAGAGCCAGTCCAAGCTCCAAAACTGAAGAACTTGGAGTCCAATGTTCAAGGGCAGGAAGCATCCAGCACGGGAGAAAGATGCAGCCTGAGAGGCTAGACCGATCTCTCTTTTCAACTTTTTCTGCCTGCTTTTTATTCTAGCCATGCTGGCAGCTGATTAGATTGTGCCCACCCAGATTTAGGGCCCGTCTGCCTTTCCCAGCCCACTGACTCAAATGTTAATCTCCTTTGGCAACAACCTCATAGACACACCCAGGATCAATATTTTGTATCCTTCAATCCAAGCAAGTTGACATTGAGTATTAACCATCCCAGTAGTCATTAGCTTCTGGGTGGAGAACTTGCTGTTTTATTTGAATAGAATCTGGGTAATGTTCAGTCCCAAGATATACTTTCTCTGCTTTCAAAAAGCAGGGTTAGGTGTTACTTTTTTTATGCATAATGCAAGTAGAGGGGAATATTGTTACATACTATAGGCTGAAATGGAATTTCTCGCATTTTGCCATAAGGTTGTTAAGGTGTGTTAATGCACTAACTTTGCATGCGTGAATGCACACACTTAGGGCATTTGGAACTTGTGGAAGAGTCTCTTGCTGGGCCCTTGCAGGGGCTGGCCGTGGCAGGAGTCACAGCTGAATGGGAAGCTGGAAGGACTATCCCTTGATTACTTACAGCCACTTTCTACACTGCTTGCCTGTGCTGGGAAGCTTTGTTTGTAAATTCCTGCTTGACTTTAGGTTTCATCACTGATTAGTCCTCTGTTCATTTTTTTCTGATGAAGCTGCTATTAGTTGTTTCAGTAAGAAATATCTATGTATGTTGCACACGTATGTTTATTGTGGCACTATTCACAATAGCAAAAACTTGGAACCAACCCAAATGTCCATCAATGATAGACTGGATTAAGAAAATGTGGCACATATACATGATGGAATACTATGCAGCCATAAAAAAGGATGAGTTCATGTCCTTTGCAGGGACATGGATGCAGCTGGAAACCATCATTCTGAGCCAACTATCACAAGGACAGAAAACCAAACACTGCATGTTCTCACTCATAGGTGGGAATTGAACAATGAGAACACATGGACACAGGGTGGGGAACATAGCACACTGGGGCCTGTCCTGGGGTGAGGGGCAGGGGGAGGGATAGCATTAGGAGAAAGACTCAATGTAAATGACGAGTTAATGGGTGCAGCAAACCAACATGGCACATGTATACCTATGTAACAAACCTGCACGTTGTGCACGTGTACCCTAGAATTTAAAGTATAATTAAAAAAAAAAAGAAATATCTATGTATCAACACCTCACTTGCCCATTGATGCCAAGGCCTGTGGTGTTTCAAATGAGTGTAATTTCAGAATAATGGATCACATTCCTTCAGAAGTGCCTTTTAACCCAATTTAAGAATTGTTCTGGCTGGGTGCGGTGGCTCATGCTTGTAATCCCAACACTTTGGGAGGCTGAGGCGGGTAGATCTTTGAAGTCAGGAGCTTGAGACCAGCCTGGCCAACGTGGTGAAATCCCGTCTCTACTAAAAATACGAAAATTAGCTAGGCGTGGGGATGCATGCCTGTAATCCCAGCTACTCGGGAGGCTGAGGCAGGAGAATCACTTGACCCTGGGAGGCAGAGGTTGCAGTGAGCCGAGATTGTGCCACTGCCCTCCAGTCTGGGCGACAGAGTGAGATCCTGTCTCAAAAAAAAAAAACAAAAAAAACAAAAAAAACAAAAAGAATTGTTCTTAGTGCACTTTTAAAAATGAGGAATTTATTTACTGTACTAGGAAGAACGCACTCTTTGGAAAGAACATCATGGCAATACCTGGCTGTGTCTCCCTGGACAAGTTTCTAAACTTTTTCTGAGCCGTAGTCTACTTCTGTGTAAAAGGGAAATGAATACGCTTACTTCTTCTTTGAGGTTGTTGAGCACAGTAAATGAGGTCATGTGTCTTGTTCTGTTCCTGCCGCTATCACAGAATACCTGAGACTAGGTAATTTATGAAGAATAAACATTTTCTAGGTCAGGCATGGTGGCTCACACCTATAATCCCAGTATTTTGGGATGTGGTGGGCAGATTACTTGAGGTCAGGAGTTCGACCTCATGACCTCATGACCATGTTGGACAACATGGTGAAACGCCGTCTATACTAAAAGTACAAAAATTAGCTGCATGTGGTGGCACGTGCCTGTAGTCTTAGCTACTTGGAGACTGAGGCAGGAGAATCCCTTGAACCTAGGAGGTGGAGGTTGCAGTGAGCCGAGATTGCACCACTGCACTCCAGCCTGGGTGAGAGTAAGACTCCGTCTCAAAAAGAAAAGAAAAGAACAAACATCTTCTAAAGATCTAGAGACTGGAAAGTCCAAGCCAAGGCAATGGCAGATTCAGCATCTGGTGAGGGCTGCTCTGTACTTCCAAGATGACACCTTGAATGCTGTGTCCTCACATGATAGAAAGGAAGGAAGTGAAAAAAAAATGACCTAGCTCATTCCCTCCAGACCTTTTATCGGAGCACTAATTCATTCATGAGAGCAGAACCCTTTGGCCTAATCACCTCCCAATTCCATACCTTTTAATAATGTTGCATTGGGGATGAAGTTTCAACATGAATTTTGGAAGGGATGTAAACATTCAAACTATGGTAGTATGTAAGGAGATGAACCTAGTGACCAGCTTTTTAAAAGTCACACATTAAGCTGTAGTAAGTCTAAGCTGGCTTCTAATAGTTTGGGAGCTGATAGTTGAATTTTCTGGAAGTTCTTGAGCAGGTTGACCTGATTTGGTAGCTTGAAATCAGTTATGGTGAAAGTATGAATCAGACTTTTTCTTCCCCTTGGAGAGTTGGTTGTTAAACATTTAGGAGTACACCATTGATAATAACTATCAATTCCCCTTCAGCATAGCTCCAAATTATAATCCTCCTAGCCTTTCAAAAAAAAAAGCCAAATAGAATTTAAAATGATCCTATAAAGAGGATTTAAGATAATCACAGTAAACTTCAGTCACTTGCCATATTATAGCACAGAGATGCTGCCAGGGCCCATTGAAATTTTCTCTATAGGACTAGAGAATGCTCTATTTTTTGCGGTTTTTATCTTTGCTCTCTGTAATTTTTTCTTTCTCTCATTATACCAGGTTAGTTGGTGTGGCTGTCTCTAATAGCTCCTTCCCACTTCTTATTTGCTATTTCTGATCATTTTGTTAGCTGAAAAATCAGCTTTAACATTATATGTAAAGTAAAAGTAACTGGTTCCCAATTAAAGAATGGGCAAAGGATCTGAATAGACTTTTCTCCAAGGAAAATATACAAAGGGTCAATAAGCACATGAAAAGGGGTACCAGATCATTAGTCATTGGGGAAATGCAAATCAAAACCACAATGAGATACCACTTCACACCCACTGTCTACAATCAAAAAGCCCAATAATAAGAAGTTGATGAGGATGTGGAGAAATTGGGACCATTATCACTGTTGGCAGGAATGTAAAATGGTACAACAATGTTGGAAAATAGTCTGGAAGTTTTTCCAATAATTGCACAATTAGTGTATGACCCAGTACTTCTGCTCCTCAGCATATATCCAAGAGCAATGAAAACATATGTCCACACAGAAATGTATGAGTATAAGAATGTTTACAGCAGCATTATTCACGATGGCCACAGTGGAAAGAACCTAAATGTCCATCAACTGAAAAAGAAATAGTAAAAATTTGGTATATCCAGTCCATGGAATATTATTTGGCCATAAAAAGGCATGAAGCACTGATACATGCTACAGTATGGATAAACTTTATTTATTTATTTATTTATTTAGAGACAGGGTCTCGCTCTGTCACTCAGGCTGGAATGCAGTGGTGCAATCCTGGCTCACTGACACCTCCCCTGCCTGGACTCAAGCTGTCTTCCCACCTCAGCCTCTTAAGTAGCTGGGACTATAGGCTTGCACCACCACACCCTGCTAATTTTTGAAGAGACGGGGTTTCACCATGTTGCCCAGGCTGATCTCTAACTCCTGGGCTCCAGTGATCCCCGAACCTTGGCCTCCCAAAATGCTGGGATTACAGGCATGAGCCACCGTGCCCAGCCTGGATAAACTTTAAGCACATTATGCTAAGTGAAAGAAGTCAGTCACAAATGACCATGTATTCTATGACTCCATTCATGTGAAAGTCCAGAACAGAACAATCTATAGAGATAGAAAGTAGGTTATTGTTTGCTTAGGGCTGGGGTGGAAACGAAGATAGGGAGGCAGGAGAGTAACAGCTAAAAGTTATGAGATTTCTCACTGAGGTGATAAAAATGTTCTAAAATTGTCTGTGGTGATAGGTGTACATATCAGTAAATGTCTTAAAAACCATTGAATAGAACACTTTAATGGATGCATTTTATGCCATGTGAATTACATCTCAATAAAGCTGTTAAGATTTTTAAAATATATGTTATCATGAACTATCATTTAATTCATAAACAGCAAGCATGATCTAAACTGAAGAAAAATATTCTTATGCAATTAATATATTAATGAATTTTTTAAAAAGTGAACTGGCTTTGGCTTTGAGGGACAATCTGAAGGGTTCATGAGAAAGGGAAATGCATGGATTTTTGACATCTATTTTCACTGTTCAGGAATCTTTTTCTTTTTGGCTATATTCTGGAGAGTTATTGCCTTGGGTAAGTAATGTCCATCTGAATGAGTTGTTTACAAGAATTTTAATTGCCTTTTAGATGACCAGTACTGAAGGGACTGAAGATGTTTCTCTCTGTCTCTCTGCATTTTTGTATATGTGTAAGTTTAACAGTTTTGGATGATGGTGGTGGTAATACTGCCATTCATAAAAGATGCTTTAATATCTGGTCTCTGTAGAGACTGGGGGATGGTGAGGTATGAGTGGAAGCTGAGAGGGCAATATTGATATGTTGGTATCCACGAGTCGTCATTGGTAGAACTACAGATAAATGATGAGTAAAACTTTCCTAAAATAGCAAGTGATTCAGCAGCTGTGTATATATATATATATATATTTTTTTCTTTTGAAAAGAAGCTTGTAAGACATTTGATACAAAGAGTGGAGAGGTAAAGATACTTATGTAAACACTGACCCATGCCAGTAACTTTCCACTTGATATAACCCTCTTGTGTGATGCCAACACTTAGCAAAATGTCTGCCTTTTATGATTTGCAGAGTTGCTGTGGAAAATGTTACCTTATGCCCTCTTTTAGAAAGAATCTACATATTTGAAGAGGAAAATATCTATATGTCACTTGAAATGTTTCAGTAAGCATTTAAATGCGTGTCTAATATATATCATTTCTTAAGGGTAAGCTGATCCTTTACAGAATACTTATACACCACTTGCAGGATTTAAAAAAAATTGCTATGCTGAGACTCTTTTTGCAGTGAAATTCAAATTTTAGCTTCTATTAATGCTATTGTTACATCAGTATTTGGTTTGTTCTTGCTCGTGCTTTATTGCTATTCATTCTTAGTTCATTTTTGTTTACCACAGTGCAAAAGGATTAGATTTCGGGAAGGAAAACACACAGGGAAAGGTACTTCTGAAGTCCCGTACCACATCAATTGCTTGAACATGGTAAATAGTAAATACAGGCTAAGAAGCACCCAAGACTCTAACAACTCGACTCCAGTCTTCTGGTGAGGTGTAAATGCTGCAGGAAGGGAATTAGTCAGTAGTTGTCCTCGCTTTCCAACCCACCCATTTTTTCCCTCACCCTCCATGCACCTGCCCACTTGTGCAATCCTTAGCTTGACTGTGAGGATGTCATTTTCTCAACAAGCACTGGGTCAATTGTAAAGCACTTTGGCATTGGGGGAGAGTATTTCTTTCAGGCCTCCATCAATGGATGCTTAATCTCTGGAAGCCTGGGGTTTAGTTCCTCCTGACTTCAGTAACCATAGCTGCCAATCTCAGCTAAACATCTGAGGAGAAGGAAAGGACAGAGAGGCAAACAGATCTTACTGCTCCTGGTGGTCAGGTCCATGGATAAATTGCCTCTTGGAGAAGAGGGAAGAGGGAAAGTGTGCAATGATTTGTGTATCTGGGAACTTACAAGATAAGGTGAACTCAATAACTTAACTGTTGGATTAACCTGGCACTTGTCTTTATTTCATTGGAGTTGATACATAATATCAATATGAAATCAATATGCAACTTTCTGGGCTTGGAAGAAGAGACAAAATATCATAAATGATTTTAGAAATAGCATCTATGAAATTTTACTTTTTGTTTGTTTTATTTTTGAGACAAAGTCACAAATTACGTCTATGAAACTTTACTTTTTGTTTCTTTTATTTCTGAGACAAAGTCACACAGGCTGATGTGCAGTGGCACGATTACGGCTCACTGCAACCTTGACCTCCCAGGCTCAAGGGATCCTCCCACTTCAGCTTCCTGAGTAGCTGGGACCACAGGCACACATCACCACGCCTGGCTATTTCTTTTACTTTTTGTAGAGATGGGTTCTTGTTATGTTGCCCAGGCTGGTCTCGAATTCTTGGCCTCAAGTGATTCTCCCACCTTGGCCTCCCAAAGTGCTGGGATTGCAGGTGTGAGCCACCACACCCATCCTGAAACTTTATAATGGGTATATTCCCTTATTTCCCATCTTAGAACAAATGAAATATGGCTACTGTAGGTTGGAAGATGGACTGGCTTTCATGAGGAAAAACAGAACTCCAACAGCTCACAGCATCTCACATCAGAAGAAAATCCAGGTTATCTTTGATGCCATTTACAGACAGTTTCTAGTCTACCTAAATCTAAGTTACAAAATTATTACTCTACATTTTTACCTTTATGGAAAACATGTATGCCCTCCTTATATTCAACTTTTCTTTGTTCAAATTATTAACTAATTGCTCACTTAAAAAAACACTTCTCATATAAAATTTTGCCTGTCCCTTCCCACTGCTCCTAATTATTTTCCTGGATGTTATCAGATGCTGCTTTCTATTTTCACCATCTTCCTTTGGTAATAAGATGACTTTAACTAAATGTAGGACAAATGGGTACAATGATCTTGTAGCAACACTGGAATATATTCTCTGTTATTCTTACTACAATTTAACAGTATATTTACTTTTCTGCTTTAAAATTCTGTTGAGCATCATGCATACATCTTCATTAAGATGTGTTCTGTGAGCCTACATCTTTTTCCTGTAAGGTTAGAACTAATTCAGAACTTACCCAAGTGGATGAGTAATTTAAGTTGCTACTTCCAATGTGCATGACTTTGCACTTGTCTGTTCTGAGCTTCATCTGCCACTGTTTTGCCCAATTACTGAGTTTGGATTCTATGTTTTTCACATCCATCTGTGTAAACTTAGGGAACCAAAATAGTTTTGTGTAGTCAGCAAATCTCAGCACCTCATTATTTAGTCCATTTTCTAGGATGTTACCACGTATCCTGGAGGACAGTGCTCTTGCATCGATCGCTGACACCCCACAATTAACTCCTTTCCATGCTGAGAGCTGGTCGTTTATTCTTTTGCTCCGCCTCTATCTCTTAACCCACTTTTAACCTATGATTGACAGCTCTTTACCTCTTGCCCAGTAGTTACCAAGTTTCCTTAATAGTCTCCTGTGTAGGACTTTATCAAAAGCCCTTTGAGAGTCTAAATAAATTACATCCAGTAGTTTTCCTTTACCCACCATTTTGTGGTCTCCACAAAATTCTGCATTAAAAATACTAAAGACACATAAAGAAAATAACAACTTCCAAATGTTCTTCTCTTCTTTTTGGATATGCTGGTTTGTCATCTGGTACTGCTTTTTTTCTCCTTTCCTTTAATATTAATTTTCTGTTTGTGTCAACCCCAGCCTGTCACTGAACCTCTGCAAACCAAGATGCATTCCCTGTCTCATATTAATGCTGCAACATAACTGATAAGATTTTGAGTGACTTTACGAGGTAAATAAATTCCACTGGTTGGCTCCTTCTGCACTGTAAGAAACATGCCTTGCTAACTCTTTCACTTATTTACCAGCTTGTCAGAAATTTCAAGAAAGCAAATTTTCCCTTTGGGAGCAAACATTCCAATATTTTGGTTTCAGGGGCATGATACCTTGTCATGACTTCTTTTTTCTGTAAAGATATTTATTTGGGCCACATACATCCTACACCAACGATGCCTCAACTTAAACAGACAAAAAAAAAAAGGAATTAAAAAAAGGAACTTTGAAAATGTGTGATAAGTAACACAACAGTCTCCTTTGTCATAATTTCCTGGTTTGATCCTGACTTTGTTTGCCAGGAGTGATCACTCTTCATATTCATGAAAGCATTGATCACGCTGGTGTGGGAACTATAAAGCAATACTGAGGGGAGTCTGAGCACTGGCATTTTCACTTACATACCTTTTGAAACTTGAAATAACCTTATGAAGTCGGTAAGTATGCATTATTATTATTATTATGTTTAATTTTTAGAAAGACAGCTTTCACTCTGTTGCCCAGGCTGGAGTGCAGTGGTGTGATCTTAGCTCACTGCAACTGCGAACTCCTTGGTTTAAGTGATTTTCTTGCCTCACCCTCTGAGTAGTTGTGACTGCAGGCGCTCATCATCATATCTGGCTAATTTTTAATTTTTTTGTAGAGATGAAGCGAGTCTCCCTATGTTGCCCAAGCTGGTCTGGAACTCCCGGCCTCAAGCTATATTCCCCTCTTGACCTCCCAAAGCTCTGGGATTGTGGGGATGAGCCACTGAGCCCGGCCAAGTCACATATTATTATTATTATTATTATTATTATTATTATTATTATTATTATTATTTAGAGTAAACGGAAACCTAAGTGATAGATCATTTGTCCAAGGTCATGGAACATTTTAACGATCTTGGATAAAATCCAAGTTTTCAGATCCTTCATCCACAACCCCTTCTCTTCTTCCACGCTGCCATTGTGAGTTTCTCTCTTTCTTTGAGGTGAACATGTAAAAGATTTAAGCCATTTTAAAAATTACTTGTAGCTCCTTATCTACTATTTCTTTCAAAGTCTTTTCAAGAAACATGCAGTTGTCAATGTGGAGGAGACTCTCGTTGCCCTCTTATATCTCATACCTGCCAAATCTTACCCTTTCAAAGTGAAGGACATTTTCATTTTCGGTTAATATTAAGACTACCTAAAAAGCATTTTGCTCTCTGAGGCAAGCTTTTCTTCAGTGTTTCAACAAACCATTTATATATTTTTTATCATTTTTTTTCCTTACAAAAAAGTCTCCCTCATTTAAATTGTCACAGCTTGGGAATCCTGCCTGGAATACATAATAACTGCTTGTAACACTTAAAATGAAAACAAATTTACCAAGGATGGTGGAATGACAACAAAGAACAAGAAAAATATAAGTACATGGAAAATAGTCTCTCCTACGCATACATTTTCAGTGTTAAGTATTTTTTATTGAAATTGCTGTTTCCTATTCTCCTGCTTAGCTCCTCTTCATCCGGATTTTTTTTTTTTTTGGTGGGGGGGTTAGGGGGGAGTTTAAAATCAAAACATCTAAAGAGAGAGAAGAATGAACCATTATAATTGTTATTTGATTTCTTGGGTTCAGAAAGTAACATTTGATGAAGTAATACTGAGTCTTAGCAGAACACTGATGGATAGGTAGGTAGAGCAAGGTTTCGTTCTCAACCTTGGCACTATTGACAGTTGGAGTGGGATACTTTTTGGTAGAGTGGTAGGCTGTGATTTTTCACAGTATCTCTGGCATCTAGGCACTAGATGGGGGTAGCACCACCTTCCCCAGTTGTGACAACCAAAGGATCTTCAGACATTTCCCAAGGTCTCCAGGCTTAGAACCATAGACTTAGAGGCAAGACTCTTAGGACTGTACTTGTAGATGCTGGTGGGGGCTTTGACAGTCAGCCCACTCCCACTCATGGGCTATCTGTCCCCATCCAGGGAACGTCTCAAGTCCTAGAAAGAAATTCACCTCCAAGAAGGCCTGCTTGCTTACCTAGCCTTAGCTTATGCTCTGTGTCCAGTGATTCTGAAAGATCCATTTACTCTCTTTTGCCTGAACTAGCTGGAGTTGACAAAAATACTTTGAGAGCTTCCCTATCGGTAGGGAGGAGCTCCTGACATTTCCTGAGAATTCCATGCTCCTCTCTTGTCTTATCCTACTGCTCTCCCTTTCCACCCGGTGCAAGCTCTACACTAAAAAAAAGAACCCCACTGGGAACCAGCTGACCTCGCTGACCTTGGACAAGTCAGTCTCTGCTCTGGACTTTTGTTTTCTTATCCAACTGTGAAATAGTTGGACTAGACGGTACACCTTCAATTCTACTTAATTCAGTTCTAGAGCAGAAAGGAGCTTAGAATATTATGACCTGAATGTTCTTGCTTTTCTTGGCTTCTTTAATCTGCCAATTTAGACTTTAGGGGCAACCCTCTACTCCCCACAAGGGCACCAATCTATAACTTGTTTTTTGCCAAAATATTGTTTAGGGTTGATCTGCTTGATTTCACCTGTACTTACTCCCGCTCACTCACCACCCCAAAGCCTAACTTTGTTAACCCATAAATAAGAATAAACTCAGCCACATCTCTTGAAAAAGACAACTCATTTGTCATAATGATTACATCAGGAAGTTGTGAGTTCAATCACACCTTAAAAGACTACACAGTGCATTGAGATTAAGCAGCAAAATGTGTGAATGAAACCATATTTCAAATACATTGTGGGAATAGGTTATTTTAAGTAACCTGCTGGGAAAGCCTTTTGGAAAAAAAGATGAGTACTCTAAAAAAATATAAATCAAGTAACTATTACTGGATTTATCTGGCTGTATCATTTCAAAAATTACAAAAATCTGATTCATTCCTACAAAGGCATGCAACTTTTGCTGCTACTCTTACCGTGTTGCTACTATTGACTCTTGTCAAGGTCATGCCTGACTTTCACCAGACACACCTAGTGCTGCCAGGACAGGTGTCGTCAAGGTGGTGAAGGCTTCTCTGCCTCCGACTTGCTAGTTGTGTGACCTTAGCAAGTCAATTTCCCTCTCTGAGCTTTAGTTTTCTTTTTTCTAAAATGAGGAAGTTAAATTGTATTTCTAAGTTTACTCTAAAATTCTAAGAACTAAATAAGAAACATTGGTTAATGACAGGGCTGGCTTGAGAACACAGACTTCAGCAAGGCTGGGGAGCTGGATCCCAGCAGAACTGTCTCCCCTGGGTAAGCAAACCCTGGGCTCTTCCTCCTACCCCAAAGGGAGGGGTGGGCTGGAGCTTCCTCCCTTCCACCAAAGAGTCTAGAGGGTTTCACACCACAACCTGCTCCCTGCCCCTAGCTCCAGACCTTTTGATAATAGGCAGTGTTTCTAGGAAAATGGATGGAACTCTGCTAAGGGAAACGCCAACAACAGGCCCAGGGGAAGAGAGAGGAAGACCCCATGGAGGATTCAGATGTTCTTCTGGGTGGAAGAGCCAAAAGCGAATGTACCAGCGTGTTGTTAGCACACACACACCCAGCGTGGGAAGAGGAGCAGCTGAGGTGACCAGGAGGTGACGGATGCTCTCACTCTTCATCACAAAATATTCAGAGAACACCATTCCAGCTCCTTGAGATCTACGGTGTCCAGAGCAACCCCAGATTCCTCCATCATTATAAATCCCTGACTAAAAGAAAGCAGCCAGAAGATTTTCCCCTGTGAAATGGCCCAAAGTCATCCCATCAGTCTTTCTCAAAGGTGCACTGGGCGCCTTTCATCATTATCACATTATAAATGAATTTGTTAAGAAATATGTGCTTGCTGACTACAATGTGCCAGTCACTGTGCTGGATGCTTGGGATGTAGCAATGAATAAACAAACCTATCAAGATTCCTGCCCTCAGGGAGGGTACAGTCTGGCAGGGGAGACAGACACACAATAAAGATAATAAATTAAATGGCATGTTAGAAGGTGATGGAACTAAGGAAAGAAAAGAAAGGAAAAGCCATCATTTACTTCATCATTCGCGTTTTAGTTTTTCTTTAGCTCCAACATTTAGAATACCCCCAAATATTTTCTTCATATTATAATTTCTTATTCTTTAGTTTTTTTCGTTGCTAGCGTGACTACAGTATTGCTTGAGACTAATTTCATTCTATATGAATACACTTTATGCATTGCGTAATGTGGAAGTGCCTTGGCTCTGTTCAGTGAAACATTTTCTAAATTTTCCTTTCAATACTACCACAACTTGGGCAGAAAGAGCATTTTACAGACAAAAAGCCCAAGGTTCATGGAGTCTTTGAAAAGCTGAGTGTCTTGAATTTTTTTTTTTTCTCAGTATTCTTTTTCAGACTTAAGTGGGAAATATTTTTGTTTTGCTTCAATTTTTTTCAAAACAATTATTTAGAGCAAACCTGGCTATTTGTTGGCAACTTCATTTTTTTTTTTTTTTTTTTTTTCTGAGAGGGAGTCTCACTCTGTCACCCAGGCTAGAGTGCAATGGCACGATCTCGGCTCACTGCAATCTCTGCCTCCCGGGTTCAAGCAATTCTCCTGCTTCAGCCTCCTGAGTAGCTGGGATTACAGGTACGCACCACCAGGCCTGGCTAATTTTGTATTTTTAGTAGAGATGGGGTTTCACCATGTTGGCCAGGTTATTCTTGAAATGGCTGGTCTCGAACTCCTGATCTTGCAATCCACCCGCCTCGGCCTCCCAACGTGCTAGGATTACAGGCGTGAGCCACTGTGCCCAGCTGGCAACTTCTAATATAGTGATTAAGTAGGTTCACACCTGATGGCATATTTCCAGTTCCGGGAAAGTGGTGGTTAAAAAGAAATCTGCTTACATTGTGTGCTCGATTATCACCACTGTGGTTCCTGATACCAGGTTATCCTTACAGGCCACCTGTGATTTCTTTAGAGAGCTGGCAACCTGCCCTGCTCATCATGGTGGGGGGACATTTTTCTCCACAGCATAAAATTGGTGAAGTGCAAGATCTGTTTTGGTTTCTCCCTAGACCCTAATGATACTGGCAGATACCAGCCTGCCTTCTGGGATTTAACGTCAATTGCATCTTCTGGAAATGGGTTGCATCGTTTGATATAATCTAGTTAAGCCTTCTTCAGAGGGCAAATGGGACACATAGAGACACGCACACACACATAGACACACCCGCATGTGATTCCTAAAGTGCCTGGGGAATTTGTCTGTGTACATTCAGGGTATATAATTTGACAGGCTATAAAGGTGAAAGTTTTATCTCTGAATTTCTTTGGTCCCCTATTCCTGCCGCCAGACAATTTCCTCCTAACATTGCAATCTGTGACAAAACTTTTGTCCCTAGATTGGCTTTCTATGAAAGCTCTTGGTGCCTTTTAATCAGTTGCTAGGTGGTCTGTATCCATGGTCCAATTTCAGTATTAGTACAATCAGAACACATTAGGGAAGGTAACTTTACTTCTGTTGTAGCAAAAATATTCTTATGTAATGCATTCTAACATCACATGTAAATGATTTTTTTCTGTACCCTATCCAAAATAATCTAGAATCCTGCTCTTACCAGTGATGTGAACAACTGAGGAACTTCTAGCTTAGTGTCTTTCCACACTCTTCTCTTTTTTAGAGTATGCTTTTTAGAGTATGTTGTAATTCAGTACTAATATTGAATTACAACAGGTTAAAATTAGGCAGTGTGGTCCCTTAAAGGGAAGGTGGGCTTTCAAATAAGGAATCTTGGGTGCAAAACCTGATATAATATTTTATTAATTGTGTGACTTTAGCCTATTTAGCTTACTCTCTGAAACTTAGTTTCTTTTTCTTTTTCTGTAAAATGGGAGGAAAAGTTACACCTTACAAATCTTTTTAGGGATATAAAAGGGGTAATGGAGAAAGTGGTTGAAATTTAGATAGAATATACTCAGGATATGTCAGTTTCCATCTTTCCTCCCCCCCCTTCTACATTCTCCCCCTTCGTTTGGTGATGATGCTTTCTTGGGAATGAAATTTTTATGTGACTGGTTTATTTCTCCATTAGAACAATCTCACACAGTCTGCCATGTGTCCTGGAGGTGTTGGCTCCCCATGTGTGTTATGGTGGAAAATGTATTCTCTTTCCCACTGTGTTGATTCCAAGACACACTCATTTAAACCTGTGGCTAAAAATGACAGTCTGCCTTGTGGGCTGATCTCTTTCAGTATTGTGGTGTGACTGTTTTGCCCTTTAAAATCTGTTGGTTTGGGAATTAGGAGGTCAGGTATGTTCATCTAATTTGAAAATGTGCTGGAGAAATAACTGATACTCTTCTGATTTAGTCTCTCAATAAATCTTCCTTCAGCTTGAAACTCTGGTGCCAGAACTTTCTTTGCCATCAGCACCACAGGCGTGAGTTTCTGACAAGTAACCCATCCTATAGTCAACTGCTTCTCTCTTAATTCAATGCCTGGGAAAAGCACAATGATTTCAGTACTGAGAAAATAAAGCTACAGTTTGGAGGACTAGAGGGCACTTTGAGAGGGCACAATGGTGCCACCAAGATGCTACCTCTTTCCTCTGAATCAGGTGAAAAGGATAGTATTTGATATCTCTAGACAAGAGCTTCTCCAGGTGACAAGTACAAATTACTCTCCTGTTTTTGTAATCTGACCGGTCAGCACCTGGTCCCAAACAACGGCTCTGGAAATAGAGAACATTCCAAAACCACATCTCACACTCCACATGTTGCCTTCCTTCTGAAATAAAGAATGACTCTGCAAAGAAAATAAAACAGAGGTGAGGAAAGCTTACAAATAATTAGGGAAAGGAAGGTGGGAGTCAGATTCAACATGCTGTGCTATCAAAAACACAGTAGAGACAGCTCCATTAACTTTGTGTGAATAACTAGATGAAATATACTCATAGGACTTAAATCACAAGCAAAGTGGAAATTGCCCAAAGATGTAAATAATTTCCTGATAGAGCCTTTCATAAATAATCATGGTCTGTCTCTGCTGGGTATTTCATGTCTAAATTGTCATCAACATAGTTTTGATTTTACCAACAAGACATGGGATTGTTTCTTATAATATAAAAGAAAGCTTAAGTACTTAATAGCATCCCTTTAGAATTATTTTTAACTCCTATTTGCATCCAGAATAGGCAGAGGAAACCCAGTAAACCAAACAAAAACCAAACAGGAACAATGTTGTAGATAATTTCAAGGGACTTGTGCCCCTGCAATGGTAATAATGACCCTTTTGTATTGAAGGCTAGCCTTCAATGTGCCAAGAACACATGGGTGATAAAACCTCTAAGCTAAAAGTTGATCTGGTCTGGTAGGGCCCCACAAAGCAGGGGTGAGGGAACCCCCTATAGTACTGCTGTGGAGAGTAAATGTGTACTCAGGAATAAGTACTTGCTGGATACAGCGAAGAGCCAATCGTTGATTTGCATGTGTGATCACTTTTTCAAATAGCAGAAAAGAAACAAAAAGCATATGCAAAGATACTCTTTTCAGTTCTCTCCCTGATTCTAATTCATCATTGATACACAGGGCAGAGTTGCTTTTCAATTTGAAAGCAGACCTGAAATGTTCGAAAGAACCAAGGAGTCAAGTCCAATGTCCCTGGACGTTCAAAACCTCCCCATCGCCGACCCCGATTGGCAGAGAAGCTGCCACACCCATGCAGAGCCCGGTTCCTCCCCACACCCTGTCCTGGCCTCTCTGAGCTGCCTCTGTCCTTGCTGCTCCTCTCAGAATCCCGCTGTCTTTCCAAGACCCAGATAGGGTGCCCTCTCTTCTCTTCTGGGAAACCTTATCCCCCTCCCCTGAAGACTGGAGTTATCTGTCCTGCTGCCCTTCACTTTTATTCAACGTTTGGCACGTCCCATACTAAGACGTGTGTTTTAGTTACCTGCCAGCCTTCCCAACCAGGTACAAACTCTTCAAGGGCCAGGTCTTGGCTTATTCATCTTTGTAAGAGAGTGCTGCAGGCACTAGAAGAGTTTTTCAGCCCAGGGGAGGCAAGGTAAATGTTGGCTGATACACCTTTTCCTCTCTATTTAGAGTCTGTGATTCACAGTTTGAAAAGTGGAGTGAGTCCTTTAATGTTTAAATCCCTTGCTATCCTTGAGTTCTTGCTGAGGTATCATATTGTGTCCTGGTCTTAGATTCCACAAAGTGTTTATGCTTCTGCCAAGAGCTTAGGCTCTGGAAGCTTGAGCCATATTTTGTCTTTCATTTCAAATCCTATCCATCAGATTATATTTTCCACATTGGCTTTTCCCTTACAGCCAAAACTAATTCTAAGTGTGTTCATATTCAGTGCTCACTTTGTAAGAAGGGCCTCCTTTGTGCAGGAGGCCCTGGGCTGGAGTCTGCCAGAGGATTCCAGATTTGTCACCACTCAGGACTGGGCTTTTGGTTGGTGCCTAGCGAGGGTGGTTGCTCCTGCCAGCCAAGGACCCTGCTGGAGAACTTGCCAGGGGAAGTATTTGCTCTTCTTAGGATTTTTGCAAATGGATTTTTTATGTAGTTCAGGGTGGATCAGTAATTTTCCACAGTCAGAATTTCTCCACCAGGTGGGCAGTTTCCCTTAGGTTGGTAGAGTGCCCCCTGATAAGATTCAGGGGCAAATAAATTACTTGCCCATTCAGGATGTTTGGCTATCAGCCACAGAAGAGGAGGGGCCCCAGGGTGCAGCAGAAGACCCAAGAGAGCCAAAGAACCCAAACAGATAGGTGAAACAGAGTTCCAACCAAGAAGTTACCTACTGAACACTCAGGGACCCATGGTTGCTACACATACTAATGCTCTAATTCATAATATGAAGGACTGAGGGTTCATTGAAAACATACTTGTTTTTAATACTGAAGTTAGGGTGATCTTTTTTTTTTTTTTTTTTTTTGGGACAGACTTTTGCTCTGTTGCCCAAGCTGGAGTGCAGTGGCACGATCTTGGCTCACTGCAACCTCTGCCTCCTAGGTTCAAGCAATTCTCATGCCTCAGCCTCCCGAGTAGCTGGGACTACAGGCATCCACCACCAGGTCTGGCTAATTTTTGTATTAGTTTTAGTAGGGATGGGGTTTCACCATGTTGGCCAGGCTGGTCTCGAACCCCTGACCTCAAGTGATCTGCCCACCTCGACCTCCCAATGTTAGGGTGATCTTGCTGGTGTACTTCCAACAAGGCAATAAACCTTAAGGAAGACAACATATGTACTCACATACACACTACATACACAACTATGGTTCATAGTCATTGAGCTCTTTTGAGGTGGGATGCTTTATGCTTTATATTCCATAGCTCCTTCAGTTTCCACAGCCCTAAGAGATAGACATAATTATCACCGCTTTATCAATAAACAAAATGAGGCTTTAGGATGTTACATATTTTAACCTGTGTATCTTTTTTTTTTTTTTTTTTTGAGACAAGGTCTCACTCTGTCACCTAGGCTGGAGTGCAATGGCATGATCACAGCTCACTGCAACGACCTCCCGGGCTCAAGCAGTCCCTCCACTTCAGCCTCCTGAGTAGTTGGGACCACACGTGCACACCACCACACCCAGCTAATTGTTTGTTGTTGTTGTTGTTGTTTTGTATTTTTTGTAGAGATAGAGTTTCGTTATGTTGCCCAACCTAGTCTTGAACTCCTGAGCTCCAGCGATCCTCCCACTTCAGCCTCTCAAAGTGCTGGGATTGCAGGCGTGAGCCACCGCCCCAGCCTGTATATCAATATTTTACCTGATGACTTCTCCAAATGTTCTTTTTCCTTTGTTTTTCCAGAGCTGGAAGAAACGAAGAACCTCAACAATTTTTATTTCTACTTTTGATCAAGGAAAAGCGTATTTAGAAGGTTCGCTAGAGAAAAATTTAGCAGTTTGGAGGATTGAGATCCTTTGGCAGAGATATGGGAGTGTGAGCAGGAAATATTTTTTTAAAGGAAGAGCTGGTGTTTTAGGATGTCAAAGGTACAAATTATGATGGTGCCATGGTTGACAGAAATTTGCAAGATCTCCGTATCTACATGAACTCTTTGCTCCTGACTATTAGCTGACTGGTCCAGAAATTCTTGATCCAAGCTTGATATGTAAGCTTCTCTCTCCTGTGAATATGGCACTGAGAGACACAAGATTAGAAGCCCTGGGTGCTGATCAAACTCATAGCAAGGAAGAGTGGTGGCTCAAGACTGCCTGCTCCTGAGACTTCTGAGAAGGGTGTCTCTCTGTCTGTGTGGATGCCTGATGCTTCTGGTATTTCACAAATCTTGAGCCTGGCCAGGAGTTTACTAACAGGCACCCCTGTGTCATCTGAACAAGGTATGTTCAGCTCTCTGTTTTAATCCCTCTTCTGCCTTGAACCTCCCCGTCCGCAGGAAGAGGCAGAAATCCATTCTGTCTTTGTGTGTTGCAGGGTGAGCACAGAGGCCCAGAAGAGTCTCCTCGGCTTGTTCATGTTACTATGATAGCGCTTAGCAACTGCTAGCTCCCCCTTCCCTATCTGTTGTTGCTGCCAGGCCTGAGGCTGAAAGGGTGAGAGGATGAAGTGAGGCTGAAAGCAATGGTAGCTGCTGCTAACAAAACTTGCAGGGTGGGGATGTTCTCTTCATGGCTCCCTGTTGGGTAAGAAAGGAAAAAGAGGAAGGCCGGTATACTGCAGAGGGACAGAGTGTGTACACAAGGAGTGTGGTGGTGGGGGGTAGGTGCGCATGCCCTAAAGACTAAAAAGCTCCTCTCAGCCTTGGAGAGATTGCATAACCACCTGAGAAACAAAAATAGATGATTAGCAGAAACACCTTGTAAAAATATCTGCTCATTAAAAGTAGGTGTCTGAAATGTAAATGCTCGGAAAAATCTGCAAGTCTAGAAGATAAACTTTCTGAGTTTATTATCCTTTACAATGCACCATAGAGCTGGGAGGAGATTCAGGAATAAATTTGCAATGGCTGGAAAAAAGGTGTCTGGAAATGACCTCCTAGTAAATTAGATATGATGATTTCACAAGACAATGTAAGAAAAATTGAGAGAAACAACAGCAGTATTGAACACCTAGCTATTCAGGAGGCCGAGTCAGGAGGATTGCTTGAGCCCAAGAAGTCAAGGCTGCAGTGAGCCGAGATTGTGCCACTGTACTGCAGCCTGGGCGACAGAGTGAGACTCTGTCTCAAAAAAAAAAAAAAAAAAGATAAAAAGAAAA
Organism: Homo sapiens; assembly: GCF_000001405.40. Taxonomy (NCBI): domain Eukaryota; kingdom Metazoa; phylum Chordata; class Mammalia; order Primates; family Hominidae; genus Homo; species Homo sapiens. Next base: position 139,430,491 of record NC_000006.12, read on the forward strand.
AGAAAAAGATCCCCCCTGCCACCCACAAAAACAGTTCAGAATACCTTTGTTGATGTAATCAAGGGCAATAAATAACATAGATTTCGAAGTGATCAATTGCGGCAAGCCAAACTGGTGGATTTAAGGAGACTTACAAGACTAACAATTGAGTCTGGCCAAACAGATGTTAAATATTCAGAATTTAGGAAAGCACTTTGGGTCAGCTCTCAAAACATTTTACTTGCAAAATGAGTTCAGATTCATTTGGATATGAGCATGCTGGAAATTAGACAGCCAGCATGGGCTTTGGTGAGATCCAGGGTGCCCAGCAGAAAGGGAGATAGGAGGAGGAGGACAAGGCTCTCCACAAGGAATACTTCTTAGATTTATATTTATTCAATAATTATAAGGAGCTGATTCAATTTTCCTAAACTGTGAAGGCATAAAATAAAACAGAAACAAATATATGCCAAGAAAAAGAAATAAGCAGATTGGATTCTGTTTTTTCAAAAAGCAATCTGAATCTGTATATTTTCCATGTTGAAGGGAATCATGGGTTGCAGTGAGGCAATCCTAGTCCTCCTCTTAAGGAAATCATGGGATGCAGTGAGGCAATCGTAGTCCTCCACTCATCCCATGAGCATATGCTCCCTGCCTCCTGGAGGCCAGGCGCCATTCTAATGCTGGGCACAGGCTGAGTAAACACAGCCTCTGCCCCGGGCTGCTACTTGGTGCTGAGGAACCTCAGTGGAGTGGCTTGGAGGGACAGTGAAGCTCTCCAGAATAAGCTGGGCCTGAGTTGAGTCTTAGGTTATAATAATAATAACTGCTTATGTTGTATCGTATTTTGTATTTTAGAAAGCACCTTTATGTATTTCTTATTTGGTCCTTGTCACAGCTATGTGGGGCAGTGCAGACAGTGCCAATCCTTTTGAGTCTACTTCACATAACCTCTTTACTGTGTTTGACATGACTGGCCATGCCCTTATTGTTGACATTCTCTCCTGGTGTCTGTGAGACTTTGAACCAATAGTTTCTTACTGCTATGGTCTGAATGTTTGTGTCTGCCCCCATCCCTCTGGATCCCCTCACTCATATGTTGAAGTCCTCACCCCCAAAATGATGGTGTGAGGAGGCAAGGCCTTTGGGAGATGATTAGGTCATGAGGCCAGAGCCCTCATAAATGAGGTTAGTGCCCTTATAAGAGAGGCTCTAGAGAGATTTCTTACCCCTTCTGCCATGTGAGGTTAGAGGGAGAAGACAGCTGTCAATGAGGAAGTGGGTCCTCACCACCAGATGTGGAATCTGCCTTGATCTTGGACTTCCCAGCCTCTAGAACTGTGAGAAATACATTGCTGTTGTTTATAAGGTATCCAGTTTATGGCATTTTGCTATAGTGGCCCAGACAGGCTAGGCATTTACTGTCTTCTTGGATGCTCCTTGGGATCTATTGCCACTCTTTTCCTTTATCCTACCCCTTAAATATCAGTGTCCCTAAGGAGACTATCTCCTGTTCTCTATCACTGGTGTTAATGTACTCCACTGATGGCTGACAAACCCAATAATTGGAATGGCTTGCAGTTAGGGGATGGGAGGAATGGCACTGGAGGATGTCAAAGGGTTGGTAGATGTAGTTGGAAATAGTTTCCCAGGTAAATCTGACAGCCCTCATTCCTTTCTGTTTTGGGAACCACCTACCTATAGATGCCAATGGTTACATTCCTAGCCGATCTCTTCATTGAACTCTGGATCTACTACCTAATCTTCTACAGGAACTTTAGGCCTGGCTGTTTTACTAGAGCCTCAATCAAATGTCCCAAACAAAACCCACTAGTTCCTGCTCCCCCTACCATGGCCAGGATCACGGCTGCATCTTCCACTTCTCCTTCTCCCCTCACATCCTTACCCATGGCTTATAATCCACCTCAAAACCTTCAATTATACTTTAAAAAGTCTCTAGAATATGCCTAATCCTCTCTGGCCCCACTACCACTGCATCAGTCTCTGGACTTGTCTTCGTGGTTGTAAGCTCTCCATGCACGTACTCTATACTGCCATTGGGATAACAGTTGTAAAATAAAAACCTGCCTGCATTACTCATTGCCAATGGCCAGACAGAAAGGATGCTGTGTGCAGTTCTTTGGTACTAGTGTTACTTACCAGCCTCATCTTCTGCCATTCCCACTCTGCCTTTTCCTTGATGTCTGTGCTTCATTCTGTACTTCTTTCCTCAATGCCCCATGCTGTCCCTCGTCTGCCTGCAAAGCCCCACTCTGCTTGGCTAACTCTTCCTATACCTGCACCTTTACATTTGTTATGTCCATCTGGCAAGATTTCCCTGACCCCTTCTAGCTAGGCAGAGTGAGTTTTCTTCTCTTTATTTGCTACCATAATTCCTTGGGTGTTGCAGCTATTTTATACCCCCTACTAGAGTATAAAAGCTTTTTTTTTTTTTTTTTTTTTTTTTTTTTGACAGAGTCTCACCTGGTCGCCAGGCTGGAGTGCAGTGGCACAATCTTGGCTCACTGCAACCTCTGCCTCCCGGGTTCATGCCATTCTCCTGCCTCAGCCTACCGAGTAGCTGGGATTACGGCGTGTGCCACCACTCCCAGCTACTTTTTGCATTTTTAGTAGAGATAGGGTTTCACAATGTTGGCCAGGATTGGTCTTGATCTCTTGACCTCATGATCCACCCGCCTTGACCTCCCAAAGTACTGGGGTTACAGGAGTGAGCCACTGCGCCTGGCCACCTTTTTTTTTTTTTTAAATAAAGAAAAGACAATTGTTAATACATCATTTTACACTTAGAGCCCAAACTGAGCAGACGTTCAGTTAGTGTCTGTTAGATAAATACATGTTGCATAATGAATTATTTCTCATATGAAGAAATAAAGGTTAATTCACATGTCTAAGAGGGACAGAGTGAGTCCTCTAATCTAGGGTTATTCCTAATAAATTATTTATCTGTGATTAGAGAGACTCTGTACATATACATGAATTGGGGTTAAACCTTAATGTGAGATACTATTTGATAGGCTTTTCTAGTTTTCTTTTAAAATTTTGCTACAGAATGATAGCATTCTCAAAGACAGCAAGGGAATAAAGAGCAAATGTGACTGCTTAGAAATGGGGAGCCCACTGCTAACTCTCTGTGTGCTTCTCTTACAGCACTTAGCTCCTCCCAGGCCAGGCTCCCTCTCCATAATATATGTGGGTAGATTAGATGATGTTTAAAGGTCTAACTCTGTAATTCTATTATGCTGCATGTGTCACAGTGCCCTTTAAGCTACTTCCTCCTTAAAAGGCTCAGTGAGCAACCAGTGAAATATACCAGGAAGTATGATGTATCCTGAAGCTTGACACAAAAATCTCTTGGCACAAGTATCCTGGACAACATGCAACTGATGGGCACACCTGGCCGGTCTCAGCTCCAGATGTTTTCCTTAATCCCTGGCCTTTCATCAGGAATGTGGATTTCTACTGCCATTTAATCCCTATCTAAACATACACCCACCTGAACGGTGTGGAGGACTGGATAGTAGATGGAATCAGTTCAAAGTGTAGATGGTGGCATGGTGTTTTTCACAGACAGCCTATCCTGGGGGTCTGTACTAGATATTTTCTCCCTATACCTATGTACAGGAAATTCTCCAGCCCATGAGGAAAGGACCCTATGCTGGTCTAGTACAGGGGCATGTTCAGTTCCCTAGAGGAGTCCCCTATCTTCTCTGCCACCAGCTGCTGCTGATTGGATTAGGGGTGGTGTCTGTCAGCACAGCCAGACTATGAACTGGTTCAAAACCTGTGGCCTGACCTCATGCAAAAGACATCAGCTGCAACCAGACTCTTGAATTGAGAAATACTGAGAGAATGGGACCATTAACTCCATTAATTCCAGAGGAGGAAATGGTAGCTGTGAAGATGCAAGAGAGAAACTCAGGTAAAGTTAGAACCATGAAGTGTCATGGTAACCTGAAGTTATGAAGAAGCAGAAACTGGAATTTTTAAGAATTCAGAGGTTGCACTTCCACGTGGGAGTCCCCGAGGTGTGAACCATACAATCTGGAGTAAAGAATAAATCAGTTAGATAGAAGAGAACTGAGTGGATGAGCAGAGACAGATCACAGGGGTCCCACCACATAACCCTGCTGCTGCTGGCAGAGAATTGTCTCTGGACCTGCACAATCTTCTTGTCCAATTTCATGCTCAGAAAGGTCTGGCCCTACCACAGTGCTTGTTCTTATTTCTGTGAGGTTCTCTCTCCAGTGTGTATTCTTACAACCACCACTCCTCCCTCATTTCTTGCAGTAACTGGAAGAACCTAACACAGACACCTGTAGGGCAGGACTCCTTATTTTCTGACTCCCTGGCTCTGACCACAGGTAGGACATTCAGGTGTCTAAGTATCTGGGTTGCTCTTTCTCCACATTCATGTAACATTTTCATTTGCAGAGCAATGTCTTTAGATAGTCAGCAATCAAATCCCTACACCTTAATACTTAAGGAAATATTTAAATAGGAGTGCCATAATTTAGGGCTTATGGATACCAAGGAAATGCTGGATGGTTTTTAAGGGGTTCTAGAAACCCTTATAACTGTATGCAGTGAAAATGTGTGTGTACGTGTGGGGGGGGTTGCATTTTCCTCGTGAGAGGTCCTGTAACTTTAACCAGCTTCTCAGAGAACTCTGTAACCCTTCATCCCCCTTAAACTGAAGATCACTAGTCTGTGTGGCACGAGCTCAAACTCTAGAATCAGACCTGTGACTGATATCCCAGTTGTACCACTTACCAGCTGGGTAGCCTTGTATATTTACTTTACCTCTCTACAGCATATGTTATTTATGTATGAAATGGGTCTAATACTTATAGTACTCAGTACTCACACACAGAAGTTTTATAAGGATTAAGGGAGGTAACCCACATAATGTGTTTAGCACAGCACCTGGCATATAGCAAGTTCTTACTGATGGTAGATATTACATTTTTGTTATAGTTAATAAATGTAAATGTGACCAATTCATCATTGTCATGTGTTTTCAAATTCTGAATATTTATGTTTTATTGTAGAGGGTGTATTTTTTGTCAGAAAATTATAAGACTAGAGGGAAAGACTAGTAACCAAATATAATTTTTCAAAAGCATAAATTTTATTCTCTAACAAGGCACATCAGAAAATACCATGAAAATTTCCTCATATTTTATAAAATTTATGAATATATAAAATACTGATGAGCTAAATGGATCTATTTTGTATTGATGAACATGATTTTATGTATTATCATAATAATAAAAATTAGATGAATTTAAAAGTCAATTGCTTGGAGGTTAGCAAAATATTGAAATGACTGAAGTTGAAGATTTATTACCACTTAACATACACTTATTTAATACCAAATATTTCACTGTGGAGGAATAGCTGAGAAACCAAATGTATTGACTAGAGTTTATATGAATGTTTCAATATAGCTGCTCTTACTTGATTATGTATTTTAAAATTTTGTTATTATTTTTTATTTATAAAATAGAGACAGGGTCTCATGTTGCCCATGCTGGTCTCGAACTCCCTGGCTCAAACGATCCTCCCGCCTCTGCCTTCCAAAGTGCTGAGATTACAGGAGTGAGCCACTGTGCCTGGCCAATTATATATTTTTAATGCCTAGTAAAAATCCATTATAAGGTACATTTTTGGCATTACCAATTAACTTGGGTGGGAAAATGTGTGATCCACAGCAGGGCAAGATTTCTATTTTAAAATAAAAGCAGATACAGTCAAATGAACCTTACTGGAACGAATAGGAATGATATTATTATGATATTCTGCATCCACATGGCAAGAGATGACACCATTTTCTGAATTTACTTCAGATAAATATCCCGCAGTGGAATCAGCCTTCCCAGGGACCTCCCTGGACTCTGAGAAGTGATTAAAGGGACTGTGCGGCAGTCATGGGGATGCAAGCAGCTGTGGCCATCAAACTGGTTCTAACAGGTCAGTCCTGATGAGAACTCCATGGTGGGGAAAATAAATCCTCTAAATTCCTGATGGGAGGCCTTTGACTTTTAATGTGACAAGTGATTAGTCAGGTGTATGTGAATAATCATTATACAGGAAACAACAACAGCAAAACAAAACCCAACCCAACTCACCAATGCAAAAAATGTCATGTTTTCAAAGTAATGATGTCCAGCCTGCCTTTTGCAAAGGGAAGAAGCACAGGAGCGGGTTTTACCAAGACAACACTGTGTTCTTATTCCACCAAGTGGAAGAAATAAAAGTAAGGAATTTTCTGGCCCACATCCAATCACTCAACCTCTGTTGACTGGGTCCAGATCTGCAGATGCCTCAGGCCACAGAGGTATTTGGCTGGACTCCACGTCTGTGTAGAAGGACAAAAGTCTTGCTATTTGCAGATTGTGTGGGTAGCAGGAGTCATGACGATGATGATGATGATGACGATCATGATCATGCTTTTAGTTGAGTGTTCTCTGACATTTTGATAGCTATTTGCACATAATTTTTAATCTAAGGATCCCAGGTAGATCTGCTAGTGGGGCTTCCAGGGGCTGTCTTGTCTCTGAGAGAATGTCCTTGGTGTCAGTTGCCTCCACCTGCCCTGGGCCATGCCCAGGCTGAAGGCCAGCAGCCAGCATTTTGCTTAGGTGTGAGGCTGTTGCATAGCAACTTTCTGTTCAAATATGCTAAAAATGGATTCTTATCCTTTTTCCAATCTTCTGTAAGACAGTCCCCATGTAGGACGCTATATTAGCACAGTGCCCAGCCTGCCCGAGTAGCTGGATAGGTACTCTGTAAATGCTTGGCTGCTGCTTCTTGTCGATGAATACATGAATGACTTCTTCATGCAAAGAGCAGCTTGCTACTTTTATCTTTCTCTCTGTCTCTCTCCTTTTTTTTGGAGGGCAACAGAGAGGATTAGGAATTTGGAAAACTCCTTAGTACATTACTGGTAGTTGCTTTTAATTCAATAGAAGACATGATCATTAGTATAATTTCAAATAGTTCCCAACTCCAATCCTTCATTTCTTCTTGTTTCTGTAAGGATCTCCTATTTAGTTGACTTCTCCATTCCTACATTTAGACATGAGAATGAGACCCTTAAGCAAGTCTTCTGGAAATTCCAGAACCTTGAGATTTGGTGCCAAGCCTAGGATTAAATTGAATTTAGAATGATTATAGCTGTTGTTTCTACAAACTCATTCCGGGGAGAGAAATGGAGACATCTATTGTGTACCTTTGTACTGGGTCATCTTAGTTAAACTCCATTTCTCGTAATCCCTTTCATTGTGGCTCCAGGTTACATTTAGGCACAAAAAAGATTTGAACAAGATCTGGAAGGAGAAAGTGAAGCAGCAGCCATATTTCACCCACTGAAGGTGGATGTAGAACTGCAGGTGCAGTGGCAGATTATGCAAACTGATGACGGTCATGAGTTCACATTGTGGACCACCCAGGCCACAGCTCCTCCAGCAACCACGGATCTTCCTTTGGCTTCTCTGAATCTCTAGCCTGATATATGCACAGCTCCATGGTAAAGTGTGTTGGCTTTACCATGCAGATTTCCTTGTCACTGATGCTGAAGCGGATGAAAGACAGACGTGAATTCCAATTTGTCCTCATGGGTTCCAGTTTATTCTCTCTCTTTCTCCTTTTTTTTTTTTTTTTTCCTGATAAGGAGTCTCGCTCTGTCGCCCATGCTGGAGTGCAGTGATGCGATTCCGGCTCACTGCAACCTCTGCCTCCCGGGTTCAAGTGATTCTCGTGCCTCAGCCTCCTGAGTAGCTGGGATTACAGGTGCATGCCACCAGGCCCAGCTACTTTTTGTATTTTTAGTAGAGATGGGGTTTCACCATGTTGGCCAGGCTGGTCTCGAACTCCTGATCTCAAGTGATCCACCCGCTTCGGCCTCCCAAAGTGCTGGGATTACAGGCGTGAGCCACCGTGCTTGGCCCAGTTTATTCTCTTACGCTCTGGTTTGTCCTTGCGCTCCTGCACTGACGACCAGCTTTCCTTCTTGACTGTTGGCTCAGGTCCACAGCCACTCCATGCCCATGCCAGTCACAGAAGCCACAGCCTCATGTAGACTTTTCCACTAGCTCCCATACTAGTGTTAAGACTTGAATCCCTATTTTACATCACTCACGGTAGTTCTGCTTATCTCATTGAACCTTGATTCACACACCCATTCTTACCCTAAATGAATACCAGCATCCCTTTTAAAACGGTGGCCCTGGTGTTCAGATGTTGTTTATCCTCTCTTGGGGACCACCAACCCTAGTGGGGGAAGGCATGAAGATCCTTCTCTGTATTTTATCCGGTATGTTAGCTGAACTTGTAAACTTGAACTTGTTTCATGTAACTCAAGTATACTATCCACAGGAGAGAAGTAGTGAAGGTTTATAGGGGAAAAAAATAGACAATCCATTGCCATCGAAAAGCCCGATCGGGAGGGAAAGTATACACACAGGTGCAAATATTAAAGGACTGATTAAACACCTGAAGGCATAGGAGAGATGAGAAAAAGATGAGGGGAGGGTGGAGTAAACAAAGGTAAACACAAGTTAAGAGTACCATAAATGTTTGTTGAATGAGTGCATGAGAGGTGTTTTGACATTTTTATAAAAAACAAATATAACAAGAATATAATATTATTTTTTAATCTCCTACTTTCGTAATACACCAATAAAACTATTTTCATTTTCAGCTGTTATTCTTCATCTCTGTATACATTTGTCAAATACTTAGAATTGCAGTGCAACAGCTTTTTGTAGTTTCTTTACTTTTCCCCACTTATTTTTTGACATATATATTTTTTTCCGTTGACCTGGGAAGCTATGATGACTTTTAAGGAGATTTTAAACCTCTGTTCAAAAAGGTTTTATGTTTTCCACTTCAACTCCTGCTCTGAATGTTTAGTTCTGAGAGGGATCTGAGCTGTTTTGGAAATCAGTCTGACAAACGATTGCGAAGGCAGTGTGTAGCCAAGGTGAGTCGTAAAAAGTAAGAGCTGTTGCTAAGGGAACCGCTAGAGAAACGGTGAGGGTATAAACTTTGCTATCATATTTAAATTTCTTGCAGCAGTCCTTGGTTATTGTACTTGAAAATTTAAACAGCTCCAGTTAAGACACAAATGTCCTAGGAGTGATGGATGTGGTCTGGCAGAGGCCATTGTCACAGAAGATAGTGCAGGCTGCTGGAAGGAAGGGAAGGAAGCCGTTTCTGCCCACAGACCAAGAAGAGCACTTTCTGGACCCAGGGATCTGTGGATTTGAATGAGAATTTAGTTTACAATTGGGAAAAGTCACCTTTGTGTGGCTGCACAGGTCCCTCTCTACCTGGGTGCAGGTGTTTTGTTAAGGTGGCTGGGCACAACTTATATATACACAATTAAATGCAACCTTACATTGAACTCCAGTGCCTTCAACTGGTAAAAATGGAGCTGCTTTGATTGGGTTTTGAGTGAGGTGACAAAATTTCTCACTCTTGGCCTTCACCTCACCCTTACTCTCAACTCTACTTCTTTACCGCTGCAGTCCCTGAGGCCCACGTGGCTATCAGAAAAATAGCTTGAAAAATGTTAGTTTAGGACCACTTTTATTCACACTTATGAGGACATTGGAAGATTTAATTTGTGAATCAGAGATTTTGCATTTCTTTTTCCTTTTCATTAATCTCTTGGTAATAATAAAGATACTATAAAAGCAAAATCTTCCATCATTCCTGTAATGTGCCAGGCATCGTGCTAAGCACTTTACAGATAGCAGTTCATTTGATCTTTCCAACAACCCTATGTGGAAGGTGCTACTGTAATTCATGGGTTGTAAAACAATTTTCTCTCACATTTTAACATTTGTGAACTTAGAATGTATCTTACTTTTGATGGTGTGACATAGTTTAATGGGCAGCATTTTAAAATTTCTTAATGGACCATAACATAATGGTGTGTTTTACAATGACAGCTTAGATTCCATGAAATGCAATATTAATATTCCCATTTTACAAATGGAGAATGAAGGCACTGAGAGGTTCAGTAACTTTGCCCAATAATACACCTTGGCATCCTGGCTCAGAAGTATGCTCTTTTCCAGGCATTTGGCCTGGGCTTTCCCCTGTTTATCTCTGAATTGACATTGAGGGTTGCTCCCTGGGCCTCAGAGTTCCCCTGCAGTTCTGACACTGGATTTCATCCATTGGGTGGAGGGCTTCCTGCAGGCAGACACCCCTGGCAGGGTTAACACATCAAGCATTTTTCATTCTATCATTAACACTGCTGGAATTTGCTTATTATATTGCTTTTCCAAATGAAAACCAATTCCAGAACAGTCCTTTGGAGATGAGGCCCAGATCAAGTTTTGATAAGGGAAAAGACTGGAAGGATAGATGGTGTGCTAGAACTGATTTCAACTGGCTTGGAAGAGCTCTTGCTATCTGGTTGTTTGAAATCATTCTGCCAATAAAATTGACCATGGGGGAACTACTTACATCATAGAAATGGTCAAACGTTATGAATCAAGACTTTTTTGTTTGTTTGTCTGTTCTTTTAGCTTAAAAAAAGTTTTTTGGAGGCTATGCCATCCAATGTCTGTCCTTTTTAGAGAGCAGATTCAGAAGCACGTCAGCAGATAGACGCTCAACCATCTGATTTCCACAGAAAACTTCATTGGTCAAAACACAATAGTGGGAGGAAAGCAGGTAGACAGAGTGTGAAAAAATGAGCAGAATCCGAAGTTTTCAAAATAGTCTTAATGTCAAATAATTTCATTATTATTACAGTTAGATCTTGTGCATGTGTGTATCTGTTAATTTAATTCACGTTACCTTTTTTTTTTTTTTTTTTTTTTGAGACGGAGTCTCGCTCTGTCGCCCAGGCTGGAGTGCAGTGGCATGATCTTGGCTCACTGCAAACTCCACCTCCTGGGTTCATGCCATTCTCCTGCCTCAGCCTCCCGAGTAGCTGGGACTACAGGCGCCCACCACCACGCCCAGCTAATTTCTGTGTTTTTAGTAGAAACGGGGTTTCACCATGTTAGACAGGATGGTCTCGATCTCCTGACCTCATGATCCACCCGCCTCGGCCTCCCAAAGTGCTGGGATTACAGGCGTGAGCCACCGCACCCGGCCAATTCATGTTATCTTAATGTCATTATAGGTAGGAGAACATTGACACATATGCTATCCATATGTGTGGTGCTGTAGAGAAATAAAAATTATCCAAGGAGCGGCCAGGCACAGTGGCTCACGCCTGTAATCCCAGCACTTTGGGAGGCTGAGGTGGGCGGATCACAAGGTCAAGAGATCGAGACCATCCTGGCCAACATGGTGAAACCCCGCCTCTACTAAAAATAAAAAAAATTAGCCTGGCATGGTGGCGGGCGCCTGTACTCCCAGCTACTTGGGAGGCTGAGGCAGGAGAATCACTTGAACCCGGGAGGTGGAGGTTGCAGTGAGCCGAGATCACGCCACTGCACTCCAGCCTGGGCAACAGAGTGAGACTCTGTCTCAAAAAAAAAAAAAATTAGCCAAGGAGAGAGCACTGATCACTTTTAATTTTGTGTTCATTGCTAAGAGCAGGAAAGGCTAGGGAACTATTTGCCAACGGCAGTGAGTGGCCAACGGGGCTTCCAGGATCACCCAAGGGTAGCCCAGAAACAATAAATATTGGATCTCAGAGGGCATCCATGATCACCATATAAAAAGTGATCAGTGTATGTTCATTGCTGAGCTGAGCAATTATAGGAGTTCTCAAACAGTCACATCTCTTCCATATGAATTATTTTGGTTTTTTTTTTTTCCTCCTTGGTAATTCTCAGTAAAACCCACGAAACGAAAAGAGCTGTGGGCTTATCACGAGAAGGAGGAAGGAAGTGAGCAGAAAGAAGCACAGGAGGCCTCACTCTCCTCAGCCTAAAGAGAGAAAACTCCAGGGAACAGAATGGATTGTGGCAAGGTTAGAAAGAGACCCAAAGCAACCTGAGATCTCAGGTGTTTGGCAAAGAGGAAAGGAAGAGCCTGTAAATAGGCTGGGGTTTGAGGAGAAGCCGTTGGGGCTAAGAGTGAGGGGAGGGAGCTTGGGTCCTCAAACAGGAGCTCTTTGGTCATCTTGGGGCCACAGAAGTCACAAGACACTGTTGGGTATTGATGGTGGGGAAATGAGACAAGGGCAGGTGACCCCAAAAGCTGACTGGGGGAAGGGTTAGGGATTACGGTTGCCTTACAGACAGCAACGGGCCTGCCCATTTCTCATTTTCAAATTGGGCTATTTTAGAAAGAAATATCTTTGTGATTCTCTTCTGTTTAGAGCTGCCAAGGATTCAGTTCAAGAAAGGTATCTTTATGGATGTTAGGATGGAAATGTTAGCAGCTGGGTTCTTGGCTAACTTAGAAGGAGGGGTTTGGCTTTTTAGGGTATAATGTAAGGCTGGACAACAACTTCTGAAATAGCCTGCCCTGATACCTGCCCCCACTCCCGGAAAAGGGCTGCTCACAATTTATTAACAAATATGGCTCTTATTAATAATTCTTTGAGCTAGCAGAGCAATCCTAGCTGATTGAAAATAATTACCAGCCTCTCCAGTTGATTAAACAGCACATTTGGATTTTCATTTATATCATCATTTTGATTGAATGATGTGTGTGTACGTGGGGCTGTGTATTAACAAGGTGTCTCTTAAAAGTAATAATAAGTACTCAATGAGAAAGAGTTGCATATTGCTCAGTATAAAAGCAAAAACAAGAAGTCTAAGGCAGGTGAGCAAAAGAACAAAACTGGGACCTAAAATAAATTATGAAAGGCAGACTGTGACAGAGATAAAGTCTCATGGGACGCAATGATAAACACATAGAAAAATACTTATGACGTTCCAAGCATAGCATCAGAGGATTGAAAATTCTGGTCAGCATCAACAAACAAGCAGTGTAATTAATCTGGAACAGAAAGAATACCACAGATGTTTAAAATTTTTTTTTTCTACTGACTCAGTCTCCCGCATACTTACAAATTGAAGCATGTCGATTAATAGCTCCTGAGGTTCACGCCCAACGGGCCCAGTTCCAGGACTGTGTTTGCACTCAATGACATCCTTTTGGATTCAAACTATTTCCCCTAATCAGAATATAAGAATAATTAAAGCCTAAACTCTCTTTGTCTCGCAGTGGTCACCCAAGTGTGTTCTGTTAGAGATTCACTCAACAAGAATAACAAACAAAAACTCCCACCAGAAACTGCTGCGTCTCACAGAAGGGATGCAGGCTGCTCCTCTTTGCTCATGTAACTGAGTGTGGCGCAGCCTCATTCATAACACGATAGTGCTAACTTGCTTCCACCTGGTTCATTTGAATTCGGATTTTGCTGCAGGTCTCCCTCTGGTTTAGTTCCACAAACTTTAAATGCTAGAGAAAAGATTATGCAAACGTGGAAGTTCATAACAACCTGAGGCCATTTTATTTCACAACCTTGAGGAGTAGCGCAAATGTTTTCCTGGAGAGGTAAACCAAGTCACCAAGCTGCTCTGCTGGTGTCTTAACATTTCCTATCAAGTCAGAGGCAAAAAAAACATGAGAATCTCGGCCAGAATTGAAAATTCGCAGGTTTGTTAGAGCACTGCCCTCTCTTAAGCTGGCTTTTTGTTTTTTACCTGCAGTGCTGGTTAAACATGAAATTTTTCTGAAAGGGCAGGGAAAGGCAGAGTGGCCCATATGGATTGGAAAGAGCCAGCTCTGCTGAGGAAGACCTCATCTCAGACCTGGCAGCTCTTCCTTTAAAGAGTGTTGGCTCGCCGGGCGCAGTGGCTCATGCCTGTAATCCCAGCACTTTGGGAGACTGAGGCAGGCAGATCACCTGAGGTCAGGAGTTCAAGACCAGCGTGACCAACATGGAGAAATCCCGTCTCTACTAAAAATACAAAATTAGCCGGGCGTGGTGGCTCATGCTTGTCATTCCAGCTACTCAGGAGGCTGAGGCAGGAGAATTGCTTGAACCCAGGAGGCAGAGGTTGCCGTGAGCCGAGATCGCACCATTGCACTCCAGCCTGCGCAACAAGAGTGAAACTCCATCTCAAAAAAAAAAAAAAAAAAATGCTGGCTCACGGAGCTCCAGGTTACCCTTACCATGGATTGTGCAGATTTCTGAGTGTCCCAAGTCAGAAACATGGCCACCCCTGCCAGGCCCTTTTTAACCTGGAGAGTTCACCCCACGCCTTTCGTTGGACCCACCAAATCTCATATGGGGTTGACACAGGCAACAGCCATCTCACAAACACTGAAATTATATATAATGTACCAAACTGTGAGTTCCTGGATAAGGCCTTATACTTCTTTGCTATGAGATTGATCAGGAGCAAAATCCCTAGATCTCTTTCTGTTTGAGCTATTATTTAAAAAAAAATCTTTGTTATCTATCTTTAGCTGCCAAGGATTCAGCTAAAGAAAGGTATCTTTACAGGTCTTCAGGAGATTTTGGCAGTCAGGCTCTTGGCTAACTCAGAAGGAGGGTCTTGGCTATTTTGCTAAATAGGTTGGTAAAATAGAATATGGAGAGAAGACATGAAACTGTACTAAAAAGACAGTGTTCTTATCTCTAAAAATTGGGTATTCACAATTTAAATGTTATTTTAACTTAGAAATGCATTTTGTCCACATTTACATCCAAGATGCAAAGGTATTCTGACATACATACTTACACACACATAGAAAAAAGTATTCAAAGAGAGGCTGAGAAGTCACCTGTCCACTTAGTAACCAGAATAGAAATAGAAATAGAGAGCAGGTACAAAAATAATTTCTCAGAGTCTTTGGCCTACAAAAGATATATTTGGTTGTTCCATGCGAACTAGCCCTTCCCCCATTGCCTGTATATCCCGTCTTAATAATTCCCATCTCTTTTTATTCTTCCCCAAGTCACTAGGCTAAGAGAATGTTTCTAATTATCTCTAACAAACCCACTTAGGTTATGTTTACATAACAATAAGAAAATGTTTCAGGGAGGAATTAACTATTGCACTGGGGCGTAGGCATTAATTTCTTCATGTAAGATCCAGTTCTTCTTTACTGAATGTTTCATCAAAATGTTTATCTCAAACTAGTAGGCTCAGCCTGGTTAAGGGGTGTTTTCCACATAAAAGCCTCCTGATTGGACAAAAACTGGCCTCACCCAGGGTGTCCTAAGATGGTCTTATCTTTTAACACACTTTCTGACTCCTTTTAGACAAAAGAAGGAAACTAAAACAAAATTGGGGCTAACAATATGGTTAGGAAGATAGGACATTAGTATTAAACCAGGGACAGATATCCTTGTGAAAATGAAAGAAATGTAAAGGACAGAATCATTAAATTTCATAATAGAGCTGGAAGGACTTAAAACTAATCTAATCTTCCTTATTCTACAGCTGTGGAAATGGAGAACCACACAGAGCAAAGTGACTGACCACATTTTCTTTTTTCTTTCTCTTTTTTTTTTTTTTTTTTTTGAGACGGAGTCTTGCTCTGTTGCCCAGGCTGGAGTGCAGTTGAGCGATCTCAGCTCATTGCAACTTCTGCCTCCTGGGTTCAAGCAATTCTCCTGCCTTAGCCTCCCAAGTAGCTGGGACTACAGGGGCCGGCCATTACGCCAGGCTAATTTTTGCATTTTTAGTAGAGATGGGGTTTCACCATGTTGGCCAGGCTGGTCTCGAACACCTGACCTCATGACTGATCACATTTTCTAAAAGCACTGGCCTATGGTCCAAGAGCTAATGTAAACATTTCAAGGCAGATTTTTCTAGATATGCTAGAAAAAAAACTCATCCAATATTCTCTTTTATTCGAAAATCCAATCATTCATATTACAGTCTTTTCCCATATTTCTCTCAAATTTCTCATGCTGACTAGTTCAGGCCAGGTCTAATTTTTGGTAAACTGTCTTGGGGGGCAAATATTCCAAGAGAAGGACCTAGAGTCTGCCCCTGGGTAGAGGGAACCATACCTGCAGCTAGAGATAAACCACTACAGCTGCCAACGTAGGCCTTTGTGCTTAGCAGTTTGCCCGTGACTTGTAGCTAAGGCTTCTTTAGCACACAGGAGACAGAATTCTAATCAGGACCATGTTTTCTGGGTTTACTATACCCCGGCTCAGTCTGAGGGACAGAGAGGAGTGGTTTTGTTTTGATCACTTTCATTTGTGGCAGTCTATGCCTGCCTCTTGCTCTTTCAACAAATCCATGAGATTCCTCATTCTCCTCTTTCCTCTTTTTTAAAATCTTAATTTCCTAGTCATTTCAAATTTGCTGTTTTTCGATTTTCTCCTCCACCTGTCCTTCACCTTAATCCTCTAATCCCATTCGAGCAAAGTAGTAAGTTCTTTTCTTTGTTTTCTCCCCGTAGTTTTCTATTTTTTATTTATTTATTTTTATATCTTGGGAAGTTTACCCTTTTTGCCAAATGTGAATTATGCTCATTTGGACATTTAAGAATTCATTTTCTAGTTTTGATGAGGCTAAAATACTACGGTTTTTTCACTTTTTTTTTTTTTTTTCTAAATCACTAAACTTCTTGAAAGAGGTCTACACTTGGTCTATACTTAGTGTCTTTACATTTCATTAATTCCTCAACCCAATACTGTCTGGCTTCCACCAACACCACTCAATTAAAAATACTCTCTGACCAACATCCTCCCAAGTGGGCAGTTCAATGGCCTCACTTTCTCTTGTTATCCTACTTGACATTTATGCAACATTTGACACGGTTGACCAGTCCCTCCTTATTGAAACTCTCTCTTCTTTCTCCGCCTCTTTTATTTCACCAGCTTCTGCCTCTCTAAGCTTTCTTCTTGGGCTTCCTTTGCTGGTTTCTCCCACCCTTTGATGTTGTTTTTCTAGGGGATCAATTTATGGTCAGCTCACACTGCACACTCCTGCCCTATTCTAATTTCTTTAATAGCTCCATAAGCATTGATAAAGTTCTGTGGCTCATAACTTCTCAGCTGAAGTCCAGTTCATATTTCCTAGGGCCTATAGGACATCTCTTATTTTCTCTGAACAGGCTGTATTACTGTTATTATTATTACCATTATCATGATCATCATGATTAAATTCTCCACCAGTTTGCACATGCTGTTTTCTTTGCTTCCTACATCCTTCTTTCACCACACCAGCTTGGAGCACTCCCGCTAATTATTCAAGACCAGCTCTCCTGCTATCTGTTCTTTGTCACTCTTAGGAAGAGTTAGTTGTTATTTCCTTTCTTCTTTTTGAAGCATTTTGATAGACATAATGACTTACATTAATGGAATTCTTAGGTGCCAATTGCTGATCTAAATTTTTCACACACATTATCTCATTCATTCTGCCTGGTAGCCTCTGATAAAGTTACTCTACCAATTTTGGATGAGGAACCTAAGACTCCATGTAGTAACTTGACCAGGGTCCCATAATAAAGTTTCAATTCCAGGGAGTCTGAATAACCTCCCCAAATAATAGTAGCTAACTTTTACTGACTGATTACTTTGTGCGTGGATTTTCTGTGTTGTCTCATTTAGTCCCCAGAACAGTTAGGAAGGAGTATAATCATGATACCTATTTTATAAATGAGGAAATTGAGGCGTATCTTGCTCAAAACTGCATAGCCTATGAAGTAGCCAAGTGAGAATGTACTTTGTATTATTTATCTCTATGACAAAACTTCCCAAATTGTTCTATGAGTAACCACTTAGGTGCTTCCATCTTGCACACTTCCTTCAGCTCCTTGAAGGCCCAGATGATGTCATTTTCAACTTTAAAACCTTTTATCTAGTCACAAAATGCAAGTTGGATCAATGTGGAGAGAAAGAGAGACCGATAGACAGATTGGCTATTGTTGTCTTTGGGTTGTTTTTCTAGGGCAACTGATATGCACCCACTTTATTATATGTTTTCCATTGCAAATCATTTGTTTTGTGTAGCATTATGAAGTCTAATGTGAAAATGCTGTCTCTGCAAACTTTCTTTTTGAGTAAAAATAGTTTCAGTTCCCAAAGGTAAAATAACTGCTGCCCTGACAATCTGTATCTGCTTCTCTCTCCCTTTAGCAGTTTTTTAGCTGTTGTGTTCAGATGGAAAGTTTACTTGAAAAGACCCTTATCTATTCAGAGATAAATACCACATTTCACAGAATATAAGCTGACAACAAATTCAAGTCATGTCATAGTCTGAAAGAGGACTTTTTTTGTTGAGTGAGACTGTACCCATCTCAGGTACTTGACAGCTCTATTAGTGTTTGTGAAATTACAAAAGTAATACATTATATTGTAGAAAATATCCAAAATACAAAATTGTATATAGTAAAATTTTAAAATCTCCTTTGCTATATATCCTCAATTATTTTCCTTCATTCATTTTGCTTACTATACTTTTTCTAGGCATTATAAACACAAATGTGCATATATGCGTACATGTTGAGTTTTTTAATTTCATAAACTGAGATCACAGTATACACTTTCTTTAGCACATTTTTCTTATAACAATATATCTTCACGTGTCTGTATGAATCAATCTACTTCAATCTTTTTAATGGCTACATAGTGTTCTACGTTAAGGAATGCATACCCTGTAAACCAATTCCATTTAGAAGAATACATGGATTGGTTTCCACAATGCTAACTACATACATATCTTTGTGCACACATGCAAGATTTCTGAGGCTGAGTTCCTCAAAGTAGAGCTGCTGGGTCACTTGGATAGACTCTTCTTGTGGTAGCTGGCCTCCAATAGCTGCCCCCACCACACCACACCTTCCAGATTCACATTCTAATGTGGAAGCTGCCCACATGAGTCTGGGCTACCCATCTTTACAATTTTAGCAAACATAGTAAAATCTATCTACCGTATTTTAATCAACATGGAGAATTTATCTGAATCTATAACTTCCTCTTTCTCCTGAACATGACCAAACCGGTAGCACGCTTTTACTTTTCCCTCTCCTCTCCCATTTTCTGTATTTAATGAAATCCTCTTGCACCATGTCATTTCTTTTTAAATTGCTCTTTTGTAGTTTTAATTTTTTCCACTGGAATAGACATCCTGGTGGTAAGGATTATAAATCATTGCATGTGTAACAATATCTTTATATTTTCTGCATTCTAGATTGATGTTTTCTCTGGTTATGGGATTCTGGGTTCAAGAGAGTTTTCTCTTCTCTTTTTAAAGCAATTTCTTTGTTATGTAGTACTTGTTGATATAAAATGTGATGACAAACTGATTTTTGTTCTTTTAGGTTACCCATGTTTTTTTCTCCTTGGAAAATTTTTAGATTTTTTTTCTCTTTGTCCTTGTAACTCAATAATCTCACTAAGATTCCTTTCTGTTTTTGTTTGCTTTTTAACATTTTCTGACTCAGCAGTTTGTCAGCCATTATCAGGAAGGACATTCAGATTCTGGAATCCTAAAGCTCTCATAGCAAGGAGGCTGAATTTTCTTTTGTGATTATTTCCTGCCTGATACTCCCCCCAACCTTTTTTTTTTTTAATTTTTTTTTTTTAATTTTAAAGAACTGTCAAGCTGTGAGAAAAACCAAAACAATATTATAGAGAAGGAGAAAAATCGGATGTGCATGATTTTAAAAAAATCTTCAACAGTTACATTATTTGTTAATAGCTTTTGACGACCAATCATTCTACTTTTTCCTACTGAATAGGCTTGAATATCTGAAAATAAGATATGTTATCATTCTTCTTGGTCATGAAGGCTACATAGTTACAGCCAGGCACGAGAAATTTAAATTACAGAATTGATGTATTCCCAGGGGTGAGGAAAATCTGCTTTCTGTGTCCCAAAGCCTATATTCTTACTCATTTTCTTGATAAAATTGGAGATGGGCTTGTCTGGAATAGTAATTTGGCCCCATTCATTATGAAATCATTTTCAACAGTTTAACAAGTGCATTTAGATTACATATTTAGATTGCATGAATTTCTAAAAAATATTAATAATATATAAAACTAATGTAAGCTGTCAAAATAAGTCCCTAGCCTAAATAAATAGCTTAAATGTATTAAAGGAAAAACGGTGGATCTAACTGAATATCCATGGGCTAATCTTCAATGAATGTCTCTCTGTGCCAGGTACCTCTGCTATTTTGTATAAGCATTGCTTCTTTTAATCTTCTCAGCAGTCCAGTGAGGCAAGCAATGTTATTACTCTATTTTACATAGGAGGAAACTAAAGTTGAGAGAACTTGCCTAGGATCGTGCAATTAACAAACAACTTGCTGTGATTGAATCCATTCTGCCTAATTCCTCAGGAGTGTTCTCTTATGGTGCACTGTGATTTGAGAAGTGTTCAGGGGCCAAGTGTGGTGGCTCACGCCTGTAATCCCAGCACTTTGGAGGCTGAGGTGGGAGGATCACTTGAGGTCAGGAATTTGAGACCAGCCTGGCCAACATAGTGAAATCCCATCTCAACCAAAACTACAAAAATTAGCCAGGTGTGGTGGCAGTGCCTGTAGTCCCAGCTGCTTGGGAGGCTGAGGTAGGAGACTCGCTTGAACCCAGGAGGTGGAGTTTGCAGTGAGCCGAGATGGTGCCACTGCATTCCATCCTGGGTGACAGAGCGAGACTCTGTCTCAAAAAAAAAAAAAAAAGAAAGAGAGTGTTCAGGAGCTCAAGTCTCTGCATCTCACAATCAGAGAAGACATCCTGGAGGTGGAGGCTCCTGAAGGGATCAGCAGGTGAAAAAGAGAAAGGTATTTTAGGAAAGGGCAATTTTTATAATGATACCCAAGAGTGAAGGGTGCGGCCCATTGGGGAGGATTGTAGGTTGTTGTGTATGGTTTTAAGCATCCCTGTATAAGCCATCAACTTTTCTGAGGCCTGTGTTTGGTACTTTGAATTTTATCAACATTTTGTCTTTTGTCTACACAATTGTCTATTCAGTGATACTCATCAATGAATAAGTGGTTGAAATAACGGAGTGAATGGAGATCTGGTTATTTCAATCACATGGACATAGCTGTAAGATTCAGTTTCCACTATTTAGAATTGGAACCTAAATTACCATGGACTTGAGATAAAATTTATTATAAATGCATGATGAGATTCATTCATATTTATTTATCCAAACAACAGACAGTATGAGATCTTCATGATTCTGGACCATAAGGATTCCAAATAGGCTGTTCACTTATGAGTAGGCCTGTAACACGGACGTGTGAGAATAAACGCCAGAGAAAAATTTTTGGTAAGTAATGTACTTTCAATTTTAAACTTTCAGAGTGTTTCTATGCACATGAATGAATCAAGAGCCAGTGGATGGTTAAGAAAATGCTTTTCACAGAGCCCTTTAAAATTTAACAGGTGCCAAAGAAATTCTACCAAAGAAGCTGAAGTGCATTTTAAGTGTGTATTATCTTCAGTGTTATTGCCTGATACAAGGACAGAATATGAGACCAAGTATCTCTATCCAGGGAATGCATAAATTCCAACTCTGGGTTATATTTCATTATGCTCCAGAAATATCCTGGATGATTAAAGTAATTCATTGTAAAAAAAATGCACCAATTCCTACAGATTTTTGGTTTTCATATGACATAACAAAAAACTTGAAGTAATGAGTTGTACTGTGATTTTATTACATCAACCTACTACTGGTTGTTATATGTCATGTTTATCTGTGGGATCCAATGTAATTGTGTGTGTTAGGCTAAATTCCTTCGTAATTTGAACTCCTCTCTATTGGAATGATCTCTGAGCACTTTAAGGCCTTGGTATCTCTTCAAAAACAAAGGTCTTATCTCTTTAGATCTCACCCTGAATTCCATTTGCCTCTGAATCTCAATCAAAGACAACAGAATAATCCAATTCCCTTTGAAATTTTTGATGCAATCTGATATTGACATGGATCTCAAGAGTAGTCTATGTGAAAAGCATGCTCTCATACTGGATCATTGCCCACATTGTTTTTCTGTATGTGATTCAAAGCTGTTTAGACCAAGGTTTCTCTCAAGTCCCTCATACTATCACAGCTTGGATAAATTCACTTTAGTGTAAAAACATCTTGGTATATCAGCTTCATGAATTTAGGAAATATAAGGGTGTTGTCAGGAAAAAGTGGTATGATTAATCCTTGATATAAGAAAAAGAAGAATGTAATTTGAGACCAAGCTATTGTTCAACAGATGGGCTATTTCTAAGGGCTGACTTCTAGTTTGGAGACGGGCTTGCCTGTAGGACTTGTGATTCTTGTGCAACATCAAAGAGGGAACGGAGGATGTAGGGCTGAACTTACAAGTCACAACATGTTTCCTGGGGCATGAACATTCCTCTTTCTACTCTGGCCCCTAAATTTTATCCTTCAGTGGCCTTCTATTACACCAATTCTCTGAGCCTCTCATATGGGCACTTAATCTATTTATTCTTTTGTCTTGTTTTCAAATTGTCCATGTGTTGACTTGCCTTCACAACCAGATTGAAAGGTCCTGGAGAGCAAGGGTCATGGTTTTTTTTTTTTTTTTCTTGAGATGGAGTCTCATTCTGTCACCCAGGCTGGAGTGCAGTGGTGCAATCTCGGGTCACTGCAACCTCGGTCTCCCGGGTTCAAGCGAGTCTCCTGCCTCAGCCTCCCAAGTAGCTGGGACTACAGGCATGTGCCACCACATCTGGCTAATTTTTTATTTTTAGTAGAGACGGGGTTTCACCATGTTGGCCAGGCTGGTCTTGAACTCCTGGCCTCAGGTGATCTGCCCGCCTCAGCCTCCCAAAGTGCTGGGATTATAGGCGTGAGCCACTGCACCTGCCCAAGGCCCCTGTTTTACATCGCTTTTGTGGCCATTACAGCATCTGATAGTGTGCTGAGGTCACAGGAGACTTCTCTCAATCCTTGTGAAATGGATTCAAATTGAGTAAGGAACCTTGGGAATCTTGACCCAGTGCCAGCACAGATTCCGCAAAATCTATTCTTTCTCATTGGCAGCCACCTCACATCTCATTGTCTGCCCAAGTGCTCTCCGGTGCCTCAACTACCCACATGCATTCTTCTCCTCAAAAGGCATCTTCATTTTTAGCACACCTCAATGGTTTTCCCATTTCTAGTCATTTTCTTCTTCTTGAATGCCAAATTCAGTTAGAGGGCATTAAATGTTTTTTTTAATAAATAATTAACAGGCTAATAGTTAACAAAAACAGATTAACAAATTAATAATTAACAAGTTTAATAGATTATACCTGTGTGATTGCCTCGTCGCAACACGGGATTTAATAATGATATGCTTAAAGGCCGCATAAGTGGATTTTCAGTGTATGAATACAGTTTTTACTTACCATGGCAAAATTCTCATCTTTGCTTGCAAAGCCCAAGCTATTCCTTTATTTTTTTCATTTCCTCTTTTCTCTTAAAAATGTATATTATCTCTAATTCTAAAATTGATAAGTAGGCCGGGCGCAGTGGCTCACACCTGTAATCCCAGCACTTTGGGAGGCTGAGGTGGGTGGATCACCTGAGGTCCGTAGTTTCAAGACCATCCTGGCTAACACAGGGAAACCCCGTCTCTATTAAAAATACAAAAATTAGCTGGGCGTGGTGGCGGGTGCCTGTAATCCCAGCTACTCGGGAGGCTGAGGCAGGAGAATCGCTTGAACCCAAGAGGCAGAGGTTGCAGTGAGCCGAGAACGCACCACTGCACTCCAGCCTGGGCGACAAGAGTGAAACTCTGTCTCAAAAAAAAAAAAAAATCGATAAGTAGTTACTGTAAAGATTTTCTCAAATGCAGGAGGACAACAACAGCAAAAATCTACCCATAATCCCATCATCCGGAGATAAACATGACTAAAATAATTTTCTTCCAGGCTTTCTTATGCATATGCATGTGCATGACCCTTGCTTCATAAGCTTGGATATATGACATGTTTTCTAATTTCCTTAAATCCAAATGAAATCTGGCATTATCCTTCCAGAGGATACTACAATCACCTTGCCAACTTTGAGAAAACTTCACTGATGTTTTTATTATAATTGACTGGAAATGATAAATTAATGCATGGAAAGTAGGTATTTTGATAATATTTAGTCTCATCTAAGAATATGGTATATGAACTTTATTCAAGTTTTCTTTTGTCTCTCAGTAAGTTGTTGTAGGTGTTTTGTGTGTGTGTGAGGTGGGGAAATACAGAAGTCGTACCCTTTCTAAGTTATTTCTAGGTATTTAACATTTTTTAAAACTGCAATCATGAAAAGAATCTGTTTATCCTTACATTTACTGCTATTGCTGGCATTATTTAAGAAGGTACTGATTTTGGGGGTATGTACTTTGTTTTCGATCATATTAGGTGAACATTCTTATTAGTTCTATCATCATAGTTTTTCAATGTATTCCCTGAAAGTTCTAAGTAGACCATAGCATCATTTATGAATAATAATAGTTATAATTCTTATTTCCATTTCATCTCTTACTGCATTGACTAGAATGCGTAGAACAAGATTAACAATGCTGGCATCCCTGTTTTAAAAGGAATGGATTGAGTGTTTTATGAACATATTTTAGCTGCTTTTTGAGATAAATGTTCTTTTTCATGCTAAGTAATCAATAGTTGCTTTTAAAATATGTTGTTTGGATTAAGAGTTTCTTAGAATTTTGCAGCCACCTGTTTTAAAAAAAAATCCATTGTCTTGATGGTAAAAGTGTGAACTTAAGCACAATTTACTAAATATTGATCACTAATGGATAGTAGTAGGGTAATTATAATAGCTATTAACACTTGTAACATTTGTTTACATTATTCCACTTAACTTAGACTTTATTGTCCTATTTACATTTTTGTTTTTATCAGTTATATTTGCATTTTTCTTTCTTCTTCCACTGCACCATAATCTTCTTGGTAAGTCATATTTTTCTTTTGGAAAATCCACAATGTCTTCTAAAGTGTTCACAATCCATGAATATGTGTTATTGATGACCTACTTACTTAGCACTAATAAAAACAATAATAGCAACTTAATATTTATTGAGCACTTAGTATGTGCCAGACAGTTCTAAACACTTTATACACTACCTTTTTTTTTTTTTGAGACGGAGTCTCGCTCTGTCACCCAGGCTGGAGTACAGTGGCACAATCTCGGCTCGCTGCAAGCTCTGCCTCCCGGGTTCATGCCATTCTCCTGCCTCAGCCTCCTGAGTAGCTGGGACTACAGGCGCCCACCAACACGCCTGGCTAATTTTCTGTATTTTTAGTAGAGACGGAGTTTCACCGTGTTAGCCAGGATGGTCTCGATCTCCTGACCTCGTGATCCACCCACCTTGGCCTCCCAAAGTGCTGGGATTACAGACATGAGCCACCGTGCCCGGCCTACACTAGCTTTTTAACCCACACAGTAATCCTTAGAAGTATTAGATACTATTATACACTTTTTTCCATATGAGGGAACTGGGAGAGATTAAGCAGATTGTTTGAGGTGTGCACCTAGGCAATTATAGAGCCTGAATTTGAATCTAGGCAACCTAACCCCAGAGTGATGCTCCTTTCCATAGATGGCCATGTTACTGTATAAATCATGCTGGTAAAACTTCTTTAAATACAATTTTGATCCTGCTTTATACCTATGCAACACTGAGCAACCAATATGGTAGGGTAAGACTCGAAAGATGTTTCTCTGGAATAGCATTTAATTTTTGCTTTTGTTTGTACTTCTCAAGATTGAATTTTTGATTCATCTATGTGAAATGGCCCTAAGAATGTCTTATTCTGTAATCTTCATAGTTTAAGATAGATTAATCCATGAAACTAAAGCCATAAAGTTATCTCTTTACTAAGGAATTATCTCTTGAATCTTTGGCAAAATTAATTAATTAATTAATTAATTATTTACATTTTTTTTGAGATGGAATCTCACTCTGTCACCCAGGCTGGAGTGCAGTGGTGCGATCTCAGCTCACTGCAAGCTCCGCCTCCTGGGTTCACACCATTCTCCTGCCTCAGCCTCCTGAGTAGCTGGGACTACAGGCTGCCGCCACCACACTCGGCTACTTTTTTGTATTTTTAGTAGAGATGGGGTTTCACCGTGTTGGCCAGGATGGTCTCGATCTCCTGACCTCATGATCCACCCGCCTCGGCCTCCCAAAGTGCTGGGATTACACGCATGAGCCACCGCGCCTGGCCAATTCTTTATTTTTATTGAAAGCAAAGATTATTTTATCTTTGTGGCAGAATCAATATTCACTGTTAGTAAATTACAATGATGCATACCAGCTTTGAATAGTCTACACTGAGACAGATTTCCCAGGATTTTCTGGCTAACTAGTTAAACTGTCTGTACTCTGTTGAGTACAGGGTGGACTCACAGGGGCCCGGAGGAAGTGTGGAGCAATGGGGCTGTGGTCCAACTATCACCAGTCACTTGTGTGATCACTGGAAAACCAGCAAAGTGTTCTTGTGTATGAAAGAGTATGTCCAACTAAGTAAAATAGGATTAAATTTTCTTCTAGAGGTAGATGTTTATTGTTTATATGACTGAGAAATTCAGAAGTTTCAAAAATATATTTTGATATACATAAAGACAATTCTACTTTTTGGCCATTTGAAATCTCTCAATATCTTGTTTAATCAATATACACACTATCTGAAAATCTTAAACATTACCAGTTTACAATATACATTAAACATCTTCAATTCTGAGTGACAGAATCATCATTCTTATGCTCCTTTAGAACATAAATTTAATTGACTCTTCTAGATATACTGTAGCTGCAATCACATTCATGCTCCTTTTCTTTATCCCATATGTTCACAAACAATTAAAATAATAACAAAATAATAGCTGCCCCTGGTTCCACTATAAAAATAGTGCTTTAGAAAGAGTTTATTTCAGGTTATCAAACACTACTTATTTTCACAGTTTCAAGTCTATCGGCAAAATTCTATTTTCCCATAATTTTAATTTCTACCAGCTTAGATTATAGTCCTTGGAGTTGATGTTTCTCAAACTAATCAAGCTTCTTTATTGAAAAAGAACTTTTTCCCACATTTATTTTGTATCTCCCAGTTGTGACTACTTTCAGTGTTTTAATTGCAGGTTAGTTTGGGCTATCTGCATAAAGATGAATTAGTTTGGAAGCCAAATTTCATTACTCCTACTACAAAGATAGGCTCAATAACAGATGCAACAAATTTTAACTATCATTTCCGTCGGGATCACAGATGGTATTGACATGGAATGCATCTGTGGCACAGGCCAGCGAAGAGATGGGTTGGCTTCCTCTTCGAGTCAGAGCAAAAGGATGTGGCAAAAAAGATCTAAGGATGCCATGAGGAATTCCATGTGTACATGCAGGTCGTGGTGAGTCAATTATAACAGATTCAGAGCTCATCTGTGGGGAACCTGGGGAAAGACTGGGTCCCGGGTGAGCCACAGTTTTTCTACTCCGTTTCTGGCAGAATCTAGAATGAAGCATACATGTGATAAAGTGTTTACACTTAAAGAATAGATAGAAAAGACTTCTAAGTGGGACAAGTGTTTTAGCAAGCAGGAATATGGTCACAGTAAGTGTGAATCCCCTTGCACTACTGTCAAGGAGAGTTATGCATCCAGAGATAAATGAAGTGGCAAGGTAAATAGATAAAACCTATATGTGAAAGATAAAAAGTAAAAATAAATGTGAGGCAGGATTGTACTATTGAGTATATAATTGAGTATATTGACAAGGATATACAAGAGGGCTGAGATTAGCCAGTTGTTAATTTAACAAATACTACTGGGCACCTACTATGTGCTAGAAACTGTGAGAGTTCCCAAGAGACAACAACGTGCAAACTAAACATGGTTCTGAATTTTCCAGAGTTTATAGTCTTGTTGGGGAGGCTTTATGCATGGTAAAACACTAGCACCAATGTAAAGGATAAATATATCATAGAAACAATCTTTTTCTTTTGCTTTTGCTTTTTCAAGACAGAGTCTCGCTCTGTCGCCAGGCTGGAGTGCAGTGGCGAGATCTCGGCTCACTGCAACCTCCGACTCCCGGGTTCACGCAATTCTCCTGTCTCAGCCTCCCGAGTAGCTGGGATTACAGGCATGCGCCACCACACCCAGCTAATTGTATTTTTTTTTTTCGGTAGAGATGGGGTTTCACCATGTTGGCCAGGATGGTCTCGATCCCCTGACCTCATGATCCGCCTGCCTCAGCCTCCCAAAGTGCTGGGATTACAGGCATGAGCCACTGCGCCCAGCCCAATCTTTTTCTTTTTATCATTCACAATATTTGTACTTGTAGATTCCATCCTTTTCACTATCATAAACTATTAGTGAAACAATAAGCATTTTACACATATTAACTCACTTAATTATTGCAATACTTTCTGCAGCAGAACTATTAATATTCTCAGTTTTACAAATGAATATGCTGAGGTGTAGAAAGATTGGAGTTATCTGCTCAAAACTGAACAGCTTTTAGCTGGGGGGCTGGGAACCAAACCCTGGCAGTCTAGAGGTCCGGAGTGTGTGCTCCTAATCATGACTGTATTGCAGTGATGCAATTCTTCACGTTAAACTTCCTGTAAAACTTTATGCAGAGTGCTACTATTTATTAATTTCCCTTTCATGGGATCATAATGTTCCTGTGCCATTTATGTTTTCTGGAATGCTCTGCATACAATGAGCCTTTGGAATATGTTATTGATAAGTGGCCTCATCAGCCAGACTAAGAGGGTCATCTTGTTGCATAAATGGTGATGGTAAACTTCATTAAATGTAGTTTTAATCCTGTTTGGTAACTGTCAGTTAACCTCAGTTGACAGGCTTTTAAGTAAGAATAAACCCTGGGGAAGTAAGGAGGACTTATCTCGGGAAAGTTCCTGGCATATGCCATACAGTGATGCTTCAAGGAGGCTGGGAGGATAGATGGTGACCAACAGCATCTCTCTGAGGAGGCTATTCTTGGGACAAAACTCCTCTACCTTCCTTTTTTTTTTTTTCTTTTGAGACAGGGTCTCACTCCGTCGCCCAGGCTGAGTGCAGTGGCATGATCCTGCCTCATTGCAACCTCTGCTTCTCAGGTTCAAGAGATTCTCATGCCTCAGCCTCCCGAGTAGCTGGGACTACAGGCGCACACCACCACGCTTGGCTAATTTTTGTATTTTTTGGTAGAGACAGGTTTCACTGTGTTGTCCAGGCTGGTCTCGAACTCCTGGCCTCAAGTGATCCACCCTCCCGGCCTCCAAAAGTGTTAGAATTACAGGTGTGAGTCACCGTGCCCAGTCTACCTGCTTTTTCTCCATAGTGCAATTCTCTCTTCACTTTCATTCTCCATAGAACGTGCCTTGTTATTACACTCTGCTTCTATTGCTTCATGGCACTGACTGCACACTTATTTCCACAGTGCTTTGTATTTGCTGACATACTTCCGAGCCTCAGTTTTAAATTTCCCATGAGATAGTATCCCATGAGACCTGGTTTAAGGCACCTGGTTTAGGGCAGAGGTTTGGTGCTGGTGTTCCCATGAGTTGATGACCAGTCTGGACCTCGACTCAGAAGTTGACCCTGGTCCACTAATTTGTGGCCAGGTTGTGATATGTCAGCAGCTTCTGCAGGGAGAATCTGGGATGTGAGTAGTAAAATTACTGAACACAATTTGTGTAGCTTTTTCAGTATATACAATTATTAATGTATTTCCACATCGAATACCTGACTTATGATCCATGTCAGTAATTTGTGTGGCCAGTGGGACAGGGAACAGAGAAAGAATCTGTTAGAATGAAAAGAGAATTAGGGAAGATGGACCATGAAACTGTTAGAATTTCATAAATATTAAATTTTGAACAAATTTCTAAAAACAGAGTTGTTCATAATGTGGTTAATTATGAAGTTGTTGATAATAAAGTAATAGGGCAGAAAGGAACCTTAGGAGATTAACTAGATCATTTGCTACTCTGAGAAACTAAAACAGGTGGATGCCAACCATTTAAACATTTATATCCAGAGGAAAACCTTCTAAAAACTGTGGAACAATGTGCTCTTGAGAAGCCACTAAAATAGGTGGCCTGCGCCTCCTCTCAATCTCTTCATCTCCGTTACTCCTTTTAATTTCTCTTTGCACCTATCGCTACTTGCACAGCACATATCTATGCCTTTATTTGTGCTTGTCTCTCCTGCTAGAATATAAGGTTATTCTAGCTGCTTGGTCTCTTTCACTCAGCACTCTATTTCCAGTGCCTAGAAAGTACCTGGCCTGTGGTAGATGTTTATAAATGTTTGTTGAGGCCGGGCGCAGGGGCTCACACCTGTGATCCCAGCACTTTGGGAGGCCGAGGCGGGCGGATCAGTTGAGGTCAGGAGTTTGAGACCAGCCTGGCCAACAGGGTGAAACCCCAATGTCTACTAAATACAAATATTAGCTGGGTATGGTGGCGGATGCCTGTAATCCCAGCTACTCGGGAGGCTGAGGCAGGGAGAGTTGTTTGAACCCGGGAGGCAGAGATTGCAGTGAGCCAAGATCATGCCGCTGCACTCCAGCCTGGGTGACAGAGTGAGACTCCATGTCAAAAATATATAATAATAATAATAATAATAATAATAATAATAATTGTATACATTTATTGAGGGTAAGAATATTAACATGGATTGAAACACAGCATTAATTATTTCTCTACCTTTTTGGACTCAAGAATCCTTTTCACAACAATGTATAACATCTCTGGTCCAGTTAATTCTTTATCTCTGTATTATTTTAGCAACATATTATGGCATCAAAAATAAACACATATTTCTTTACTCACTTGATATTAGAAATTTTCATACATGTGCTCAAAAAATCAATGTTTTAAAAAATGTATTTTCTGATTTGTTTCTAATTGGTGAACTGAGTGAGAGACTTTGCGGCTCTATTTGTAAATATTTCTTGTAAAAATATCTTTTTTCCCCCAACCCCCCAACAATAGATTAAAAGCTAAATTAGACATAACTGTCATTATACTTTTATTTTTTTAACTTTGGCTTTTGAAATATTGGAGATATTTCAATGTACTATGTAGGAATTTAAATTAAATAAATGAACCTTGTGGATCTGTTGAGGATCATCTCGAGGTGAATTTGCAGAATTATTATCATTTATTGCTTTTCATCAACTATATAATTGAGAAGGTTTTCCCAATGATTTATACCACCATAAAACACTTGGTCTTATTTCTATTAATTATGATTTGGAAGATGTAGTAAGTATAATGTTAATGAACATGTTGAATGATGTTAGATTAATTGGAATGACAAAAACGCCTTAAGCAAAGAGTGATAGTTGGAGAGTATTGGCCAATCCAAAGATAAACTATTATTTACTTTGTGTACTGCCCTGTCCTTAGAAATGTGGTCCTGAGCAAGAAATTAGAGTCAATCGCTGATCATAATTTCTTATTTTTTTTTAAGAAAACTTTTTATTATGGAAATTTCAAACATACACAAAAATAACTCCAATATTATTCATCTAACTTCAACCATAATAAACTCATGACCAGTCTTGTTTTCATATATATTCCCATCCAACCCCTTTCTCTCTCCATCTGAACACCACTGGATTATTTTAAATCCAATCCAAGACATCATATCACTTCATTCCTGGTTTTAATGGGCCTTTTGTTGGGAGAGAAAGGGGGAAGAGAACTAGTAGCATTTATGTAGCGGTGTGGTAGGAAGATCAGCGCAAAGCTCGTCTGTTTTCCAAAATGCCTGATATTGGTGGGCCATGGGTGTTAGAAATCACCAGGGAATTACGTATCTTTGGCTATTGCTCTAAACATAAGAACTAGGTAAATGACCTTGCAAAATGCACATCTTTCTGAGAGTGGAAAATACATTAATTTTCAGAAATTATAGGTATGCATTTTAAAATCAGATTCACATACAATCATCTGATCCAAGGTATAACCATAATGAAGCGGAATTTTGGGCAGATATGTTTCAGAGATAATTAGAAATGTCACAAAAAATTTCAGAAACTAGAACTTGATCTTCACCAGCAATGACAACAGTACACTAGAATTTTTGTTGGGGGGCAGTAAGGGAAAGAGGAGAGAACTTTGTGCAGAAATAAGCAGGAGGAAGATTCTCTTCTCACTTTTCACAACCTTCTTGGCAAATATTAAATAATATCTTTGTCTGTGGCATCAATTATTCTCTGTGTCGGTGATTTCTAGGTCTGCGTTTCTGTAACTTTCCTTAGTTTTGCTTCAAACATATAACTCCTTTGGTCCAAATATATAAATAGCTCTTTCTACATAGTTGTGTACAAACTTCCTCATATACAACATGTCTGGGAGAGACCATTCTGACCCCAAAGCATATTTTCCCTCCCATTTTTTTCATCTGTATGACTAGCATCATCATCCAGGTAGGTATCCAAGTTAGAAACAAGAATCTTAGTCTTCTCCTTCCTCTCCCTTAATCTTTAGATGAATCAGTCATTAGTTCTTGTCCCGTCTGCCTCTCAAAAAACTCTTACTAGATCTGCCTTAATTCCACTTTTTGTTTGTTTGTTTTGGTTAGAACTAGTAAACTTGTCTTAGATTGAATCCATTCTTCACCCTGCTGTTAGGCTTAATCTTAGCCAAAAGCCCGAGAAGTGATCACCCTGCTGTTAGAGACATGTTGAATATAAAAATCTGTTATCTCTCCACTCTGCAATTCTTAAACTTACCCCTTTATTTATTTATTTATTTATTTATTTATTTATTTATTTTTATTTATTTTTTGAGACGGAGTCTCTCTCTGTAGCCCAGGCTGGAGTGCAGTGGTGGGATCTCGTCTCACTGCAGCCTCTGCCTCCTGGGTTCAAGTGATTCTCCCGCCTCAGCCTTCCGAGTAGCTGGGATTACAGGTGCGTGCTCCCAAGCCTGGCTAATTTTTGCATTTTTAGTAGAGACGGGGTTTCACCACATTGGCCAGGCTGGTCTTGGTCTCGAACTCCTGACCTCAAGTGATCTGCCCGTCTCGGCCTCCCAAAGTGCTGGGATTACAGGCGTGAGCCACTGCGCCCAGCCAAACTTACCCCTTTATATGGCAAATATGACTCTTTACAATCTAGCCCTCCCTTACTTTTTTGGTTCGTCTCTGGCTATTTTTTAACGACTTTACCGTCTAACAATACGGAAAGACATGTAGTTCTCTAAACATGCCACGATACGGATTCTAATTCAGATGGGGCTGTAAATTCTATTCAGACACTCCTCAACTGACAATGGGGTTACATCCAGATAAACTCATCAATTTACAATATTTTCAATTTATAATAGATTTTTCCAGACCTAACTTCATCATGAGTAAATGAGTGAACAGAATGCATATTGCTTTTGTACTATCGTAAAGTTGAAAAATCCTAAGGAGAATCATCATAAATTGGGGACCATCTGTATTTCTTTTTCTTTTCTTTTCTTTTTTTTTTAAAGACGGAGTCTCACTGTGTTGCCCAGGCTGGAGTGGAATGGTGCCATCTCAGCTCACTGCAACCTCCCGAGCTCAAGCGATTCTCCTGCCTCAGCCTCCCGAGTAGCTGGGATTACAGGCGCCCGCCACCACGCCCGGCTAATTTTTGTATTTTCAGTAGAGACGGGGGCTTCACCATGTTGGACAGACTGGTCTTGAACTCCTGACCTCAGGTGATCCACCCGCCTCAGCCTCCCAAAGTGCTGGGATTACAGGCATGCGCCACCACTCCCTGCCGACCATCTGGTTGATGGCGTATGCCTGCAGTCCCAGCTACTCGGGAGGCTGTGACAGGAGAATAGCTTGAACCCAGGAGGCGGAGGTTGCAGTGAGCCGAGATTGAGCCACTGCACTCCAGCCTGGCAAAAGAGTGAGACTCTACCTCAAAAAAAAAAAAAAAAAAAAAAAAAAAAAGACTATCTGTATTTCTAGTAAGATGTCAGCTGATGCTGCTGGTCCACAGACCACATCTTAGCAGCAAGGACTACAGGATCTATGCTCATCCTGTCTCTTAATTACTAGAGGAGTCATGGTTCTTTCTTCCCCTTGCCGTTCATTCTGTTTTAACTGCTTTATGGTTTCAGCCATTTTATTTTGCACATCAGTCAGTTTCTCTCCCTAGATCACCAACTTGGCCAAATCCTTGTCCCCTTTAAGTCTCAACTCAGATACAATTTAGAAAACTGCCCTGTTATTCTGTTATTGCACTAGCGCATTGCATTCTGGATTCTTACTTGTCTATTTCCCCATTCAAAGTGTTCTCAGAATTACTCACAGTGCCAGGCACATGGGAGAAACACAGAAAATATTTGTGGAAAAATAGATAGGTGAAAATTTCCCCTTGATGACTTTATGATTGTGCTTTGACATTCCCATGGTATTCCCAGCATTTTATGGAGTAGTAAGTAAATATTTCTTTTTCTTTTTTTTTTTCACTTTTTAAATGTGCATTTCTTTAATTTTTAAAAATATACACAGGAGAAGCCATATGTTTTACATAGGAATACACACATTAACAAAGCATTTCTTATAGTTTTCCAAAACTCTATTAAAATCAGTCCAAAATTTATAAATTAAAGGAGAATTCTTAAAGTTAAAATGAATTCCCTGAAACTACTGGATATGCTAGACTTTTTCCAAAATCAAATGAACAGAGGATATGGATGTGGTTTGTGTTAAATAAGGTTTATTGTTAGCTTCATTGCCTATAGTCTATAAGACGCAACTTTATTGTGCCTTTGCAAACAGGATACATTTCTAAATATTTCTAAAGAGTCCTGAAAGTGGCTGGGTGCGGTGGCTCATGCCTGTAATCCCAGCACCTTGGGAGGCCAAGGTGGGCAGATCACCTGAGGTCGGGAGTTTGAGACCAGCCTGACCAACATGATGAAACCCCATCTCTACTAAAAATACAAAATTAGCCAGGCGTGGTGGCACATGCCTGTAATCCCAGCTGCTGGGGAGGCTGAGGCAGGAGAACCACTTGAACCTGGGAGGCGGAGGTTGCAGTGAGCCAAGATTGAGCCATTGCACTCCAGCCTGGGTGACAAGAGCAAAACTCCATCTCAGAAACACACACACACACACACACACACACACAAAAAACAGAGTCCTGAAAGTTTCATGAACCACAGACCTTAGAGATTTATTTGTAATCCCATTTTCATAATAGTATGGTAACCACAAACTAAGGGGCCCAGGTTTATCTCTGGAGAAGCTTCATAGAGCAGCCATTTGGGCTTTGATTAACTTATCATAGTTTGTCTTTAGCCCTAAGGCTTGTAGGCCCAGAAAGCTGAGGTGTCAACATTTTGAGCAAGTGTTCCTTTCTCAGTGGGGAGAGTCACGTTAACCCAGCTTTTAAGATTGATGTATAATTTAGAA
Organism: Homo sapiens; assembly: GCF_000001405.40. NCBI lineage: Eukaryota > Metazoa > Chordata > Mammalia > Primates > Hominidae > Homo > Homo sapiens. The sequence goes on from NC_000006.12 coordinate 139,465,767, forward strand.
AGTCAACCCATTTATTGACTGTGACAAGTTACGGCCTTAAGAACCAGAATATTAGAACCTCCATGATTAGCCCTTTCCTTGAGTACTCAAACTTTAAGGCAAGTCAACCCATACTTCAAATTTGTTTTGTAGGGCAGAATCTGAAAAGTAGGATTTAGATACATTGGATATATAGTGGCATCAGGTTAAGTTGGCTTGAAACATCTAAACAGCATTGGGAATAATCTTGCCAATAGGACCAGAAATTGTTAAGGTCTAGCAGCATGTTTTGCATTCATCTCTACTAAAAGAATGAATTTTCAGTGGGTCCGAAAATGCTCAATCAACCTCAAAGTCTGATGAGGGAGCGGACATTCCCAGAGCACCTGGATGGGCCCTGCCACTGTTTGCCTCTGGGAGTCTTCCTTTACCATCCTTCCATGGCAATGAGCCCCCTTTAGGGTAGACTTATTTTTTTCACGGAGCAATTCTTCCTTTTTAAAGGTGACTTTGCATAATTCTGCTCTGATCCTTCATGTCTTGTTTTCCATTATTTCAAAGACCTAGGAAGCACTTTCCAATAAACTTCCAAGTGATGCTTAAAAAATAACCTTCTGCCTCTGCAGTGAAGGCAGGGCTGGCCTTGTAAACAAGGCTGATGCTTGTAAGACCTGATAAAGGGAACGTCCTCCAGCCCAACTTCTTGGCATAAAAAGGAAAAAATAAAATTTCTTTTCCTCTGCCAAATACTGTAGATTCAGTCATTTCTTTTACTCAAATAAAAATGCCTCTGGGAGAGTAATACTATTCTCACCCTTCTCTCTCTCTGTGAAGTTTCACTGGGTGTGATGGAGGATGAAGTACCCATCACAGTATTAAATATCTGAGTGGGTAGAGAGTATTGGGGCCTTAGGTCTTTGTTCCAAAGCCCACCATTTTAGACTGTAGTCATCCTTTTTTTTTGTTTTGTTTTTTGAGAAAGGGTCTCTGTTGCCCAGGCTGGAGTGCAGTGGAGCAATCTCGGCTGACTGCAACCTCCATCTCCCTGGTTAAAGCTATTCCCCTGCCTCAGCCTCCCAAGTAAGTGGGATTACAGGTATGTGGCACGATGGCCAGCTATTTTTTTCTTTTTTTTTTTTGAATTTTTAGTAGACACTGGGTTTCACCATGTTGGCCAGATTGGTCTTGAACTCCTGACCTCAAGTGATCTGCCCGCCTTGGCCTCCCAAAGTGCTGAGATTACAGGTGTGAGCCATCTCATCCAGCCAGACTGTAATTACCTTACATTGCCATGAAGTTGTTGAGAGAATAGGAATCTGCACATAGAGCAAAAAAAATCCCAATAAATTATGAGAAGGCCGATGGGTGAAGGGTGAGAGTGCAGCTGCATCTTGATTACTTAGGCTAATAGTTCTTGGAATATGTACCCAGGGAAGTTATGAGTTTTCTCCCCATTGGATATAAATATTTAAATCATTGACAAGTGTGTCTTCAGTGGAGATTGACACAGTGAAATGTTTCTCTGTCTTGAATGTGCACTCAGTAGGTGTGATGCAGAGTAGGCATTTTTCTTTTCTGGAGATGGGGGGGGTCTCACTATGTTGCCCAGGCTGGTGTTGCACTCCTAGGCTCAAGTGATCCTCTCACCTCAGCCTCCTGAGGAGCTGGGACTACAGGTGTGTGCCACCATGTCTGGCTAATTTTTAAATTCTTCATAGAGATGGGGTTTCTCTATGTTGCCCAGGCCGGTCTCAAACTCCTGGGCTCAAGAGATCCTCCTGGGGTGCCGTGTACACTATTCGGGTGATGGGTGTACCAAAATCTCAAAAATCACCACCAAAGAACTTATCCACGTAACCAAACACCACCTATTTCCCCGAAACTATTGAAATAACAATAATAATAAAGAAATCTGCTGGACGTGGTGGGTCACGCCTGTAATCCCAGCACTTTGGGAGGCCGAGGTCGGCAGGATCACCTGAGGTCAGGAGCTCAAGACCAGCCTGGCCAACATGGCAAAACCCCGTCTATACTAAAAGTACAAAAATTAGCCGGGCATGGTGGCGGGCGCCTGTAATCCCAGCTACTCAGGAGGCTGAGCCAGGAGAATCACTTGAACCTGGGAGGCGGAAGTTGCAGTGAGCTGATATCCCGCCACTGCATTCTAGCCTGGGCGACAAGAGCGAGACTCCATCTCAAAAAAAAAAAAAAAAAAAAGAAATCCACCTGCCTTAACCTCCCAAAGTGCTGGGATTATAGTTATAGCCACCATGCCCAGCTGAGAGTCTGCATTTTTGACAAGCTCCCAGCTGAGGCTATGGGTCCATGGATTGCATATTGAGTAGCAAGGGCTACAAGATCCCCTGAGGTTTATTCCCACCCTCTCAATTACCAGCCAAGTCAAAGCTCTTCCTTTTTCTTGCCATTTGTTCTGTTTTACCTGCTTTCTGTGTACAGCTATTTTATTTCACAGAATCAACCATGTCATATGGTAGAAAACCTTTCTCAGGCATGTGGATTTGCATGGCCTTGGAAACATTCAGTAATGGGGAATTGTTGAACAACAAGGAAAAAATACTAGAGGGGGATGGTACTGTGTGGGTGGAGAAGGAGAGAGAGTGGTGGTGTGTGTGTGCACGCTGCAAGGGTGGGGTAGGGAGGAAAAAGGATATAATAGGTCTCACTGGAATGTGGAAATGTGTGTATGTAAAGAGACCTGTTAACTCATGTCTAAAATAGCATAACACCCCAGCATGGTTGGGCAAGTACAGTAGCAAAATGGAAAAAAAAAAAATCTAGGGAATGTCAAAGAATATTTTGGAATAATATAACCCCACTTCATGGTTTCTTTTCTCTTCTTTGCTGTTGTTGGTTGGATGTAGTTCTCTGCTGTTCAGAGTTTGCTCCGTTCCCTATCCTGTTTTGCAGGGATGAGGTGGAAGGCATTACAAAGGGAGAAATTTCTACTGTTTGTGGCCAAACAGTATTCAGGATGTCATTATTCCAGTTTCACTTAAGTCGTCTATCCAAAGTGTTATTATATAATTTATCTGCACAAATCCGATGTAACACCCTGACCTTCCTGACTTTGCTCTTTCTTTTTTTTAACCTTGTCTTTGTGCAGATTACACATTAATGGTGGAGAATTTTTTTCCCATTAAAAATAAAACTGCTTGAAATTTCACTTGTCAACTTTTCTCTTCATTTTAGTCACCCTCTCCCCATTTCAATTCTTCGGAGTCAGAAATTCCATAAGTATTTTATATTGTTGTTGTTAGTTTTCTCTTATTTATTAAATTGTTTTCCACAATTATGCATTCTTTTACCAGCCTTTAGAGTACAAAGACATTTCAAAATAATGCAAATAACAAAATTTTAACTGATCAAATGGCAGTAAAAACACTTCAAAGAGTTTCCCTTGGAGAAGTTTTTTGAAAACATAATCTTTCACCAGAAAGCTCAGAAAATGTATGTTAGGCCTGTCTTTAACATCATTTTCTGTGATATCTTTTCTTCATGATGGTAAGAAAAAGTATAGTAACTAAAACAAAGAAGACTGTTAGATGTATTGCAATTGTGATAAAACTCCAATGTTCAAATGCAGATTTTGTTTCGTTTCTCTGTTTCTCTATAGGGCTTACATTTCACATCTGCCTGTGCAGTTCTGTGGCTTAGACATCTCTGGAAAGTTTGTATTTGTTCAGAAGAAAGTGGCTTTTATGGAGATGTCACTGGAAAATGTTACTTTTGATTGCTTGGACTACTTAGGATTTTACGTATGTAAAGTGCCACATAATCCCATCAGTGGTTATTCCCCATAAACAATTTCATGACTTAATTTATTATTGCTACATCCATTTTATAGATGGTAATACCGAGGAATGAGTTACAGGACAGTTGAAATTAGCACCTACAATCACAAAGTTTTCCCAGACAGTTGTATAGTTTAAACTATAGACTGCAGAAGTGTTTCTTTGTGCCAAATATCTGATAAAAAGTGAAATATCTGGGGGCTCGGCATCTCTAGGGTTGTGTCTGGGTATGTAAAGGAAAAATGATATCTGAATCAGTTATATAATGTCATTGAGAAAAAAAAAATCTCTTGAAGTGGGAAAATTGTGGGTCCCATTGGCTCAATGGTCCTCCCTGGCAAACAAAATCTGCCAGATCATTGCTCAACTTGAATTTGTTTTCGTAAACATGGCTATCTGTTACAGTGCCACAAACAGCTGCCTTCCACGTTCTTTTAATTTTACTTTAAATCCTGAAAATGTGTCAATCAGATCTTAATGGTCACCTTAAGATTATACTGCTGTGACCTCAGAGAACCAGACAGTCTATGCGTAGAATGAAGTGGGTAGAGGTATCTTGACCGTCCTGCTCTATTTGCCTACAGCCATTAGTATTGGCTTTAGAAAGTGTATTCTAGTGAATGAGCTGGTAGGATCAGTGTGCATTGCTGTTCTCGGGGGAATTTTTCATAGCCCTTCATCAAATGGTGCAGTATCAGAGGTTCTCAATGACAGCCGGACTCTTAACTTCAATAAGGACATAAGCAGCATGGGGCAGAGGACATAGAGAGGCAAAGGAGGGTTATGTCTTACTACAGTGCTCTTGCTGCTCCCTAACATGATGTAGGATCCTCAGTTCTTCCTCCCTGTCGACATCTGGATTTTAGTCGTGTAAGACCCATTTTGGACTTCTGACCGCCAGAACTGTAAGATAATGAAGTCACTAAGTGTGTGGGAACTTGTAACAGCAGTAATAGGAAACTAACCCAGGCACTTTTTGCCTTCATGGGCTCTTTCCTCCAGTGAAAAAGTAGAAAATTGTATTTTATGATCATGTTGGTATAAAGATGAATATGGTATATATTAAAAAGGCTTTCTAGGCCGGGCGTGGTGGCTCACACCTGTAATCTCAGCACTTTAGGAGGCCAAGGCAGGAGGATCACAATGTCAGAAGTTCAAGACCAGCCTGGCCGAGATGGTGAAACTCCATCTCTACTAAAAATACAAAAAATTAGCCGGGCGTGGTGGCAGGCGCCTGTAATCCCAACTCCTGGGGAGGCTGAGGCAGAGAATTGCTTAAACCTGGGAGGCGGAGCTTGCGGTGAGCCAAGATCGCGCCACTGTACTCCAGCCTGGGTGACAGAGCAACACTCTGTCTAAACAAACAAAAAAACTTTCTTTGACCTAAAAGTTCCTTTTTTTTCTTCTGATTTTAAAAGAAATTAAAACATTTTCATGGGCACCTAAAAGTATCACGGCCTCTGAGCACGATGTCAGGTGAGCCTCACGGATAGCTCTGCTCTGCGTAGGAGTTGCTCTGTCCAAATCTTCCCCACCATTCACCGCTCTGGATCTAGCATAGCCGGGTGCATGCCAACTGAGGGATTTCAGAGACACTGACCTCTCATTCTGTTGTCTAGTTTCCTGATGTTTGAATGGGAGGGCACTTTACGTGGGTGGAGATATATATTTTGAGAAAGAAGAACTTATTCAGAGTGTGTCTTCAGTCGCATGACATCAGGATTGCCCCCTTACTATACACACAGTAACCAGACAATACATTCTAGTTGAGTGAAGAATTGTTACAAGATTTTTGTCTTTTAGTTCTGTTTCTTGGAAGATCTTGCACAATCAATATACCTTTGTTTACCTATCTTTCAAATAAAAGATAGAATAGATTTTTTTGTTTGTTTATTTGTTTGTTTGAAAAGGAGTCTCACTCTGTTACCCAGGCTGGAGTGCAGTGGCGTGATCTTGGCTCACTGCAATCTCTGCCTCCCGGGTTCTGCGATCTTGGCTCACTGCAACCTCCGCCTTTCAGGTTCAAGCGATTCTCCTGCCTCGGCCTCCCGAGTAGGAGTAGGAGGCGTGTGCCACCATGACTAGCTATTTAATTTTTATTTTTTTGTAGAGATGGGATCTCCCTATGTTGTCCAGGCTGGTCTCAAACTCCTGGGTTCAAGCAATCCTCCCATCTCAGCCTCCAAAAGTGCTGGGATTACAGGTGTGACCCACTGCACCCAGCCCTTAGAATAAATTACTTGTTAAAATTTGGAGAGAGGCTGGGCGCGGTGGCTCACGCCTGTAATCCCAGCACTTTGGGAGGCCAAGGCAGGAGGATCATGAGGTCAGGAGATTGAGACCATCCTGGCTAACATGGTGAAACCCCATCTCTACTAAAAAATATAAAAATTAGCCAGGCGTGGTGGTGGGCACCTGTAGTCCCAGCTACTCGGGAGGCTGAGGCAGGAGAATGGCGTGAACCCAGGAGGCAGAGCTTGCAGTGAGCCAAGATCGTGCCACTGCACTCCAGCCTGGGTGACACAGCAAGACTCCACCATAAAAAAAAAAAATTTGGAGACAGATGTGATAATAATGTCAATAATCTTTATGTAATAGCATCCATAGTTTGCAAAACACTTTCATATACATTATCTCTTTTGATAATCTGTAAAGTCATGTAAGATCTTAGGAGGAAAAATGCTTTATATTTATATAAAAATATTAATAGTAACAGTGGTTTTAATTTTAGATAAATCATTTGTCATTTATAATTCTATGAAGAAAAATGCTATGAAAGACAATTATATATCTGACTTTTGTCACTCTATAATTTGGCCTATGCTCTCAGATGTAAGCAAAAATGCAAAACAACATTTGTACTCCTTACTCATATATACTACTTTCCACACTTTGCCTCTGTGAAAAATGCTACATTTCAAGTTCATGACTACAAGCGTTAATGCTGTGAATTGGAAATTACAACATACCTCATTGCATACTCCATTAACTGTTTCCACTTCTCCAACAATCGGAAGCCAGAAAGGCTTGATTTCTAGCTAAAAAGCAAAGCGAGATTGAGGGAAGTTCAGAGACGCCATGAAGGAACTGGTGACCAGAGTCCCTTGCTGCTTATGGAACCCACAAGAATAAAGATAGCCGCTTTTCGGAATTACGATTCTAATTCAGGATTTGTGGAGTTTACTCTAATTTGGTGCTGTTCTGGAAAAGGCTATGTCGAAAAGAATTTGTTTCTAGAGATTTTCAGGAAAGTAGCCAATTCAAACTGCTCAACCCTGTGAGATCATTCCTGGCTGGTAGCAAGAACTTTCTGTCATGTGGGGCTTGCTTGAGAGTGAAGAGTACCCGCATATCCACTGCTTCTGAATTCATACCTGTTGGGGCTTATATGCACACGTACACACCAGCATCTGGGTCTTCATACCCGCTTTTCACACTGATCGTGTGAACTGATTCACAAGCCTTCAAGTGTCCTAGTTAGACCAATTTAGTCCAGCTCTGAAAGAACAGATAGGTAAGATAGACTGTCACATTCCATCAAGTTAATTTCTAATTTCACAATTGAGGTTTTAATAGGACGTCTGGCCTATTAAGGTCTTTTACTCTGTTCAAGAGCAACCAAACACCGCTGCCAATTCTATCATTAAGATCAAGCTGCTGTTCAGCGACCCTCCCCTCGGCTGCCCTTCCGTCTTGGGGCCTTCCCAGCCTGCCTATGGTTAGGAGCCGTTTAAAAAGTTGCACTCATTCTAGTTACACCCTGCCACACCTCCAAGCCTGTGGATGATTTCGTCTGAGTTCCCAGCAGTCTTAAAGCTTTGCCAACAGCAGACGGAGGTATCACGCTGAGCTCTGTGGAGAGAAAGCTTTGCACTGTGCAAGTGACCCATTTGGCACCAGAGAGGGGGAGGGGAAGAGAAATCCTGATGGGCTCCAGGGACTCCTCATCCATCTACTTCTCCCCGGGATCCTCTCCTGGAGGGCTCTTGCAAACACAGTTGCCCCGCCACGGTGGAGGATCATCAACAGAAACCCACGAAACAAGGCCATGCCCCGTGGCACTCTGAGTCAGTCCCGTAGCGTGATTTACCAGCTCTCTGAAAAAAGAAATCTGCTAGGACCTGGGCTGGAACCGTAAGATGTAAAGATGTCAAGTTGAAAAACCTAGGGTGGGCCCAAACCTCCAACTCCCCAGCCCCGATTCCCACCCTGGGAAAATCATTCCAGTGTAAACATTTCTTTTTACATTTAGTATATCTGTGCAAGAAAAACTACTTTATTACTCAACATTAATAACATTCACTTTGAACCTTAATTCTGAAAACCACAGAATTTTTTAAATGCTGTAAATAGCTGACACGGGTGTTCTTCCCTTGCTTTCAAAGGAATTGTTTTTGTAATTACTGAGCAGGGTGAAGCTGAATTTCCCCTGCAGTAAACAGGAGAGTGTGTAATGAGATATCTTAACTAAAAACATTAATCATATTCAGATTAATTAATAATAGAAAACTTTCAGGACATTCTTAATGCTTTAAAAACAAAAAAGCTTTTATTTTTTGAAGTTGTTAGGTCTCCATTCTAGTTCTGAGTACAAATAAATGCCTGACATATGGTCTAAGCCAAATTCCAAAATGTAGCAAAAACAGTGCCTGCATATTTGGCAGGAATTTAAACCAGTTCAGGTCAGTGTCTCTTTCTGCCCAAAGAAGAGTTTCTGCATTTGCACTGAGCTAGGAAAATAACACAGGAAAACATGGGGAACAACACGGAATATTGTAAGCTCCAGTACCCGGCTGGCCAAAGAATAATGTTTGGGGCAACTCTGAAATTACCGCCCAGGCTGCAGTTTGGGTTTGCATAACGTCTTGGAGGACTGTGAGCAAGACAGAAAGTACCGATTGCATTGTTGTAAGGAAATTGCCTTCCCCCTTCTAAAGCTCTCACCTTGCAAATCACCCCCTCTTAGCAAAAGCACATCTTACTTGTTAACTCTTCCCCTGCTACTAACCTTTTCAATCATCCCCCTTCATCATTGCAGAATGGCCTTTGGAACAAAGCAGCATTTTAAAGCCTTTCCCACTAAAAGTTTGCCCCTCCCCCCCTTTAAAGAGGCAGTGTGGGGGTAATTTTCTTTCTTCCTTTCTTTTTTTGTGTTTTTTTTTTGTTTTTTTTTGTTGTTGTTTTTTAAATTTGTTTTTCTGCAGTGTACTCTTGTGAGGTTGTCATTGTTTGGGGGTTGATGGATATTTCTTCAGAGATACCATCATATCGCTTGTTATTGTAACACTTATTGGTGATAAAGTTCAGACTAAAAATTAAGCAGCTGCAATGTAGCAGCACAAATTAGTTTAATGTAAGCAGTCAGGAGCAGCTGGCTGGCTCAGGACTTGAATTTAGCTGTGGGGGGAAGGGTTCTGTGACGCTGATGTGTTTTTTTCCTCTACATAAACATTTTTGGCTGTTGCAGCTTTTGTGCTGATCATGTGACAGTGTCCCTAGGCAGATAATTTATTTCTGTGGCTTTCATGAGCAATCATTAACCTTCAGACACCCAGTTTGCTTTTGCTTTGTGGCATTTATTATTATTATTTTATTATTATTATTATTATTTTTCGTATACTAACTAGTTTAATTCAGAAAGTGTCAGGAGAAAATTACAACCAATTTACGATAGACTGCAATGCATAATACTTATGTTTCCATTAAAGCAGACCTTGCTTATAAGACCATTCTCATAGCTTTGAGGGTGTTTGTGAATCAGGATAATTATTTTCAGTGTGTCTGTCGTTAGGATGCTCCTTTAGTATCCTCTTCTGATTGCCAGGCCTCTGCAAGCTGGCCTTGGAGAAACTCAATTTGGAGATCAACCTTTGGCAGTCTTCGTCTACTCGCTAGGAGGCTGGAACCCCAGAGGGGTTAGAAATTGGGCTTCTGGAGACAGGCACTACTTCGGTCCCTTCTTCCTTCAACAACTGACACGCCAGCCTTCAGTAAACAGTGTGGCCATTTGTAGTGAATAACTGGAGCTGGAATATATTGGGGTTGAAAAACAAAGGAAATTAGAAACAGTGTCCTGCATAAATCAGAAGGGGGTGGGGGACAGAAAAGTATCATTTCTGACATCTACTAATCATGCTGACCTGTTTTCTGAATTTATCTGTTTTGTCCTTCTCAGATCTGTTTGTGTTGCTCAGCCATTTCTGCCAACCAGTAATTCAGGAGTGAAATGCACAGGGTCACTCTTTGGTGTCTATCATACATGATATCTTCAGACACTTTCAGAATGCCGATTATCTCGTGGGTATTGTGTGGGCCCTGTTAGATATTCATTTATTCATTCTCTCATGGTGCAGGGTTGGTAGGGGGAGCACTCGGGACTACTTGCACAGAGGGATTTGATAAAGTGTATTTATAAGCCCCAGTGTACTGTGTTTGGTGAAAAATAACAGAAAGACGTAACTCCTTTTCTGTTTTCTTCATTTAGAATATTCCAATCATGAGAGTTATTTCATAATTAATACATAGAATGCAGCATGAAAATTCAATGTTTCCAAATGTTTGATTCAAAAGCTAAAAAAAAAATAGGAGAAATTGATCATTATCATTCTTTAAACATTTTAAAGCACCCTCAACAGACTAGGTACTACGTACGCTGAACGGGAAGAAGAGCTTGACCACTGAACGATAGAAATGAGGATGCCTCAGTAGCCGGGTGATCTTTGATGAGTGAATGCGTCCCATAGGTGTAATGAATGTGATAGGGCACAGAATGTTCTATGAGTTGCATTGTTGCTGGGGTGGGGGCAGGAGGGTGGGTAGGATATGGGAACTTCTTTGTCCTCACCCAAAAGAGAGGGATTTCTTTCCCAAACATAGGGCGCTAGCGTTCAGGAATTTTCTGTACTTCTTCCTAATGTTATTTTCTTGCTCACTGGATTCCAGCTCACACAATTGTCAGCGCTGCATTATGACTTTTGTGGCTTGTCTGGTGGTAAGTGGTCCACTTGCTTTGCTTTTGCCTTTGTGGGCCTCTTCCTCCATAAAAATATTGATAATCATATTTTATGACTGTATTGGTGTAAGATCATATAATCCAGGCTGGATTCATGTTTACATATTCGTTATTATTATATAGTTTTTTTCTTATGATTTTAAATAAAATGAAAACATTGTTGTAAACCCCTAAAAGTATTGTGGGCCCTGGGTACTGTGCTTCCGATGTGCCTAAGGGAGAATTCAGCCCTAAGGGTGGGCACAAACACACAACTGACCTTTGCCCAAGGTGAAGATACCCTGGGGGAACAAAGCAAATAGGGTAGAGAAGTCGCAGTCTCTTTTCCTCAGGTTAAAGCATTCACAGTTAATTCCAGACACTCCCAGATTCGACTTTCTATGGGGGGGCCCTTCTGGGGAGCTCACCCTTATCCTGCCCTCTTCCCCCAGTGGTGGAGGCCACTCTTACAGGGCCCAGAAAATACAGCAGTCAGAGGTTTGGGGTTAATGGGAGGGTAGCTGGGAAGACACCTTGGAGAAGGAAAAGTTTAGACCCTAAAGGAAGGATAAATTGTAGATAATGGAAAAAAGGGGGAGGGAGTTTCCATGTCAAAGCAAAGTCTTGGGCAAAAGGTCAAATATTTTTCTGGTTTCATCCATAAGCTTTAAAATAGTCAACACCTGGCAGTTATAGAATAGCCCAGAAACCACTGCCCTCTTCGCTGAGTGGATAGTTACTAAATTATAATGACTTTAAGCAGGTAGAGAGCTGGGGCCAAAGATGAGGTTCACCTAAGACACAGGAGAAAAAGTCAAAGTGATGTCTGTGGGAATCATCCCATTCATTTGTTCACACATTTGATTTTTCACCATCCTTTACTGAATACCATTTTCCAAACAGTATAGGAAACTTCTCATGAGATCAAGCTTGAAAAGCCAGCCCTTGTTCTCAATGAGCTTAGTCTAGTAGGGCAAAGGAGTAGGAAAATGTAAACAGTTACTCTTAAATATGACCAAGGCAATTAGAAAATTATATACTGGGGCAGAAGTAGCACTGAGCAAGGAGCTCCTGCCTCTTTCTTGGGATCAGAGAAAGTTTCATTTTGGAGGTGTGGGTTGAATTGTGTCTCATAGATGAATAGGTGTTCCCCAACTTAAAAAGTAAGAAAAGACATCCTAGGTAGGGAGATCAACATATGCAAAGAAGAGGTGAGAAGTTTGACAAATGCAGAGAACTCCAACAGTTTGTTATCACTGGACCTTTAAGTTTTCCCCTGGGGAATTTGGAGTTGTGGTCTCAGGCATGGTGAGATTGCAAAGGTAAGGTTTTTAAGCAGAGAAAGTCACAGTCACTTCACAGGGGCAGAGGATGAAATGCAAGGTAAAAGAGGGAAGAAGGAAGACAGGTTAGGAGCCCATTGTGATTAATTTCCATGCTAGATAATGAGGACCTTATTCAAGGTAGTGGGGATGAGGACAGAATGTGTTTATTTAGGCTGAGGACTGATGGGGTGTGTTTAGAAGGAGAAGGTTAAGATAACTCTCAGGTTTCTGGGACATTAATGGAGCTTATGGATACTGATGGAAAATTAAGATGGAGTAAAGAGATAGTTACAGTTTGATTTTCATTATTTACTGTAGTTACTTCTATAAAGTTGCCTAAAACACTGAATTAAGGAACATTAAACTACTGTTCTAGGGGAAATACAGGGTTAGGTTCCTTTGAGCCTCTGGTCACAACATTTTCATCAACTGATGATACATAACCTTATTTTATGTGTTTCTGTTTAAAGACACCTTATTTAATATGTATTGTTGATTCATTAACATCACAGTCACAGCTAAAAATACTATAACTCATGCCTAAATGAAGGTAACCCAACACATGCATTTTCTCTGCAAGACACATCACACTCTTCATGTGCTTAGGAATACTAGAGAATATTTCAGCACTACGCTTGGGAATAGCATTTAATTTAATTTAATTTATTTATTTTTTTTTCTTTTGTTTTTTGAGATAGAGTTTCTCTCTGTTGAACAGGCTAGACTGCAGTGGCACAATCTTGGCTCACTGCAACCTCTGCCTCTTGGGTTCAAGCAATTCTTCTGCCTCAGCCTTCTGAATACCTGGGATTGTAGGCATGCACCACCATGCCCCATTAATTTTTTGTATTTTTAGTAGAGACGGGGTTTCACTGTGTTGGCCAGGCTGGTTTTGAACTCCTGACCTCAAGTGATCAACCCGCCTCAGCCTTCCAAAGTGCTATGCTAGGATTACAGGTGTGAGCCACCACCACTCCTGGCCAAGGGGGTAGCATTTTTTTTTTTTTTAGACAAGAGTCTTGCTCTTGTAGCCCAGACTGGAGTGCAGTGGCATGATCTCGGCTCACTGCAACCTCCGCCACCCAGGTTCAAGCAATTCTCCTGCCCCAGCCTCCCAAGTAGCTGGGATTACAGGCACCCACCACCACACCCAGCTAATTTTTGTACTTTTAGTACAGATGGGGTTTTGCCATGTTGGCCAGGCTGGTCTCAAATTCCTGACCTCAGGTGATCTGCCCACCTCGGCCTCCCAAAGTGCTGGGATTACAGGCATGAGCCACCGCACCTGGCCGGGGATAGCATTTTAAAAAGTGAAATCCCCAGCAAAAAGCACAAAAATATGAAGAATGTGGCAATACATAGACTGCAGAAAGGACACTTGTTGACTGTGTAAGAGCTGAAAGAAGAAAGTAGAGCATTGCCTTGTTTGACCCCGCTTGGAACATGTGTGACCAACACACTACCCAAAATTTTCACTGCTCTCTGAATGTCTGGAAATGAGTGTGGAAACAGTGTGAGTTTTTATTTTCAGGTTTTCAAATAAATTTTAGGAAGGAGAAAAATTCACAAATGTGGGATCTGTGAATCATAAAGATTGACTGTAATCGTTTGGAATTTGGAAATTTTGCTTTTGATATGCCTTGAAGACATGCAGCTGCAATGTCTTAGAATGAAAGTCGGGAGAGATGTTGAACTAGAAAGTAGATACTGACTTTGTGAGAGACCATGATGGAGTGTGAGATTATTTACATAACGTAAACACAGAGTGTCAGGATGGAGGAGGGGTGGGGAGGGGGTTGTTACAATGCTGGGGCAAGACTGGCAGGGTGCGTGAGGCATTAAAGGAGCTTTTGATCGTCAAGTGGTGAGTTTCTACCTGCGCTGCTTCCCTTCACATCTTGCAGTAGAATCTAGCGTTAGTTGAGCTCTGGCTGACATCCTTGTGAGAGGTCCAGGGAGCTGGATTCAAAATTACTACTGCAAAGGTCACTTTTTGAGCTATGCTTCATGGAGAATAAAGTCTTCTAGAAGAGGAGCATGGGTCAGAACTCAGTGGAGAGGAGAGCTCTGGGAAGTGTCCACATCTCATGCTCTGGGCTGCTGCCTTGGTAGGGAAAATGAGTGTGTCAGCTGCTCTGTCCTGGATCTCTTGTGTCCCCTTCACACTCACACCAACACAATGTCTTTGAGACATGTGACTTCAGAGAGCCATACTTTGGGGCCAGATGTCCTGCTGTGATGTTCTTTCTCCAGTTATAAGTTTCTGGTATTTCAAGCCAACCCCATTCTTTCTCTTCAAACCTCATAACCCACTCCCGATGTGGTCCTTTTGTCTGAGTCTATCTTTTCTCCACCATAATCTCATTCTCACAGATCCCTCTAACTAAGCTAAAATATTTAAGACAGAAAAATGAGTTAGATTTGGAACTCAACTGCTAAATACTCCTTTCTTTCCTTTCCTCTGTGCTATGTGTTAGACACTGTGCTAGAATCTGCGTATGTGGTGACAAATGAACTAGGTGCAATTCCTGCACTCCTGCACCTTACAGTGTAGGACATACGATACAGTGAGAGGCAGGCTGAAGCCAGGACACCCCAGGGGTCAAGGCCCAGGTTGTGTCAGTATTTGCTGATGTAAGATTGCACAAGTCACTTTAGCTCTTAGAATCTCTTCTCTCACTTGTAAAACATTTGGATTTAGGTTTCTGGGTTCTTTTCTGCCCCTTTATGTTCAATGATTCTATAAAGTAAAATTCTCTCACGTTGCGTTTCAGGGTGGTGGCAAATGTTATCTTTGAACTTGATTGTTGTAAGCAAGACTCAATCAAGATTGTCTAAGTTGCTGAAAGCTTTGAGCCACCAGCACTGTGTATGCGTATGCCCTGCAGAAAGTACAGGGTGATTGTCAATGCTTACCATGCAACTGTTGAACCCTGAAGTATTTGGATTCTGTAGAGAAATTTACTGAATTGAAGGGAAGATGCAAGCCTTGGGAAAAGGATTTGATAATACCTTGCACAATTTAACACCAGCTGGAGAGTAGATCCACCATTCCCATTGTTGTGCTTGGGTTTAACTGAATGACTGCATTTGAAAGCCACCGCTGTGCTGTTGTGAACAGTAGCAGGAGCTCATGTATTGTTCAGGGTCCCCAAGAACAACTTAGAGATATGAGAAGACCCTATTTGAAATACCGAAGTTGAGTTACTTTACCAGAGGCGAACACAGAGCTGAAAATCGGTCTCATGTGCAGTAATTTTTACATCGCACTCTGTGCTTTCTCACATGCAGATCTAGTGAAAGCATGAAATGAAGCATGAATCCCAATAAATTTTTGTTGTTGTTGTTGTTTAGAGGGAGTTTCGCTCTTGTCACCCAGGATGGAGTGCAGTGGTATGATCTCAGCTCACTGCAACCTCTGCCTCCCAGGTTCAAGTGATTCTCCTGCCTCAGCCTCCCGAGTAGCTGGGATTACAGGTGCCTGCCACCACACCTAGCTGATTTTTGTGTTTTTGGTAGAGACAGGGTTTCACCATGTTGGCCAGGCTGGTCTTGAACGCCTGACCTCGTGATCCGCCCATCTCGGCCTCCCAAAGTGCTAGGATTACAGGCATGAGCCACTGCGTCCGGCTTAAAAATTGTTTTTCAAATAAATATTAGGTAACACCCCAGCAGAGGCTGGTGGTTCCTCTACTATACAATGTACACCTGTGGTTCAGATTTTCACTCTCAGCAGACGAAAGCTTAGAGAGATGTTATACGTGAAAGAAGCTCACACCTGCAATGAATGGCTCAAAAACTTACAGGAAGAGTTTTACTACACTCTATTGTGTGAATATATTCCTCCTGCAAAGGGTATTTTTTTAAGGAAAAAAATTACATCCATCACAAAAGATCCCCGTTTTGTTTGCTTTATGGCTAAAGAATGGTTCTATTTAAACTAGTCATCTATTATAAGACATTGAAGTTGAACCCACAGAGTGGTGCATGGCTCTTGGGGTTGGCATTGCCTTTGATTGGCCATGTGACCTTAGGCATTAGAATACATTTCTTTGGAACTTCCCCTGACTAAAATGTGCAGACAGCAGCAATTTCTATCCTTTTTTCTTACCCTATATGTTGATTACTATGTAGTAAAGTGGATGGAGTTCTTCAAGAGAAAGGCTTGCTTTTAGTACAGGCCCACTGGGTCGTATTGATGGGATGCACCAGTATATTTAGAACTGTGATCAGAATTGAATTGAGTTACTAAAAAATGCAAGGCACTTAGACTCTTGGGAATACTTGATCATTATAAAATGTGGCCAAAATTGTAATGAAATTACTGCTTAGGCTTTTCGGACTTCAGACACTCTGGTCACCTCTGACAAAGAAGGGGCTCGAGTTCATGGGCATTCTCTTCTCCTGGCTGTTTTCTATAGTAAATTGTTTTACCTTTTTCCTTTCCAGACCTCTTGTTTCCTGCCTCTTGTTTTCTGCTTCCTCCACTTCTGCTTCTTGTTCTTCTTTACTCAGTGTTCCTCTGCTACTCACACAAGTGAGGGAATCGGTATTTAAACTCAAACACTTGGGGTCTAAGGAGTCTGTGGGAGTCAAGTGACACAGTCTTTTGTTGGGACCCAGAGAAGGATTATATTACAACGTTCCAGTTCCCCAGGGAAAAGCTGAGTTTGCTATTCAGCGGTTTAATTAAGAAAGAGCTGATACTGAAGGTCATGTCTGAAGAGACAACAAACAAAACCCCAAAATGAACATCTTCTAGAATGCCAAGCCATTGTAAAGAGCATACTATCAAAGTTGCAACACTCAGGAAATGCTGAGATAGTGTGGTTTCCATTATTAGCATTATTTTTTAAAAAGGTATGGGATATCTGTCATAAGGCCCATATGTACAACTGGGTCTCTTGAGATTCAGCAGATGAGAGCTGCTAATTTTAAAAAGTTTGACTGAAATGTAAACATGGAGTTTTAAGAGAACACACTTTCACTGAATTGAGAAAAACAGTGAGTTGTAAAAAATTAAATGAAATAATACTGAATCACTTGGATTTGCTTTTAAAGTGACATGAAATTTTTTTTTGGCGTATTAATTTAATTTTAGGTATAATTCAACTTATTTCTCTTCTAAAAAATGTTTTAAGGTTTTCTTATCAAAAACAATGATAAGAAAGCACACTTTTTGGTTTGACAGTGAAATATGCATTCCACTATGAATCGACCATCACGGTAGGTGTGTTAATACCAGGTGAGCAAGATAGTGTTAGCCCCCCGGAGGCTTGCGATTCAGCCAGAAGAGGAGGTTGACAGACCATTACAGGAAGGAGGAGCAAGTCCTGGGAAAGGGGCTAGGACAAAGAGGTAAGACAACCCCAGAAGGGGCCATTAACTTCAAAGGAGGCCTCCTGCGGAAGTGGCATATAATTGGAGATGTGCTCTATGGTAAATGCTACAATAGCAGCCTCAGCAAAAGCTACAGGATGGCTGATGGGAGATTATTTTGCCTGCAAATGTCAAAGAGCCTGGGAGGGCCTTGAAGGAGGACAGAGTACGAAGGAGGCATTTGAAAGGGATGGAGAGCATGTGACTGCGCCCGGCCTGAAGTAAGCACATTTTTAAAAAACTTGCATTTTAAGTTTTCAATCAAATTTATCATAGGCCGGGCACAGTGGTTCACACCTGTAATCCCAGCACTTTGGGAGGCCGAGGCGGGCGGATCACCTGAGGTTGGGCGTTCAAGACCAGCCTGGCCAACACGGAGAAACCCCGTCTCTACTAAAAATACAAAAATTAGGCGGGTGTGGTGGCACATGCCTGTAATCCCAGCTACTCAGGAGGCTGAGGCAGGAGAATCTTGAACCTGGGAGGTGGAGGTTCAGTGAGCCGAGATCGTGCCATTGCACTCCAGTCTGGGCAAGAAGAGTGAAACTCTGTCTCAAAAAAAAAAAAAAATTATCTCTGAATTATGTTCTTATAAATTGCAAACAGACCTATTCCTCCGCACATGGCAACATTGAAGATTCCTCTATTTACTTCCACATGGTATTGCTTCTGCCTAGAATTCTGCATTGATCAGTTTTGTTGATTAACTCCCACACATCCTTTAGATATCAGCTTTAAGGAGGCTTCCTTTCCTAGCATCTCCCTCTCTCCTCTTGCCCACCCAATCTGAAACAATTTCCCCTAAACTCATCACTCATCACACCTTTTATTTTTCTTTCACAACACTTATCAAAAGTATAGATTTCTTTTTTTTTTTTTTTGGAGACAGAGTTTCACTCTTGTTGCCCAGGCTGGAGTGCAATGGCACAATCTTGGCTCACCACAACCTCCACTTCTGGGGTTCAAGCGATTCTCCTGCCTCAGCCTCCCGAGTAGCTGGGATTAGAGGCATGTGCCACCATACCCGGCTAATTTTGTATTTTTAGTAGAGACAGGGTTTCTCCATGTTGGTCAGGCTCTCAAACTCCCGACCTCAAGTGATGTGCCCACCTCAGCCTCCCAAAGTGCTGAGGATTACAGGCGTGAGCCACCACGCCCAGCCAGATTTCTTTTTCATGATTTGTTTTTTCTACTAGACTGTAAGCTACCTATAAATAGATAACTAATATATTTAGTTTAATATTATATCGTTAGGACCTGGCACAATATCTGGAACAAACCAAGTGTGCAATAAATATTTGTAAAATTATGATATATTTTGCTTTTTCTACTGTATAAGAGATACTATAGGAATACATAGATAGATAATTGTTGTTAGCCCTTATGGGGACGCTTAGTGTCTCTATTGCCTTCAAGATGAAAAGATACATTGTATTAGGGATAAAAAGGAATACAAAAAATGTAGTGATTGACTATAGAAATATTTTCTTATCATAATGTGTGTGATTTTTTTTCCCTTTTTTTTTTTTTTGAGAAGGAGTCTTGCTCTGTTGCCCAGGCTGGAGAGCAGTGGCATGATCTCAGGTCACTGCAACCTCCACTTCCCAGGTTCAAGCGATTCTCCTGCCTCAGCCTCCCGAGTAGCTGGGATTACAGGCGGCTGCCATCATGCCCAGCTAATTTTTGTATTTTTAGTAGAGATGTGGTTTCACCATGTTGGTCAGGCGGGTCTCGAACTCCTGATCTCATGATCAGCTTGCCTCAGACTTCCAAAGTGCTGGGATTACAGGCGTGAGCCACCGAGCCTGGCCAATAATATTTGTAAATATTAAACATTAAGGAAATTCATGATGCTAGAGAACTATATATTTATTCAGTAATGTCATTAAATGAGTTTATACATTATTAATTACAGTATTATATAATTTTTGGGGATGATATATATGGTGAGAGACATAGACTATTATTTATTTCTATATTTATTTTTAATTGACAAAAATTGCATATATTTATCATGTACAACCTGTTTTGAAATAGGTATACATTATGGAATGGCTAAATTAAATTAATTAACGTATGTATTATCTCATATGCTTATTTTTGTTGTGATGAGGACACTTAACATTCACTGTCAGCAATTTTTGAGAATACAATACATTGTTATTAACTACAGATAACCATGTTGTTTAATAGATCTTTTGAATTTCTTCCTCCTATCTAGCTGAAATTTTGCATTCTTTGGCCAACAAATGTACAACCTTTTTGGTAGCTGGATACATATATCACACCCCTTGCAATATTAGCCCCAGAGTCCCCACGCTTTTTGGTTGCTGGGTGTCTAGAGCTCAGGTTGAGGAAATTAAGACTTCAGGAATATTTCTAACAGGAGAAGAAGACTGAAAGGATAATTGAGAGGATTGAAGGATTTGTTGATTTCTAGTGCTGGTGGAATTTACGTATGCCCTTCAATTTTGTATTGTTTAAAAATTTTCATCTTCCTTTTCAAGACTACGTGGATTAATTTTAAATACTCTTTAAATAACCAGCAGTTGCTCTGGCATGTGTTCACTGATGACCATATTTAGTTAAGAAGACACTGTTCTTCTGTATTTGCTTTCAGCTCTGATAGACAGTAGGGAAATAAGCACTTTAAAGTACAACAAACCAAAGCATTATGTAATAGGCAGAAGCAAACACATAATCAGATAAATGTATAAATATTTACAGAGTTTAGCTGCATTGGGCATTAAAACAAATAAACAAAAATCCACACTGTCACCCTTCTTTCAAAATTTTAGTCAGGCAGCCTTCAGGTAAAGCAAAGAAACTTTCTAGGCATTGAAACTGATGTGAGAGCTAATACTTACCTTGGGCTAAAATATGCCAGCTAAGTGATTTATAGGTAATAATTCATATAGTGCTTATGCTAACTGTAATGGATGCTGTGGTGTGTCACACAGGTGTCCCCCTATAGGCCCAAGGCATTGCTCCCATTTCCAGAAGTGTTGTCTGCTGACAGCTCATAGCTAAATCCTTCCCTAGAAATTGCTCTTGGCAGGGAGGAGCTGCCTGTCCAAGGCTACAGACTTTTTCAGGCCTGTATCCAATCACTGGTCAATATCTCTTCAGGGCCACGCCAGCTTCGGAGCTGGAATTAGTGGGATCAGCTGAGGCCTCTGTTGCCGCTGCCTCACCGTTCAACTTCTCTCTTTCCTCAATCTTGCTTCTCTCATTGCCTTACTGGTGTTTGTCCTGAGAGCATGCCCTCCACAAATGTAACATTTCTCAGAGTGCTATTATCAGGATTTATGAGAAAGTTGAGGTGCAGAGAGGTCAAGGAACTTGTTGCAGCTCACTGAACTGGTAAGTTGCAGAGCTAGCACCTGAACCCAGACTGCATGACCTTAACTACCATCTTTTGGAGCACAAGGTTTGTGGTGATATAGTAGATCAGGTGTGCCACATCATGAGGCTATTTAAACTGGAGGTTGGAAGAGTTTTGATAGATCCATTAGGTAATTGGGGGCCTTTGTAATCAGGGGAAAGCATGGGTTTGGAAGTCGAACTGATGAGAATTCTAATTTGAGCTCTAGTCATTCCTGGAAAAGTTGCTTATTTATTTTGTTTCAGTTTTCTCTATTACAAAATGGTAATAACGACACCAAACTTATAGGGTGATAGTGAAGATTAAATATAATGTATGAAAAGCAACTTGTATAGCACCTAGGATGATTGCAGCAGGTAACCAGCTAATGCATGGTCACTGCTGTTGTTTTAGGGTAGGTTCTTTTTTTTTTTTTTTGAGATGGAGTCTCGCTCTGTCACCCAGGCTGGAGTGCAGTGGCATGATCTCAGCTCACTGCAAGCTCCACCTTCTGGGTTCACGCCATTCTCCTGCCTCAGCCTCCTCAGTAGCTGGGACTACAGGCACCCCCCACCATGCCCGGCTAATTTTTTTGTATTTTTAGTAGAGACAGGGTTTCACCGAGTTAGCCAGGATGGTCTTAATCTCCTGACCTTGTGATCAGCCCGCCTCGGCCTTCCAAAGTGCTGGGATTACAGGCGTGAGCCACCACGCCCGGCCATTTTAGGGTAGGTTCTTAAGCTAGGGTGGAAATTTATGGAGAAGATGGAATAGAAGTCAAAATACTGAAAAAGGTATTTTAGAAAGGTAGAGATGGCTGCATGGTGTGTGATGGTGTATGATGGGATGGAAGAGCTGGATGCAGGTATGTTAAGTACCAATAATTAGAATTTTCTAGTAATATAAAGATATGTGGTAAAGAGGGTCAAACCTTGGGCAGTGGCTGTGGAAACACAGAGGAAAAAAGTAAACCTGGGTGATATCTTAAAGAATTGGCGAGATTCTGTGCATACAGGGCAAACAAAGAGGCAGTGAAAAGCAGCCAGGCAATTTGAAGAACAAAAGGCTGAGGAAAGTAATACCATTGAGGGAAAATATAGGGAAACCAAGGAAGGTGCAATAGTTGGGGTCGTGGTGAAAAATTCTGATGTTGAGGTGAGAGTGAGTAATAGATGTGAAAAGGATTGAGAAGAATCTGAACGAGAAAGGAGTTTTTCTAGAAAGCCAATGGTTTTATTAATTGTGATCTTTAAAAGGCAAGATTTCTGGTTGTAGCTTTTCTGGCTAAAATTTTGAGGGACAGAGAGGCAACAGATGTGGCTGCCTGGAACAGGTGCCATCCTTCTATAAAAGGGAGACGAAGACATTGGAATGGGGAAGGGCATCAGAATTGGGTTTGCAAAGAAAAGGGTCAAGATAGATTCATTCATGGAGATCACGTGAGGGGCGGATGCTGTCTTTTTACAAACTAAATCCCTTTCTACGTGGGTCCTATGGGAGGTATTCTTCCGTGAAATCTACCAATTCCAAAACTGACTCAGTGATTTTGCTACGTTTTCACTTTTGGGGGTTGTTTTAGAATGAAGTTTCAAGGTCATTGTGTCTCTTCTGTTCTTTCGCTTAAGAGCAACATGGTAGAATGCCTAGGCAACACCAAGGGGTTCAGAAGAATTATTTCTGTTTTTCCGCAAGGCTTAATAAGAAAGCAGCGTATTCTCCCTGAGGAAAATGACAGTTCATGAGGGCCAAATATATTTCTGTAAATTGTGAAGGATAATAATATTGTTCCAATTAAGCTCTTCATGCTCACAGTATAGAGGCCAACCTGACCTTATACAAATAGGACAGTAGGAAAAGAAAGAGGTGCTATTGCCAAAATACTCTCACCTGGAAGATAAATGTCTCAACTAAGCAGTTGCCAAAAAACTCTAGAGAAACTAGGAGCATCATTTTATTGTTTCAAACAGATGACTAGATGAATTTTTAAATTGAGAAACTATCGGGAGCTGGAATCAGGGAATTTGAAAGTATCAGCCATGCTTAGCCAAGTGGCCTTTCTCAGGGTCTAGGATTTCTTATGTTCCAATAACAAAGCCGAAATCCTTTAGGCAAACAGTCCTAGAAAAAAAATTTATTATTGGTTCACTAGGTGAATTTAACTTTGAGCTCCTAAAGTATATTTGTTTTACTGAGTATTGGTGATGTTTTCTAGGAGGCTTCCCTATAATTCATTTGCCCTAAAAATGATCAAGGCCAAATTTTATTGAAGGTCCACCTTTTCTTTTCTTGCAGACTTCGTAAGATGAAGAACAAAAACCTGAGAAGTAGGCTTTTCTTAGTTTGTCTGTGAGCAATAATGTTGTCTATTAATGCGCTTTTAAATATACAGTGAAAAAAATTATCTCTACAGTCAGTAAAATATACTAGAGGTGGGAAGAAAGAAGAACTCACAACTGTACTTAAAATTCAATTAGATGGGCTGCAGGCTTAGCATGAGATTAGCTTGCATACTGATTTTTTTTTCTCCCCTTAAATGCTTAAATTTTATCCTTAACCATTAATATAAATGTTCATGCTAAAGGATCAATACATGCCGTGGAAGCCTTCTTTTTTTTAAGTGAATTTTTGCCTTATTTAAGGAAACAAAATGCATTTGGGAAAGAAAGAAAGAAAGTACAATTTCATGCTCATTGAGCAGACATATACTCATGCTACCTGTGGCCCTTTTGGGAAAAGCCTCCCTTTTGAAGATTCCTAATTCTTATTCTGTGATATGGTATGCTTGACTCTAAAGGGCAAAATGTAGCTATATGGCTTTTTCTCATTGATGATTGAAATGTATGCCAGTCAAGTCTATGGTGGTAAAAACCTTGATCCATCATTTTATAAGGCCGCTTTCTCAAGTGACACCCTCACACTACAGCAGTTTTCAATGGAGACTTACTCCTCCAACTTCTTTCCTTCCAGGGGAAAAACTTCAAGATGGTTCATTTGATTGTCTAGAATTTCTTAAACTTGGTTACTGATGATAAACTGATCATCAGTTCAAATGTTTAGTCCCCAGAATTCTTTTAAAAAATGACATCTGGCCAGGCACAGTGGCTCATGCCTGTAATCCCAGTACTTTACTGAGGTGGGAGGATTGCTTGATGCTAGGAGATCAAGACCAGCCTGGGCAACATCATAAGACTTATCTCTACAAAAAAGTAAAAAAATTAGCCAGACATGGTGGCAGGCACCTGTAGTCCCAGCTATTTGGGAGGCTGAGGTGAGAGGATTGCTTGAGCCCAGGAGTTTGAGGCTGCCGTGTGCTATGATTGCACCACGGCACTTCAGCATGGGTGGCAGAGTGAGACACTGTCTCTATTTAAAAACAAAAAACAAAAACATCTTATAGGGAGCTCCACAGAAAAAGGAGCTTATGAGGCTGAGGCTGGTGAGAGGATGAAGGGGTGAGGAGGTAGGGAGAATAGAGTTAAACTTTTGCGATTTTAAGGCCCAATTAGTGCTATTCTATTCTATACTGCTGCTATCTGGGAAAGAGGAAAAATATCACCCAAATTCTTCTTGCCTCATGGGTTTCTGTTTATGAAACGTGAAGAATGATTGCATCTCTGAGAACAGCCTTTACCTCTCAGGTGTTATGCTAGAAATGGGTGCTAACTCTTGTTACTTCATCTACCTGTGCATGCCCCAAGTCTCTTATGCCTGGAATGAATTAGCAGTAATCCCTGACTTTTACTCAGTACTCTACACTGTATGAAAGATACCCTGCTCTTACAGAAAGTAACGAAGCCATCATGGACATGGTGTTCTTTCTTTGGAGACAATAAAAAGCACATTTCTTATGTTAAAAGAAAAACTTTAGACTAGTTAAATTTAACAGAATTTAATTGAGCAAAGAACAGTTCAAGAATCAGGCAGCCTCCTGAACCGGAATAGACTGTGGCACTGCCGGGTGGTGAAGAAAAATTTATGAACAGAAAAGGAAAGTGACAGACAGAAAACGGAAGTGAGGTACAGAAACAGCTGAATTGGTTACAGCTTGGTATTTGCCTTATTTGAACACAGTTTGAACAGTTGGCTGCCTGTGATTGGCTGAAACTCAGTGATTGGTGC
This sequence comes from Homo sapiens, assembly GCF_000001405.40. NCBI lineage: Eukaryota > Metazoa > Chordata > Mammalia > Primates > Hominidae > Homo > Homo sapiens. Next base: position 139,490,736 of record NC_000006.12, read on the forward strand.
AAGAGTAGGTTAGTCTGTTTACACATCCAGTTAGATAACAGTTCACTATGTATGGAGAAACCTTTATGGCAAACTTAAAATGTGTAAGGAAGCAGCTTTAGGCCAAACTTAATTTAACACTTAAAGGGCCAATCGTTTTGAAAGAGTTGACTAGGATTCTACTTATAAATATTCCAGTTATTTAAGTGTAGAATGCTGAAAAGAGTCCAATCTTAAAAAAAAAAAAAAAAAAAAACAAAAAACCTCCTTTGCTGTGAACCTGTTTCTTTTTACTACATTGTGAATTGGACACTTTTGTTTCTTTTAAGCTTTTGTATTTTATTTTGCTTTTCCAACTTGGTTCTTTGATGACAATCATGTCACACCTGAAGACTCTCTTTTTTTCCTTCATGCTCTCTTTCATTTGCTTTCATGCTAGCTTAAGGGCAGCTTCATTCCTGCATATATTTGTTATTTATTTATATAATTATTGATTTAGCAATTTGGTTAAAAAATGTTATTTTCACATACTACTTTTCCTTTCAATCACTTATCTGGTCTACTTTTTATTTCTTTATAGGCCTGCACTTTCTTGTTGATGTTTCTTTTAAAATGAAACTGTCCAAGGATATGAGCTTTTTCCTAAATCTTGCTGAAGTTTATGAATATATTTATTTATTTTTGTGGAGGGGGGGAGAGAGCAAGGTTGTGTTTTTATTTTTTAAGGAAAAATTTATTGTTTTAGTTTGTTAAAAATGTTAGTGTGAAAAATTAGCAAAGTAGTAATTACTTGTTGAAAAAATTATCAAAAATATAAAAGTGTAAAAAATGGCAAAGAATGAAACTGTTCTAATAGGTCCTTAATCCCACTCTCCAGAGGTAACTGCTATTAATAGTTTATATACGTCCAGATATTTTGCTATGTAGAAAATAGATAGATATGTCTACACAAATCTATCTATAACTGTGGCTGTATCTGTTATATCTATTATATATGTATATATTTTAGCAAATGTAACATCTATGTATAATCAATTCTCATTATTTACAGTAATTATGTTTTATAAAATTGCCATGAACACTGAATTAGTTAATACTAAAACATTGCTCCTAGGGGAAATACAGAGTTAGGTTCCTGTGAGCCTATGGTTACATTTTTTTCCCACTGTATTAGTCCGTTTTCATACTGCTATAAGGAACTACCTGAGATTGGCCGGGCATGGTGGCTCACACCTATAAGCCCAGCACTTTGGGAGGCCAAGGCGGGCGGATCTGGAGGTCAGGAGATCCAGACCATCCTGGCTAACAACGGTGAAACCCGGTCTCTACTAAAAATACAAAAAATTAGCTGGGCGTGGCAGCATGTGCCTGTAGTCCCAGTTGCTGGGGAGGCTGAGGCAGGAGAATGGCGTGAACCCAGGAGGTGGAGCTCACAGTTAGCCAAGATAGTGCCACTGCACTCCAGCCTGGGCGACAGAGCAAGATTCCATCTAAAAAAAAAAAAAAAAAAAAGGCCGGGCGTGGTGGCTCACGCCTGTAATCCCAGCACTTCAGGAGGCCAAGGTGGGTGGATCACGAGGTCAGGAGATCGAGACCATCCTGGCTAACACGGTGAAACCCCGTCTCCACTAAAAATACAAAACATTAGCCGGGGCGTGGTGGCGGGTGCCTGTAGTCCCAGCTACTTGGGAGGCTGAGGCAGGAGAATGGCGTGAACCCAGGAGGCGGAGCTTGCTGTGAGCCGAGATTGCGCCACTGCACTCCAGCCTAGGCGACAGAGGGAGACTCCATCTCAAAAAAGAACTACCCGAGACTGGATAATTTATAAAGAAAAGAGGTTTAATTGACACACAGTTCAGCATGGCTGGGGAGGCCTCAGGAAACTTACAATAATGGTGGAAGGTGAAGGGGAAGCAAGGAATCTTCTTCATAAGGCGGCAGAAAAGAGAAGTGAACACAGGAGGAACTACCGAGCGCTTATAAAACCATCAGATAGGCTGGGTGCAGTGGCTTACGCCTGTAATCCCAACACTTTGGGAGGCTGAGGCAAGTGGATCACCTGAGGTCAGGAGTTCGAAACCAGCCTGGCCAACACAGTGAAACCCTGTCTCTACTAAAAATACAAAAATCAGCCAGGTAGGCTGGGCACAGTAGCTCACACCTGTAATCCCAACAGTTTGGGAGGCCAAGGCGGGTGGATCACCTGAGGTCGGGAGTTTAAGACCAGCCTGACCAACGTGGAGAAAACCCATCTCTACTAAAAATACAAAATTAGCCAGGCACAGTGGTGCATGCCTGTAATCCCATCTTCTTGGGAGGCTGAAGCAGGAGAATCCCTTGAACCCGGGAGGTGGGGGTTGCAGTGAGCCAAGATCGCACCATAGCACTCCAGCCTGGGCAACAAGAGCAAAACTCCGTCTCAAAAAACAAAAAAATCAGCCAGGTGTGGTGGCATGCACCTGTAATCCCAGCTACTTGGGAGGCTGAGGCAGGAGAATTGCTTGAACCCGGGAGGCGGAGGTTGCAGTGAGCTAAGATTGTGCCACTGCCCTCCAGCCTGGGCAACAGAGTGAGACTCCATCTCAAAAACAAAAACAAAAAACCATCAGACCTCATGAGAACTCACTCACTATCACGGGAACAGCATGGGGGATTATGGGGACTACAATTCAAGATGAGATTTTGGGTGAGGACACAACCAAACCATATCACCAACTTGTCAATACATAATCTTGTTCTATGTGTATTTCTGTTTAAAGACAGCTTATTCAGTGTATATCATTAATTCATCAACACTGAACATTAATTCATTAACATTGAACTCATAGCCAACAGTACTATAACTCATGTCTGAAAAAAGCTTATCAAACACACGTATTTTCTCCAATGGCACAAATGGTCCTTTTCCCTGTAAGGCACATCACAGACTTTGTGCCCTTAAAAACACTAGAGTGGCCAGGCGCTGTGGCTCACGCCTGTAATCCCAGCACTTTAGGAGGCAGAGGCAGGCGGATCACGAGGTCAAGAGATGGAGACCATCCTGGCCAACATGGTGAAACCCTGTCTCTACTAAAAATACAAAAATTAGTTGGGCGTGGTGGTGTGCACCTGTAGTCCCAGTTACTTGGGAGGCTGAGGCAGGACAATCACATGAACCCGGGAGGCAGAGGTTGCAGTGAGCTGAGATTGCACCACTGCACTTCAGTCTGGGAGACAGTGCGAGACTCCATCTCAAAAAAAAAAAACAAAAATCACTAGATAGCACTTCAGCAGTATGTTTGGGGACATTATAAACAGCAAAAGAAAATACAAAAACATGGCACTAAATAGATTGCAAAAAGGACACTTGTTTACAGTATGAGAGCTGAAACAAGAAGGCAGAGTGTCATTTTCTTCTTCAGCCTCAGCTAGGAATGCACATTGTTGTATATAACAGAGAAAGTGTCATGAGTGTTGCTTTTGGGATTACAAATTGGCTTAGTGAGTAGGTGAATTAACAAACAGAATCAATGAATAATGAGGATCAACTCTTTATCTTTCTATAATGTGTTTTCTTTTCCTTCCTCAACAATAATGTAGGCACATCTTTCCATATCATTGCCTATGGTCTTTAATTTATTCATCCCATGTTTGTTGAGCACCTACCAGGAACTGTGCTTATTGCTGGGACACTGCACTGAGAAAAACAGAACAGAATCGTGCTCATGGAGCATACATTCATTATGAATAGAAAGTTTATTGTTATAATAGATAGGGGTAAGCACCCCGAAGAAAAATGAAACAGTATTAAGTGTAGAGAATGACAAAGAGAGCGATTAGCTAGAATGGTTATGGAAGGCTTTTCTGATGAGTTGACATTTGCACAAGATTTGAATGACCTGAAAGAATCAGCCAAGCAGACCAAGAAGCTAATGAAGATTATGTTTCAAGGCCCCCTCACTAGCAGTGGCCTTATGACTTTTTAAGATTGCAAAGTAAGATATTTGAACTGCAACTGGTTAAGACCAATTGCAATCTGGGCTTTCCCCTTTCCTTTTCAATTTCCCTTCTGGCATGCTCCTCCTTGTATTGGGTGGTATTGGCCACGGGCATTTTCGGAATTGACAAACGCAGTGGTATGCCGGTAAATGTTTAACGACTGGCTCTCAGGAAATAAAAACCTTAGACTGCAGCATTGGTCATTTTTTGTGGTGTAGGCATTCCCACCATGGCCAGTTTCAATCTACCAGCATGAGGTTACATAATGTGAAGGTGGGAAGAGATGTGCAGTAGCGCAACATGATGTAGCATTTCCACCATACGGATACTTTTTTTTTTTTTTTGAAACGGAGGCTCGCTCTGTCGCTCAGGCTGGAGTGCAGTGGCGCGATCTCCGCTCACTGCAAGCTCCGCCACCCGGGTTCACGCCATTCTCCTGCCTCAGCCTCCGGAGTAGCTGGAACTACAGGTGCCCGTCACCATGCCCAGCTAATTTTTTGTATTTTTAGTAGAGACAGGGTTTCACCATGTTAGCCAGGATGGTCTCGATCTCCTGACCTCGTAATCCGTCCGCCTTGGCCTCCTAAAGTACTGGGATTACAGGCTTGAGCCACCACGCCCGGCCTCCACCATACAGATACTTATGCTCCATTGACCCTTGAATTTTCTCTAAATTGGTAACTAGATTTGGAAGCTTGATGAGACTAAGGCTTGATTTTTTTTTTTTTTTTTTTTTGTATTACACACATCCATCAGGAGATCTGTAATGTAACAGTCTTATCTTAAATAATTTAATTATTTACCACCCTGGAGTCAAAGGACAGATGTAAGTGATTTATTGACAATCCTTTTGGAAAAATGGCTATAAAAACAGGTACACCTGGTTTGCATTTGTGAGGATAACCCTGGAAAAAAATGTTTATACCATGACCATAATCTTTTCAATAAGTAACATTACTGACTACAGTACTGAATTCTGACTCCGGAATCTTGGCAGTACAGATAAGTTAAATGATGTCATTTCTAATTGGCTAATTGGGGTCCTAGTGGAATAATTTGGAGTCTTTTACACTGATCAATGTTGAGGTTAAGGGATTGAAGCCATTTCTTAAAGATTTTTTTTTTAAGGTTAAAAAAAAGCACTGCATTTCCCAATGCTATATGGTAGGAAAAACTTTTAAGGCTACAAGATTTTTGATGAGTGTTTTCATCCTTTGAGCGTCTACGGGATTGCCTCTGTGGCTTGGACTTTATTGTCTTCATAAGTATAATCTTTGGCTGTAGCCATTTTAGTTCCTGGGAGTCTCCATCTCCCCTTTATCCTGTACACGCCTGAGTTATTATTGCCCACTTCATCTGTGGCTGTGGTCTGACTGATAAATTAGACAATCCTTTCTCCTTTGCCTTCCAGGATTAGGACCACTCTCAGCCCCCACTCCTCGTTCTGGACAAATACATGCAAACCAGCACATTCTCATTTAGTTATCACAGATTCCTCTAATTTCCGATATAAAAGTCCATAGGTCTAATGTGAAGCACTCTTATGTTTTATTTTTATTTATTTATTTTTTTGAGACAGTGTCTTGCTTTTTTGTCCAGGCTGGAGTGCAGTGGCACAATCTAGGCTCCCTGCAAACTCCACCTCCAGGGTTCAAGCGATTCTCCTGCCTCAGCCTCCCAAGTAGGGGATTACAGGTGTGTGCCACCGTGCCTGGCTAATTTTTGTATTTTTAGTAAAGATGTGGTTTCACCATGTTGGCCAGGCTAGTCTCAAATTCCTGACCTCAGGTGATCTGCCTGCTTTGGCCTCCCAAAGTGCTGGGATTACAGGCCCGAGCCACCGTGCCTTGCCAGGCCTCCTATTTATATGAGGCAATGAAGATCAGGAACAGCATCTAGCTTCAAGGAATGGATCTGGAAGGAATGAGGAGAGACCTGAGTGGGGAACAGATTTGGGATCTTGCTGTTTGGAAATACTGGAGAGAGGCAGAGAGAGCAGTGGTGCTGAGAGCCTGCAGCCAGGGCTCCCAGTGGCTCTGAGGCCAACAGGCCACCCTTAATAACCAGAACTGACATCCACAGGCATCAGGCATGGGTGGGAGCCTGCGTTCTGAACCTGTTGGCTCCATGTTACCCAATTTTGAGTCAATAATCAAAGTCCCTGAGTTTACCAGCTGTTTAGCTCTGTCATACTTGGAAGTTGAAAGTAATTTGCAACATGTGCACTAAAGCTCTGCAGCATACTCACAATGGCTAGACCCATGGGCATCTCCCAGATGGTCCTTTACTGACAAGTAAGCCCAGAACTGGGAGTAGAGATGTGAGCTGGACATGACTGGTACTCTGCCCAGAGCTCTTCAGAACCCATTTGATGGTCTGTATGCTCCTCAACTGGCTTCTGGGTTTCTTTGCTTTGACAAGCCTGCACCTGACACTTTTCAGAGGTCAGCCCTGGAATTATCCCAGCCATTTTGGCCAGAAAGGCAAAGACCTGGAAGTGCCTGAGAACGTAGATCTCTCACAGGAAGCCCTGAGCCTGTGACAGTCTTATCTAGGAGCAGAAAAGCCCAGCTTTCTTGCCTCCATTTGAAACAAACACAGGCAAAATATATACTCCAGAAGTTCTGAAGGATCCAGTCGAAGCTATCCCTTGAGACTTTGCCTGAAATTGCAATCCTTGTCTGGCTATATTTTTCTTCTTCTCCTTCTTTCCTGTTCTCATTTCTTCCATTCCCTTCCTCGCTTCTCTTGGGAGAATTTCTTCATAAGCCACTTGCACATGAACTCTTATCTCAGGGTACCATTCTGGGAAACCAGAGTAAGATAAGGGGCCACAGTGAATATTCAAATAGCAGTTTTAGGGCAGGATTCCCTGGCCCCACCCTTCATGGTCTAGGCTTCAGAACTTGCCTCTGACCTTGATCTCCCATAGTCTCCATGGTCTTCCTACCTCTCTTGGCTGGGACCACAGATCCCTCAGAATTAGGGCCCTGCTGGTATGATAGAGCGCAAATATCCTTTCTTATTCTTGCCAAACCTCTTTTCTTTCCTTTCTTCTTTCTTTTTTTTTTCTTTTTTTTTTATTTGAGACAGGGTCTTGCTTTGTCACCCAGGCTGCAGTGCAGTGGCACGATTTTGGCTTACTGCAATCTCCGCCCCCTGGTCTCAAGTGATTCTCCCACCTCAGCCTCCCGAGTAGCTGGGACCACGGACGTGCACCACTATGCCCGGCCAATTTTTTATTTTTATTTTTTGTATTTTTAGTATAGACGGAGTCTCACCATTTGCCCAGGCTGGTCTTGAGCTCCTGAGCTCAAGCAATCTGCCCGCTTCAGCCTCCCAAAGTGCTGGGATTACAGTTGTGAGCCACGGCACCCAGCCTCAAACCTTGTTTCTGAAATTGAAATCTTCCCTTCCATTCCCCAGCTTCTTAAAAAAAAATTCTTCTATGGATGGACAGAGTTCCAGGAAACACTTCTTCTGCTCCCTGGCTGGTTCCCACACATTTGATCATTGCCTGGAGTCACTGTGGCTGAGATCTGCCTATTGGTTTACTCCTACAACTGCTGATGATTTCCAGAATTATGCTAGAGTTGATTAAATCCTGGACTTACTGCTCATTGGTCATTGCTGGGCCAGCCTCAGAGGATGGATCTTTCTGCCCCACTTGGCATCCTCTACCTCCCAGCTAGCTCTGTAGTTGAAGTCCCAACATGGTTCCTGATTAGTAAACTTGTGAGAACAGTGGCTGTATCTACGTTATTAAATTGTTCTCATCTATTGCAGAGCCAAGTTTAGTGAATATGTGTTGAATGAATCAATAAATCCATGAGTATTCACCTAAGTTATTATATATGATTCTGTTAACAGCACAATCCTTTTTCTTGGCATATCCTAAATTTTGCTGCTGATATTTAAAATTTAAGATGTGCCTAACAGGGTGGATGAAGTGGCTTTGGCAGAGAGTACTGAAAACTGATGCACACGTACATGTATACCCACTATCCTCCAGGCAGCGAAGTGCAGGATGATAGTTTCTAGGCCAAACAAATTAGATCATATCCCAGCTCCATCACTTACTAACAACAAGCCCTAATAGCTAAATTGTGTCACTAATTCATTGTTTAATCCTCACTACAATCCTGTGAAGTAGCAAATATTATTGTCACCCCATTTTAGAGATAAGGAAATTGAGACTAATTGGCCCAGTAGCCACTGGCAGAACTGAGATTTGAAACCAGGAGACCTGACACCAGAGGATACATGCTGAATCTCTGCAACGCCTGCTGTGTGAGGATGTGACTGTGAGAATTAAATGAGAGAATGGAAGTGCCCCATGGTAGGGGCTCAAGCAAAGTAGGAGGCACTTGCCGAAGCTGACTTTTGTCTGACTTTTTCTCCAAAGCTGACTTCATTTTATTTTTTCAACTAATCTTTGATTTCAGAAAAATTCAAACTTCTAATTATTTTCCAAGGAGATTAATGTAAGGCATAGCCCTGTACCCTTCACCAGTTACTTTCCCAATTATCAACTTGTACATTCTTGCTCCATCTATACCCCATTATTTTGCAGTAAATCCACGGCATCATATTATTTCATCCATAAATATTTCAAAGGATATCTCTAAAAGATAAGAGCTCTTTTTAAGAACACAAATACCATTATCTGTCTAAAAATGACTAAAAATAATTCCTTAACATCATGAATATCCCAGCCATGTTTACATTTTCCACTCGTTTCTCTCATACTTTTTTCCTCCATAAGTTTATTTACATGAATGAAGATTATAAATAAGGTCTATAAATCACAACGTCTTCTAAGTTTCTTTTAAGATAATAGTTGTCCTTCTCCACATTTTTCCTCTAGTAATTTAACTGGGCAAGAACTAGGTTGTTTGGCCTGTAGGTCTCCCAGGAACCTCTTCCCAAATGTGAATGACTGCATCCCCATGGTGATGTTTACCATATTGCTCTGTCCGCTCCCCACCCCCGCCGCCTCCCACTCCCCATCCCCCACCTCCCACCTCCCTGTTTCCTCTATATTGACAGTCAAATGTAGAAACTTGGTAAGATCAGAGTTTTGTTGTTGTTGTTTGTTTGATTTGGCAAGACTACGTCATGGGTGGTACTGTCTACTTCCATCAGGTGGTAAGTATATTTTGGTGTTTCTCTCTTTAGCATGCTGGTTGGCAGTTATGTCTAGATCCATTAATCCATTAGGAGTTACAAATGGTGCTACTCAACTTCTACTCCATTTATTGTACAGAAAATGTCTATATAAAGAAAATTCCTTAGTGAACTGTTTGGTTACCCTGCGTTACAGTTCTTTTAGGGAAGGGAGAATAAATGCTTGATGCCTTCCTTTTACCAGTTTTAAAATAATGTATTGGTTCCCTATCAACTTATGGATTCAATCTGATCTTTTTCCATCACTTTCATTTTAAATGAAACAATTCAAATCTGTAGAAAAGTTGACAGAGTATGCCCCTTACTTTAATGCTTCAGTTGTTAACAGTTTGCCACATCTGCTATATCTATCTATCTATGTGCACCACCTGAAAGTAAGTTGCAGACATTATGGCAGTTTATTCCTAAATACTTTGGCATATATTTCCTAAGGAAAAGCACATGTCTACCTGACCACAATTCTATTAGCATAGGAATGAAATTTAACATAAATAAACTAATAGTATTTAATAATTAATCCATATTCAAATTGCATCTTGTTCCAATATAATGTCTTTTTAAATTGTGATTTTTTTAACTCAGCGAAGGCTTATGCATACTATTTAGTCATGTCTCTTTTTAAAATTCTTGTGATTATCTCATCTTGCTGGGATAGCGACTGAAATTTGCCTGACCCGGAGCCCCTTATCCTGCTTCCTGGGGGATGGTGCATGTATATTACAGAAGTGATGCAGTTTACTTCTTATTATGGCATATCTTGTCACTTACTCCAATATTGGTGATGCAAAGCTTGACTTTTTGGTTAAGTTGAAGTCTGCCAGATGTTACAACAGTAAGGGGGACTCTTCCCTTTTATAATTAATAAGCAATATACGGGGTAGTATTTTGAGATTGTTTGGGCCTATCACCCCCCAAAAGGTTTTAGCATCCACTTCTGATCTTGCCTGCATCAATTATTACATTGGTGGTTGCAAAATGAGATTTTCTAATATTAACATATTGTCTATAGTTGATATTCTTCTGTGAATAAGAACTTTAATCCTCCATTTTTTGAATAACTGTGAACTCATGTATTCTTTTGGATTCAATGTATTATAATTTATTATCATTGTTATTCTTTTTCATATTATTCTAATTTGGCCAATAGAGCTCCTTCGAGATGGTTCCTGTAGTTCTTTTAGTATACTCTCATTGGTCTTTGAGCACTTTCTTGCTTTCTGGCACAGCTAGATATTCTGACTCACCTTGTCCCTTAACCCTTGAGTCAGCAGCTTCCCAAGGACACCTGGCTACTTTTTGTAAACAATGGTATTTAGTAACCATGATCTGAATACTAAGTGTGCTATGGCCACTGAGGTGTCATTACTTTAGGCCTTTTCAGTGAGGAAAGCTAGGAGATCTCTTTTTTCCTTTTTGTTAAATCAGGAGTTCATACTCAGCAATTACAGGGTTCCTTGTCTTCCCCTATTCCCTAGTTATAGCTTCCTCCTCTTACAGTGAGAACCTTGGTTCTCAACAATGTGAATACATTTGCTTATTTGCTGTATTCCGTAATCTACACAAAATTGTTTTAGAGTGATTACATCAGTACTTCTCCCAACAACAAAACCATAGTAAAGTTAAAAAATTGCAGCCAGGTGCAGTGGCTCACACCTGTAATCCCAGCACTTTGGGAGGCTGAGGTGGGCGGATCACGAGGTCAGGAGATCAAGACCATCCTGGCTAACACAATGAAAACCCGTCTCTACTAAAAAATACAAAAAATTAGCCGGGCATAGTGGCAGGTGCCTGTAGTCCCAGCTACTCCAGAGGCTGAGGCAGGAGAATGGCGTGAACCCAGAAGGTGAAGCTTGCAGTGAGCTGAGATCGTGCCACTGCACTCTAGCCTGGGTGACAGTGCGAGACTCTGTCTCAAAAAAAAAAAAAAAATTTCTTCCTAATTTTTGTGTTTTGATTTTTAGATTATCTCTCACTAAGATAGGTTTTTTCAGCCTCAGCACTCTGACATTTTGGGTTGGATCATTCTTTGTTGTAGGGGCTGCCCTGTGCATTGCAGAATGTTTAGCAGCCTCCCTGCCTCTAGTACTGGGGGTGGCCAGTACTCCCACCCCCAAGTTATGGCAATTAAGAATGTCTCAAACATAATCAAATGTCCTCTGTCCTCTGTTGAGAATCACTCCACTAAGAGGGTACATACAGCCTGACTATTGTTTTCAAAAGCTACTTGAATTATTTTTATCATGCTGTTCAATTTTATATATTTGGTCATTTATTTCTGTTTATATTCAATCTTAGAATTTCCTTTTACAGCTTTAAATTAAATTTTATTTTTCTGAATAAATAAAACATCTGCCTGGTTCCAATGTAAAAAAAATATTAAAAAAAGATAGACTCAGTAAAGTCTTATTCTCATCCCTATCGCTGCCACCCTTTTCCAAACCCACCATCTACAGATAACTATTTTCGTGAATTTTCTTACATAAAATGTAAGATGGTATATATTCTCTTTCAACTTTGATTTCTCTACTTAAAAATATACCCTGGAAGGCCGGGTGCGGTGGCTCACTCTTGTAATCCCAGTACTTTGGGAGGCTGAGGTGGGTGAATCACAAGGCCAGGAGATCCTGACCATCCTGGCTAACATGGTGAAACCCCGTCTCTACTAAAAATACAAAAAATTTAGCTGGGCATGGTGGCGCACGCCTATAATCCCAGCTGCTCGGGAGGCTGAGGCAGGAGAATCGCTTGAACCCGGGAGGCGGAGGTCGCAGTGAGCCAAGATCTCACCACTGCACTCTAGCCTGGGCGACAGAGTGAGACTCCGTCTCAAAAATAGATAAATAAATAAAAAATAAAAGTAATAATATACCCTGGAAATCACTCCAAAATAATTCATACAGATTTTCCTCACTTTTTAAAAACAGTTGCTTAGTATTTCATTGTGTGGCTCTTCCATAGTTGATTCCGCCATCTCTTAGGAATGGGCAGTTAGGTTGTTTCTAGTACTTTGCCAATACAAATAATTCCACAATGGATACCTTTGTGCATATGTTGTTTTAGATTTGTGGAGGTGCATCTTTGAGGTAAATTCATAGAAATGGGATTGTTAGATTGAAGGGTAAATGCATATGTAGTTTTATTAAATACTGCTACATTCTCATCCATAGGGTATACCATTTTACACTTCCAACTGCAAGATGTAAGAAAATGTGTCATTAAACTTTGAATTTGTGCCAATTTGATAAATAAGAAAGTATCTCAGTATAGATTTAGTATAGTTTTGATTTGTATTTCTTTAATTATGAATAAGGTTGAACATCTTTACATATGTTTGTATCCTTTTATATCTTTTTTTTTTGTGTGCGTGAAATGTTTGTACATGTCTTCTGCTCATTTTCCCATTATTTCCTTCCTGACATTTTTTAGAGATATTAATATATTGGGCAGATTAGGTCTTTATCTGTGATATATGTTTCAAATATTTTCTCTCAATTTGTCACTTGTCTTTTAATCTTGCTCACGACTTTTTTGTCATGCCAAGCTATTTTAAAAATTTTATTTAGATCCACTTTGTGTATTTTTACATATCTGTATTTGAATCATAGTTAGATTTTCTCTACAACATGTTTTAAAGATATTTACTCCTCTGTTTTCTTCTACTACTTAAGTGATTTCATCTTTTATGATTGAATCTGTAATTGTTGAAGTTTATTCTGGTGTATGAATCTAGCCTTATTTTTTTCCAAATAGGGTTACATTTTTCTTTTTTTTGAGATGGAGTCTCACTCTGTTGCCCAGGCTGGAGTGCAGTGGCGCGATCCCGGCTCACTGCAAGCTCCACCTCCCGGGTTCACGCCATTCTCCTGCCTCAGCCTCCCGAGTAGCTGGGGCTACAGGCGCCCGCCACCACGCCTGGCTAATTTTTTGTATTTTTTAGTAGAGACGGGGTTTCACCATGTTAGCCAGGATGGTCTCGATCTCCTGACCTTGTGATTAGCCCGCCTCGGCCTCCCAAAGTGCTGGGATTACAGGTATAAGTCACTGCGCCCGGCCAGGGTTACATTTTTCTTAGCACCATTTAATGAGTCTTTCTTTTCTCTATTAAATTGCAACATCATCTTTATTATCTATTTTGGGTCTATCTTCCGTTCTATTCCATGGCCTATCTCTCTGTTCATATTCTAGTACCACATTTTTTTAATTACAGAGGTTTTATACTGTGCTTTTATATCAGTAGGGCTAGTTCCCCCCCTCCCATTACATTTTTTTAAGGATTTTCCTAGCTATTTTTTCTTTTCTTTTTTTTGAGAGGGAGTCTTGCTCTGTCTCCCAGGCTGGAGTGCAGTGGCGCCATCTCGGCTCACTTGCAAGGTCTGCCTCCCGACTTCACGCCATTCTCCCATCTCAGCCTCCCGAGTAGCTGGGACTACAGGCGCCCGCCACCACGCCCGGCTAATTTGGTTTTTGTATTTTTAGTAGAGACGGGGTTTCACCGTGTTAGGATGGTCTCGATCTCCTGACCTCGTGATCTGCCTACCTCGGCCTCCCAAAGTGCTGGGATTACTGGCGTGAGCCACCACTCCCAGCCGGTGTATTTGTTTTTTATATACATTTTAGAATCTACTTGACTAACTCCAGCAAAGATTTATTGGTATTCTAATTAAGATTCAATTAAATTTATGTATTAACTTGAGATGAAATGGTCAATATCTTTGTAATGTTGAGGCATTCCATCCAAGAGAAAGAGAAGTGTTTTTACTGTATGAAGTCTAAGTTAGTGTCTTTTAGAAGTGTTTTAAAGCTTTATGGCCAGGTGCGGTGGCTCGCGCCTGTAATCCCAGCACTTTGGGAGACCGAGACGGGTGGATCACCTGAGGTCAGGAGTTCGAGACCAGCCTGGCTAACATGGTGAAAACCCCGTCTCTGCTAAAAATACAAAAATTAGCTGGGTGTGGTGGCGCGCACCTGTAGTCCCAGTTACTCAGTAGGTGGAGGTAGAAGAATCACTTGAACCCGGGAAGCAGAGGTTGCAGTGAGCCAAGATCACACCATTGCACTCCAGCCTGGGCGACAAGAGCAAAACTCCGTCTCAAACATAAATAAATAAATAAATAAATAAAGCTTTACAATTTTACTCACACATATATATATATATATGTATATATCTTAAGTTTATTCCTAATTATCTTACCTATTTTTGTGGCTCTTACAAAGAAATTATATTTTCTAATTGACTATGGTTTGTATATTTGAATGTTATTGATTTTTATATATTAATTTTGTATCCTGATATATTATTGAATTATTTTATTGTTTGCATTTTTTTTTTTTTTTGAGACAGAGTTTCGCTCTTGTTACCCAAGCTGGAGTGCAATGGCATGATCTCGGCTCACTGCCTCACTGCAACCTCTACCTCCTGGGTTCAAGTGATTCTCCTGCCTCAGCCTCCCAAGTAGCTGGGATTACAGGCACGTGCCACCATGCCTGGCTAGTTTTTTGTATTTTTAGTAGGAACGGGGTTTCACCATGTTAGCCAGGCTGGTCTCAAACTCCTGACCTCAGGTGATCTGCCCACGTCGGCCTCCCAAAGTGCTGGGATTACAGGGGTGAGTCCCGCGCCCAGCCTATTGTTTGCATTTTATCACTGAATGGCTAAAGGTTTCCCAAGGATTATATCATATCATCTATAAATAGAGAGAATTTAATTTTTACTTTCCAATTTTTGTCACATGTGTCTGGAATCCCTTCTCACTTTTTGCCCTCTTCCATGCGGCCCTTGCTGTTAATATAATACTTAAGGTATCTCTGTCTTTTCTGTTTTATTAAGATACCCAAATGAACACAAGTGTGAACCAAAAAAATCTGAGACAAAAAATCTGAGAAATTAAATCAGTTAATTTAGAAAGTTTATTTTGCCAAGGTTGAGGACGCACCTGTGGCAGCCTCAGGAAGTCCTGACATGTGCCTAAGGTGGTCGGGGCACAGCTTAGTTTTATAGATTTTAGGGACACATGAGACATCAATTGATATATGTAAAAAGTACATTGGTTGGTCTGGAAAGGCGGGACAACTTGAAGCAAAGGCAGGAAGCAGAGAGGGGACTTCCAGGTCACAAATAGGTGAGAGACAAATGGTTGCATTCTTTTGAGTTTCCGATTAGCCTTTCCAAAGGAGGCAATCAGATATGCATCTATATCAGGGAGCAGAGGGGTGACTTTGAATAGAATGGGAGGCAGGTTTGCCCTAGCAGTTCCCAGCTTGACTTTTCCCCTTTAGCTTAGTGATTTGGGGGCCCCAAGATTTATTTTCCTTTCACACAAGCATGATGTATTACAGGCTTACACCCTTCTAGGTATGATTCTAATGAGAGCGTTACCTAAAACAAGGAATGTATCAATGTGTCCCAAATGACATTGTCACCTTCACCTCCAAACCAGGTCTTCCACCTCATTCCTAGGTATTTCCTGGGTGTTCCTAAACCTTGGCTTTTGCTCTCCTTTCTCCTTCCACCTTTAGATCATATCAGCTGGTATTTCATGCAGATTTTAATTCAGCAAACTTTTCCCCTTTTCCCCAATATTCAGTGGCTGGTCTACTTGTGGGTACAAAGGCCCAGACCCATTGTTTCAACTGGAGACCTGTGAAGGGCGATCCCAGCCTCAGAACCTCGCATGGGATGGACTCAGTACTCTGCTGCAACTGCATTTCAGTTTAACTTCTCCCTTTACCCAGTCCTAACTTCCTTATTCCCTAAAAAATGTTTCTGGGAGTGCTCCTCAGTAAACTTCATGCATAAACACTTCAGAGGCTCAGAGTATGTTTCCTGGAGAATTCCATCTGTGGCGTTTCCTCTTCATGCCTACTGCCACCATCCAGGTTTAGGCCCCCATTACCGCTTACCTGGAATATTGCAAAAGCTTTATCACTATTCTCTTTGCTCACTGGCTCTCCTATAATCAGTCTACACAACAGCAGACTAATTTTTTTTATCCCAGATCATAGCTCTTATGCTGTTTTCCTGCTCAAAAACTTTGGTGGCCCCCCAGTCTATTTAATTAGGTTCTTACTCCTTATTGTGATTTTCAAGACCCTTCCCAATTTAGCCCCCACTATTTTCAGCTCTCATCTTCTACTCCAGTATAAGTATGCTCCGCTCCATTTAAACTAGAACATTTGCAATCCTCCAAATCTACTGTAAAAATTCATTTTTCCTATATTTGTTCCAAATGTTCTCTTCTATTATCTTCTTTATAAAATTTGAACCATATTTCAAGGTCCATTCTCCTTTTTCTTTTTCATTTTTTTTCTAGATGGAGTCTCGCACTGTCGCCCAGGCTAGAGTGCAGTGGCGCGATCTCGGCTTACTGCAACCTCCGCCTCCTGGGTTCAAGCGATTCTCCTGCCTCAGCCTTCCGAGTAGCTGGGATTACAGGTGCCCCCCACCACACCCAGCTAATTTTTGTATTTTTAGTAGAGACGGGATTTCACTGTATTGGCCAGGCTGGTCTCAAACTCCTAACCTTGTGATCTACCCACCTCGGCCTCCCAAAGTGCTGGGATTACAGGCGTGAGCCACTGCTCCTGGCCAGGCTTAAGGTCCATTGTGAGAGCAATATTCATTCTTGGCATACCTGTATCAATGTATCTTATGTACCCCATAAATATATATCCCTACTATGTGACCAAAAAAATTAAAAATAAAATAAAAATTTAAAACCCATACATTCTCCATGCAGATTTTCCTCGTACCTCAACCCAATGTCATCTCTTCTTCATTAGTTATCCCAATGCAGTTTGTACTTCTCCTTGGTATCTATTGATTATATTTACTGTGTGTCAATTTCACCATTTTACCTCTCTTCCCTATCCTTTCACCTGCACTGATAGAATGTAACTGTGAGAGCAAGATTTTACCTCAATCATCTTTGTATCACTTGAAACAAGAAGCATCATCCTTAATCCTGGAGTTCAATAAATCATTAATAAATTCAATTGAATACAAGCTGCCAATTTGTTTGACATTTTTGTGAATGCTTTCTGTCTTTCTAGCTTTTCAAGTTTGGTATAGGAGGGTTTCATATGTAAATAAATATTTAACTATGGTTTTTTTAATGAAATCATTTATGTTCTTTCCCGGCACAATTTTCATTGGAAGATCTTTGAGGATTCCTTAAATAAGGTTCTAAAACTAAAGATGGAATGTGCCCCCATAAGGGAATGGCCATATCCTGTGAGACATAGGCAGGAATAGTCAGGAATTCCTGAGGGTGGAGAGGAGAACCCTGGCACATGTAATCAGATGATGTGACATCAAATCCATGGTGTAATTCAAAACACAGCTGTGGGGCAATAATCTGGAACAAACCATAAGTCTTTTTTTCCATCCTACAGTGGAGGCGACACCGGTTTTAGCTTCCTTATTCTATACAGGCAGCTTCACTCTTATCAAGATGTAGCTTCTCTTTTTCCATGTACCTTAGCCTCATTTCAGTAACTAATATCTTCTTTTCAGTCAAGTCAAATGAGAACAGTGGTGCTTTCCAAAGCACTTTTGATTGATGTTTGATATTGCCCATAACACTTCAATTAGAAACAGTGAAAATGGGTCACTAATTAAAAATAAGCTCTTGGTGTTAAAAATAATATTTACATAGGCAATCTGTGGAGAGAGAAATAAATTGATATATCATATACCTCAAGATATAGTTTTAATTTTATCCATCTATTTATATGATCCGATTTCTCAGAGCAAGCTAACTACAAATAGTATAGTATTAGAAATGTGACTTCTCCTTTTTGGGGTATAAAGGTGGAGTTTTCAACAAGCAGAGTGTGGTTATGGTTGGATAGAATAGTACAAGGTTGTGTTTACATAGAATCTTTCATTGAAAGAACTTTGAGTGCTTCATAAACATTGCTTCACGAATGCTTCCAGCACCCTTAGGAGGTGAATGGAGTTATTGTCCCCATTTAACTAATGGAAAAATTGGAAAAGAGAGGGCTTGAACTTCATATTCACCAGTCAATGGTCTATGTGACCACAAAAATATGTTCTACTTAGCCTTGAATTAATGCTATACATCTGTTCTGATTTTATGCTTTTGTCATTTTTTCTTTGCATTATACCATTAAAAAGTTATCATATAGAAACTTTCATGAATATTCTGTATTATGAGATATAATATTCTGCATCATTCTTTAAACTTCCACCAAAGTTCTACTATCACAGAAATTTTATTGGAACAGGGCTTTGTTTTACTTTATTTATTCATTTATTTATATTTTTAGAGACAAGGTCTCACTCTGCTGCCCAACCTGGAGTGCAGCGGTGCAACCCTAGCTCACTGTAGCTGCAACCTCCTGAGTAGCTGGGACTACAGGTGCATGCGATCACCCCTGGCTAATTTTAAAATTTTTCGTAGAGATGGGGTCTTGCTATGTTGCCCAGGCTGTTTTTGAATTCCTGGGCTCAAGTAATCCTCCTGCCTCAGCCTCCTAAAGTGTTGGGATCATAGGCATGGGCCACTATGCCTGGCCTACCCCATTTATTTAGAGGTTACATTTCTCTAAATAAATCATAGTTTCCATTGCTCCACACCCTTTCCAGTCTTTGGGATAGTCATCTTAACTACCAGAAATACAGCCACAATCTCAGATTTGAACTAACACTAGCCGTAGGTCAGTAACAGCTGTCACAAAATCCTTGAATTTTGCTTTGCAGAAGATAGCATCAGTTTAATCACCCAAGGGAAATGTGTAGAGTAGAGCAAGTGGTAACAGGACGTAGATCCACTGACATCAGTAAGAAATGACAATTGACAACGGAGGGAGAGTTTTAAAAAGCAGTTTGCTATGAGTGGTAAGATTATATGAGGGCTTTTGAATATTCTCCGGAAAAAGGCCATTTAAATGAGAATAAACTAGTTGTTTATCTTGTTTATCTTGTTTCTAGTTATTTGTCACAGTAGTTTGGAGTATGTTCTCTCTCTTACACAGCTCTGAGATGAGAAATAAAATGGCAGTGATAAATAAGCAAGGTTAGTCTGATGTGCTGATCATTCTTAGATTCAATTAAAGTTATATTCTGTGTATAAGATATTTGTAACTGTATTTTAAAGACGAATATCACAAATAGTTAAAAAAAGAAGTCCTTGAAGTAATATGTATCAGGAAAAGAAGAGCTCATCGTCTCCTCTAAAAGGGAATTAATTATCTTTTATCCAGTATACGTATGGAGCCAATCAGTGAGTGAGATATATACAGGCCCTCTGACAATTGTCAGAAGGTCTTGACATAGCTGCTAATGATCTGTTGACAGGAACAGCTGGTGATAGGAACAGAGGTGAGTGTTACTAGAGAAGAAGGCATGAAGATCTCACTGCAATGGTGCAGTGAGAGAACAGTAGACACGGTGCCAGCCAGAGCCCCATTAACTGGCCCTTAGTAAATTCCAGGATCCAAACTTTATGGTCTCTACTTGGCATGGAATAAAGATAAAAAAGGATTCTGTTTGATCATCTCCTTAATATCCATATACGAACATATTCCAAGGAGAAAACTGTGCCCTTTCTGCAATCCTGTACCTGAGTCTTTTAAAGAAAGCACAGAATATTTTGGACCTGATGTTCATTGGATCATTTGTCAACATGCCAAATAAACTTTAGCTCTCAGAGCACTTGGAAAACATGTTTTGGAGAGTCTGTGTAACATTCTGGGTGGGGCAGTTTCTAAAAGGCTCAATCTTAAACACAAAACAGAGCAGTAAGACCAGTGATTAGTATCGATGCAACAATTTTACAGCTATGCTGAATGTGCGCTGTGTTAGGAATGCTCTAAACCCATGCCGGGTCAACACGTCTTTCACCTTATGTTGCCCGAAGAGTGCTAAATAGTGTGTGTTACACATTTTTAATCTTTATCCAAATAAACTTAGTTTCTGCAAAAGTTATTCGATAATAAGAATTTATATATATTTCTCTTTTGGCTTCTAAAAATTATGAAATATTTCATACATATAAAATAATAAATATGAAGTAAGTATAAATGATAACAGTAAAATTTATATCCCTGTTTTTATCACCTAGTATAAGAAAGAAAACTTTTCTAATGCCTTTGGCACTCATATGAGTTATTTCTCACACTCCTTCACTTCAGAGATAACAACTGTCCAGACTTTTTGTGTTTATTATTCTCATCCTTTTCAATAAGTTTTACTACATATAGATATAGGTAGACAGAGATACACACACACATACACATATATACTCCTTATATATATGAATCCCTAACAAAATAGTATTAGTTTTACAAGTATTTGAACTTTATATGAAAGGTATACTATTTTATGCCTTCTGTGATTGGCCTTGTTTGTTCAGAATTTTATTTGTGAGATTCATTCATATGCATGTAGTTGATTCTCTGATGCAGAGTATTCAATTGTATAAATAGACCACAAGTTATCTATTTACTCCCCTTACCACTGACAGCCAGGTTGTTTCCAAACTATCAGGAACATTCTTGTGGATGTCTCCCGCTGTTCACAAGCAAGGCTTTCTAGAGGATATAGAAAGTGGAATTGCTGGATAGTGCGATATATGCATCTGTAACTTTACTACATAATGCTAAATCGTTTTCCAAAATCAATGAGCCAGTTCCCACTCTCACCAACAGTGGATCATAGTTTTCATTGCTCCACATTCTCTCCAACATCTGAGATAGTCAGACTTTTAAATTCTTGCCAATTCAGTGGACATGAAATGGTAATTTGTTTATTTAGTATTATTTTCCTGGTTACTAAAAAGGTCTAGCTGCTGGGCGTGGAGGCTCATGCCTGTAATCCCAGCACTTTGGGAGGCCGAGGAGGGCTGATCACGAGGTCATGAGATCGAGACCATCCTGGCTAACACAGTGAAACCCTGTCTCTACTGAAAAATACAAAAAAGTAGCTGGGCGTGATGGCGGGCACCGGTAGTCCCAGCTACTAGGGAGGCTGAGGCAGGAGAATGGCGTGAACCTGGGAGGCAGAGCTTGAAGTGAGCCAAGATCGCGCCCCTGCACTCTCAGCCTGGGTGACAGAGTAAGACTCCGTCTCAAAAAATAAAAATAAATAAATAAATAAATAAATAAATAAATAAATAAATAAAAAGCTCTAGCTTTGGATTATATGTTTTCCAGTCATTCATGTTTCTGCTTTGGTTAAATGTCTGTTTGCTTTGTATGGCCATTTTGTTACTGAGTTGTTGACTTTTTCTATCTGTTTTCAGGAGTTCTTTGTATATATTATCAGGGTGCAAATGCTTTTTTGGTTATATATATTCCAAACATCTGCTCCCAAATGATCTTTTCAATTTCTTTTAACATAGTCTGTTATTTCTTCAAAATTTTTACCAAGGTAAACAAATATTCTCTGCTCACTGTTTAAAGAGAGGTAAAACTAGATTAATTAAACTACTCAGAATTTTAATTCAAACATAAGAATCAGAAATGGTACAATACATTTGTGTTAATTATTTTAAAAGGCAAAATGGCAAAGATATGTTTCCTGACAGACTCTCCTGGGAAATCTATTGAAAGGATTATATCTAGTCTTAACCAAATGGATTCCTTTATTTATTTAACTGAATCCTGCCATCATTACAGGCATATCCAAAAAGTCTGTAAAAAATCAAATAGCAACACATCTCTCTCTTTCCTTCCAGCATCCAATTTCTGGAAAAAGTAGTCTACACTTGTCGCCACTTCCTTGGAATCACTTACTTCTTATCCTCGGGTGATCTGGCTTTCCCCAGCACTCATTTGAAAACTGATCTTTCAAAGGTTGCAATGACCTTGCAATTTCCAAATTGAATGGCTTCTTAATTAGAGTTGCCAGATTTAGCTTTAAAAAATACAGAATTTGCAGTTACATTCGAATTTTAGATAAGCAAAGAATAACATTTGAGTATAACTATGTCCCAAATATCCCAATTTATGTTCCAAATATTTGCCCTACGTCCTCTCTCCAAATACAATCAAGCACAAAGTGCCATCAATGCCCCAAGTATTTATATTAATAATTCCTTCATAATGATTATGATGTTGGAATGAAACAAAGATAGGGAAAGTTTGCTATTTAGTTTGCGTGATACATTTATGGAACAGGGGTCTGTGATTATATTTCCTTCTAACCAAATGTTTTTCCACCAGTCTCCAGGCCTGAGACTTTACCTGCTTCTGCTAGATTCTCCCTAGGCAGTATGATTAAGAGAGAAGATGCTTACCGACATAAATGATCCTGGTAGGGAGAAAGAGTCTCAAAGAATGGCTCTGCCCAGGAGAATCCAACTCTGAGAGAAAAGAGAAGGTCAGGCTTGGCAAAGCAGGGGGTGGGGGCGAGCTTGGAATTGGGGTTTAGGGTTCTTCTTCTTTATCTTATAATCTCACTTTTTTTCCCTCTCCTCTCCTAATCTCCTATAATACACTCCTACCTTTCCCAAACTTCTGTCTTCTGGAAGGAAATGCAAAACACTAATAAACATAAATCCCAACAGTGGAAATTAAAGCAATAATAAAATGTCCTGGAAGAATTTCAAACAGGTGAGGGATGTGATCAAAGATCTTTCTAAATAAATGTACTTTTGTTTGCTTTGAATTTTTAGTTGCAGCAATAATTTTAAGATGCAAATGATTTGAATTTAGAGACTTTCAATAACTTGGGAATAAGAGTAGTATACCACAATATTTAGCATTTAAAAATAGCATAGCACAACAAAGAACAGATTTCCTAAAACCAGAAGTCACTACTTCCTTCAAGAGTCTAAGACTTGGCTGGGCATGGTGGCTCACGCCTATAATCCTAGCACTTTGGAAGGCCGAGGTGGGCAGATTGCCTGAGGTCAGGAGTTCGAGAACAGCCTGGCCAACATGGCAAAACCCCGTCTCTACTAAAAATATAAAAATTAGCTGGGTGTGGTGAAGGGCACCTGTAATCCCAGCTACTTGGGAGGCTGAGGCAGGAGAATCACTTGAACCCGGGAGGTGGATGTTGCAGTGAGCTGAGATTGTGCCACTGCACTCCGGACTGGGCGACAAGGGCGGAACTCCGTCTCAAAAAAAAAAAAAAAAAAAAAGTCTGGTTGCGCGCGGTGGCTCACGCCTGTAATCCCAGCACTTTGGGAGGCCGAGCGGGGCGGATCATGAAGAAAGGAGATCGAGACCATCCTGGCTAACACGGTAAAACCCCATCTCTACTAAAAATACAAAAAAATTAGCCAGGCATGGTGGCGGGCGCTTGTAGTCCCAGCTACTCGGGAGGCCGAGGCAGGAGAATGGCGAGAACTCGGGAGGCGGAGCTTGCAGTGAGCCGAGATCACGCCACTGTACTGCAGACTGGGCGACAAGAGCCAAACTCTGTTTTTTTTTTGTTTTGTTTTTTTTAAAGAGTCTAAGCCTTTGGTCATTGCTTTCGGTATTAAAATGCAGTTCTTCACCCAAGATCCACCTTAAAAGTTATTGTCTTCTTGAAGCCTTCCCAGTCTCAATAATCTCAATCCCTGGCTCAGAGTAAGTTTGTATTTCAATTTAGTCTTTACTTATGGGGCTGTAGTCTTTTAGAAGTCCCTGTCTCTCCTGGATCATCACCTCCTTAAGGGAAGAGACAAGGCCTTGTTTGTATTTATAGTTCCACTATCGTTCGCAGTGGGTTGTGCTTAAAAACTGTTGACTTGAACCTCAGCCTTAAAGCAAAGAATAAACATTCATTTTGCTCGTGTAGAACAACAGATTGTACATGCATTAGTAAAATAAATTGGTAATATATTCTACCTCCAAAATTACACCTTGATAGGATGTTTTTGAGTAAACACACATTCAAGTTTTGGAAAATATTTACAAGTTTCAGGAGACAGTTGTGTATTTGAGAGATAAAGAAGTATTTAAAAAGTAAGGATCTGATAATGCTTGGCCCACCAGGCAAAAGAAGGCCATTTAAAAATGATGGGTCTTTCTTTTGTCTGCAAAGTCAGAAGACTGGTCCCCTGCAAGGAGAGAGTTTGAGAAACAAGGAATGTGGCCTTTCCTCCAAAGACCTCAGATAGATCATAGCGTGGATCCCAGTTGATACATGTGGAAACTGACGTTAAGCAACTTGCCTAAAGGGAGTCATTTGACTAGAGCTGGGAACAATCTCCAGCTTGTGCTGTAACACAGACTGTGTGGACAGAAGTCAGGCTCCACAGACTGTTTTGTGAGTGTAATGTTAGCATGATATTAGCAAACAATAAAGCAACATATGCTACAGACATGGCCAGAGAAATCAGTTTTGATAAAAGCACAAAATGACCTGGGAGAGAAGAGGTAACGCTCAGAAAGACGAGCCCTGTGGTTGCTAACATTTTTATTAGAGACTTTACAGAAATGAATGTTCAACGTCTAAGTGTTACTCAGGGAACATCCGAGCTACCACAATTATTCCTGCACAAACCTGCTGTATTCCTTGACTCTCAATACCTTTTTTCTTGTATCTGACATGAACATAGCTCTACGGAAATGATGGGGGGAAAGTGAAGGAGCTGAGCTTCATACGTGGGAAAAATGTGTTGAAATAGACTGTGAAATTAAAAAATAAGCATGGCACCAAGAGAGTGGTTTGAAGAGTGTTCCCCACAATGTTTCTATGAAAACGTAAGCATGTCGTTTAGATCATTGCTAGAATTCTGAATTGCTACCATCAGCTTTTCACAGTTTGGATAAAACATGTAACCAAATCCTAACACTCATTATGAAAACACATATGGAAAATCCCTTTTCATTCAGAGCAGACGACCTACAAGCACTGTTTTAGCCACAAGAATGTGTCCCTGTGAACATGACACCAGAGTCCCAGAATGTGGGGCTCTTTAATGTGCCACACAAGAGCTGGGATTTTTATTCTGCTTCACATTCCTCACAAGGCTCTGTTTTGAAGCTCTTAGGCAAGAGGTAATGTGGGAACAGCATTGTATTCATAAAGATTTCAAAGATGTGGAGGTTCCCACCATTTGACCTATTTTGCCACTGATGCATTATTCTGCTGCAGAAAGTCTCATGTGTACAGCAAACTCATTAAGGCTTAGTATGTTCTTACCTGTGTGCATTTCTGTGTGTCTGTATAAATATATATGTTTTTCGTATAAAGGCATACTTTTTCTAGACAACAAGATGAATACATTGAATCTCAATTTTTTTTTTTTTTTTTTTTTTTTTTTTTTTTTTTTTTGAGACGGAGTCTCGCTCTGTCGCCCAGGCTGGAGTGGCGCAATCTCGGCTCACTGCAAGCTCCGCCTCCCGGGTTCACGCCATTCTCCTGCCTCAGCCTCCCAAGTAGCTGGGACTACAGGCGCCCGCCACTACGCCCGGCTAATTTTTTGTATTTTTAGTAGAGACGGGGTTTCACCGTTTTAGCCGGGATGGTCTCGATCTCCTGACCTCGTGATCCGCCCGCCTCGGCCTCCCAAAGTGCTGGGATTACAGGCGTGAGCCACCGCGCCCGGCCGGGAGCAGGTTGTTCTTGTATTGCTCATTCCACTCATCCTTCCAGGAGAACAGGCTACATGTTTATAACAAACTAGAGAGCTCTGGGTGGAAGATTTTTTTTTTTTTTTTTTTTTTTTTTTTTCCTTGTTATCAGAATGTAGCCAGGCTTAAAGAAGACTGGTTATCTATTAGTCATTTGGTATTCTAAACACGTGGGTGTGGACTCCCAACCTGCCTGCGGCTTGCCTGAATTGTAACCAAGTTTGTCCAAAACTGGTTACCTAAATGCCAGAGAGACTGTGCTTTTTGTCACTTTAACCAAAATCCCAGTGCGTGGGCCAGAATATTCATAATATTGTAGATTCATAAAGGACAGAACTGACATCTTCAAAGAATGTAACAATGAAGTAAAATGAGTGCTTTAGGAAGAAATATAACAAAACACAAACTCAGAAACGAGCTTGATTCCTGGAAGAGTCACCTAGGGAAACAATGCAAATCCAAAGCATTTTTTAACTCCTTTAAAAACAGCCTTTCATGAATAGTTTTGGTTGCACGTGTGAAAATTCTTTATTTTATTGATATTTCTCATTTTCCATCAAAATTAATTTATCATATTGGGGGAAAAAAAAAACCCCACAGGCTTTAGAGAGTCAAAGACCTGCATCAAATCTAACTTCCGCTAGATTGTACTTTTATGATCTTGGAAAGTGCTTAATGAGTTTTGATTTACTCATCCAAGAAATGGGAAACTTTTAACAAAAAGATTCATGTCCTGGATCTAGTGGTTCTACTTCTAGGAAATTATCTGATGGGAACGATCATAAAAATCCACAAAGTTTTATCTATGAAGAATGTTCCTTTGCAGCATTGAAATATTGGAATTGTGTGAGTAGACTATGATATATCCACAAACAGGAATACCAAATAGGGAGTAAAGATTTTTGTGGAAGAAATTTAGTGACATGAAAAATTGTTCACAATATAATAGTAAGTGAAAAATTATAAGGTTATACACATTGTTATTAATTTTTGGGGAAAATGTATTCTTATGCTTACCCATAGAAGAAACACTAGGTAGATAAGCGCAGTAATATCAGTAGTGATTCGATGTGGGTAAGTGGGACACTGAAGCAGCTTTGGTCTCTACTCTTCAAGATTTTTCAACCTTCCTTCAATAACATGTGCTAATTTTATAATTATTAAATATATATCAAATAGGGACATTAATATTCACCTTATAGATTTGTGTTAAGAATTAAATTAGGTGAGATGATTCATGAAAAACAGTTTAGTGCCTAGCATTTAATTGGTGTTTTTGATTATTTTTATCCAGTTTAATCAGTCATCATGGACTTAGCTCAAAATGATTTTTTTGACTTGAAACAAAACCAAAAATACTACCCTTTAACTGGTGAAAATTTATCACCGTTAAGGATATTCAAAAAAAAAATGCACCGTAAGCTATGAAGGCAATTTCAAAAGAGATGTTTCTGAAATGCCTTGAGCAATGAGAGAGACAATGAAATAAGCAATTAAACTTAAGGTGACTACTTTGCAGCATTTATTTGGACCTAGAAGCTTTGGTTTGTTTGTTTAAAAAACCTGTCATTACTATAGCCACATTGGGTACACGGATAGACGGAACAATATCTAACTCAAAGCGGGTAATTAGTCTGTCAAGATAAATGCCCCCTCTTCTTCAAGCTGATAAAAAGTATCTTGTCAGGGCCTCTTGTGTCATCCCCCAAACACTGTGCGTAAGCCCTGCTGTTTTCTCTTGCAACACGCTTCATCCTGCAGAAATGCAGAGGGAAGCTTTTTGTGGGTATGGTTGGTTGAAAGACAGTTCATATTACCCCTATCTCCTTTCCTGGACTGTATATCTCTGGGGTGCTATGACCTTCTCCCCCCCCCAGGGCACATGTGCACTTGCGCGCAGGCACACACACACACACACACACACACACAAATATGTATACCCAGGGCCGGGCGTGGTGGCTCACGCCTGTAATCCCAGCACTCTGGGAGGTCAAGGCGGGCAGATCACCTGAGGTCAGGAGTTCAAGACCAGCTTGGCCAACATGGTGAAACCCCGTCTCTACAAAAATTAGCCAGGTGTGGTGGTGGGCGCCTGTAATCCCAGCTACCTGGGAGGCTGTGGCAGAAGAATCGTTTGAACCCAGGAGGCAGAGGTTGCAGTGAGCCGAGATCGTGCCATTGCACTCCAGCCTGGGCGACAGAGCGAGAGTCTGTCTCAAAAACAAACAAACAAACAAACAAAAAAACAAAAAACAAACAGAAAGAAACATGTATACCCACGCACACACAGACATACACACACGGACACACATTCTCCCCCGCCCCCACACACACACCCTCAGAGAGATACCTTATCTCTCTGGCTCTCATACACACTCCTACTTTCCCCTCTCCTCGCCTATCGATCTCCTCTCCCCTGTGCTGAGTTAGAAGCTCCTCCTATTATTTTTGTAATCTCTGTTTTAGCATTTCCCATAGAATATTGCAAACATGGAGTGCTTATCTCGCTCTCACACTGGAGTTCCTTGAGCCATCTGCCACTTTTATTAGCCTCTCAGAACGCTCATTTCTTCATCTTAGTGTTCCATTGACAAATGGGAACATAATGCCTCATTTAGAAGTTAGTTGTGGGCATTCCATTGCATAACGGAGGTAGAATTCCTGGCACATGCTAGCCACCCAATAATGGAAGCTATTATTATGATTAATTATATTATTTATTCACTTTTATATCCTGAGGGCCTGGCATAGTGTCTGATGTGTGATGAGTGTAAAATAAATTTCTGGTGAATTAATGAATTAACTCACAAGCTTACAGAATGTGGCTTCAAAATAAAAGAAGAATGTTGTTTTGTAGCGTTTATAGTAGGTGTGAGCGGCAAATCCACGTGCTTCCCCTTCTTACCCCTTTCCCCAAACAACCTATCTGGTGCCAATCCTTGGGAAAAGAAACCGTTACCATCTAGATATAGAAAGCCTATTGACTATTATTTCCATGTAGATATGGCTTAGCAAGGATAAGAGGAATTTTCTCCCTTGATTATCATCTCCTTAGGCTATGTAGTTTATTTCCCAGAGACCGGTCTTCCTTAGCCTTGTTAACCTTTATATGCTTTCTAACTCCAACAAACAATTATTGGCTGAAATAACCTGATCGAGACACAATCAGCTTCACGGCTGCCTCCAGACTCTACCCGATCTGTTAGCGCTAATCTATTCACCTCTCAGTGTTCACAAAACCTGTTAGCTGATTTGCATTCCACCTCCTATCTTTTCCCTACTTCCTTTGAGGAAGATGTTTGTGAATTATTTTAAGCCAGTTGAATCACTCTGGGAGTTAAGTGCTATTTTAAGCTTTTGAGGAACAGTTGAGAAGGAATGACTTAGGGATGTGAAGCATTTCCCAATAATATCCCACAGAAACTTCAACTTACCAAGTTTGTGGTAAATTTCAGGATATTAAGACACCCTGAAATGGGTCACTGTTCTTGGATACCAGATTCTAAGCTACCCATTGCAAAATGTCTTGTTAAAGCCATGGTGTACGGTGCAAGTGAGATCCACGAGAGGCCATCTGCTGCTTGAGAGAATGTCTTCCTTTCCAGCATCTGAATGCACTGCTTTCCTTGCTGTCTGCCTAGTTGCAGAACTTTGTCTTCTTTTATCAGGACCACTGTCTCTGTGTCCTTGTCAAACTTTTTGTCCCCTAACGGCATCCTCTCCTTCAAATATTGTGCAGCAGATCTAGGGTCCCAGGTGAGTGGACCTCCGTAAGCAGATCACAAGGTGAGCACCCTCTTGAATAATTATTCCACTTGCTTTTATGAACCTTTCCTGAGCCCCCAGCCCACCAGCCAATGTATATTTCCCTACCAAAAAACGCTACCAGTTCCAGGAAGTCTTCCCAGAGTGATAAGAACACATGCTTTATCTTATCTCAACTTTTCTAGACCTCTATGTTGATTGCCGTCATCGCATGTTGACCCTGCTGGCTCCTTATTGGTCACCCTTATATAGAAATCTATGCCTTTGTGATCAACTGTGATGTTGCATTTTGCCATCTGTATGTCCTTATCATGCTGGTTCAAAACATTCTTTTTAGTTGTAGAATGTACCCAGTTAGAATGGAAGGACCGTATTTCTTTTCTTTCTTTTTCTTTTTTTTTTTTTAAGGTGACTAATGAAACACCAAGTCATATAATTATGACTTAATGGATACTTTCTGTTGTTGCTGATGATGAAATGTCCTTTCATATTCAGACTGTATCTTCCTGTAAATCAGGTACAGTGAGTCATGGGGGAACAATGGTGGGATGTTACAGTGATGAAATCTGGAGTCAAATCTTTGTCATTAACGAACTGAAAACTTGGATAGAGTTTTATACAATTTCTTTATATACATGGAGCCAGCTGTCTTTCATTGGTTAGGGGTGAAAATAGGTCCACAGTTTATGGATTATGGAGTTTGGATAAAGATAAGTGATGTTCTGAATCGCCAAGTCTACTCCAAACTTCAGGGAAATCACCACTCCATGCATGAGGAGTGATCTCTTTTGCACTCATTTTTGCACACTGATATTTTTTTTTGCAGTGAAGGTACCAAATTTATACATTCATATGTATATATATTTAAACTGTTTTTCCTTTGATGTGGAATGCTGAGAAAATCTAACACTAAATTTTGGAGATGTTGCTGTAATCTGTAGTTTTTTGGAGGAAGAAAGATGATTGCAGTAATATTTTTGTCACTTCATTACTGTCGTTCCTGTAGTAATTGTCAATGTAGGGGTTTATATTTTATTCAGATTTATCAGTAGGAATATGGGAATAGAGATTTTAAAATTAAGAGCGAGGAGAAACCCAAGAGTGCCTTCGTATTCTAAGTAAGGAAACAGACCCTTTGAAAGGTGACGTGTTTAAGATTAGATGGCTAACGTTGTGCCAACCCAGGCCACCTGCTTCCAGGCCCTGCCGCCCCCATGAGCTCTTGCCACTGAGAATAACATAAGGCAGGGAGATGTTGAGAAGCTCTTGAGTTTTGCCTATTTAGGTAGAAGTCTTCTTGGTGGCTTGCTTGATGCTTTCACATTTACAGAGTGTTCTTGTGGGCATAACCAACACGTGCTTGTATATATGGCACACATGTACTGGCATGTAAAGTAATAAGACACTGTAATGAAAGCTCTTCTTCCAAGTAGTGCCAAACCATCACTAACCTGGCCCATAGGCTTCAGTGAGTAAAGAAAATCAAATGTGGTATCAGCAAATATTTAATGTGGGAAGAAGGCCCTAAGATTGGAAAAGGTGGAGGAAGGACAGATCTTCAGCTTTCTGTGCCTTCCTTTGGCCATGGGATTCCAACAGCTGTGCTCCTGGCTTATTTACAGTGAGAGGTTGTCTTGCTCTTCCTTTCATCCTCTTATTCCCATCCTCCAACTCCTCAAGAGAGTTCCAGAAGTTCCTGTCTGTAGTCTAGGGAAGAGGTAAAACACCTCTCTTCAAATTTGAAGGAAAAAAAAACTTGGAAATAATCTTTAGTTGATCATATATCTTATTTCCTATTTTTTTATGGGGATTAGGCTATGGAGATGGTTAACTGGTCTACAAATGAAAAACAACAAGAACAACAACAGAAACAAAAACAAAACCCCTAAATCTTTTTTTTTTTTTTTTTTTTTTTAGATGGAGTCTCTTTCTGTCTCCCAGGGTGGAGTGCAGTGGCGCCATCTCGGCTCATGGCAAGCTCCACCTCCCGGGTTTGCGCCATTCTCCTGCCTCAGCCTCCCGAGTAGCTGGGACTACAGGCGCCCACCACCACACCCGGCTAATTTTTTGTATTTTTAGTAGAGGTGGGGTTTCACCGTGTTAGCCAGGATGGTCTCGATCTCCTAACCTCGTGATCCACCTGCCTTGGCCTCCCAAAGTGCTGGGATTACAGGCGTGAGCCACTGCGCCCAAACTAAAACCCCTAAATCTTTTGTAACCCCTCTCTCCTGTGTACATTCCTTGGAACAAATCCCACTGGGTCTTGGCTGTGTTCCTCAGGCACATCGTAGTGTGTGACATTCCTCTTTTAAACCATCACAGAACTACTGAATTGAGGGTGACCCCTGGTCCCCTGGCCACCGGCATTATGGCAGTTCCTCTTCTTTTGTTCCACTTTTCAGGAAAATTCATTGCCTTCAGGCACAGGTCTTCCTTCCCAAAATAGTTCAAAGTGTACATCTCTTTTCCAAAATTATGTAAATCTTAATTTGTAATAAAATCACATGAATGAGTTGTGGTAAGTTTTTGGCAGGGTTTAGAAAATAATGGTTTCATTTAAACATGAATCACTAAAACACTACTTCCTTAACACAATTAACTCAAAGCAGCCCTTATTGCTAGAATTAAGAGATTTCCTTCACAAAGCTCCCTGCCTTATACCGACTTCCAGTATAGAGACCTAGGCACCATAAGTACAGAAATTTGCCTTAACAAATCATCTTCATTTCCCTAAAACATAGGAATGTTTTCCTAAAAATCTGTTCCTTCTCATTATCTTCCTGAAGAGGTCTTCTCAAGTTTCCAGAGTATTCATAGACTGACTAAGACATGGGTAAGTAAATATACCAAAGGTGAAAAAAAGGAAAAGTTGAGGAATGTCATTTCCCCTGAAGGAGATTTTTCAATAAGCAGGTGAGAGGTATGGGAATGTGTTTAGAATGTGTTCTAAGAACGTTTTGTTCTAAACAGGACTGGAGTAGGGTGTCTGTAGTGATGGTGAGACCAGTGACCCCTTGGCAGTGTGAAAGTTGAATGAAATATCAGTGAGAGTTTTGCTTGGCCATGGAATCGTTGTTACATAATGTTGCTCCTCAGTGACAGAAAGGAAAAATGGCATTATTGTCAAACAATATTTGTTTTTAAACCTAGGTAGACTTGACAATGTTTAAGATGCTAAAGAAAATTAAAACTCTTTCCCTTTAGGGAAATTAAAGTTTGAAAGACAACATGATTGGCAACCTGTATAGTAATTTTTATTTCTGTTTTCCAAATAAAAGAAATTAGAAGACTGTACCTTTTTATTCTCTGCCCTCTGACACTGATCTTTTCTTTCTTCTGTTGCAAGTAAGTGTTTGGTGGTGAGGAAAGGTGAGGAGGTGTATGGGCGTGAGGAAAGGTGAGGAGGTGTATGGGCGTGCTTTCATTGTAGAAGAGACAAGGCAGCTGATTAGAGAAAACAAAGCTGGTTGGAGAAGAGGGGTGGGAAAGTTCATTCATTACATTTTTAAAAATTAGGATATAATGGACTAATTATAAAATGTCAAGATTTCACTAACACATTCCATGTTTCTTTTCTATTAAGAGAAATTGTAATAATTGTTGAGCTTGCTTCCTTCTTTTAAGTAGGAACCTATGATCTTCTAATCTTCATATGGGATGCCTTTTATGTTGAATAATGTCTAAGGAGCAGAGCAAAGCTCTAAGTCACTATTAACCCTATAATAAAGCAGAACACACAAAATGATGGATTTTGAAGGCTACGTTAGAAAATTACATTTTATTTATTTAATGTTTGACTAGGTTGAAAGACACATGATACCCAATATTAAAACATACACAGTGAGTCCATTTCCCTTCAGTCTGCTGCCCACAACCACCGAGCTTTTCTCCTCAAAGACAATCATCCTTATCATTTTATTTTATTTTTTCCAGAGATAGTTTATTAGAAGATTCTTTTAAAAATATTATTTGAATGCTTCTGATGACATCAGGTTATGAGGCTTAACCTTTCCCCACCGGGGAAAATTTCTTGGCTCCTTTTGGGCAAAAGGGAAGAAGATAAGCTCAGATTTCCTTTTTCCTTCCTTCCTTCCTTCCTTCCTTCCTTCCTTCCTTCCTTCCTTCCTTCCTTCCTTCCTTCTTTCCTTCTTTCCCTCCCTCCCTCCCTCCCTCCCTCCTTCCTTCCTCTCTCTCTCTCTCTCTCTCTCTTTCTTTCTTCAGGGTCTCACTGTCACCCAGGTTTGAGTGGCACTATCTTGGCCCCCCACAACCTCTACCTCTCGGGCTCAAGTGATTCTCCTGCCTCAGCCTCCAAAGCAGCTGGTACCACAGGTGTGCACCACCATGCCTCTCTAATTTTTTGTATTTTTGGTAGAGATGGGTTTTCACCATGTTGCCCAGGCTAGTCTTAAACTCTGAGCTCAGGCCATCCACCTGCCTCGGCATCCCAAAGTGCTGCGATTACAGGTGAGAGCCGCTGCGCCTGGCCTCGGATTTTCTTTAGAGAGTGACTGCCTCATGACAACCCTGAAAGGTAGCTAGAGCCAACTCTACTTTCTATATAAGGAAAATTGTGATTCCTGGGTTTAGAGCCCCTTCCTCATTTTCCTTGTGTTGCAGTGGTGCTCGGCCAACCCACAGGGCTTCTCTGGCACCAGCTCAATGGCTCTAGTGTAGGTGCAAATTGGTTTTCCTGTTTTGAAACCATGTTCCAAAATAGCTTGTAAGGGGCCAGAAAACTTCAAATGTATACTAGCAATGCCCAGAGTTCTAACAGAATTCTGAGTGCACGAATACAAATAAGCACACGACCTCCTCAGGTCTCACTGCCCAACTCTGATGGCAGCTTGAATGGGCTCCACAATTCGTAAAAACTCTCAGGAGGAGAGGTTGGGCTCATTTCTTCTATTTAGCCACAATAAAACACATTAAGAATGGTGGTGATTTAAGACAGATTTGCTGGGAGTGTCTGGCAATTGTTCATCATCGTTGATGCTTTTTATCTGCAAAGTTTTTGTCATCCTTGCCCCATCTCCCAGTGCACCCCATTTCGTTCTTGAGGGGGCACTTCTGGCAACAACAACGATGAGGCATCTGAGATTGTCAGCTGCTCTCTCAGTTATCGGTGGAATTTCACTTGTTTGAGTTTTCTTATTTGTGCACATCTTGATTTGGTTATACATGCCCCAATTTCTTTCAGGCCTTTGCAGATTTGGCCATGATGGACTTATAGCATTTATTTTAGAATTGCTTTTAAAATACGGATCATAAATAGTTTCTGAAGCATTCAACAGAAGGACATGTTGTTCCCTGTTTGTATCACGATGTCATGTTGGATTGTCATTAATAATTGGTTTGCATCATCCATGTGCTACTACCCCCACTTTCCAAGGGTAATAATTTTGACATTATTTTTAGTCCATCTACATAGTTCTGAAAACAACCAAGAAGAGGAGGAGTATTCTTTTAAATGACATTCTTTCTGAGCAGGGGCTTATCATCCATCTGTGTTCACAAAGAATGAAGTGTTCTGTTGTTTATCCCTGATGCTGCAACACTGGAACATTCTTCATAGCTCTGTAAGCACCTAAGAATCAAAGCCCATAAATATAAATGTATGTAGGATGTACTTTTTTTCCCTTGTTATATTAAAAGCACAGCAACATGTCTGACCCAGATTAGTATTTCTTTCTTTTCCTTTCTTGTTTTTTTTTTTTGAGACGGAGTTTTGCTCTTGTTGCCCAGGCTGGAGTGCAGGCTCACTGCAACCTCCGCCTCCTGAGTTCAAGCAATTATCCTGCCTCAACCTCCCAAGTAGCTGGGATTACAGGCATGCACCAACACGCCCGGCTGATTTTTTGTGTTTTTAGTAGAGACGGGGTTTCTCCATGTTGGTCAGGCTGGTCTCGAACTCCCGACCTCAGGTGATCCGCCCACCTCGGCCTCCCAAATGCTGGGATTACAGGCATGAGCTACCACGCCCTGCCTCAGATTAGTATTTCTCAGGATTAGAATAAATAGGCTTTTAGATTACTTTGCAACTATATCAAGGTTAATTGGAATACCCTCTTAAATATTTTATTCTCTCAGTCATGTAATAAATACTGTTCTTAAGAGTAATATTCCTTATTTGCAATATTAAAAGAAAAATTATGTGTAGCACTTCACCCACCTCTCACCCCCAGGAATCATGCCAGATGGTGACAGGGAAATTGTCATAGAAACTTGGGACCACAAATGCATTGGTAGTTGAGGCTGGGCAACACTGGAGACCCATTTGGATGCTTCCATGGGAGTGGTGTCCTGGAAGAGAGGCAAAGACCACCTTCACCACTGGAGCAAACCATTGACAGCAGCATGGAAGCTCTGGCCTCTGAACATAGGACAAGGCATTTCCAAGCATGTTCTGGTAGGATGTTCACATCTGCTGGTATGGACTGAACGTTTGCGTCTTCCCTCCAAATTCATATGTTGAAGTTCCAATTTGTAATGTGATGGTATTTGGAAGTGGGGCCTTTGGGAGGTCATTAAACTTAGATGAAATCATGAGGGTGGGGCCCCATGATGGGATTAGTGTCCTTATAAGAATAGGAAGAGAGACCAGAAGCTCACTCTTTCTCTGCCATGTAAGGACACAGTGAGAAGGTGGCCATCTATAAGCCAGGAAGAAGTTCCTCAATGGAGAACTGAATTGGCAGTCACCTTGATCCTGGGCTTCCTGGCCTCCAGAACTGTAAGAAATGCATTACTGTTATTTAAGCCACCTGGCCTATGGTATTTTGTTATGGCAGCCCAAGCTGACTAAGACACCTCTATATGCAAATGCTGCTCAGTCGCTAAAATTTTATCAGCCAATAAAATTTTGACTTATCATTTTAGACTTAATGTTGCTGTTTGCTTTGATCTGGTCCAATTTCTTGCTGGTGACCTAGAAAGCCTATCAGGCCAAAAGTTATTTTATTGTTCATTGGAGACAGTTACTTCTTCAACATTTCCAAGCTCAAAGGCTTGTGGTAGATTTTCCTGTCCAGAAGTATTTAGTTTTACTTATTACATTTACCTGATAATTAATTATTCATAGCACTTAATCACCAATACTGCCTTAAAATTGTTTCATTTCTTTTCCCTTGTCTGTATTTCTCCTCCTGAATCTTAGCTCTATGAAGGTCAGGACTCGTTCTCTTTTCCTGTCTGCATCTTCAGCACCTAGCACAGTACCCAGCCCCAAAGGGTGCTGAATGGATGATGGAGTAAGGAACATTCTGGAGTGTGATGAGGGCCACTAGGTAACAGCACCTCTAATTCATGGGTACCTTGGTCACTGAAAAGAACTAAGGAATGCCTGCATAAAAATCTGTACAAGGATGCTTATAGTAGCTTTATTCATAATTTCCAAAACCTGAAGGCCACCAAGATGTTCTTCAGTAGATGAATAAATGAACGTGGTACATCTAGGCAATGGAATATTATTCAGCACTAAAGAGAAACAAGCTGTTAATCCACGAAAAGACATGGAGGATATTTAAATGCACATTACCAGGTGGAAGAAGCCAATCTGTACGTGTGATTCTGACTATATGCCATCCTGGAAAAGGCAAAACTATTGGGACAGTAAAACAATCATTGTTTGCCAGGGGTGACAGGGGGCAGGTGGGTGCGGAGGGATGAATACATGGACCACAGAGGATTTTTAGGGCAGTGAAACTACTCTGTATGCTGTAATAATGGTGAATATAAGTCATTATATACTTGTCCAAACCCATTGAATATATAACACCAAAATTGAACATTAGTGTATACTATGGATACTGATAATAATGGTATGTCAACATAGGTTTATCAGTTGGATAAACGTAGGATATCAGTACCACTCTGGTGGGGAATGTTGATAATGGGTGAGGAGGGGAGGCTATGTATGTGTGGGGGGAAGGAGGTAGATGGGAAATCTCTGTATTTTTTTTTCTCAATTTTGCTGTGAACCTAAAAATGCTCCTAAAATATAGTCTTAAAAAAGGAGCTAAGGAATTCTTTAGATAATGTTTTTCCTAGGGTATCTGTTTCCTCCGTCTCCCTGTTTCTTGTCTAGATGGTATCAAATTCATTTCCTTGCTCTGCCTTAAAGTCACCATTCTAACCTAACCGGTAACAGGAAGATTGAGTTGGCAAAAGGGACTCCTCAGAGCTTTGAAGGAGGAATTGGGGAACTGCTTGGCCATATCTGTAATCTCAAACAAATTATAATTTATACACAGAACTAAGAAGAACTCTAGCATAGAACCTAGGAAATTATAATCTTCAACTATCCTCTGTTTAGGCAGACTATAAAGCTAGGATTACTGAACGCTTATATATAGAAAAAAGGAAGAAAAGATTTTTCCAGTAGGCAACCAGAAGCCCTAAATACTTGCTTTCATTATGATGTAAATTTTCATACAAATACAGAGAAAACCGTGGGTTGAGTATATATAGATTTTCATAATGTATTTGATAATTCAGTTTTTAGTGGAATATCCCAGTAATTCTCATTTGGGGGAGAGAATGATTAGTCAGAGTTGGGGAACCAACTTAAAAACAGGAAATGAAGGGTATGGTAAATATAGGTAATCTCTCTATGGGGAAATATAAAGAGAACAATGTTCAAGCCTTTGTTTTAACCAAATTCCTTATAAATGATTTTTGGTCTAGGATAAAATGTACAGCAAACTTCTCAAATGTGTGATTGACACAAAACTTTTTTGACTTGAGAGACAAGCCAAAAAAAGAGATAAATGCAGGAAGTTAATGAATCTGTATAAGTGGGTTTAAAAATGGCAACTAGCACATTTGAGAGGTTTTAGGTAAGAGCAAAAACTAATATTTATCAAGAGCTTATCATGTACAGGCTGCTGTTCAAAGCACTTGGCATCTATTATTTTACTTAGCGTCATAACGACCATATGAAGTCAGTACTATTATTATTATTATTATTATTATTTTTTTTTCAGACAGGGTCTCCCTCTGTCACCCAGGGTGGAGTGCAGTGGCATGATCTTGGCTCACTGCAGCCTCCACCTCCCAGGCTCAAGTGATCTTCCCAGCTCATGCTCCCTCTTAGCTGGGACCACAAGGGCGTGCTAACATGCTCAGGCCTGGCTAATTTTTGGTATTTTTTTTATAGTGATGGGGTTTCACCATGTTGCCCAGTCTTGTCTCAAACTCCTGGGGTCAAGCGATCCTCCTGCTTCAGCCTCCCAAAGTGCTGGGATTACAGGCATGAGCCACTGCATCTGCCCAATTGGTGCTATTATTATCCTGGTTTCATGAATCCTGAAGCTGAGATAGTGAGAGGTTAACTTGCCCAAGATCACACACAAATAGTACATGGTGAAGCTAGCTTTACACTTAGGGAGCCTGACTGACAGCTTGTGTGCCTTATCACTTCCCTATGGAGCCTCATCAAATACACAGAAATGAAGGGAATAGAAACCGAGAAAGAAACTAGAGATCTGGAGTATTGTTCAAAGAGGAAACTCTTCCAGGAAGAACAAATAGAAAAAAGCTGAGCACCAGATAAGGTGTTGAAAAACCAAACCAAATGTTGTCTTATTTATTTATAATTTGGATGTATTTACACCTGCATTATTGTGAGCAGTTCTGGTCAAAGTAAGTTTAGAAAGAACCAGTAGAAGGAGATTGGCAATGAAAATGGCAGAACATGCAGTCAG
Organism: Homo sapiens; assembly: GCF_000001405.40. Taxonomy (NCBI): domain Eukaryota; kingdom Metazoa; phylum Chordata; class Mammalia; order Primates; family Hominidae; genus Homo; species Homo sapiens. The sequence continues at coordinate 139,529,882 of NC_000006.12, forward strand.
TTGCTGTCCACAGGGGAGAAAAATGAAAGAACAGATGAAAATGGAAGTTTGGGGCAGGGCGTGGTGGCTCACACCTGTAATCCCAGCACTTTGGGAGGCTGAGGCGGGCAGATCATGAGGTCAGGAGATCAAGACCATCCTGGCTAACACGGTGAAAACCTGTCTCTACTAAAAATACAAAAAAATCAGCCGGGCATGGTGGCGGGCGCCTGTAGTCCCAGCTACTTGGGAGGCTGAGGCAGGAGAATGGCGTGAACCCGGGAGGCAGAGCTTGCAGTGAGCCCAGATCAAGCCACTGCACTCCAGCCTGGGCGACAGAACGAGACTCTGTCCAAAAAAAAAAAAAAAAAAGGAAGTTTGGGAGAAAGACTTACTTTAAGAATAAAGATTGAAAACAGGCCGAGATGAATATCTATGAAATCATAACTGGCATGGCTGAAGTGGATACAAATGTTATTCTTGAAATATCTGGCAAAGTAAATTCAGGATATAAAAGGGAAATAGTGGTGAACTCATTTAGTAATAAACACATGCCATTACTACCCCAAAAGTTAGTATGGGCACAACATATCATACATTTTGCTGTGTTTAACAAATTATTGGAAATAATTATAAACAATTCTTGAAGATAGAAATGGATCCACCATTCAAGAGTGATGCCAGGGAGGGTAGTTATGCACTTTACCCAGCCAAGTGTTTCTAAAAAACAAAGAGAAAACATACTGAAGTCGTCCAACATTGCTTTGAAGTCAGACAGACCCAGGTTCAAATTCCAGCGCTACAGTTCACTGAGTAGTTACTTAATTCCTCTGGGCTGCAGATTTTTCACCCGCCAACTGCAGATAATCATGCTTCCCTGGGCAATTGGGCCTGGCATATAACTGGCAGTCAAAAAATGTTGGCTGTTATTATAATTAAGATGACCCCACGTGCCTTCTGATGTGCTCAAAAAAGCGTTTCTCTTCCGTTAGACTGAAGGATGTTGAGGGTTTCAATTTTATTTTACTCTGAGCTGCAATTCTCAGGCTCAGCTCTGAGTTTATGTTTATATCTTTATACGCAGGGTGGGAAATTGCTGTGACTTCACTGGATCTTCACAAACTGCATAGTTTTGCAGCAGCTTACATATTATTTCTTGATTACCTTTTCTTAATAGCTTACAATGATACAGTTATCACCCGTATTTGTCTTTTGAATTTTGTTTGTGGTTACTTGATCTGTTTTTGATGATCCTTTGACTCCCATAATGTGAGAAGAGAAGGGGTTTCTTTGCCATTTCTGATCTCCTAGATTGAGAACGCTTTAGTCCAGGGAACAAGACATACTGTAAGTAACAACAACTGCACAACAATTCTCAAATAAATCTTCCGCGATGTAAATGACGAGCTGAATAAAAGACAAAGTAGAATGTGTTTGTTATGACTCACATATTGCCTAGAACTTCAGAGTCCCTGCCCATTTTGTTTAAATCAGACATGTCAGGTGACCTGGCCACAAAGACTGAGTGTGACACTGATGTGCATTTTGCTAAAACAAGGTCAGCAGTCAGAGCTGTAGAGCTACACCCTGGTGAATTCAGCTACGACAGTTGTCCAGAAAATTATAATTTAGGAAATTATTTTCTAAATTTCATCAATATTTCTCATTTCTGGGCACCGGCATTTTAAAATATCTTATTATTATTATTATTATTATTTTGCCATTTACCTCATAAGTAAGTGACTCTTTTTCAGCCACAACAGTGAGAGAAAGTGGGAGACTGACCTAAGAGAGAAACAGGAAGAAAGAAATTGTCCAGAATTTTGTAATTATGTATTTCCACTTCCATTAAATTTATAGTTTCAAAGAAATAAACAGAGAAATAATTTTAAAAAGCGGGCACCAGCCAAAAAGAATTTATAATGGAAGGCAAATACTTGATTAGAATCTGAGCTTGTGACTATTACTTTGTTATTCTTGTAAACTGACATCCACCTTAAAGACATAGCTTTGGAAAAATGTATAAAATTGGAAACACATTTACCATAAAACAGTCAGCCCATCCTCCTCTTATTTTTACCTCAGCCTCAGATTTTCTGGCTACAGTCACAAAAAGGAATGAAAGGTCAGTGAAGAACAACATAGTCTTGTTTAATCTTTAAAACTTAGTTAGGTACTTTAAATGGCACCTAACTGGAACCTCAGCCCCTCAGACGTGGACTCCTTTGAATTGTTGCTTCTGTGTGTCTCTCAGGGATGGTTCTTGAGATGGAATCTACTCAGAAATGCAGTCAACACCATGTCTGCTTTAGATTAAAAAAAGAGAGAGAGATTTTTTAATCAACCAGGTAAATAAATTACAGAGAATTTCAACTACAAATTAAAATGTACTTTGAGAGAGAGACATGATTGGAACTGAAGTGTCTACATTAAAGTTATGAACCTTCAGAGATCTACCTTTCCATGACTATCGCTTCTGTGTTACCCAAGATAGACTTTTTCCCCTCTTACTCTTTAAAATTATCAATGAAATTGCAGTTTCCTTGCATTGAAACTTGTCTTTTTTTTTTTTTTTTTTTTTTTTGAGACAGAGTATCGCTCTGTTGCCCAGGCTGGAGTGCAGTGGCGTGATCTCGGCTCACGGCAAGCTCCCCCTCCTGGGTTCAAGTGATTCTCCTGCCTCAGCCTCCCAAGTAGCTGGGACTACAGGTGCTCACCACCATAACCGGCTATTTTTTTTTTTTTTTTTTTAGATGGAGTCTCATTCTGTCACCCAGGCTGGAGTGCAATTGGCGCGATCTTGGCTCACTGCAAGCTCCGCCTCCCGGGTTCACGCCTTTCTCCTGCCTCAGCCTCCTGAGTAGCTGGAACTACAGGCGCCCGTCACCACACCTGGCTAATTTTTTGTATATTTAGTAGAGATGGGTTTTCACCGTGTTAGCCAGGATGGTCTCGACCTCCTGACCTCGTGATCCACCTGCCTCGGCCTCCCAAAGTGCTGGGATTACAGGCGTAAGCCACTGCGCCCGGCCTAATTTTTGTATTTTTAGTAGAGATGGGGTTTCACCATGTTGGCCAGGCTGGTCTCGAACTCCTGACCTTATGATTCACCCACCTCGGCCTCTCAAAGTGCTGGGATTACAGGCGTGAGCCACCCAGCCCAGCCTTAACCTTGTCTTTTAAAGGCAGGGTTTGACACATACTTGGTATGAGAATGAAGGGTAGCGTGAATAAAAAGGAATAAGGGCCTTCCATTCAGAGGGACTGATTCTAGACTTTTGTAATGACTGCATTTTGGGTGAAACCTTTGTAAATTGAGACAAAAATGCCTGAGTTTGTCTTAAAAATTTTTATTTATTTTAAAAAATTCACCTCGATATTGGAAAAGATAAAGGTGTTAATGTGTACTACTCCAGCAGTGAGGGAAGGTTCTAGAATGCTCCCTGGTTGTTGCCCTCATACTTTGGGATGTTATGCTGATCCCTGCACCTTAAGTTCAAATTCCAGTTTCCTTGCTCAACTTGAACAACATGCAAGAGTTGGCTGTAAGGGCTGTTTTTTTATTTTTTATTTTTCTGCTTGGTTTTGTTTTGCTTTGTTTTTTAACCACGTAATTAAAGAATTGTGGATATAGATTAACTTCTCGCCCACTCTATCCCCTCCCGTACTGTTTTAACTAACAGGGACTAAGCACCATGGTCCTTTGATGGATTTCCTATTTTGATGGTAAAATCCTTGTTTTTCTTACAAAAAATATCTTCTCTGCTTCTGACAAAACTCTAATCTTGCCCTTCTGACTCCGAGTCCCTGCATGCCTCTCTTCCATGTTTCAGGAAGGAACAATTAGGCAATCCTGCCATGTTTCTTCTGAAAGTAGCAAAAACAGTGACTTCAAGAGCCCTTATGCTGAATCATGACATAGATATTTTTTTCTACACCACCCGGAACACTTTGAATTAAAGCAGGAAGCCTGATTCTAAGCCACTATTGCACTAAGCCCTGGAAAGAAAGAAGTGTGGAAGAAGGGAAGAGGATGGAAGAAAAACAACCTTTTCTGAGTAAAAAGTTTAGTCTTTCTTCCAGTGTACAGTTTAAAAATGTGGGCTCATTGGAATGAATTTGAAGGTTAGGTTACAATTTGCTTACAGCAGATTTTACGATTAAACTCATTGAATCAGCCTTTTTTTAACCCGTTAAGTGACGTATACATGGGATTAAACAGAATGAAATTCAGTTGTTTCTCAACTCACTCTCCTAGCCTCACATCTGTCAAAATCATTGCTGTTTGATTTTCTTTTCTGCAAAGGCCCCCGAGACACATTTGCCTTTAAGCGCTTGGGCACTGGTGGGAGCTGCGTGTTCTGGGTGTCTTTAAGTGCACTGGGCTGGGCTAGGCAACGCAGCTCGTGTGTCCCGGGAAAGCTGCAGTCTGCTGAGTGTAAGATACACACCCAGACCACACCTTCAGAGCCATGCAAAGCTGGAAGGAGACAGAGATAAGGTACACTGAAAGGAAGAAAGAAACTCCTCTCTCCAAGCTGCATCTGCTTGCTCAGGTGAGAGTGCAGTGCCTTGCCATTTTATTTTTCTTCTGATGAAAGAAAAGTGGCACTTGGCCTGCTCCTCTCAGTCAAGGGTTAAGAGCCATTTCTTCCTAGAGAGGTTTCCTGATACCCACTCCTATCCAGCTCTGACTTCCTGGCACCCCCCCTCAATGGGCTGCTCTTCGTCTTCTTTCTTTGTAGCCAGCTAGTGTACCACTTTCTCAGTCTCTCTCTCGACTGGGGAGTCCTCCTTCTTGACACTGGACTCCAGGAGTCTTGGAATATCTTTGCAGCCTCATGTCTAGCACTTAGTAGATGCACGATTGTTAATCGAATGAGCAAACAAACTGTGGGAACCCACAAAGCTGTTCTGACTTCCTGACTGCCCTGGTAAGCTAAATTTATGTTGCACCAGATAGGCCAAGCCTAACACTTCTTAAAATAGGAGATTCTTTGAAAAAGGGAGGGGAGTGAGGAGAGGAAAACAATGATAGAAGTGGTCTCCTGGTAAACAGAAGTAAGAGCCTTTGAAAGGATCAACAAATAAAAACAAGCTGATAATCTCTGTTTGGCTGCAAATACAGTATTCTAAATCCAGATTAGGTGCTACCTTACTTTATCAGTGTGGAGCATTCACAAATGCAGTTGTTCCAGTTTCTGCACGTATTTCTTTCCCTTTCAGTTCTGTGGTACAGTTGAAGCCATCAAAATGTTAGTATGATCTATACTAGTTATCTGGAAAGTTTTTAACTGCATCCTATAAGTAAAAAATTTATCAGCCCACATCTTCTCTTTTTATATAGCCATCAATTATCTGCATGCACTTCTGTGTTAGCATATCATGTACATTATAAAACATTATATATATATATAAATTAAAAGAAGATGATATAAAAACAGAAATAGAAATTCCAGGCCGGGCGTGGTGGCTCCCGCCTGTAATCCCAGCACTTTGGGAGGCCAAGGCAGGTGGATCACGAGGTCAAGAGATCAAGACCATCCTGGCCAACATGGTGAAACCCTGTCTCTACTAGAAATACAAAAAAATTAGCCAGGTGTGGTGGCGGGCACCTGAAGTCCCAGCTACTTGGGAGGCTGAGGCAGGAGAATGGCATGAACCCGGAAGGCGGAGCTTGCAGTGAGCCAAGATCATGCCACTGCACTCCAGCCTGGGAAACACAGCGAGACTCCGTCTCAAAAAAAAAAAGAAAAGAAATTCCAATATTTTCTCCCCAAGCCTGAGCAGATCATTGTTGCACCCTATGTGGGTGAGCTGGAGGCTGCCGCTATAGGCATGACTTTTGCCACCTGTAACTTAATGATTTGGGCAAAATCAGAGCTCCCCTCCTTTGAACTCTTGCAGGGGGATAGGTGGGATAGTGATGTGACTGTGGGCTACTCATTATGCTTCTCTCTGCCTCAGTTTACCTCTCCTTATATAGCCTTGTTTATCTTACAGAAATGTAGAGATTAATGGATGATATACCTCATTCTGGACTTTAAGAGTGAGGTCATTGATTTGACATATTGTATATTAATTCCTTCTAATCTCTTCTATTTTCTGGGAAAATTCTATTATTTCATTAAATAGTGTTGCTTCTCCCATTAAATAGGGGGTAATATTGTCATCTTCATCTTCAAATTGTGGACCTTTAGCAGGAGGAGGAAACTTAGAGGGCAGCTCTAGTCTAGTTTTTACCCAATGACATAAGGAGACTGAGCCATAAAGAAGGTGGTAGGTTGCTTGATGTGACAGATCACCCCGTTGCTTGCAAAACTGATCTCTCCTCTTTTCCTCTAATTTGGTTTCCCTCCTCTGAGTGCCCATGTGCCTGAAGGCAGGCTAGGGCCCCTCTTCAGCCTCAGGATGAGGGCGGGGCGGTGCATCTTGAGTAGGTAAGTCAACTATGGAGATACTATCTATCTGCCTTGCTAAATGATTGGGTTTATGCTTAGGTATGTAATATGGTCTGACCAAGCTTTTTGGAAAGTTTTCTTCACTTTCCAAAGAGACACACCTAGTGGACATTCCCTTCCCACCTCTGGACCTCAGTATCTCTGTGTGGCGTGGACATTCCAGTAACTGTCTTAGGGCCATGGAGGAAGCTAGCCTGTAAGGATGACCTTGTCCATGAGGTGTGACGGACTGGAAAGATGGTCACAGATCATGGAGCTGCCAACCTAACTGTCCTGGAACTTTCATAACTCTGGCCCTCATGCCATAAAAAATGATAAGTGTTCTCACTGTTTAAACTACTTTAGTTGCATTTTTGTGTAATTTGTAGCCAAAATGCATCCTAACTGATACACTTATCCAAGGAGCCTGGGGGTGGCAGAAATGGAACAAGAATCCAGAACTTTAAAATAGCAAGTACTGTACTGCTTGGGCCTTATTTACAAATCATAGCTTGAGAGAATTCATTCATCCTGCTCAGTAAGAGCAGTTTGTTCCTTTCACTTCAGGAATTTTGGTCCCTGTATACTTCGAAGTCTCTGAAAGAATAACATTATTTGATTACAGGAATGTTCTACTTCCTTGCTTCCATTGTGTGTTCAACTCTGGTGACATCTTGATGGGCTTCTTCTGGGAAAACATATTTACTTTTTCATTTTTAGCTTCTCATCCAGGGATATCCAGTTACACTATAAATGTCATCTATTGGCAAATATAATTTGCCTACAGAGGCCTGGACCAACAGTCCCTCGGTGAATTCATGACAAAACGCCTGAATGTGGAATCAGGGTAGTCGCATGTTCAAACCAAAACTCTATCCGCTGCTGGTCCAAGGTGCCTCTTGCTGTTGCCAATTAGCCGGGACACCCAGAACTAACCCAGGAGCTTATAAAGGTAATGAGTGGTTTCAAATCACCCACAGACACCCATAGTAAATGGAAAAGCTTTTGTCTTTTGTCAACATCTTTAATGGTTTCAGTTGGTAAATTATTAACAGAATATATGTGGAGTCCTCAGCATTTCAAATACATTTGCTTTCTGAACAGGAACATTGGAGAACAGTCTCTCCTGCCAAGTTCCAAGTTGCAGGTGCCCACTCTTCTGCCCTCCCTCCCTGTCTCCTGCCCTGGGCTGTGTTAGGATCTTTCTTCTCTTGCTAAAGGGGGCTTCTCTCCACACTCCTGAGAGCTCTTAGCTTCTTGTGCACATTTACCCTTGTCCAGGCCCTGTCGTATGAATAGTTCTATTTCATTCGACTCTTCCTCTCCAGACATGTGGGAGAAAGATGACAATTTGAAAAACATAGGCCAGCCGTGGTGGCTCACGCCTGTAATCCCTCACTTTGGGAGGCCGAGGTGGGTGGATCACTTGATCCCAGGAGTTCGAGACCAGCCTGGGCAACATAGTGAGACATCATCTTTACAAAAAATAAAAAATTAGCTGGGTGTGGTGGCACATGCCTGTAGTCCCAGCTACTTAGGAGGCTGAGGTGGGAGGATCACTTGAGCCTGGGGAGTTTGAGGCTGCAGTGAATTGAGATTGTGCCACTGCACTCCAGCCTGGGTGACAAAGTGAGACTCTGTCTCATAAATAAAGAAATAAAAATTAAAACAACAACAACAACAACAACAACAACAAAACCCTAGGCTGGGCGCAGTAGCTCACGCCTGTAATCCTAGCACTTCGGGAGGCTGGGGCAGGTGGATCACTTCAGGTCAGTGGTTCTAGACCAGCCTGGCTAACATGGTGAAACCCCATCTCTACTAAAAACACAAAAATTACCCAGGCATGGTGGTGCATGCCTGTAATCCCAGCTACTTGGGAGGCTGAGACAGGAGAATTGTTTGAACTTGGGAGGCGGAGGTGGCAGTCAGCAGAGATCGGGCCACTGCACTGCAGCCTGGGCAACAGAGCAAGACTGTCTCAAAAAAACAAACAAACAAAAAACCTGGTTCTAGTAAAGGCTCTCCCACTTACTAACTTATTCACCTTGCGTAAATCACTTAACTTCCCTCAGCCTTGGTGTCTTTCAGCTGTCAATTGGCAATTGTCACACTCTTTGTGGTATCTATGTCTCAGAAGCTTCAGAATCAAGCAATCTAATCCCTGTCGAGAGCCTGAAAACCTTATAGTTCTCACTATTGGGTACTGTTTATGTTGACATTTTTTCTTCACAGGAGGTTCACAACACATCCGTTGAAATGCTGGGATTGTGACTGACTCAGTTAGGCAGGAAGAACAAGTCCTCGTGTCAATGAGTGGAAGGATGACACATTTGCTGGAAAATACAGTGTGTTGTCGTATTCACACTAACACCACTGAGAAGTTGATCCTGTTATTATTATTCGCAGCGACATTTCCTGGCTTAGACCTAGCGTACTGGGTAATGCCCATATGTTCAGAACAGTCAATACTGCAACGGCGAAAGGGAAAGGCTCGGGGGGTGGTGGACTACTGGAAGGGTAAATGGGAGAGACAGGTTATACTTTTATCAAGATTTTCTTTCTTTCTTTTTTTTTTTTTTAAAGAGCATTAGCTGTTACATTGTTATGATTACATCTGTGGGACAGGAGACATGGACCGGAGTTAAAAAGCAATAAAGCATATAGGCTATCACTGTCTCTAACACAGTGACTCTTGGCAAAATAGGTAGCTTCTCTAAATTTTTCTCATTAATTAAACGGAAATGGGAATGGTAACTACCTCCATTGGGTTGCTGTGAGTATTAAATGAGATAACATGCAAAGTAACTAGCACATGATGATACTATGTGCATGTGCATGGCTAGCGCACACAAGTGTGGGTGCACTTGAATATTACCCAGTTTCTGGTTCACTGAGGAGCCACCCATTCCACCAATCATTTGCTGATCCTATATAAACATAATGCTATGCTGCAAGGCAGTGAGCTCCCAAGTTGCTTAGAATCTAGATAGGAAGTAACGCCAGGCACTGTGTCTTACACTTATAATCCCAGCACTTTGGGAGGCCGAGGCAGGTGGATTAACTGAGGTTAGGAGTTTGAGACCAGCCTGGCCAACATGGAGAAACCCCATCTCTAGTAAAAATATAAAAATTACCCGGGCGTGGTGGTGGGCACCTGTAGTCACAGCTGCTTGAGAGACTGAGGCAGGAGAATGGCTTGAACCCAGGAGGCGGAGCTTGCAGTGAGCTGAGATCGCACCACTGCACTCCAGCCTGGGCGACAGAGCGAGACTCTGTCTCAGAAAAAAAAAAAAAAAAAGAAAGGAAAAAAAAAAGAAAATGAAGAAGACAAGGACACAGAAAACAAGGAACAATACAGAAGGAAAGTAAATAAATTAAGATGCTAAGTACAGACCATTACTGATTATAAGTGCTGAGAAAAGTATTAGTCACTTGAGACCTGAAAAACTCACAGAAGTGCTTCACAGGCAGCATATCATGGAGAATGACTATGTTTTAAATTAGGGAAAAAATTCCAGGTGTAGAGCAAGAAGAGCAAAGCCATGCTGAGGAAGGAGAAGAAATCCTGGCTAGCCGGAATGCCCAGCCAATGGGAACTGGCCGGATTGCAAGGCAAGATCGGGCATCCCTTCCAGGGACGCCGTCATTGGCTCGAACACCGATAGGGTCTGCTCAGTCATTGCTCAGGAATTCTTGCTTCTAAAGGGAGCAGCTGCAATGAGCAATGCCTGGGAACACATTATTAACTCGCAATACACAGTGTGGCCCGCTCTTCCTTTCTGTAAACAGTTACTTGGTGATCAACAACGTCTACTGAGTGGTTTTGGTTTGCTAGGCATTAAGAAAGGTTATGAAGCAAGTTGAGACCATGCAAGATACCTGGCCAGAAGATCATTCTCAGTATGAACGTAGGATAAAACACACAGGTCACGAGAATAAATGTTTACAGAATAGGAGAGCTACACGTTTTAAGAAAGAACATACAAACCAGCATAATATAAATAGAAGCTGGGGTGACATGCCCCATTTGTTGACAAGGGTGGGGTAGTTGTGAGGTTGGTGTGTGTGCAAAGCAACATTGGGAAAAGCTGAAATCACGATTTGACTCTGCTTCCCCTGATGCAACAGAGGCCTACTCAGCCTTGGGGGAGCAGGCGACTCGCCACAGTATTTCCTGTTTGCTTGTCACGTTGCCCATTGTATTTGATCTTGCTCCAGCAAAGCGGTGGTGATGTGTTCAATCATTATTTCTTAATCCTCTCCATCTTCTCTCTCATTTTCTTTCTTATTCATTGATCATGTGTCTCCACTCATTCCACCTCAGCCTGATGCTTGGTGGAAGTTGAACAACTTCCTCCCTCAGTTGCTGACAATTCTTTCTCATCCTGCAATATTTTTAGAATGTTCTGGGATTGTGGGGATCCTTGGATGCATTCAGCTTCTTGCTAAGTGTTGGGGCAAGCAAAACTCTGGCAGGTGAGTTGACTGCGTCTGTAATTTAGAATGAGAGTGAGAGAAAATATAAATGTGGGTACTAAAAAATGGTGTTAGTCTTGGAAAACGAGGTTCAATCATAGCTCTCTAAGGTTTGTATATGCTCATAAACACAACTGATAGAAGCAAAGAACAACCACTTCCAGTCAGACACCTGCCAAGTCTTTGGGAAGTTGAGGCAGAAAAGATGATGGAATGGCTAGGAGGGGCTCTCCCATCAGCTTGATCTCCTGGGAGCAGTGACTGGTTCTTTTTCCTCTCTGCTGGATGCATTGTAAATGCTCACTTAGAGCCTTGCATGCATGAATAAATGAACAAACTCTAAAACGTTTCCATGGCTAAGAAGTAACTTTGAGCCAAGCCATAGTCTTCTGAGGCTTAACTTCTAGGTTTAGCAGAAAATCACTGTGGCTCTGAATTGTTCCTGGACTGACTGCAAGTTTTGGTCATTTGGTGTTTCCTTTGGAATAAAACCACTATGTGAGGCCTGAGATCAAGCGCCTGTGCAGCTTTTCCTGGAGAAATACTGTTGGTGGTTGCAGGGTCTTTTTGTTTCTAGAGTTTTATTTTCTGAGACCCCTTGCCATTAATATTAGTATAGCTGTAGAATTTCGACATTTAAATTTTATATATAAATTATAGCATTTAACATGTGAGTATTCAAAATCCACAACTATTTACTTTCTAAGTAAAATACACATTATTTTGCATAAGAATAAATAGCAAAAAGTATCACATAGAAGAAAATCCACATTGTAACTTTGTCATAATAATGTCCTTGGATCTATGATTCTTTTTAAGAAAAAAAGAAAGAACTATTTGTCGCATGGACTAGGGAAAAATGGGTGGGGGATACAGGCACCTTCTTTGACAAAAAAGGAATTATATTTTGTGTCATTCAACATTTTTCTCTCTCCTTTTTCTGCCAACCAAAGAACAAAACAAAACAAAAACTCAAAAAACAAAGAAATCACTGCAACAATAGCAGCAACAACAAAAATACTTAATAAGAGGATTTAGGTGGAATGCTATAAAAATTAGATCAGCAAATAAGATTATGGAATTTCATGTGGTTTCTATAATTCTAGGAAAGAGATGTTTTATGTGTTGCTACTAAAGGAAAGTGGGATATAGAAGAGAACAAGAAGAAAGAGAAGAAAGACAAGGAAAGAAAAATCTCTGTGTCATGGTCAGTGTTTTCCAACAGGGCACTATTCGCATTTGGGGTACGGTGATTAACCATATTTTATAAAAATGAAGAAGAATTCTGATAGGAACTTAAACATGAGTTGTACTCCTCTTGATTAAGTGTACATTTTATTTCGACTTCCAAAATCCCTAATGTTTTAAACTTTTTTTGAAAGAGGATTTCTTCCTGTTACAGTTTATAAATGTCTCAAAGTGTGGGTGTATGGCAAACCATTCCAAATTTACCCTCAGAGAAGTATTCTTTACTTTTTTGACTGTTCTGGTTCTCCATTTGACTTTTGCATGAGAATCCTCAGCTCACTGTGCTCTTCCGTCTTTAAATGCACCCTCTCGGGTGAACTAATTCATTCTCATGGCTTCAGTTGCTGTTGATGGCCTAGTTTTCACACCCGGCACTGACATTCCAACTACTCTTCATCCCTAAGTCTTATGCAAGGGTGAGAATTTGCACTTAGATCTATTTTCCTCATCTAAGAAACTGATAAAAATCAAACTCATCTACTTTTCTTTTGCAATATCGATGACACCATCATTTACTGAGTTTTTAAATTTCACTAGTATTTGTCTATTATAAACCTATTATGCTAAGTTCTAGTGATACGATGGTGACAAAACAGGCAGAGCCCTGATGTCATGGAACTTTATAGTATAGGGGTAGAAAGGTATTAGTAAAATGATCACACAAATATTTATAATAGAGATAATGGTCATGAGAAAAATTACAAATTCCTACAAATGTACAATATAAAGACTTCACATAGCCTGATCAAAAAAAAAAAAAAAAAAATGCCGGGCAAGGTGGCTCATACCTGTAATCCCAGCACTTTGGGAGGCCGAGGTGGGTGGATCACCTGAGGTCAGGAGTTCGAGACCGGCCTGCCCAACATGGTGAAACACCGTCTCTACTAAAAATACAAAAAATTAGCTGGGCATGATGGCAGGCGCCTATAATCCCAGCTACTTGGGAGGCTAAGGCAGGAGAATCACTTGAACCCGGGAGGCAGAGGATGCAGTGAGCCAAGATCATGCCACTGCACTCCAGCCTGGGTGACAAGAGTGAAACTCTGTCTCAAAAAATCAATCAATCAATCAATAAGAAATAAAAGAAAAACTTTTTAGACTGCATTTCCTTTAAATCCCCAACTCCCTCAATCACTAAGACCTATTGGCTGCACCCCCATTTTTATAGCTGCAGCTCTATTGGAGGGCCCTCTATTTCTGCCCTCCAATTAGCATGAATTACTCTAATTAGATCCTCACTGGACTCTGTCTATTGTAGATCATCAGCACACGGCTGTCATGTTAATATTCTTAAATGTTCATTTTTTTCACATCACTCCTCAACTTAATCTCCAGTGATCCCCAATAATCCACTGAATTTACTTCAGCATATTACTGTGCCTAGGTGTGTTCATTGTGCTAATAGAAAATCTATCACCACCTCCTATTCAGAATTACACATGCTGTTCCCTACACTCAGAGTGCTGCAGTTCTTCTCTTCTGTACCCCTCACCTTGCATATTTCAGTGGTTTTCAAGCCCTCAACACTTGGAGAGTGGGGGATGACAGGGGAAGAATAGGGGAGGTAGAGAGTGTTGGGAGGTAGGCTCAGGTCTTAGAACCCTCTGCACTGGATTTCCTTAAAATTTCATTTGAGGAAAGGGGTCCAAGGCAAAACAACAACAACTTGAAATCATTGTGCTGTTGAAGTTTCCAGTTAAGATTCATCTACCCTCATCACCCACTTCCTCCCAACATTGACTTTTCTCCTCTGTCTTCAGTCTCCAGAGTGGTGTAACTGTACTCCTAGATGAGGTGTGGTGTTTTAAGCATTCAACTCTTAATAAATTTGCCTCCTTGAGTCTTGTTTTCTACTTCTTTTGCATTCCCTAAAGTGCTTTACTATTGCATAAATGAATGAACAACTTGAGGAACACATGAATGCTCTGTGGTACTTTTAACTAGTGAGAAATTTCTGTTTATAAAATTATGGTTCTAATCTATCCTTAGCCATTTTCAGCAATGAGATAAATAGAAATAATCAATATATCATAAGTGACGTTCTGTTTGGGTTTCCCTGCCAGATGCGGGGGAATCCACATACCTGGCCAAAAAATAAGGGAAGGAGTTGGTCAGAAGTGATGAGAATGTTCTCTCTGAAACTCCTTATTCACTGGAATTGGCTGCCTGCCTTGTTCTGCCTCCTTCAATGCCCCCAAGGTTTACCTTTGCTAATCTGTGACATGGAGATTCAAATGTTTTCTTTCTTTTCTTTTCTTTTTCTTTTTTTTTTTTTTTTTTTTTTGAGACCAGTCTCGCTCTGTCACCCAGGCTGGAGTGCGGTGGCGCGATCTCAGCTCGCTGCAATCTCCACCTCCTGGGTTCACGCCATTCTCCTGCCTCAGCCTCCCGAGTAGCTGGGACTACAGGGGCCCACCACCACGCCCGGCTGATTTTTTGTATTTTTAGTAGAGACGGGGTTTCACCGTGTTAGCCAAGATGGTCTCGATCTTCTGACCTCGTGATCTGCCCGTCTTGGCCTCCCGTAGTGCTGGGATTACAGGCGTGAGCCACTGCGCCTGGCCCAAATGTTATATCTCACATCTCTTAGGGAGAATGGAAATCTCTTTAAGACTAAGGTCTACTTTGTTAAGTTAGAGTAATGTGAGTTTAATTGCATCACAAATATTGTTAGCACTTATTATTCAAGTTTGTTCCTGAATTATAACAGGACACTGATTTATCCCAAATTCCCAACTGGGAATGAAGAACAAAGACAAGTCCCTGCAGTGGTTTCTCCACTGAGCCCAAAAAACCACATCTGATAAGCTATGTAATTTGCTATAGCAATTTGTGCCAAAAATAAAGGCACACTTTTGCAGAGTCGCACATTTCTAAGAAAAACTGAACTCCACCCCATGCTAATCCAGCTCCTTTCTTTCTTTTTCAAACTTGATGTTTATGGATAGAAAATACCAGGCTGCATCTTAGGTCCCATACCATTGACGCCCCTTGGCCAAATGGCTAGGTCCATTGGCCTCTAGTCACCCCAAATCTCTCTTGCAGTCACTCTGTAACCCGAAGGGTGAGTGTAGGCAACAACAGTGGCCAGTTTTACGACACCCCAATAATATGATGTCTTTAATAGCACAGCAGATTCTTGGCTGATGGCCCTGGTTAAAGGAAGGAGGCACAGAATCTTCGAAGTCATCAATTTTAATGAGCACTGCAACTATTCCAGTAAACTAGATCCCTTTATTTTTGTTTGCTTGACAAAGAAACTTGATATGTCTAAGACATTTATTTCTTTTTAGTTCAACACCAGGACAGGAACTTGCTTTTTCACCACCAGTATTAGGCCCCCAATGGTGCTAAAAATTACTGTGCAGTCTTTTGGAAGGGGAAGAAGAAAAGAGGCTACAAGAAAAAGAAAAACAAAAGAACAAAACCAAACAAACACAAACTTTTGAAAAATTCAGGCTTTCTTTGGCTCAGAGGTTAAACATGAATTGTTAGCGTTCCCTTTCAAAGTTGGAGTTTGCCAAGGAATCTCATAAGCTTGCATGGTTTTGTGGAAGTTACAAGAGAAATAAGAAATTTCATCTGCATTTTCAAAGGCCAGGAATACTCAGTTGTGTGTGCGTGTGTGTCTGTATCTGTGCCTGTGTATGAGACAGTGAGAGAGAGAGAGAGAGAGACCGATAGACAGATAAATACAGCCAGAAGCCAAGGAAATTTCAACTACTTTATTTACAACATAATGAATTGAAATCTTTGGAAGGACTATTTCTGAGCTCTATGAGAAGGACACGTTAAAGGTAGCAAGTAATTTCTGTGGTTTGTAGTGAGATAACAAAGAGGTAAGTTGCTTGAGATGCTTGCATATTAGAGAAAACAACCCAGCCTTTGCTTCTAATCTTTTCCATCTTTGTGCAAACTCAGTGAACTCTTATTCCACAACTGAAGGCAACAGGCAGGCATTTGTTTTAACTCCTTAAGTAAACTCAAGTTCTAGAATCATTAAAGTCGAAAGTCCTTGTACAAATCACTAAATACTTTCCTTATTATAAGGAATTCATAGCACAGGGCAAACTGTGTCATCTCTTATGAATTTTTCAATCAAAATAAATTTCTCCTTCTTTTTCTGTTAAAACATTCTTTTAATGGAAGAAGGGGGGGAAAAGCAGCCCAGAAAAAATTACGCAAATGGCAAGGTAGTGACAAGGCATCTATCAAAGTGGCTCTGGAAATTCCAATTTTTAAAGTGCTATAAAAATATCATTATTAATGATGATTGACTGGGTTTTCAGAGCCAAGATATTTCAAGGCTGCTAAGTTAGAGTTGAGTGCAAAAGCGGGGGTGCTAAAATGGCTTCAGGGTTCCTTCACTTTGTTTCTTCATTGATTTTTAAGTAACATGTGAACACAGTCAAATTGATGATTTTCATTTTGAATTAGTTTGCCCTCTGTCATGCAGAGCCTTCCATCTTTTCCTGACTGTCAGTGCCTAATTCATCTTCATCAAGTCCCCAGCAGGAAGATTCAGATCTTATATTACTCTTTGTTTTACAGTTTTATTGTTTACAGGAAATTGGGACACAGAGAAAAATAGAGAGGAATCTACCCAAGCTTTAAGTAGAACTACTCAAGGGGAGAAGGTACAACTCCACTTCTGGGCCTGGAGGTACAGAATCTCCTTTATCGCAGCAGCTGCAGTAGGTGAAACAAGGGACTATAATCAAATACTCCCTGGAGTTATTTTTTGTTTGTTTACTATTTTTGCTTTTGTTTCAGATTCCTGAAAGATATTCGGTCTTGGTCTGTGTAAATCTCATACTTTGTACCTGATGCCTTCATGAACCTAGAAGTGCTCTCCCTTTTACAGAGGAGAAACTAAGGCTAAAGAAAAGCATGTACGGAATAAGCAATAACCATATTAGATTTCAGTATGATCAACTGTTACCGTAAAAATCTTGTATTTTGCTCTATTTTCAGTCACTGTGAAGGCTGGGAAAAATGACAAGTATGGTTTTTTAAAGTGTAATGAAAATGTGCTTGAAAACATCACAAAAATATTGTTTAGGTGAGGCCCAAGGCCCAAGTTAGAGGACTTCTTTAAGGACACAGAGGGAAAAAGAAAAAATGTCAACACCAACAAAACCTATCATTTGCTGAGCAAAAATCTCCTTCCTACCCCCTGAAGCGCCTTAACTCTCCACCTTCTGTTTCTAACAGTTAGAGCTGCTGCAGCTTCTGAAGATTCATTCTTGCAGTCCTATGGGAAGTCACCAGTTTGTTCTTTCAACAGTGTGCCAAAAGTGGAAAAAGGAAGAGTTTAAGCAACTGTCAACCAGGAAACTTTCTGTTTGTTTATTTTTAAAAAAGAAGACTTATCAAGCTAGCCAAGAAATTTTGTTGAAGTTACAGGCTGTCATTCTTTATAATCGCTCTACTTTCTTTTTCTTTCTGAATCCTGCATTTCCATGGAGGATAGATAATCTTGGGCATTATCCTCATTGGCTCGGCTTAGCTCTGTCCCTTGGGGTCCTGCTGACTCTATAAACTTTCAACTCCTAAATCCAATGCTGGCTCACCCAGGAAAGAAAAAAGCAAACTGAACAATAAAATTCAAGCTGTAGCTTCCGTTGTGACTCAAGAATAAAAAATGTTAATGGCCAACAGCATATAAAGTGCCACTAATCACCAATAATTTATTATTTCCCAGTGGGGTCCCCAAACAAACACCATCTTGCCCAACTCCATTACTGTCCAGGATTGGAAAAGCTTTTCAAAGTTAATTATCTGATTGAATCTTCACCTAGGGTTGAGCAGTTTGAAAATTTTTCATAAAAATTAAATATACCAGAAAGGAGAAAGTAAGTTTCCTTCCTTTCTTTTCTTTCTTAAGTCCCCCTCTTGTCTCTCTTCCTTTCCTTAGCAAGTCTTTGGCTGTGTCAGCTCTTCTATGCATGATTGGTTTGCTGTGATCTATGGAAAACTCTTACTACTTCAGGAATTTTATTTTGCTGGGTTTGGGCTATAGGATTTTGTTTTGAGGAAGTCTTAAAAGCTTATATTCTAGCCAAAACCTTTTATTCTTGGAACTGCACAGATAAATTAGACCATTTTGGGAAGGACCTTTGCAGTCACATTGCCAGGAAAAGTTTACAAGTGTATCCCAAAACATTAAGTATTATTTGGGTGTTCACACAATAGGTTGATAAGATGTTGTTTTTTCCTCTGCTGTTCTTAATGTAGTATATACGTGGTTGAACGAATAGTATAAATTCATTTATTGATAATTCTAGGAATAAATAGAATACTTGATTTGGAGGGCCCTAGTAAGTATTTATCGTAACAAACCCACATTCTTAATATCATACGGAAGAGAGCTTCATTCTCCTTCATGTATAAAAGTCGCTTCAAAAGCTTGTGTTGAAGGCCAGTTGTGGTGGCTCATGCCTGTAATCCTAGCACTTTGGGAGGCCGAGGTGGGTGGATAGCTTGAGGTCAGGAGTTTGAGACCAGCCTGGCCAACATAGGAAAACCCTGTCTCTACTAAAAATACAAAAATTAGCTGGGTGTGGTGGCATGCACCTGTAATCCCTGCTACTTGGGAGGCTGAGGCAGGAGAGTTACTTGAACCTGAGAAGCAGAGGTTGCAGTGAGCTGTGATCGTGCCATTGCACTCCAGCCTGGGTGACAGAGAGACTCCATCCCAAAACAAACAAACAAACAAACAAAAAACAAAAAAACTTGTGTTGATCAGGAAGAGCCCCAAACTTACTCTCTGGTGGACTTAACTTCTGGAGCTAGCTGCACTGGAGTTTAACTAGAATATTTGGAATCTAAATAAGAATTTAAATAATTACTCATTTTCTGTGTTAGAGTAACAATTTTAATGGTGCACCACATTGTAATTTTATATACGGCATTCGAGTAAGGAATTAATGGGGAAGAGAACTGCATTTGTTAAGAGCTACCTATGTGCCAGGATCCCAGTATATTCTCCTTGCAGCCCTGTAGGATGGGTATCATTATCCCCATTTCACAGATGAAGAAATAAAGGTCTAGGGGGGTTAGGTGACCCAACCAATGTCAAAAATGTAACAGCTAGCAGCCTAGGAAGGTCTATATTACTCCAAATCCATACTCTTTTCCATGATAACCTATTGCCTTCAAAGGGTGAAAAGGCTAATTTGATATCCACCATTACTGCCTATGTAGACAGGCAAATTTCACTGAGAATATTATCCCTTCCAATGGTCTGTCAATGAGAGGTGGGAAAGGTCATTGCCTTTGGATAACCTGTCTCTTCAGGAATTTCTAGGATGAGCAGAGTGTCTTTTCCTCCTCCTCATTGTGTTGTCCAAGAGTAATGGGCAGCTTGGAGGGGCATTCCAGAATTTCAGCCAATGGTGAAGAATTTGAGGTGAGGGAGGATGAAGCATGTACTGGCACTGTTGTATCAGGTATAGTAACACAATCTTGAATCAGCCTGAGCTTTCCTATGATCTTCAGTTTGTGATCTTTCCATAGGGCCTTGAGAGTTAGACGATCTCAACCCCATGATCAGAACAGTTTCATGGTTGTGTGGGAGTGGTTCCAACTCCACTATAATTGTGAAACATGCAGGCTCATATTCTGGGATACATGCTTCTCCAGCTGTCAACACCTTGATTGTTGAACGACTAAAATTACTTTCATATTAAAGACGGTTAATTCTACAAGGATCTTTCTCCTGAGAATGAAACACACTGTGAGTCATCTCTGAGAATTTAGGGGGTAGCAGAACCAACAACTTGACCTGAATAGGGCTAGATGATTAACTAGTCAAAGAGAGGTCAACCTTTCTTACTGCAAATTCATTCAATCTGAAACATGATTATGGTGACGTTTGCCAAAGAGAGTACCCTGAGGCAAAGAAGATCACACAAGGTTGAAGACTATTAGAACAGGATTCCAAAAAGATATGCTTCTAGTAAGGCCGACTTTGTGGGAGTGCAAACTTGAGCAGTCACATACACTCTGTACTTTGTTTAATGCTGTACTCTTGCTGTCTGGACTTTTTTTTTTTTTTTTGAGATCGAGTCTTGCTCTGTCGCCCAGGCTGGAGTTCAGTGGCACGATCTCAGCTCACTGCAACCTCCGCCTCCTGGGTTCAAGTGATTCTCCTGCCTCAGCCTCCTGAGTAGCTGGGATTACAGGCACGCTACCATGCCCAACTAATTTTTGTATTTTTAGTAGAGACGGGGTTTCGCCATGTTGGCCAGGCTCCTGACTTCAGGGTGATCCGCCCTCCTTGGCCTCCCAAAGTGCTGAGATTACAGGCGTGAGCCACCGAGCCCTGCCGCTGTCTGGAAAATTTTAACACTCTTTGAATAAGGGGCTATCACGTTTTCATTTTGCACTGGCCTGCAAATTAAGCAGCTGGTCTTAGCTGCTAGTAAAATGATGAGAATCATCAGGGATAAATAAGACCAGTGAAACTGCACCCAGACGGTGTCTCAGAACAGACGGTGACAAAACAAACATTGGCTATAAGTAGAACTCACCTCACCTGGTTGGTGAGTTTGCTGCCAGCACTGCATAGGGCAGATTTCACAGAATGGGGAACAACAGGACTACTGGTCAGGGAAGACAGGCATACTGGGGAAGAGTCCTCAGGGAGCAAATTAGTAAGGCCCTTTTCCCTCTGGGGTAATAAAACAGACACAAAGAAGAACTTGAAGGATTAGAAGACTGGGCTAGACTCAAGAAGAGTTAGGACGTACCTGCAAATTCAGAGTAGGATATCCTGAAGTGCAGAAAATAAATCTTTAGCTATTTATCATCTTTGTCCCCAAATAAGGTTCCCATAGGAATGCCATATTGATCAAGTTGGAAAGCCCCACACCAGGAACAAATATTATAACATAGGTTGTAGAAGATATTAAAAATTGGTAAGACTTCACTCTGAGTATCCTAGATAAAAAGGGAGTCAGTAATTACATACCAAAGAACATAACTAGGATAACTCTTCAATTACTTGATTTTTTGGGGGGTAACTTTTTCATGTTTATTGTCATTATCTCCATCTACTTTTCCATACTATCTTTAAAAATGGAAGAACCTGTGTGCTTATTCTGGGTTATAACAAGAAAGGGAGGAGGTTGGAGAATCATATTATACATTGCAGTCTACCCTGGGGAGAGCCTACCTTGAAGAGAAACAAATCATGGGTTATAGAGTAGGAGGGGACAGCTTTTTTTTTTTCTTAAAGCAAGTTAAATACCTAGGGTGTATAGGGAGGAAGAAAAGGTCCCTTTGTGACACAGCTGGGGATGAGCAAGAGGAAATTAGGGGGCATGGAGGCCCTTCTCTTGAACAGTGATTTCAGACATACTCAAGAGAAGGCATTATTCCAGCCTCCAAGAGATTCGAAGAGATTCCTAAGCATTTAAATGATGGAACTGTATCGTCTCAATCAACTAAAAACACATTTCCTAATGATTTGTAGCTCTCTGCTGGCTGGGTGAAGGGGCCTGTCTACAAACCTAGTGTGGTCATCAGTCTGAGTGCTGTCTTCTTGGAGATCTGAGGATGTGCCTCTGGATAGCATAGAGAGCCTGCCAAGACTTACCAAACTCCCCTGTCTCCACTACTCTGATGGTTCATGAGAAACAAATGCTACAGTCATAAGGATTTGCAGTGCATCTCTAGGATTAGGTAGAAAAATGAAAAAAGCTGGGAGATGGTTGGGATTTTGTTTTGTTTTGTTTTTTTTGCTTCCAATTTGTAGTCGTGACTGGAAAGGAAAGGAGAAAGGAGGGTAATAGCTGGTTACGTAGAAGGCATCTAAAGGAAAGAATTCGTCTTCTGGATCATGACAGCAACATCAGAAAGATGTACTACTGAAGATGGAAAGGGCAACAGATCAAAGTGGAGAGCATATTTAACAAGGATGAATGGATAAAGGGGAGGGAGAAAAATCAAGACCAACTACCAGCTAGGTAACAAGGACAGTGAGCATGACAGAAAAAGAATTTGTACAGTGAAAGTGGTCCCTGGTAATGATCATTCTTTCCTTCATTCGACAAATAACAGAGAATTTCGCTTAGAATAATCTTTATGTCTTTAGGAAGCTATCTTATGTCAACAGAAAGGAGGTGACAAAATGAGCTCAAAGTTTTAAAGCAAAAAGTAAATATAATGTTATTGAGAGCACTAAGACTGAATGGGATAAAATTCAGCCTAAAAAAATATTAAGAGAGGCCAGGCACGGTGGCTCACATCTGTAATCCCAGCACTTTGGGAGGCCAAGGTGGGCAGATCACCTGAGGGGAGTTTGAGACCAGCCTGTCCAACATGGTGAAACCCCATCTCTACTAAAAAATGCAAAAATTAGCTGGGCGTGGTGGCGGGCACCTGTAATCCCAGCTACTTGGGAGGCTGAGGCAGGAGAATTGCTTGAACCTGGGAGGCAGAGGTTGCAGTGAGCCAAGATAATGCCACTGCACTCCAGCCTGGGCGACAGAGCAAGACTCTATCTCCAAAAAAAAAAAAAAAAAAAAAATTAAGAGAAAGACATACTTTATTCAAAAACTTATTCTATAGGAGAAACGAGATTAGTGCCATGTATAACTAAGATATATATCAAGGTGGAGACAAAGCAAAAAAAGGTAAAGCAAATAAAGCAAATGAGAAATTAGTTATACTGCTATATACACCTCAAGACCATGGTGGAGGAGGGAGGAAATGGATATTGTGTTTTTGGTGTTACATCTTGGTACGAGTAACCCTTGGCAGTAAGGGGAGAATTTGATTATCTTTGAAAAAGTTAATTTTGCTCAAATTAAAGTATTTGGTAAATGCCTAACTTTTAATGTTGACATTTTAAATCTCTATAAATAAGAGAGCATACAAGAGAGTTGAATGTCAATATGGAGATTCTGAGGGGTAATAACGAGGGAGTAACCAAAGTCTTGGAGCCTAGACTATAGAAGGTCATGTATGTGGTCCTGCTTGTACTCCTTGAAATGAAGTTCTTGGACAGGATAGTTCCACAAATTCTTATTGGTCTGCATCAAGATGAAAGTAAGTATTGGAAACTTTTACAGTGATTTTTATCACCACAACATTTTTATTTTATTATATGAAACTAAAACTGATCCCTTACCACAGATACTTTGAGAGGCACTTTCCTAGTTCATAATAAAATAGAATTAGAAAACTTTACTGCCTTTTGTCCTGACCGTGAATACAGCTTGAGAAAAGGAAAGAGGGAGAATGTGAATATATATTTGGGAATTATCCCAATGGAACAAATGAGGAAAATAATTTTAAAAGCAGTGTGATTGTACTAGAAGCTCTCTTGATGAGAAAAAGGGGATAAAACCTTTTTATTGAGCACTCTTATATGTAGGCACTTTTATTGAGATTATCTTTTGTTTTCGAGACAAGGTCTTGCTCAGTCACCCAGGCTGGAGGGCAGTGTCACAGTCTCAGCTCACTGCAGCTTTGAATTCCAAGCTCAAGCGGATCCTCTCACCTCAGCCTCCCGAGTAGGTGGGACTACAGGTGCACACCACCACACCTGGCTAATTTTTTTGACTTTTTTGTAGAGACAGGGTCTCACTGTGTTGCCCAGGCTGGTCTCGAACTCCTGAGCTCAAGTGATCCTCCCACATCAATCTCCCAAAGTCCTTGGATTACAGGTGTGAATCAATGCACCTGGTTTATTTAGATTATTTTAAGTAATGAAATTCTAATTTTTATGGAAGGTGGGGCATAACTGAAGCTCAGTGACTTTAGTGGGTTGAAGGTGTCCCCCAAAAGATATATCCATATTCCAGTCCCTAGAACCTGTGACTATTAACATATATGGCAAAAAAAGATGTGATTAAGTTACAGATCTTGAGAAGAGGAGCTTATCCTAAAGAGGTCCTAAATGCAATCACACATATTCTTATAAGAAAGATGCACCGAGAAAGACATAGCGAAAAGGAAGAGGCGATGTGACTATGGAAGCAGAGATTGGAGTGATGCAGCCACATGCCAAGGAGTATCCACAGCCACCAGAAGTCGAAGAGGCAAGGAAGGGGTTTTCCCCTAAAGCCTTTGGAGGGCGTGTGTCCCTGCCGACACTTTGATTTCAGGCTTGACTGGCCTCCAGAACTGTGAGAGAATAAATTTCTGTTGTTCTAAGCTACTCAGTTTGTGGCAATTTGTTACAGCAGCCTTAGGAAACTAATGCAGTGACCTAAAGTAACTTATAGAAAATGAAAAATCTGATGTTTAGCCTCGGGTGTCACTCCAAAGCCTTTTATGATGACCCATCATATCGCAGGCTTCTAGACTTTATAATAGCTGGATCAAATGATTAGAAATAGGTTGAAAGGCTAGGGAAAGCACAGAGAAATAAAGCGTGTATGCTGTGGCCTCATATACTAGGTTTCAATCCTGGTTCCTCTGCTCACTTTACTTGCCTTCTGGAAGTTCCAGTTCCCTCAAATGTAAACTATTATAAATGTCATAAACCAAATTAACATGGTATTGTAAGGATTAAGAAGCCATGTATATAAACTTCTTTGCAGGCTGGGCAGTGGCTCACGCCTGTAATCCCAGCACTTTGGGAGGCCGAGGAGGGCAGATCATAATGTCGGGAGTTCGAGACCAGCCTGGCCAACATAGTGAAACCCCATCTCTACTAAAAATATAAAAATAAGCTGGGCATGGTGGCGGGTGCCTTTAGTCCCAGCTACTCGGGAGGCTGAGGCAGGTGAATCACTTGAACCCGGGAGGCAGAGGTTGCGGTGAGCCAAGATCATGCCACTGCACTCCAGCTTGGGCAACAGAGCAAGGCTCCGTCTCAAAACAAAACAAAAAACTTCTTTGCAAACTGTAGAGCACTATTCAAATGCTAATTCCTAAGACCCCCATTCTCCTCTACCCTCAGTCCCCCAAGAGAGACTGAAGAGAGGATGTATGCAGCAATCTTTATACTCTGTATCTCATCTGTTGCAGCTGCAATGGGATTGGTTCGCCCATTTTCCTGCCACAGCAGAGATGAACATCTTCCTCTCTCTAGCTGTAGAGTCCTAATATTACGGGCCTGCGGGAGCAACAAGAAGCCCCTGAACCTGTGGAGCAATTTTACTTGAAAGAAAACCTCAGAAGCTACCATGCCAAAACAAAATAGTTGTTTTTGGTAGATTTTTTCTTTTAGTGTTCAGATGGACAATACTAAATAACTCTATTCAACAGGCCAGTTCACTTCTACTTGTTTACTTATACCCTGCCTTGTTCCAGAAAGGATTTAAGGTGGATTACCTATTAATACCACACAAGATAAAATGAAGTGAAAAATAAGTGGGTGAGGAAAGTAGGACACCAGGAAAATAAGATGCAGAAAATTAAGTGACAGCAGGAGTGAGTTAGACTCATTGTGCTTTGTAAGGGCTTGTGTGCCCACTGAGGCTGGCCGGGAGAGTGTCTCTAAGCTTTCTTGCTATTAATACAGAAAAGTCTGTAAGTCAAGGTCACCTGCAATCTCCTTTTTTGAGATAGGGTCTCACTCTGTAACCCAAGCTGGAGTGCAGTGGCACGATCTTGGCTCACTGCAACATCCACCTCCTGGGTTCAAGCCATTCTCCTGCCTCAGCCTCCTGAGTAGCTGGGACTACAGGTGTGCACCACCATGCCCAGCTAATTTTTGTGTTTTTAGTAGTGATGGGGTCTCGCCATGTTGTCCAGGCTGGTCTCGAACTCCTGGCCTCAAGTGATCTGCCCACCTTGGCTTCCCAAAGTGGTGGGATTACAGGCGTGAGCCGATGTGCCTGACCACAATGTCCTCTTTAGGAAGTAATTTCTGTCTGCCCAGAGCACTGGCTATGGAACATAAAGATCTCAAAGATTTTAACACTGAGCACGACCATACTCATTTTAGCCTGAATTATTTTTTTAAAAAAAGGATCAGTGAAACTTTCATTTTTGAGAAACATAACTGTCTGATATACTGGCTAGTATACTAGCCACCAAATTTATATTTATACAACTGATGACTAACTAGGTGCACAGGCTGATTAACTATAAATCAGGTATGCGGAAGGGGATGCCTACCCAAAAGATGCCTTTGGTTTTAAAACTATCCATTTGTTGTCTTTTTTGGCATTGGTCAGGGCAAGCTTGACCTGCAGCCACTTGCTGTTCATGCCAATTAATTTGGTGTCTCCTTATAAGAGAATATCTATTTTTCTATTCTCTAGAACAGAAAGAAATGAGTCAAAATTATAGAAAAGTATCATTAAATTATTGATTCAAATTAGATGGAAACTAGTGGTTGGATGAAGCACAGTCTCTGTTTTTATTCCACTGAAATCACCATCTGAAGAGTAATTCACTTAGCTTTTCTGGATGTGAATTTTGCATCTAATTCATAGTGGGAGCCCATAACAATGTTGCAACGCTTAAAATAAAAAAGTTGACAAAGGCTATATTAAATGACTTTATAGTGAAAATTGATGATGGGGAAGTAACTACGGCCCTCAAACCCCTTCAGAATTGGATGATCTCTCTGCTGTCTGGCAGGGGTTGGCAAACTTTTTCTGTAAAGGGCCAGATAGTAAATATTTTAGGTTTTGTGGGCCAAATGTTCTCTGTTGTAACTATTCAACTCTCCATTGTGATGTAATGTCTATGAATGGACAGTGTATAAGCTAAGGGGGATAGCTGCATTTCAATAAAACTTTATTTACAAAAACAGGTGGCAAGGGAATTTGGTTAATTAATGAGCTATAGTTTGCCTGCTTTATGTTGTAGAACTATGGGGTTTTATGTTCTTGTTTAAAGTTTTCACTATATTCAAAACTGTTTTCAAAGAGAAATTTTGGTTTGACCATCTACCTCCCTGAAGATTATGGGTAGGCTCTCTTTTTAGACAAGAAGCTTTGATTTTTGAAACAGATCATTGCCACCTACATACCAGTTATCTAAAACACGAAGCTCTCCATTTTATCAACAACACAGAAAAACTACATTCTAGGCTCCCCATATAACTTCAACCACTATAAATGACAGCATAGCTACTTGTAAAGGCCTGGCTGATGCAGAGAGATAAGAAAGATAACTTAATGTGCATAATAATTCATTACTCTAGATTTTTAAATGTTCAGACTTGTATCAAGCCACATGATTAAGAATATGTATACATGTACTACATTACCTTCCCTCCTCTAGAAGTGTCCTTGCAGAATTGCAGTTTCACACCACTCCATCATCTTTTGTTTCATTTACTTATTTTTGAGACGGAGTCTTACTCTGCCACCTAGGCTGGAGTGCAATGGCGCAATCTTGGCTTACTGCAACCTCCGCCTCCTGGGTTCAAGCAATTCTCCTGTCTCAGCCTCTTGAGTAGCTGGGACTACAGGTGCCCAACACCAGCTAATTTTTGTATTTTTAGTAGAGATGGGGTTTCACAGTGTTGGCCAGGCTGGTCTTGAACTCCTAACCTCAGGTGATCCACCCGCCTTGGCCTCCCAAAGTGCTGGGATTACAGATGTGAGCCACTATGCCCGGCCCATCTTTTATAAAGGATTATATGTAAAAGTGACTTTTTGGAGAACACTTTTCCTCTTTTGAAAAACTATGGTTGAATACACTTTTCATTAGATTGTTTTACGTCATTTAGGAAGTAAAGCTCTGTGTGACCCTTAGCATTTAGTGGGACAATGGAATTGTATCTCTTGTGCTTCCTGTTGTTTACCAAGGAGTGCAATGTAACTCCTCTTATGCTACCCCTTGTATATATATTTTAAGCTCTGTTTCCAAAAAGTGAAACTAAGTATATGTTCAATTGCACAGCTTGTATTCAGCCTAGGTTTAGAAGCCCCAAGCAGAAGTAATGGTCAACATTCATTTCTATAGCACGCACTGGCTGGCCTCTGGTCCTCAGGCAGAATTTTTTTTTTTTTTTTTAATAAAAAATAGAGGCCGGGCGCGGCGGCTCACGCCTGTAATCCCAGCACTTTGGGAGGCCGAGGCGGGTGGATCATGAGGTCAGGAGATCGAGACCATCCTGGCTAACAAGGTGAAACCCCGTCTCTACTAAAAATACAAAAAATTAGCCAGGCGCGGTGGCGGGCGCCTGTAGTCCCAGCTACTCGGGAGGCTGAGGCAGGAGAATGGCGTGAACCCGGGAAGCGGAGCTTGCAGTGAGCCGAGATTGCGCCACTGCAGTCCGCAGTCCGGCCTGGGCGACAGAGCGAGACTCCGTCTCAAAAAAAAAAAATAAAATAAATAAATAAATAAATAAATAAATAAATAAATAAAAAATAGAGACAGAGTTTTGCCATGATGCCCAGGCTAGTCTTGAACTCCTGGGCTCATGCTCAGCCTCCTCAGGGAGAATTTTGTAAAATTTTAGTTTTAGTTTTAGTTTTAATTTTTGTAGGTACATGGTAGGTGTATATATTTATGGGGCACATGAAATATTTTGATACAGGCATACAATGCATAATAATCACATCAGAGTATATGGGGTATTCATCACCTCAAGCATTTATCCCTTGTGTTACAGAGATAAAGAAAATAAGTTTCATTGATCCTTTACTGATTTTTTTTTTTTTAATCCAGGCTAAAATGAGTATGGTTATGCTCAGCATCAAGATCTTTGAGGCCTTGACTTCCCATAGCCAGTGCTCTGGGCAGGCAGAAGTTACTTCCTAAAGAAGACATTTTTGGGGATCTTGTTTGCCAGTACCATGTTGTTTTAGTTACTATAGCTGTGTAGTATAATTTGAAGTCAAGTAATTTGATTCCTCCAGTTTCATTCATTTTTCTTAGTATAGGTTTGTCTATTGTGGGTCTTTTGTGATTCCATATAAATTTTTTGATTGTTTTCTTCTATTTCTGTGAAAAATGTCATTGGTATTCTGATAGGGATTGCATTATATCTGTGGAGTGCTTTGGATAGTATGGACATTTAAACTTATTGATTCTTCTAATCCATGAACGTGGAACATCTTTCCATTTTTTTATGTCTTCTTCAATTTCTTTCATCAATCTTTTACGTTGTAGAGATCTTTCATTTCTTTGGTTAATTCCTAGGTGTTTCTTTTTTTTTTTTTTTTTTGAGACGGAGTTTCGCTCTTGTTGCCCAGGCTGGAGTGTAATGGTGGGATCTCAGCTCACCACAACCTCCGCCTCCCAGGTTCAAACGATTCTCCTCTCTCACACTCCCTAGTAGCTGAGATTACAGGTGCATGCCACCATGCCTGGCTAATTTTTGTATTTTTAGTAGAGATGGGGTTTCATCATATTGGTCAGGCTGGTTTTGAACTCCTGACCTCAAGTGATCTGCCCACCTCGGCCTCCCAAAGTGCTGGGATTACAGGCCTGAGCCAACGCACCCGGCCAGTATTTTATTTTATTTGTAGCTATTGTAAATGAGATTACTTTCTTGATTACCTTTTCAGATTATTTACTATTGGCCTATAGAAATGGTACTAATTTTAGTATGTTGATTTTGTATCCTGAATACTGAATTTGTTTATCAGTTCTAATAGTTTTTTTGTGGAGTCTTTTTTTTTTTTACTTTTAAGTTCAGGGGTACATGTGCAGGCTTATTACACAGGTAAACTTGTGTTGTGGAGGTTTTTGTACAGATTTTTTCATCATCCAGGTATTAAGCCTAGTACCCATTAGTTAGTTTTCCTGATCCTCTCCCTCCTCCCACTCTCTACCCTCTGAAAGGCCCTACTGTGTGTTCTTCCCCTCTACGTGTCCATGTGTTCTCATTATTTAGCTCCTACTTATAAGTGAGAACATGCAGTATTTGGTTTTCTGTTCCTGTGTTAGTTTGCTAGGGATAATGGCCTCCAGCTCCATCCATGTTCCTGCAAAGGACATGATCTCATTCTTTTTCATGACTGATAGTATTCCATGTTGTATATGTACCACATTTTCTTTATCTAGTCTACTATTGATGGGCCTTTAGGTTGATTCCATTTGCTATTGTGAATAGTGCTGCAATGAACATATGTGTGCATGTGTCTTTATAATAGAATGACTTACATTCCTTTGAGTATATACCCAGTAATGGGATTGCTGGGTGGAATGATATTTCTGTCTTTAGGTCTTTGAGGAATTGCCAACCTGTCTTTCACCATTGCTTAACTAATTTACACTCCCACTAACAGTGTATAAATGTTTCTTTTTCTCCACAACTTTGCCAGCATCTGTTGTTTTTTGACTTTTTAATAGTAGCCATTCTAACTGGTATTAGATGGTATCTCATTGTGATTTTGATTTGCATTTTTCTAATGATCAATGATGTTGAGCTTTTTTTCATATGATTGTTGGCCACATGTATGTCTTTTAAAAAGTGTTTGTGGAGTCTTTAGTTCAAGCTTGTCCAACTTGCAGCCAGTGGGCCACATGTGACTCAAAAGACAGCTTTCAATATGGCCCAATACAAATTTGTAATTTTTATTAAAACATGAGATTTTTTTGAAATTTTTTTGTTTTAGCTCATCTACTGTTAGTGTTTTTTATGTGTGGCCCAAGACAATTCTTCTTCCATTGTGGCCCAGGGAAGACAAAATATTGGACACCTGCTTTAGGTTTTTCCAAATATAAGATCATATCACTTTCAAAGAAAGGTTATTTGAATTCTTCCTTTCCAAACTGGATGCCTTTTATCTCTCTTCTCTGATTGCACTAGCCAGGACTGCCAGTACTATATTGAATAACAGTGGTGAAAATGGGCATCCTTGTCATGTTCCTGATCTTAGAGGAAAGACTTTCAGTTTTTCCCCATTTAGCATGATACTAGGGTTGGGTCTGTCATATGTGGCTTTTATTATGTTGAAGTTTGTTTCTTCTGTACTCAGGTTTCTGTGGGTTTTTATCATAAGTGGATGGTGAATTTTATTAAATGCTTTTTCCAGCATCAGTTGAAATGATCATATGGTTTTTGTCCTTCATTCTGTTGATATGATGTATCATACTGATTCATTTGCATATGTTGATCCATCCTTGCATTCCAGGGATACATCCCACCTGGTCATAATGAATGATCTTTTTAATGTGTTGTTGAGTTCAGTTTGCTAGTGTTTTTTTGAGGATTTTTGTATCAAGTGTTTTGTTGAGGATTTTTGTATCAATGTTCATCAGGGATATTGACCTGTAGTTTTCTTTTCTTGATGTGTCTTTGTTTGGTTTTGGTATCAGAGTAAAAACAGCCTCATAGAATGAGTTTGGTAGTATTTTTTCTTCTTTTATTTTTTGGAATAGTTTGAGTAGAATTGGTATTAGTTCTTCTTTAAATGTCTGCAAAAATTCAACAGTGAAGCCATCAGGTCATAGGCTTTTCTTTCCTGAGAGACATTTTATTATGGCTTCGATCTCATTACTTGTTATTGGTCTGTTCAGGATTTGGATTTCTTCCTGGTTCAATCTTGGTAGATTGTGTGTGTCTAGGAATTTTCCATTTCTTCTAGGTTTTCCAATTCATTGGCATGTAGTTACTCATAGTAGCTTCTAACGATCCTTTGAATTTCTGCAGCATTAGTTGTAATGTCTCCTTTTTCATCTCTGATTTAATTTGTTTGAGTCTTTTCTATTTGTTTCTTAATTAGTTAGGCTAAATGTTTGTTGATTTTTGTTTATCTTTTCAAAAACCCACTTTTTATTTCATTGATGTTTTGTATTTTTTTCATTTCAGTTTCATTTATTTCTGCTCTAATCTTTATTATTTCTTTTCTTCTACTAATTTTGGGTTTTGTTTGCTCTTGCTTTTCTAGTTCTTTAAGATGCATCATTAGGGCTGGGTATGGTGGCTCAAGCCTGTAATCCCAGCACTTTGGGAGGCCAAGGTGGGTGGATCACGAGGTCAGGAGATGGAGACCATCCTGGCTAACACAGTGAAACCCCGTCTCTGCTAAAAATACAAAAAAAAAAAATTAGCCGGGCGTGGTGGCGGGCACCTGTAGTCCCAGTTACTCAGGAGGTTGAGGCAGGAGAATGGAGTGAACCTGGGAGGCGGAGCTTGCAGTGAGCCTAGATTGCGCCACTGCACTCCAGCCTGGGTGACAGCAAAAATTCATCTCAAAAAAAAAAAAAAAAGATGCATCATTAGGTTGTTTACTTACAGTTTTTCTACTTTTTCATAGAGGTCCTTATTGCTATAAACTTTTCTGTTATTAGTGCTTTCATTGTATCCTATAGGCTTTGATATGTTGGGTTTCCATTTTCATTTATTTCAAGAAATTTTTAACTTTTCTCCTTAATTTCTTCATTGACCCACTGGTCATTCTGGAGCATACTGTTTAATTTCCATGTGTTTTAGTTTCCAAAATTCCTGTTGCTATTGAGTTCCAGTTTTATTCCATTGTGATCACAGAAGTTACTTAATATTGTTTCAATTTTTTTGAATTTTTAAAGACTGGTTTTGCGGCCTAACATATATATGGTTCATCTATCTATCTATCTATCTATCTATCTATCTATCTATCTATCATCTATCATCTATCTACCTACCTACTTATCTATCTCTATCTATATCCATAACATATATATGGTTTATCCATATATAGGATAATCCGTGTGCTGAGGAGAAGAAAGTGTATTCTACAGCCATTGGATGAAATGTGAATATCTATTACATCCATTTGGTCTATAGTGCAGATTAAGTACAATGTTTCTTTGTTGATTTTCTGTCTGGATGATCTGTCTGATGCTGGAAGTGGTATGCTGAAGTCTCCAGCTATTATTGCACTGGGGTCTATCTATCTCTCTCTTTAGCTCTAATAATATTTGCTTTATATATCTGCATGCTCTAGTGTTTCGTGCATATGTATTTACAATTGTTATATCCTCTTGCTGAATCGGCCTCTTTATCATTATATAGTTTTGTGTGTGTGCATGTCTCTTTTTATAGTGTTTGTCTTGAAATCTATTTTGTCTGATGTAAGTATAGCTATTCCTGGTCTTTTTTGGTTTCTGTTTGCATGAAATATCATTTTCCATCTTTTTATTTTCAGTCTATCTGTGACTTTGTTTATTTATTTATTTTTTTTTGAGACAGAGTCTCGCTCTGTCGCCCAGGCTGGAGTGCAGTGGCCTGATCTCAGCTCACTGCAAGCTCTGCCTCCCGGGTTCATGCCATTCTCCTGCCTCAGCCTCCTGAGTAGCTGGTACTATAGGCACCCGCCACCAAACCCAGCTAATTTTTTGTATTTTCAGTAGAGACGGGGTGTCACTGTGTTAGCCAGGATGGTCTCGGTCTCCTGACATTGTGATCCTCCCACCTCAGCCTCCCAAAGTGCTGGGATTACAGGAGTGAGCCACCGCGCCCGGCCTATGTGTGTCCTTTTAGGTGAAGTGTGTTTCTGATAGGCAACAGATCATTAGGTCTTTTTTTTTTTTTTTTTTTTAATCTATGCAGCCACTCTGTGTCTTTTGATTGGAGAGTTTAGCCCATTTACAGTCAATGTTATTATTGATAAGTAAGGACTTATCTTCTGTCATTTTGTTATTTGTTTTCTGGGTGTTTTTTGGTCTCCTCTTTCTTCTTTCCTTCCTTAATATCTTCTTTTTAGTGAAGGTGATTTTCTCTGGTAGTATATTTTGATGTTTGCATCCATTGTATGTTTTTGATTGGAGGCTATGATATTGTATTATATGTATTGTATGATATTTTGATGAGGCTTGCAAATAATATCTTATAACCCATTATTTTAAACTGATGACAACTTAACACTGACTTTGTAAACTAACAAACAAGCAAAGAGAAAAGTGATAAAAATGCTGTAATTTAACTTCATCTCCTCAATTTTTAACCTCCTGTTATTTCTATCTTCCTGTATTGTGAATACTTGAAAAACTGTAGCTATCATTTTTGATAGGGTCATCTTTTAGTGTTTCTACTCAGGATATAGTAGTTCACATTCCACAATTACAGTGTTGTAATATTCTGTTTTTTTTCTGGTACTTACTATTACCAATAAGTTTTGTACCTTTAGATGATTTCTTATTGCTCATTAAAATGCTTTTCTTTCAAACTGAGGAACTCCCTTTAGCATTTCTTGTAGGACAGATCCCAAGTTGATGAAACCCCTCAGCTTTTATTTGTCTGGGAAATGCTTTATTTCCCCTTTAAGTTTGAAGGATATTCTCACTGGATATACTATTCTAGGGTAAAAGATTTTCTCCTTCAGCATGTTAAATATATTGTGACACTCCCTCCTGGCCTGTAAGGTTTCTACTGAGAAGTCTGCAGCTAGATGTGTTAGAACTTCTTTGTATATTGTTTTTTTTTCTCTTGCTGCTTTCAGGATCCTTTCTTTATCCTTGATCTTTGGGAGTTTGATTATTAAATACATTGATGTAGTCCTATTTTGGTTAAACCTGCTTGGTGTTCTATAACCTTCTTGTACTGCAACTTTGATAACTTTCTCTAGATTTGGGAAATTCTTTGTTATTATCCCTTTCTTTCCCAATCTGTCTCTCTGCCTCCTCTTTAGGACCAATAACTCTTAGATTTGTCTTTTTGAGGCTGTTTTCTAGATCTCGTTTGTGTGCTTCATTCTTTTTTTCTGCTTTTTGCTTTTGTCTGCTCTGACTGTATTTTCAAATAAACTGTCTTCAAGCTTACTAATTCTTTCTTCTGCTTGATCAATTTTGCCGTTAAGGGACTGATGCATTCATGTCAGTTGCATTTTTCAACTCCAGAATTTCAGTTTGATTCTTTTAAATTACTTCAATCCCTTTGTTACATTTATCTAATAGAATTCTGAATTCCTTCTTGGTGTTATCTTGGATTTCGTTGAGCTACTCAAAATAGCTATTTTGAATTCTCTGTTGAAAGGTCACATATCTGTCTCTTCGGGATTGGTCTCTGGCAGCTTATTGAGTTCATTTGGTGAGGTCATGTTTTCCTGGATGGTCTTGATGCTTGTAGATGTTTGTCAGTGTCTGGGCATTGAAGAGTTAGGTATTTATTGTAGTCTTTGCAGTCTGGGCTTGTTTTTAACCATCATGCTGGGGAAGGCTTTCCAGGTATTTGAATAGATTTAGGTGTTGTGATCTATGTCTTTGGTTGCTGCAGCCATATCTGCGTTAGGGGACACTCCAAGCCCAGTGATGCTGTGGCTTTTGCCAACTTGTAGAGGTACCACATTGGTGGTCTTGGGTAAGACCTGGAAGGATTCCCTGGATTACTAGGAAGAGACTCTTGTTTTCTTCCCTCACTTTCCTCTAAACAAACAGAATCTCTCTCTCTGTAGCTGTGTTGCCTATAGCTGGGGGAAGGATAAAACAGGCACCCCTGTAGCACTGGGTCAGACCCGAAGCTAGTACAGCACTGAGTCTCACCCATGGCCCATGGTGACCAACACCTGGGTACCGCCTATGTTCACTCAAGGCCCAAGGACTCTACAATCAGCAGGGGGCAAATCCTGCTGGGCTTGTATCCTTCCCTCAGGGCAGTGTGTTTCCCCCAGCCCTAGGTGGGTCCAGGTATATTCATTTGTTCTTGCACTGCTATGAAAAAATATCTGACACTGGGTAATTTATAAAGAAAAGAGATTTAATTGGCTCACGGTTCCTCAGCCTGTACAGGAAGCATGGCTGGGGAGGCCTCAGGAAACTTACAATCATGGCAGAAGGTAAAGGGGAAGCAGGCACCTCTTACATGGCCAGAGCAGGAGGAGGGTGGGGGAGATGCTTTCAAACAACCAGATCTTGTGATAACTCACTGACTATCATGAGAACAGAACCAAAGGGGAAATTTGCTCTCATGATCCAATCACCTACTGTCAGGCCCCACCTCCAACATTGGGGATTCCAATTTGACACAAGATTTTGGTGGGAACACAAACCCAAACCATATCACCAGGGATGCTGTCTAGGAGCCGGGGCCTGCAGTTGGGAACCTTAGGAATTTACCTGGTGCTCTGTTTTACAGCAGCTGAACTGGAACCCAAGCTGCAAAGCAAAGTCCTTCCCACTCTTCCCTCCCCCACCATCCTTATTTATTTATTTTTTTTGAGACGGAGTCTTGCTCTGTCGCCCAGGCTTGAGTGCAGTGGCTGGATCTCAGCTCACTGCAAGCTCCGCCTCCTGGGTTCAAGGGATTCTCCTGCCTCAGCCTCCCAAGTAGCTGGGACTACAGGCGCCTGCCACCATTGCCTGGCTAATTTTTTGTATTTATTTGTTTTGAGACGGAGTCTTGCTCTGTCGCCCAGGCTGGAGTGCTGTGGCACGATCTCCGCTCACTGCAAGCTCCGCCTCCTGGGTTCACACCATTCTCCTGCCTCAGCCTCCTGAGTAGCTGGGACTACTGGCGCCCGCCACCATGCCCGGCTAATTTTTTGTATTTTTAGTAGAGACGGGGTTTCACCGTGTTAGCCAAGATGGTCTCGATCTCCTGACCTCGTGATCCACGCGCCTCGGCCTCCTAAAGTGCTGGGATTACAAGCGTGAGCCACCGAGCCCGGCCAATTTTTTGTATTTTTAAGTAGAGACAGCGTTTCGCCGTGTTAGCCAGGATGGTCTCAATCTCCTGACCTCGTGATCCACCCGCCTCGGCCTCCCAAAGTGCTGGGATTACAGGCATGAGCCACTGAGCCCGGCCCCCTCCACACTTTTTAAGTAGAGGAGTCTCTCTCCATGGCCACCGCTACCCCTAGCCTGTGGCAAGTATTCCCTGGCTACCACCCATGTTCACTCAAGGGTCAAGGCCTCTTCAGTGAGCTTGTGAATCCTGCCAGTCCTGAGTCTCTGCCTTTAGTGTAGTGGGCTCCCTTCTGGCCCAGGGAAGGTCCAGAAATGCCCTCCAGGAGCCAAAGCCTGGAATTGAGGACTCCAGGAGCCCACTTGGTGCACTGTCCTACTGTGGCCACGCTAGTACCTAAGCTGCAAGATGAAGTTCATTTTACTCTTCCTTTTCCTTCCCTCCAGAAGAATTCTCTCCCTATAGCTACCACAGCTGGAAATGGTTCTGGCCCAACATGTGTTTAGAAATGTCATCCAGGGGCTAGTGCCTGGAATGAGGGTCTCAGGACCCTGTCTGCTATCCTATTGTACTGTCACTGAGCTGGTACCCGAGCTGAAAGACCAAGTCTCCTTTACTCTTATTTCAAACTGAGGGAAGGAGTCTCTTTCAGAGCTGCAAGCTGCACTGCCTATGGTTGGGGGAGAGGTGGTGCAAACACTCCCTTCCCACTCCCAGCTGGTGTCTCACTAGGTCATGTGCCCCCCAAGTCCACTGGCTATGAGCCCAGAAGAGCACCAGGACTTGCCCAGGAATTGCTGTCTTTGTGGCCTAGAGTACCTTTCAAGTTTATTTAGATCCCCAGAGCACTTTAGCCTGCAGTGAGTGGGGGGTCTGCCGGAACTCAGATTCCAACTGCTATGATGAATGATTTGCCTGTGGCTCGGGCTGGTCTAAACACTCCCTCCATGGTCACGGGCTGAGTTCTGCCCTGTGTTGTTTTCCACTGCAACAAGCCAGCACTGAGTTCCAACGCAAAGTCCCACAATCACTGTGCTCTTCCTTCCCCAAGCACACAGATGCTGTCTGTGTGCCATGCAGCCACTGCCAGGGGATGGAGGAAGGGTGGTGTCAACAGTTCTGGACTGTCTTTCCTACTCTCTTCTGTGCCTCTTTCCTTAATATGATGTTAAAACCCAGTACTGTGATTGCTTACCTGAGTTTTGGTTCTTTTTGTTTGTTTGTTTAGATGGAGTCTCGCTCTGTTGCCCAGGCTGGAGTGCAGTGGTGCGATCTTGGCTCACTGCAAGCTCCGCCTCCCAGGTTCACTCCATTCTCCTGCCTCAGCCTCCCGAGTAGCTGGGACCACAGGCACCCGCCACGACGCCCGGCTAATTTTTTGTATTTTTAGTAGAGATGGGGTTTCACCGTGTTAGGATGGTCTCGATCTCCTGACCTCGTGATCCACCCGCCTCGGCCTCCCAAAGTGCTGGGATTACAAGCGTGAGCCACTGCGCCCGGCCGAGTTTTGGTTCTAAGGAAAGCGCTTTTTTGTTTGGATAGCTGTGCAGTTTGATGTTCCTGTAAGGAAGAGGGACAATGAGCACTGGAGACTTCCATTCTGTCATCTTGCTCCCAGGCAGGTTTATGATCCAGTCAGAGCAAGGCTCTATCTCCTCCTTTTCATGCTTGATCTCTTCATCCTTTTTTGGTTTGGCTGGATCTGACTGTACTTGTATTTTAATACAGAATATCATAGGGGTATAAATAACAAATGAATAACAAAAAATAACAAAATTTGGGTTTATTGAAAATGTTAAAGACCACAAAAAGTCATTTTCATCTGTGTTTGAAAGTAGAACAAGGAAGTGATTCCAAACTGCTTGGGGCAGATGGTGTAATAATAACAGATAACAGAACTGGTAAATTCATATTCTGTTTTCACGTTCAGCAGCAAGGAAAGTGGTCTGCTGGCTGGAAGGAAAAGAAAATTATGCCTTGAATTAATTTTGGGGGGTGCTTTGGGTTTGGGGGACTTTTTTTTTTCACTTCGTCTCATTTATTTTTGCCCTGTGAGGTAGTCACAGTAGTTATCCTACTTTACTGGGGTGGAAATTGTGACTTAGCATTAAATGACTTGTCCACATTCACAAACAATGTAAAGAGGGAGTTGACTGCAAGTCTACATAGATAAGTGGACAGTAAGACAAAGCCTGGTCACTTTAAATGAGAACACAGGACAGGCGCAAGTTATGCCAGGCTGCTGAGAAAACTGGAATGTTGGGCAAATAGTAGATACTCAGAATATTCATTTTGAATGAGTGAATATGAACTGAGGATTAATATCAGTAACTACTGAGATCTTTCAGAGACCAAGAGATGAATGAATAAGGGAAATGTCAATTAATTTTTCACAAAAAGGAAGCAGATTCCATAATTCACAAACAGATCAGCTATTCTCAGATGGTGAACCTAGAAAAAGTCAAGAATGGATTTTTAAGCTAATGGTTCATGACTGTTAACAAAGGAATGTGGTGGTTACTGGGAGTGAACATAGGTTCACAGGGAATGTCATGTTATGCTAGCTTAATTTATTTTATTGTTTTTGAAATAGAGCTACTTCATAAGATCAGAGGATTGACTAGGATGACTTAATTTTCATAATATCATAAAAATTGCAACCACTGTTGAACGTTTACTCTATGCTAGGCTCTGCTTTATTTACCCCTCACAATAGTTCCAGTAGGTAAGTACTTTGTTTATCTCCCTTTTTAAAGATAAGAAACAGAGAATCAGTAAGATCAAGTAATTTACACGAATTACTTGCCAGTGAGTGGCTGAGCCGGAATTGAGGCTAAATTTGTCCGACTCAAAGCAGTTGATGGTAACTACTACACCATATCGTGTTGACACACAGCCAGGCTGATGAGATCTTTGAGGTTAAGGTAAACTGAATATACCAATAGGGTCATAATACCTTTAGATAGATTCACAACAGGTTGTAAACAAACCTAAAGCACATTGATTAATATTTTGGTCTTAATTTGCCTGGCATTTGAATTAATGAGTTGGCTAAAGACATAGAAAACACACTTGTCACTTTTACAGTTGACAAA
Organism: Homo sapiens; assembly: GCF_000001405.40. Lineage (NCBI taxonomy): Eukaryota > Metazoa > Chordata > Mammalia > Primates > Hominidae > Homo > Homo sapiens. Next base: position 139,569,595 of record NC_000006.12, read on the forward strand.
AATCAAGAAGAAAAGCCAATCCTATCAATCCTATTAACTAACACTTGCATAGTGTTTCTCATATTAAAGAATAGTTTTGCCTAGATTGTCATGTTTGATTCTCACAACTATACAGAACAGACTTATTGCTAGATCCCAACTCTCCTTTATTTTTACAGTGGGCAGAACTGAGGTTCAGGAAAATCAAGTGACTCAGTCAGAGTCATACGGTGAATAATCTGAGGACTTCTCTTTTCTGTCACAGTGCAATAGATATGGAGTCATGATTTGAAAAAGTATCAAGACATGCAGATGGAAGATCGAAACCAGTAAGATGAAATACGAAGGTGGTGAATGTAAAGTCTAACGCTGAAGTAAAAATATGTTCATTTGAATGTTTAATGGAAGCCAGCATTTCATTATGATTACAAATAATGCTGACTTAATCTTGGGCTGGATTAATGGAAGCATAACATCTACATCACAATAAACAACACTCCCACTGAACATGGAAATGTTCAAAACCTACATGCAACCCATATTCTCTAGGCCTAGCAGTTAGTGAAAACTCGGACTAAGTAGAGAGTACCCAGAGGCAAATAAATATTGCAGGGACTGTGGGGTACATAGAGAGTGAAAGGCAATGAGGAAATAAATAAACATTCAAGTTTTCTTCAAAATTTTAAGAATGATCACACGGAAGAGAAAAAATATTTGTTCTGTGTTGTTCTACGTCCAGTAGGTGTAAGTATCAGATTTTAATTTGAGATAAAAGCCAATTCCAGCAATTGAGCAGCTGCCAATGGAATGAGTCTTGTGAAGTTTTAATACCCTATCATGGGAAAAATTCTCTCAGAGGCTATTTGGTCTTTCTTTCTCTTAGAAGTGAGGTGAAAAGTAAAATTACAATGAGTTATTATGGCTTGTCCAATCTAATATTATGTAGTCGTTTAAAACCTTGCTCCAAGAAGACAAAGATCAGTCTCATTTTGATTTTCACTTAGCTCCAAGCAGGCTGAGTATAGTAGATGCTCAAAAAATATTGAAATAAGTCTTCAAAAGGGAGAGGAAATTACCAAGGGCTGGTAGTGAAATATCTCCCAGCACACATCGTGCCTGGCACAATTAACACTTCCCAGACCCTTTTGCAGCGGGAGGCAGCAATGAGAGGTTCTAGTCTAGAGCATCTGCACTCACTATGCTGTTCGCTCAGACCACGCTTCCACTTGGATTTTCACGAGGTCCAGCCTCTGGCTTTATTCAGGTCTGCTCAAAAGGCATTTCAGAGAGGATCTTAAGTAGCAATCCCTTAAACTCTGTCACTGCTCTGGTACTTTCGGGCATTTTTCACTGCCTCTGAAACACACAGAAATACACACATACATTCAATGTCTCCTGACATTTGAATTTAAGTTTTTTGGCAGCAGGGAATTTCTTTTGTTCCTGCATGTTATGATTTGAATTGCATTCCCCTGAAATTCATAGGTTGAGGTCAAAATCCTCAATACCTTAGAACAGGGGTCCCCAACCCCCAGGTCATGGACCAGTACTAGTCTGTGACCTGTTAGGAACCAGGACGCACAGCAGGAGCTGAGCGGCAGGTGGGCGAATGAGGGAAGTTTCATCTATATTTACAGCCACTCCGCATCACTCACATTATGGCCTGAGCTCCGCCTCCTGTCAGATCAGTGGTGGCATTAGATAGTCATAGGAGCGCGAACCCTACTACGCCTAAGAGGGATCTAGGCCGTGTGTTCCTTATGATAATTTAATGCCTGATGATCTATCACTGTCTCCCATCACCCCTAAAGGGGACCGTTTAGTTTTCCTGCAGGAAAACAAGCTCAGGGCTCCCACTGATTCTGCATTATGGTGAGTTGTATAATTATTTCTTTTCTGCTTTTTTTTTCTTTTTTTTTTTTTAAGACGGAGTTTCACTCTGTCGCCCAGGCTGGAGTGCACTGGCGCGATCTCCGCTCACTGCAAGCTCCGCCTCCCGGGTTCACGCCATTCTCCCGCCTCAGCCTCCCGACTACAGGCACCCGCCACCACGCCCGGCTAATTTTTTTGTATTTTTAGTAGAGACGGGGTTTCACCGTTTTAGCCGGGATGGTCTCGATCTCCTGACCTCGTGATCCACCTGCCTCGGCCTCCCAAAGTGCTGGGATTACAGACGTGAGCCACCATGCCTGGCTGAGTTGTATAATTATTTCATTATATATTACAATGTAATAATAATAGAAATAAAGTGCATAATAAATGTAATGCGCCTGAGTTATCTTGAAACCAGCGCCCCCCCACCCGACCCCAAGTCCGTGGAAAAACTGTCTTCCTTGAAACAGGTCCCTGGTGCCAAAAAGGCTGGGAACCGCTGCCTTATAACGTGACCTTATTTGAAAATATGGCCATTGCAGTTGTAATTGGCTATGATGTGGTCATACTGCAATAGGGTTCAGCCCCTAGTCCAACAGAACTGGTGTTCTTATAAAGGGAAATGTGGGCATGCACACAGGGGAAATTCCATGTGAAGATGAAGGCAGAGATTGGGGCCATGCTTTCCTATAGGCCAAGAGATGTGAAAGATTGCCAGCAAACCACCAGAATCTAGGAGAAAGGCATAGAACAGATTCTTGCTCACAGCCCTCAGAAGGAACCAACACTAGGAAACCTTGAGCTCAGATTTTCAGCTTCCAGAACTGCGAGAAAACCAGTTTCTGTTGTTTAAGCCACCTGGTTTGTGGTATTTTGTTAACAGCAGCTCTAGTAAACAAATATTTTGTTTATCCCTGTATCTACAACTGTGACTAAATAGAGCAGACATTCAATAAATAGATTTTTTGAATGAGTGTTGAATGAATAAATGAATACATGGAAGAATACATGAATATATGTTACCTCAGGAAAGCCATATATTTTTTATAGTCCTCAGTGTTGTCGTTTGTGAAATGACATTCACTACCATCTAGAAGATTTATCTAGTTCTCATCTATTCTGCCACATTCATAAAAAAGGACTCAATGACAGAAAAATTAATCATATATTAGAAGTTATCAAGGAAGCTTATTTAATCTGAATCTCTATTAAAAAATACAGACAGACATGAGTTTTAGGGATGGTTGGAATTTTAATTTGACCTGAGGCAAATATCTGAAATGAATAATTTCCTGAGATGGCTTTTAGATTTTGATCCTGTGTTTCTCCTTGATGAGTTTATCTATTTATGGAAATCAGGTCAGTGAGACTGTGTGAGTTATAGGCAATAAGGTTTCACTGCACTCCAGGCTCAACTTAGGTATCAGATCAGAATACAATCTTCCTCAATGAGGAAATAGAGCGGCAAAGAAATGATATAGGAGTCAAATCAGAGTGGAATGCTGAAAATTGACTTACTGCTTGGGAGGTTTGGGTGCACCATTACCTGAGATGATATTAGGTTTATCCGTGTGTCCCCAAATGATGGCCATTGATAAAGGACCTGGACTAAGAGACACTGAACAGCATCGCAGAGACTTACTTATCTGAATGTAACTAGATTCATTAGCCTGGATTCTATTTGGAAAACCCCAGTCAGCCAAGATGAGCTTAAGTTTTCAGTCCTTTAAGACTGTCCTAGGTGAGGTGGGTGTGGTGGCTCACACCTGTAATCCCAGCACTTTGGGAGGCCGAGGCAGGTGGATCACAAGGTCAGGAGATCGAGAACAACCTGGCTAACACAGTGAAACCCCGTCTCTACTAAAAATACAAAAAAATTAGCCAAGTGTGGTGGTAGGCGCCTGTAGTCCCAGCTACTTGGGAGGCTGAGGCAGGAGAATGGTGTGAACCTGGGAGTTGGAGGTTGCAGTGAGCGGAGATCGTGCCACTGCACTCCAGCCTGGGTGACAGAGTGAGACTCCGTCTTAAAACAAAACAAAAAGACTGGCCTGTGTGAGTTCTCCAGGACTGATGTCCAGAGATGGGCTTCCAGAAGCCTAGGCCACCTTATAGAGCTCTGGTTCCATTTCACTTTCTATGTCCTTTACCTTCCTATGAACCAGCAGATTCGTTTTCTCAGTCTCCTGCCATTTAAAGGCTTTGACTTCTCCTGCGTGGCAGTATCCTATTGTTGAAAGTTAACATCCTTCACTTGGCTCTTCTCCTTCTGTTCTTCCTAAATTCACATTTACTGAGATGGATCTTCAGTCCAATCAAAGAAATTGATACCTCAGTGTGTAAAACTCAAAGATTCCCAGGGGATGGGCGAGAAGGGTACAGAATTTACACATCCAGAGGAGTTAGATTCATCTCCCATTGGTGCTCTGCTGGGCTCAGTGGGGAAGTCATTCTGAGCTGGAATTCGGGTGCTTTTGCCTTCACTGGGTCCCTGCTATTTCCTTTTTAGCTTTTATTTTAAGTTCAGGGGTACACGTGCAGGTTTGTTAGATAAGTAAACTCATGTCACAGGGGCTCGTTGTACAGATTATTGTCTCACCCAGGTACTAAGCCTAGTACCCATTAGTTGTTTTTCCTGATCCTCTCTCTCCTTCCGTTCTCCACCCTTTGATAGGCCCCAGTGTCTGTTGCTCCTCTCTATGATTCCATGAGTTCTCATCATTTAGGTCCCACTTATAAGTAAGAATGGGCAATATTTGGTTTTCTGTTCCCGCATTAGTTTGCTACGGATAATGGCCTATAGCTCCATCAATGTTCCTGCAAAGGATATGATGTTGTACTTTTTTATGGCTGCATAGTATTCCACAGTGTATAGGTACCACGTTTTCTTTATCCAGTCTACTGTTGATGGGCATTTAGGTTGATTCCATGTATTTGCTATTGTGAATACTGCTCCAATGAACACATGCATGCATGTGTCTTTATAATAGAATGATTGATATTCTTTTGAGTATATACCTGGTAATGGGATTGCTGGGCTGAATGGCAATTCTGTTTTTAGGTCTTTGAGGAATTGCCACACTGCTTTCCTGTTGAGCTAGTTTGCACCCACACCGACAGCATATAAGCATTCCTTTTTCTCTGCAACCCGCCAGCATCTGCTTTTTTTTTTTTTTTTTTTTTTTTTTTTTTTTTTGAGACGGAGTCTCACTCTGTCACCCAGGCTGGAGTGCAGTGGCGTGATCTCGGCTCACTGCAAGCTCTGCCTCCCGGGTTCATGCCATTCTCCTGCCTCAGCCTCCCGAGTAGCTGGGACTACAGGTGCCCACCACCACACCCGGCTAATTTTTGTATTTTTAGTAGAGACGAGGTTTCACTGTGTTAGCCAGGAAGGTCTCGATCTCCTGACCTTGTGATCCACCCACCTCGGCCTCTCAAAGTGCTGGGATTACAGGCATGAGCCACTGTGCCCGGCCTATTTTTTTGACTTTTTAATAATTGGCTTCACCAAGTCTTAAGTTCCTCTTGCTATCCAACTTAGCTCAAGTCCAAGAAGCCCATTAAAGGGCTAAATATACCGAATCAAAATCAGCAAAGAGCAGAGAATGTCTCTTACTTTCCCATCTCACATGGTCTGAATGTTGGTTTATCCTCCCTCGCATCCCCAATTTATGTGTTGAAATCTAATACCCAATGTGATAGTATTAAAAGGTGGGGACTTTGGGAAATGATCAATGCAAGAGGCTTCTACCCTCATGAATGGGATTACTGCTCTTATAAAAGAGTCTCCAGTGAGCTCCCTTGCCCCACTTTTACCATGGGAGGGCACAGCCACAAGGTACCCTCTATAAAGCAGAGAGCCTTCACTAGACACTAAATCTGCTGGTGCCTTGATTTTGAACTTCCCAGGATCCGGAGTGGCAAGATATACATTTCTGTTGTTTATAAATTACCCAGCTTAAAGTGTTTTGTTATAGCAGCCCGGATGGACTAAGATGCCACCTCTACTTCAATTTTGCAAATGGGTCAGTAAAAATAGTGTCCTTGGTGTGGGCAAGGGTGTAAATTAGTACAGTGAAGACTCAGACAGAAAACAAATCCTCGGAACAGAGGCAATTTATTTTCAAATCTTTGGATTATAGTGAGCAGTTAGAAGAAATCTTAAATGTCATCTAATTAAACTCACTTATTTTGCACATTAGGAAACAGGGTGCTCTGAGCAAGACATCTCCTGACTTGCAGACCCTATACTTTTCATGTAGTTCTGTGTTTGTCTTTAGGATTTTAAAAGCATTATTCTTCTTGGCATTATCTCTGCCCAAACCAGGGCAAAAACGTTTATAAAGTAAGAGGGTGGGTGAATAAACCAAGACTATAGAGCTAGCAAAGGAAAAGGACTCAGACAAGAGACCATGTCCCCTAGTTCCTAATTCAGTGCTCTGTGATTCAGTTGAGCATTAAAGCAAACTAAGGCTGCATAAGAATTAAAATCTGTGATCCTTAGACTCTTACGTAAAATAGGCTGCTGTCTTATTTTCTGTAGTCCAATGGTATCGGTCTCTATAGCAGCGATTCTGATTTCCTTTAGACGGTGGAGTAATTGTCCCCACTCGAGAGTCTGAAAACTCTCAGGGATCCTCTTCTCAAAAAATTGTGTACACACACAATTTGCAGGTTCAGGTGATTCACATAACACCTCAATATGAGGGCAAGACCCTGGGCTGTGAATGAATGTTCTAAATACCAATGCCAGCTGTGTTTGTTTATTGAGTGTTTGCTATGTTCCAGGCATTATTCTGAAGACTTTATATGTGCTACTTCATTTAATTTCTGCAACTCCACTTGAAGTAGGTACTATTATCATTTCTATTTTATTTATTTATTTATTTTTTTGAGACAGAGTTTCGCTCTTGTTGCCCAGGCTGGAGTGCAATGGCGCAATCTCAGCTCACCACAACATACGCCTCCCAGGCTCAAGCAATTCTCCTGCCTCAGCCTCCCTAGTAGCTGGGATTACAGGCATGCGCCACTATGCCAAGCTAATTTTTGTATTTTTAGTAGAGACAGGGTTTCTTCATGTTGGTCAGACTGGTCTCGAACTCCCAACCTCAGGTGATCCACCCGCCTCGGCCTCCCAAAGTGCTGGGATTACAGGCATGAGCCACTGCTCCCGGCCTATTATCTCTATTTTACAGAGAAAACAGATTTAGAGTGCATCTCTTTATTTAACACTATTCCTTAAATACTGACTGATGTCAGGCAAGATGCTAGGTACTGAGTATACAGTGGTGCACAAAAATGGACACAGTTCCTTTTTTCATCCAGCTTGGAATCCAGTGAAGCAAAGCGATTGCCTGTATACGCAGAAACATGCCACGAGGGAAACGTCATGGGTGGGGGGCGTGTGTCAGGCAGTGATAATAACATGGACCCATGGAGTTCTGGAAAGATCTGAAGAAGGAAGTTGTGCCTGGACCACTATGCAAACTGGGTGCAAGAGCTATATATGAGGTGAGAGGTGTCAGATGATGTGTGGGAGTTAAATCATGTGCTAGAGGTTAACTCCAAAGGACAGAGGCTGAGCTCAAACCAAGTTCATCTGCCCCCAAGGTCAGACCCTGCCCTATTGTCACCACAGTTCAGTTCCTCTGACTATCATGACTCCTAGTGACATATAATGTATAATATCTCATGCTGGTGTCCTTCATGCCCTTGGGAAATACACCTCCCTAAAGTGCCCAATTTGTGGTGAAGGACAAAGTTTTAGAATTTTCAATCTGTCATGCTGTGTTTCTATACATCAACCTGTCACCCTCTCCCCGAGTTGCCAAGCCTACTCCCTAAGCTTGGGAGTGTTCTTGGTGGAAGCACAGAGCATTCTGGGTAACCACCAATTCATACTGATTCACTATAGAGGAATTATGTATCTGGACTGATGGCTTTGGTGAAAAATAATGTCTCTGATCTCTATGTCTAAAAACTTACCTGCAAGCTTTGGCTGTTTCCCTCCGTCACATTTGCAGAGCCCTGTCCCAAACAATTGAGCCTGTATTTCTTCTTTCCAGAGCAGCAGCTTGCTGATGCATGTGATTGCCAGGCATGGGGCTGGACCCCTGCCCAGGAGTGGCAAGGACAGGTACCCAGGCCACATATGACTGTTGTGCAGCTGATGTACTTGGCTTGCTACCTACCACCGGTGAGTGTGCTACGCACCACAAACAGAAACACAGTGCTAATTTCAAGGTCTATTAGAATCACAAGGCAGTAGAAATAATGGTCGAGAGGCAGAAAGGGTCAGAATTGGCAGATTAAGAAGTCCTATTCCAAAGCTTCTGGGAGATGTCGACAAACAATGGGAAATAAATAGATACACTTTCCGATAATAAAAATGTACTTGACAGTGTGCTTTTGAATGAGCACAGTGAGGGACTGAAGTGGACAATATGTGACCATGGTTTTTACCCTACACCATACAGAACTGCTGATGGGGTCAGGCTGAGAACAGGCATCTGAGCATTCATGTAAAAGCTATCGGAATGCAGTGTTCCCAACAAATACATTAATGACTTTCAACAACCTTCACTTCTGGACATGATGTAATTAATTTTTGAATCAGGGAAGCAAAATGGTCTGTGGTCTGATATTTTCATTTGAAAGCAAGTGGGAAGACAAAAGCAAACAGGCTTTTTGGCTATGAGAAAATGCGTGACCTTCCAAGTAAGGAATTCAAACTGGAGCTTTCAACTTCAGAGAGGAATGAGGTTGGAGAACCTTTTTGTAGCAGAAATGGAAGGTGGAGAAATGGTTGGGGGTTACAATGCCCTCCACTGCCCTCTAAGTAGACATGCCTTTCCCCACTTCGAAGGGCTGTGATGTCCCTGAACTACTATGTAACAGGAAAACATTATTGCTAACAGCTTTTATATTTTTTTAAACAGAGGGTTGGCATGCCAGCACATGCTTGAATGCTCTCACGGTTACATATAAACTTTAAAAAGAGGCCCCCTTTCCCCTGAGCCTGACTCATACTCCATGCATCATATAACCAGGCTTTGGAAAGGCTCTGAAGAATGCACATGGCAATTGGATCTATTTTGTCCCATCGTGGGAGTGATAAAAGCAGGTGATGTAGTAGGTGGTGGGAATGTAAAGCTGGGGGGTACAGGGTGGGGAGGGGAGGGGTCATGAGGGGTAATAGGAAAGTTGTTCATACTTTTTAATGTTCTTTATGACATTTAGGATAACAGAACCATTGCTTTTTAAAGACAGAAGAGGCCTTGGAAGCCTGCAATGACAATTCAGAGCTACTAAGCCAGTGCAAAATCACACAGCCAAACTCTGAACAACCCAGGCTGTATTTTGGACCCCCAAACCCATCAGAGAATCCAGTAAGGGCTACAGACCATTTCTCTTGAAAAACAAAATGATACATAATATTTTCTATAGAGTTTCAAAGGATTTATCTACTCCTTAAGTTAGTCCATGAAACTGAGCGTCTAATGAATTTTCTGTTACACTAGTAGTACAGGTTCTTGATTGAGCATGTAAGTAATGTTCAGACAGACTAAGGTTTAAATTCCTCCTCCTTGTCACCTACTTGCTGTTCGAGCCCAAGCAAGCATGTAACGTTTTTAAGCCTCTGATATTTGAAATAGGTATAATAATAGCACCAACTCATAGGTTATCATGCAGATTAAATGTGATAATGGGTTTAAAGCAGTTAGGTTGGGCCAGGCGCCATGGCTCATGCCTGTAATCCCAACACTTTGGGAGGCCGAGGAGGGGGCTGGATCACAAGGTCAGGAGTTCAAGACCAGCCTGGCCAACATAGTGAAACCCCGTGTCTACTAAAAATACAAAAATTAGCCGGGCGTGGTGGCGCATACCTGTAGTCCCAGCTACTCGGGAGGCTGAGGCAGGAGAATTGCTTGAACTAGGGTGTGGAGGTTGCAGTGAGCCAAGATGTGCCACTGCACTCCAGCTTGGGCAACAGAATTAGACTTCATCTCAAAATAAATAAATAAATAAATAAATAAATAAATAAATAAAATAAAAAATAAAAATAAATAAAAAGAAGGTAGGTTAACATGAAGCCTGGCACACGGTTAGGACACCATGTTGTTTTTGTTGATGCTACTTTCCCTACTGGCTTCGTGGCCTCCTTGATTGGTTGTCGGTGGGCTGCTCCAGACCCAGGCCTCCTGAATTTCTTCCTAGTCCTTTGCTTTTTGCTTGCTTCCAGCCTAAACTTATTTACTTCCTGGACATTCTCTTTTCCTTAAGGGTCTCTCCATCTCACCACATAAAAGGCAGCCTATGATAAAATGTCCTGATAAATTTGTTGTGCAGAAATCCATCAGAAGGAAGTGCTGGGAAAATAAGATTGCTTGAGAGAAGGGCAGGCCTCTGAAGTGCTTCCTCACTGTAGGGAGATCAAAGAGTAGAACAAGTGGAAATACCAGGTCTGCAAGAATTGTATTGAGCCCATATTATTATTTCGTCTTCCCTCTACAGCAGGAGAAAAATAGCTTGCTTTTTCTACATTCTTTATTTTTTAAAAATCTAGACTTTCAGTTGTTTGGAATACTTGTTGTTATTATTATTATTATTATTATTATTATTATTTGAGACAGGGTCGCACTCTGTCACCCAGGCTGGAGTGCAGTGGCGTGATCTCAGCTCACTGCAACCTCCATCTCCCAAGTTCAAGCGATTGTTCTGCCTCAGCCTCCCGAGTAGCTGGGATTACAGGAGTGAGCCACTGAGCTCAGGATTAGCCACCACGCTGGCCAGGCTGGTCTCGAACTCCTGGCCTCAAGTGATCCGCCCGCCCTGGCCTCCCAAAGTGTTGGGATTACAGGCGTGAGCCACTGCGCCTGGCCTATTTTTAACATTAAAGTTTCTCTGGTCGATGTGGTGTTTAAACCTTCCAACTCCTTACTAGTCTCCCTCCATGCACCCAACTTCCTTCGGATCTGGGTTGAGAAACAGAAAGATAGACGCAGGAGGAGAAGCAGGGTTGTTAGAATACTGAGCAGAGAGAAACCTGCTCCCACCACCCTCCTTCTGGTTCAAGTTGTCCATTTTTTGTAGTGTTGGAAGTTCTCATGGGGACATTGCAGGATGAATTATATGAAGTTTTGGAAACTGAGTCTCCAAAGACAGTTTAGTGTAAGCCTCTGAGCTTCTCTTCTACCAGGCAAAGGTAGATAGGAAGACTGATAAAATCTCTTGGTTTTTTTTGTGCCAATTCAACTCCCACCCACTTATACTTGAAAGTAGGACTTCAAGGTACTTTACCACAGAAACCAGAAAGCAACCTTTAAATAGTCCCAGAACAGCAAAATCTGCATTCTCATTAGGCTAACTACTGAGTTTAACTTCACCCACACAAGAATTACACGATTAGAGCCAGGAGAATGAGTCTTTGGCTTTCTGACACTTTAACCGTAGAGACAGACACTCCTTTCTGTGTTCTCCTTTCCCCACTGCCCTGGTAGAAATAAAAGTGAAGTGTTAGTGATGATGTTAGTGACCAAATCTTTCTCTTGAAGTAGGGATAGTGGTCACGTGACAGTTCCCCCAAAAGGCTGCAAACTGAGGGGCCATAAAATGAGGCTACTTTGCAGTCGGAGGCAACCAGTTTTAGTGAAGGGTGATTCTGTCGTTCTGTTTCTGCTCTTAGACAGATTTGGGTGCAAAGCTCTTCTTTATCATATTCTAGCTATGGGGCCCGGGAAAATTACATCTAACTTTGTGTCCTCTGTTTCTTTCTCTGTAACTGGAGACATAGAGCCTTTGACTGAACCAGTCTGTATTCAGCGTCTGGCACCTAGCACCCCTTTCCTCATCCTGGGACAGGCAGCGTCATCTTGTGTAGCGATTAACTGCACTGAAGGATGAGAATATGATATTTGGATAATGACTTAATGTCCAGAGATAGTGGAGACAACAGGTTTGGGAGGTGGAGATTGTATATTTTGGGGGATGGTGTTCATAGTCATTGAAGATAATGAACTTTTACTCTAACTTGTTAGAAATATGCTAGAGCTTTTCTTCTCTCTTTTTTAAAACTGTCTCATAAGAGTGAGTGTGTGTAAAGAAATCAATTAAGCTGGTGCAGCACCAGCTCATCACCTCTGTCATCCAGTTGACTTGCTGACAGAGTCTCATCAATTTCTTAGTAATGTTAGCATGTTATCCTGGAAAGAAAACTGAACAGGGTGCCACACAGAGAAGCATCAGTTCCACAAATTTACATTAACACCTACTCTGTTCCAGCCACTGGGCTGCATGCAATAGAGACAAAGATGAGAAATCCAAGATCACACTGCAGAGTGAGCCTCATACAGTATTTCCCAATTGGAGAATTCCAAAAATTCTCAGGGATTGCAAGTTCCAGAAGTCTAATTTTTTTTTGCTTTTGTTTCAATAATATATACATATATATGTGTATATATGTGTGTGTGTGTATGTGTGTGTGTATATATAATATATATATTTTATATATATATTTTTCCATCTTCACTCTGTCACCTAGGCTGGAGTGCAGTGGCATGATCTTGGCTCACTGCAACCTCTGCCTCTGGGGTTCAAAAGATTCTCTTGTCTCAGCCTCCTGAGTAGCTGGGATTACAGGCAAGTATTACCACGCCCAGCTAATTTTTGTATTTTTAGTAGAGACAGGGTTTTGCCATGTTGGCCAGGCTGGTCTTGAATTCCTGACCTCAGATGATCCACTCGCCTCGGCCTCCCAGTGTTTGGATTTCAGGCGTGAGCCACCGTGCCTGGCCCAATAATATATTTTTAATGGTAATTTTACTAGTTATAAAGGAAAAATTTTGTAGAGCAGTAACTCATATGTGAAAGATATCATCAATGATTAAAGATTAAATTTCTTAGCCTGATGTGTAGGAATATGCCTACATAGTCTTAGACTCTTCAGATTTCCTTTCATTCAGGATCCATATATTACCAAGTGGAAAAACATGGTATAAGGGATCTGAATTTTTATCTTCTTTAACCCCTAACTTGGTGTGTGGTCTTAGCCAGTACACTCATTTAAATCCACTGGGCCTCAGAGTCTTGTTCTAAAATAAGGTGCCTGGACCAGATGAGCTCTGAAACTCTTCCAGCTTTAATAGTCTACACCTCTATGACTTTTCCTCTAACTGGAATTGTAACCTGCATTTCTTTTTAATTTCTGGTTCAGAAGAGAGAGCGCTGGCTAGACATCAGATCTGTTCTTATTTTTCCTTTAGAAGTGATTGCTCGGAAAAGCTGATGAAATCATTCTCCTTCTTTGCATCTTAGGCTTTTTATCTGAGATATAGGAATGTTAACAACAACAACAAAACCAAAGGTAAAAATCAGTGAGAACATAAGTTTGAGAAGCTTTGGAATACAACAGAAATTTTATCACAAAGATGAGCCCTGCAGTGAAAGGGAAAATTAATATTTCTAAGTTAATTAGTCAGGAATACAGGTATACTGTGGCAACAAACAACCCCAAAGATTCACTGCACAGGTGATTGCAGGTTGGCAGGGGCTCTGCTCATCACAGTCAGCAAAGGACCAGGCTGCTGGGAACTCCATCTAGACTCACAGTTTCAATATCCCTGAAGGAGGGAAAAGAGGATACTGTAAACTGCACATTGTCTCAGAATCACATTTCATTGGCTAATGCAGGTTACGTGATGATGACTAAGTTCACAGGGGTTGGGGTGAGGTGGAGAATAGCAATTCTACTTGAGACCAAGATGAGAATATCTTGAATATTTGTGACACTAGGTCTTCGCAAACATACCATTATTAGCATGCTCATTTTTAAATTTGGAGACTAAAATCCAAATTATAATTCCAGATAGTGATCATTCTAAGATGCAAAACAATGAACACACTCAAGCTGATTTTGGATTTGACCATACACATTTCTCAGAAGAGGGAGCTTTCCTGGAGAAGGTGAAGAAAGAGAAGGATATTTGGCAGTGCTGATTGGTAAGTTACCCATGATAGAAGAACTGGCAGGTAAGAATTCTTGGCAGTGAGAATGCACAAAAGGAATGAAGCAAAATTAACGGGGTTAAAGGTCAGGGAGCATACAAGAACACAGGTAGAGCTGTGATCAAAGGAACGAGTGGCTTATGACAGAACTTCTTTACTAAGGACTCTGAAGTCAAAGTCATATTTGTGTTTAATATAGAGTATCCTATATGAGTCAACAGGTATGGAATGAAAGAAATGCATTCAGATATGAAGAGATAGGACTAACAACAAGTCTACAGAGAAAGTACAGTGAATATCTGAATTTTTATGTTGGGTCATACACATTGGTTTTGCTAGTGGTATACCTCAACATTTAGTACTTACCGACACTGTCACTATGCAGTTCACTTTCCCAGCAGAACAAATGAAAATTCTTTTTTTTTTTTTTTTTTTTTTTTTTTTGAGATGGAGTCTCGCTCTGTCACCCAGGCTGGAGTACAGTGGCATGATCTTGACTCACTGCAACCTCTGCCTCCCGAGTTCAAGCAATTCCCCTACCTCAGCCTCCTGAGTAGCTGGGACTACAGGTGCGCACCACCATGCCCCGCTAATTTTTTGCATTTTAGTAAAGACGGGGTTTCACCATATTGGCCAGGATGGTCTCGATCTCCTGACCTCGTGATCTGCCTGCCTCGGCCTCCCAAAGTGCTGGGATTACAAGCATGAGCCACCAAGCCCGACCAACAAATGAAAATTCTACTAGAGAGATAGTTTAATTAAAGCATGTAATTAGTTGATTACCTGCTTCATAGAAGTAACAACTTTACTTTAATGTGGTATTCTGTTATCAGTCTGGGAGGTGAAGAGTCCTAAATAGAGTGGCTTTATTGACTCTTTGAATACAATGCTCTTAGAATGACATCATGACTTAGGGTAAAATATTAATTTCTAATCCTCAAAACCATATATTCAGATATAAGCATAAAAACATATTCAAAATGCCAACTATAATTCAAAATATATAAGCAGTTGACCCTTGAACGTTTTGGGGCATAGAGGTGGTGATCTCTCCTACAGCAAAAAATCCATGTATAATTTCTGACTGCCCCACATCTTAACTACTAATAGCCTGCTGTTGACCGGAAGCCATACTGACCACATACACAGTCCATTAACACATATTTTGTATGTTATTTGTATTATATACTGTATTATTAAAATAAGCTAGGGAAAAGAAAATGTTATTAAGAAAATCATAAGGAAGAGACAATGTATTTACTATTTAGTAAGTGGAAGTGGCTCATCATAAAGGCCTTCACCCTCATTGTCTTCACATTGAGTAGGCTGAGGAGGAGGAAGTACTGAAGTTGATTTGTTGTCTCAGGGGTGGCAGAGGCAGAAGAGGTGGGAGGGGAGGCGGGACACTCAATGTAACTTTTATTGAAAAATCCACATCTAAGTGGACCCACATAGTTCAAATTCATGTTGTTCAAGGGTCAGATATGCATGTGTATATGTTTGCTGTTCAGTGCTGGCTGACTGGTGATGTTTGAATTTATCTCCACTTTAAAATATTTTTTTGGCTGGGTGCAGTGGCTGACGCCTGTAATCCCAGCACTTCGGGAGGCTGAGGCGGGCAGATCACGAGGTCAGGAGTTCGAGACCAGGCTGGCCAATATGGTAAAACTGCATCTCTACTAAAAATACAAAAATTAGTCTGGCATGATGGTGCACGCCTGTAGTCCCAGCTACTCGGTAGGCTGAGGCAGAAGACTCACTTTAACCCGGAGGCAGAGGTTGCAGCGAGCCGAGATTACACCACTGCACTCCAGCCTGGGCAACAAAGTAAGACTCCATCTCAAAAAATAAATAAATGAAAAAAAAATTTTTTTCCCTATTGTCCTTTATCTTGTATGTCTAGGGAGAGAATTGGCTAGCACACAAATAAAGGAGAAAGGAGGAGAAAAATTCCTTATGTGTGATATGTGATATAAATCTGAAATTCATGATTTTGAGGCAGCACGATTTAGAACAAAAAGAAAACCTAATATTAAAAAATATATGTAGTGATGCTTAAATCTGTAACAGATATTGGGAATGCAGGTGAAAATGAAATTTGTGTGCTGAAAGAGCAACGCCTCAAAAGACGTTACTCACAAGTCCATGCACATTATTTGACATCCTGTGTCATTTCGTAAATCACTTTCATGCTTGAGAAATGAAGTATATACATAAATAATATTGATGCGGATAGCAACAATAGTAAGTTCCTGGTCTTGTCTGCACTCACGTGTCTCTGTTGCAAAGGCTGTTATGGGATTCCACGGTACTAAAGAACTGGAATTAATGATTGGAAAAAATGTTCTCCAGTTGTTTGTCTAAGATAAATATGGCCTTAGACTTCAGGTTCTGCTTCTGCCCATCTCATGGACCATAAGCAGTGAAAAGCCAACCAAAATATAGTTAGTAATATTAATTATGATCAAAATGAGCTAATGGCACCCTGGGATGGTAGGGAAGAAAGTCAGAAGTAAAAGAAAGCACTATAATTACAGGGAAAAAGGCCTTCAGTTATTCTTGCCCTTTTGCTTGCTACCACCAAATTCTAGTCCTGAGTGCTTATAATTACTTTATGAGCCTAAAGTAAGTCATGTTGCTTGTAATCCTTATAGCCATATCTTAATGGAAAAGTATTCACATGTTTGATCCACCTATAATTTTTAGAGAGAGAATGACATTTTCAAGAACAGGGGTGAGAAACTTGGGGAGCCACACAATTCTTGCTTCATGTGTTTCTGTGCATATGTGCGTGCAATGCATATGTGTTCATAGCCACCATATTGACAAACTTAGCGAAGATGTGAAAGGACTGAGTGGCTCTAGGTCATGGAACTGGAAGGGCCAGGGTGATGGCTGAGAGATGAGTCTTTCTCCCCTGGAGCCTGAGAGGGCCTATGGTTGTTGCTTAGCAAGTTCTAGACAAGAATTCAGGTTATTATATAACTTGTTTTCAAAACATTCTTGTGTAGTAGGAATGTTGCAGCTATTCCTGGCCCCTCTTGCCAGGGAAGCACTCTAGCACTTGTGGGTTTGATATCCACTGTGGTGGGACAGGCTTATCAGGTTGGCCAAGCTTGTAGATCCTATTGTGATAGAATATCTTCTTCGCTCTCTACTTTTGTTGTTTACTTAACAAAAGACACTCCACCCTCGCTGCAAGTTTTGACACTCTCTCTGATACACTGTATGGCTACTGTACCTTGACTTTCAATTACATTAAATCCTATCATAATCATTTTCTTACAACAAATCCTCTTTAACACCTGTAAAGCTCAGCTCCCATGGGTGTAGGATTATGCTGTCAAAAATAAAAAACAGAAGAATTCTACTGGAATTGCAGTGGCTATTGCACGCGCTTAAAAATAAAATCAGCATAAGAGCCCTCCCCACTTTGCATTCAATTCTGGTAGCAAAAAAGAGAAAAGTTATTCAAGCCATTCAAATATGGCTTGACGTATAAACCAGTGGCTTTAATTCAGTGATTTTAAATCAATGTGATATCATGTTAAAATACTTTCTCTGGGAATGGATTTCTTTTGGAAGTGAGTTCCGGAATCCCTAATTATTACCATTGTAATGATTAATGTAGAACAGACTATTCTTCATTAATACCTAACAAAAATACATTGTATGGGAAGGCTTTCATTTGTTTGCTTTGTTTCT
Source organism: Homo sapiens (assembly GCF_000001405.40). Classification (NCBI taxonomy): domain Eukaryota; kingdom Metazoa; phylum Chordata; class Mammalia; order Primates; family Hominidae; genus Homo; species Homo sapiens. Next base: position 139,587,151 of record NC_000006.12, read on the forward strand.
TTTAATGATCCTGCTTTATTGGTTGGACGACAAGCAAGTTTCAAAATTTAGGGTGTCATGATGGTGTCACCTCTTCTGCCTGGATTATTTTTGGTCAACATGTATAAGCCTGTTTTTTTTTTTTTTGTTTTTTTTTTTTTGCGAGGGAGTCTCCCTCTGTTGCCCAGGCTGGAATGCAGTGGCTCGATCTTGGCTCACTGCAAGCTCCGCCTCCCGGGTTCACGCCATTCTCCTGCCTCAGCCTCCCGAGTAGCTGGGACTACAGGCGCCCACCACCATGCCTGGCTAATTTTTTTTTTTATTTTTAGTAGAGACGGGGTTTCACCGTGTTAGCCAGTATGGTCTCTATCTCCTGACCTCATGATCCACCCGCCTTGGTCTCCCAAAGTGCTGGGATTACAGGCGTGGGCCACCGCGCCTGGCCAGAAGCCTGTTTTATTGTTCCATTTATTTAGGTTGTATTTCATGTGGTTTGCTGCTACTTTGGACTAACATCATTCTGAGCAACATTCTTAGGGTCAAAGGAGAGGAATGGGTATTTGAGGAATGTAACAGATTTTTGTCAGCAGTGTCTTTCCAGTATTAGTCATGCCTGTTGATTCTTCAAACTGATACTCTGAGCTCCATCCTGGGCAATGATAGCCCTTTTCGGATTAGCTGGTGGGAGGATGTCTCTCCAGTTAATCAAATCTCACCACAACAAGCACTCTATTCCACCTCTAACCAAGAAGTTATCTCTACTTCTATTATTTTTCCACTGTGTTAGGAAAATGAGTAGCTCGACATTATGTATCAATCAGAATTTAAAAAATCTTTCCTTTTGGAGTTGCTACCGCTAATTGCCAGGTTAGTAAAATCTTACCCATTCTGGCAATGAGGGTGTGCCACATTTTATTCACTTTTTTTTCAGGAACAAGAGTAAGATTACTGGTGACTCTAATCACCACATACAGCAGCCAGGTCTTTTGCTATGACCTGGGAGAGGTAGAGTTCTCAGCTTTCATAATGTAGCTTTGGTACAGGCCCATCTTTCCAGCTGAAGGTAATGTGAGCTGGAACTGGTCACAGAGGCCCTGGCAGCTGGCTTAACCTGTTTATATAAAGACGGAACACAGCCACTGATTAAGAGAGCCACCTCCTACTGATTGGTTTTGGAGTGGAGCCCAGAATTTTCCATGGAGATAGCTTTTAAAAGTTAGGTCAGCATCTCAATGAAAGATAAGGACACACAAGAAAGCCCTTGTGGGTTGCCCTGTCTTGAGAACCCCCACTGTTCAGCAAGGATCAGAATAGATATATGTGACCAGTGAAATGCTTCTACTAGGTTTATCTCTGTGAAAAGATCACTTTTCCCGGAGTGATCTTGTGGACTGAGGATTAAGTGGGTAAGCTTGAGCCAAGCTTAGCATTTAGCAACTTACGTATTTCCTTGGCTCTTCAATTCTGAAACCCTTCAGAGTGAACTGGTCAGTGATAAGATCAATTTGGTGTCAGGACATTTTATATGGGGGATGTTTTTAAACGGTGGGTACAATGTTGTAAATAACGAAAGACTATTGCTTCTAGATTTAAATCAGGGAATAAGGTTAAAAGGAACAAAAGAGGGATGGACAGGAAGGGGGAAAAAAGATTAAAGAATTCCATAGAGAATCAGTAGAGAAACTACAGGGCTTCAATGGTCCCATGAATTTCTCCACCCCCATGACTGATCAAACATACTTGAAGGAATAGTATTCCTACAAAACAGAGAAAAATGATCTCAGGCCATGATGCAATTTGTGGATGCAAAAGAATCTTTATACTGGATTGGAATTTGACCCTATAGTTTTGTTTACTTATAAGCAGAGACTGTTCCTTTATGAAGTTTTCTATCTGTGTGTTTAGAAATAAAAGTGTGTGGTAATGCCAAAACACTACTTGAATTGAAGTCGTTAGTAGCTGGAGTGTGTGCTACTAAAAGTAGTGACTGGAGGGTATTCCTGCCCTCTATTCTGCAACTTCCAGAGGTTTAAAAAAAAGAACATCCCACTTTTATAAAAAGAGAAAAAAAATCCTTTGCATAGATTATTATATAAATAAATCTTCTTAACACGCACTGCGGTTCTTTTTTTTTTTTTTTCAAAGCACAAAGAGTTATTGTGTGATTTATGTGAAAAGGTTATGTAACTGTACTCTGTTACTTTAAATAGTGTTTTTTATTTAAACTGCCAACTTCTTCATCACCAGCAAAGAAAAAAAATGCATATTTGCTAAGCACAAAGGTAATTTTCAAGGACTGTAATTAGCTCATGATAACTCTATCTTTTGTGATGTCTTTCCTGCTGAACTAGAAAAGAGATGGACTTTTTTTTCATTGTTAAATCTAAACTGTGGCACCTGCAATGTGTCAGTTCTATGAGAACCAGGGAGGAAAAAAGTTTAAAGTATTACACTCGGTCAGGGGAAAATACGGATGTAATAAGGTAACAGATCTTGCAATTTTCATCTGGCTTCATCTTTTCTTTTTACAAACATGACAAGGCTCTATTTCCTCCTGTTTCTATTGCCCAGCTGACCCTTTATTTCCAAGATATTAAAAGACCTATTTAAAAACCAAACGGAATATATGATATGGAAAATGAAAACAATAATGAAATTATGATAAAATACGTAGAAAAAAGTCAGGGGTGTAAATCTCGGTGTCTTTAACACAGGTGATAGGACAGAATGTTGGCAAGAGAAAGAAAAGCAAATGAAGCAAACGTTGGAGGAAGAGAATGCTAATTAATTAAATTCCTTCCAGGAAAATCAATCGCTAAGAAAAATCTTATTTCCATGAAAAATTCTATCTTTGGTGGAGGTCAGAGTATATGTGCACACTGGGTGTGTGTGTACAGTGTCACCAAATATATTTATGTCATTGATTGAGACTACTTTATGGAAGCATTTAGGGGGTCACAGTCAGAAAATTTTCCCCATGGTAAGGAGTATCTCCAAAGAAAATCTAGAAGTTTCCTTCCTAGGAAAATAAGCTGTTGTAGGCAGTAGAATTCCCCGAAGGTCACAACTGTACTACATTCTGGGATTTGGAGATCTGTTTCCTTCTGAGAAGTAAAACCTACCTTTGTAGACTGAGATCTGGGATCCTAGAGCTTGTTTTTCATAGTGTTGGACTATAACCACATGAACAACAGAAAAATCTATAAAGCACTTAAAGTCAAGGAACTGCAGTGTGGCAATGGTAGTTCTGGGTGCGTTTTCTGTGAAACTGTGAGAGCATTATCACCTGTTTGGTCACCAACCTGGTTGTCCAGGTGGCAGTTTGGCAAACAACCAGCATGAAAAACAACAACCTCTTGTAAGGAAAGGGCTGTGAAATCTTTGAGCATAGTTGTTCTCAGATGTTATTGATCCCTTTCAGTTCAAACATTAGATTTCAATTTTCATTGAAATCATTATAAACAACAGAAATGAGACTGAAAATGAATAAATATGCTTACAGCTCAGGCATCAGATATCTACTTCTGGCAATTCTGCACAGGGAGAAGGCAATTGATTTTTAAAGAGTGCTTTGCAACTGGCGGAGAGGAGCAAGACAATAGCTGACCGTTTCAATATATTATGGACAATGATGTCAATCAATATGTTTTGCAGCTAGAATTCAGTTGTAAGTTTGATTGTTGTATCTTTAAAAGTTAGGTGGGAATGTTGAGCCTCTATCAGGTGAAGTCTTCGGCATTTAGGATCTCATTAAATCTTGCTGTCTGGAAGGTGTTACATGCCCTGTTAAACAGATCAAATAAGGGAGGACTGAAAGTTAATTTCCTAGTCAGGAAGGAGGAAGTCAATTAAAAACTTACATTTGAAGAATGATCAATTTCACTTCAATTACCCGAAGGAAGTGTTTTGAAATGTGTATTTAAACTAAGAAATAGAGTATATATCAAAGGGAAAAAATTTAAACTGAAAGGAAAGGCCAAAGTTAGCAGCAATGGTGTATACAATAACAGGTGCAGCCTTTTCTAGGTTCACAGCTACCCTCTCTGACTTCAGCATGTGGCAGGAGAATCTCTTCAAACAGGAGCTACTTTTTCCGAGACTTAAAGGCTATCTTAGGCTTCTAGCAAAGGTTGATGAGTAATATAAACTCTTCCATGTGCTCAACATGAGGATCAGGCTAAAATTAACCCCACTTATAGACAGAAGGTAGCCAAGATGACACTATTATCCATTGTGCTGAAAAAGAAATGCTTCTCTTTAAATCTAGAGGAAAAATGCCGAGACAAAAAGTCCTTTAAATGAATTGTATGCCTGGTTTTATACAAGCTAGGTCATTTAGAGAGACACCTCTCTATTTCTGTTCTCTTCTATGGACTACATTTAGACCTTAAACAATTAGCCCTCTTCACGTTTTTTTAAAAGTCACCTGCTATGGAAACTCCAGCATTTTGTATTTTTAGATGCTAGGGTCAGGGCAAGTGCAAAAATGATGACATTTTCTGCCCTTATAAGCAATTCTTTTTTACTTTAGCAGGACACACGGAAGTGGGTACTGAACAAGTTCCCACATTCTGTGTTAACCCCTTAGGGTAAGAAGCACAAAGCACAAATACAAGTCTATTCTTAGGAGGCTAACCCCATTAGAGTAAATCCCATTTAAGAAGACAAGTGCTCCCTGTCATGAAACCCCTCAAGGTCCTACAAACTTTATAATTAGGCACATTTATTTTCCTGATCTACTGTTATTTAATTGGAACCGTGAAAGTAAGGCAAAGAGGCTACTTTCTGATTTGATTCTTTTTTTTTTCTCCCTGACAATTCTAAATCGAGTGTTCTGTGAACAGTTTAGCTTTCTAAAGTATTTTTCTGTTTTAAGGAGAGGAAGTATGTGTTCTATTGGAGGACAGAACCTCCTGTCTTCTCAATTACACTAAAAAATTCAGTCCAAGGCTCTTAGAATAAATCTCATATGAAAGGAAAGGAGGATAGCTGGAGAGAAAGGATGGAAAAACACACTGAGTTGCATAAATATTTTAACTTTCAGATGAATACAGGGACTTCCTCACTTGTGGTCATTCCTTATTTGTGAATGGCTGGATGTACACATAAACATCATGTCTCCCATGCTCAGGGAGGATTAACCCCTAAAATACCTTATCTAGAGCCTGAGAGAACCACCCCCCCGTCATATTTCATTCATGTATTTATTCACTCCACATCTATTTAGTGAATATCTATTATGTGCCATGCACTAGACAGGGCATTAAGAACACACTGGTGAGCAGAAATAGACCTGGAACAGGCCTCCTGGAGTTTACAGTCTAGACTTAGAGGGATAAATAGCCTTTAATCAAACAATTACATCAATAGATGTAAAATCACAGCTCTGATAAGTGCAAGGAGGTAAAAGCACATGCTATGAGTACAGATAATAAGAGAGATTGAACTTAATCCAGGGTTCAAGGCGGATTTTCCTGAGGAAGTGATAAATGCTGAAAGGTGAAGGTTGAAGGGAAACAAAATCATTCAAGAAGGAAATGAAGAGAATTCCAGGTTAAGTAGCAGATTTGGAGGCCTGAGTTGGGATGGGGCAAGGGAATGACAGAAAGATGGTCGGGGGAGCAGAGAAGAGGCCAACGGCAGCTTGGTGACAGCCGAGGCAGGAGAGGGCCAGACACATGAGCCTTGAGGTCAAAGTAGGACTCTTCTCTTTATCTTGGGAGACGGAGAAGTTGCCTAAGGGTTTTATTACAGTGCTGGGCAGCAGTTGGACAGGCACCATTCAAGTGGAATTCTCCCATTACTGCCCTTTTCCCCACCATTGTCCCTTAACCTCTGCATCTCCTAGATGCCCTATATCTGCTCCTCACCCTTTGCTCATCCAGAGCTCCTGCCACCTTTTCACCTTGGCTCCCTGCTTCCCCTTATCTCAGTTTCTACCCCCTTGGGCTTCTTGCTCTCTTGGCCCAAGGCCACAAAACCCCCATTACTAATTCAGAGTTAAGGCAGTCAGGGATATACAGGTGAGGCATTCTTGAGAGAGGATCCAGGCACCTTGAATTAGAATTTTGAATGTATTTGCCCACAGAATCAGGGGTACACACAGTCTTAAGGTTCTGACTCACCTATGGGGTGACTGACATTGGCATTGGAAGGCTGCCCTTGAGCCTCATATCATAGAATGTGTTTTGTTTCTATGGGAATCGTTATTTTAACAAACTTGTAAGCCAAATGCATTTTTTTATTATCTACTGCCTTTATTTATATAAATACGTTTTTGTGTGGTGGGTGACTTAATAATATCTCTCGCACTTTCTTTTCTTTCATCTTTTGCATATTGAACTCAAGCAAATGTTGAATTAATAAAGAAATTAATGGAGAACTCTTTAGTCCCAATGATATATATATATATTTTTTGTTTCACCTCTGGCTAGGCGCTGGTTAGATTGGTGATTTGAATTGCTAGTTTTGATAAAATAGCCAGATGTAAAAATTTTATAAACTTTAGTGCGGAATGGAAATCTAACTCATTGTGAACCGTTAATCTCTCTGTAGTTACTGAACAGGCACAAGCTTGTGTTTGTGTTATGTCCATTATTCTTACCCACATTTTACTTTAGTTAGACTCTCACCTTTTTGTTCTTTGCTTCCAATGAGGGATTCTTTTTAAAGTCCCATTCTTTGTCTTCTCATCTTGTGAATAGTGAGACATCTTTCTGGATAGATTATTTATTCAACAAGTATTCTAGTGTTCTTACTAACACTCAAGGCCCTGTGATACCATAGGAAAGACAGATACGGGAAATGTATGGGTCATACAGTCAACAGCAGTGCAATGATGGTAATGTCCTATGTGTGCACTGTCCAGCATACTAGTCACTAGCTACATATGGCTAATAGCGCTGAAAATGTGACCAGTGAACTGAAAATCTGAAATTTTAATTTTTTTTTTTTTTTTTTTTGAGACAGAGTCTTGCTCTGTCACCCAGGCTGGAGTGTGGTGGCAAGATCTTGGCTCACTGCAACCTTCACCCATGGGTTCAAGCCATTCTCCTGGCTCAGCTGCCCCAGTAGCAAGGATTACAGGCACCTGCCACCATGCCCAGCTAAATTTTGTATTTTCAGTAGAGATGGGGTTTCACCATGTTGGCCAGGCTGGTCTTGAACTACTGACTTTGTGATCCGCCCGCCTCGGCCTCCCAGAGTGCTGGGATTACAGGCATGAGCCACCATACACGGCCTAGTTTAATTTTAATTAATTCAAGTTTATTTGTAATTAAAAAAATTTTTTTCTTGAGTCAGAGTCTCACTCTGTCACCCAGGCTGGAGTGCCGTGGCACGATCTCAGCTTACTGCAAATTCCATCTCCTGGGCTTAAGCAATCCTCCCACCTTAGCCTCCCATGCTCCCACCTCTGCCTCCCAAGGAGCTAGGACAATAGGCCTGTGCCACCGTGCTGGGCTAATTTTTGTATTTTTGTAGAGATGAGATTTCACCATGTCACCCAGACTGGTCTTGAACTCCTGAGCTGAAGCGATCTACTGGCCTCAACCTCCTAAACTGTTGGGATTACAGGCGTGAGCCACCTCACCCGGTCAATTTAAATTTAAATAGCTACATGTGGTCACATAATTGTATAGTTCAGCTCTAGGAGGCCAGAAGAGATGGGCCTAGTAAGATATAAAGAAGGTAAATAGGTGGAGCTTGGGAAAATAATTAACTACTTACATGGTTTGGAACTAAAGGAAGAAGTAACTGAGTTTCAGACAAATGCGATTTTAACATAGGGAAAATGTAAGGTAAACACATAATCTTCTAGAAAGATAAATTTACAAGTCTTAACAAAGTTAAAATCCATGAAAAAGAATGTTTAACTATCTATTGGCTTCTCTCCAAAACTATACAGATACACCTACCTATAGCCTTTCCCCTAAAAAGGATCCTGTGATGATTTCCAATATCAAATACATAAGTTCTTTGAGCTTCTTGGAAGTAGCAGGAGACCCTTACAGTATGGTTGTGCTAGAAATCATTATTTAATTGACTGCACCACAGGAAAGAAGTTGAGCTTTTAAGGATAAATGGGTCATGCGATGACTTAAATCACCATTGAAAAAAATCTCTCATAAAATGTTTTGTTCTGGAAGAATATCACCTATTTTAGAAATCAGTTCAGAGGAACTCTTTGGCTGGAACAGCTTGTATCAGACAGAGTTGTTTAAAAATTGTATGTTGTGTTACCGCTAGCAACAGGCTTCTGAGATGTTTTGTGGTTAAAAGTCATCATACCTAACTTGCAGCTGCTAATCAAGGAAAGAATCAAGAAAAGGAGGGAAAACTTTCCCTCATATTCCAAAAAGAACAATGCCAAGAAAACATTCTTGGATGGGGGAGGGTTGGTAATGGGGCGGGGCTCTCAGAATAGAGGGATGCCCTAAATGAAAGTGATCAATCTGTGCTCCATCCTTCTTGGGAGACACAGTTCAAGACAGAACAGAGCCCTTGCAGCTCATGCACAGGAGCTAGAAAGGAAATTAAAGCTGTGTATTTAATTGTGTCTAGAAAGCTAATAAAAGAAAAGAGACCACATGCAGATAAAAAGAGGTGCACCTGGAGATAAGCCTAGGAGGAATCTAGCTTCAAGGCAGTGGATACAGTGTGGATTTAAAAAGCAGCCTAGGCTGGGCGTGGTGGCTCATGCCTGTAATCCCAGAATTTTGGGAGGCTGAGGCGAGTGGATCACCTGAAGTCAGGAGTATGAGACCAGCCTGGCTAACGTGGTGAAAGCCCGTTTCTACTAAAAATACAACAACAAAACAACAACAACAACAACAACAAAAATTAGCCAGGCATGGTGGTGCTAATCACAGCTACTTGGGAGACTGAGGCAGGAGAATCACTTGAACCTGGGCGGCGGAGGTTGCAGTGAGCTGAGATTGTGCCATTGCACTCCAGCTTGGGCAACAAGAGCAAAAACAAAACAACAACAAAAAAACAGCTTAAATCTTTAGATGGAAGACCAAGGTTAGATTAAATTGTGATAAATAAATACAGATTTCTGAGAAAGGTACTTATGATAAATTCAAATTTATGCTCTTTAAAGATTGTTCAAAATTCACTGTAACTGAAATAATGGGATATGGATTTTAAAATGCATTAACCTTGGCCCATTTATAGCCACGTAGGAATCTCAGTTAAAAAGGAACATATCATCCAGCTGCCTTCCATCACCTGGTGACAGTCTACTTGAAATGTATTTTCTTGAGACATTTTTACACTTCTATCTCAGTCCCCTTATCATTAGAATAAAGTCAATAATATCTATATTTATCTCAGCATGTTTCACAGAAGTGACAAGCAAGAAAACAAGTATAAAACTCTTGAACATATGCAAATACAAGCAATTTTATTTATTATTTGAGTGGCAAATGATGTCCCTGAAAGTTAAATCTATAAACTTAAACACAGGGAATTATTACAACTAGTATTGAGACAGGGTTTACTCTTCCTACTGGCTAGTTGAAGGGAAGTGCAGTGGGGGAAGACAGAGAATGTGACCATCCTGCGAGTTTGCTAAGTAGCTGAACTTCTAGGTATTTCAGGGTCTGTGAGAGGAAGGGCTGGAATGAGAACATTAAGTACAGCCCAAATTCTTTTCTACCCATTATAATGGAAATTAAAAATATTTGTATGTTTTCATTATGGTACAACCTCCAATGTGTGCATCTGGTTAGTTCCAGGCATGTATATAATTTCTTGTCCATTCACAAAGCACCTCTAACCATTGTGGAAAGTAAAACTAACTAACTAACTTACATAGAGGGCCACTGCTCTCTAAATCATAAGATTAGAATGAGGCTGTCCTTTGGTTATGTAACTAGGAATAATTTACTTACTCCTTTTGGGGAATAATATTCTCTGTTTTAGAATAAAGTTCATCTAAGGTCTTGGGTTCTAGGACCCTGAAGTTAAGGATCACAGAAGGATCTTAACTTTCTTAGGGCTTACTCAAATTAAGTAGCTGGAGCTACTGGCTGGATTCATCAACTCCTTTTGAGATTCTTTTTCTTAGTGATTATAGGTCTCAGGAAAGAGGATGAAGCAATGGAAGGTGCTTGAAGGAAGAAAGAGGCCCCACAGAGCTGTGTTTTTAAGAGCTGGCTAAGAGGGCCTTTGGAAGAGGGATCTCAAAGCAAATCTGCTTGACCAGGGAGGAACAAACTCATATATGTTTTAAGTGCCAGTCATGTGAAGCAACTCTACTAGGCACTTTATATGTCATCATTTTGTTTAATTAGCAGGGAATAGGAAGAATTGAATAATGTCCTTGTTTATGTAATTTGGCTATAAAGTAAAATTCTGCCTGGTGAATTCCAATTTCCTATTGACTTTTGCGTCTCATTAGAGACTGTCCCTGTGGCTATGGCTGCTCCAGTGATCTTTCTTTCCTGGAAGTTTCAGTTTTTACAGGCTCAGTTATCATAACAAATTTGTGTCATCTCAGTTATAATTAGGCTTACTTAAAGGGATGTTTTCATCATTGGTGTTGCTCCAAATACATATTTTTCTCCTAAGTATGTTGGAATTAAAATATTGTCAATGTTCAAGGGCCAAACACATAAGGCCATGCTTGTGTTTTAAGTCTTCAGACCCTGAACTCCATACCCTGGATCCTTGCTGTTGGAGTTTCCATAGGGAATGAGGCTCCCCAAGGCCTCTGAAAGAAATGGAGCCCAGCCAGCTGAGTCAGGCTGGGTCCCACGCCTCTGTAGGGCCGAAGTCCAAAGCAACAGGCAGGCAGTTCTTGCAGGCTTTTTCTCTGCAGAGTCATTAGAATACTTTATTGTCTTTTTTTTTTTCCCCACTATTTCAGCAGCTCGCTCTATGAGGACATATTCTCCTCATCCACAGAAGCCCTTTTCAAACATTACTAAGAAGTCTGATAAGAAGAAAAAACATCCACTGATGGGTTCTCAGAAAGAAAGCATTAGATTTAACTACAGGGCAATACTGCCCTGATTACCACAGGCCCAGCTGACGGCAAGGTTGCCAGGCAGCTCTCGTCCTGCCAAGAATGGTGGTGGAATGAAGCAAGCATGTGGTTTGTATTACCATTTTTCAGCTTTTTAAGGTTTAGAAAAGAGAACGTCACCAACAATGATAATTCACTTTGGAATGAATACATTTTCAATGCAGTGTTCAGCAACTGCTGATGTGTCTTAAATCCTAGAGTTCATATGCAACATTTTACAATGTGAACAAGATAAAGCACAGGAGATGTCAAGATCCTACTATATGCAAATAACTAAGTTTCTGGCCAAATCCTTCTTTTAAAAAAAGAACGAAAAAATGAAAAACCTCTCCAGCATTTCTAAGCTGCTACTTACAGCCTTTATAAAGATAGCACAGGAAAAAGATGCTAAAGCCAAAGAGTAAGCTAAATTCTGCCTTCCATTTCCTGGCACCATCTTCTTTAAAGTTGGGGTTGATTTTCTTAAATGTTTCAAGTCATAATTTGCCACAAATGAATCAATCTGTAAGCTGAAGTTAAATCATAAAATTCAAATATTTTAATTTGTCTTTTATTATCTTTTTTTTTTTAATTTAAAAAAGGAGAGACAGATATGGGATTATTCATACTTTGCATTCTCCTGGGTGTTCTTGGAAATACTATTCTCAGAAAGTCAGAAACACTAAATTGGAACAAATGATTTGATCCTTAGACAAATTTACAAAGTCATATGGTTTGAGGATCTGCATTGAGTTTAGTGAACTACCTTATGAATTAAGCCCCTTCCTCAAAGAAGCACAACTATTTTCCTCTCAGTGAAGCACATCGATATCTCCATGACATTGCTGCCAGCCTGATCCCTTAAAGAAACAAATATTAAATTAAGAAACTCATGGCCGGGCGCGGTGGCTCACTCCTGTAATCCCAGCACTTTGGGAGGCTGAGGCGGGTGGATCACAAGGTCAGGAGATCAAGACCATCCTGGCTAACACGGTGAAACCCCGTCTCTACTGAAAATACAAAAAATTAGCCGAGTGTGGTGGCGGTTGCCTGTAGTCCCAGCTACTAGGGAGGTTGAGGCAGGAGAATGGCATGAAGCTGAGAGGCAGAGCTTGCAGTGAGCCTAGATCGCACCACTGCACTCCAGCCTGGGCGACAGAGTAAGATCCCGTCTCAAAAAAAAAAAAAAAAAAAGAAAAGAAAAGAAAAGAAACTCATATTGTTCAAAGCCATTTTCAAGGAATTCAGGTGCTCCTTAGAAATCTGTTGCCTTCTTATGACATCGAAAAGATTCTGGGAAACCCATGAAGACACTGCACCTCCTGGAAGCAGCGTTGTTCTGTTGGAGGTTACAGGGCAGCAGAAACCAGAAAGAATCCATAGCTGGTGCAGTCATACATTTTTGCAAAGACCTTCAAACAAACAAAAAGTATATAACTTGTCAGTCTTGAGGGCCTGGCCTAAATAAAATGCAGCCCTGCTTAACAAAATCCTGTCAAATGTGGTCATTTGGGCTCTAAAATTATGCTTTGCGAAACACTAAATTAGTTTTGTCAAAACATAACCTTGGTTCTCAAAACATTGTCAGAACTTCTAAAGTTCAATAACGGGGCAGCATTTGTAGTTTAGGTGACATTAATCCACTCTATTTATTCTACATAGCATCCATCGAGTTATCCGCCTGTCCCTCTGTCCATCCATTCATCTAACCATTTCATTCAGTTTCAACACGTAGTGCCACATTCTTACTATGTGCCAGGCAATGTGCTGGACCCTGAACACAAAGATAAAAAGACACAGCCATAGACTCAAGGCTGGTATCCTAATAAAGAGATAGATGTGATAAATTGTTATAATCTAGTAAAATGACCACTGCAGGGGACAGGCCATGAAAGCATGAGGGAAATGATTGCTGTGATACTGCATTAGTTCAGAATTCTCTAGGAGCTCAGCTGAAGACAGATCGCTCTTTTCAGATACTTTTTTTTTTGAGATGGAGTTTTCGCTCTTATTGCCCAGGCTGGAGTGCAATGGCACAATCTTGGCTCACTGCAACCTCTACCTCCTGGGTTCAAGCAATTCTCCTGCCTCAGCCTCCCAAGCAGCTGGGATTACAGGCATGTGCCACCACGCTCGGCTAATTTTGTATTTTTAATAGAGATGGGGTTTCACCATGTTGGTCAGGCTGATCTTGAACTCCTGACCTCAGGTGATCTGCCCACCTCGGCCTCCCAGAGTGCTGGGATTACAGGTGTGAGCCACTGCACCCGGCTCTTTTCAGATACTCTTTAAAATTCACAGAAGACTTAATGTCTGAGATCACTTTATTTTTTTTTTCTTTTGAGATGCACGTGATTGATGACACTGTCACAAGTATATATCATCATGGAAATACCCAAATAAGGTGTTTGAACACATATTTCTCAGAGGAGGAAGATTTCCTGGAGAGGCTAAAGGAAGAGAGGAAGATATTTGGCAGCTGTTGATTGGTGGGTTGCCCTCCCACTAGCTGTAATGACATACCCTTCTTCTCTTTTGAGGAAACATCTAAGGATGCAACTAAATGAGAGTGACATTGTATGGGATATACCAAATTTGACATAATTTACTTAAAAAACAGATATTTTGAAAATTTTATACTTAGTTACACCTGATAAGTGACAGATTTCATAGATATTGACGGTTGTGTTGATTCATTGCAGTTGACCATGACTTGTTGAAAAAGCTTGCAAAGGCATCCTTAAGGAGTTTACATTCTCCTAAGGTAAGACTGTTGGTGTTTTAACACATCACTTCAAAAAAAATTATAGAAAATGAATTTAATTTTATAATTTTATTCTTAGTGACTCTAGGTGTCATCAGCCACATATAGGCTGACAACTGCAACTGCCCTCCTAGTTTTCCAACATTAAGAATGAGAAAGTGTGGTTGCACTCAACACTTATTTATGGCTGGGGAAGTACCCTCTCTGTCACACAGCAGTTCAATAGAGCCCCAGAGGGGAATTTAGAAGGCAAGCCTGATGGTCTTATAGCAGTTCTTTAGAAGGCCCCTGAGTTCCAACAGAACATGTCCAGAGGATGTAGCTGAGTAATTAGGCCAGAGGTGGTGGTGGTAGGGGTGGAGTATGGCTTATTCTAGAATCTGTAGGCCTGGGTGATAAGATTAGAGGATGTGCTAGACTAGGCAATATTCCCTTTACTCTGTAGGTTGAAAGGACTATGTCTGGTCACACCACAGGATACGCTGTTATAAAACCAACTACTAATTCAGAGTTTTTCATTTTTATCTTTGCACAGTCCAATCAACAACAATCGGTTGAGGGCACAGTTTGTTGATCTTTTTCAGTCACTAAGACTGGAAGCTAAAAACCCTAAGATTGGAAGATCCATTTGGTCCACTTCTTTTAGTCATTGAGATGCCACTGTTATTTCTGCTAAACAAATAAAGTATACTAAAGCCATTGAGAAGCTTTATAGCTTAGTAAATAAAAGGCAGGGAATGAATTCACTGTGCATATCTCAAAAATTTGATTCTTTGAATATACTTGCCATCTGTCTTAAACTTTGCACTGAATATTGTTTGATGTTGGCCCTCGTTAGCTGGCTCAGGTTGGGAAGAAGTGCTCAGTGACTTGGTGCAGAACCACACTTGGAGCTGCTGAAGAAAGGGAGCTACTTCCCTAGGAGTGTCAGCAAGTGTTTATGAACTCACGTGTGTTTCTAATGCATGCTGCAATGCTCTTCTTGGCTACTTTGTTCAGAAGTCCATAATCAGTATTTATTAATTTAACTTAAATATATTTTTCAAGTGAAAAAACAACCAATAAACTGAAGTTTCTGGCCAGGCGCGGTGGCTCATGCCTGTAATCCCAGCACTTTGGGAGGTTGAGCGGGCAGATCACCTGAGTTTGGGAGTTCTAGACCAGCCTGACCAACATGGTGAAACCCCATCTCTACTAAAAATACAAAAATTAACCGGGTGCAGTGGCAGGCGCCTGTAATCCCAGCTACTCAGGAGACTGAAGCAGAGAATCACTTGAACCAAGGAGGCGGAGATTGCAGTGAGCTGAGATCGCACCATTGCACTCCAGCCTGGGCGACAGAGTGAGACTCCGTCTCAAACAAAACAAAACAAAACAAAACAGAAGTTTCTTAGTCATTTACCTGTATATACCTCTGAGCCAGTCCCATGCCTCAGCCCGCTAACTGATGGTAAATACTTGATCATCTATAGCTATCCCAGTGGAACCATAGTAAGGACATCTGGACAAGACCCCCAGAGCTTCCCCTGGCCATGCAGTGCTGAGAACAGCCTTCCATGCTCGTAGAGGGGGAGGAGGCCCATGGAGATGGTGAATCTACAGATTATTGAGCCCTAGATAAAAGGGCCCCTCTTCCTTCATCTAGAGTTTCTCTGTTTCCTCTAATTTTCTGGCATCCAGAGGTGTGCCTAGTCTCCACTAAAACTTACTATTTGGAGGCCTTTTATCCTGCCCTGTTCCTGCAGGCTTCTTTTTTTCAATGCCAGACCCTGCCTCCTATTCCTTATCTCAGTCACCTCAGACAGGCATTCTCACAGTCTAGCTTTGCAACAGACACTCCGGATTGCACCCTATGGCTTGGAAGCTGTGTCTGTTTCTTGTTTCCTTGGATTAGGAGAGTTGCTGGGCGGGGGTCTGAACTAGCCCCACTGCCCTCTCCCTTATCCTTTACCTCCCACCCCCTCATTTCCATTTGACTCCAGCCTAGTCCACTCTCACCCTGGCCTCTCTTCTGTCCTGGGTTTTTGTCCCACTTAACCAGCTCATTTCCTCTACCTCTATTTCCCTCCAGGGCTTCCCTGCACAGTTGGACTTTCTGCCGACAATAAGCACCTCAATGTGAATGACTTTATTTGACCCTTTGTTGCCAGTGAATACTGACAAGCAAGGAAAATGGAGATAAGGGATTTGGAAACTTTTAAGGGGAAGCAGGGAGAAAGAGGAAGGCTGCTTTTGAAGGGGAGGTGAAAGGACAGAGGCAACAGGAATTGTGGACATAAATGGTAAACTAGACAATCTGTCTTGATACCTATTTGTACGGCCTTCCAGCTCTGCTCACTCCAAACATGGCAAGTTTTGCCTTATATGATTGTGGTTCCTGTGTACCTCTCACGTTCCTTCATTTCGTTCATCCGTTCGACAAATTTTTGTTGGCTGCCAACTCCAAGCCAGTCGTTATTACAGGTACTAGGGATTCAATGGTGGGCAAAGTGAACTCTCAGGAAGTCTACAGAGGAAGAAATGGAAATCAAATTATCACATGATTAATGTAAATGGAGTGGGGGAGTTACATGATGCAGAGAAAGGTTATGATATATGAGTTTAACCAGTTCACTAATATCTGGAAAAATATCTCAGGAAAAGTAAGAAGGTTGCGAAGATTTAGTGGCAATATAGGGTATAATGTGGTGAAGATAGAAAGAAATACCTTTATTGCAAAATCAGAAGATAATGAGCAAAAGCTCTGTGGGAGAAAGGAACATCGTGTGTCCAAAGGACGGAAGGAAGATCTGCATGTCTGGGAGGCAGAGAGTGGGTGGGAAAGGTTATGGGATGTGTCTGGAGAAGGGGGTTAAGCATTTTGCTCTTTCTCCTAAGAGGAATGGGAAGTTATCCACTATTGCATAACAATTTATCCTCAAACTTAGTGGCTTAAAACAATTATAAACATTTAGTATCTCAGTTTCTGTGGGTCAGGAATCCAGGAGCAGCTTAGCCAGGCAGCTCTAGCTTTAGGTCTCTCAGAAAGTTGCTGACAAGATATCTTACAGGGCTGAAGTCATCTGAAGTCTTGACTAGGGCGACGGATCTGCTTATAAGGTGGCTCACGTCGTTGGAAAATTAGTTTTGACTGTTGGTGAGAAGCTTGAGCTACTTCTCCATAAGGCTGCTTGAATTTCCATGCCATGGTAGCTGTCTTCTCCGAGAGTAAGTAATGAGAGAGAGAGAAAGAGAGAAACAGAGAAAGAGAGAGAGAGACAGAGACAGAGAGAGGGAGAAAGAGAGAGAGAGAGAGGCAAAGGTATATTTTTAAAAGCTTAGCCTCAGAAGTCACATTGCACTTCCATCACATCTATTTGTTAAAAATAAGTAACTAGGGCCGGGCGTGGTGGCTCACACCTGTAATCTCAGCACTTTGGGAGGCTGAGATGGGCAGATAGCCTGAGGTCAGGAGTTTGAGACCAGCCTGGCCAACATGGTGGAAACCCCATCTCTACTAAAAATACGAAAATTAGCCAGGCGTGGTGGCGCATGCCTGTAATCCCAGCTACTTGGGAGGCTAAGGCAGGAGAATCACTTGAACCTGGGAGGTGGAGGTTGCAGCGAGCCAAGATCATGCCATTGCACTCCAGCCTGGGCAACAAGAGCGAGACTTCATCTCAAAAAAAAAAAAAAGTAGCTAATTCCGTTCCACATTTTATTAAGGAGAGGAGAACTAGGCTTCACTTTTAAAAGAAGTAACATCAAATAATTTGGGGCATATTTAAAAACCACCAAACCGTTAAAGAGAGTTAAGCAGGAATGGTCACATGATTAGATTTGCCTTTCAAAAAAATGATACTCTAAATGGAAAACCAATTAAATAGGACCAGTATGAAAGTGGGTACACTGGTTAATAGATATTAAGTGATATCAGGTGTGAGATGTTGGTAGGGTAGAGTAGGATGCTGATAAAGATGAAGAGAAAAGATGAAGGTAAAATAGGTCTTGGCAATCAATTGGATTTGAAGGTTGAAGGAGAGGGAATAGTATAGATTCTTAGATTTCTGGTTTGAATAGATAATGTGGTACTCACTGACATGGAGAATACCAGGAGAATACCACTTTGGTCTATGATAGATGGTGGGGGTTAGCATGATTTTTATTTAAGACATATTAACTTTGGAGTATCTTTGAGATATCCCAGTACAATTATCAAGTAGTTTCTTGGTTTTAAAACTTGGTTTAGAACTGAGAAGAGAGTTCTCAGCTGGAGATATAAATTAGCGAATTATCTATACATAGATAGGAAGGAAATCTCTGGATTTGATGAGATCTCTTAGAGAAAGAATGATATGAAAAGAGAAGAGGATTTTGGGGAGATTGGATTTTGTCCAGCAAGTATTCACTCTCTTCTGTCTTTATTATGGCTATTATTTCCTATGGAGTATACTTCCCCGTCCCATTGGTGCTGGCCTTGGCCATGTGATTTGTTTTGGCCAGTGAGATGTCAGCAGAGGTGACAGGAGCAGATGTTTGAATTGTGCAGTGGAACTTTCCCTTTTGTGCTCTTTCCTTTTGCTTCATAAAGAACATGCCTTGGATAGCCACTGGTTTATAGAGGAATTAGCACGTTTGGACCCAATTCAAAGTTTGGAGCCAAGTCCAGCTGACTCAAGCCTACGTAAGCTGAACCCTATCCACAGATATTGAGCAAGAGATAAATGCTTACTTTTGCAAACCACTAAAATGTCAAGGTTTTGTTGTTGTTATGCAGCATTGTGCTAACAGCCGACTGATGCAAAGGCCTAGGATCTAGTGGCAAGAAACACTATTCTGGTTTTTTTTGTTTATTGTTTTTTTTTTGAGACAGAGTCTCGCTCTGTCGTTCAGGCTGGAGTAGAGTGGTGTGATCTTGGCTCACTGCAACATCCACCTCCCAAGTTCAAGCGATTCTCCTGCCCCAGCCTCCCAGGTAGCTGGGACAACAGGCGCCCGCCACAACGCCCAGCTAATTTTTGAATTTTTAGTAGAGGCGGGGTTTCACCATGTTGGCCAGGCTGGTCTCGAACTCCTGACCTCAAATGATCCACCCATCTTGGCCTCCCAAAGTGCTGGGATTACAGGCATGAACCACCGCGCCTAGCCAAGAAACACTATTCTTTAAAGTTCTTATTAGATTGCGTGCAAATTAAGAGTAGTATTTATGTTTGATACATGGTTGTATTAGCAAAACAGCATAAAGTCTTGGTCAAATACTTGGTGAATGTATGAAAGCATGGACGGACACAGTCTAATTTAGGCATGGCTATTTATCATAGATGTCTATAAGTCACATACACATATTCTTTTTTTTTTTTTTTTTTTTTTTTGAGATGGAGTCTCACTCTGTCACCAGGCTAGAGTATAGTGGCACGATCTTGGCTCACTGCAACCTCCACCTCCCAGGATCAAGCAATTCTCCTGCCTCAGCCTCTGCAGTATCTGGGACTACAGGCACGCACCACCATGCCCAGGTAATTTTTGTATTTTTAGTACAGATGGGGTTTCATCATGTTGGCCAGGATGGTCTCAATCTCTTCACCTAGTGACCCGCCTGCCTCAGCTGCCCAAAGTGCTGGGATTACAGGCGTGAGCCACTGCGCCCGGTGCATACATTCTTATAATAGCTCTTCCAAGCAGTGCGTCCTCAAAGAAGAAGATGCTCGAAGAAAGCTTGATGCTGCCGTCTTCAAGATCAAGAACTGCATCCCTTTCCCTGAGTACATTTTCCTTACATGTTGTAAAGAAATGCCCTAGAAAATTGATGTTCTATCTAAATACTATGTGAATATTTTAGAATATATTTTATTGTTGTTTTTAAAGCAGATTTCAAGTGAAGAAATTTTAAAATTAAAAAAGAAAGTTATTAGTGGCAATAAACACGCCTGTAAATAGTGTGTCAATGGAATGAAGGCAATCAAAGTGGCTCTTTTGGCTACTAACGTTTTCATAAAAGCTTTGATTAGTTATGAGGTAATTGTGAGAGATGATGAGTTGGAATCCAAGAAAGAAAAAATAGTTTCTCTAGTTTAACAGCTGTGGAATCTTTTGGTAATTGCTGGAATATTCCTTTTCAGTAAACTTAAAGTTTGCTTTTCTTTACATTACAGTTGAATGCTTGATGTGAAATATAAATTTTAACTTTGTCTTATTTACAACTTTCTTCTTCAGTGTGATTCTAAATTATAGTTGAGAAGGAGAGAAAGACAGCACTTGGGTTTATATGTTATCTCCATTAAATAGAAAAACTGTAGGAAAAGCAAAAAAAAAAATAGGTGGCATTTAAAATATTTGCCTTTTCACATTCTGGTTGTTAATTAAAATGTGATTTTTTTCCCCCACAAATGTCTATATAAAAATTGTGTGCCTGTGTGCATACAGGCAAGTGCAGTTGTCCAGTGTTTATAGGGGACATGTTAAATTATACCTTGCCTAGTTTGACCACAGTGTGAAATTTTAAAGTACAAACACGATCAAAAAGAAGAGTGGTTTCAAAAATGAAGGAACAACAACATTCCATTCTCCCAGAACCTTTTCAGTCTCTCAAACAGCTACCCCCTACTCTCTTCTCCCAGCAGTCACCAGAAACAACATCCCATTCCCCACACCACCCCCCACCCAAGAGTAAAGAGTACCATCAACTCTGAGAAAGAAACTGCAGAAATAACAAAATTTATTGGAGTGGATAATTCCTCACAGAAACTGCCAATCAGCTATAGACGCAAATCTGCCTTCCTTATCCTTCACCCCACCCCTTAGTTGGGCAAACAACCTAAACCCTCAGGAGAAACTTCGCCTTTCAGCCAAAGAATAATACAGATGACACTGCCAACCTGGAATATTTTGCTTGTACTTCCCTTCTACCTTCTTTATTACAACAGCTGACTGTGTAGCTGTGAGTCTTTTTGCCTTTTCATTTTGTTCAGGGTTCAAAAAAGTTATTATTTTACCCCAAAAGAATCACATAAACATGGTTAAAAAAGCAAACAGTGCAGAAAGTAAATGTCTCCCTCCCCTCACCACTCCTTCCTCCTTTTCCCAATTCTCTTAGACTTCCCAACAGCAGAAGTGTTGTGATGGGAGGAGGGAGTGTGTGTGTGTGTGTGTGTGTGTGTGTGTGTGTGCGCGCGCGCATGAGAGAGACAGAGAAAATTGGAGAGAAATTCTTGATGCCATCTTATTTTTGATTTAAGAAGAAAATATGTATCACACACAGAGATCCCTTCATCTCCCCACCCTACTCTCCCCACCAAAAAAACCTCTGCTGTTTAGAACTCTAAGAGAATTACTGGTCAAAAATCTTTCAGATTAAGCTCATTCCAAAGACATTTCCAGTATAACCAAACACTGAGAAACACTGGTATCCAGCCAGGCGCAGCCCCTGCCATCTCTGATTTAGTGCAATTTGATGATGATTAACTCAAAGACAGGATGGAGATGGATTCATGTAATAGGAAACAAAAAATCCTTCATTTATTTATATTTAAAATATCCTCTTTCTTGATTATTTTAGAGAATAAATTTATATACATTTAGGATGACTTTGCTGATAAGGAAAAGTCTCTTGGGCCTTGCATTTCCTTCTTAATTATAAAGGTTTGTGGAATGTTTTTCTGAGAACAGAAACCCTTCCTGAAGGAGTTATTCTTCCTAGAATGTTAGGAGGGTCTCCACTAGGTAAACAATGATGTCAGTGCAAATGTTTGAGTACTCTTCTCTCCCATCCAACTTGGCTTGGGGTTTTTTAGTTCTATTACTTGACTGTTTTTGAAACAGATTGAAAAATTTGCTCACCAAGAGAACAATGATTAACAAAATCTGTAAATTGCATTTCACTTGCTAATCAATAGCTCAAAAGAAAATCTAAATCCATGACTAATGGCCCAGGAGTAAACTACTTGCTTAGAAAAGCCTCTTTCGGTCAAAATGTTCTTTTAGAAATCTTTAGGGTATTTTTCTTTTCTTCTGTTCCCTATGTTATTATTCTACATTTTTAAAAACTTACACACTCTATAAATAATAAGGAAATATATTCCCAGGCCTCATTCTCTTTTTAAATACACATGAGTATCTATCATCAGTTTTTCCTCTGAATATCTATTCTCGGATTTTCCATGAGACATTGTAGAGTATTGGTTAAGAGTGTCTGCTTTGGAAACAGCTGTTCTGACTCAAGACCTTACCAGCTATGTGGTTTAGATTAACTTTCTTAATTTCCTTATACCTCAGTTTTCTCAATTGTAAAATGGGGATGAAATTTATAATCGTAGTGTGAACTTGATAGGATTGTGGTAAAGTCTGAATGAGAAAATGTAAGCCAAGCTCATGTTCTAGTTCTATCCCACAATAAGTCTCAATGAAGGGTGGCTTAAAAAAATAAGATATACAGGCCGGGCACAGTGGCTTACGCCTGTACTCCCAGCACTTTGGGAGGCCAAGGCAGGTGGATAACGAGGTCAGGAGATCAAAACCATCCTGGCCAATATAGTGAAACCCCGTCTCTACTAAAATAAAAAAAAATTAGCTGGGCATGGTGGTGTGCACCAGCTACTCAAGAGGCTAAGGCAGGGGAATTGCTTGAACTCAGGAGGCAGAGGTTGCAGTGAGCTGAGATGGCGCCACTGCACTCCAAATAAATAAACAAATAAATAAATAAGATATACAAAATAAAAAATTTTAAACTTTCAAAAAATCCCCAACTAAAAAAAAAATCAACAAAATATGTGATCTTGGATAAACAGAGCTTACCTCTCCAGACTGTTCTGTGTCTGAAGTTTTGTGACAGTGGGTAAAACAGTACGCATAGATAGAAAGACTAAGTGACAGTCCAGGGATGCCCATGGCAGTGTGCTGGTCTGTGTATGGAATATCTAGAGTATAGACTCTAGAATGAAAAAGTCAAGAGAAGTTATGTAGATCATAGAAAGATTAGACCAAATGGCCCAGGGAAAAATATGTGTTATCAATTGTATTACTGATTGGAGGGCACCGAGACTATGGCTAGTATTTCCATGTGGGAGTTTACACATTTTTGCCTACACAGAATTCAGGGCCAAAGAGATTACTGACTTGGCCTTATTCATCTGAAAAATTTTAAGTTTCAACAACAAAATGTACCTATCAAGGTTATAACACATAATCATATTAGTTCTTTTTCATATGTGTTTGTCTAGAACTGGTGCATTCATTTATTCCCTAAGGAATCAATGTATATCTCTTTCTTTGTCGGCCAAGCCTCCTAGGTCTACTTTCAAGGCTGTTGAGGTAAACTGATAACACCAATAGGGTATTTGGGGTAATTCTGTGAGGCAATGAGGGATGTTTACTACTCTTATTGGGGGGTGGGAGATGGATGGTGTTACAACTATGGAATGATTCTAAAAGGAGGAGTAAATGTCTGCAGAGTGAGAGGGAAGAGGAGAGAGATATTCTGTATGAATAGAGATGCAGAAGTGATAGACTGGTTGGTAGCAGGAGGTGGATCCAAGGTCAAAGGAGGGTTTGTAGTGAATGTGAAGCATGTGGGAATATTTGCAGGTTGAAGTGGGAAAGTCAGAAAGGAGAGGAAGGTTAAAGGTATAGGAAGAGGGGGGCAAGTTCTCAAAGAAGGTGGTGGTGGCCTTTAACTGAAAGAATACCCCACCATTTGGGGACGTAGAGTAAAGGAGATAAGGTTAGATGTGGGAAAAAACTCTGATAATTGTCATTGATTTTCCTTTGATTAGAAAATACATTTTCCTTTGACCACCAGGATAAAAAGCTGAACTGTTTATTAGAATTTCCCTGAATGCAAAAGAAGTAGAAAAAGAAGAAAACAGAGAAACATATTTTATAGTGGAATACCTGTAAATTCTCTACTTAGAAAATATTAACTTCGAATTCGTTTTTCTGTTTTATCCATCTTGCAGAAAGACTTGTTTTGTGTGGGTGTCAGTTGGCTAAAAACATTATATATTTTTTTACAAAATTCTCAGTGCTTACAATCTTGTGTGTACACAAGGCAGGGACATTCTTTGTATTATCAAATATTTGATTTCCTGTGAGGTTAACATATTTTTATTTCCCTATTTTGTGAATTGTCAGTTTTGTTATCTGAAAGAAAGCTTTTTTTTACAAAACACCTTCAAGCGAAAGAAAAAAAAAATGCCTAGGATTAAGAGAATTCAAATTCTCTGATCTGGGGTGGATGAATGGTGGAAACAGGAAGAAAATAACCAAGGCAGAAAAGATGCACAGAAATATAGACCCTTATATATGAAAGGGACTCTATGCAGTCCTGGTCCAATCAGTATCAAATTAATGAATGTGATGTGTACTTTCTTGATGGAGCATTCCTCTAATATCAGTTTGGTCACTTCTAGAAATAGGGAGATCACTATCTCTTGAGACTGCCCATTCCATTTTGGGTCTCAAAAAGTACCTATGTTTGAAAGTGCCGAAGTTATTACTATACATATGAATAGCAATTAAGTACTAGCTTAGAGAGCCTCATATGTGCCACGTGTAATTCTAAGTACCTCACATGTATTAAATCGTTTAATGCTCAAAGAGTCATCTTAGGAAGTTATGATTATTATCTCCATTTTACAGATAAGACAAATGAAGCTCGGAAAGGTTAGATAAACTTATCAATGTCGCCCAGCTGGTAAATAACGGAGCCTGACACAGGATCCTAGAATTCTAGCTCTAGAGCCTGTGCTTTTAAGCACATCAGTGTTCTTCCTTTCAATGCATGAATGTTCCCAGGTTTTCCTCATCCTTGAATTGGTCAAAGAATTCTACTGTTGCCCACTCAGACTTACCCCTTTCTTTGACTCCCATGGACAGATCTGCTGTTGCCAGACTATTTGCTTAGCCTTTTGTGATGCAGAATCAGGAATGACAAGAAAAAGGATAACAAGCAGATGGGCCAGGGGAAGACATTTCCGTAAAATGTGGCCCAAAACCAACATAGTATGACAAAAGTGTTGGAAGGAAAATGGAAATTTTGAGAAGCCTCGCTGGAGACTATACAATTCATGGCATTCAGAAAACTCAAGGGAGGAAATTGAACTATTCTTATGTTACTTTTTGTTAGCTAGACTGTACCCTGATTACTGCACCAATCTCACACTGGACAACAGAGATCATGGATTTAGCTTGGTTACATATATTTCTGTAAGAATCTGTTGGTTCCTTGATCTTGGACTTCCCAACATCCAGATCTGTGAGAAATAAATTTCTATTGTTTATAAGCTACCTAGTTTATGGTATTTTGTTACAGCATGCTGAACAAACTAAAGATACTTGAGAAATTCACTATTAGGTCTAGCAGGGTTTTTTGTAGGTTTCCTGGGTTATTTTTGCACAATGTTGTTTCACAATAGAGTTTTACTTCTTCTATTCAAATCTGGATACCTTTTATTCCTTTTTCTCTCCCTATTTCACTAGCTGGAACCTTCACTACAATGTTAACTAGATATAAGTTCAGATATCTTTGCATTTTTTCTGGTCTTAAGGGGAAAATAACCAATCTTTCATTATTAAGTACCATGTTAGCTGTAGTTTTTCATCATGTCTTTTATGAAGTTGATAAAGTTTTCTTATATTCCTATTTTGCTGAGAGTTTTTATCAGAAATTTATGTTGGATTTTGTCAAATGCTTTTTATGCTTCTACTGTGATAATCACATGGATTTTATTTTTTAGTGTATTAATAAGATAAATTAAGTTGATTGATTTTCAAATGCTAAGCCAAAATTGTTTACCAACACTGTTTTCATGAGATAAATCCCACTCTTTCATGATGTATTATCATTTTTATGTATTGTTGGATTTGATTTGTCAAATTAAAAAAATTGCATTTTTATTCATGAGGGATATTGGTATAGGATTTTCTTGTGTTAATGTCTTTGCCTGGTTTTGGTATCAAGGTAATGGTAACTTTATACATTGAGATGGGGAGAATTCAAACTCTTCAATTTTTTTGGAAGAGTTCATGTAACAATACATATTATTTCTTCCTTAAATTTTGGAAAGACATGTTGGCATGGGATTTTCTTTGTGAGAAGATTTTTTAGTTACACATTGATTTTCTTTAATAAATATAGAATTGTTCAGATTACTTAGTTCAGTGAGTTTTGGTCATTTATGTCTTTGGAGAAATTTGTTTATTCCATCTAAGTTGTTGAATTTATTAGCAGGAAGTTCATATTATTTTCATATTTTCCATTTATTATTTGTTTGTTTGTTTGCTTGTTTTTTTGAGACGAAGTCTCGCTCTGTT
This sequence comes from Homo sapiens, assembly GCF_000001405.40. NCBI lineage: Eukaryota > Metazoa > Chordata > Mammalia > Primates > Hominidae > Homo > Homo sapiens. The sequence goes on from NC_000006.12 coordinate 139,613,190, forward strand.
GCCCAGGCTGGAGTGCAATGGCATGATCTTGGCTCACTGCAACTTCTGCCTCCCAGGTTCAAGCTATTCTCCTGCCTCAACCTCCCGAGTAGCTGGGACTACAGGTGTACACCAGCATGCCCAGCTAATTTTTGTATTTTTAGTAGAGTTTCACCATGTTGGCCAGGATGGTCTCGATCTCTTGACCTCGTGATCCGCCTGCTTCGGCCTCCCAAAGTGCTGGGATTACAGGCATGAGCCACTGCACCTGGCCCATATTTTTCTTTTATTATATGTAGTTTCTGTAGGGAGGTCTCTATCATTTCTCATATTGATAATTTCTGTTTTTCTGATTAGTATCACTTTCATATATTTTTCTCAATGAACCAAAGCTTTTCTGTATTCATTCTGTATTTTCTAAATTACACTGAACTCTGTTGTAATCCTTATTTAGTTTCTTCCATAGTTTTTGGGTTTAATTTGCACTTCTTTTTCCAGTTCAGGGGTGAGTAAACTTCTTATGCAGAGGATGACATGGCAATATTTTAGCTTTGTGAGCCATACAGTCTTTGTACAACCACTCAACTCTGCCACTGAAGTGTGTATGCCCCTCTAGGATGTAAAAGAATGTGCAAGACTGTGCCAATAAAATTTTATCTCTAAAAATGAGCAGTGATCTTGGTTTGATCGAAGGGCTGTAGTTTGCCAAGCCCTGTTCTCTTTTCTCATAGTTGAAGCTGAGTTCATTGATTTGAGACCTTATTTTCTAATACAGTCATGTAGTGCTGTAAGTCTCCCCATTTAAAATGATTTTTGTGGTATTCTACGAATTTAGGTATGTTGCCGTCTCATTTTCATTCAGTTTAAAATACTTTCCAATTCAATTTGCCATTTTTTCATTCAATTATCACTATATTGCAAGATGGTATAATTAATTACAAGTTTAAATTATAACTTGGTAATCTTGAGTCAGGCAGCAAGTTTTAATAAAGGCAAACGCTTATTCAAAAGTGATCACGGAACAACTGAAATGCAGAGTAAGAAGGATGAGAGCCATCTGACTGGCCAATAGATTTAGTTCTCTCACTATATGAAACAAACTTTTCATTTTTAGGAGAGGAAACTTCTACTGAAGTTATAGTTTACGTCTCCTAAAAATACAGAATACAGGATACAAAAATACTACAATACAGAAAGATTTTGTCACATAGACTGGTTTCCATTTAGTCAATCAACTGTTTCTAGTTGTCTCAATTGGGATAGATGCATTTACATAACTGGCTGTGCTTGAGCCTTCTTTGCCAGCAGCTTTAGGTTGGCAATGCACTTGGCAATTGTCTCCTTTTCCTGCTGTGCAGAGATGCTCTGCACCACGTGCTTCTCCACCCAATTTATCATGTGTTCTTGTTTCTTTCGAAGCATCATGTTCTGCACAGTTATATGATAGTCCAGGTGATTCTTTACTTCCTTATATAGTCTATGCAGTCGTTCCCAGTAACCTCCAAAGCCATAGCAATGTTGTTTTTCTGCACATCAAAAAGGTAATGGTGCTTCTGAACGAGTGCCTGCTGTGACTTCTCCAAATCAGTTGCATCCTGGATTTGTCTGATAGAAGCCTGCTTCACCTCTTCTAGTTGGGCAATTTTTTGCTCATTGAATTTTTCAGCAAAATCTCCAATAGAGGCGCGATATTTTAAAATTATTTAGACAAGTAACCATACTATCGATGTGGTAGAGAAGGTCTCTGGGGTAATCATATATATTTCTTTGGATAAACCATACAAGATAAGCCCAGTTCTGAGCACATAGGGTCCTGTTACACCAGTTTTAGGATAAAGAAACTGGAAGAATTCCTCAGGGATCAGCCCCAAATGAACTTTCCCTCCATATTCAGGAAGAGGTGGTAGAAGGGCAAGGTGTGGCTGCCCTGTGTGAAAGGTCTTTGTTGCCTGCAATATCCCTGGACCTATGAAGGCTGTATTCTTCAGAGAGGGGGCCACCATGGTGGTGGCAGAATGTGCCACCTGGGACAGCATGGTCAGCGAAGGCCCAGGCAGTGGTCTTAGCATCCCTGTGACTCCAACCAGAGCCAATTTACCTTTTGAATTCTTTAATATTTGGGTTATATAGATGTGTGTTGTTTGGTTTCTAGAGATTTCTATGTTATTCATTTTAAAAATTTTATTCCTCTGTAGTCACAGAATAGACTTTGTATGACCTAAATTCTTTTAAATTTATTTAGACTGGTTTTATGTCCCAGAATATGGTCTATGTTTCACACACACACATGAATATTTCACATGCACATGAGAAGAATGTGTATTCTACTGTTGTTGGGTGGATTCTTCTATAAATGTCAATTAGGTCAACTTAGTTGATCGTATTGTTCAAGTATTCCATGTTTTAGATAATTTTCTGTCTACTTGTTCTATCAAATATTGAGAGAGGTGAATTTTAATCTCCAACTATAGTTGTGGATTTGTGCATTTCTTTTTACAGTTGTGTTAGGTTTGGTTTCCTATGTTTTATTTATTTATATTTATTTTATTTTTTATTTTTTAATAGGTTTTGAGGGAACGGGTGGTGTTTGGTTACATGAATAAATTCTTTAGTGATGATGTCTGAAATATTGGTGCACCCATCACCCAAGCAGTGTACACAGTACCCAATGTATAGTCTTTTATCCCTTGCCACCCCTCATTTTTTCCCCCGAGACCTTAAAGTCCAATGTATCATTCTTATGCCTTTGGGTCCTCATAGCTTAGCACCCACATGTGAGTGAGAACATAAGCTGTTTGGTTTTCCATTCCCGAGTTACTTCACTTAGAATAATAGTCTCCAATTCCATCCAAGTTGCTGTGAATGCCATTATTTCGTTCCTTTTTATGGCTGAGTAGTATACCATGGTATATTTCTATCTCTATCTCTATACATATCACATTTTCTTTAAATACTCATTGATGGGCATTTGGGCTGGTTCCACATTTTTTGCAATTGCAAATTGTGCTGCTATAAACATGCGTGAGCAAGTATCTTTTTTGTATAATGACTTCTTTTCCTCTGGGTAGACATATAGTAGTGGGATTACTGGATCAAATGGTAGATCTACTTTTAGTTCTTTAAGGAATCTCCACACTGTTTTCCATAGTGGTTGTACTAGTTTATGTTCCCACCAACAGTGTAAAACTGTTTCCTTTTCACCACGTCCATGCCAACATCTATTATTTTTTGATTTTTTGATTATGGTCATTCTTAAGGGAGTGAGGTGGTATTGCATTGTGGTTTTGATTTGCATTTCCCTGATAATTAGTGATGTTGAGCATTTTTCCATATGTTAATACTTGTTGACCATTTGTATATCTTCTTTTGAGAATTGTCTGTTTATGTCAGCCCACTTTTTGATGGGATTGTCTGTTTTTTCTTCTTGCTGATTTCTTTGAGTTCTTTGTAGATTCTGGATATTAGTCTTTTGTCAGATGTATAGATTGTGAAGATTTTCTCCCACTCTGTGGGTTGTCTGTTAACTCTGCTGATTATTTCTTTTGCTGTGCAGAAGCTTTTTAGTTTAATTAAGTCCCACCTATTTATCTTTGTTTTTGTTGCATTTCCTTTTGGGTTGTTGGTCATGAAGTCTTTACCTAAGCCAACGTCTAGGAGGGTTTTCCGATGTTATCTTTTAGAATCTTTATGGTTTCAGGTCCTAGATTTAAGTCTTTGATCCATCCTGAGTTGATTTTTGTATAAGGTAAGAGATGAGGATCCGGTTTCATTCTTCTACATATGGCTAGCCAATTATCCCAGCACCATTTGTTGAATAGGGTGACCTTTCCCCACTTTATGTTTTTGTTTGCCTTGTTGAAGCTCAGTTAGCCGTAAATGTTTATTTCTGGGTTCTCTATTCTGTTCCATTGATCTGTGTGCCTATTTTTATAACAGTACCACGCTGTTTTGGTGATTATGGCCTTATAATAGTTTGAAATCGGGTAATGTGATGCCTCCAGATTTGTTCTTTTTGTTTAGTCTTGCTTTGGCTATATGGGCTCTTTTTTGGTTACATATGAATTTTAGGATTTTTTTTCTATTTCTGTGAAGAATGACAATGGTATTTTGAAGGGAATTGTATTGAATTTGTAGATTGTTTTTGGCAGTATGGTCATTTTCACAATATTGATTCTACCTGTCCAAGAGCATGGGATGTATTTCCATTTGTTTGTGCCTATGATTTCTTTCAGCAGTGTTTTGTAGTTTTCCTTGTAGAGATCTTTCACCTCCTTGGTTAGGTATTTTCCTAAGTATTCGATTTTATTTTTTGCAGCTATTGTGAAAGGGATTGAGTTCTTGATTTGATTCTCAGCTTGGTTGCTGTTGGTGTATAGCAGAGCTACTGATTTGTACATTAATTTTGTATTCTGAAACTTTGCTGAATTCGCTTACCAGTTCTAGGAGTTTTTTGGATGAGTCTTTAGAGTTGCCTTTCCTTTCCCTTTCCCTTTCCCTTTCCATTTCCCTTTCCCTTCCTTTCCTTTCTCTTTCTCTCTTTCTCTCTCTCTTTCTTTCTTTTTCTTTCTTTTGATGGAGTCTTGCTCTGTCTCCAGGCTGGAGTGCAGTGGCGCGATCTCGGCTCACTGCGACCTCCGCCTCCTGGGTTCAAGTGATTGTCCTGCCTCAGCCTCCTGTCTTTAGGGTTTTCTAGGTATATGATCATATCATCAGCAAACAGCAACAGTTTGACTTCCTCTTTACTGATTTGGATGTCCTTTATTTCTTTCTTTTGTCTGATTGCTCTGGGTAGGACTTCTAGTACTATGTTGAGTAGAAGTGGTGAAAGTGGGCATCCTTGTCTTGTTCCATTTCTCAGGAGAAATGCTTTCATCGTTTCCCCCTTCAGTGTAATGATGGCTCTGGGTTTGTTGTAGGTGACTTTTATTACCTTAAGGTATATCCCTTCTATGCCAATTTTGCTGAGGGTTTTGATCACAAAGGTTGCTGGATTTTATCAAATGCTTTTTCTGCATCTATTGAGATAATCATGTGATTTTTGTTTTTAATTCTGTTTATGTGGTATATCACATTTACTGACTTCTATATGTTAAACCATCCCTGCATCCCTGGTATAAAACCCCCTTGATCATGGCGGATTATCTTTTTGATATGCTGATGGATTTGGTTACCTACTATTTTGTTGAAGATTTTTGTATGTGTTTGGAATCTGTGTGTTTATTGCTCTTATCAAGTTTGAAATATTTTCAGTTTTAATTTCTTCAATTTTTTTTTTTTACTCTCTGATTCGAGGACTTCAATTACATGTAAGCTAGGTTACCTGAAATTGCTGCACAGCTCACCGATGCTCCTTTTGTTTTTCTCTCTGTGCCTTCTTTTTTTTTTTTTTTTTTTTTTGAGACAGAGTCTTGCTCTGTCACCCAGGCTGGAGGGCAGTGGCGCGATCTCTGCAAGCTCCGCCTCCCAGGTTCACACCATTCTCCTGCCTCAGCCTCCTGAGTAGCTGGGAATACAGGCACCCACCACCACGGCTGGCCAATTTTTTGTATTTTTAGTAGAGATGGGACTTCACCGTGTTAGCCAGGATGGTTTTGATCTCCTGACCTTGTGATCTGCCAGCCTTGGCCTCCCAAAATGTTGGGATTACAGGCATGAGCCACTGCACCTGGCCTTTTTTTTTTTTTTTTGAGATGGAGTTTTTTGCTCTTGTTGCTCAGGCTGGAGTGCAATGGCACGATCTTGACTCACTGCAACCTCTGCTTCCTGGGTTCATGCGATTCTCTCGCCTCAGCCTCCCGAGTAGCTGAGATTACAGGCACGTGCCACCAAGCCTGGCTAATTTTGTATTTTTAGTAGAGATGGGGTTTCACTATGTTGGTCAGGCTGGTCTTAAACTTCTGACCTCCGGTGATCCACCCGCCTCGGCCTCCCAAAGTGCTGGGATTAAGACATGAGCCACTGTGCCCAGCCTCTGTGCCTTCTCTTACAGTGCCTATTGCTATTTCTACAAGTTTGCCAATCTTTTCTTTATATAATATGTAATTTGTCATTAATCTCATGTATTGTATTTTTATCAAAGACATTATAATGTTCCCCTCTCAAAAAGTTTGATTATGCCTCCACATAATTTTAAAAAGTCTATTAAATGCAGTTATAATGACTGTTTTAATGTTCTATTTTGATATTTCCAATTTCTCTCAGTTCTGGGCCTGTTTCAATTAATCCTTTCATTTTTTTTCCTATTTTCCTTTATTTTATGCCTGTTAATCTTTGATAATCTTTGCTAGTCTTTGACATTGTGAATTTTACTTGTTGGGTGCTAGATATTTTTGTGTTCCTAAAAATATTCTGGCGCTTTCTTCTGGGATGCAGTTAAGTAACTTAAAAACAGACAGCATTTTTCTAGACTTTCTTTTAAGATGTTAGTCATAACTAGCGCAGTGTTTTCTCTTGGGCTAATTATTCCTTACTACTGAGTCAAGACCCTCTGAATTTACCCATGCCCAGTGAATTATAAGGTTTTGTAGTCTGGCTTGTGGGAACAGGCACTATTCCCAGCCCAGTGTGAGCACTAGGTTCTGTTTTCTCTAATCCTTTTAGGTGGTTCTTTTTCCAACATCAAGCAGTCTCATCACATGTATACGCTGATCAGACTCTGCTGAGTATTTGAAGGAGATCCTCTGGAGACCTCCATAGTGCCTTCTCTGTTCATTACTTTCCCCTCCAGTACTTTGTTCTGTGAACTCTGTCTGCCTTGGTCTCACTGGATTCTCAGTTCTGTTACCTCAACTCAGGGAATCCACACGTTCCAGCTGGCTTTATCCTCCCTGAATCACAACTTAGCATCTCCCTCAAAACGGTAACCCAGAGTAATCAGAGAATCCGACCTGTCTTCCGTCTAGCAGGAATTACGTCTTTCTTGCCTGATGTCTCATGTCTTGAAAGTTGTTGTTTCTGCCGGGCACAGTGGCTCACGCTTGTAATCCCAGCACTCTGGGAGGCCGAGGCGGGCGGATCACGAGGTCAGGAGATCGAGACCATGGTGAAACCCTGTCTCTATTAAAAATACAAAAAATTAGCCGGGCGTGGTGGCGGGAGCCTGTAGTCCCAGCTACTCGGAGAGGCTGAGGCAGGAGAATGGCGTGAACCAGGGAGGCGGAGCTTGCAGTGAGCCGAGACTGCGCCACTGCACGCCAGCCTGGGCAACAGACGGAGACTCCGTCTCAAAAAAAAAAAAAAAAAAAAAGAGAAAGTTGTTGTTTCATATATTTTATTTAGGTTTTTGTTTGTTTGTTTGTTTGTTTGATTTTAGGTAGGGATGGTAACTCTATTCCTTATCATCTTAGTCAGGACAGAAGTTTATCAGTTTTTTTCTTATTCATTACTACTCTGCTCTGGAAATTTTCTAGTTTGTCTTTCAAATGTGTTTCCTACACCTACCAGAATTCTGGGTAAATTCTGAGAAATACAGAGGAAAGCAGAACTTTATTCATTATAATCTATTCTTTTTTTTGTTTTTTTTAAGACAAGTCTTGCTCTGTTGCCCAGGCTGGAGTGCAGTGGGGAGATTTCAGCTCACTGCAAGCTCCGCCTCCCGGGTTCACACCATTCTCCTGCCTCAGCCTCCCGAGTACCTGGGACTACAGGCGCCCGCCACCACACCTGGCTAATTTTTTTTTTTTTTTTTTTTTTTTTTTGAGACGGAGTCTCGCTCTGTCGCCCAGGCTGGAGTGCAGTGGCGCGATCTCGGCTCACTGCAAGCTTCGCCTCCCGGGTTCACGCCATTCTCCTGCCTCAGCCTCCCGAGTAGCTGGGACTACAGGCGCCCGCTACCACGCCCGGCTAATTTTTTGTATTTTTAGTAGAGACGGGGTTTCACCGTGTTAGCCAGTATGGTCTCGATCTCCTGACCTCGTGATCCGCCTGCCTCGGCCTCCCAAAGTGCTGGGGATTACAAGCGTGAGCCACCGCGCCCGGTTTATAATCTATTCTTGATCCTCTCGTGTGTAGAGCCTAAGAACACATTTTAAAATTCAGTCTCATTATAATGTATCCTGTCAATGTACATGCAAACAAGTAGAACACTGAAATATTCCTTACTTGTATAACTACAGGGTATTTTCCCTATCTTGTATTTGTACAATTGTTTGTATTTTTTCTTTCTAGTTACAAGATCATATATATATATATTTTGTTGTTGTTGTTATTGTTGTTTTTTTGAGATGGAGCCTCACTCTGTTGCTCAGGCTGGAGTGCAGTGGCATGATTGTGCAATCTCCGCCTTCCAGGTTCAAGACATTCTCCTGCCTCAGCCTCTGGAGCAGCTGGGATTACAGGCGTGTGCCACCACACTCAGCTAATTTTTGTATTTTTAGTAGAGATGGGGTTTCACCATGTTGGCCAGGCTGATCTGGAATTCCTGACCTCAAGTGATCTACCCGCCTCGGCCTCCCAAAGTGCTGGGATTATAGGTGTGAGCCACCGCACTCGGCCAGATTTTTAATTTTTTAAAACTGAATTTCATTTGGTTAGATTTCTTTTTTTTTTTTCTTTTGTTTTTGAGACAGAGTCTTGCTCTGTCACCCAGGCTGGAGTGCAGTGGTGCCATCTTGGCTCACTGCAAGCTCTGCCTCCTGGGTTCACGCCATTCTTCTGCCTCAGCCTCCCGAGTAGTTGGGACTACAGGTGCCTGCCACCACGCCTGGCTAATTTTTTTGTATTTTTAGTAGAGACAGGGTTTCACTGTGTTAGCCAGGATGGTCTCGATCTCCTGAACTCATGATCCGCCCGCCTCGGCCTCCCAAAGTGCTGTGATTACAGGTGTGAGCCACTGCGCCCAGCCCATTTGGTTAGATTTGAACTAGAACTTGCTAATTCATCATAGAAGAACATATTTTAAGAAGTACCTAGTATCAAAGGCTAGAAGAAGGAGTACAGAGAAAACCAGTTTGTTAGGAACAGGGCTCAGGAAAGATTAATCAAGTTGATGATCTAGAGGGAACATATGGTGGTTGAAATCAAGGAGGAAAAAAGTGAGATAAAAGCCTCCAAATGGAATGTACTAGTTTGCAGGATCTGGAACAAGGACCCAGAAACTCCCTGAGCTAATACTGAAGTGATGAAAAAGAATTGCTAAAAAGGGTTGTTGGCATTTTGAACTTGTGACAAAATGATTGCATGCATGTGAAGGCTGTAGTTAGGATTTCCTTCATTTTATCTGTGATAATTAGTGTTATTCAACTGAACTAACATATATGTGTATATTTGAAGCAACCGTTTGTGATGGTTGGCAGGATGTGTTACACTGGTGGAGAGAGAGTGAAAAAAGGGTAAGACCCAGGTCTATCAACCTAATGCAAGCAATGCCATTCTTTTCATTAGTCTGGATAATGTCCATGCAAAGTTGACCATGAATAAGCAATATAAAGTAGGGAGTTATCTAAATGTTAGATCATGGTCTTCATTGAGGTTGCTTTGTCATTTGGAGGCAAGAGTTTTACCTCTTTGGGAGACGGATATCAGTTTTTATTACAGCTGTATCTGAGAAGGCCAGATTTAGGGAGTAAGGATGGATGTAGTGCTCTTGATTATAGCAAAGGCTGGAAGTACTACTCTAAGAAAAATAAATGGGCTTCTTTTTTCCCTGAGCTATGTCCCATTCTTATTTATTTATTTATTTTTGAGATGGAGTTTTGCTCTTGTTACCCAGGCTGGAGTACAATGGCACGATCTCAGCTCACCACAATCTCTGCATCCTGGGTTCAAGCAATTCTCCTGTCTCAGCCTCCCGAGTAGATGGGATTACAGACATGTGCCACCAAGCCCAGCTAATTTTGTATTTTTAGTAGAGACGGGGTTTCTCCATGTTGGTCAGGCTTGTCTCGAACTCCCAAAGTCAGATGATCCGCCCACCTCGGCCTCCCAAAGTGCTGGGATTACAGGCATGAGCCACCGCCCCCGGCCCTTTATTTTTGCTTCTTAAAAACCACTTTGTATAATTCTTGTTTCTTCATTTCCTAGCCCAATATTTTTAATGCTTTATATCTCTTTTTTCTTTGTCTTTTCTTTTAATTTGAATGTTTACCTGAGTATTCATTTCCTTCTAATCATGTTTTGCTTGCCACCTTTGCAGACAGTACCACCGTGGGAGCAAAGAGGGTTTTGTACAGGGAGAAGGAGAAGAGGGACTAATAGGCCATGAACTAACCTGCTTTTTCTCCAGCAACCAATGTGCACTGTATGGAACGGGGAGACATTTCTGTTGCAGTCAGTTAGGCCTAGTCATGATGGGGCCATTGGAAGGAATAGTAAACAGGAGCTAGAGAAAAAAGCTGTGCTTGCAGCAGTGTAGGCGCCCTCCTCGCTCATATAGCAGAAATATGAGACCACGAGTGATAACCCAGTGGCCTTATATTTTGAGTCATGGTCTCATGCACCTTTGGGAATATTCCTTTCCACATGCCCACAGCAACCTCCTCCCACCCTTCTCTGTGGGCTGACAGAGACACAATTTGCAAACACATGATATTCTCATCCAAATACAGAATAGAACAGATTTTCAATGCAATTCAACAAACACCTATTGAACAACTACTGCACACCAAGGAGAGTAAGGAATGATTGAGTTTAAAGTTGCACAAGACATGGTCTTTGATTTTTAGGAGCTATAGTCTAGAGAAACACATAAAAAGCCATACTGGAGGTGGCCAAAAAAGGAGTAAGGGTCAGAAAAGAAGCACAAAGTACAGGGGGAGCTCAGAGGAGTGAGAAATGATTTCTTGTTATGAGGTTAAGAGAGGCTTCATGAAGCCTGGAATTTCATCTTGGTTCTCAATAGTGAGAAAGACTGAGGAAGGGAATGTTATGTAAAAGCATAGAGATAAGAAAATGCAGAAGACATTTGTAAAGAAAGTGATGGAAGAACAATGGAGTTGAATGGACATTTCAGATGAGAGTATGTGACACGCTGGGATCCACATTAAGCAGATTGGACTTTGTTCTGTAGGCAAAAGGCGATCATTGATGGACTTCAATAGGGGTGATAATGTGAATTATTATGCATGTAAATAATTGCATTGGCAGCTGAATAATGATGGAGTGGGAAGTTAGCAGCCTGGGAGACCAATCAGAAAAGAGGAGAGAAAAGAAAGAGCCAGATCTTAGGGTTAAGCATAGTGGTTACGAGTGAAGCCATAGAAGCTGGATGACCTTGTGCATTAATAGACACCTTGACTTGCCACGGATGAGCCATAACCTTGGGAGAAGTTACTTAATTTTTCCATGGTTCAGCTTCCTCCTCTGTAAATCAAGGATTGGAATGGGAGTTATTTCACAGAATTGTAAGGATTAAATTAGTTAACAGGTATAAAGAAATTAGATCTGCATCTAACAAACGGTAAGCACTCCAGAATATATTAGTAAGGCAGTGATAACAAGAGACAATAAGGAGTGGGTTTGAAAGTTATTCTACTATATAATTATGTCATTATTTATTATGGAGTTATTTTCAGCTATTTGCCTATTAAACATAATTCTGTCATTTAGTAAGCAAAGCAAGAAATCAAGTTGTTACCATAGTACTTACTACATTTTGTTTATTTCTTGTGATTTCTGCTGGAATGTATCTCAGACTTTGAGATGATATATATTAGGTTGCCCCAACATATATTAGTTTTAAAAAGGAGCTTGAAAATTTAAGAAGGCTATTTGAGCTATGTAGTCAGACTTAGTTGTAACTTGAGTTTTATCTATAGTATCTATCATCTCTCTATATCTATCAGTCATCTATCTATGTATCTATCTAATAAATATGTATACTTCTTGTTTGTTTTTACTTTCTTACATAGCACCTAACCTATGGTAACTTAAATATTTTTTTCAGATATAACTGTGCAATATAACTTAAATATATTTTGCAGATATAACCTTCCTAACCCTTGGGAGGCAGGAAAAGCCATATTAATTGAGATTTAGAACCGTAGTTCCACCAGTCCCTGCCTGGATTTTCTTTCCTCCCTCTGCTCTACCCTCACTACTTAAACCATCACTGCAGAACAGAGGGAGCTCCCCTCCAAAAGTCACTCAGAAACAGCCAGGGGACCGGGAGGGCCTCCTCCGGTTAGTTGCTCTGTGTGTTCCTTTAAGTTCCCTCCCTGGAGACCTTGGGAGAAAGGTATGAGGCAGAATGAGGCTGAACAAGAGAAAACAAAGAGGCAGCTCTCATTATTAGGGTCAAGGCAAAGAGGAAAACAAAGGGCGGTAAGCAATTCTCCTTTGCTGTTTCCTGTGCAGTCTGAGTTTCATGTGGACTTATCTATGGTCTAGACCACATTGAAAATGTGAAGGTTATGATAACAGACATCGGTAGTCAACAGCTAACTGTAGAATATTTACCTTGATCTACTTTGGGCTTTAGTAATAATCTAGGACCTAGGAAAGAAACCATAGGTAAGTGTCAATGGAATGGCAAAGACCACCTGTGAATAGCCAAAGCACAGTTAAGGGAAGAACAGAGTGTGGGTGTTCTTGTGGCTCATAGCTTGCTACCTCTTTCTCGGTGCACCCTGGACCTTCCTGCTTCAGGGTCCTCTCTTCAGCAGTAGACACTAGGCTGGCTGAAAGAGCAGAGACCTGCCTTAGTTCTCACCCTTCATAGACTTTTGACTCTGGTAAGTCAACAGCAGAGGCAAAAGCAATGATGGTGTTTAAGACATGCCTTTGATGCCATTGTCTCAACCCTGCTGAGGAGAAGTTATCCAGCATCAAAAAGAGATGAACTCACATGCAGTCTTTTAAAAGTAAATATCGATGAATATTTCCTGGCATGAAAATTTGTTCAAGAAATGCTGTTAAGTACAAAAAGCATATAGTAAACATCATGTACAGTAAGAGTTTTCCTTGTGAGCCAAACCAAATTAACCATAAACATCACACATGTGCTTACAGGGAGGCTTACCCAAGTCTCATCAGGGCCATCTCTGATGGGAAGAGAATGTGAGGTTTGCTCCGTGTGTGTGTGTGTGTGTGTGTGGGTGTGTGTGTGTGTGAGTGTGTGGGTGTGTGTGCATTTATCATTTTTCTATCAATGAAAGTCATTTTTAATTTTCATAATAAGAAGTATATCAACCCATGACAGCAGCTAAGTGATGCAGCTTCCACAGAGATCTCTGGGAAATAATGCAGTGCCTGTTCCCTTTTTCTTTCTATTGTATCCTCTTCTTTTGCACAGAAAGCATGGAGTAGCAGCCTCCTCCTTTCCTAACAAGGATCCTGGCGTGTGGGTGAGGGAACCAGTGCAGAAAAGAAGAGGTTGAGGAGGCTTCCTCCCCACATTTCCATGTGTCAATCAGCTTCCTGCAGAAACCACTCCTCCCCCAGCTTCCTGCCAACATCCCTTTGGCAAGAAAAGAAAGATGGGCTGAACTCCCAACACTTGGCGAAATATCCCCTTTCCTGAAAGTGTTGGGTGGAGGGTGGGGGTGCTGGAAGAATCTGTCCTCAGTATGTATCCTGTTCTATCCTACACACTTTCAATCAATAGTGCCACCGTGTTGGGTCAGGTTCCAAGCTCTCCCTCTCCTTGCCTTTCTATGACCAGTGACCTGTGCACTTGCCCTGATAGCTTTCTCTTTATAAAGCTGACTTTAAAACTGACAACAAAAGTAGCAGTTAACAGTTACACAAGAGGAGATGAGGAAACCTCAGGCTGGTGACTGTGTTTGTTCATCAACTGACATTTGGGTGCCTTCTGAAGAAGCAAAGAAACAGCAGGGCACAGTGTAATTTGAACGAGAGAGACAAGGTGCTGGTCAAAGCAAGAAAATCCTAACTGGGGTGGAACGAAGTGTGGGAAACTCTCTCTAGAATTTCACTGATTAACCATTGATAAAATAACAGAAGTCTATTTTTCCCCTCTCAGGGCCCCTTTTATTCACATGCTGAATGTGAAAAGTAAGACATCCAACTTACCTAAGCTTTACACTGTGCTAATTGTGTATGAGAGACTGTCATTTGAGAGTGTAGCCTCAAATCTCTTTTCTGAAGGACTTGGTGCAGAGCACATGCCCTGTCACCTCCTCTCTCCTTTGAGGGGGTGCTGATGAGCACAACAGTTGATTCTTTCATCCTTACTGTTTGTTTTTCAGGAGGTATGTGGCATTTGTTTTTTGGTCTCACCTTCCTCAACTCCTGTACCAGCAGGATTCCTCCCCTTCCATTCTCTTCAGGAGGCATATTTCCATGTCAAAGACCTCTCTGGAGAGAAAGCCTCTTTTTCTTCCACCCTCTGCCTTGTTTTTGCCCGAATCACCTTAACTCCCTCCTTCCCAGCCCTGTTCCACAATAACCATGGCAAGGAACAAAACATGATTTAGAAATCGAATCCCCAGAAAAAGCCAGCTTTATTCTATGAGGGATAAGAGCAGTTAAATTGCCCTAAAAAAAAAATCAAGTTGTTGTAAGAAGGAATGATTGCTATCTCTTGCTGTAAACATAGAAATAAGAATTATTCTTTGGTGAAACTGTAGATTTTCCTTAGGAAAAATGGAAATGCCGAGACCACTACACACAGCTGGGTAAATTCATGGCAGGCTAATAGAAGAATTTATATGGGGGGAGTGAGCATACTTTAACTTGTCTTCTATCTATAGACAGTCTCCTGATATCCTCATCCAATAGGATGAATGGGTAATTGAAGTGGACACAAAGAAGGCTCTTCTATTCCGTGTTCCTGTTCTTCTAGGGTTGGGGAACCTTGGAACTTATTCCTACTCTTGCACTTTGGGAAGATCTTGGGAACCCAAATCCATTTATTCCCTGTAAATTGTGCCAAGATCAGAAGGCAGTCATGAAAGGGCTTCATTTGGGAGTGGTTTTTGGTGGTTTCGCTCAATGCTGTTTGAACCCAACTAAGGCATTTTCCTCAAGCCATCAAAAGCCCAAGAAATCTTCTGCACTAACCACCCATTCATAAGGAACTCAAGCTTATTAGCTCTTATCTGGTACCAGAATACATACCCCATTGGTCTTTGGATGACAGCCCTCTGGGCTCCCCACAGTAAAAGGTAGTCTTAGAACCAGAGGAAAAATCAAAGTCTCCTGGATCCTATGTATTTCTCATGTCCTAGGACTTGCCCCCTCTCCTCCTATGCTGGAGTTGCTTGAGTTATACAGAAACACTGGACAAAAAGCCTGCTCTCTTCTTTCCCTAGATAGTTCACAAAATATTCCTTTAGTTTGCAATGCTCTTCCCCTTTTTGATGCTGGCTGACTTCCACTTGGCTGACTCTTACATCCAATTAATTCTGAAGCCTTTGAAAACTCTGTTAGATGTTCTTCCTATATAATGTCACAACTGGCAGAATGAACAAATAAAACAATCATTGGGAAGAAATAAAAGCGTCACAAAACCTTCCAATTCCTTGCACTTTACCTCTTTTTTATGTGGTACTTGGTTGCACTAATGACCTCTTCTCTTTTATTCTAGAAAATGTTGACCTGTGTCTCTCTCTGAAACCAGAAAGAGCACAGTCCTAAAAGTAATGAGTAGCGGGACTCATTTAATATCTTTTATGTATAATGGGAAATTCAGGAAACACAGGAAGTATTTTCACTGGAGAGGTCAACCTGGAACATTCATTTCCAAAGTTACCTAAAGATTATACAGAAGTAGACACAACTTTGGTTTTCAGATAGCTTACCATCAAGTACTCGGATAAAGCACTAATATTACTTTTCTATTGTTGTTACAAATTACCACAACTTTAGTGGTTTAAAACAACACAAATGTATTAGCTTATAGTTCTGTAATTCAGAGGTTTGGGCATGGTTCAACCTTGTTCTCTGCTCAGGGTCTCACATTCAAGTATTAGTTGAGCTGAGTTCTTTTTTCTTTATTATTTTTATTTTTAATTTTTGGTGGTGCACAGGAGGTGTATGTATTTATGGGTTACATGAGATATTTTGATACAGGCATGCAATGAGTAATAACCAAATAAGGGTGAATGGTATATCCATTCCCTCAAGCATTTACTCTTCGTGTTACAAACAATCCAATTACACTCTTTCAGTTATTAAAAAATGTACAATTAAATTATTTTTGACTATAGTCACCCTGTTGTGCAAGGAAATACTACGTCTTATTCATTCTATATAACTATATTTTTGTACCCGTGAACTCTCCCTAGTTCCTCCCCACCCTCCCCAGCCTCTAGTAAGCAACCTTCTACTTTCTATCTCCATGAGTTAAATTATTTAAATTTTTAGCTCACACAAATAAGTGAGAACATGTGAAGTCTGTCTTTCTGCGTTTGGCTTATTTCACTTAACATAATGACCTCCAGTTCCATCTGTGTTGTTGCAAATGACAGGATCTCATTCTTTTACAGCTGGAGTAGTGTTCTATTGTGAATATGTACCACATTTTATTTATCCATTCATCTGTTGATGGACACTTAGGTTGTTTCCAAATCTTGACTAATGTGAACAGTGTTGCAAAAACATGGGAGTGCATATATCTCTTTAATACGCTGATTTCTTTTCTTTTGGGTATATACTGAGGAGTGGGATTGCTGGATCATAAGATAGCTCTATTTTTAGTTTTTTGAGGAGCCTCTGAGTTGTTCTCTATTGTGGTTGTACTATTTTACACTCCCATGAACAGTATATGAGGTTTCCCTTTTCTCCACAACGTAGCCAGCATTCATTATTGCCTGTGTTTTTGATAAAAGCCATTTTAACTCGGGCGAGATATCTCATTGTAGTTTTGATTTGCATTTCTCTGATGATCAATGATGTCGAGCCCCTTTTCATATACTTGTTTACCATTTGTATGTGTTCTTTTGAGCAATGACTATTCAGATCTTTTGCCCATTTTTAATTGGATCATTAGATTTTTTTCCTACACAGTTGTTTGAGCTCTTTATATATTCTGGTTATTAATTCCTTGTCAGATGGGTGATTTTAAAATATTTTCTCCCATTCTGGGGTTTGTCTCTTCACTTTGTTGATTGTATACTTTGTTGTGCAGAAGCTTTTTAATGTGATGTGATCCCATTTGTCCATTTTTGCTTTGGTTGCTTGTGCTTATGGAGTATTGCTCAAGAAATCTTTGCCAAATCTAATGTCTTAGACGTTTTCCCCAATGTTTTCTTGTAGTAGTTTCATAGTTTTAGGTCTTACATTTAAGTCTTTAATCCACTCTGATTTGATTTTTGTATATGGAGAGAGGTAGGGAAATAGTTTCATTCTTCTGCATATAGATATCTAATTTCCAGCATCATTTATTGAAGACTGTCCTTTCCCAATGTGTGTTCTTAGTACCTTTGTCAAATATGAGTTCACTGGGCCGGGCGCGGTGGCTCACGCCTGTAATCCCCGCACTTTGGAAGGCCGAGGCAGGCGGATCACGAGGTCAGGAGCTTGAGACCAGCCTGGCCAACATGGTGAAACTCCATCTCTTCTGAAAATACAAAAATTAGCTGGGCATGGTGGTGGGTTCCTGTAATCCCAGCTACTTGGGAGGCTGAAGCAGGAGAATCGCTTGAACCCGGGAGACAAGAGGTTACAGTGAGCCAAGATCGCGCCAGTGCACTCCAGCTCGGGCAACAGGAGCAAAACTCCGTCTCAAAAAAAAAAAAAAAAAGGAGTTCACTGTAGATGTATGAATATATTTCTGGGTTCTCTATTCTGTTCCACTAATCCGTGTGTCTTGTTTTTATGCAAGCACTGTACTGTTTTGGTTACTATAGCTCTGTAGTATAATTTGAAGTCAGGTAATGTGATTCCTCCAGTTTTTTTCTGTTTGCTTAGGATAGCTTTGGCTATTCTGGATCTTTTGTGGTTATGTATAAATATTAGGACTGCTTTTTCTATTTATGTGAAGAATGTCATTGGTATTTTCATAGGGATTGCATTAAATGTATAAATTACTTTGTGTAGTATGGACATTTAAACAATATTGATTCTTCCAATCCATGAACATAGAATATCTTTCCTTTTTTTGTGTGTCTTCTTTTTTTGCATCAATGTTTTATAGCTTTCATTGTAGAGATCTTTCACTTCTTTGGCATTTTATTTTATTTTATTTGTACCTATTGTAAATGGGATTCCTTTCTTGATTTCTTTTTAAGTTTATTTTCTCTTGGCATATAGAAATGCTACTGATTTTTGTATGTTGATTTTGTATCCTGCAATTTTACTGAATTTGTTTATCAGTTCTAATAGTTTTTTGGTAGAATTTTTAGGTTTTTCCCAAGCATAAGATTATATCATCTGCAAACAAGGATAATTTGAATTTTTCCTTTCCAGTTTGGATGCCCTTTATTTATTTTTTGTGCCTGATTGCTCTAGCTAGGATTTCCAGTACTATGTTGAATAACAGTGGTGAAAGTGGGCATCCTTGTCATGTTCCAGATCTTAGAGGAAAGACTTTCAGTTTTTTCCCGTTTAGTATGATACTAGCTATGGGTCTGTCGTAAATGGCTTTTTGTTATGTGGAGGTATATGCCTTCCATACCCAGTTTTTTTGGGAGTTTTTATCATGAGGGATATTAAATATTGTCAATTTTTTTCAGCATCAATTGAAATGATTATTTTTTTTGTCCATTCTATTGATGTAATGTATCACATTGATTGATTTGAATATGTATAACCATCTTTGCATCCCAGGGATAAATCCCACTTGATCATAATGAATGATCACTTTAATATGTTGTTGAATTCAGCTTGCTAGTATTTTGTTGTGGATTTCTGCATTAACGTTCATAAGAGATATTGACTTGTAATTTTATTTTTTTTGATGTGTCTTTGGTTTTGTTATCAGGGCAATACTAGCTTCACAGATTAAGTTTGGAAGTATTCCCTCCTCCTCTATTTTTCATAATATTTTGAATAGGATTGGCATTAGTTCTTTAAATGTTTGATAGACTAGAGCAATGAATCCATTGGGTCCTGGCTTTTCCTTGTTAAGGGACTTTTTATTATGGCTTCAATCTTATGACTTGTGAATGGTCTGTTAAGGTTTTGGATTTCTTTATGGTTCAGTCTTGGTAGGTTGTATGTGTCTAGAAATTTATCCATTTCTTCTAGATTTTCCAATTTATTGGCATATAGTTGTTCATGATAACTACTAAAGATCCTTTGAATTTCTGCAGTATCAATTGTAATGTCTCCTTTTTCATCTCTGATTTTATTTATTTGGGTCTTCTCTCTTTCATAGACAGGATAAAGGCTTGCCAATTTTATTTATCTTTTCAAAAAACCAACTTTTTGTTCCATTGATCTTTTTTGTTTATTTCATTCCAACTTCATTTATTTCTGCTTTAATCTTTATTATTTCTTTTCTTCTATTAATTTTGGGTTTGATTTGCTCCTGCTTTTCTAGCTGTTTAAGATGCATCACTAGGTTGTTTAGTGGAAGTTTTTCTTCTTCTTTGATGTATGCACGTATAGCTATAAACCTCCCTCTTTGTACTGCATTTGTGGTATCACATAGGTTTTGGTGTGTTGCATTTCCATTATCATTTATTTCAAGAGATTTTTCAGTTTCAATCTTAATTTCTTCATTGGCCCACTGGTCATTCAGGAGTGTATTGTTTAGTTTCTGTGTGTTTATACAGTTTCCAAAATTTCTCTTTTTATTTATTTCTAGTTTTAATCCATTTTGGTCAGAGAAGGTCCTGATATCATTTCAAGTTTTTTGAATGTTTGAAGACTTATTTGTCTAACATGTGGTCTGTCCTGGACAAAGATCATGTGCAGAGGAAAAGAACGTATATTCTGCAACCACTGGATAAAATGTTCTGTAAATATCTATTAGGTCCATTTGGTCTATAGTGTAGATTAAGTCCAATGTTTATTTGTTGATTTTTCTG
The DNA here is from genome assembly GCF_000001405.40 of Homo sapiens. Taxonomy (NCBI): domain Eukaryota; kingdom Metazoa; phylum Chordata; class Mammalia; order Primates; family Hominidae; genus Homo; species Homo sapiens. Next base: position 139,633,040 of record NC_000006.12, read on the forward strand.
TCTGGGTGATCTGTCCAATGCTGATAGTGGGGTGCTGAAGTTGTCAGCCATTACTGTATTGGGGCATATCTCTCTCTTCATCTCTAATAGCATTTGCTTTATTTATCTGGGAGCTCCAGTTTTGGTTGCATATATCTTTAAAATTTTTGTTATATCTTCTTGCTGAGTTGACTCCTTTATGATAATGACTTTTGTCACCTCTTATAGTTTTTGTCTTGCAATCTATTTTGTCTAATATAAATATAGCTACTCCTGCTCTTTTTTGGATTCCATTGCCATGGGATATCTTTTTTTCATGCCTTTATTTTCAGTGCATGTGTTTGCTTATAGAGGAAGTGTGTTTCTTGTGGGCAATGGATTATTGGGTCTTTTTTTTTTTTAAATTCATTCAGCTACTCCATGTCTTTTGATTGGAGAGTTTAGTCCATTTACATTCAGTCTTATTATTGATAAGTAAGGACTTACTCCTGCCATTTTTAATTTGTTTTCTGGGTGTTTTTTGGTTCTTCCTCCCTCCCTCCCTCCCTCCCTTCCTTCCTTCCATCTTTCTTTCAGTGATGGTGATTTTCTCTGGTAGTATGATTTAATGTCTTGCTTTTTATTTTCTATGCATCTGTAGTATTTTTTTTGATTTGAGGTTATCATGAGGCTTGCAAATACTATCTTATAACCCATTATTTTAAGCTGATAGCAACTTAATACTGTTTGCATAAACAAACAGGCAAAGGAAAACTAATACACAAAACTCTACGCCTTAACTTCATCCCCCACACTTTTTAACTTTTTCTTGTTTCTTTTATATTTTATAGTACTGGCTATATCTTGAAAAGTTATTATTTTTGACTGGCCCATTGTTTAATCTTTCTATTCAAGATAAGAGTAGTTTACACCACACAGTTACAGTGTTATAGTACTCTGTGTTTGTGCACTTACTATTACCAGTGAGTGTTGCACTTTCAGATGATTTGTTACTGATCATTAATGTCTTTCTTTCAGATTGAATAACTCTTTAGCATTTCTTGTAGGACAGGTCAGGTGTTCATGAAATCCTTAGGCTTTTGTTTGTCTGGGAAAGTCTTTATTTCTCCTTCATGTTTGAAAGATATTTTTGCTGGATATACTATTCTAGGGTAAAAATTTTTTTCCTTCAGCATTTTAAATATGTCATGTCGCTGGGCACAGTGGCTCACACCTGTAATCCCAGCACTTTGGGAGGCTGAGGTGGGCGGATCACGGGGTCAGGAGATTGAGACCATCCTGGCTAACACGGTGAAGCCCCATCTCTACTAAAAATACAAAAAATTAGCCAGGCGTGGTGGCAGGCGCCAGTAGTACCAGCTACTCGGGAGGCTGAGGCAGGAGAATGGAGTGAACCCAGGAGGCAGAGCTTGGAGTGAGCTGAGATCGCGCAACTGCACTCCCACCTGGGTGACAGAGCAAGACTCCGTCTCAAATAAATAAATGAATGAATGAATGAATAAATAAATAAATAAATATGTCATGCCACTCTCTCCTAGCCTGTAAGGCTTCCACTGAGAAGTCTGCTGCCAGATATATTGGAGCTCCTTTTTATAAGCTTATTTGTTTGTTTTCCCTTGCTCCTTTTAGGATCCTTTCTTTATCCTTAACCTTTGGAAGTTTGATTATTAAATACCTAAGGTAGTCTTCCTTGGGTTAAATCTGCTTGGTGTTCTATAACCTTCTCATGCTTGGATATTGATACCTTTCTCTAGGTTTGGGACATTCTTTGTTATTTTCTCTACGAATAAACATTTTACCCCATCTCTTTTTCTACCTTCCCTTCTCTTTAAGGCCAACAACCCTTTTTTTTTTTTTTTTTTCTGTTTTTTGAGAAAGACTCTCTGTGTTGCACAGGCTGGAGTGCAGTGGCACAATCTTGACTCATTGCAGCCTCCGCCTCCCGGGTTCAAGCGATTCTCCTGCCTCAGCCTCCAAGTAGCTGGGATTACAGACATGAGCCACTGCACCCTGCCTAAGGCCAACAACTTTTAAATTTGCCGTTTTGAGGATATTTTCTAGATCCTGTAGGCATGCTCCATTGTTTGTTTATTATTTTTTCTTTTGTCTCCTCTGACTGTATTTTTAAATAGCCTGTCTTCAAGCTCACTAATTCTTTATTCTGCTTGATCAACTATGCTGTTAAGAGACTACTGCATTCTTCATATGTCAGTTGCATTTTTCAACTTCAGAGTTTTTGCTTGATTCTTTTTAATTGTTTTATTTGTTAAATTTATCTCCTAGAATTCTGAGCTCCTTCTCTGTGTTATCTTGAATTTCTTTGAATTTCTTCAAAGTAACTATTTTGAATTATCTGTCTGAAAGGTCACATATCTCTATTTTTCCAGGATTGGTCCCTGGTGCCTTATTTAGTTCATTTGGTGAGGCCATGTTATCGTGGATTGTCTTGATACTGGTAGATGTTCACCTTTGTCTGGGCATTGAAGAATGGGGTATTTATTGTAATCTTTGCAGTCTAGGCTTGTTTGTACCTGTCCTTCCTTGGAAGGCTTTCCAGGTATTCAAAAGGACTTGGGTGTTGTAATCGAAGCCATATCTGCATTAGGGAATACCTTAAATTCAGCAATGTTGTGGTTCTGGCAGATACATAGAGGTACCATCTTGATGGTGTTGAATAAGATCTGGAAGAAATCTCTGGATTATCAGACAAAGACTCTTGTTCTCTTCCTTTACTTCCTCCAAACAAATGGTGTCTCTCTCTCTTCTGAGCTGTATGGAGCTAGGGATGGGGTGACACAAGCAACCCTGTGGCCACCAGCACTGGGACTGCACTGGGTCAGATCTGAAGCTAGCAGCTAGCATAGCACTGGGTCTTGCTCCAGGCCTGCTGTAACCACTACGTGCCTACCGCCTACGTTCACTCAAGGCCCTGGGGCTCTACAGTCAACAGCTGGCAAATCCAGCCAGGCCTGTTTCCTTCCCTTTGGGGAGGCAAGTTCTCCCTGAGCCCAGGTGGGTCCGGAGGTGCTGCTCGGGTGCGAGCTACTGGAGTTAAAAATCATAGAAGTCTACCTGGTGTTCTTTTTGTTCTGCAACTGAGCTGGCACTCAAACAACAAGATGCAGTCCTCACTTTTTTCTCCCCTTTCCACAGGTAGAGGAGCCTCACCCTGTGGTCATAATCACCACAGGCCCACAGGGAGTACTGCCAGACTACTGGCAATATTCCCTTTAGGCCCAAGGATTCTTCAGTCAGCTTCTGGTGAATGCTGCCTGGTCTGGGAATCACCCTTTTGGGCAGTGGGCTCCTCTCTGGCCCAGGGCAGGTCCAGAAATGCTGTCCAAGAGCCAAGGCCTGGAAGTGGGGACTCCAAGAGCCTGCAAGTTGCTCTAACCCTCTATTGCTAAGTTGGTACCTAAGGTGCAAGACAAAGTCCCCTTACTTTTCCTTCCACGTTTCTCAAGCAGGAGACTCTTCCTGTAGCTCCCACAGCTGGGAATGTGCTGAGTGTCACACAAAGCCAGCAAGTTTCAGAGTCTCACTCAAGGCCCACAGCATACTACCTGGGAGTCACTGCTGGTTATTCAGGGCCCAAGGGCTTTTTAGTCAGTAGGTGATCTGTCCTACCAGGACTGGGTCCTTCCCTTCAAGGTAGTGGATTTCCTTCTGGCCCAGAGTGTGTCTAGAAATGTTGTCTGGGAGCTAGGGCCTGGAAGGAGGGCCTTATGGCTCAGAATGGTGTCCTATGCTACTGTGGCTGAGGTGGTATCCAAAATGCAAGACAAAGCCCTCCTTACTCTTCACTCTCCTCTCCTTAAGCAGAAGGAAGGGGTCGCTTTCATTGCTGTGAGCTACACTGCCTGGGGTTGGGAGAGAGATGGCTCAAGCACTCCCTTAGCTAGCCCAGATGATGTTTTAGTAGGTCATGTGCCCCCCAAGTCCACTGTCTGTGAGTTCAGTTTAACACTAGGACTTGCCTAGGAGTTGTAGTCCTTGTGTCCTCGACTGCCTTTCCAGTTTATTTAGAGCCCCAGGACACTTTAGCCTGTGGTGGCAAGACTTGCCAGAACTCAAGTTCTGACTTCTAGGATGAACAATTCCACTGTGGCTAGGGCTGATTTATATACACCCTAGGTGGGCGAGCATCGGTTGAGTTGAGCCCAGATTTGCTTTCTGCTGTGACAGGGCAGTACTGAATTCAATGCAATGTTTCACAGCTGCTTTACTCTCCCTTTCTTAACTGCACAGATTCTCTCTTTGTGCCATGCAGTCACTGCTGTGGGATGGGGGAGAGGTAGCATTGGTAATTCAAGACTGTCTTTCCTTCACTCTTCCAGTGTTTTTCTTCAGTCATATGAAGTTAAAATCAGCTACTATGAGTGCTCACTTGATTTTAGGATCTTATGAAGGTGCTTTTTCTGTGTGCAAAGGGATGTTTTACATGGTGGCAGGCAAGATAGCCTGTGTAAGGGCTTTATAAAACCATCAGATCTCTTGAGACTTACTCACTATCATGGAAAGAGCATAGGAAAGACCTGTTCCCATGATTGAATTATTTCCCACTGGGTTCCTCCCATGACACATGGGAATTATGGGAGCTACAATTCAAAATGAGATTTGGATGGGGACACAGCTAAACCATATCAGGGTGTGAGCCACTGTGCTTGGCCTGAGCTGGATTCTTATCTGGGGATTTGGGTCCTCTTCCAAGCTCACTCAGTTCCATGCAATGTAGGACTGAAGTCCCTATTTCTTGCTGACTTTTGGGGCTGTTCTCAGCTCCTAGAAGCCACTCACATCTTTGCCATGTTCTTCTTCCCTCTTCAGAGCCAGCAATGGAGAATTGCTCTGAAACTCTGAATTCCTTTTACTAGGAAGAACCCTGTCCATTTTAAGATCTCACTGATTATGCCAGGTTAGGTTTATGACACTATGACAAAAAATGTGACCTAATCATGGGACTGACATCCCACAGTATTTATAGGTTCTTTCCATGCTCAAGAAGAAAGGATCATATGACAATGAGGGTCTGTGGGTTATGTTAGAATTCTGTTTACCACAACACTTGGTGGATAAGGCAGAAAAATCTAAATTCTACTTGAAAGATATAAAGTGTTACATGGAGGCATCATAAGGAGACAACCTTACTCTAAGATGGTAAATGCTTAGCATATGGGAGATGCTCAATCAGTGTTTGTTAACCTGTGGCAAGTCCATATATACTGAGAACACAATAATGTATTGGACGTATAAATCAGAATGAGCTTTATTTATCAAATAAGAAAACCTGTTTGTTCCACAAATTGGACAGTTTGATTGTCAACCTTCTGTGCAGGGGAAAATGAACTCCAGAAGGAGGGGCTGGGTAGATAAAGGTAGGGCTGGGGTAGATAAAGAGCCTTCACACATTTAAGCATTTTGAGCCACTCTCAGGGGAGAAGCCAGAAGAGTTTTGGTGAAAAGCCTACTCAGGAACCACAGCAGGTAGCATGATGTCAAAGTCAAGAATACAGGATCAGACACAAGTTGCCTTCAGTGGCCCAGTGTTTTTCTTATTTGCTGAGGCGCCTGAAAGTGTATACTTACTCACATGGGTTACTAAGTTCCCATTCAATATATCACTTCCCTTGAAAGAGTCAACGCACTTCCTTGAGAAATGCTCTGATAACCTGGCAACGAATGAGATAGGCCTGCCCAGACTGGAGTTCAATACTCGTTTGTGTTGACAGTATCTTCCAGTGTCTAACAGGAGATTGAATTGTAGTCATTAAAAGTGCTTCTCTGGGGTCACCTAATAAAAACAACACCACTAGGGGGGTTTTCTGATTATGTGACTCCTTCATTTGAAGTAATTTCAGAGCTTTATGGACAGATCTGTTTACAGCTATTTCCCATTCCTGTTTCATAAATGGAAATAAGTTGCCTCTGAAGAAAACGGACTTCTCCAAGGTCTTAGTAAATCAGTTGAAGCACAGGAAAGCTAATGCAATATTCTAGTTTTAAAATTTCTAAAAAGGAGATGCCTGGGTGTGGTGGCTCATACCTGTATTCCCAGCACTTTGGGAGGCCAAGATAGGAAGACTGCTCGAGGCCAAGAGTTTTAGACCAGCTTGGTCAACATGGCAAGACTCCATTTCTATAAAAAAAATTTTAAAATTGGCTGAGTATGGTGGTGTGCATCTGTAGTCCTAGTTACTCAGGAGGCTGAGGCAGGAGGATCACTTAAGCCCAGGAGTTTGAGGCTGCAGTGGGCTACAGTTGTGGCACTGCACTCCAGCCTGGGCTACAGAGTGAGGCCTTGTCAATTTAGATAGATACTTTAAATTGATGCCTGAATTTCTAATTTTCTAATTTGGATATTCACTTTTAACATTTATTTATAAATATTTCTATTGCTCTCACAATTCTCTAGTCTTGAAATGCTTGTATCTTTTCCTAGGCTGAAAATCTGGATATTTTATAAAGCAACTTAATTATTGAAGATTCAGATAAAGTCCATTTGACCAAGCATGTGTGTTTGTAAATTTTACGTTTAAATATTTTTATTTAATTGCTAAATACAAAATTGAATTACCCGACTGAAGTGACAGTCTGATTATTTCAATGTTACGCAAGAGGAATTTTAAATTTCCTGTGAAGTTCTCGGAAAGAATGATGAAGACATTGTTACTTCTTATATAAAGTCCAGTTTTAAGTACTCCAGAGTAGATTTAGAAAGGCTTTGCCGCTGCTTATCACACTTTAGCTGTTCAAGAAGGAGTCAGAGAGGCACATAAGTAGGGAAGGATGACTTATATAACTGATGCAAATACAAGTGTAGGCCCAGCAAAATTTCAGTTCACTATGGTTGAAGCTCTAATGAAGAGTAAACAAAACTACATCTTGTTATGTAGAAGTAAAGGATGAGTGGCAGTGCGTGGTGGCTCATGCCTGTAATCCCAGCACTTTGGGAGGCCGAGGCGGGTGGATCACCTGCGGTCAGGAGTTCGAGATCAGCCTGACTAACATGGTGAAACCTGTTTCTACTAAAAATACAAAAAATTAGCCAGGCGTGGTGGTGCACGCCTGTAATCCCAGTTACTCGGGAGGCTGAGGCAGGGGAATCACTTGAACCCAGGAGGCGGAGGTTGCAGTGGGCCGAGATAGTGCCACTGCACTCCAGCTTGGGCAACAAGAGTGAAACTCTGTCTCAAAAAAAAAAAAAAAAAAAAAAGGTGAGTGTACAGAAGAACTTGGAGGTTTATGGCCTATTATCTGGTAACATAGAATCTTAGAATGGTTCAATCATTCTAATGGTGGTGGCTAATTCCCATCAGAATATCACTCTTGTAGATACTTGGAGAGGTTTGTGTCTGGTGAATTCCATCACACTTTAATATGACAGTAACAATGTCCTAAAAAAGTGACTATGATTGATGAAGATGTTGGATGTTTGTGAAATAAGCATCTAAACTATCAGTTTGAATTTTTTTAAATAACAAATTGGTATTAAACTAGAACATTTGAAGTATTTTCTTACACTTAGTAGGAAAACATAGAGCATTTTAAGATGTTGAGTTTTAAATTAGGAAACAACAGCGAAGTATCTAGAGACACAGAATACACCAAAGGAAACCCACAAACCACAGGCTAAGACATTGTTACTATGTGGACTGACCATGACAAAATACTCACTCCCTTTCCTCTCACAAGGGCTGCTTTTAGCTCGATACTAGATATTATTGACATAAAAAACTCAGAGCACTAAAAATGTATCTACTCTGTTTTCCTAGTATTTGTTTTTCTTCCTTGTCTCCTGCAATTTTATGTGAGAAATGAGAACTCAGCGTGACCCCAGTTATTAAAATCCGGAGGCTAGAATCTGGATATGGAATATCTATTGAAGCATGGCACCAAAACTTGATAGCTTTTGCTCCTTTTTGGTACTGTTGTGAGGACCAAGAGTTAATGAAAGAACAAAAATCCAATCAAGCAAGTCTCTCCTTGTTCAGAAAATTAAATGCATGTGTGAGAGAATCAATGGTCAATATCGACACTTTGGTAGACGCATTGGAACTGATTTGGCTTCGTGCCGAGCTTTTAAGGCTATTGGTGGAGGAGGGAGGAGTTTAACAACAGGAAAACAGCCAAAGAATATGAACTTCTCTTTTACCATCTTCATCATGTATCATATATAATGATTGGTGAATAACATGGGAAAGTTGCCAAAATTGCTTTGTCTCAACATTTATAGTTTCCAGGGATGGAAACTATATCCAGATATCCAGACTCAACAGGCATCTAAAATTCAGGCTCTAACTTCTCAATGTTCTAGAGAATATCTATAATGCAATTTCTGCCTATAGAAATTCTCACAAGTGGAAGATGTTTAGCATAATAGATAGACGTATGGCTTGCACCAGATGTATCCTTTGTATGGAATGCTGTTTTCCATGATTCACATATAGCTATTTCCACCTTGCTATGTAGGGCTCAGTTTATACATCATTCCCTCAGAGAGGACTCTTCTGACCACCCTACCCAATCACTCCATAACATGTTTTATTTTTATCAGAGCACTTGCCACTTCCTCCTATTTTACTTCATTTTGTTTTGTTTGCGGTCTGTCTCCCTGCCTCTCACTTGAATTTAAGGTCCATGGAAGCAGAGACTTTGTCTGTCTTGTTCATTTCTATTTCCTTGTGTCTACAACATGTGTAGCCAATATTAGGTTCATAATAGATGCCTGCGGAATGACAAGTGAGTAAATGAATGAGCAATAAAGTATAGATATATTCTACCAGTATTGAATTCTTTGTTTCCCAGGAAAAGTTATTTGGTCTTAATATTCTGCCTTTCGTATTCTTTCTGTTCACCAATGATATTAAAATGCATAGTGTTGCTAGTGTATAAGGGTTTACATGGGGGTTTTTCTACAAGGGTGGAAAGGATTCCTCTAAGAGCAAAATAAGATTATCAGAAAATTTACTTTTAAGATAAACAAATGATAGATAAAAACTGAGAAAGGAAGTTATCTAAGTAAGATAAAGTGGCTCCTAGGTTTACAAGATTTGATTGAAATGAATAAAATGTATTATCATATATCAGGGGCAAAAAATACAACTAAAAGCATTGGTCAACCATGAAAGTAGAAAAGAAGAGTTTTGGATGCAACCTTACCGGTGCCTGTCTACACATCCGAGGACCGTGCATCCTGGAAGGGTCCACCAACATACCACTCTGCTGTGGAATGGTTGCATCTGGTCATCTCAACCTCATGCAATTATCTGCTTCTTGAAGTCTCTTTGTTCTGATTTCCAGGCCACCAAGCAAACTTTGCAATGTGATTTGGCACACATTTCTCCCGCCATGAGAAATGTACCTATGAACCTGAAGTCCTTCAGTCCCAGTGATGATCATTGCCCATCACGCATAATAAATTGGCATCAGGTTTATGTGTCTATCCCATAAGCTTGGTAAATGTGAGTAGTTCCTAAAAGAGATGTGCTGACAATTCATACATCTGAGCTGGCTAGATTCCCAGCAATGTGCTGGATCCTGATAAATTCACCAGGATGAGGGATTGAAGACCTTGTAAGGGAGGCACAAGAACTGAGCCAAAAATTTTAGTTGAATTTTTGAATTAGTGTCCATCTGCTATCCATGAAACAGGTCAGTGACTTAACTGAGGGCAATATTTTGAACCTTTCTAACCTAAAGGGATGGAGGTAAGTGAAATCCAAGTCACCATCTCTATTTCTCAGCACGAGAGGTAAAGAATTTGGGACTAATTATTTGGAAATTCAGATCTCAGCCTCATTTTTTTCTTTAGAGCCTCTCCCTAGAGCAAGTCTTAACATGGTAAAAAGGAAAAAGGTGGATTTTCTTCTCTTCTTTGGGAAACCCTCCCTATGCCTAATGCCTACCCCAATGTCTAAAGCCAAGTTCCTCGGCAGGGGCTCTGCACCAGGGCTTGAGGCCCAGGAGCCCAGATGAAGCATGAAGAACCCATGGATCCAGCCTGTGATTGCCTGTGTTTGGCCGCATATAAGTAACACCGGCCTTGGTAAAAGGGTCAGCTCAGAAACTTACATGTCTTTGGCGTTGCTGATCTGCTTTCTGACTTCTTTTCATCCCTCCTGTTTTCAATGACCTTTCCTCTCAGCATTTATATTTAGAGCAAATCTCATTCACATTGAAGCTTTACTTCTCCTTAACTTCTTTTATATAAAATATTCTTTCTTTAATTGTATTATAAGAACCTGAAAGCAAGTGATAAGGAAGGGTGTCATATCTGTGTGTCTAAAATCGTACTATGGTTTGGTGTAAGTTTAAGCAAGATCCCCAGCAAGATCTGGGTGTCTTTCACCGAGACAGTAGAATGAAGCAGTTAAGAACTTTGGGCTTGGGCCGGGTGCAGTGGCTTACACCTGTAATTCCAGCACTTTGGGAAGCCGAGTTGGGCGGATCTCATGAGGTCGGAAGTTCGAGACCAGCCTGACCAACATGGAGAAACCCCGTCTCTACTAAAAATACAAGAATTAGCCGGGCATGGTGGTGCATGCCTGTAATCCCAGCTACTTGGGAGGCTGAGGCAGGAGAATCACTTGAACTCCAGAGGTGGAAGTTGTGGTGAGCTGAGATCGTGACATTGCACTCTAGCCTGGGCAACAAGAGCAAAACTCCGTCTCAAAAAAAAAAAAAAAAAAAAAAAAAAGAACTTTGAGTTTGAAGTTTGAATTAACCCTTGTTTTGCCACTTACTTGTTTCTTGATTTTGGTCATGTTTTTAAATCTTGGGTTTCTCATCTGCTAAACAGCAGTAGCAACTCTTCAGAGTGCTTCTGAAGATTAAACAAAATAATGGATTTGGGGCTTAGCAAGCTCCTAGTACACACTATTATTTGTTTTATCATCTCTGCCCTCACTGCTGGATTCCTTTCAGTTCTGCTCAGAAGGAAGAACCCTCCTAATCCCTTCCCAGTGAGGACGGCTCCTGGGCCCAGAGGGACAGCCATGTTAAGAGAGGACAAGCTGCCCCTCTCTGTCCCGTGCCTGCTCTTCGCTATTCTCATAGCCCTGCCCCATCTCCTGTGTACTTTCCACCCCTAATTGTCTGAGGCCCTTTCACCGTGCCATGTTTCTTTTTTTTGTATGTGCTCTATCCTAAGATCACTGCAGTAACAGTTCTGCTGGCACCCTGCCTTACCTAGCAGATAAGCTGTGGGGATATGAGCCACAGTTTCTATAGTCTTGGGGCCTGAGGCTGGAGTTGGGGGACAGAGACCATGAGCTACTGTGCAAGGAAATGTTCTGATGAAGGGCAAAGTCTGGCGATGAAAGAACTGGGAGAGTAGGAGTGGAACCCAGAAATGTTTAGTCCCAGGTGCAGGGGCTGGGAGTGAGAACCCAGATTGCTTGATGACGGAGACGATGTTGTCATTTTCCTTGTGTCTACAGCACCTAGCACAGTGCTCGGCATAAAATAGGCCCTCAAATGTAGGTGGATGATAATTACTGAGGAGTAAAATTTAGGAACTTTGTTGTTTAAATTGTGTGTGATTGGGGAATTGTTGATTTGCCTGAATACTGATTACAGTCTCTCTAAAAGGAGCATAAAAATGACATATTTACGCTGCCTATGTAAAAAGTATTGAATGGCATTTATATGACTTGCTTAGATTAACACATAGCAAACTAATACTTATTATACTTGTCATTACATTTGTATCACATTACCTTTGCAGTAAGTTTTATTTGATTGCAATCGTAAACTATGTATGCTTAAGATATGTTTACAGAATCTGAGGCTTAATCCACCAGTAACAACAAGCATCCTTCTCGGTGCTTTAGAGTCCTACCTCGCGAGCTCAGGCTTCCTAGAATGTTACCACGTGTCCCACATTTGTTCACTCACATATTTAAAAAAGACAAAAAGGACAGAAAGAACATTGCTCAGGACAGTCAGGGGAGGGGGGTGACCAGAATGAAAACAGTCAGTGCAGAACATTGTGCAGGCCCATTCCTGGGGCGTGAAGAATCTGAGACATTTGGAGAAGACCCAGGGAACACAAGGAAGGGAGGGGGGATTGCAAGAGGCAGGCAGTGAGGAAGCAGCCGGGGGATCTGGCTGGGATTCCAATCCATTCTTAGCTACTTGATACAAAGGCTATTATATTAAAATTCTTCTAAAGAAAGATGGATTTCCACAGCACCCTATTTGTGTCCTAAATTTAGAGTAACAAAGCTGGAGCAATTGAATGGTGCAAAAACTCTTTCTTCCCTCAGAGTCAAAGGAACAGTAAAAATTGGACTTATGAAATTAACTTTCTACTTGAGTAGTATTTGTCCTTTTAGTTCTTGCATACTTGTTTGTAAACATAGTTTGAGTTTCACTGAATATTTTTTCTTTTAGTTAATAATATAGCTTCCCACATCCAGTCACTTACTAAGCTCTGGACACCTCCAGTTTTTTCAATAGCTCTCAATCTCCTGTCTTAGTACAGGTTCATCTGAAGGACATCTCAGGGGAAGGCTTCGTGTGTAAGTGATTTGTGAAGGAAGTGCTTCCAGGAGAACCTGGGAAAGGAGTGAGGGAAGCAAGACAGGGAAGGGTGCAGTTTCAGGCAGCATGTCCCAGAGAGTAGCTTCAGCCTGAGCCCATGGAAAATACTGGAATGTAACTGGGGCCTTGGGATTTGTCCCAAGCATGATCAAAGCAACTGGGCTTTAAGATTTTATATTTTATAAACTCTGTCTAAAGGCTGTGGGATTTGAGGGGTTAGTGGTGGTGGGGGTGGTGTGTAGAAAGTGAACTTGTAGGCACTTTGGGCTTTTTTATGCCTGTGAGCAAGGCACTCCAATGCCAAGAAGTGTTCGCCAAAGGAAAGTTGCAGGTGTGAGGTGGATGTGGGCATGCAAGCAAAAGTGCAGCTGGAGGATGGCACACAGAAGATGTTACCAAGGATGACAGGGGATCTCAGTGGAGCTTAGAGAGTGTCCACAGCCTGTCTTGATTCTCTCTGTCTCTACTGTGTATCTTCAGCACAAGTCCCTGTGACTCTTTCTCTTCTGGGTTGCACCATATGTTCCTAACTGATATCCTTTGATCCATAAATTATTGTTGGAGTCTGTGATCTTTCTTTTTCTTTTCCTTTTTTTTTTTTTTTTTTGAGACAGGCTGGAGTGCAATGGTGCGGTCTCAGCACACTGCCACCTCCACCTCCCAGGTTCCAGCAATTCTCCTGCCTCAGCCTCCCGAGTAGCTGGGACTATAGGCACGCGCCACCACGCCCAGCTAATTTTTGTATTTTTAGTAGAAATGGGGTTTCACCATGTTGGCCAAGATGATCTCGATCTCTTGACCTCGTGATCCACCCACCTCGGCCTTCCAACGTGCTGGGATTACAGGTGTGAGCCACAGCACCTGGCCATCTGTGATCTTTCTAAATCACAAATCTGGCAGTGCTAGTCCAGTGCTCAAAACCCTTCAGTTTTTGCCTAAAGTCCAAGCTGCTTAGCGCAACTTGCCTGATACCCTTGATCTGACCCCAAACTCTTAGGGCTGTACTCATACAGCACAGTGGGTGTTACGGACTGAATATTTATAATCACGCCCCCAAATCCTAACACCAACCCTGTGGTGATGTATTAGGAGACAGAGCCTTTGAGACTGATTAAGTCATGAGGGTGAAATCCCCATGAATGAGATTAGTGCCCTTATAAGAGACACTCCAGAGAGCTCTCTCACCCCTTCAGCCATGTGGGAATGTGGCAATAAAATCCTGGGCCTTCTATGAAACAGGAAGAGGGCCCTCAACAGACACTGAATTTGTTGACACCTTGATCTTGACCTTCCCAGCCTCTAGAACTTTGAGAAGCAAATATTTGTCATTTAAGCCACCCGGTCTATGATATTTTTGTTATAGTGGCCCAAATGGATTAAGACACTGGTATGACTTGCTGCTCTCTGACCTCTGGAATTCTGTAATGCTATGCCTACTGTCTGGAAAATCTTTGCCCACCTCCTCACCTGGCTCCCCGTTCCTTACCTTTGAAGATCTAGCTCACTCTTTATGTCCTCTGGCTTTCCACTGTACCCTGGGCTCATGCCATTGTAATATTTGCCACAGTCATTTTCCCACCAGACTGTGAGCCTCTTTAAGAGAGTCTTGTGCCCTGTTCACATCTACATTGCATCATTCTTGAATTCCATTAGAGGATAAAGTGAACTGAAGGAGGAGCAGGAAATCTGTCTTTGCAGGGATCTGCAGAATGAATGTGATTTAAGTTTCATGGGCCTCATTCTTCAAGAGTTCGGCCAAGGGAGTCAAAACAAAAGGTTGGTCCCCTCCTATGTGCCAGATAATGGGCTGGATGTACATCGTCACATTTAGGAGACTAAATGTACATCCAGCCCATTATCTGGCACATAGGAGGGGACCAATCTTACCTTTGAAGATCCAGCTCAATCTTTATGGCCTCTGGCTTCCCACTATACCCTGGGCTCACACCACTGTAGTATTTGCCACACTCGTTTTCTAAGAGGTAGCACCATCAAGAAACCATAAAATAGAATAAGTCTCTTGAGATCAGAGACTTTTCTGTTTTCAGAGCTTTTCTGGTTTCCTAATGGTGCTACCTCTGAGAAAGAAAAATTTAACTCATACACTCAATTTGGCCTGCATCTATACTGAAAGTGGAAGAGATATTTAATTTAAGCCAATTAAATGTATATTTTTGAGGGCCTTGGATTTCAGGCGAAGACTTGGCAGTGTAGTACATGTCAAGTATGAAATGAATTAAACATGGAACCTGATTGTTATGGGTTGAATTGTGTTCCCTCAAAATTTATATGTTGAAGTCCTCACCTCCAGTATCTTGGAATATGACTTTATTTGGAAATCAGGTCATTGCAGTTATAATTCAAGATGAAGCAATACTGGAGTTGGGTGAGCCCCTAATCCCACTGGCATTCTTACAGAAAGAATGCCACGCAAAGAATCAGATACGCAGAAAATGCCATGTGAAGATGAAGGCAGAGCTCGGGGTGATGCCTCTAGAAGCCAAGAATGTCAAAGATTGCCAGCAAACCACCGGAAGCAAGGAGAGAGGCATGGGACAGATTCTCCCTCCCAGTTCTCAGGAAAAAACAACCCTGCTGACACCTCGATCTGGACTTGTTGCTTCCAGAACTGTGAGACTATATATTTTTGTTGTTTAAGCCACCCAATTTATGGCAATTTGGTATAGCAGTTTTAGCAAATGCATACACTAATCTGTGAACTAAGAGACAGGCATAAAAAAACGGTATGTTGCAGTGTGATGAGGCTAATAGTGGTATCTGTGCAACACACAGGTGCGGCACAGAAAAGAGAAGGATTGGTGTGAGTTTTGGGAAGGAGATCTACACAAGCGGGGGGCACTGGCGAAAGGAAGGTTGCAAAGA
Organism: Homo sapiens; assembly: GCF_000001405.40. Lineage (NCBI taxonomy): Eukaryota > Metazoa > Chordata > Mammalia > Primates > Hominidae > Homo > Homo sapiens. The sequence continues at coordinate 139,648,445 of NC_000006.12, forward strand.
AGGGCTGCGTGAGTCAGGTTTTGAAAGCTAAAGATGAAGACTGATCTCTCTCTATGGGGGTTATGGCAGTCACAGATAAAGCCAACTGCTGTCCAATATTACCCCTAGTTTATCTTAAAAATCGTTGGTGGGAGCTGTGCAGAGAGGCCTTAACAGATATGGGAGCAAGCAAGTGGATTTGGGGCCTAACAGTGGCATGTGGTAAGCAGCCTGTGATCTTGCACCAGTGGGTGTCGTTCCACTCCCATCCCCCACCTCTGATGTAGCACACCCTTTGTTCTCCCCTTTCTTTCTTCCTTTGAGTAAATCTGTTTACTACCCAGAAAAACGAGGAAGGAATAGGCCAATTGCCCAGGGCAGATGGTGCGACGTTAACAGATGACACACAGAAAGCAGAACTCCTCAGCTCCTATTTTCCTTTTACATTCTCCAGCAAGGCTCTTCAAATGAAATAGCATGAAAGAAACATCATTAAGAAGAAACTGAAACACAAGTCCGTGAGAGATAGTGAGGGAACCCACTATCTGGTTGATTTAAATGGTTTCATGTGTTCAGATCCAAGTGAGTTATACCCAAATAATGAAAGAACTTACAGAAAAGACCAGTGAGCCACGAAGGAGACATTCTTTTTAGTGATTTTTCAAAAAGAATTTCTGGATAATTTAAAATGTGCTTCAAGCCTAGAGAAAGGTAAATGTTGCTCTCATATTCAAAGAAATATAAAAGATAAACTCACAGAAAATACCAGTTCATATTGATTCCCTGCAAACTTTTTTTGTTATTTTATTTTACTCACGTACATACAAATATACAAAGAGGAAAGGAGGTAGCAAGGCGGGAGAGAGAAAATGAAGGAATGAGAGAGACAGAGAAAGAGGGAGAGAAAACAGAGCAGAAAAGATAGAAAAGGGAGAATAAATTTATTAGCTTTATGAAAATTACATTAAGTTTGCACTGCTCAATTTACCTATGGTTGTGACTTCAATAATCCTGCAAAATTTTATAACAGCCAATTAAATAAGCATGATATGTGCCTTGAGAAAATAAAGGAGATGGTTAATCAGAACCAGAGGTTAATAAGAAAAAATTGTGCTAAACTTGGAGCTTTTTTCCTTCCCAACTTCCTTTGTCTTGTCTTTTCTTGTTTCCCCAGTGTGAGAAATTCCCCCTCCATTTTGATTTCACCCAGAGATGCAGCACTACCTACACCAAACAGAATGTGAATGTCTGCAAGTTCTACACAGTATTTCCCAGGAGCTAATTGGATCAGAAGAAAAGGCAGTGCTGATCACAGAGTTTGCCTGTCGGTCCCCAAACTGTATTTCTATTTTCCAAGTTCCTCATCCCGAGGCTTTCTTCCCTTTCTTCTTCTGTCAGTACCCATAAATCCTGGGCTTCTTCCTTATCCACCTCCCTCTTGTTCCTGTTCTGATAATCTTCCCAGTACATTTGTCCATCCAAGAACTGGCTGCTTGCTTGCTTTGGTCAGATGACTCCTCTTAGGGTCTGGATCCTTGATTGACAGCTGGGACCAGGAACCTCTGAGCAATCCATCCCTCCGATGCAGACTGTCCTTATGAACTACACTTACTATGAATTCCAGTTCCCTTCTCACACATTGGGCTCATTTCTGCTTCTTGAACTATGTCATCATTATTCCTCCATTCCATATTAATTGGACACCAACTCTTCAAAACACATCATTACCCCAGGATTAAGAGCCTAGGCTTTGGAGTAAGACTGTGCTTTTTAATCTCTAAAAGTTATAAATCACATCATATTTCTCTCTTGTTTCAAATCTTCCACAAAGTTTTCACCATGTTTAGAATAAAATCCCAACTTGTTACCATGACCTGTAAGGATCTAGATAATGTGGCCACTGCTTACCTCTGTCATCACTGCGCACCACTCTTTACCTTTATATATATATATGTGCCTTCTTTCTGTTTTTTAAACATGTCAGGTCTGTTCTTGCCTCCCGGCCTTTATACTCTTTTCCCTCAGATCATCACATTCCTGGATTGTTCTATTCATGAAATTTTGAGCTAAAGTTTCTTCTTGGGGGAACCTTCCTGACTACCCTGTCTAAATCAGTCCTCTTCTCCCACTACCAGTTAGTTCCTGGCACTTTATTGTGCTGTTTTGTCTTTGTGACACTTAATATCCTCTAGAATTACCTTGTGCATTTATTTGGTGACTTTGTTTATTTCCCTTGCCTTGACCTCCCAGAATGTAAGTTCCATGAGAGCAGGGTCTCTATCCTCAGCCCTTAGACAGTTTCTGGTATGTAGTAGGTACTCAATAAATAAAACGAATCAGTGAATGCTTGCTCCATACTTCCTGGGCTACATGGCTATGAACTAATTGCTTCCATGGGTTTTAGTTCCTTATCTTTACAATGTGGTTGGCAACTCCTGTTTCACTGGGATTTTGTGAGCATTGAATGGGATTACACAGGTAAGGTGACTAGAGCGGAGTGGGGAATAGAACAGGCACACAATAACATGAAGGGTTATTATGATATGCCAGTCTCCATGGAATGCCATAGGAACACAGAGATGATTCTAACAAAGTCCTTTTCCCAGAAGTGCCCAGTCATTATGTTTGAGCAGACGTTAGAATTGCTGCAGGCCTTGGACACCACACGCCACTTTCCCTGCTGAACCTCTCCTGGGAGCCAGACTCTCCCAGGGCCTGCCACATCTGGTCGTTGGGTCATGTTCTTAGGCCCGCTTATCCACATTGCCTTGTCTTATTGTGAATAAACAACCAAGATGCACTGATAATCCCCGAGATTACAAAACTAACCCAATCCTCTTTTATGGATGAAGCTATTAGACAAGTATTTCTAGGTATAACACAGGGTCTTAGTGTCTCTGTATTTTAGCAGAGAATATGACAGACATTTAGATATTATAGATGAATATGAGAATATGCCTCTTTGACATTAATTGCTATTTAATTAGATAAACCTGAAAAACTCCCAATGTTTTACAAGTTTAAAAAGCACTCTTAAGATTACAAACAGTAATGAAGATTCATAGGCAGAAGACTGGATCATTGAATTATAATTTGATTTGATTATACAGGGGGTGTCTAATTTATTCACTTCTCTACCAGTCTGTTGTCACAGTATCCTGAAAGGTGATGAGCCTCTGAGCCTAGTATCTCTGTCTTCTAATTATCTGAACATAGTAACAAGGCTACAAAATGATGTATGTAGCATGATACCATTTTGCTGAAAAATATATATTCATGCATGGAAGAAAAATAGCAGAAGGACACCAACATGTTAACAGTAGAAATAATATTTCAGCCTTTTTTTCCTTATGTTTTTCGAACTGTGCTGCTGCTTTGACTCCTTATGACTTTTGTAGGTCGAAAAAAAACTAATACAAATCAACTACTCACTTTTACAGGATGGGAGAAGGACGACCTGTGAACTTTTCTTGTTAGGAAAGACTCGGGGACTGAGGTGACTGTCAGTCTCAGAACAGCCATATCTGAGACGAGGACCAAGGACCAAAGACCAAGTAGCTCTGTCTGAGACAAGGACAACCTCCAGAACAGGTGGGAAGTAGTTCCCAACGGTGCATCATGACAGGTCTTGGTCCCACCTTTTAAGAGGCTTATTTTGAAGTTAGGGTAAACTAAACTTTGGCTTAATTTTAAGAATAAATTTGTTATAGGTATAGCTATGGAGAGAATGGCCATTTTGTTAGATTGTACAGTCCATCTTCAGCAGGTTGCCTTTCTCGAACAGAGATGCTAAAAAGAGATTTCTATACTGGGTGGAGAGTTGGACAAGATGTTATTTTATATTTTCTTCTAGGCTAGTAGACATCTTTATCAAACCTGCCACTCTTTCTACTTTATTACTTATACTATCTCTATGAGATGGATATTATTTTTATTAGTGAAGAAATTGATGCTTAGACGGGTGAAATAATTTGCTGAATACTCAAGATCTTGCAAGTTTCTTAGCTGAGATTTGAACTTAGATCTACTTGGCCTCCAAGCCCAAAATGTTCTATGATGTTCTGCTACTTTCCAATCTGTGATTCTGTACCCACTTTTTCACTTTCTTTTTCTCTTCTCTTTGTAGATTTCCACATTGCTTTCTTTCTGTTTCCATGACTTAGACAACAATGGCATCTGGTAATATCTTTGGCTTTGATTTGGTTCTTGGTATTGATATTTAAGGCAAAGAAATAAGTGGCTGACTTTTGGATAGCAGAACCATTATTTATTATTATTATTAATTATTGGCTTTGATGTAGCTGAAGAGATATTGGGTTATAATTTTAAAACTTCCAACGATGAGTGTCTAGAAAAAACAGTCTTAAGTGTTTAAAGATTATTCTTTTTTAATACTGAAACTTATAGTATGAGGCTTTCAGTAGAGAAGTAATAGGAGACAAATTGACAACAAATTGAAAATAAAAGCATCCGATTTAGTGCTGTTCTCATCCTGGGTTCCCCACATTTCTTTTATTTGCAGTGTGTACCTTCTTTCTGTGTGGAACTGCCAATTCTTCTACATGGATTAATCCCAAGGAGTAGTTTCTCTGCACATTCTCCACCAGACAGTAGCTCTTCATTAGGATGCCTTGATACTCTGATGTGGTGCCACCACATGTAAGTTACACTGACCTCCCTGGGACTTGCAGAAGCAGGGCCCATTCTGCATATGCTTCAGCCCCACTGTCAAAATCTTTGTAGTTGTGGCTCCCCGCTACATTTGAGTACTGTTGCTGCAGCAACGAGCTCAAGAAGAGCCTCTGTATGGGAATAGAGCTAAGGAGGATGCTAAGGCTCAGGCGAACTGACCCCTTGACAGCCTAACATGGAGGCTTTTATCTTTGAATTTAACACATTTGTCAACTTGACAGGGAGCTTGGGCTGCAGATTCCTGCCCTTGTGAGACTCTGAGGCCCGGCAGAAAGAGCCCAGGCATGGGAGTCAGACTCATGGGAGGGTGTGGGGGTAAATCCTGGCCATGCAACTTCCTGCACTAGGATCTTACTTCCCCTGGCTAGAATTCTATCATCTATAAAATGGGGTAATAATGACTGTTCACGGGGTTTTAGAGAAAATTAAATGGTTAATTATGCAGAAACAAGGATGTGGAGATAAACAGAGGAATACAAGCAAAACAATGGGGGAAAAAAACCCAAAAAACAAAAACAAAAACAAAACAAATCATAGCCCTGCTTCACAAATTCTTATGCCTGATTTTTGCCCTAGTCAAATATCTGTGAACTGTCATGGAGATATAGTCTTTGCCTGAGTATTTTGCCAGGCTCAAAAGAGCTATCTTTCAATCTGAGCAGTTTGATAACAATGCCCCCAAAACACTGTGGGATTACACATGAAAATGAATGCCAAGGAAAATAAATAAAATTGATTAACAAAGAGTAATTGATATTTAATCACAATTTGGGAAACACATTTTTGCCCTTTATTACAGCCATTCTGTCCTTTAAACTATTGTGTTTTGTCAAAAGAACATACACTTGCAGTGCTTGAGAGTGAAAAATAATACATTTTTCGAGCGTTCACCATGTCAGTGTCAGAATGGCAATGAAAGTAGTTATTAAAAACCTTAGCTGCACTTTCAAGTAAGAAATAAAGTAAAACATAAATTGCTTTCATGAAATGAAGCTAGTTACAATGATCAATGGTCAATAATAGTATGTGTTATTTATTCTTCTATGGAGCAAGGGGCAAAGAGGTTTGAAAATGACCGGTTAAATATCAGTCTATTTTATTTAATAAGTGATAGCTATTTCCTACATTAAACAAAACTCGGTCTACTTATCCAGAGCTCACATTTCAGTCTCAAACTCAGCTTTGGCTGAATAATCAGAAGCCATCATTGTGGGCCAAAGCTGGGAGATTTTTGGTAAGGATTCCGTGACATGGTGACACAGAAGACCAAATGGATTTGGTGAAGGCTGGATTACTTACACAAAGTCCAAAGATAAATTTAGTTGAAAATTGGTCACAGGTAGCCTTGCTGTCTCAAAGGGCATTTCTGACTAGACAAACAGCGTCTACCAACATCCCCTCCACTGAAATAAACAGCCGAGTGTTCCCTTGCCACAGGCTGAGTAAATACTAACTAAACCTTCAGCCTGTATGCCAGTCGGAGCAACACTCCCTATTTTTTAGCAAAATATTTTTCCATTCTGGCCATCCAAGAAAATCTCCAAATCCAATACACTTCAATGGAGTTTTTGGGCTTCTCGATTTTTCTCACTATTTATAGCTTTCAGATGTTGGCAGGTACAGGACTACATTTTCTTCAGAATAAAGTTGTAAACGGCAGCAGTGCTGTTTCATCATATACCACACAGTATTGAGTCGGTATTAAAACAATCCCTCTTCTTTACGAATGTCAACACTGACAAAGGCTAGAAAACAAAATAAATGCCTCACCAATATTGTATCAGTGGCCATATTTACATTGTGCAGAGTTTTGTGGAGTGAGGACGTGGGAATGGGATCCTGAGGAAAAGCCCAGTCTGTTCTGGGGTAACGTCTGTTCAGGTAATAGCATTTGTGAGGCTGAAGTACAAAAGTCCAGGAGGCCAGATCTGCCCCTTCTGTGAAACTAAGGCTGTGCAGGGCATAAAGGGAATGTAACAGTGCCTCCAGGCATATAGTATTTAATACATTACCAACTGCTTGCAAACACGACACCTTACTGGTCCTTAGAACAACCCTGGGCAATAGAAGGGGTAATTATTCACCCCGCTTTATGGATGAGGAAACTCAGTTTCAGAGAGATGACTTAACCGGGGTTACCTGGCTAGAATGTGGCAGAGCCAGAACTGGAGGCCCAATCTTCTGATGGCTAATCTTGCTTTTCTTTCCCAACTCACACTGCTCCTCCAAGAATTCAGCCCACAGAGCTTTCCCAGGCTCAGTGGAGAGACAGTCTGTTCACATGTAAAGGCCAGTGAATAAAGAGAAAGAGACAGTAAAGGGGTGGGTTAGAGAATAAAACCCAGTATTCCAGTTGCTAGAAAATGATTATATTGGGCAGGTCAGGAAGTGATAGTCAGGCACATCTGAAGTGTGGAAAAGTTGAATTTAAATCGCCAGTTTTGTCACTAACCAGCTAGGCGACCTTCCGTGTCCTCATCTGTAGAGCTTTAAGGACTCCCCGGGGATTGTGGTAAAATCACCACAATAAAGCCCTTCTGGGGTCACTTGAGAGACAACCTTTAAGATCTTGCCCTAGGCCACCTGTGGCAGGATTCGTCAAGGAGGCATGATGTAAACTAAGGAACTATAGCAACAGAGAGGGAAAGGAGAAGGGAAATATGGACAGGGAAATAGTTGAGTCCAGTTATGGTGGCAAGGGTGGGTGTGCTGCTTATATGGGATAGTAAGGAGACATTTGATGGATAGGTGACACAAAAACAAAATATGTGCGAAGTTCAACCATTACCAAGTCAGTTTTATCCATGGAGTTAATCAGTCTGGACATTTCAGGTCAAAATTTACTCCTTTATCCTTTAACCAATTATCAAGATAGTTATCCTAAGTCTTCCTTCTTTCCCTCTCCCCTTCCTCCCTCCCTCCTTCCTTCCTTCTACCTACCTTCTTTCATCCTTTCTTCCTTTCTGCCTCTCTCCCTTCCTTCCTTTCTCCCTCCCTTCCCTCCTGCCTTTCCCTTCCTCTCTCCTTTTCTTCCCTCTTTCCTCCCTCTGTCCCTCCCTTCTACTTTGCCTGCTTGTAGACACAGACTTCTCTGGAGTATGTTTCAGGAGGGGTGGATTTGTTTGTCTAGGGCAGGGCTGTCAAATACAGGTCATGCATGCTGCCACGCCCCTGCCATGACAGACAATGCTAATCAATCACTGCTCTCTGGGCACGATCTCAGGATTCATTTCAAGGTGCATGGGTTGCTTAGAGTTGGCTCAAGTGACGAGAGCTGTTTGCCAACATAAATCTAGGACACAAATGGATCAAATATGGCTTTCCATTTTAAAAAAGGTTAAAGTATACTAGAAAATATACTTCCTTTAACCTTTTAAAACATTCCACCCCCACCCCCCACTGTTTTAGTCTCAGCAAGAGCCTCAAGCAAAAATAGACAAATGTTATTTGAAGTCATCATCTAGTGAAGCGAGAGTCTAGCAAAGATTTTTTAGAAGCCTGAATATGTTTCATGAATGAATATCACCTTTTGAATATTTTGTCATACAAATTGACTTCTGGACATTTTGATGTTTGCCTCATGCAAATTTGAATTTTCCTAGTGCTAAAATTTGGTTTCTCTGCTTTAATGCAAATACATTATATGTGTACATAGACGTGGAAATTATGAGCTTAGTTTCTGAAGCCTATGTTGGAACCCCAGCTCTGTCTGTTTCTAGCTGAGTGCCCTTGAACAAGTTAATGTTACCTTTCTGAGCTTCAATTTTCTCATACTGAAAAAAGTAGTAATCATCATTTTTATCTCACAAGCTTATGGTGAAGAGTAAATGAGATAATTCATGTATAACATTCAGCATGGTATCCTGCACATAGTAATACTCCACAAATGTAAGTTTGTGTGTGTTACATGTAACTACTACTGTCTATCCAGGGTGAATTAAGGACTTTGATGCTTATTGAATTGTTTGTCTAAATGTTGCATTTCTTTGCTTTTGTGGGTTTAAGTCAGAGTTTTAATGCTACTTGAATTCTGTTGTGTGGTTCTATCATGATTTTTTTGTGTGTTTAAACTCCAAGAAAAATGTCCTCTTTTTTGGTAGCTGATATATTTAAACCACTAGTGCTGGAAGAAAAATAATCTGTCATTGAAGTAGATCAGAGTTGACATGACAGACTGTGCACTCTATCTTAAACATTCATAACATGCATAATATGGTCCCTATGGAATGAAATAACTCCTTTAGAGTCTTCGCAGTCCCTTGTATCATGGGTCTCCTAGAGTGAAGCCATTATAATTCTAAAGCAGCTATGCCTGTTTGGGGAATAAAACATCAAGGAAAAAAAGGCATTTCACATACCAAACAACTGACATTTATATATTGTTTAGATGTGTGTACATACATGTGCACAAAAGTATGTGGATGGTGCACATAGGTGTGTGGTATTTTGAACTCTGGTGTTTGATATATTATTGCTTACTGGCTAGAAGTAATTTCTTCAGAATCCGCAACACTTGAAATCCTGATTTTATTATCTTATTGGTCATGTGATTTTGAACAAGCTCCCTGCTAAATCTTAGGTAACTCATATTTAAAATGTGGATAACCATGTCTTCATACTCCTTTTTTTTTTTTTTTTTTTTTTTTTTTTTTTTTTTTTTTTTTGAGACGGAGTCTCACTCTTTCGCCCAAGCTGGACTGCAGTGGCGCTATCCCGGCTCACTGCAAGCTCCGCCTCTTGGGTTCATGCCATTCTCCTGCCTCAGCCTCCCGAGTAGCTGGGATTACAGGCGCCCACCACCACGCCCGGCTAATTTTTTGTATTTTTAGTAGAGACGGGGTTTCACCGTGTTAGCCAGGATGGTCTCGATCTCCTGACCTCGTGATCCGCCCGCCTCGGCCTCCCAAAGTGCTGGGATTACAGGCGTGAGCCACCGCGCCCGGCCATACTCTTTCATAGGAAGGATAAACTCATGTGAGATAATACTTATAAAATGTATAGCAAAATATTTGGCACATTTCAATCTCTCCAATAATAGAGCTATTAATAATAATAAATAAGTAAAACAAGTAATTAAAATAATGTCTATGGCAAGGCAAACTGGTTTTCAGCTTCATTATTCAATGTCCTGCTTTGATTTTTATTTTATAGAATAATCATTTGCTAGCTTAAGTAATACATCATTCCTTAATTATAACTGTCAAGTGAAGACTTCACTAATCTATGCCTCTTCTGAGAAATATAAGCACTTGAGCAAATAACTAATATCCTGACCCTGAGTTTCCTAATCTAAGAGGAAAGTCTATCTCAGTGACTGCATTCTGTCATAGCCATTCCTATTGAAAGGATGAAGTGAAATAATGGATTTTACAGGTCTGTATAAGGCACCACCAACTGGCCATACAATTGGAGAAAGGATATAAAATTGTACATACTTATGAAATACTCAAATATTATTAGGCAGTGTCTAAAGAAGACCAGAGCATTAGAATAAACAAATAATCAGTCCAAGAGCAAGTGGAGATTACTACATTTTCAAAGTATTCTTTTCAATGGAAAGAGTTGACTTGTGCAGTGCATGCACTGCATAATGACATTTTGGTCACTAAGTCTGAATATATGACAGTGGTCTCATAAGATTATAATACTGTATTTTTACTGTACCATTTTATGTTTATATATGTTTAGATACACAAGTATTTCCATTATGTTACAGTTGCCTACAGGATTCAGTATTCAGTACCGTGACATGCCTTATAGGTTTGCAGCCTTGGAGCAATAGGCTATACCATATACTTACTTGTGTAGTAGGCAATAGGCTATACCATATACTTACCTGTGTAGTAGGCAATAGGCTATACCATATACTTACTTGTGTAGTAGGCAATAGGCTATACCATGTACTTACTTGTGTAGTAGGCAATAGGCTATACCATATACTTACTTGTGTAGTAGGCTATACCATCTAGGTTTGTGTAAGTACACTCTGATGTTTGCACAATGATGAAATTGCCTAATGATGCATTTTTTAGAATGCATCCCTGTCATTAACTGGCACATGTCTGTATTTGTTTTTAATAAGAAATTACAGCACATGGTAAATTTTGCCTTTAACATTTTTGTGGAAATAAATGGCATTCCCAAAAAGCCTCTTGGGCTTGTAACTGTGCTGTATTTCCATGTTAGCTACATCAAGATAATAGCATTTGATCAACACAGTCTACTTGGACTGACCAGATACTACTGGGTCTCTGTTGGTCACACTACTGTGGATATGAGACAACAAACAGGTTTTGCCAGATGTTCCAGCTTCTCTGCTGTCAAAACCTAGAGTTGAAGTGCAGACGAGGTATATTTCAACCTTCTTCATACTCCAGTAGAGAAGGAGCCACTATTATTTACCCAATTTTTCGAAGGTAAACATTAAATGAATTTAACAATTTAACTTTAAGAAAAGTGAATTTGAAATCGGGAGACAAATCTACCATTTACTTCCATGTATTTTTTTCTGACATCTGTAAAACAAGTCTAATGATATCCACTTCACAAGACTCTTATAAAACATCAAAAAATTTTCCTGAGAAATTCCTTTGTACATAACAAAATACTATAACTATGTAAATTAGTAAGATATTATCCTAGTCTTTTTAAATTCTCACTGAGGTTGTATTTAGTTTGTGGTGTTTGGAAATTAACTTGAATCATTAACTCACCCAGGTTAAAATTTGGCCTCTGGAGCAAAACAACTCTATATTTGCACTCAATTATATCAAAAAACAAACGTTAAGCCCAGCTGGTTCTGTCCGGGAAAGATGGCAGTGGCTGGGGCAGTGTCCAAGGAGCCACTGGTGTAATGGTGCACCCAGCAGGTAGGGAAAAGTGTTGGCCTGGATGTCAGCAAGGAGATCATGCACAGTGCTTCCAAAAAGATGAAACTTTACATGGGCAGAAATCAAGGGACCAGCTAAAGCTGGGTAGGAGGAAAGGGAGAGATAGAGAGGAAGTTCCCGTATTTGCTGAACCTGACACAGCTGCAGAGGTAAAACATCTTTTGATTTGCCCAAGGCACGAGAGAACAGCAACTCCTTTAAGAAGAAGACAAAGTTTGTCAATTTACACACAAGAGAGGGACCCACAGGCCTGCAGTCTGCTCCCCAGTTGCCACCCTTGTGTTTGCCTGGGCCAGAAGCACAAGCTCATCAATAGCTGTCTGATCTGTGGGCCTGTTGTTTGTGAACAAGAGGGCTCCAATCCTTGCTTATTCTGTGTGACAACCATATGTACTATGAAGAACAGGATATTTTACAGCATAACTCAAATGAGAGCCAGAAACTGCTAAAGAAGCTCATGCCATTGATGGAGAATTCTGGAAAGGTGGACAACTCTGCCAAGGACTTTCTATGTCATCGAGAATTTCAAATTATGTCTGGTCTGGAGAAGGATATCAAGCACAAAGACAGGCTGTTAGAGTTGGATAGAGCTAGTTTTCAAAGGACCCAAGTTATTGATGATCAGATTTTTTGCCAGTGATTCTAACCAGTGGTTGTCCAAACTTGAGTGGGAAACGAAATGAGAAGTGAGAAGAAGAGCTGAGAGAACTTCGACATGCCTCTGTACTCTCTAAGAAGGTCACCATTGACTTTACAGCAGGAAGATCCTGGAAGAAGAAAATCCATTAGCAGAATATCACAGCAGACTAGATGAGACAATACAGGCCATTGCTAAGGAAACCTTGAACTAGACACTGATCACATTTGATATATCTCCTGAAGAACCTTTGGAAGTTCTGGTAAATCTCAGCACATACGAGTCCCCTCCCCAGTGGGTTGACCACACAGGTGCAGCCTCACAGAAGAAGGCTTTCCATTCAGCAGGATTGGGACTAGAATTCAACTCATTTCGGTACCTCTTGTGAATCCAGGATCAAGACTTTCAGGGAGGTTGGACAGTGGCTCATGTCTCTCTATACATCAGCCCTGGGTTTCTCAGCTTGTTAGAGGGATTAGAAAATGATGGAGTACAGATCCTGGTACATCTGCCACAGAGGACAACTTTGGATAGTAGTCATAGCCAAAACCTCCCTCTGCCTTCAAAAAGTCTCAGAACTCCGGGCTACATATCATCTTCTTCATAGAAAAGATGTGGAATTCCCCAGTGACTATCCATCAGGTTGTTTTTTGGGCTGTCTGGACCTAATTGCTTGTTTCAGAGGCAATTTAAGGAGCAGTTTCCAGACATCAGCTAAGAATCACGTTCTCCACTTGTTTTCATCTGCAAAAGTCCTGAGGAAATGGTTGTGAAGTTTCCTATTAAAGGAAATAAAAAAATCTGGAAACTGGATTCCAAGATCCATTAAGGAGCAAAGAAGAGGTAAATGAAGCAGAATAAAGCTTTCTGACTCAGGAGAAAATAAACCATACAGCACAGTGGAGTTTGGTACACTAAAATTGCCATCCACTAGGTTTTTGGAATTGAAGCAGTAGAAATCTAAAGGCTTGGCATCGGGCTTGAATCTCTCAGAATTTAAACTCTTACCAAAATCTGTATATTTTTCTTAAGGAGTAGGATTCTTACTTATGTAGTGGCTCAAAATCTTTGAATACATTATTTATTTATTTATTTATTTTTATTTTATTTTTTGAGATGGAGTCTCGTGCTGTCACCTAGGCTGGATTACAGTGGCGCGATCTCGGCTTACTGCAACCTCCACCTCCCGGGTTCACGCCATTCTCCTGCCTCAGCCTCCCGAGTACCTGGGACTACTGGCGCCCGCCACCACGCCCGGCTAATCTTTTGTATTTTTAGTAGAGATGGAGTTTCACCGTGTTAGCCAGGACGGTCTCTATCTCCTGACCTCGTGATCCGCCTGCCTTGGCCTCCCAAAGTTCTGGGATTACAGGCATGAGCCACCGTGCCCAGCCTGAATACATTGTTTATAAAAAACTATTTGAAAAAAAAGTTCAGGGTATTTCCTATTATTTGAAGGTTACTGAGGCTACAACCTTGTGGGTTTCTAGATAAAAAATTTTCTCATCTTTTTTTTGACATGGGAAAATACAAGTGGGATCATGGCAAAACATGAAAATAGGAAGAGGAGCGTGGTGTATAAGACACTGGTTGAGAGCAAGAGGTATATAGTCAGATAGACCCAAATTTTAATATAACCTCTGTTACTCACTAAACTCATTATTGTTTATAGATTAAATTAGGTAATACTTCTTAAAGACCTTATCAAATCTGTGCTAAGATGATACCATCCTACACATATTGGAAATACATGAAAAAATATTGTGGCTCACGCCTGTAATCCCAGCACTTTGGGAGGCTGAGGCGGGCGGATCACGAGGTCAGGAGATCGAGACCATCCCGGCTAAAAAACGGTGAAATCCCGTCTCTACTAAAAATACAAAAAATTAGCCGGGCGTAGTGGCGGGCGCCTGTAGTCCCAGCTACTTGGGAGGCTGAGGCAGGAGAATGGCGTGAACCCGGGAGGCGGAGCTTGCAGTGAGCCGAGATCCCGCCACTGCACTCCAGCCTGGGCGACAGAGCGAGACTCCGTCTCAAAAAAAAAAAAAGAAAAAGAAAAAATATTAATACTCAAATTGGGGTCAGGTAGTAGGGGAATCCCCTTTTTCTTATGCAAAGGAGATGCCTCAACTTTAAAGTGGATGAAGTGGATCAGGCAGTAGAGAAATGAAAGACTATAGTGATAACTATTGTCATGCGTCTTTGAAGGGGCTTGAGACACAGAATTAGAAGGGCAGGGTGTAGAATTTCTAAAATTTACCTTGAGATAATGTAAGAACAAAAAGATCATTAACAAACGATGAACACACACACACACTTGACCCTTGAACAATGTAGGGGTTAGGGACACCAAGTTCCTGTGCAGTCAAAAATATGGGTATAACTTTTGATTTCCCCAGAACTTAGCTACTAATAGCTTACTATTGATTGGAAGCCTTACTCATAACATAAACAGTCCATTAACAAATATTTGTATGTTATATGTATTCTATACTGTATTCTTACAATCAAGTAAGCTAGAGAAAAGAAAATTTTATTAAGAAAATCATGAGGAAGAGAAAATGTATTTGCTCTTCATTAAGTAGAACTGGATTATCATAAAGGTCTTTATTCTCATTGTGCTCATGTTGAATGGGCTGAGGAAGAGGAGGAAGAGGAGGGGTTGGTCTTGCTGTCTCAGGGATGGCAGAGGCAGAGGAGGTGGAGGAGGTGGGAAGGGAGGCAGGAGGAGCAGTCACACTCAGTGTAACTTTTATAGGAAACTTTTGTATAAGAGCATCAGTGCAGTTCAACTCCATGTTACTCAAAAGCCAACTGTATATACATAGTTTCATAGAAGTACACAATTTAATACTAATCATTTACTCACTGTACAGGTTTACTCACTGTAAGTATGGCTTAGTGATTTCTAGGAATTTTATAAACTGTACAACCATAACAAAAATTCAGTTTCTTTCTTTTTTTTTTTTTGGAGTCAGAGTCTCACTCTGTTGCCCAGGCTGGAGTGCAGTGGCATGATCTCAGTTCACTGTAACCTCTGCCTCCCAGGCAGGTTCAAGTGATTCTCCTGCCTCAGCTTCTCAAGCAGCTGGGATTACAAGTGTGTGTCACCACGCCTGGCTAATTTTTGTATTTTTAGTTGAGGCAGAGTTTCACCATGTTGGCCAGGCTGGTCTTGAACTCCTGACCTCAGGTGATCCACCGGCCTCAGCCTCCCAAAGTAGTGGGATTATAGGTGTGAGCTACCGCACCCGACCAACAATTCAGTTTTAAAGTACTTCTATCATCAAAAAATTATTAATATCTTGGTCCCTTTTGTAGTCAATCACCACTCCAAAATTAAGCTTCAAGCAACCAATATCTGCTTTCTGTCTCTATAGTTTTGTCTTTTTCAAAAATTTTATATAAGATAAATCTCACACTATATATTTTTTGTGCATGGCTTCTTTCACTTGGTGTAATGTTTTTTAAGTTTATTCATATTGTAGATATATCAAAAGTTTATTCATTTTTATTGCTGTATAGTATTTCATTGTATAGATATACCATATTTTATCTGTTCACCAAATGATGAACATTTGTATTATTTCCAGTTTTTGTCTATTATTAATAGTGCCACTATGAATGTTCACAGGTAAGTATTTGTATGGACATATGCCTTCTACTCTCTTGGATAGGTATCTAGGAGTAAAATTGCTAGATTATATGGTGACAGTTTATTTTCGGTTGCTATAACAGATATCTGAGATTGGGTGATTTCTCAAAAAAACAAGAGATTTATTTTGGCTAATGTTTATGAAGCTGGGAAACCCAAAATTGGGTGGCCACATCTGGTCAGGTTTAGATGAGGGCCTTGTGCTGCATCCAAACATGATGGAGAAGAGGAAGGATAAGTGGGCACATGTAAATGGGAAAAAACACTAGGGGGAGATGAACTTTATAATAACCTGCTTTTGTGGTTACTAATTCTGTCCCTCAAATTCACTCAGTCCCTTGAGAATTAACCTAGTCCTGTGACAGTAGCGTTAATCCTTCTTCTTCTTCTTCTTTTTTTTTTTTTTTTTTTGAGATGGAGTCTCACTCTGTTGCCAGGCTGGAGTGCAGTGGCATGATCTAGGCTTACTGCAACCTCTGACTTCCTGGTTCAAGTGATTCTCCTGCCTCAGCCTCCAGAGTAGCTGGGATTATAGGCATGCACTACCACGCCGGGCTAATTTTTGTATTTTTAGTAAAGACGGGGTTTCATCATATTGACCAGGATGGTCTCAATCTCCTGACCTTGTGATCCACCGGCCTCGACCTCCCAAAGTGCTGGCATTACAGGCATGAGCCACTGTGCCCAGCCGTATTAACCTTCTTAATGACCTAATCACCTCTTAAAGACCCCACCTCCCAGCACTACCACACTGGGGACCAAATTTCCGACACATGAATTCTGGGCAACACACTTAAATCATAGCATATGGTAAGTGTGATTAACTATTTAAGAAACTATCAAACTATTTTCTGAAGCATCTATGCCATTTACATTCCTATCAAAAATCTATGAGGGTTTCTGTTTTTCCACATCCTCATCAATGCTTGGTATTATCAGTCTGTTGGATTATAGCCATTTCAGTAGATGTGCAGTGTATTTCATTGTGGTTTTAATTTGCATTTCTCTAATGACTAATGATGTTGAGCATTTTTTCATGAGCTAATTAGTCACTTGAATGTCTTTGTTAAAATATCTACTTAAATCTTAAACTATTTTTTCTCTTTGTATTATTGAGTTGGAAGAGTTCTTTATGTTTCCTGTATATATACAACTCTTTTATAAGACATATAATTTGCAAATAATCAAGTCATATATCTGTGGCTTGTCTTTTTATTTTCTTAATGATGTCTTTTGAAAAATAAGTTTTAGTTGTTGATGTCATCGTTTATGATGTTTTTCTTTTATGGATCATGCTTTTGGTATCATGTCTAAGAAGTCTTTGCCTAACAAGATCACAAAGATTATAGTGTCAGCTCTTACATTTTTAGTTAACTTTTGTCTAAGATTTACATTTACATTTTTAAAACATATGAACATCCAACTGTTTCAACACCACTTGTTGGAAAGACTACACTTTATTCATTGAATTATCTTGGTATCTTTGTTGAAAATCAATTAATCATAGAAGTAAGAGTTTATTTTTGATTGTCTATTTAGATTCATTGATTGATATATCTATTCATAGACCAATACCACACTATCTTGATTATTGTAGCTTTATGGAAAGTTTTAAAATCAGTTAGTGTAAGTCTTCCAACTTCATTATTTTTAGAAATTGATTTGGTTAGTGTAGGTCCTTTGGATCGCCATGTAATTCTTAGGATAAACTTGTCAATTTCTTTAATAAACTGGCAGGGCTCTCAGCCGTTTTCTTTTTCTCCTATGCTTTTAATAATTTCATTAAATGAATGCTGTTATGCTCAATATTACCAACCAGTCTCTGAGGCTTTATTCATTTTTCTCTTTATTCTTTAGAATAAATATCTATTACTTGATCTTCAAGCTTATTGATTCTTTTTCTGTCATCTTCAATCTGCTGTTGAGCCTATCTTCGGCATTTTTCATTTTGGTTATTTCATTATCAATTCTAGAATTTCTAAAATTCCTCTTTTTAAAATAGTACACATTTTTCTACTGAGATTCCCTTTTAGTTGAGCCATTGTTGTGATATTTTATCTTAATTCATTGAACATGAATTAAACTCAAATTTTGTGCCCCTCAGAGTTAGTCTCTGTTGACCACTTTTTTCCCCATGTATGGGTCACATATTTTTTGATTGTCTAGTAATTTTTGGTTGAAAATTGGACATTTTATAGACTGTGATAGATAATACACCAACTCAGAGTTCTGATTTTTCTGCTTTTTTCCTTTTGTACCTTGCCTGGATTTAAAATACAAAATGTCTCCCCAAATGGGGAGCTGCTGATATCTCTAGTTAGATTTTTATTCTTATTTTTGCTTTTTAAAAATATATGTTTTTTATCCTAAATTACTAGACTAGGGGTCATCTCTGTATCTGTATACTTAGGGGTCAGCCAATGATTTGGGTAAAGGTTGTACTCAAACACCCCCAATCCATGAGGGTTTTATCTTCTAGCAATCAATATGCATGTGGTTTGGGGATCACATTCAAAATCAGCTTGTTCTCGAGTCATTTTTGGTTTTAACTTCTAACTAGGCTCTCTCAGGTTTCCCCTGTGCATACCTGTAGTTTCTCAGCCAAACATGAGGAGTTAGAACATTTCCATAGCCTTTAAATGGTGCTCTCTTTTCCAGGATCTCCCCATATAAATAACTGTCTGTGCACTTCTTGCCCCAAATAGGACCATTATCTCAAACTAGTAAAGTTGTGGGCTTTTCTTGTTTTCCTTTATAATATTTGCTAAAGCCCTGACTTTTTTTTTTTTTTTTTTTCCAGCCTCCCAAAGCAAGTCTCTTCCCTCTGGCAGCAGAGAAGCGGATTTTCTGCTCAACCTGCTTTGATCACCAAATGAGTCAGGGAGAAGAACATGGATGGAAATATCCTCAGTCAAGAACTTCACAAGCACCAGTTGCTTTAACCAGGGGCTCTAGAAATTTTCTAGAATAAATGCTTCTCAATTTGTAGTCTGCTTTTTGGTCACTTCACAGATCATTGGTATGGTTACTTGTGACAATTTTGTCCTTTTTTTTTTTCTTTTGAGACAGAGTGTCACTCTGTCACCAGGCTAGAGTGCAGTGGCATGATCTTGGCTCACTGCAACCTCCGCCTCGTTGGTTCAAATGATTCTCCTACCTCAGCTTCCCGAGTAGTTGGGACTACAGGCAGGCACCACCACACCCAGCTAATTTTTCTATGTTTAGTAGAGACGGGGTTTCACCATGTTGGTCAGGATGGTCTCGATCTCTTGACCTCGTGATCCGCCTGCCTCGGCCTCCCAAAGAATTTTGTCCTGTTTTATACTTGCTTTATGAAGAGAAGATTTCTCTGACCTCATGCTACCATAGTTGGAAGTTTCCCCTAGATCTGAAGATATATTTTCAATTTATAAATATGTGCTTTTAAAGATGTGCCTTCTACTTTCCTTCTTCTCTTTCTGCATATGAATATTTATTTAAGAGTATAAACATAGTTTTTTAAAGATCATCTACGGTTTATCTACTTTGTGCATGATCCACAGTGACTCCGTTCCTGATATTATTGCCTAGTTAGGTCTCTTAACTCAGACAAAAGAATTCTAACAAAAGTGCATTACAGTTAAAGACAGGGAGTTTAATATGTATAAATTTATGTGTGTCTATAATTTAAGAGCAAGTAAAATTTATTTGATTTGTGTTATCTGTTATGTCATAATTCACCTTTTAACTGTCAGAAAACAGCTTTTTCTGCTTCACTTCTACCTGGAAAAGCGTTCTTGGGAAAGTGCACTTGGTGAGGGTACCTTAGGAAAATTTGATACCCAAATAAAATGTTTTTTAAGCACTGTACAAAAGCCATTTCCTGGTATGTGTACAGCACCATTATCACATTCTCTCACTTCTATAGATAGTGATGATTTTCATTTAGGACATTTGAAGCAAATATTAAAAAAAAAGTTCACATTTGCTCAAAGTACCGTCACAAAAGTACTACTTTTTTCATCAATTAAAACTGTAAAAAATAAAAAATATGAAAATAAAATACATAAAATATAAAAAATACAAAATGTTGATGAGGTCATGGTACAAATAGTCTCATATATTGCCAGTAGCAGGAGAATTTGCTTTTAAAAGCATATTTAGGTATGCCAACACATTGGATAAACTAAAATAAATAAATACATTTCTAGAAACATGCAACCTATCAAGACTGAATCATGAAGAGATAAAAAATACGAATAGAACTATAACTAACAAGATGATTAAATTAGTAATGAAAACCTTCCAGTAAACAAAGCCCAGGACCAGATAGCTTCACTGGAAAAGTTTACCAAACAATTAAAGGATAATTAACACCACTCCTCAAACTTCCAAACAATGAAAGGGTGGGAATAAACACTTCCAAACTTATTATATGAGCCCAGCATTACCCTGATACCAAAATCAGACAGAAATACTTTCAGATAAGGAAACTGTAGACCAATATCCTTGATGGATATAGATGCAAAAACCTCAACAAAATCTTAGCAAACCAAATGTAACAACACATTAAAAGGATTATACATCATGATTAAGTGGGATTTATCTTGAATTAATGCAAGGATAATTCAACATATGAAAATGAATCAATATGATATACCACATTAACAGAATAAAAGACAAAAACCATATGATTATCTCAGTTGATGCAGAAAAATCATTTGACAAAATCCAACACACTTTCATGATAAAAAAACTTAACAAACGGAGAACAGAAGGAAATTACCTCAATATAATAAAGGCCATATATGAAAAGCCTACTGCTAACTTCATACTTGATGGTGAATAATTGAAACCTTTCCTTCTAAGCTCAGAAACAAGCCAAAAGTGCCCACTCTCACAACTTTTATTCAACCTATTACTGGAAGTCTTAGCGAGATCAATTGATTAAGAAAAAATAATAAAGGCATAGAAATTGTAAAGGAAAAAGTAAAACTATCGCTGTTCACAGATAATACGATCTTATAAATAGAAACCCTAAAGATTCTGTAAAATAACTGTTAAAAGTAATATACAAGGTCAGGCCCGGTGGCTCACGCCTGTAATCCCAGCACTTTGAGAGGCTGAGGCGGGTGGATCATGAGGTCAGGAGATCAAGACTATCCTGGCTAACATGGTAAAACCCCGTCTCTACTAAAAATACAAAAACAAAATTAGGTGGGCGTGGTGGTGGGTGCCTGTTGTCCCAGCTATTTGGGAGGCTGAGGCAGGAGAATGGCGTGAACCCGGAAGGCGGAGCCTGCAGTGAGCCGAGATCGCACCACTGCACTCCAACCTGGGTGACAGTGCAAGACTCCATCTCGAAAAAAAAAGAAGTAATAAACAAATTCAGCAAAGTAGCAGGATATGAAATCAGCATGCAGAAATCAGGTGCGTTTTTGTACACTAACAATGAATAATCAGTAAAGGAATTGAGGAAAACAATCTCATTTATGGTAGCATCAAAAAGAATAAAATACTTATAATAGAACTTAATCAAAGAAGTGAAAGACGTATATACAGAAAACTACAAAACATTGCTGAAAGAAATTTGAAAAGACATAAATAAATGAAAAATATATTTTGTGTTCATTAATTGAAATAATTAATATTGTTAAAATGTTTATACTACCAAAAGTAATCTACAGATTCTGTGCAATTCCTATTGAAATGCCAATGACTTTTTTTTTTTTTTGCAGAAGTAGAAAAAAATAGTAAAATTCATATGGAATTTTAAAGAACTTTAAGTAGCCAAAACACGTTTACAAAGAAAACAAAGCTACAGGTCTCAAACTTCCTGATTTCAAAATATATTATAAAGCTACAGTAATAAAAAGTATGGTATTGGCATAAAGACAGATATAAAGACCAATGGAACAGAATAGAGTTCATAAATAAGCCCTTGGATATATGATCAAATAATCTTCAACAGGGGGATCAAGGTTACACAATGGGAAAAAGTTAGTCTCTTCTACAAATGGTGTTAGGAAAACTGAAATATCCAATGCAAAGCATAAAGTTGGACATTTTCCTTACAACATACAAAAATTAACTCAAAATAGATACATGACCTACATGTAAGACATAAAACTATAAAACTCCTAGAAGAAAACATAGGCAAAAACTTCATGACTTTGGATTTTGCATTGATTTCTTGTATATAAGACCCACAGACAATGTAAGCAAGAATAGATAAATAAGACTATATCAAACTTAAAAAGTCTGCACAAGAAAGGAAGAAACCAAGAGAGTGAAAAGACAACATATGGAATGGGAAAAAAATATTTGCAAACAATATATCTGGTAAGGAGTTAATATTCAGAAAATATAAAGAACTCCTACAACTCAACAACAAAAACCAAGCAATCCAATTTTAAAATAGGCAAAGGACATGAATAAAGATTTCTCCAAATCAGCTTATAGCTGATCTTTATAAGATGTCCAAAAACAGATCTTCCAGACAGAAAATCAACAAAGAAAAATTGGACTTAATCTGCACTATGGACCAAATGGACCTAATAGATATTTATAGAACATTTCATCCAAGAGCTGCAGAATACACATTCTTTTCCTCAGCACATGGATTATACTCAAAGATAGATGATATATTAGGTCACAAAACAAGTCTTAAAACATTCAAAAATTGAAATAATATCAAGCATCTTCTCTGACCACAATGGAATAAACTAGAAATTAGTAACAAGACGAATTTTAGAAACTATAAGAATACATGGAAATTAAACAATATGCTCCTGGATGACCAGTAGATCAATGAAGAATTTAATAATAAAATTGAAAAATTTCTTGAAACAAATGGTAATGGAAATAAAATATACCAAAACCTATGGGATACAACAAAAGCAGCACTAAAAAGGAAGTTTATAGCTATAAATGCCTACATCAAAAAAGAGGAAAAACTTCAAATAAACAATCTTATAATGCATCTTAACTAGAAAAGCAAGAGCAAACAAAACCCAAAATTAGTAGTAGAAAAAAATAGTAAAGAGCAAGCAAAAATAAATGAAATTGAAAAAAAAATACAAAAGATCAATGAAACAAAAAGTTGGTTTTTTGGAAAGTTAAAATTGACAAGCCTTTAGCTTATGAAACAAACAAAAAAAAAGACAGAAGACCCAAATAACTAAAAATCAGAGATGAAAAAGGAGGCATTATAACAGATATTGCAGAAATTCGAAGGATCATTAGTGGCTATTATGAGAAACTATACACCAATAAATTGGAAAATCTAGAAGAAATGGACAAATTCCTAGACACATACAACCTTCTAAGATTGAAGCAGGAAGAAATTCGAAACCTGAACAGACCAATAACAAGTAAGGGGACTGATGCCATAATAAAAATTCTTCTAGTAAAGAAAAGTCCAGAACCTTATGGCTTCACTACTAAATTCTACCAAACATTTTAAAAGAACTAATACCAATCCTATTCTAACTATGCCGAAAAATAGAGGAGAAGAGAAAACATGCAAACTCATTCTCCAAGACCAGTATTACCCTGATACCAAAACCAGATAAAAACACATCAAAAAAAGAAAACTACAGGTCAGTATCTCTGATGAATATTGATGCAAAAATTCTCAAAACAAAATCCTAGCAAACTAGATTTAACAATACATTAGAAAGATCATTCATTATGAACAGGTGGGATTTATCCCTGGGATGCAAATGTGGTTCAACATATGCAAATCAATAGAATGATAGATCATATCAACAGAATGAAGGATAAAAACTATATGATCATTTCAACTGATACTGAAAAAGCATTTGATAAAATTCAACATCCTTTGTGATAAAAAAAAAAAGAAAGAAAGAAAACCCACAACACGCCAGGCACGGTGGCTCACACCTGTAATCCCAGCACTTTGGGAGGCTGAGGCGGGCGTTTCATGAGGTCAGGAGATCGAGACCATCCTGGCTAACACGGTGAAACCCCATCTCTACTAAAAATACAAAAAATTATCCGGGCGTGGTGGCAGGCTCCTGTAGTCCCAGCTACTTGGGAGGCTGAGGAAGGAGAATGGCATGAACTCGGGAGGCGGAGCTTGCAGTGAACCAAGATCGCGCCACTGCACTCCAGCCTGGGCAACAGAGTGAGACTCTGTCTCAAAAACCAAACCAAACAAACAAAAAAAAAAACCCCACAAAAAAACTGGTTATAGAAAGAAGGGAACATACCTCAACATAAAAGAAGCCATGTATGATAGACCCATAGATAGTATCATACCTAATGGGGAAAAGCTGGAAGCCTTTCCTCTAAGATCTGGAACACGACAAGGATGCCCACTGTCACCTCTGTTATTCAACATAGTACTTGAAGTCCTAGCTAGAGCAATCAGACAAGAGAAAGACTAAGGGCATCCAAATTGAAAAGAAATAAGTCAAACCATCCTTGTTTGTTGATGATATGAACTTACATTTGGAAAAACCTAAAGACTCCACAAAAAAACTATTAGAACTGATAAACAAATTCAGTGAAGTTAAAGGATACACAATCAACATACAAAAATCGTAGCATTTTCATATGCCAAAAGTGAATAATGTGAAAAATAAATCAAAAAGGCATTACCTAGAAATTAACCAAAGAAGTGAAAGATCTCTGTATTGTAAACTATAAAACACTGATAAAGGAAATTGAAGAGGACACCATAAAATGGAAAACTATTCTGTGTTCATGGATTGGAAAAGTCAATATCGTTAAAATGTCCATTCTGCCCAAAGTATTAATAATCTACAGATTTAATGCAATCCCTATCAAAATACAAATGACATTCTTCACAGAAATAGAAAAAAATCCTAAAATATATATGGAACCACAAAAGACCCAGAAGAGCCAAAGCAAAAAGAACAAAACTGGAGGCATCACACTACCTGACTTCAAATTATACTATAGGGCTATAATAACCAAAACAGCATGATACTGGTATAAAAACAGACACATAGACAAATAGAACAGAATAGGGAACCCAGAAACAAATCCACGTAACTACAGTGAACTCATTTTTGCCAAGGTAAGAAGAACATACACTGGGGAAAAGAAAGTCTCTTCAATAAATGGTTTTGGGAAAACTAGATGTCCAGATGCAAAAGAATGAAACTAGACCCCTATCTCTTGCTATGCATAAAAAATCAAATCAAAATGGATTAAAGACTGAAATCTAAGACCTAAAACTATGAAACTACTACAAGAAAAAGTTGGAAAAAATCTCCTGGATATTGGTCTGGGCAAAGATTTCTTGAGCAATACCCCATAAGCACAGGCAACTGAAGCAAAAATGGACAAATGGGATCACATCACTTTAAAAAGCTTCTGTACAGCAAAGTATAGAGTCAACAAAGTGAAGAGAGAACCCACAGAATGGGAGAAGATATTTGCAAACTACCCTACCCACAAGCGATTAATAACCAGAATATGTAAGGAGCTCAAACAACTCAATAGGAAAACAAATCTAATGATTCAATTAAAAATGGGCAAAAGATCTGTATAGACATTGGTCAAAAGAACACATACAAATGGCAAACAGGCACATGAAAGGGTGCTCAACAACACTGATCATCAGAGAAATGCAAATCAAAACTGCAATGAGATATCATCTCACTCCAGTTAAAATGGCTTATATTCAAAAGACAGGCAATGACAAATGCTGCAGAGGAGGTGGAGAAAAGGGAACACTTAAAAAAAAAAAAAAGAAAGAAAGAAAGGAAGGGAATACTGTACACTGTTGGCAGGAATGTAAATTAGTATAATCACTATGGAGAACAGTTTGGAGGTTTCTCAAAAAACTCAAAATTGAGCTACTCTATGATCCAGCAATCCCACTGCTGGGTAAATACCCAAAGGAAGGAAATCAGTATATGGAACAGATATCTGTATTCCTATGTTTGTTGCAACAATGTTTACAATAACCAAGATTTGGAAGCAACCTAAGTGTCCATCGATAGATGAATGGATAAAGAAAATATGATACATAAGCACAATGGAGTACTAATCAGCCATAAAAAAGAATGAGATCCAGTCATTTGCAACAACATGGTTTGAACTGGAGACCATCATGTTAAGTGAAATAAGCTAGGCAACAGAAAGACAAACATCACATGTTCCCGCTTATTTGTGGGTCTAAAAATAAAATCAACTGGACTCATGGACATAAAGCATAGAAGGATAGTTACCAGAGGTTGGGAAGGACAGTTTGGGGGTTAGGGGAAGGCGAAGATAGTTAATGTGTAAAAAAATATGGAAAGAATGAATAAGACCCACTATTTAACAGCACAATAGGGTGACTATAGTCAATAATAATTTAACTGTACACCTAAAAATAAAGAATGTAATTGGATTGTTTGTAACTCAAAAGATAAATGCTTGAAGAAATGGATACCCCATTCTCCATGATGTGCTTATTTCACATTTGCATGCCTGTGTCAAAACATCTCATGTATCCCATAGATATATACACCTACTATGTACCCACAAACATTTAAAAACAATAACTAAAAAATATGAAAAAGATGTCCAACAAGCAGATGAAAAGATGCTTAACATTATTAATCATCAGAGAAATGCAACTCAAAACTACAGTGAGATATCACTTCACATCTATTAAAAGGTTACTATCAAACAAATGGTTAATGAGAAGTGTTACAGAGGATATGAAGAAATTGGAATCGCTGTGCACTGTTAGTGAAAATGTAAAATAGCAGAGCTGCAATGGGAAACAATATGGAGCTTCCTCGAAAAATTAAAAATCATCCTATCGTATGATCAAACAATCTCACTTCTAACTCTATAGCCAAAAGAATTGAAAACAGGATCTTGAAGTGATCTTTGCACGGCCATGTACATTGCACCATTATTCTGAATATCCAAGAGGTGAAAGCAACCTAATGACATCAATGACAGATGAATGGATAAAGTGAATGTGTTATATACATGCAATGGGATACTATTCAGCCTTTAAAAAGTTCTGTTATATGTTACAACATGAATGAACCTTCAGGACATTATGATAAGTGATATACGCCAGTCATAAAAAGATAAATAGTGCATAATTCCACTTAAATGAGGTATCTAAAATAGTCAAATTGTTAGAAACAGAAAGTAAAGTGGTGGTTGCCAGGGGCTGTTGGTAGGGAGAAAGGGGAAACTGTTTTAACAAATTAAGAATTTTACTTGTGAAAGATAAAAAAGTTCTAGAGATCTGTTGTATGACAATGTGCATACAGTTCTCACAGTATGTGAGATGATCCAAGAAAGATCTCTTTATGGCACTGGCAGAAAGAGGGAAAGAGTGTCTATTCTAAAACATACCCAGAGCATTCTTCATGCCAAAGGCCTACTCTCCAGGTGAGAGGAATTTTCTAGAGCACAATTTTGAAATCTTATCCCAGATAAAGAAGTTTTCCCCATACCTATCCCTGCTTGTCCAACTTGTGACCTGTGGGCCACATACGGCACAGGACGGCTTTGAATGCAGCCCAACACCAATTTATAAACTTTCTTAAAACATTATGAGATATTTTTGTGATTTTTTTTAGCTCATCAGTTAACATTAGTGTTAGTATATTTTATGTGTGGCTCAAAATAATTCTTCTTCCAATGTGGCCCAGGGAAGCCAAAAGATTGGACACCCTTTGATCTAAGATAAAAAACAAATCTTAAAACAACAACAACAATATCTGATCTGGTGAACAAGGGGCGTTGCTTCAAGGACATGGATTGGGAACATTGCATCCAGAGAAGAAAGAGGTTGATGTGAGGGAAGCCATAGCACTGGAGGAGGGACAGAAACACTTGTGAAGGCCACGGCACTGGGTCACAAGCCCGCTAAAAGACTGAGTCTTTATGAGAAACTTATAGAACTTTCCTCTTCCCCCACACCCTGCAATAACAGATAGATAACATAAGCAGAGAGATGGAAATTATAAGAAAGAATCAAAGGGAAATGCAATATATGGCCAAGGAGAAAATAAATAAGCTTGAAGATAGGTTAGTAGAAACTTCTCAGACTGAAATGCAAGGAGAGGAAATAAGGGAAAAACAAAACAAAACAGAAAAAATAGAACTTTCAGGAACTGTGGGACACTATCAAAAGGTGCAGCATAAGTACAGCTGTAATATATGAAAGAGAACCAAGCGAGAATGAAACAGAAGAAATATCTGAAGTAAAAATGGCAGAGAACTTTCAGAAATTAATGACAGATACCAAACCACAGCTAACTGAAAGAACTCCCAATGGTCAAACATACAATAATTTGAGCAAAATGAAGAAATAGTTGACCCAAAATATAAAATAAAAATGTCCATGAATCCATACTGATATAAATAAATATTGAATAAATACATCAATGGGAGAGGAGAGATTCCTCTTCCATGCAGGAGAATTTTAAATAATGTATGTGGCCACTCCTCTATCAAGGAGGTAGAGCATAATTTCCACCATTTAAGTGTGGGCTGCACATAGTGACTTTCTTCCAATGAGGACAGTATGGAAAGAAGAAAAAGAGTAACTTCATAGTGGAGACAACTGACAAGCACTTCCTCAGCCAGGTGATCAAAATTATCAACAGTGATAAGTCATGTTGATAGGATGTACTCATGGTATGATGTAATGAGAATGGCACTTTACCTCTGTGGCTTCCTTTTCCAAACCTCACAACTTTGGACTAATCAGGACTAAAACATTATACCAATTCAAATCAAGGGATATTCTACAAAATATCTTAACCATCACCCCTGAAAACTGTGAAGACAATCAATAGCAAGGAAAGTCTGAAAACCTGTTATAATCTAGAGAAGCCTAAGGAGACATGAGGCTAAATGTAATGTGGCATCCTGCATGTAATTGTGAAACAGAAAAAGGATATTAGATGAAAACTAAATAAATCTGAACAATATGTTGACTTTAGTTAATAAATATCAACACTGGTTCTTTTATTGTGGCGAAAGTACCATACTAACTGAAGATTTTAAAAATAGAGGAACCAGGTACGGGTTATATGAGAACCCTCTGTACTATCTTTGTTGCCTCCCTATAAATTTAAAATTATTCTAAAACAAAAGTTTATTTTTAAAAAACCTTGTGAAGTCTCTTTAATACAATATATAAAAATCAATTGTAGGTGGGCTAATGTCTTAAATGTAAAAGGCAAAACTCTAAAATATTTAGAAGAAAAAAATTATCTAATGACTTAAGTAAGTAATGATTTCTCTCTCTTTTTTTTTTTTTGAGACGTCCTCTCGCTCTGTCGCCCAGGCTAGCGTTCAGTGGCGCCATCTCGGCTCACTGCAAGCTCCGCCTCCTGGGTTCACGCCATTCTCCTGCGTCAGCCTCCTGAGTAGCCGGGACTACCGGCACCCACCACCACGCCCGGCTAATTTTTTTGTATTTTTAGTAGAGACGAGGTTTCACCGTGTTAGCCAGGATGGTCTCGATCGCCTGACCTTGTGATCCGCCTGCCTCGGCCTCCCAAAGTGATGGGATTACAGGCATGAGCCACCGCGCCCGGCCTTAAGTAAGTAATGGTTTCTTAAACAGTACACAAAGGTTGTACACCATGAAGCTATGCATATGATAAATTGTATTTTAGAAAAACTAAACCTTCTGTTTAGAAATGTTATCATAAAATGTGAAAAGAAAGGCCACAGTTTAGAAAAACAATATTAATAACCAAGGATTAATATGCAATAGATTAAAGACTTCCTATAAATCAATAAAAGTGAGTTTACTACTCAATATAAAAGTACTCAAAATACATCAAGAGGCATGTCACAAAGAGAAAAGAAAATGGCTAATATGTACACAAAGAGATGTCCAATCTCATTAACAACCTGGAAAATTAAAAAAACCACAATGAGATGCCATGCCATACCCACAAAATTGATAAAATTAAAAATTAGATAATTAAAAAATTTTGATAAGAATATGGAATTATCTGAACTCTACTACTAGTATGAGTGTAAAATGTTGTACAACCATTTAGAGAATTAACCTGGTAATACCTAGTAAAGCTGAAGATGTGCACTTTCTATAGTCCAGCCATTCCACTTTCTTTTTTCTTTTTTTTTTTTTTTTCTGAGATGGAGTCTCGCTCTGTCCCCCAGGCTGGAGTGCAGTAGCGCAATCTCGGCGCAGTGTAAACTCCGCCTCCTGGGTTCACGCCATTCTCCTGCCTCAGCCTCCCGAGTAGCTGGGTCTACAGGCACCTACCACCACGCCCGGCTATTTTTTTGTACTTTTAGTAGAGACGGGGTTTCACCGTATTGTCCAGGATGGTCTCGATCTCCTGACTTCGTGATCTGCCCGCCTCGGCCTCCCAAAGTGCTGGGATTACAGGCGTGAGCCACCACGCCCGGCCCAGGCATTCCACTTCTAAGTAGAAACCTTAGAGAATCGGCCTGGTGCGGTGGCTCACGCCTGTAATCCCAGCACTTTGGGAGGCCGAGGCGGGCGGATCACGATGTCAGGAGATCGAGACCCTCCTGGCTAACACGGTGAAACCCCGTCTCTACTAAGAAAAATACAAAAAATAAGCCGGGCATGGTGGTGGGCACCTGTAGTCCCAGCTACTCGGGAGGCTGAGGCAGGAGAATGGCATGAACCCAGTAGGCAGAGCTTGTAGTGAGCCGAGATCGCGCCACTGTACTCCAGCCTGGGTGACAGAGCGAGACTCAGTCTCAAAAAAAAAAAAAAATAAATAAAATAAAATAAAAAGAAACCTTAGATAATCTATTGCGCCATATATAGGTACATTCATATGTAGGTGCATCCATACATAGATGCTTGTGCCACATATATGCAGCATGTATATTTAGGAATGTTCATTGAAACATTGGTTGGAATAGCAAAGATTTGCAGATAATCTAAATGTGTGTCTGTATTTGAATGGATAAATCATGGTCTATAAGTAGAAAAAATGAACAAACGACACATCAAAACAGATTGATCTCAAAGATAATTTTGAATAATAAAAACCAGTCTCAGAAGACTTTGTACAATATGATTCCATTTATAGAACATTGAGAAGCATGTCAAAAGTAAACAGAAGTTTTGTTTGGAGATATATAGACATTATATGTATACTGGAACATTGAGGTAATCAAATGTTATATAAACAAACTTTTTTGTGTTTTCTTTGAGGACTTGTAGCTAAATTTTATAGTTTTTCTCTCTTTTCCAGTTTATAGAATGTTAGCTTGCATTTTTCATTATGTTGAGTATGCCTGCTTCTAGCAGTACTCCCCCATGTCCCTGTAATTTGCTGCTTTTTATTTTTGGTGGCCTAGGAAACAAGATAACTAAACTTGTTAGAATCTTACATAAGACAAGCAGTCTCCAGATTTGGGCCTGGGGAACTCTCCTATGAGAAAATTGCATGACCTTTTGTACATATGCAATGTAACAGTCATTCATAAAACAAATATTTAGCAATTTCCTATCACATACCAGACACTATTCTGGGTTAAAGAAATGCAGCAAAGGACAGTAAGGCAAAGTCCCTAAACTTATGTAACTTGCTGTCTAGTGGCATATGTTTGGGCTCTTAACTGTATTTTAAATAGGCAAGCCTGTTTCACAAAGACAATTTGGGTGAACAAGGAATTTCTGTACACACAAATACAGGCAATATTCGCATTCCAGTGTGTGTATGTAGAAATATAAAGCCCATAGCCCTGCAGGTGCCAGCTCTATGTGTATGACTGTAGACGATGAGGAATTGCTCGTAGATCTGATAATGATGCTACATGAAGGTATAATGGTATGGTACTGTTGGACACATTCTATATCCTAGATTATGTTTGCTATAGCCTAACCAACCCATGTTTGAAAGTAAAGCAAAACATTTAAACCCTCTTTTTTGGATAGTATTAAGTTTCCTTGCAAGTATACTAAGTTAATATATATGATCAGTATGCAAAACAGGTGCTATTTCTAAAGCTGACTTGCAAAACTTTAAGAGTGACACCAAGCACTTCAAAATACAAACTGATCATCTAGGGGTATAGGGCAATGTGTTAATAAGGTACTGGAAGACTTTCTTCTCTAAACATATTAGTCTTTATTTCTGAAAGGCTTGTTTTCACCTACCTCATCAGTCTTAAACTCAATAGAAAAAACAAAGAAATAAAATATGTCCATTCATTCAGGATGGTATATTAGAATCTATACTTGTGGTATTTAACTGTCTAATAGCATTATCAAGCTATCTGGCACTAAATTCAAAATGCACCTTCACGGATTGTTGTTCTAAATCTGTTATCTGGTTCAGAGACAAGAGCCAATTTGAAATGTCCATTTCAGTTGTCATTTGAAAACATCTTTTTCACAATGCTCTGAAGCTAATAGCGGTCCTGAAAGTATTTGAGAATAAGAGGACACTTGACTTTTCTCAGGGTATGAAAGTGCATGGCCTCTGGACCCATATTCTCATTTCGCTGGGTAAAAATAATGACTAATCAATATGAGGGGCTAGGTGACATCGTAGGTTAATTCACTAGGAGTTAGCATCTTGACCTGGGAGTTTACATAAACATCTTGTCTCAAAATGAGTCTAGTGCAGTGGATTGTTTGTGGTGGGTTGGTTTCCCGCTCTCTCCCTGGTTTAAAACAATACATATTTTAAATAGTTTGATTCAAATCACATGATGATTGTTTCTCCTGAGGAAAATCCCAGCACTGGGTCAGCAGGTGGGTTACAGATTAGTGATGGCTGGGACGTGCTGACAGCTGTGTGCGAGGGTTGCCCGGCATCTCCTCCACCTCCCTCCACATGGCCACTTGGGGCTTGTCAGTTACTCCTGGCCATTGCTGCTGTAATTTAGCTAATTCACTCAAACCGTAGTTCTGAAAGAACAGTAAAACAGAGTCATCATCAACATGGAAGGTACATATAATGCATAAGACCAGACACATCTACTTTTTTCAAAAAAGGTCTTACATTTTATAGTTCTAAGTGATTAGTTTTATACTGCTTTACAAAGTAAACTCAATGTGGAGGTCATAATGAATGAATCCCTAGATGTTTACCAAACCCCAAATTAAATTGCATTCTTAATTGTTTTGCAAATACATTGGCTTACCTAATTAAATAGGAATGACTCTATGTTGCTACAGAGGATAGAATATTGAAGCCTTTAGGACTCATTTCAAATTAGCTATTCTGCTTGATTAACAAATTTGGCCCATTCAGGTTTTTTGGTACTGTGAAATAATGTCATGCTATAAGAAACCACTGAAACAAATGTTTTTAATGCAAAACATTATTATTTTGGAGAGTTATAAATAAAATATATTTACTTAATTTATTTGAATAAAGAAATAAGATATGTTTACTGAATTTATTTGGAATTTCAAATTTTTCAACGTTTAAAATCACACTTTTTAATCTTATACATTTTGAAGAAATAAGTAAACAGAAGTTTAAAAAAGCATAGTTACGGGGGCCTTGCTATGTGGCCCAGGTTGGTCTCAAAAGAAAGTTTTAAAATTACCTTTCTACATAGAAAAATAAGAAAAATTGATTCATTTATATCTAAGTACCATAATAGCAGTAATATCAACAGAAGCACACAAAAAGTTTATATTTTAAAATCTTGATAATCTTAAAGTTTTCTAAAATATTTGGACATACATATAAATATTCCAATATCAAATTCTAAACTACAAGAAGGTAAAGTGTGAACAGGTCTTTTTTTTTTTTTTTTTTTTTTTTTTTTTTTTTTTTTTTTTTGAGATGGAGTCTTGCTGTGTTGCCCAGGCTGGAGTGCAGTGGCATGATCTTGGCTCACTGCAAGCTCCACCTCCCGGGTTCACGCCATTCTCCTGCCTCAGCCTCCCGAGTAGCTGGGACTACAGGCGCTCGCCACCACACCTGGCTAATTTTGTTTTTGTATTTTTAGTAGAGACGGGGTTTCACCGTGTTAGCCAGGATGGTCTTGATCTCCTGATCTTGTGATCCGCCCACCTTGGCCTCCCAAAGTGCTGGGATTACAGGCGTGAGCCACTGCGCCTGGCCAGGTCTTATTTTTATCTTCATAAATTATTAATATTTGTTTATTTTCTTGTCTAATCAAATATTATATTGGAAAACATTTTGAAAAAGAGTGGCACAAAATAGGACTTACGAATTTTTTTCATCTAACTTATTTTTTTACCAGTTTTTTTAACTCCATGAGACCTACCCTCTACTTGTGAAAACTAATATTGATGGCACTGTTTACATCTCATGAAAGGAGTTCCAGAGGTATCTTTGTTTTTAACAAAAATGTTTACAATTCCAAAATTCCTCAGAAGAGGCGTGAAAAACAATTTCTCTTTTTGTAGATATAATCTATTTTTCTTGTTATTCTCGTCGCATGAACACTTATGAGAGAAGGTTCTTTAACTGCAATGATTGCCAGCAGACCATTTGCTTGAAAATATTTTTTCCCTCCGAGGTTTATCATGAACTCTCTGGATGGCCTGATAGTGGTGTCACTAGGGTTTGGGGATCTGTTAGTTATCAAGTTACGGGATGAAGGCAGCTGGTGTCTGTGCCACTTGCAAAGAGGAGTATAAAATAATTGGTTAATCATTTCTCTTTTTCTTGAGACGGAGTCTCGCACTTTTGCCAGGGCTGGAGTGCAATGGTGCGATCTCGGCTCACCACAACCTCTGCCTCTCGGGTTCACGCAATTCCCCTGCCTCAGCCTCCCGAGTAGCTGGGATTACAGGCACACACCACCACACCCTGCTAATTTTTTGTATTTTTAGTAGAGACGGGGTTTCACTATGTTGGCC
Organism: Homo sapiens; assembly: GCF_000001405.40. Taxonomy (NCBI): domain Eukaryota; kingdom Metazoa; phylum Chordata; class Mammalia; order Primates; family Hominidae; genus Homo; species Homo sapiens. The sequence continues at coordinate 139,683,106 of NC_000006.12, forward strand.
AGATTGGTCTCAAACTCCTGACCTCAGGAGTCTCCTTGGTCTCCCAAAGTGCTGGGATTACAGGCATGAGCCACCGTGCCCAGTCTAATAATTTCATTAAGGGAAAAATATCTTAAAGAAATCAGAAATAGGCCAGACGCAGTGGCTCATGCCCGTAATCCCAGCACTTTGGGAGGCCGAGGTGGGCATGAGGTCAGGAGTTCCAGATCAGTCTGGCCAACATAGTGAAACCCCGTCTCTACTAAAAATACAAAAAATTAGCTGGGTGTAGTGGTGTGCACCTGTAATCCTACCTACTTAGGAGGCTGAGGCAGGAGAATTGCGTGAACCCGGGAGGCGGAGGTTTTGGTGAGCCGGGATCGTGCCGTTGCACTCCAGCCTGGGTAACAGTGTGAGACTCCTTCTCAAACAACAAAACAAAACCAATCAAATCAAAACAAAACAAAACAAGAAATCAGAAACAAATTTGCCTCTGTATTCCAGGCACAAGTATTTCCACTTTGAACTTTTTTTTTTTTTTTTTTTTTAGCAAGAGTCTTGCTTTGTTGTCCAGGCTGAAGTGTAATGGCAAAATCTTGGCTCACTGCAACCTCCGTCCTCTGGGTTCAAGCAATTCTCCTGCCTAAGCCTCCCGAGTAGCTGGGATTACAGGCATGAGCTACCATGCCTGGCTAATTTTTGTATTTGTAGTAGAGATGGGGTTTCGTCATGTTGGCCAGGCTGGTCTCGAACTCCTGACCTAGGTGATCCACTCACCTCGGCCTCCCAAAGTGCTAGGATTACAGGCGTGAGCCACCTTGCCTGGACTCCACTTTGAACTTTTATGATCATTTTCTAAGAATGAGGTTTCTGGAGGAAAAGCTATAGCTTTTTTCATATTTCAATTATGAGGCTCATTGAATTTTTCCCCCAATGGGCACCAATTCCTAGGAATTTGAAGGACTAGAAAAAATTGGAGTTATTTTGTTATGCTTTATTCTCACTCTAAATAATTTTTAAATTTTTACAATATTCATTAAAAACAAAAATACCATAGGAAACCTCCTTATGATAATAACATGCCCTGGGAGGAATCACTATAGGAAAGTTTCTTTTTACTGCTATGGGGAATATTTCAATTGCCAGTATTCCTCCAAGGGATAATTAGGTATGTGTTTGGCAGAAGAGCAACAACAAACAAACAAACAAACATATACTCAAGCAAAAAAAACCTAAATGGCTTTTTATTTATTTATTTATTATTATTATTATTTTTGACACGGAGTCTCACTCTTGTTCCCCAGGCTGGAGCAATTTCACTGCAACCTCCGCCTCCTGGGTTCAAGCGATTCTCCTGCCTCAGCCTCCCAAGTAGCTGGGATTACAGGAGCAAGCCACCATGCCCGGCTAATTTTTGTGTTTTTTAGTAGAGATGGGGTTTCGCCAGTTTGGCCAGGCTGGCCTCCAACTCCTGATCTCAAGTGATCTGCCTGCCTTGGCCTCCCAAAGTGTTGGGATTACAGGCTTGAGCCACCATGCCTGGCAAGATGTTCTTGAAGAAAGGGTTAATGTGGAAAGGGGAGGTGGAGAAATTAGGTTGTATTCCTTAGAGGGAAAAGAGGAAAAAAAAATCAAAACCTCTGGAGCAGCTTGCCTGAACAGGGACTTAATAGAAATTTCTGATAAGGTGTTTGAGTTGTTTGCAGAAATTATTGAGAATTAATGCACCTTGTTCCTCCCCTACATATCTTCAATAAAGGCTGCGTTGCTTATTAACATTAGAGTGAATACCCTCTTTTGGGTGAGATCAAATACGTATTGAGTTCTGCATCTGGATGTGGATGAAAACAGCAGATACAGAAACTGACCTTGGGGTCACAGTGAAATTCACCCTTTTCATAGTGGCAGAACATTTCTAATTTAAGGTGGAAGGCTTCTTTGAGAAAGTGACTTATAAAAATGACCTTGAAGTATCTTTTTCTTCATGTATAGAATTACATAACAGAGCTAGTTTCTAAATATAGATAGGCATTAAATGGCAAAGATGAGTGTCCATCTATATAGAATTCAAGTCCTAAAACCTGGAAGGTTATTTACATCCCAACTGGCTCCATGACAGTGGGCTATGAATAGCTAGGACCCTCAATTTTGATAGGTTTGCAGTTAATTTGAAATATGATAGTTTTAGAGGAGCTGCATAAAAATAGATCCAGAGCTTGCCTTGGCTCTAAGACCTCATGGAAGGCCAATCTTAGCTTTATTATGTGCAAAATAAGAAATGTGGGTAAATGACCTCTAGGGTCCCATCCAAGTCTAATATGATGAGTTTATCATTAGAAAATGTTACTCCTTAAGTGGCTATAAATGTTGCTATGATCTTTCTCAAGGCCTTAGTTTTTCAAATGGCCTGTACCTTCTGGAAATACTACCATAAATCTATAGGTAACCCTTAGTTTTAAAATTATCCTCTAGCCACAGTATGGTACTTCTGGAGTCTTCGTATGCTCTCTTTTCAATGGGATTGGTTTTCACTAAAACATTTTATAAATAATGGAAATATAAAATCGAAATAATTAAAAAATGTAATAATAGTTATAAAGTGCTGAGCTACAAAGGCAATTATACTGACAACAAACCAGTTATGATAATGATGATAATAGTAACAAACCAAATCATAACAAATCTTTATACTCAAAGCACTCCTCCATTCGTGATAAAGAGCTCCATTAATTATGGCTATTTGAAACGTGATTAAACAATTGATATGTTTCTTAATTTTTCTGGTACATAAAACCTGTCTGTTGATTAATAAGTGGATTCATTCATTCCTTTAATAAGGGAATATAATGGTAAAAAAAAGTCAGACTTTGTCTTCATCTTCATAAAGTTTAGTCTAATAGAAGGTCAGAAATTTATGAAATAAATACCTATATGAAAGTGGAATTGCCACTGTGATGTTAGAAGCATCTGATCCTTCAAGGAGGATAGGGAGAAGGTTTCCCTGAGAAAGTGACATCTCTATTGTCATCTTAAGAAAGAGTAAGAGTCAATAAGTGACCTCGGCTCACTGCAACCTCTGCCTCCTGGGTTCAAGCGGTTCTTCTGCCTCAGCCTCCCGGGTAGCTGAGTAGTAGGTAGGTGTGCACCACGACACCCAGCTAATTTTTGTATTTTTAGTAGAGATGGGGTTTTACCATGTTGGCCAGGATGGTCTCGATCTCCTGACCTCGTGATCCACCCGCCTTGGCCTCCCAAAGTGCTGTGATTACAGGCGTGAGCCTCTGCACCCAGCTGTCACTGAAGTTTTTAAGCAAGCTGTTTTAGTTGTTAGCAGGGAGGTGGTGGTGGGGCTGACATTATATTATCATAGTTAAAATTTAGAAAGATGACACAGGCTACAGTTTGGAAAACAAATGGGAGGGGCGCCAGTTTGGATGTGGTTAGATCAGATAAAAGATGATTGCAAAACTCCAGGAGAAAGTTCATAGCAACTGACTAGAAAGGTAACGGTGGAAGTGAAAAGAAGTGGCTGGGTTTCCAGGGCTGAAAGAGTGATCAGATTTTTTCAGCAAATGCCTGTCCAGATTTAGGTATATTTCATGAAGGCAACTATAGCAACTCCTATACTTCAGTAGAATATTCCCTTTTTCCCATGTTGGAACTCCAGATAGCATAAGAAATAGCCGAAGTTTTCTATAGCTGTCCTTATTTTTGCTTTCTTCATATTGGCTTCCGGAAATGGGGAGTTTAAAACCAATTGACTTTGGGTGGGCATAGATTTATCTGGATTATTTAGAAGCTGCCTGGCAAAGCAGGACCTCACTCTCTGGAGGATACTTTTTGGCTCCTTCCTTTTTCGGAGATCTCTTCTCCATTTTATCACTACTGCCGAGGTTGGGCTTAGGCTGTGGGCTCTTTATAATGTCAAATGTTGACATGTACTGGAGGTAATGGAAAACCTTGAAGACAATTCTCCCACCGCAAAAAACCAAAGCTAAAGAAAACATTTGTCTACAATCTTTCTATTCCATCTTCTTGCCAGGAATGTTTTCCCTGGGCAGAGGCTCCTAGTGTAGTGCCTTCTATCTATATCTGATAATACGACTGTATATTACCCAAAATTCTATGAAGTAGGAAGAAGTGTATGTATGTATGTGTGTGTGTGTGTGTGTGTGTGTGTGTGTGTGTATGTTTCTGTGTGTTTTTTTGTTTGTTTGTTTTGCAAAGCTTTCTTCTGTTTAAACTGTTCTCCTTAGGGAGAACAATTTCCCCCCACTGCAAAAAATACCTTAATTGTACTATGAATAGTGGGCTAAAGGTCCTGGTGTCAGTGTAGATGGGGGAGCATGAAAAAGAGACTCAGAGTTCTCTAATACAACAGGAATTTAGAGCTTCTCTGCTGGTAGCTCTGGAAAAGAGAGGAGAAGAAGAAAGTCTAAGGAGAGTTGGAAAGAAGGGGTCCCAACAACCTGGCTGCAGTCTAGAATGTAAATTTATATAGTTGGTGAGAAATTTCTATTCACTGAGGGGAGACAAGTTTCAGGGAAAAGAAACATCTGGATTTAAAGCCATGCAGATGTTTCAGCTCTGTGCTGTAATTATTCCCATTATGCCCCCAACTTTCAGTAAAGTGCCCATGCCAGGGAGAATCAGACCAGAAAGGAAACAGCAGCTTTGTCAAGAAGAGATGAGAAGCAGTGAACAGGCAATTGAGTTGAGAGCAGAAATTTTAATGGGCAGTGATGGAAAACACGAGTGCAGCCCTCATCCCATGCCTTAGAAATCCTGACATGTTAAAGAGGGCACCGGGATTTATGCAGCACCAGGAATGGGGCTCGGGTCACTTTTCTTGGATATTGAACCGTTACACCAGAAGGCTGGAGAATTGGAGGCTACCTTGGTTGTAATCGGCTTAGGGCTGTTTCTAGGTGTAGAATCAGCAAGGTAATGTGCCCTGGGCCCCAAATTACCTTGGATTAGACGGATGGTCAGTGGCTTACAAGGCATTGGATACAGACATGAAACCCGGGACTCATGAACTTGGGTATATATATTTGGTCATTAAATTGATTCTTTCCCCAACCCGGTTACTATGAACTTCTACAAAGTCCCTAAAGATTGCTTATCACTCTTCTCTGCTTTTGTTATTAGAGGAGGTTGTGATTTTTAAGACAAAGTAAAAAAATGAGTTGATGACAACACTCAAATAACATTGAGTACCCTCTCTGCTAGGTGTATGCACACATGAATTTAAAAGTTATTGCAGTAACTTTTTTTTTTTTTTTTGAGACAGAGTCTCGTTCTGCTGCCCAGGCTGGAGTGTAGTGGCACGATCTCAGCTCACTGCAACATCCGCCTCCCGGGTTCAAGCCATTCTCCTGCCTCAGCCTCCCAAGTAGCTGGGATTACAGGTGCCTGTCACCATGCCCAGCTTATTTTTGTATTTTTGGTAGAGACAGGGTTTCACCATGTTGACCAGGATGGTCTCGATCTCTTGACCTTGTGATCCGCCGGCCTCAGCCTCCTGAAGTGCTGGGATTACAGGCGTGTACCACTGCAATAACTTTTTTTTTTTTTTTTTGAGATGGAGTCTCACTCTGTTGTCCAGGCTGGAGTGCAGTGGCGCCATTTCAGCTCACTGCAAGCTCTGTCTCCCGAGTTCACGTCATTCTCCTGCCTCAGTCTCCCGAGTAGCTGGGGCTACAGGTTCCCCACCACCACGCCCGGCTAATTTTTTTTTGTAGTTTTAGTAGAGATGGGATTTCACCATGTTAGCCAGGATGGCCTTGATTTCCTGACCTCGTGATCCACCCGCCTTGGCCTCACAAAGTGCTGGGATTACAGGCATGAGCCACAGGGCCGGGCTTGCAATAACTTTTTAATAGAGTTAGTATTATCTTCATTTTGCATATTTAAAAAAATGAGATGTACCCGTGTTCTCACTCATAGATGGAAACTGAACAATGAGAACACCTGGACACAGGGTGGGGAACATCACACACCGGAGCCTGTCGTGGGGTGGGGAGAAGGGGGAGGGATAGCATTAGGAGAAATACCTAATGTAAATGACGAGTTAATGGGTGCAGCACACCAACATGGCACATGTATACATATGTAACAAACCTGCACGTTATGCACATGTACCCTAGAACTTAATAGTATAATTAAAAAGAAAAATGAGGTGTAGAGAAGCTGTGATTTCCTCAAGGTGACACTGCTTGTGTGTTGAACTCAAGACTTTTGATTCCAATCCAGTGTTCTTTTTATTATGCTAATTTCCGTAAATTTACTATCATTCAAAAGCACTGGAGAGAAGAGTTTTGTTCACTGTGATTTTCCCCAACTGCCAAACCCCACTGCATAAGCCCTGGGTAGAAAATGTCTTAGGGGTCTGTTTTGATTGCATTGCTGTATTTTATTCTAATTGTTTTACAGCCATAGAGTAACGAACGTTGAGATACAAAACCATGAGTAAGTTGGAATTCTTTAATTGGGAATCTATTTTCATGTTCCGTTAATTTTTCTTTAGTAGGTAAATAATACACTATTTTGGAGAACTGCAAGAACATTCTCATCATAAGTAGTACTTAGGATTTACTAGAGTTTAGGGGAATGGCTTTTCAATCTGGCAATTGTTTTTTATGTATTTTCACTTCCTGTTGCTCCAGGAACTCAAGTGAAATACTGTTTTTTCCTTTGGTAAATTATTTCAGATCTTGACATTGATAAGACACCACATATATGCAAGTTTTCACTTATTTAACATATTAATTCCAGAGAAACAAGAACAAAGCTGTTTGAGATTTCATTGCAACTTGGTCTTATTCCTAGCTTTATGGGCTAGTGAATGACCTGAAAAATCACTGCCTCCAGCCCCTGCCTCTAGTGTGTGTGATGTTTAAACAATTCAAAAAGAGCATTTCTGCTATTCTTCAAATTTCACAATTTACCTTGGTAACCTAAATCTCTGTAAGGCCATACGCTCCACCTCAAAATATATTCTTCCATTTAACTTAAATCTGTCTTTTCCATTCCCATCTGGTAACTTCAGTCTAGAACTCTGTGTTCTGTTCCCAGTAGGGACAAGGCTCACATGGTCAGCCACCTCTGTGTAAAAATGACTCACAGATTCAATACATGTTCTAGGTCAGCTCTCAACTAGACCAAATCATGTCATTTTTAAAGCCTTTTGTTATCTGGGTCCAGTGTTCCATTCTTGAAGCCACTTTAATGATCTCTTTTAGAATTTTGTCATTTACTCATTCTTCCTTATACAGTGGAGTCAAGATTATGCCTGCATGTGAGTGGGTCTGAATACTCTTAGGTCTCGCTTTGTTGCCTAGGCTGGCTTCGAATTCCTGGGCTCAAGTGATCCTCCTGTCTCAGCCTCAAAAGTAGCTGGGACTACAGGTACATGCCACTGCACTCAGATTTTTAAGACTTCATTTGGAAATTACCACATCCAGTGTTTTAGTTACTGCCATTTTTTCTGGTAATGTAAAAAGGGAAGAAGCTGCTAACAAGGTCCATAAAGTGTTCATTTTTATTATTTAAAAATATTTAGTATTAAGTGCCTACTAAGTGACACTGTTAAGTCTCAGGCACTGTTCTAGAGATTTGGGATACATAAATGAACAAAACAAGAATCTCTGCTTTCTTAGAGCTTACATGACAGGTGTCACGTATCATACTCATCATGTACCACATGTATTTATGGTCCCTGTCAACATGCAGTTATGGCCTGTAATATATCTGGAGCATTTACACACCTGGGAAGGTTCTTATCCTCACATCCTCATAAGCTGGGGTAGTCAGACAATGGAAAGTGTGGGCTCCTGGCTCAACAGAAAACCATACTAGGAATATATGCTCAAATAAAACATTGCATATTTGGTGGCTACCTGTTTTGTGATACTTTTTGTGTTTAGCAGGCCTTCAGTGGTATATGTAATATCATACCCTCTTTATGTGACATTGTAGAAAATGTGTTTTGCATCTCAAATAATTGAGTTACAATTAAACATTTGGAACACATACATTGAAAATTGTGCACTGTATATGTACATCTACACAATGTATGAGTGTGTTTACTCAAGTGTAAACATGTAGTCACAGAAATATAGCAAAAGCAAGATAGAAGCTATTTATTAAACACATACTTATTGTGTACCTATTCTCTATAAACTTGGTGGTGGAGTCTTTCTCTTAGTGATAGAAATGAGAAATGCATAGTAGTTGGGTTGAAGAGTTTGTTTCAAAATCTGACTTTGATGTTTAGGATACAACTTGCTAGTTGTATAATCTTGAGGAAGTCATTTAACCTTTTGAGCTAATTTCCTTATGTGGAAATTTGGATACTAGCCTCTAAGTTATAGTACCTACCATTGTTAGGATGAAATAAGATGATATTTATGAATGGCACTGAGCTCTTAATAAAGGCTGTTTTTAAAAAGTAGAAACAGATCCTTCCTTAAATGAAGAATAAAACACATGCATCTATTACTCCTGTAAGAGACAGAAAGAGACACAGATAAATGGATGCTGGCTGATTATCAGGATGTGTGATGGACCAGGAGTGATGAAATTTGCTGGAGGAACAGACATTTGAGCAGAGTGGCATTTTTACATGAGAAGATGGATAAGGTTAGTCTAGACTGAAATAAGATCATGAGTGGCTGGGTGCGGTGGCTCACCCCTGTAATTCCAGTGCTCTGGGAGGCCGAGGCGGGTGGATCGCGAGGTCAGAAGTTCGAGACCAGCCTGGCCAACATGGTGAAACCCCGTCTTTACTAAAAGTACAAAAATTAGCCAGGCGTGGTGGCGCATGCCTGTAATCCCAGCTACTTGGGAGGCTGAGGCAGGAGAATCACTTGAACCAGGGAGGCAGAGGTTGCAGTGAGCCGAGACCGCACCATTGCACTCCTGCCTGGGTGACAGAGCGAGACTCCGTCTGAAAAAAAAAAAAAAAAAAAGGAAAATCAGTAAAGTGAGCTCTCATGTAGCACATACAGGGAAGTTTAAATAGTTTAGCCACCCTTGTGTACCCATCCTTTATGTTGAGAATATTATCTATGTCTTCTCAGTGTATGCTATGTGATTTAAGATACTAACTTTTGATCTGAGACTGCAGTCAGTTCACCCAATGACCAGACTCCAAAAGGAGGTGATTTTTGAACATTTAAATTCAGAAGAATTACCTGATTTCTAACTGTCAGTATCACATCTTTGCTCTTCACACTAATGGCATAATTTAACATACACATAACAATTAGTTTAAAAATGAAAAGTATTCCAAAATATTCATCAGAATGATAGACAGTCAACAATAATCCAACTTCTTAATGGTCTTAAGAGTTTGTAAAATATGCAATAAATTTACATGGTAACCTTATGGGCTAATTCCAGGCCCAATTCATCTTAGATACATGGAGTCCTCTTCTGCTTTCTTCTCCAGCCTCCTATGCCATGATCCCCACCTTCCCCTTCAACACACACACACAGACACAGACACACACACACCTCACTGGCCTCCAGCCACTCAAAGCTAGTCGGGGCTCCTGGGACTCATCTGACTTGTTCATGCTTCCATGGCTTTGCAAAGATTTCCTCTCTGCCTGGAATACCAGTCCACTCTCCCCTCTGCTAGCTTAAGGCACCAGCTTCTCTTTCCTGATCAGCTCAAATGCCCTGATGCTTAAAATGAAAATAGTTCTTTATTCTACCTCTGTACCCTAGTTTCAGCACTTGTCACCAAATACTGTCATTAAATTTGTTTCTGACCATCTTCCCTGTTATGTTATGAGATCCCTCAGGGAAAGGCTTATGTTTTAGAAAATTCTTACATAGCCTAGACTTATATAGTAGACATTTAGAAAATATTTATTAATTGAATAAATAAATGAAAAAGATTGAAATGATATGGGACCTGACATTTCTACACCCAGAGTAATTGAATTCAGTTAAGCACACACTATGGGATAAACCAACCAACGGGGAGAAACTAGGAGTGAGGATGAGGAGAAAAATGGGACAGTTCTGATTTGTCTTTTCCAGGCTATTTTGGAGAAAAATTATCCAACTCCTGAAAGAGTGAGTCTCGAATTGTGGCTGTATATTGGATTCACTTGGGGAGTTTATAAACATCCTTTATAAACAGGATGCCTTGGTCTCAGTTGTAGAGACTTTGATTTAATTGGTGTTCACTGTGGGCTGAGTGTTAGCTTCCCAGGTGATTCTCATGAACAGACAAAATAGTCTCACAGTCCTCATCACAGATTTTTCTTAGTACTTCTCTGAGAATGAAAGTAATGTGGGTAGCAACACTGTGGCATAGAGAGAGAGAGAGAGAGAGAGTGTGTGTGTGTGTGTGTGTGTGTGTGTGTGTGTAAAAAATTATGCAATTCCTAATCCTAGGTCAAGGAAGTGGATTAGTGGTATACAGGTTATAAAGGTGCTTTTGAATTTATTAATATTTTAAAATTTCAAAGTGCAAATCTAAAATAAATAAGAACGATGTTTATTAAGTACATTTATAAGTAGCCCACCCAAAGAAGTCATTTTAAAGTCAAATTCTCCTGTCAGTGAGTTTTCAAAGTCATTTAGCTTTTGCTTGAAAGTTGATTCATTTTTAAGCTTCTAATTTTGGGCTAAATAAACACACAAGTAGATTATCTAGATAATTGAAGCCAAACCTATTTTAGACTCTAATTATCCCCACTACTTCAGGTGAAAGTGAGCCTTTACTTTGAATTACTTAGCTAATTGAGGACAAAGCACAGTTTTGGTCTGCTTTCTCTGGATAATTGACAAGTATCATTGCAGCTTTAATGTCTTCATTTTCTGGAGGAACCTGTAGGTGACACATTGTTGTGATGGGAATGTCAGCTTATAGCTAGCTAGTACTAATGCTTCATGATCTGGAGTTTTTCTGAAATATAAGAAGGGAATTTATACAATTAAATCGTGAAAAGTTGCTTTTAAACAAGAACATTGGTTGCATGATCCTATATTCCAATCCTTGATCCAGTTGAATACTTTGGGCCTCATCCAAGATTGCCCAGAACCAATGATGGGCTCTGATTCTCTTCCCCTCCACCAAAGCCTGAAATCTCTTGGCATCAAGACTAGGTTTAAACTGAATCAAAGGCTGGGGACTGAGATGCCCCGACAGGACAGAATTATTTTTATTTCTATTGTTGTGTCAATGTGGAATGTATGAGAACATTTTTTTTCTTTATTTAAACTTTTCACATGGTAGGAAAAGTCTGTTGGAGCAACAGTCCTCATTTCAAAGGTCATTAGTGTGCAGAGTATTTTCTTTCTTTACTGTACTCTCCACAAAAGGGACAAAAAGCCATGAGAACTTGTTGTATGTTCTGCTATCCTTAGAATGCAGTAGAGAGTAGACCCATCTTGGACCCTGTCTATGATAAAAACATTTGGAGATCCTTATTATTATAATTGTAAGGTTCTGAGGAGTATGGCAATCTTTGAGTGGAAACAAATACAAAAGAGAAGTAGATATTTGTGGGAACAATTCACATCATAGCACAAACTGCTAAATATATTCTTAGAACTGATGATACTTTAATAAAAGTCTAGTAATACCATCTGAAACTGTATTTTTAAATATTATTTTATTTAAATACACTTCCATATGTCTTCTCTAAATTCAGTATAAAAATAGGAACTGATGTAGGTTGTTTGCTCTTGTGTAGTTATCTTCAAAATTAGCTATTTTTTATCCCCATTTACTAAAAAATAATGACTCACCAAGAAGTGTGCAATCCATAGCTACATAAATTGAAATGAGATCTTTTAAGACATCATCCTCAGCTTATTGATGTTGTGGTTATATTAATAAGTTCGCTAATATTTCAAGGCTTTCAGTCCCTTTGGGTTTTCCTGTGTATGTCTCCAAGAGCTTGGCTAATGTGGCTTGTTCCTGAGAAATGAAGGCAGTCTTGGTTTTTGTAATCTTCCTTCTGGTTTCTGAGACCTTCTGAGTACCTCTCCCTCTTCCCCTTAAAGATAACTAATCCCATTTAAGAAATCAATATGGGTGATGTGAGTCTAAGAGTGGTTAGGTTAAGGACATTAAAACCAGAGAAAACCCTTTCACTTTCCCGTAACACCCCCTATGTTAATTTAAAGTCAAAGTTAGGAAAGAGTCCAGAGTCATCTGGGCCGATCATCATACTGTTGGTGCCCATGGGTCGCCTTAAAAGAAAACCCTTTGGTAGCATTTTCCAGTTTGTTTTTAAGGAAATGGGGCTTTGAAAATAGTGATTCCAGATACATCTGTGGGAGCTTGTACACGGGTGGTGAGTGATGGGCTAGTGATTATGATAAAAGCTAATTTACTGAGTAAACTGTGATAGATACTTTTCAAAGCACTTTATATGCATTGACTCTTTAATCCTCATAACAACCTTATGAGGCAGGTACTATTATAATCCTTATTTTACAGATGAGGAAAATGAGAGGTTAAGTAAATAGCCCAAGGTCAACAGTGAGTAAATGCAAGAGATGGAATTCAAACCATAGTATCTGCTTTTCAGCACTTTACAGTGCTATTACTATGCCATGCTATGCTTTTCTAGAAGAAGACAGACTATTTTAGTTACTGGAAATAAGAATATTTTTCAGAGGTCTTATTTATGGTACAGCTGTCTGTGTAAAACCTGACACCCAAGGACACTTTAAAGCTCTCTATGTGATTATCTGACATCAAAGCATTGTAACCCCATAGGAACACTGAAAGTTGAGGAATTGCATTGAAAAATTAGAATCCGTATGCAGCAATACGAAGGTTTTTACTTTATTAGAAGTAAATTGACTAGTGAGGAATTCAGAATCGTCGTTCAACTGCTGACTTCCTATAAACCAAGAAAACGTGATTTCTGAAACTGATAATAGCATGCAGAAGCAGTTAGAGAACTGAGGGCTAGATTGTAATGCCTTATGTTTTATTTTATTTAAGAAATGGTACCTTCTCCAGGAAAAAAAAAAATTCTGTAACTTAAGAAAATAAGTTTTTGAGCATAGAAGTCCAGTTGGTATATTTTGCTCAAATCCAGGAGAACTGTACTTATTCAACCATAAAATCATAAAGCAGAGAGTTCAACTGAAGATGTAGTCTCATGATAAATAATTAGATTGTAAAGGAGAGAAAATGTAACCTGACAGCTGAAATTTTAAAACTTATTTTTTCCTTTATGGAGTTTTGCAATAGAGTTTTGGAAAAACTTGCAAGATATTTGGAGAAATATCAGGAATGATTTTAAATCATAGTTGTTAACAAATCCATGCGTCTTATTACCCAAACACATTCTGTGTTTTAATACCCATAAAAGAGATGAGCTGCATATATAATAGTTAAAGCACTTTAATTGCTTAATGATTTTCTATCTCGGTATTTTTTTTTTGTCTTGACTTAAAAGGTTTTGTTTCTTGTCCTACCTAGATGGGTGATATCCATTTATGTAACCAAGCTGAAAATTTGAGCTGCTATTATGTTATGACCGTGACACACAGTTGCTGAAAAATCAGATTTCTTGTGATTTGATTGATGCTAAAATCACAATTAAAATTTTCTGTTGTTTAATTATCTTGCTTTCTTATGTTTTGCTCTTTTCTTCTTATAATTGAACAGTTGCTTTGGAAATATCCAACTCAGATAAAAACTTAAAGTGGTAGAACTATATGAGGTGTGAAATAGAGTTGGACATTCTATGTGTCCAACACGTTGAGGGACTCAACTTTGAAATGTGAAAGTTTTGTTGCTCTTCACCTTGAAAAGTTAAAGACATAGGATTTTGTTCTGCTTCCACTTAGACAAGTATAATATTTCCCGTTTTTGAGTCATTCCCATACCACTTTCACACATTTTTGCTGTCTACCACCTACACAATTACTTACTAGATATTTTAAAAATTGACTTATTTTTATACTTAACCTTATCTTAAGCAACAGTGTGTCCGGAATTGGTGGGTTCTTGGCCTCACTGACTTCCAGAATGAAGCTGCAGACCCTCGCGGTGAGTGTTACAACTCTTAAGGTGGCGCGTCTGTAGTTTGTTCCTTCTGATGTTCAGATGTGTTCGGAGTTTCTTCCTTCTGGTGGGTTTGTGGTCTCGCTGGCTTAGCAGTGAAGCTGCAGACCTTGGCAGTGAGTGTTACAGCTCTTAAGGCGGCGCCTCTGGAGTCATTCGTTCCTCCCGGTGGGCTCGTGGTCTCGCTGGCTTCAGGAGTGAAGCTGCGGACCTTCGCGGTGAGTGTTACAGCTCATAAAAGCAGTGTGGACCCAAAGAGTGTGCAGCAGCAAGATTTATTGCAAAGAGTGAAAGAACAAAACTTCCACAGTGTGGAAGGGGACCCAGCGGGTTGCCACTGCGGGCTCGGGCAGCCTGCTTTTATTCTCTTATCTGGCCCCACCCACATCCTGCTGATTGGTAGAGCCCAGTGGTCTGTTTTGACAGAGCACTGATTGGTGCGTTTATAATCCCTGAGCTAGACACAAAGGTTCTCCACGTCCCCACCAGATTAGCTAGATACAAAGTGTTGACACAAAGGTTCTCCAAGGCCCCACCAGAGTAGCTAGATACAGAGTGTCCATTGGTGCATTCACAAACCCTGAGCTAGACACAGGGTGCTGATTAGTGTGTTTACAAACCTTGAGCTAGATACAGAGTGCCGATTGGTGTATTTACAATCCCTGAGCTAGACATAAAGGTTCTCCACATCCCCACCAGACTCAGGAGCTCAGCTGGCTTCACCCAGTGGATCCTGCACCGGGGCTGCAGGTGGAGCTGCCTGCCAGTCCTGCCCCGTGCGCCCGCACTCGTCAGCCCTTGGTTGACTAGGCGCCCTGGAGCAGGGGGCGGTGCTGATCGGGGAGGCTCCGGGCGCACAGGAGCCCAAGGAGTGGGTGGGAGGCTCTGGCATGGAGGGCTGCAGGTCCCAAGCTCTGTCCCAGGGGAAGGCAGCTAAGGCCCAGGGAGAAATCGAGCGCAGCGCCGGTGGGGTGGCACTGCTGGGGGACCCAGTACACCCTCCGCAGCCGCTGGCCTGGGTGCTAAGCCCCTCATTGCCCAGGGCCGGCAGGGCCAGCCGGCTGCTCCGAGTGCGGGGCCCGCCAAGCCCAGGCCCACCCGGAACTCCAGCTGGCCCGCAAGCGCGGCGCGCAGCCCCGGTTCCCGCTCGCGCCTCTCCTTCCACACCTCCCTGCAAGCTGAGGGAGCCGGCTCCGGCCTTGGCCAGCCCAGAAAGGGGCTCCCACAGTGCAGAGGTGGGCTGAAGGGCTCCTCAAGTGCCGCCAAATTGGGAGCCCAGGCAGAGGAGGCGCCTAGAGTGAGAGAGGGCTCTGAGGACTGCCAGCACGCTGTCACCTCTCAACAGTATTCATGAAATCATAGGTTTGATGTACTAGCTTTGTATATTGCTTTATATATTTGCATTACTTAGTAAGATAAGTACCAAAGTATTGAAATTTAAATTGCTGTATCCTGGTACCACCCAACATCTGTAGTGCCAACATTGGCAAAAAACTGTCCTGGTGTAACAATGGGGCATTTAAAGTATTTTAAATTTTTCTCTCTCTCCTCTTCTTTCTCTCCCTTTTAGAATGTGGAAATGGTGCAATAACTTGTAAAGTTACCATTCAAGTGTTTCTCAATCTGTTTTTCTTCATATAGAAATTATGGCTATATTTCTGTCCAGCGCAAATCTCTGAGCCAACTTGGGCTTTTGGTTATTCTAGACAGGTTTTCCGTAACTCCACCACTTTCTCTCCTGCTAAAGAAAGTATAATGGAATGCAAGTGAGCTAACCTTGATTTTCTGTATTTTTAAGAGTAAATCATTTACAAACTCAGTCCTTTAATTATGACTAGTAAAAAACAATTTCCTTGCAACACGCCCCTCTACTGATTGCAACACCATGCTTGAGAGCCTCTGTTCTTACAAATTAAAAGGCACTGCCAGAATTTTTGTTTTTGTTTTAAATTTGCATCAAGTAACAGTGTGCTTGGGATTATTTTTTTAAACTACAAAGGGTTGCTTTAATTCTGTTCATTTTAATTCTTTTTTACTTTCAAAAAAATTTTTTCACCTCATAATTTTAAAAAAAGTGCTATATTGAGAACTGTATGTAACTTGACTGATTATTTTGGCAATTATAGCATGACCAGCTCATCTCAGTTGGCCTGGGAAATTTTTACTTTTAGCACTGAAGTTCCATATCCTAGGAAATCCTTCAGCTCTGGGCAAATGGGACAGTTGGTCACCCTGAAGCAGGTGGACATAAATTGAGAATGTATTTATGCAGAAATCTTGGACATCAATCTAATGTTCTCAGCTAAAAACGGAGAGATCTCTCCATTGCTCAACTTGCTGATTTTCTAGGTTGCCATTATAGTGAGCTATCAAAAACACACATCTTAATCATGCCACTGCATTGCACAACATGGCTTCTCATCCATTTCTGGATTAAGCCCAAACTCTTGAAAGTGGCTCATCTGGCCTTATTTAATTTAGTCCAGTGGTTCTCAAACTGTACTCTGGTAAGGACCAGCTAGATAATTTGTTAAAAAGGAAGATTCCTGTGCCCCTGGTTCAAAAGGAATGAATCTGGATAGTAGCTGAAAAACATTTTTTTTTTTTTTGGTTTTGTTTTTTAACAACAACAACAAGAAGCTTACAGCGGGTCATTGTGTTTTAGGTGGTCTTTGAACAATGTTTTGAGAAAAAACAACCTAGTTCCTTTTTTCTTTGATAGGTTTAATCTGTTGCACTCTCCCCTTACACTGTATTCTCTGGGTTTACTATAATTTCTTTAGGCTTTGTAGTGTTCCAGGCCCTTAACACACATGCCGGGCCTGCTCTCTGAATCTCTCTCCTACATTTGTGGGCTGATCAGATTTCTACCTAGAAACCCCCTTCTCAGTGAAGCCTTTGCTGAAGCCCCTGTTAGAATTTTCTCTCCCATTGCCTCCATCAGAACCCTCTCTCCTCCAGCCAGGTGCACATAGCATGACATTGTACTTGCCTATTCCTTGTGTGTATCTCCCTTTAAACTAAAGTCCCCACAAACCTCTCATTTATCTTATTTATGATTGCCTCCCCAGTTTCCAGTTCATTGTTGAACACATGTTAAGAGGTTAAGATTGTTTACTGAAGAATTAAATTACTTTGTTAATGGAGAGATTGGTGTCACACAATGTCCTAGCTGGGCTGGAACGTAGACTTATACATCTGGTATTGGGTTACTCCCTTTCTGAGTCCTATTGATTATATTTATTGATATGTTTGGGTGCTTTTATTCTTGGGCTAAAGGAGTAAGTAGCAGGCAATTTGATGATGGGGAAGAATGCAGGGCCACCTGAGAGGGAGGCAAGGGAAAGAAAATATAGAGGGTTAGAGAAATGGCATTTCATTCCTCCCCATCTGGACATGAGGGGCTGGTCTGGAGCATGGGAAGAGAAATGGGCAGTGGCAGCTCCATCCAGGTCACTGGCTCAAGGGGTAGATGTGAGACAGCTAGGGGGGCTTGGGAACAAGAAGCCACATACACCCACCCCCAACATACACAGATGCACACATACACATCACATACACATACCCATCCCCCTGCCGACACACACACACACACACGCACAGCTTCCCTGCCTACCATCACCAAGGACACAACTCTTTCCCCAGAGTGCTCTGGGCAGCTACCATCAAGGGCTGGTAGTGCTTTCTCAGAGGCAAACAGCAGTACAATTATCCTGAGCACTGAGGAATCCCTGATCCCCCTGGAAATCCCATGATAAAAACAAAAGAGATTTGGTGATGGTATTGAAGGGAAAGTCACAAGCTGACATCTTGTATTAATAAATGCAGACTGAAAATTTTTGTAATTTGGATTTTGTGCAAACTGGACATTTGAATGTGAATGAGAATAAATCAAATGCAGCTTTTAGACAAAGCCCATCATGAAACATCAGCCTCAGATTGCCAAGACAAGACTTTCTCATCATAGTGGACTGTGAGGTCTATGAAATGGGCTGGCTGAATTTTAACATTTTATTGCTTTATGGACTTTTTATATGTCATTTAACATGAAAGACACCACTATTCTTAACAACTGGTGGTACTGTGGAGTATTTTTCCAGTCCTTGGGAAATTTCCACTGAGTCAATGTACAGCAGGCCTTGATATCAAATCTGTTTTTGAACAACTAGCATTGACCTTGCTGGTTGTGATACTAGTGATGAGCTGCCACATTAGATTGTGCTGAGCCCATATAGCAGCTTAGGGAGCGGGGAAGGGTGAACACACAGCTGATTTCTGCCTGAGAGAGTCTTACAATTGTGTGGATGGTAACTGGACAAAGATTCAGTGGGAACTCTACACATTTACTCAGAATGATATTAACATCCTGTATTAGTTCGGTCTCACACTACCATAAAGGACTGCCCAAGACTGGGCAATTTATAAAGGAAAGAGGTTTAATTGACTCACAGTTCTGCATGGCTGGGGAGGCCTCAGGGAACTTACAACCATGGCAGAAGGGGAAACAAACACATCCTTCTTCACATGCTGAGAAAAAGGGGGAAAAGCCCCTTATAAAACCATCAGATCTCGTGAGAACTCACTATCATGAGAACAGCATGGGGGTAACCACCCCCATGATTCAATTACTTCCCACTGGGTCCCTCCCAGGACATGTGGGGATTATGGGAACTACAACTTGAGATTTGGGTGGGGACACAGCCAAACCATATCACATCCCCTGGTGAATGCTCCTATTATGCTACTTGGCGGTATGCATATGTACTTCCTGAGCAGTTTCTTGAGCTAAGCACCTCACTTTGTACTGGCAACAAGAGGAGAATTTAGTATTTCTGTAGAGGTGCCTTGAAATATGCCTTAAATTTTGGAAGACTAAAAAAAAAATACATAAATAACTAGCCATGATGGACATTTCCTAATGAAATAAAACGTAGTAGTTTAAAATTCGGAGTTCCCTATTATTGGATGTTAGATCAACTTACATAATTTCCATAAAAAATTTTGGTGGGCTTGGTCTTTATATACAATTAGGCATTGAACCTCCACCTTGTGCAGTTGAAAGTCCACATATAACTTTTGCATTCCCTGTAACTTAACTACTAATGGCCTACTGTTGACTAGAAGCCTATCAAAAGCATAAAGAGTTAATTAACACATATTTTGTATGTTGTATGTATTATATACTCTATTCTTACAATAAAGGAAGTGGGAGAAAAGAACATGTTGTTAAGGAAATTATAAGGAATAGAAAACATAGTTAGGTTCATTAAGTGGAAGTGGATCATCATAAAGGTCTTCCCTCTTGTCATTACATTGAGTAGGCTGACAAGGAGGAGGATGAGAAGGGGCTGGCCTTGCTGTCTCAGGGATGGCAGAGGTGGGAGAAAATCTAAATATAAGTGTACCCACACGGTTCAAATCCATGTTATTCAAAGATCAGCTGCAATTGTAAACTGTTATTTTTATTGCTTTTCAAAATAGGAGAGTGTTATTTTGGAGGAAAAAATATCAATGTAATTAGAAAGGTGGAGAGACCAACTGGTGACCGAGTGATATATACATTTATTTTAAAGATCACACATTTAAAATTTTTTAAAAAGAGAAAGAGGGAGAGGAAAGTGTTAAGGCAAATTTACTGCAATTTCACAATGTTAATGCAAATTACATTGAATGTTTGAGAGATACCAGAAGTCTCCTAAATGTATAAGGCCAAGGAAAGCTTATGCTTGACTTTCAACTGGGGAGCAGGAAGAGATGCCAAGTGTGATGAATGGGAATTCCAGAAAACACAGAGAATTAGATGGCTTCAAATTCTGATTAGAAACTGGAGGGAGGATTGTGGCTGTCTGCATTTTAGCAGAAAAGGCAGCCACAAAATAAAGCAGTTCCTAAGACCACAAAGTAGGTGAGTTATAGATGAGAGGAACAAGCTCACAGAAGACCCCTGGATGAGGGTGGTTATATATAAGTCATTCAGTGAAATGGAGAAGCAGTAGCTTCTGAGACAGGGCCAACTCACTGATTTCTGCTTCTAAACTAGCACACCCAACCATTACATAATCCAGTCCAATGGAAGAAAATACGTGTCTATTTCTAAGCTCAAGCCAAGAGTTGGGGTGCGTAGGCAGGATTTAGAGGCAAAAATGATATACCCCATTAAACCTTGAACATAGGAAAATAACTCTGAGAATTAAAATGTAAACACATTTCATGAATCCCATTAGAAATATGCAAATTTATACTACAGTGTAATTCTTAAAATGGTGGCAGTGGTGAGCTTTTTCCTAACCACTACCATAATGGAATCATCTTGTTTTTTAACCACCCCACCACACCCCTACCTAGATTCACTACTATCATTTACCCAAGTTATTGGTGGTAATGTGTCATTCTTTTCAGGTATGCTGGGGTGTGGGGAAAAACAAAACAAAACAAAATCCTGTGATTTCCCTTGTCTCCAAGTGACTGAATATCTATAGATTTGCCTGGAATATGACAAAAGGTAATAGATATAAAGAAAGAATGTAATGGCAGTCTGCCATGGAAACTGACACTGAAAAGGTTGAGGAACAGGGATAAGCAGCAGTACTCTTCATCCATGCACTGTTCAGGGCCACCTGACCTACGACTGAGTTTCTTGCAGGTTTAGCCCCATAAGCAGAGATGAAAGTATATAGCTCTCAGAGCTTAATGACAGTCAGCCTAACTAAATCCTCTTGCTTTATGTGATTCCATGCTCAACAAATGATACCATTTCTTCAAGGAATACTTTTACTCCCAATGTGATATATCTATGGGTGGACCATGCTCAGCACACACAGATAACCATTCCATTAGCATTTTGGGCCACATTTTAAATAAATGAATTGGCAATGTGGTTTTCTATATACATTATTCTCTGTGAGCTTTATTAACATAAGTCCATCCTTGAAATGTGAATCATTTCTTTATGGGTTGACAAATTTAGTTTCTTTACCTTAAGGGCTAATGGTCAGACCCTTGACGAATTTCCAAGTTGATGTCAGCTTTGTGACTTTTGGCTGGGTGACTAGCCTTCCCTGGGACGTAGGGCTTGTAGCTTACCCTTATTCCATGCCTTAATTTGTTGAGGGGCAAAAATTCCTTTTCTGGCATAAAGTTCTTAGGGGTTGTACGTAGAAATTTTATTTGTTAATAATACACCTGCTTGTAAGATGTAAATGTATAGTTATATTCGACTTAGGGAAAAGGCTTACTAAATCTTCTCATTGGGGAAGGTGTAGTGGTAGTCAGCTTCCAGTGATTATCAGTGTTTATACCCTTCTGTAGTCCCTTTCAAGTGAATGAGGGCTGGCTTGTGTGACAAATTATACATAGTGGAAATAGTAATGTGTAACTACTATAGTTTTTTTGTCCTCATCAAAACTCATGTTGAAATTTGATTTTCAATGTGGCAGTGTTGGGAGGTGGGGCCTGGTGAGAGGTGTTTGAATCAAGGGGGTGGATTCCTCATCAATGGCTTGGTGCTGTTCTCAAGGTAGTAAGTTCTTGATCTCGTGAGACTGCATTAGTTCTTACAGGAATGGATTAGTTCCTGAGACAGCAGATTGTTATAAAGCAAGGTTTGATCCCCTCTTCACACGTGCCTCCTTCCCCTTTGACCTCCTCCACCATGTTTTGACATAGCACAAAAGACCTCACCGGAAGCTAAGCAGATGCTGGTGCCATGCTTCTTATAGAGCCTGCAGAACTGTGAAACAAATAAACTCATATTCTTTGTAAATTACTTGGCCTCGGGTATTCTGTTATAGCAATACTAAATGCAAGAAGACAGTAACTTCCAAGACAAACTTATAAATTACACTGCAACTTCCACCTTGCTTTCTTAGATTACTCAGTCTGGGAAGAGCCAGCACCATATTTTGAAGCAGTCTTGTGTAGAGGCTCACATGGAGAAGAACGTACTTGCCAGCCATATGTTTGAGCTACCTTAGAAATAGACTCTGTAGCCCTGGTCAAGCTTTCAGGTTCCTATAACCCTAGCCAACGCCTGATTACAACCTTATGGATGCCCCTGAGTAGGGGCTACCTAATTGAGCTACTCTGGAATTCATGACTTACAGAAACCATGAGAGTTGATAAATAATTATTGTTTTAAGCCTCTAAGTTTCGGGTGATTTGTTATGCAGCAATAGATAACTAATATAGAATTTGGTACCTGTAAATTGGGGTGATGCTGTAACAAAAATAGAGAGCCCAGAGGGAGGAGCCAACAATCATGGGAAATCATTTTCAGGCAGAAGTAGGACTGAGCCCTAATCAAGAAGTTGGCAACATGTGCCCATCTATTATTTCAGAACTGCTATGGATCAATGACTTCTGTGTGTTTCCTGTTTCACCCTGTTTAAATGAGAGTGTCTATAGTGGTTATCCTATGCCCATCCCACCATTTCATATTTGGTGTGTTTGGGGCAGATAATGTGTCTCTTTATTTCATAAGTTTTTAGATTAAGAGGAACCATACTTGAGATTTATTTGAAGAACGGCACACCTGACGATCCTCATCTGTACCTGGACCTCATCTAAACATCAATATCCTGGACTTTGAGCATGAGTTAATGCTGTAATGGGGTTAGAATTTTGGTGGCCTTGGTCTGGGGTAAGTGGTGTGTGTGTGTGTGTGTGTGTGTGTGTGTGTGCATGTGTATCATTGGGCGTCAGAAAATGGGCTATGGCAGTTAGCCTGCAAGGGGGCCCCTAACAATCTGCATCTTCGGGTATTCAGTCCCCTTCTACACTGAATCAGTATTAGCCTGTGTGGCCAATAACTTGTGACCACGTGACTTAATGAAATGATGATTTGTGTCTTATGAGGTTGGTCATAAAAGGCACTGCAGCTCTGAGGAAAGCCAGCTGGTGGTATGTAAAGGCACTCAAGCATCCCTGTGGAGAGGCCCACATGGAGAAGACTTCCTAGCACCAACTTGACAACACATGTAGACCACATTGAAAATAATTTCTCAATTTCCTCTGGGTGACTGCAGCCCCAGATGACCTCTGACTCCAACCTTGTGAGAAAGCTTGATATATAACCACCCAAATGAGCCATTTTTGAACTCCTGACCAAGAGGAACCATAAAAACTGATCAGATTAATAGTGTTGTTTTAAGCCATTAAGCATTGTAGTGATCTGTTTTACACCGGTAGAGAAGTAATATGGGGTATAAAGATTAATAAATGATGCCTATACACTTCTTTATTTACTTAGAACAAATTCAGAATAATATACTGGAAGTTTGGGTCACAATCTTAAACAATGCCAAGAAATACCAACATTGAAATGCAAGAAGGGAATGTCTCTCTTTTTTTTTTTTTATAAAAGATCCCATTAATTTGACATTACCAAAGGATTCATTCATTCACTTACTGAGGGGTTTTATATCTGATACTTTGCTAAATAGTTTGCATGCATTGTCTCATTTATTCTTCATAAC
The DNA here is from genome assembly GCF_000001405.40 of Homo sapiens. Taxonomy (NCBI): domain Eukaryota; kingdom Metazoa; phylum Chordata; class Mammalia; order Primates; family Hominidae; genus Homo; species Homo sapiens. The sequence continues at coordinate 139,706,611 of NC_000006.12, forward strand.
AACGCGATGATACAGCTAATATTATTATTCCCATTTTTTGGATGAGGAAGTTGTTGTTTAATGTGTTGAATGGAGTGATTCAAGGATATACAGCTATTAAAGGTCAGGTCTTCCTGACTACAAAACTTGTAGGAATTGTGTCTTACCTCTTTATTTGAAAATTGTGCTTTGGGGAGGGCTTGAATTTAAAATATTTAAAATATAGGACGTAGGTTCTAGTTGTCCAGGGTCTATAGAGTGCCAAGAAGGTTTAAGCTAACAACGTAAGATCTATTTCATTCTTTAAACGATTCTTATTTCACAATTGCCATTGTTAATTTGTGTAATAGGAATCACATAGATCACACTCTGGTAGTTATACAGGAAGATAAATGAGATGAGTCCATGCTACAACTAATGACTTCTGGGTCTTGATTTCCTGCTTGCATTTCCTAACTGAAGACACTTACTGGGATCGCAGGCTGTCACTAAAGTTAAACAAAATAAATCATGGATCGTAAAATTAAAAACAATAAACTGATTTTATGGCTGTTTTGTTCACACTGTAAGAGCATTGAGCATAATGGTCACGGCTGAACCAAGCTTAGATATTGCTAAGGCCAATTTTATGCCTTGTCATGCTTTTCATTTTCTTTTGCTTCAAGCTAATGATAAAACAATTGGAAGATTGCTTTGAATCCAGCATATCACTACAGAAACTTTAAAGAAGAGAATATTTTAGTGTAATAGCTCAATAAAGCAAAATTCAAATGTTCCTTTTGGCAAAAGTTTCACTTAATTTTAGCTCAAATTTTCCAGGATACTCTTCAAAAGGTAATGAATTGGCAAATTATTTGGCATTTCTAGTTGCATATTTAAGTGAAGATAAATCTTTATGGTTTTTATATCAAAGTTATGAGTGACTGTTCTCTTTTATTGGAAATTAAAAATCCCTCTATCAACCACAAGCAAGAATGGTACAGGTATAGCTGTGTGTGACTGTGTGTGGGTTGCGGGGGGAGGGAGAGGAGTTATAGGGGCATTCAGGAAGGCAGAGGTAGTGTGGGGGAAGAGTCACAGAATAGAACCATAAGAATATTGAAGCTCAAATTATTGTTAGAGTTGGAAGGAACTCAGGTATGGGAGAACAGTCATGTGTTTCTAAATCAAATTAAATCTCCTGCCAATTGAGCAGTAGATTCTGTCTCAGTCATTTTGAGTACTCTAGGGTCATCAAAAAAACCTAAAATGCTGCCTGAAAAGTTGGGTTGCTGTTGATATCCTCGTGGTCCATGCCCAACAGGTCCTCAAATGTGGATGGCTCCGTTGTCCCAATACCAAGTAGGCTATGAATGGTGTTTGCCTGAGCTGGGAGCGCTAGTTCCTAGGATCTAGCTTTCTGGATTCACCACACAGCCATATCTTTTGAAATTTTTTGCTACCTTTCAAAGTACTGCAAGAAAGTGAGACATGTACCCTCACCACCAATGGGACCTTCCATTCTATTCCCTTCCTAGGAAAACATTGAGCTTCCCACTGTGGCTTCCTACCTTTCCTTCCCAAAGCATCCACCTATTTTCTTGCCTCTCCATGAACCATAGCTTAATCCCCACAAGGAATCCAGGCTTTCTGTGCAAAAGTCAGGAAGGAGACAGGAACAGGAAGAGGACAGGGATGTTTTCAGGAAATGTCTGTAACAAAAATCTCCACTGAGACCAGCAGCACAGAGCACCTGACTGCCTTTTTTTTTGGAATGGGATGGTGGTAGGTAGGAACAAAAAAAATGCAGGGATAAACAAAACCTAAATTAATGTCTCAATTTGTTAACCCATTGCACTATCAGAGTACAGACTCCTGGCAAGCAGATGCCAAAATTGGTAACATGTCCAGATTGGCTCCAGTCCAGCAGAAGTTCAATTGTTGAAGAACATGTATAAAGTCTTCTTAAATACTGTTTGGTCACACCCATTCATTAGTCTGGGCATACTTCCTTTAGGGAGTACCAACCAGTGCCTTCTTTATTTTATATTAAGGGTCACAGAGGATGAAGTTTGGTGAGGCACTTCAGGGGGATTTTCCAATGGGTTTGAATGAGTCTTAGAGAAAATTGTATACTCCAAACTCCTTGGAGAAGAGCTTCCTGGGATAAATGTTAAATCTGTATCAGAACAGAGCACAGCTCTTGTCACTGTTTGGTGCCTGGGTCTGCTGCTGGAAAATTCCTCTTGCCTTATGCTATCAAGTGAGCTAGCTAAATTCTGGAGAAAGCTGCTCATAAAACTGATAAGAGCCCTCTGTTAAACAACCTAATTTGAACTTTATCCCAGAGACCTTGAGAAACAGGGTCTGCACTTTTATAATCCAAGAATTGAATATGGTCCTGCACAGTTGGGTAACATTTGACCTTGAAACGTCGTTCTAAAAGTCGTGTTTCCCCCTTGCTGGCTTTGCTGTTATCTGTGCATCAGTGAACACTTTATCATAGTAACGCTTCAGGAATGTGCAGAATAGTTGAGGAGCTTGAATGCCACAGCAGTTTCAAGTATGCTGGGCTCTTGCTACCAGCTCACTGGGTCGGTCGCTAGAAGACTGCTATAGCACATATGCTGCAGAACTGACGTTCATTACCAGGTCACTTTCAAAGTGTTGGCTAGCAAGTCTGTAGTTAGTTCTTATTTTTCTCCTATGATTTCTGTTTTCAACAAATTTGCAGTCCATTTGGACAGGTAGAATAAACAGGGCAAATAAAACCATAGAAGAATTATTGAGTTCTTCCTACTTCTTATTATACGAAGGGCATGGTATGCATTTTCCCCTTTAACATAACATGCAACATCCAACAGTCTGGAAAGGTATTATTCTACCCATTTTGCACATTAGGAAACTGAGGCTTACAGATGTGAAGATAATGACTCCAAGTCTAACAGCTAGTAAATTATAGACCTAGATTCAAACCCAAGACTGTGATGACAAACCCCAGGTGCTTATTAAGCACTGCACTCTGTTAAACAACCTAATTTGAACTTTATCCCAGAGACCTTGAGAAACTGGGTCTGCACTTTCATAATCCAAGAATTGAATATGGTCCTGCACAGTTGGGTAACATTTGACCTTGAAATGTCATTCTAAATGTCATGTCATAAATACTGTTTGGCCACACCCATTCATTACTCTGGACATCAGATGTGCCACAGAAAATGCCTATATTTTTATTTTGGCTTTGGGGGGACTATTAAATGTTTGCAAAGGAGTGCTTGAATTTGACTTTAAAAACTGGAGTACCATAGTGCAGTGCTTAATAAGCACCTGGGGTTTGGCATCATAGTCTTGGGTTTGAATCTAGGTCTATAATTTACTAGCTGTTAGACTTGGAGTCATTATCTTCACATCTGTGAGCCTCAGTTTCCTAATGTGCAAAATGGGTAGAATAATACCTTTCCCGACTGTTGGATGTTGCATGTTATGTTAAAGGGGAAAATGCATACCATGCCCTTCGTATAATAAGAAGTAGGAAGAACTCAATAATTCTTGTATGGTTTTACTTGCCCTATTTATTCTACCTGTCCAAATGGACTGCAAATTTATTGAAAACAGAAATCATAGCTTCTCTTGCTTTACATTCTCATGCCAAGAAGAATGCCAAGGACATAGCAAGCAGTCAATAAATATTTGTTAGTTCCTGTTATTTCTTTTGAAATTATTCCACTTTCAAGCCAGTTACACAGAACACTTCTTCTTTGGTGATGATCAGACTAAGACCTTCGTTTTTTATGTTTGTTGGAAAGTCATAGAATGTAAATAACACCAGAAGATTTTTTTAAAGTCTCTGTGTCTGGTAGGATTTCTTAAAAATTTGATTCTCTGCATTGTAAGGACTTTTGACAGTAGTAAAAAAAAAAGTACTTGAATGCACATAGGAATAGAGTTCTTAAACCAACATTCATTATTTTTGACTTTCCAGTTGATGTGAGCACTTCATGTATCTTGATAATTTGCTTAAGGGACAATATGCACTTCTAGCCTACCTCTGTCTTTGCAGCTTCATAGTTATCAATAAGATCCTGAGTGAAACTGAGCTATGCACCCACACAATCAACACTTTGGCAGCAGTATCTGCAGGGTGGAGTAGAAGCAAGGAAGGGGGTTGAAAATAGGACAACCTCCAGGGCCAAGATCTACAGCAGCCCTGTGGCTGCCACAGTGCAGATGTTTCTTTTTTGTCATCACTCTAACTAGAAAGACTGTATGAGATTCCAAGTCCAATTTTAGGCTTTTTGGAAGGACAAAAAAAGCATCCTTCATCAAATATTAGTAGATGCTTATGACTGGTTCATATTTTTAATTTAACATATTAGGAGAAATGGCAGACACCACAACATTCAGCCTGCGTGGAGAACAATATGTGACATATTTTCTCTGTAGAATTGAACTAAATGTAGACTTGAACTAGTAACACTACCAGTCACTTTGAAGAAAATCTAACCTTTGGGGGTTAACATTGAAAAGGAAAAGAGAAGGGACGGGTATTAGCTTTTTTTAAACTTTTAATATAATTTAAAAAATTTAGAATAGGCTTAGATTTACAGAAAGTTTGCGAAGATAGTGTAGAGGATTCCCATAAGCCCTGCACCCAGTTATTTACTGTATTATTAGCATCTTATGTTAATATGGTATGCTTGTCAAAATCAATGAGTCAATACTGATATGTTATTTAACTAAAGTCCATATATTATTCAAATTTCCTTAAATTTTACCTCGTACTTTTTCTGTTCCAGCAACCCATCAGGATCTCTCTTTTATTTATTTATTTATTTATTTTTTTTGAGACAGATTTTCTTGTTGCCCAGTTTGGAGTGCAATGGTGTGATCTTGGCTCAAATGGTGTGATTTCCACTCCTGGGTTCAAGAGATTCTCCCTCCTCAGCCTCCCTAGTAGCTGGGATTATAGGCACCTGCCACCCTGCCCAGCTAATTTTCTTTTTTCTTCTTTTTTTTTTTTTTTAGTGGAGATGGGGTTTCACCATGTTGGCCGGGCTGGCTTCGAACTCCTGACCTCAAGTGACCCACCTGCCTTGGCCTCCCAAATTGCTGGGATTACAGGCATGAGCCACCATGCCCAGCCCAGGCTCTCATATTGATACTAACATTTTTGAAGAGCCAATTTAGTACCAGATGCATTTATGTCATCATTTCATTTAATTTTCATACATAGTATTTAGGTAGGCATTATTTTCTCATTTTAAGAATGACACAACTGATATCAGAGAGGGTAACTGACTTTCTCAGAGAAACTCAGAACCCAGGAAGTACTGAAGCAATCAATGATTCATATCCAAGCCATCTGGTCCCAACCCATTTTTTTTCTTCTCGTATCTTGCTATCTTTCTCACTTGCAATACAATGATCAAATTTATATTTGAAACACGTATTGCACATATAGTGTTGCATTCACATTTTGGAAAATAGTTATACAGGAGATTCCTTACTTGCTTTAATGCAAGTAGAATTGTTTGTAAGACTTTCCATCTGATTTCTCACAGCCAGAGAGACTTATCTGAGCTGCAGAAATCTAAAGTACAGCTGCCAAAGAATAATTGGTCATTGAATGATAGATGACTTATTGCTATAATATGTTTAATAATGCCTTGTTATTGAAGGTTCTATATTACAGAAGATGCATTTCAACTTCTATTTCACTCAGAGGTGATATAAAAGAATGTGAGCCATATTTTGGGTTGAGTCATATATTATTAGAGGTTTTTTGTCTATTTTTTTCTGAGTTAACAAGGTTACTCACAAACAATTCACACCAGAAACAAAACATATGGTCATTGGAAAGGGAATTCATGGGACTTCTCACAATCTTTAGTTATTTACATCATACTTCATTACAATTCAGTTACATGAAATCCCCATTCTAGAGTTTCAACTCTTCTCAAATATACAATATCAATTGTCCTGTGGTTGACAGGAAAATTGAGCTTTCAAAAATCTTGAATGTGCTGGAGAAAAAGGTGAAAAATAAACACAATAGGATAAACAGCCATTATTTTAAGCAGAATCTTTTTCTCTCACAACTGTATTTCACCTGCTTAACACTAATAATTAAAAGGATCTAAAAATAGTCCTATAGGAGCCAAAGGTTTCAGTAACAGATTAGAATTACTGGATGTCCATTTCTTGTGGTTAATAACAGATCTATTGTGTTGACTTAAAACATAAAAGGGTGATTATTCCCAACAGATATTTTCTTCTTTACGTTAAACACGGAAGTCTACAAAAAAAAATACTGACTGTTCTTGGTAAGTAGATTTTAATTTGTATCTATATAGTATGCTTCTCACTTCATTAGGCTTAGAATTTGTGACTGAACAGCACTGTTTGGGCAGCCTGCTGCCTAGTTGGTGATGTCAGAAGCAATTACTTTCACAGATTTAAGATTTTGTCATCACACATATCCTGTCTTTAGTTATCTGAGTGGACAGCCCCATCAAGGACAATATGTATTTCATCATATATTTCTCGTGTCATTTTAAAAACAGCTCAAGGATCATCCCCCTTTGCACAACAAGAATGCATCAGTTGGATGAATGGTTAAATAGAGCCATCCAAATTCAGAAATACACTTCTTTTCCTAATTTCAAATTATTTCTGTAGAATAAATGTTGAGTACATTTACCTGGTTTCTTTATTTTGGCTCATGGCCCCTGGAAGAAGGGGATTGATACCTCCTTTTTTTTTTAATTTATGGCAGAAACCTAGAAATCATCATAGATTTTAGCTTGGCCTTCCTCATTCAATTAGAGACCAAATCTTGTGGAGTTTCTTCTTTGACATGTATCATTTCACTATTTCTTAATAAGCTTCCACTCCTAGTTTAGTTTTTTTTTTTTTGCCTGAGCTATTATAATAGTGTTCTTATTGTTTTGCCTAATTCTTTCCTTCACACAGTCACTGCAAAGAAAGGTTTTGAGAAATGCAGATTTGACCACAGTTTCCCTAATTTTCAACCTTCCGAGATTTCTTATTGCCTTCAGGCACAAGTGCAAACTCTCTCCATGACCTCACTTTTCAAATGTCTTCTCCTGGGGGCATGTATACTCTGTAACATCAGGCTGTTTCACACTTGCTTCTACCACGTCTGCATCTTGTATTTTCTGGGTCTTTGTCTCTTGAAGAACAAATAAATACACCTCCTTTAGGACTCAATATCATGTCACACGCTTTCTGAGGATTTTCCTGACCCAATGGGACAAACATAACTACTCTTTGTTCGGCTCCCTGTGTATACCTCTTTCACAACCCTGTAATATATTATGATACAAATTGTCTACAGGTCTGTAGACTCCCTACAGATTTAGCTTTTCGTATTTAAGACGTGAATCGTGTTTTTTTCTCTTTAGGCACACTGATGTTTGAAAATTCCTGATGGTCTCAAAGATCAGTAAATGTGTGAGCCACTGTTACTGTGGCTAACCATGTGCTTGGCTTAGGGCAGAGATACTCAGACTTACTGAATGTAAGAATTGCCCAGATGTTGGATGATATTCAAATTCTTGGAATGCATTCCCAGAAATTTTGATTCAAAAGCAATGAGGAGGGATCCAGAAATCCATTGTTTTCACAGGCACCCCAGGTACTTGTGACACAGGTGTATGAGGAATAAACATTGAGAAACTGACTTTTCCAGTTATCTATTGTTGCGTAACCAACCACCCTCAGGGACATAAACAAACTACTTGGAGGAAATAGAAAACAACTGTTTATTATGCCCATGGATTCTGAAGTTCTGGAATTTGTACATGACACAGCAGGAATGACTTGGCTTTGCCCTATGATGTCTGGGGAAGGAGGGAGACTCAGATGTCTAGGGGGTACTTGAATGGCTGAGGACTGGAATAGATGGGCTGTAGGATCTCTCGTGTTATAGTTTTCTTACTCACATCCTTGATTACTGGGCTGGGATGAGTTAAAGACTGGGTTCAGCAGAGGTGGTCAACAAGAGCACCTACATGTGGCTTGGACTTCTCAGCATGGGAGCTGGGTTCTGAGAGGGAGCACTCCAAGAAAGTAAGCATGCCAAAAGAACTAGATAGAAGCTGCTTTGCCTTTTATGACTTGGCTTTACTTTGCTCAAACTGCTGAGGTGGTCTCAAGCCCACCCAGATTCAAGGTATAAGGCATATACCCCCCCTCAATGGAAAGAGTTTCATAAAAAGGACAGCAATGTTTTAAAACTGCCATATCGATTTTGAACTTTGATTTATCTGTTTATATATATATAAACATATATATATATATATATGTTTTCGCTACTGGATCTGTGAGCTGTTTGAAGATAAAGATGGTATCTTATTTAGTCTTGAACCCTCAGGATCTGTTACAAACCTTGGTGGTTAATATAAACCCGGTAAATACTCATTGCTTTTAACTTATCTAAAGGTCAACAACCATAACCCTTCAATTACTGGGTATTATGGAGTATTATTGATCTAGAGATGCTTCTTCAGCAAGAAATTCTTTGCAAAAGACAGGGACTTGCCTCATAAAAGTTGACCGAATGATTTTTTTTATTGCTACTTAAATCCTAGTTGTACTATTTTGTGACTGTGATCTTGGGCAAATTACTTAAATTCTCCATACTTCTATTTACTCTTACTCATCTCTGATGTGGGGAAAACAGTGGTATTTACTTCAGAGGTTGGGGGTAAGGAACAAATGAAATACATAAAGTTCTTAGATAAGGGCAGGTAGTGGAGTTGAATAGAAAAGCCCCCTTCTTGTGAAGATATTATCATTCTTACAATAGCCATTGATGACTACAGTTAATCAACCACTAATGTGAATAACAGTTAAATTATTTCAATATAACCCCATAAGCTTTATTTGTGTATGTAGGTATGCACATATATGTTGATATGTAAGTAGTTTTATAAAAGTATGCTTTTTAGCGAAGCATATTTACTCACCACATTATAAATCATAAGTGAACAGCTCAAAACATTCTTACAGTGAATATATTTATGCAAACACTACATAAATCAAGAAAAAGAAGCTTCTGTATCCCCAGAAACTTCCTTGTCATTCTACCAGTCATACTTCATCAAGAATATCTACTCTTCTGACTTCCACGACTACATTTTTTTGGCCTATTTTTGAATTTTATATACATAGAATAAGATAGTAGGTAGTCTTTTGTGCCTGCCTTTTTTTTTGTTCAATATTATACTTGTGAGATTCATCTATGCTGTTGCATACAAGAGTATTTCTTTCATTTTCATTGTGGCGTAGTATTCTATTATTTGTACAATCCAATATTGACTAACATTTGGGTTATTTCCAGTTTTTGGCTACTATGAAGAATGCCCCTATGAACACCCTTGTGTATACCTTTTGGCACTCATATGTATTCGTTTCTTGTGTATGTAGGGAGGAAAAAAATTTCTAAGTCATAGAGTAAGACAATTAGGTTTTCTGTTTTTCCTTGCTGTTCCGTAGGGTGAAAATGGTGTATATATATATACACATACAATATCTGAGTATGTACGTACATATATATCTGTCTAGAGTATAATCTTTTGTGGAATATATGTATTACGCATATCTTTTCCTTTTCTGTGATTACCTTTTCATTAATCAAATAACTTTCAATGAATGGAAGTTCTTAATTTTAATAAAGTCCAATTTATCAATCTTTTCCTTTATATAATACTTAGTACTATTTGTGTCATGTTTAAAAAAGTTTGTCTCACCCAAGATTATGAATGTATTCTCTTATGTTTAGTTCTAAAATATTTATTATTTTAAAATGAAATTTACGTTTATAATTGCCCGGAATTGATTTTTGTCTACAGAATAGTGACAATAAGACAATATAGATGATATAAAATATTGTCTATAGAGATTATTATTTAGTCTTATATAGGTAGAAAACCCAGCACCAATTTTTGAAAAGATTATCCTTTCTTCAAGTCCAATTCAGAGGCATCATTGCCATAATCAAGTCTGGTTTTAGACTCTTTATTCTGATTCATGGGTTTAATGTCTGTCCTTGTCCCAAGACCTTACTGTTTACTGTCTTAATTACAGGAGTTTTATAATAAATCTCAATATATAGTAGCTTCAATTTTTCCATTTCTTTCTTTTTCAAGATCATCTTAGCTATCCTTGCTTCTTGCATTTTCATGAATTTTAGAATCAGCTTGTTGATTTACACACACATACACACAAATCCTACTAGGATTTTGGCTGAGTTTTTATTACATGTGTAAGTTAACTTGGGGAAAACTGACATTGTTACAATATTGAATGGTATCTCAAACAAGGTGTATCCATTCATTTATTTAAGATTTATTGATTTCCCTCAGTAATGCTATACTACTTGGAATGTAGACTTTTACATATTTCAATAGATTAATTTCTAAGTATTTGATGTTTTAATGCTACTGTACATAGTATCAGTTTAAAATTTCATTTTGTAATTATGTTTGTTCATATATACAAATGATTTTTTTTATGTTGCATAACGGCCGGCAGCCTGGTTAAAATCACATAGTAATTTTAATAGTTTGCTGTAGGTTCTTTCAAATTTTCTAAACACACAATCATATTGCCATGAATAGTGATAATTTTTTGATCTTTCTTTTCAATCTATATAAATTTTATTCATTTTTCTCACTTTATTGTGTAGCTAGGAACCACAGTTACATAATTTACAAAATTTGGCAGCAGACATTCTTTTTCTTATTCTTATGCCCAAATCATACAATTCAATATTTAGCTAAGTACATTTTCTTTTGCATTAGGAATTTTGGAAATATACTTTATCAGGTTAAGAGATATTGTATTCTATTCCTGATTTGCTGTATTTCTGTCTTGAACATGTTGACTTTTATCAATACAATTGAACTGGTCACATTTTTTTCTCCTTTATTCAATCAATATAGGTTGATTTTTAAATACCTAAAAAAAATTGCATTCTGGAAAAAAAACCTTGTAGTGACTTATAATTCTTTTTATATGTAGCTGGATTTGTTTGCCCATATTTTGTCCATATTCATGAGAGAAAGTGGCCTATAATTTTTCCTTTTTTAATGTCCTTGCCAAGTGATGTTCAGGTTATGCAGGACTAATAAAACTAGTTGAGAAACATTCTCCTTTTTTCTGTTCGCTTCATGAGTTTGAGTAAGATTTTTTTTCTTAAATGTTGGAAATAATTCAATGGTAAAGATATCTGCACTTTGAATTTTCTTTGAAGATTTTAAATTATGGATTTATGTTATTTAATAAGCTACTCATTTTTATCTTCCTTTTATGTGTCAGATTTGATAAATTGTGTATTTTAAAGGATTTAAAGTTTTTACCTAATTATTCAAATGTATGGACATTAAGTTGTCCATAATATCCTTGTTATTTTTAACGTCTTTGAGGTATGTAATGGTGTTTTTCTTTTTATTCCTGAAATTTGGTATTTAGTATCTAATTTTTTTTTTTGGTTCAGTCCTGCTGAAGTTTATCTTTTTGATGAAATAACCTTGGGTATTATTGATTTTCTTTATTATAATTATACATTGTTTTATATTTTATTAATTTGTACTTTTATCCTTATCATTTCTTTACTCATACTTTCTTTTTTTTTTTTTGAGATGGAGTCTCACTCTGTCGCCCAGGCTGGAGTGCAGTGGCGCGATCTCGGCTCACTGCAAGCTCCACCTCCCAGGTTCACACCATTCTCCTGCCTCAGCCTCCTGAGTAGCTGGGACTACAGGCGCCCGCCACCACGCCTGGCTAATTTTTTGTATTTTTAGTAGAGATGGGATTTCACTGTGTTAGCCAGGATGGTCTAGATCTCCTGACCTCATGATCTGCCCGCCTCGGCCTCCCAAAGTGCTGGGATTACAGGCGTGAGCCACCGCGCCCGGCCTACTCATACTTTCTTTAGATTAAATTTGCTATTCTTTTTCTACTTCTTCAAATGAACACTTGCATCATGGCTTGCTTGCCTTTCTTCTTTTGCAACTCATGCATTTATTGTTGTAAGTCTCCAAGTACTACATTAGCTGCATCTCACAGGTTTTGATATATTCCTTTTTTAATTTATATTATTCAATTCAAAGTATTTTCTAATTTCCTTTTTAATTGTTTTACGTTATTTTAGAGAAGTATTGATGAATTTTAAAACATTATAAAATGTTTTAATTCTTCCTTTATTACTGATTCCTAGTTTAATTTTACTCCAGTCAGTAAATATACTCTACTGTGTATAATTTATATCCTCTAAAATGTTTGGAGAATTTTTAAATTTCCCAGGATTTGGGCTGGACACTTTGGCAAATGTTCCATGTGGATTTGAAAAAAAAGTATATTCTAGAATTGTTGGGAATAGAATTTTATATAGGTAAATTAGGCAAAGTTTGTTATTCAAAGCTTCTGTATCTCTTTTTTCTTCCTCTGTGTATTTATCTTGTTCTACTATATACTAAAAGAGATATTCTGAATTGTCCAAATATTTTGTGGATTTTTCTATTTTCATTTCTCATACTATTAATATTTGCTTTATATATTTTGAATCTAAATGCATTTGGAATTATATCTTTTTGGTGGATTTAAAATTTATTTTAATAACATGTCTCTCTTTATTTTTAGCAATTTTTTCCTTAAAGTATGCTTTGACTAGTAATAGTAATGTCAATTTTATTTTGGTCAATGTGTTCATGGTATATTTTTTTCATCTTTTTATATTCAATATTTTGTATGCTTATACTTAGAGTATGTCTTTTGTAAGTAGTGTACCATTGAGTTTTTAAAGAAAATCTCTTCAGATAATCTTTGCATTTCAATTGTAGTTTTACGTTTGCTTACACTTTATATAGTTTGATATATTTGGGTTTAAAGGGATCATCTTTTTATTTCTAATTCATCCGTCCCATTTGTATTTTTCCCACTTTTCTTATTTTTTGTGCTAATCAAAAATTTTCTGATTGTAATTCCCTCTCTATTCATTAGTTATTCTTATTTTAGTTATGCTTCTTAAATAATCACTTTAGTGGTTATCTTAGAAAGTACAAAAGGCTTATGTACTTTTTTCATTGGTCTTCATTTCTGTCTGCATTTTCTACTTCTTATTGAGATTATTTTTTTCTGCCAGGAAAATGTTCTTTTCATATGGGTCTGCTGGCGATGAATTTCTGATTTTTTTCCTGAAAATATGGCCTTCATTTTTGCTGGTATAGAATTCTAGGTTGGTACTTATTATCTTTCAGCATTTTAAAGTTGTTAATTGTTTTTTTCCCCTAGTTCACTTAATTTCTGTTTAAAAGTCAATTGTCAGTTTTATTATTGCTCATTTCACATAATGTGTGTTTTTCTTTGACTCCTTTTAAGACCTTCTTTATCCTCAGTGTTTAGTAGTTTGAATATTACATGCCTCATTTTGGATATCCTTTGCCTATGTCCCACTTGGGGCTTCATGGATCTATGGGTTGAAATATTATGTTATTTTGGCAAATATTTTCTCAAATATTGCTTTTGCCCCATTCTCTTGGTATTCTTCTTCCAGAATTCCAATTACAGACATGTCAGACCTTTTCATGTCTCATATGCTCTTTTTTTGTATTTTTCATCCTTTTCCTTGCTGTGCTATATTTTACCACTGCAATTTCTAGTTTACTATTTCATGTATCTGTTGCACTTAATTTGCTATAAAATTTATTAAATTCATTATCAATTTCATTTTTTTTTTGCTTATACCATTTTCATTCGATTCATTTTTATAGATTCTGGTTATTTGATGAGTTTTCCATCTTCTGATCTATTTTCTTAAATATAGTAACCATAATTATTTTAAAATCAATGTCTGATTAACTCAAATTTTATTTTTGTTAGCAGTGTGATTGTTTCTATTGTCTGCCTATTTGCTTTAGATTTTGGCTATTTGGGCCTGTCTTCTGGTATGTCTTGTAATTTTAGATTGAATACCAGATCTTATGTGTCTATATTCTTTTTTTTACTTCCAGAGAGGATTTGCTTTACTTTTACTGTGTAATTAGAGGAAAGGAATACGATTTTGATCCAATGAAGAACTGAGATGACTCCAGGTCATGTTGGAGTCCTTTTGGGCTAGTCTATTTCCATTTTGCCATTACTCTTAGATCTATTTCTTCATTAGTCTCAACTGAAAATCTGAGGCATTTTCCAGGGCCTCTTCTTGGCATGCACTATTCTTCAATTTTTGACTTTCTAACATAATACTATTGCAGAAATCCCCAATTATATTTTTAGCCTCTTAGCTATGGATTTTTGCTTGGCTTCTCTGATTTTCACCTTATACAGCTTAGCATTTTTAAATGCTAAGAGAGAAAATTCCGTGCATAAGGTTGAAATGTTGAACTCTTTTTCCTGTGATTGCATTTTTTTCCAGAATCTTAGCCCTTCATTTTGACCAGCACAGTAGCCTCATAGTCCACTTTTGTCTGTACAGCTTTGAAATTTGCTTGAACCTCTAGGCTACCATTTTCTGCTTGGTTTCTCAGCTTCATTCCACTTACTATTAGGCAAATGTTTTAAGAAGAAATGTGGCAGAGAAGCTCATGCTTACCTCTGTGCACTGCCTTTCTCTCTAAAATATTGTTCTCTTAAGTCTCAATGTCTTCATAAATCTCTGATGCCTTCAAATTTTTTTTTGTCATTTTATCTATTTTTTTGCTTTTGAATAGGAGAATTGATCGGTTCCAGACAGGAAAGTTAGTCGAGCAAGGTGCTCTGTCACAGCTGGAAGTAGAATTTCTCAGCTTTACCCATTTGGGGGGCTGTTTTTAGCTCCATCTTCATGATGTTAAATACAACTTTCAGTTATATTAAGTGTAATTTTGTAGGTTTTCTTTTTTCAGCTTTCATAGATTGACAATAGCTAAGCATTTTGTTATTTGATTTTAATGCTCAAACATTGAGACATCTTATCTAGGGTTGTGGCATATCTGAAAGTAAAGACATTTTGGGACTAGGGTAACAGATTAATGTTTTGAATTCTCCACGTGATTTGATGGGGCCCTTTTAGTTTTCAAAGCTCTTGATACAATTTTCACAGAAATTTGTGTCCAAAAAGTGCTCCAGATACCTCACTGTCAGTAATACATTTGCCTGTACGTATATATATATATATATGTGTGTGTAAATGTATATGTGTATATATGTATATGAAAATATATGTGTATATATGTATATGTGTATATATATGTGTGTGTGTATATATACGTAGAGAGAGAGAGCCACACTTAGTAATACATTGTTTGATATATATAATGATCTGTGAATGACGTGAATGACAAAGCAAGGGCTTTATGATCATACTAGCCTGCATTCAAATCCTGGCTCCTTTTCCTAACAGTTGTGTGACCTTGGAAAAAATTTTTAGTTGCTTAGACTTCTATTTTTACATTTGTAAAGTGGCTGTTTCTCACAGGACTTTTGTGGGGATTAAATGAGAGATCTATAAAAAGAAATGAGCACAATGCATGGCCCAGAGTAGATGCCTGGTGAATGCGAATCCTGTACCATCTCTTCCATTCCAGCGGTGTAATTGTGGATAGTGAAAAGTGAGCCAGGAGAAAGGCACACTATCACTGCAGGGCTGTTTGATGTCTGGGTGGTTGGTGCAGCTAGTTAAAGCAATGTAATGAGAGCAGGGTTATGGGTGAAAAAATCTGCAAATCTGCCTGAACCAGATATCCTCTCTCTCTCTTTCTCTCTCTCTCTCCCTCCGTCTTCATTATGGTTATGAGGTAATAGGGTGAAAATGTAGGCAAGGACCATTGCATATCTGCCTTCACCCTAAGAAACAATAACTGTGCCTGCAAGGTGGGCTAATTATTAGCATTACCTTTACATATGAAGAGCATAACAGCAAGCTGTTTGAAGCTTTCTTCAACCTTGATTCTGTTGCATGGCCTTAAGATAGAAGACTAAGAGCCCATGGCACTTTTGAAAAGGAATAGAGGTGACCTTGTTGTTCCAACCCACATTAACTGTACGGTATTTTTAAAGCTTATTCTTTGAGCTAAGGGGCTGAGCAAGCTCTTGCTGAGCAGTTAATGGTTCCATATTTGCCTCTCAAATCTGTGTACTTCTGGTGCATGACTCATTGCTTTCGGGTGCAATAACTTGAACTACATAAAACCAATTTTAATTCTAAATATAATTTTGACTCTTAGGGAAATAATATATAGCATGCATCACTTGAATTACAAAGTAGATAAAAATAGTTGGAATTAGGTTATCGTCTGTACTGCAAAAAGAGTGATTTCTCAGCTGCATTTTGAATTGTGGCATATAGTGATTTTACAAGTAAAGCTAATTTAAATATGGCACACAGGCACACAATATACTCTCTAAGGTATTGAGTTAATTGGAGAATGATGTTTTCATTCTGCAGTTTTGTTCAAAGAGTTCACTATCGTTCTCTTGCTCTTTGATTTTAAATAAGCTTTTTATACTTTATTTCTTAAGCATAACTTATTTGCTATCTTCTGGTGTCTTATGTGATTTAAGTTGTTACTTTAAATTGATAGCATTCACATTGTTAAGAAGACGAGTGGCTGTTGTTCGATGGATCATTAGGTTTGATTTTAGGGTTTTCCTTTCCAGTTTACATTAATCAGCTTTATGTACCTTGTGCCTCATTTCTTCTTCCCAGTTCACATAAATATTGATGTTATCTTCAATTGGAAGTTTCAGAAAAGAAATTAGAATGAGAAAGCTGGCTCCAATAGCCATCAGTTGGAAAACCAATTCCAGGCATATCTATCAAAATTAGCTACTTTTTCAGTACATAAAATCCATTTATGCAAAAGGAAAATCAAATAAACTCTCATTAAAACAACCTGTATTTTTTTCCCATTTCCATCATTAAAAATGACTTTCCACCACCACTGGTCAAATTATAGTGTTTTTCTAATAACTCCTATGACTAATTTGTTAGTTTGTAATATAAATAATCTTTCTATGAAATTGTTTAACTGTTTGCTTCATTTTGGACTTCTTGTTTTGCAGTAACTTAATTTAAAATAAGCTCATGTAATAGCTTTGTTGGGTTAACCAGATTGAGATGCAAAAATGTCTATTTAATAAGCATATATTGATAGGGCTCTTGTAGGAGGGTGAGCAGGAATAAAAACAGTTTCCTGGTAGCTGAGTACTCTGGAGGCCTGGAGCTCCAGAATGAATACAGCCAACACATAAGCCTGAATTAGAAGGCAAGTTTGGAAGGCCTACCTTTATTTGCCTAGAATTTTCTGACTTCTCCTCACCCTTCAACTTGCTTCCTATCCTGTCTTGCTAAAAAGCCCTAGAACTGTGCTGTCCAATATGGTAGAGAATTTGCAGCAATTTGTCTTAGTCTGTTTTCCGGTGCTATAACTGAATACCACAGACTGGGTCATTTGTAAAGACGGCCGGGCGCGGTGGCTCACGCCTGTAATCTCAGCACTTTGGGAAGCCGAGGCGGGTGGATCACGCGGTCAGGAGATCGAGACCATCCTGGCTAACACGGTGAAACCCCATCTCTATTAAAAATACAAAAAAAATTAGCCAGGCATGGTGGCGGGCGCCTGTAGTCACAGCTACTCGGGAGGCTGAGGCAGAAGAACGGCGTGAACCCGGGAGGCAGAGCTTGCAGTGAGCCGAGATGGCGCCACTGCACTCCAGCCTGGGCGACAGAACGAGACTCTGTCTAAAAAAAAAAATAAAATAAAATAAGAAAGAAAGAAAAGGAAATTTATTTCTTACAGTTCTGGAGGCCAAGAAATCCAAGAAGGGCCTTCTTGCTGCATCATAACATGGCGGAAAGGCATGATACGGTCAGAGAGTGTGCTTGTGAGGCAGACAGAAAAATCAGATCAAACTCAACTTTTTATCAGAAGCCCACTCCTGCGAGAACTAATGCACTCCCATAATGACAGCGTTAATCCATTCATGAGGGCAGTGTCCTTGTTACTTAATCACCTCTTAAAGGTTCCACCTCCCAGTATCTTTACCTTGGCAATTAAATTTCAATATGAGTTTTGGAGAAGACATTCAAACCATAGCACTATTTAAAATTCAGTTAATTTAAATTAAATACAATTTAAAATTCATTTCCTTAGTCATATTAGCCAAATTTCAGGGGCTCAATATTCATGTGTAGCTAGTGGATACCATGCTAGATGGTACATATACAGAACATTTACATCATGGTGGAAAATTCTATTATATCGCCCAGCTCTAGAACATCACATAGCTCCTTCTCTTTGGCATAGAAAGGAATGATTGGGATTAGGAAAAATAGAAGAAACACTACAACCAAAGCATTGTCTTCATTCAGAGTATTGTCTTGACTTCTTGGGAACTTGGATTCTACCAGCCCCATACCATTAATCTGGCTTCCACTGCTATGATTTCATTATTAATGGAGATATTAATGTTTTCCCCATTTCCTTCCCTGAGTTCTTTCCTAAAACGATATTTCTTATAGCCTCTGACTTGTTTAATAAATGATTGCTAACTTTAGAGCCTTTACATTTCCATTTGTGATATACTGTGGCTTATCAGCACACTAGGATATTCACTCATAATTTTGGAGTGGTTTTCAAACACCATTTTGTTGCAATTTCTTTCCTCTTTTTCAACACAGACAAGAGGGTGCCATTTTAGCTCAGTTCATTATCAGTCTCTAAGTCAGCTTGAGATATTAAATTGAGTTAGGACTCGAAAGCCAGGATCATAATTCCTCTGCAGTTTTCTGTGGGGTAGCTCTTTTCTTCACCCTTGCACCACTCTATAGTGGGAGAGATGTTCTTGTTGCTCCTCACTTCAACTTCCAAATTATGATTTCTCCCCAAATCACACATTTGAATCTCAAGTTGTTCAATATATTATCTGCTGCCCTTTGTGTGTCCGGAATTGGTGGGTACTTGGTCTCACTGACTTAAAGAATGAAGCTGTGGACCCTCGCAGTGAGTGTTACAGCTCTTAAGGTGGCGTAGCTGGAGTCTGTCCCTTCTGATGTTCAGATGTGTTCGGAGTTTCTTCCTTCTGGTGGGTTTGTGGTCTCGCTGGCTCAGGAGTGAAGCTGCAGACCTTCGCGGTGAGTGTTACAGCTCTTAAGGTAGCGCGTCTGGAGTTGTTCGTTCCTCCCGGTGGGCTCATGGTCTTGCTGGGCTCAGGAGTGAAGCTGCAGATCTTCGTGGTGAGTGTTACAGCTCATAAAAGCAGCGTGGACCCAAAGACTGAGCAGTAGCAAGATTTATTGCAAAGAGCGAAAGAACAAAGCTTCCACACTGTAGAAGGGGACCCGGGTGGGTTGCCAATGCTAGCTTGGGCAGCCTGCTTTTATTCTCTTATCTGGCCCCACCCACATCCTGCTGATTGGTAGAGCCGAGTGGCCTGTTTTGTCAGGGCGCTGATTGGTGCGTTTACAATCCCTGAGCTAGATACAAAGGTTCTCCACGTCCCCATCAGATTAGTTAGATACAGAGTTTCCACACACAGGTTGTCCAAGGCCCCACCAGAGCAGCTAGATACAGTGTGTTGATTGGTGCACTCACAAACCTTGAGCTAAACACAGGGTGCTGATTGGTGTATTTACAATCCCTGAGCTAGATATAAAGACTCTCCAGTCCCCACCAGACTCAGGAGCCCAGCTGGCTTCACCTAGTGGATCCCTCACCGGGGCTGCAGGTGGAGCTGCAGGTGGAGCTGCCTGCCAGTCCTGCGCTGTGCACTCGCATTCCTCAGCCCTTGAGTGGTCGATGCGACTGGGCGCCTTGGAGCAGCGGGTGGTGCTCGTTGGGGAGGCTCGGGCCGCACAGGAGCCCATGGAGTGGGTGGGAGTCTCAGGCATGGCGGGCTGCGGGTCCCAAGCCCTGCCCCACGGGAAGGCAGCTAAGGCTCGGTGAGAAATCGAGAGCAGTGCCGGTGGGCTGGCACTGCTGGGGGACCCAGTACACCCTCCGCAGCCACTGGCTCGGGTGCTAAGTCCCTCATTGCCTGGGGCCAGCAGGGCTGGCCGGCTGCTCCGAGTGCGGGGCCCGCCAAGCCCACGCCCACCTGGAACTCCAGCTGGCCCGCAAGCGCCGCACGCAGCCCCGGTTCCCGCTCACGCCTCTCCCTCCACACCTCCCTGCAAGCTGAGGGAGTGGGCTCCGGCCTTGGCCAGCCCAGAAAAGGGCTCCCACAGTGCAGTAGAGGGGCTGAAGGGCTCCTCAAATGCCACCAAAGTGGGAGCCCAGGCAGGGGAGGTGCCGAGAGCAAGCGAGGGCTCTGAGGACTGCCAGCACGCTGTCACCTCTTATTTGTTGCATTCATCTGTAGAACCCCTGTTCTCACTCACATTTTCCTTGAGGGTTTTATCTCATTCCTATATTTTCTCTAGCACTACACCCATCATCATTGCTTGTGATCTTAATGCCACATAGATGATGCTTCAACTTCTGGCCTGTCAGTTACTTGTCCACCTTCCAATCTCAATAACTCACTTTCATGTTAATACCATAGACCTTGTCATACTAATACCTTTAACCATTCCATAATCATCATTTCAAGCAACCTACTCTCCAACTGCTAGCCCCTGTCTTCCTTCTCACTTTCTCTAATGTTCTTACTTCAGCAATACTACTCAGGACTTACTAGGGCCTGTAGTCCACCTCTTTTCACTGTCCATTACTCCCTTATATTACTTTTCACCTTTCACCATCAATTTTCTCACTTCTCTCTCCCTTACACTGTTCTGATAAAACCAGCCCAGTTATCATCCAACTCTCTTGTCAACTATGCAGGCAGCTTTCTCTACAGGCATGAGGAAAGCACCCAATCATCTCATTTTAAATTCAAGGCTAATAACTTCAAGTGATTCTTCAGTTCTGCCAGACAGTCTAGGGTACATTTCCCTAGTATATTTATTTTCCCTCTCCTAGATGACCATATCACTCATGCTCTCTTCCCCTGAATAGACATATTTCTTTAAATGGCAATAGTATCTCTTTATTCTTATTATAAAGAAATTAATATTACCTAGAAAATATCTGGAAAAATACAGAAAAGCTTACACATACAGTTGTATAATATACAGATTTTCTTTCAGGAGACAATCTCTTTTGTCGTTTTGATTTCTTAATAATTCCTTCCAGTGTTTTTTTTTGGTGGGGGGGGGGAGATGAAGTTTTGCTCTGTCACCCAGGCTAGAGTGCAGTGGTGCGACCTCAGCTCACTGCAACCTCTGCCTCCTGAGTTCAAACGATTCTCCTGCCTCCTGAGTAACTGGGACTACAGGCGCGTGCCACCACACCCAGCTAATTCTTTTGTATTTTTAGGAGAGATGGGGTTTCACCATGCTGGCCAGGATGGTCTCCATCTCCTGACCTAGTGATCCACCCACCTCAGCCTCCCAAAGTGCAGGGATTACAGGCGTGAGCCACCATGCCTGGCCCCTTCCAGTCTTTATCCAATATTCATATGTATTTTTACATAGGTAGATTGTAATATGTAAATAAGAGGGAAATATTTACATATTACATGTGTAATATGTAAATAAGAGGGAAATATTTTCATCTTTCCCTCTTAATATTTTATAGTAATTACACTTGACTGCAATGTACCAGACTTTGTACCATCTTTTATGTGTATTATTTCTAAATTACTGTATCTTTCTAAGTATCATTATAAATTAAAAAGGTGAAATTGGTTTTATAAAGTTGAATAAAATATTAGAATCAGAATTCAAACTCAAGTCTTTCTGTTCCAAAGTATATCCTTAGAACTTTTAAAGCCTTCATAATGCTACTTAATTGCTACATAATATTTCATTGTGTGAATATAGCATAATTTATTTAAATATTTCCTTTCCTTGGCAAATTTGGTTGTGTGCAATTTGTCACTTTTATAAATAATGTCATTGTAAACATCTTGGGAATATATGTCGTTGCCTGAATTTAGGACTAATGTATTACAAGAAATTCCTAGAATTCATATTCGGCCAAATGGCATAAATTCTTAGCATATGGACATTTTGCTTTCCAGAAATAAACATGGCATTTCTGGCATACAGTAAACACTTTTCTTCATTGAAAAGATTTCCTACCTTTGATTAATGGGCCACAGATATAGTGCTTTATCGATCACCTTGGAATGAATTCACTACCATTAATGATTCAGTGCAGTAAATTTTTTATTCCACCTGTAAGCCACAAAACAGTTACTTACCATAAGAATAATTATTTTAAAAATTGATCTGATTGTGAGTCTAGATAAAAACCCCAGGGAAATATAAATTTTTTTTTTAAAAGCCCAACAAAATAATAAAAACTGTAACAATGACAATAAAAGCAAAAATCTTCTTACCAACCCATCTGAAAATGTTTTGGTCTCTGAATAAAGAAAGTGTTATCCTTTCCCAACAAAGCGAAATTTGCCCTTTTGCGTTTTATGATGGCTGAATGTTACTCAGAGGTGAGACTTTGATCACCCTTCCCTTTTCTAGGACACGCTTTCACATTGGCAGTAACTGAAATTTATCCAAATAGACTTTCAAAGCTCCCAAGTGTTCTAAATTTATCTCACTCAATTTCGTTGGTTTAGAAACTAGTTTGGAAATTTCACAAGGCCAACTTGTCTTCAGTAATTTCTAGTGCTTCTTGTTTGGGACAGGCTAGAAAAAGCTCTGAGACGCTGCTAAATTTGGTGCTTGGCAGAAACCATAACACACAAGGAGAAATACATGAAGTGTAAAACCTAAAATATCAAAACTCTTTGACATTTTAAACTAATTTCAAATATACAGAGATTAGAGAATCATAACATCTGCATAAATCAGATGTGTGGACAACCTATATAAGTGGGAACAAAAGGAGAAGTATGAATGGGATAATAGATTTCGTGCCTTTAGTCTGCATCAATCATTTTATAAATCTGATGTCTGCATATGAATGGGGTGATTTAGCCTAAGGAAAAAAAGTCTGTATGTTTTTTTCCTACTGGTTATAAATGGTGTTAGAATTTGCCAAAAACGAACATTTAATGCACGAAACTGCAAAGAAAGACTAGAATTGTGATAAGGGCTTGAAATTGTTACTGGAAGACCTGGGCTTAAAATCCGGCCTTCACACGTGCTGCTTGATGTGTAATCTAGGCACAATTTACTCAAATAGTCTGCATCTTCATTTCTTCATCTGTAACATGGAAATAACAATATTTACCACCCTGAATGGTTTTGAAGATCAAAGTGAGGTAATGTTCAGGAAAGCACTGTGAAAAGTCTAAAGCCCTATATAAATATGAAGTGCTATTTTTATATTTACTAATTGCAAATTAAGAGTTCTTGGGATTAACTGAGTTCACAGGAAGTTTAAGCATTTTTTTTTGAGTGGCAGCACGGTTTATAATTTTTACTTTTATTTTTGTACCCATCACCCAAACAGTATATGTTGTACCCAATAGGTAGCATTTCATCCCTTCCTCCATCCCATCCTCCCTCCTGTTGGAATCTCTAGTGTCTGTCATTCCACAACGTGTGTTTATGCATACCCAGTGTTTGGCTCCCACTTGCAAGAGAGAACATGCAGGTTTTTACTTTCTGTTAAAGAAAAATTGTATTATTTAATTTTGATAGAGAGACATTGTTAATTAGATTGGGATGTTGTGTATGATTCTCTCTTAGGTGTAAAAGCTTAGGCAACTGTTAATGGATTTTAATTGGTTCCCCCACCACTCCTTCTCCCAGTCCGTCACAGAGGAAACACCAAAGTATTTTTTATCCAAGTGCTCTTTTCAAGTGACAGGACAAGGGGGCAGTGAAAAGTGTATTTTCACCAGTAACATGGACCTAGCCATGGATTTTGTACCAAAATGACATGGGAATAGGTAAGAAAATGGCTGAAGTCTAGGGATATATTTAGATGTACTACTTCCTCCTCCACTTCAACAAGGTGGTATCACTGTGAATACAGAGTTTGGCAGAGATGATACAATAAGAAAGTGACGATTCAGTGTTTGGGAAATTCCAGGGAAGCTGGATATTAAGGGAAAACCCATAGGTAGGTATTTGAATCCAGGTTTATTGGTGAACTGTAGACTCCCAAGCCAAGTTCCTTGGAAGGATTAGTCAACAGTGTCCTCTGATATAAAAATGTCCTTTCAGTGGCTATGTGTGCACGGCTGAGAGGAGGCTTTGACCATGGTTCTTCAAGTTACCACTAGAAATAGGTTTTTATTCAAATATTTATGAGTAATTGTAGTCAGTGGAAATTGTTAGTAACAGGGAGATGAATTTGGCATTGCATTTTGAAGAATGGAACAACTTAGTATTTACCCTATGAATCTGTACTTTAAATATTTGTTAATTATCCAAATAACTTCTAGTAGATAGGCACATTTGTGGAACAAACTTTCAAAAAAATTGGTTTGTCTTCTTTCTAGATTTTGACCAGTCTTATTAAGATCATGTTATTATGGCTGGGTACGGTGGCTCACGCGTGTAATCTCAGCACTTTGGGAGGCCAAGGCGGGCGGATCACGAGGTCAGGAGATTGAGACCATCCTGGCTAATATGGTGAAACCCCGTCTCTACTAAAAATACAAAAAAGTTAGCCGGGTGTGGTGGTGGGTGCCTGTAGTCCCAGCTACTCTGGAGGCTGAGGCAGGGGAATGGTGTGAACCCGGGAGGTGGAGCTTGCAGTGAGCTGAGATAGCACCACTGCACTCTAGCCTGGGCGACAGAGCCAGACTCTGTCTCAAAAAAAAAAAACAAAAACAAAAAAAACAAAGATCATGTTATTATTTCAAGGGTTGAATTTTCCATGCATGTATGAATTAAACATTATCTTCTTTCACATATGAATTCAAGATTTTCCTGTTGTACTTTTTAATTTTAGCACTCTGTGTGTGTGTGTGTGTGTGTGTGTGTGTGTATATATATATATATTTATTTATTTATTCATTTATTTTTATTTTTATTTTTTTTTGAGACGGAGTTTCGCTCTTGTTGCCCAGGCTGGAGTGCAATGGCGTGATCTTAGCTCACTGCAACCTCCGCCTCCCGGGTTCAAGCAATTCTCCTGCCTCAGCCTCCCGAGTAGCAGGGATTACAGGTGCCCACCACCATGCCCAGCTAATTTTTTGTATTATTAGTAGAGACGGGGTTTCACTATGTTGGCCAGGCTGGTCTCAAACTCTTGACCTCAGGCGATCTACCTGCCTTGGCCTCCGAAAATGCTGGGATTATAGGCGTGAGCCCGGCCTAGTGCTATATTCTAATTGTTAAGAATTCTAGCCACACAAGAGCTAATGGAGAAGTTATTATTTAATGGATTTCAGGTTTTCAAGATAAAAGTTTTGGAGATTGAACAACAGTGTGAGTGTGTTGCACACTACTAAGCTGTACATTTAAAATGGTTATGATGGTAAATTTTATGTTGTGTGTATTTTAACACAACTTTAAAAATTAAGTTAATGGGATAAAAATAAAAGTCTCCCCTTTATCCACGTCTCAATACTACTTTCCTTCCCAAGCCTGGTTGGTCTTTTTTGATAGACTTTATTAGAGCCAAGTCAGCACCATGACTTTGAATGACATAATAGATTTTGAGAAAAAGGCAGTTGCATTTTGATCAAAATTAACTTCTTAACAAAGAATTCCATTAGTAATAGTCTTAACAACTCCATTTTTAATGGTGTAGTCTCACAGATAATTGTGAAATGAATACATTTTCATGTTCATATTATGTTGGTATCTGATTCAGTTTTCTTAAATGGAGACGTTTAAGATCTTATGAAAGACAGAGCCACAGATACCATCACTGAGGTTTTTCCCTTCTATTACAATTCACTCATGGACTCAAACTTATTTTAGCTTGTCATATAATTAGTGCATGTTTTGTTTTATATCGTGGACTCATGTCCATCTACCTGTTTGTTTATAAGTGGCCTCATGTCCATCTACCTGTTTGTTCCACAAAGTTCTAGAGACTTGGGTGCTCGTCTGCCTGCCTGGGTGGATCTGCCTGAATAACTGTTGCATGTCCTGTTCCTTGTTCTCTGAGTCATGCCTTCCCCAGCTGTGTGTTTTTGCCAAGACGGTGCACAAACAAGTTGTTCATTGTTAAATCTGTCAGTGGGGCCAGGACTTGAAGCTTCCACAAGCTTCAGGTGTTATTCAATTCTCTCTTTCTCATTCTTTCATTTTAAGCATTTTTGACCTCAGAAAAAAATTGTTTCAAATACTTTTCTAGAAGGAAAACTCTCTGTGTTGAAGTTTTCCCTTAATATAATATATGTAAGTTCAGGTCTCTTCATTTGTAGATAGAGCAAATAAATATTAATTGGAAGCTTTGGCGCATACCTGATTCTCAGCAGTGTGCTCATTAGATGCTCAGTGTGAGTGAGAAGTGCAGTGTGGTTGCTAGAGATGTCATTTGAACGTAGAGGCATATTAGAGAGCTGCATGAGGGATGAGGATGGGGAGAGGGAAGCAGGAAGGGAACGCTGCTCCTCATGGCCAGAACACACCTGGAGCATGGTGGTCTTTCCTGGGCATGACCTTGATTTCAGGATGGGAAGCTTGGACTTCCAGCAGCTGGGAGAGAAAAAACAATGTCCTTCCTTAATTTAAACCTATGCATGGAACCCTTAATCTCTGTCTTCTTTAGGCAATGAGGATTATCGCAGTGAAAAAACGAACAGAGAAACCCTGGAATTTATGGAACTCACATTTTGGTTGGGATGACAGACCATAAGAAGTAAGACAAATAAAACAGAAACAATCTTGTAGTAATTAGTGCTAGGAGGAAAAATAAGGCAGGGTGGGGAGACTGAGAGGCACAGGGGTGCGAGTTTTGAGATAGTGTTTAGGGAAGCCTATTCCAAGGAGGTGACATTTGAGTGGACCCGAATGCAGGGAGGGGTCAAGACACGGATTATCTGAGGGAGGGAAATTCCAGGTAGAAAGACTAGCAAGTGAAAAGGTCCTGAGGTGGGAATATGAGAGTAAGACGATTTCGAGGCCAAAGTGGAGTGAGCAATTAACAGTGGCAGGAAATAGGATCAGACAGGCAGCCTAGTGCGCATGGCTTTTGCTCTGAGCATGAGGAGAACCCCTTGGAAGGTTCTGAACAGGGAAATGGTGGATCTGTTGCATAAGATCACTCTAGCTGCTGTGCAGAGAAGGTATTGTAGGAGAGCTGGAGTGGGAGAAACCATAGATGTTCAACCAATAAGAGAAGGCGTCGGGCAGGGAGAGAGGCATGCAGTTGCTTCAAATGTTTAAAGTAATTTCCTGCGTAGGAAGGATTTTTTTCTTTCATATATTGTCATGTACAAATATGCTGAAGTTATTTAAAAAATAAAGACATTTCGGTTCAAGAAAAGACCTACACTAAACTTGCTTTTCTTCTGATTATAGAAGTAACAAATGTTTCTTTTAGAAAATCTGCAAGAAAAGAGTAAAGTATAAAGAAAATATACTACTCATAATCCACTGCTCAAAAATTTTAAAAAGGAAATGACTATCAACATTTTTCTTTATTTTTCCAGACTTTTTTTTCTGTGCATGCAAATATACATTTTATAAAAGGAAGCAGATTATTTTCTGTTATGTAGATATTTTTATACTGTTCTGTAACTCGACTTTTTCACTTACCAATGACTGTTTCTTCATTTCATTAACTACTATATACAGCATCATTTTTAATGATTTCACTGTACCCTGTTATACATTTGAACCATCATTTAGTAAAAATTTTGTATAGTTGGGCGATCAGATGATTTTCAGTTTTCTTTCTTTTTTGTTATTATAAATGACACTACGAAGAATATCCTTAAACATAGATCATGGTGTATATCTCTGGTCACTTAGACAGATTGTTAGGATTACCTGCTAGAAATGTATGCACACTTTAAAGCTTCGTGATTTATATTTTAAGTTTGTACCAATTCACACTTCTACCAATTAGCACATTCCATTCATTTCCAGTTCGTATTTAGAGAAGTCTAAATTTCGAACAAAGTCCATCAGGAGGAAGAGAGTTTCCTGTCGCTGAAGGCATTTTAGTAGGTGCTGGAAATTCACTTGGATAAGAGATTATTGAGTCAAATTTGGTTGAGTATTTGAAGTGTCAGTGAGGTTTTAGAATTCTTTTCCAATTTATCTTTGAGAGTACAGGGAAAGCAAGATGGAGGAAAGATGAAAAATTCTGTTGCTTGTATTCTATTCTATAGAGATAAATGAGTTGTTTTTGGTGATAGTTCACATACAGCAATAAAAAACAAAAAGTAAAACAAAAATAGGGTACTCGTAGCAATTTTCTACAACTTGTTGGATAATGGAACTAGCAGAGGCCAAGTGGGATAACAGAGTTTGGAGATAAAATTTAATAAATAAACACTCAATTTAAAATACATTTTATTTAGATTAATAAAAAGTGAACTGTAAGTTGTTCTTAGACTTTCTCATGTGCAAAACACAGCAGCATATAACCCAAACATTGCCATCTCTATCAATTTATCAATTGGCTTACTGATTTAATTATGCAGCAATTAACAATATTATTGAATACCCACTAATTCTAGGCAGTCTGCTGGGCTCTGGGGATATTATATCAAATAGAACATGATTCCTGCCCTCAATAGACTTATAGCCTATGGGGAGGGAAAAGCAACCAATTCAACAATTTCAGTGTAATGAATGCTGTGATGAATATTCCATAGCATACACAGCATGCTATGACAAACAGTGAAGGAGTATCACCGTGCAAAGATACATGGGACAGGTCATGCCTACTTACAAAAAAAGCATTGGACTGAACATGAAGAGATCTAGGTTTACATTCTGGCCTGGATGAAGTTGTGTAAGTCATTAAATCACATTTAAAATAAATGGGAAAATTATATTTACCTAATATGGTTTTTGCAAAAAATGGAATAGAATAGCATGTAAGAGCAACTAACACAGTAAAAGGCATGCACAAAATCTGAATAAATATTAGTCGAATCATTGAGACATATGAATAGTTCACTACACTAGATCTTCCCAAGAGGTAATTTCAAGAGAGGTCCACCAGAAACACAGAGTGAGGCAGTATTTATCAAAAGTGGAATAGGCTGGGCACGGTGGCTCACGCCTGTAATCCCAACACTTTGGGAGGCTGAGGCAGGCAGATCTCTTGAGGTCAGGGGTTTGAGACCAGCCTGGCCAACAAAAATGGTGAAACCTCGTCTACTAAAAATACAAAAATTAGCCGAGCGTGGTAGTGGGTGCCTGTAATCCCAGCTACTTGAGAGGCTGAGGCAGGAGAAACGCTTGAACCCAGGAGGCGGAGGTTGCAGTGAGCCGAGATTGCGTCACTGCACTCCAGCCTGGGCAACAGAAAAAGACACTGTCTCCAAAAAAACAAAACAAAACAAAAAACCCAAAAAACTGGAATAATTTCTTTCGCTGCATTGAATGCACTTTCCCCAAGTAGTATATTCTACATAAATCTGAGATCAAAATAATGTATTATATATGAATTTTGATGAATTTACGATACAAACTAAGATGCTTAACAGTCAGACAAAACCCAGAAGTTAGATGAAATCACAGGGCATATGGAGGGAGGAATTTCTGTTTGCTAATTATCCTATGCCTGGAGCAGTAGCACAGAGATTACTGCTTTGTGCCTAATGATTATGAGGGTCAAATTGTGTTTACAGATAAATAGATACAAGCATTCAGTGGGCTAAAATACCTCTTTGAGGAAGGACAAAAGTGCTCCCAAGCAGTGGAAATGTAATAGAAGCTGTTCTAGGGTATGGCTGTGGGGGAGGCAGGATTCAGAACCCTTTTCTCTTGGAAGATGCTCCTCTGATGTACTCCAGGATGTCTCTTCTTTTTCATTACACCAAGTCTGACAAATAGAGGAAGGAGGTGCTGCCTCTCGAGCTCTGCAGTGTGCAATGAGGATACCACAGTGAACTTCCAAGTTCCGGCTTTCATGGAGCATGGAGTCTAACAGAAAACACATCTGTTAAAAAACAGCACAGAGAGATGCCTCTTATGGATGTGGAAGTGCAGAAGACCATGACAGGTTCTAGTGAAAATGTGCTCAAGGCCTGGGGGCACCTGGCCCAGAGTTCTCTTGAAACATAGTGTAACCTCTGAGAAGTATTCTTATTGCAAATTTGTGGTCAAAGAGATAATTTTAGTTTTCATGTGGAGTGGTGATGTGGCAATTGCAGAAACTCAGGAGTCTTCATTCTGTTCTATATGGAGGTGGCCTAAGCTATTGATTTTGACCTAACATAAATTCAACTTTAAGCCCTCAAATAAATACAAGCAAGTAACAAAGGGGAAAAATATTTAACTTCTCTAATAATCAAATAAATGCAAATTTGGACAATTTTCTTAAACTATCAAATCAACAAAGATTTAAGTGACAATATTTACTGCTGTTAACAGTCAACAAACTATCATGGGTGGTGGAAGTGAAAACTGATATTCTTTCTGAAAAGCAATTTGGCAATATGTATTACAAGCCTTTAAAACATTCTACCGTTTGATCCATTCATTCCAATTCTAAGACTTGATCCTAAAATGAATACAAAATATAGGAGGAAAAATCATTGTATATAAACATGCCCATTGCAGAATTACTTAGAACCTTGAAATCCTGGAAATAACCTAAATTTCTAACAACAGAATGATTGATTACATTTTGTACATCTTATGAAATCTCCATGGTATATGGGGCCAATAGAACTGATACTTATAATGATGCTTTGTCATAATGTTAATATAAAAGCTTACTTTTGGTTTCCCATGAAAGAAGCAATTCCTAAAGTAATAATGTGCTACCATTTAATTAACAATTCAGCACATTGTGCTGTGTGACATCTAGTACTGTGGGTTTAACTTTTAAAATATGCACTGTTAATTAATACCATTGCAACTATGTAAAAATTATAAATCAAAAACTTTGCAAAATAAAGACGGGAAAGAAATGCACCAATTTTTATTAACAATGACTATTAGTAGTGGGATGTATGATTTTTTTCCTTTCCTTTTTCTTCATTTTTCAAAAATGCCCAAATTACTGTATATTACTTTTAGAATGGACATATGGACATCAAGCCTGAGGGTGTTTCTTCCTTTTCTTAAAAAGAAGTCCTGTTTTCTGTTCTGTTAGTGAAGAAACATGGTCTTTGGTGACAAGAAAGCCTGAAGCATTGACTTAATAAATAGGCCTTTAATGACTTAAAAAAGTCAGAGACCCATAGATTCTCAGGGTTGAAAGGTCACTGATTTCAAGTCAGTACTGCTGATTCCAGAACAAGTAGATAATTATTTATCAAGTGCTTACTATGTATAAAGCCCCCTGTGCAACAGTTGCCCACCTGCCTTCCATTGAGAATTCCTACTCATTTGTTTTTCCAGAAAAGAAACCAGCATCACCTGCTTTACATAGACTTCCTTGACATTCATCTGTGTCCCCTATCCCCTGTTTCAGGTGATCTGGGCTAGGGCTCCTTCCGTCTGTTTCAGAGGTCAGTTATTTCAAGCTTTCTGAGGGCAAGAACTACATCCCCAGCTCCTGGCACATGGTGAACACATAGACTGTTCAATGAATAAGTGAATGAATGATTTTTTTTTTTTTGAGGCAGAATCTTGCTGTACTGCCCAGGCTGGAGTGCAGTGGCATCATCTTGGTTCACTGCAACCTCTGCCTCCCGAGTTCAAAGGATTCTCATGCCTCAGCCTCCCAAGTAGTTGGGATTACAGGCGTGTGCCACCATACCCAGCTATTTTTTTTTTATTTTTAGTAGAGATGGGGTTTCACCATGTTGTCCAGGCTAATCTTGAACTCCTGGCCTCAAGTGATTCACCTGCGTTGGCCTCCCAAAGTGCTGGGATCAGAGACGTGAGCTACTGCGCCCGGCCAAGCAAATGAATAATTTTTGGAGACAGTATTTTAGGTGTTCTGGAAAGATACAAAGTAGTGTGAGAAATAGTATTTGCTCTTAAAGATGTTATGAATAATTATAATGCAAAAAGCCAATTAACAGTGCATATTTAAAAACTAAAAAAGGACATCAATAGATGTCACATGGTTCAGTGTACTTATTAAATAAAGGGTAACATGATTAATGCTTTTGGGGTAGCGTTGTTCATCAGAAATAAAAAAATACTGAGAAAAATCAAATGGCTTAAATATACACTTTCATATGATTAAATTACTTGGTTTTATTTTATAATTTTTAATCAGCAAAGCAATACACTAATAATTATATCTTCTCCATACCCAAATATACAAAATTATTAAGAAACATCTTTCCTTTTTTTTTTTTTTTTTACAATGACTAATCTCCCAGTTGACTTGTAGTTGAACAAGGGCCAGAAAATTTAATGTCTTGCCTAAAACACTTTTCTTTTGGGTGAGATTGTGTGACTCTTAGTCTTTATTCGTTATTAGGTTATCTACGACATAAGTAAATAACAATTCTAAAAAGTTCAGCTCTTCAGATGGTTTGTGAGTGGTAGAAAAGAACTTAGATCAGTAAGCATGAATTTCCTTTTTTGTATTTTGGAATTGCATGTACTCCTGAATGGAGAGAAATAGGCCTCCTTCTCTCGTCTTCTTTTGCAAGGAGGTTTATATATTACTGCAGTGAGTAACCAAGAGGATCCTCTCATGGGTTTTTCCCTCCACTGAGTGAATGACTTGACAAATTTTCCAGGTTATGTCAATTTACCTGCAGCCTCCTGCACTACAAAGGCAGTGACACTGAGAGTATACTTTCCAACCTTTATATTGCTTTTCAATGTAAATGATGCTAATATTTTAAATTGTGATAACTTAGACAAATTAAGTGGACAAAATGTACTCTACTTGCATATGCCCTTTATTCTAAACATAGACCATAGTCTTCTGGAGCCCTGAATAAATGGTAGTAGAATTCAGATATGCAAGATCTAGAACTTGGGTTCCTTACTATAATGGGTAGAACATGACTTAGACTAAATATATCTGTCTATAAATATCTCTGAATAACATAGATGTAGGCATTTTTCATTATGCAAAAAAGAATATTTATAACACTGTCTATCAGAAACCTAGATGCTAACTCTAAACCAAGAGGAATATTGTAATTATTTAAATGCTCCCTAGGAAAATGTGTTATACGGTTTGAACAATTAGGGGAGATATCAACAAAGAAATCACTTCTAGTAGAAAATTGTAAATAATGAATTTTATTCAAACAAGCAAGACCCTGACTTACTATAAAGTAAGCATCAATTACACATACAGTTTAATATTTTATTATAACATTTGCATTAGGATGGCAGTAAGCTGGGCTCCAGAGCATTAATTCACATGGCATATTGGACTTTTGGCTACCTTGCCCCATGTCCTTCAGGGGCTCTTCAGGGTGATGATGAGATGATGTTCCTTGTCAAATCTTGGGAAAATGAGGGCTGTTTCAGTGTGTAGGAGTCTTGAAATCTCAGGAGAGCACCATGGTATAGGAATTATTTTTACTAGAAGCCAAAGAACATCTACAGTGTTGGAAACATTGAGAAACTAGACTTCCCAGAGGATGAAGAATAGGCTGGGGAGGAAATTGGACACTAGGCTACCTGAGGTCAAGATGAAGATTCAGTGGCGTTCCTAATACGTGCTTTCCAACCTCTGAGGAGCTACTCTAGGGAGGAAGAAGCAGCCCACAAAGACTGTTTTCTTCAGAAGACAGCACCCAGATCAGTGGATGGATATAAATATTAAATCAAAGGCTTTTCTTTTCTTTTCCTTTCTTTGCTTTCCTTTCTTTATCCCTTCCTTCCTTCCTTCCTTCCTTCCTTCCTTCCTTCCTTCCTTCCTTCTTCCTTCTTCTTCCTTTCTCTTTTTTCTTAGAGACGAGGTCTCACTCTGTTGCCCTGGCTGGAATGCAGTGGTGAAACATTTTCCTACTTCAGCTCCCTCTTACTCTTGAGAATGTCTCATCTTCTCAGATTCATTTCAGATAGCTTTGAGAATCCTCTGGACAAAGTTTCATGTTTGGAAGAGGCTTCTCAGCTACTCTCTGTGTTCTGTCCAGCATGTGTCTCCTCTCTAGTTCTGATTCACTGTGGCAATATCATTGGTTGAGGCCACTGATTGATCAAAAACCTAGAGCCACTTCATGACATACTTCCTTCTTTCCAAATGCAGCTGTAGGCTACTCCTGCTGTCTACTCAAAGAAGAATTCTAGCCCTGATATGCTGCCTGTAGTCGACTTGTGTCTAAACCCCAATATAAGCTGTATACAGTAGATTAGGATTAACCTGTGATCCTAACATCTTATGTAGAGATTTGCGTTATTGTTTCTTCTCTTCAGTGTACATGTTGTGTCAAAGAACTCAGTATTGAGTGCCTGGCGGCTAGAGGAATATATGAAAAACTGACAATGTGATGTGGTGTATTCAAATTGGCCCCACCCTCTGACACCATCTTATTGTCTTTGAGTCAAACCTTTGTTTCCTGAATCTCTCTTCCATGGGTTAGCCTGACTCTACTACTTCCACTGGCTTGAGAGACACATCTGAATCCTAGGGTTGTCATAGCACATGTCCTAAAATTTAGAATTCTGATACATAAGGAAAAATGTTTTAATAGTTAGAGTTAGCTTCTCAAGTGGAATGTGGTAGCTCGAGAAAGAATAACCCTCCTTCCAATAGAAATATGCAAACAGAGGCTCAGCACCTATGTGAGGGATGTTAGGGAAATAATTCTGTTTGAAGGAAAGGCAGAAGTGTGGACTAAGTATCTGTCATAGTCCATTTTCTGTTGCTATAACAGAACACCACAGACTGGGTAATTTATAAAGGATAGAGGTTTATTTAGCTCATGATTCTGGAGCCTAGAAAGTGCAAGGTAAGGTGGCCACATTTAGTGAGGGTCTTCTTGCTGTATCAAGACATCACATGGCTAGAGAACAAGAGCGTGTGTGTCAGTTCAGGTCTCTCTTCTTATAAAGCCACCAGTCCCATCCTGGGGGGCCCACTCTGATGACCTCATCTAGTCCTAAATACGTCCCAAAGTCTCCACCTCCAATCAGCATAATAAATTTCAGGCTTAAGTTTCCAATATATAAAATTTGGAAGACACATTCAAACCATAGCAGAATCCAATAAGGTCCTTCTCATCTATAATGAGGTGCTGTTTGGGCAATTCTGCTACTATATTGGCATCCTTGACAGGATAAGTAATTTAATTAATAGCAGTGATAGTGAGAAGAGGGAGCAAATGCACATGTGCATGCGCAGACCCATGGAACACTATATAATGCTCCTTTGTCAAGAATTTTTTTTTTTTTTTGAGATGGAGTCTCGTTCTGTTGCCCAGGCTGGAGTGCAGTGGTGTGATCTTGGCTCACTGCAACCTCCACCTCCTGGGCTCAAGCAATTCTCCTGCCTCAGCTTCCTGACTAGCTGGGATGCACCCACCACTACACCCAGGTAATTTTTTTATTTTCAGTAGAGACAGGGTTTCTCTATGTTGGCCAGGCTGGTCTCGAGCTCCTGACCTCAAGTGATCTGCCTGCCTCGGTTTGGTTCTTTCTTCAGTCTTCTCTTAGGGATTACTTAACACTGTTAAAAGAAGTTCAGCAGTCATTGTTACACTCAGTAACTTAAATATAGAACATAATAAATATGTGTGTTAGTGAGTCTGGAGAGTTGCCACTTTCTATTCACTTACTATCTTACACTACAAGTTGTCCTTTTAAAAGTCCATTTGCATTGTCTCTCCAAATGGAGGGCAGGGCTCATGGCTTACCCTGTCTTGTGATCCTCAGGGATCCTAGCTTTTTCTTTGCCTAACCATAGAAGATGCTCGTTAATGATTGAAGTCTACCGTTTGTTTTATCCAGGAGAGATTGTGATACTCACTGTGCTAGATTTAAAATGGCTCTGTTATCTCTGAGACTTGGGAAGTCTGTTTTTAATGTATAAGAGAAAAGGTTTTGAGTTGTACAGGATTTTGATTTTTTTTCCCTGTACCATGCAGCTCAGAAGTAAAATAGTTTAGGTCAAAATAAATTGAACAAGAAGAAAGAAGACCTTGCATTCTAGTGCTAGTCTTAGTAATTTCTAGACATATGGTTTTGGACAAATTAATTGACTTCTTTTGAAACTCTGTTTCTTCATCTGTAAAGACTATTTAAATTGAAATATAGTGGTACTATTTACTTAGTGAAGGACAAAGAGATGTTTACATACTGTACTCAAAAGGTCGAACAGATGGGATTATTTTAGATTGAAAGCTCATGTGTGGGAGTCATGCCTTTTGTAAGCCACATAAATTCTCATGGGGTCTGGTAACTTACTGTGTGCCCAGCAGGAACCCAAAAAGTCTTGTCATGGTGATAAATATGACACCATTTAATAAGGTCACATTTAACACAAGGAGAAACTTGGGAAAGAAAACAAAACAAAAATCTAGACCTCATCCCTAGGTACTTTGTATGACTTTGGACAGGTTACTTTACCCCTCTGAACTCTTCAATTGATTCATAAAAAGAACCAAATGCTTAGAAGGGGAGGGCAGGCATATAAATGGAATAGTAGAAAAGATTACTGAGCCCATGAGGTGGGAAGTATAGTACTCTGAAATGTATGACACCCTGAAATTGTTGGCCTCCTATATGTATTCTCTTCAAAGGGAGAGACTCCCCAGAAAAATTACTGTTGGACAATACTTGTCAAGACATTTATGGGAGCTGCTTTGGATACATGGTATGCTTGAATTGAGAAGGAGCTTAAAGATATTTTAGATTAACCTCTTAATTTTACACATGGAAAAAGAAAGTCTCAAGGAAGTTATACAAATTCTTTAAAATTATATAATGTGTGAGAGAGCTAGCACTAGATTTGCAAGGCTGTGAGCCATTGGGGAATTCAAGTTTGTTTGTTTTGACCTATTTTGCTTTTTTTTGAGTTTAAGTGGCAGAAGGTAATCTTATTTTCTTGGTGCCTTACTTTTCAAGAGGCCTTGTCAATGCCCCCTCATTTCTTGTCTGTAGAAACTAAATAAATCAAAAAAGGAATTAATTTCACAAACATATTATGTGCTAGCCATTCAGTACCCATTGTTGGGCATTGGTAATACAAACTTGCTACAAGGCACTTGTTGTCCTTGGATAGATTTTTGTTTTCATTCCTTCACATTGTTAACATTGAGCAATCTGCTTAGTCAGGAAAAGGCAACACATTGTAAAGGTATGCAGATATAAAAAAGTAGGAGTCCGGTGTATGATTCATTCCTATAGTAGCCTTGGTGTAGCCCAGTCCAAAGGACAATTTCCTCCATTAGACATTAACTACCATCAATTTCTTCTCTCATGAAATAAACAGATTCTGTCTTGGAAATAGAAATTTTCTCTGCTAATGAGCTTTTTACTACTTGGGAGTCTTCTATTTCAATCTGAGACTAAAAGATAGAAGGAGAGGCTTCTCAGGGAGCAGGAAATGGAAATGACAGTAGACCCTAACTCCCTCTCCACCTGTGCATGGATATGGAAAAGGGCTTTGAAAAAGGCACCACTTATAATAGCACAGTCCAGGGAACTGGGTGTCAAAGTCAATGCCTGTGATGGGAGAGCTGCTCATGCTTCTTACAATGTCTTGAATACTCTTAATCCTTTTGCAAATACTTGCTTCGTTGTAAGACAAGTCAAAGCAGATATGACGATGTCTTAGCTGAGGAAGAAATTGTGGCTTCTTGGATGCAGTATGGCAAAGAGGATTGTCTTTTAAGAATAATAAAAAAGAGTTTTTTTCATTTAAATCTGGTCTAGGAAAAATATCCTCTTGAAACTCTTTTTACTATTAGTTTTGTTTTCTAAAAAACACTGATCTGAACAAGATTAAATAAGCAAATCAATGGCTTTCTGGGTTTAAAGCAACTGAATTCCTACTGATCTCCCTTTATACTGAAATTTCAACATAGATTCTTCACAAGAGAAGAAAGATGAACTGAATCCCATATGACACTCAAGAAGATGTAGGACAAGCAAATAAAAGTGGTCCCAGGGGAGAAAATAATATTCCCAGCCCTGCAAATGATTCGCTTCTGCCCTATAGTTTGACTCTTCCAAAATCTGGTTTTCAAAACAAATTAGTCCACCTCTGAAAAAGGCATGCCGACTTTCCAACTGACAATTATAAAAGTGACCCTGTCTACAAACATCTGATGAGTGAGTGTCTAGGTTATAGAAACAGAGATACCCTCTTCCAACTGTAATATTTCGGTTAATAGGCTCTGTTTAGAAGATTAATTCTTAATGTCATCATTCATGAATTACAGGGAATGAAAAACAGGAGGAAGGGAAGCAGAGAAGGATGTGCTAATGTTACGATGTTTTATAATATTTTCAAACCCTAAGTTCTTCTACCGATCGGACCATG
Organism: Homo sapiens; assembly: GCF_000001405.40. NCBI lineage: Eukaryota > Metazoa > Chordata > Mammalia > Primates > Hominidae > Homo > Homo sapiens. Next base: position 139,745,028 of record NC_000006.12, read on the forward strand.
TCACTTAAATTTAAGGCTCTAATAACATTGGCTTCCAGAAATATTTTCACTTGTATGACTTCACTTATCCTTGATGCCAGAGTTCAAAAGGGTGTATAAATAAGACGGGAGGAAGGACACATTATCACAGACCAATAAAAATGACAACAAAAATACCTCAAAGCTCTTAACAAGTATAAAGCTAGAAATGATCTGAGTCTTGTGAAAAATACTGATTAACACAAAAATGATTTTAAAAGCAATATTCAGAGAAAGTACAGTAATGGAGACCTGGTCCTGGCACAGATAGTGTTACCTTAAAAATATATCACAGAGAATGTATAATTATTGACTGTATTTATAAATCTTCTCTATCCAGGATCTTCACATCACCAGTATGATGGAATTGAAGCCCAAGATTGGTAATGTTATGGTAGGAAAACATTCACTTTCTTTAACTCATGTTAAGTATCTAAACAGAAAATTTCATTTTTATAACATAGGAATTTTGTATATTTGGTTTGCAAAATCTGTTTCGTTCTCCAAAATATGGAAAGCTATGGAAAATGGGGAATGTCTCCCCCTTACCCTAGAAAAATAGATATAAGTTAATATTGCTCCAGTTTTTTTTAAGTAGACTGCAGAAAAAAAAGAAGCTAGTGATCTTAATACAATTTTTTAAAAACTTTCTAGAAAATTGTATTGAGCTTATCAGCTTGTTTTCATGACTGTGAGTATTGAACATAGAAAGTGGTGATAATTAGAAATCAGCATTGACTTATTAAAACAATTCATGCCAAAGTAAATTAGTTGCATTTTTATAGTCTTCAGTGCAGAATTTAATGGAGTATTGGGTTATACATATAGAAATACATGGAAATAAAATATGGTGAGTTTATGTGAATTAATAACTGGCTGAAGACCTATAACCAAGAACCACCATAAGACAATTTGTGTCCAGTGTCAGGGGGTCTCTATTGGTTTGCAACAAGACTTAGTACTGGGCTGGAACTGTTGAATGTTTTTATCAATAAATGTAATGATGAAGTAGAAGTCGGGCATATCCGTTCTGTGTCAAGTACCAAACTTGGCAATATACAGAGGCCACACTGTGTGACTGAAAGAATGAAGGGCTTGCAACTCCTAGGGGAGTTTGAATTCCACTTCTTCACTTACTAACTGCTTGGCCCTTGACCTCCAGTTTTTTCATTTGCAAAATGGTAACTGCCTTGCAGGACTGTGAAGATCACAATAATTCATGGATATGAAGTGTTTAACTTGGTGCTTGGCACAAAGCAAATTCTGTTTTCCCTGGCTTTCTCCTCCTCTCTTTCTTGTAAAGTGGATTTTTAAATAAATTTAACTGAGTCACCTAGTGGTTTGGTTCACATTGAATTACAGTCTTAAACAATAAATGATTCCAGTGTATAAACCTCTATATCACTTATATGCATGGTTAAAGAGGACCTTATCCTTTATGAAGGATGAATTCAGACATCGCTATTAGCAATTTCTGGTTTATTCTTTCAATGTTTCCACTTAGCAGAAATGCACACACATACTTATTACATGTTATTTCCCCTTCTTTCTACACAGAAGTTAATGTGATAATTTTCTTTCACGAAGGTGCCAATTTGCAGTTTTCTCACTTAATGCATCTTGGAAATCAAGATGTCAATATAATGAGTTTATGCATTTTCAGTAATGAACCTAGTCACTTGGTCCAGATTTTGCAGGTCAGCAGGAATTTTCCAGGCAGATGGTAGCGGGAATAGCTTTCCAATATGAGGAAACCGGATAGACCAGGGCCCACTTGCTCACTTATTTAATTTGTTCAAGAAATGTTTGTTGAGTACTTAAACACGCCAGGCCATAGGCTAAATATTTTTTGTTCATGTCATTGAATCCTCACCAAAACCTAATGGATAATATTACTATCCTCATTGTACAGATAAGGAAGTTGAGGTTACAAAGACTAAGTCGCTTACCCAAGGTCAGAAAAATACTTAATAGTCTGATTTGGAGCCAGCCTGTTTTGCAGGAGTTATGCTCATAATTGCACACTCACTTCCAGATAAAAGGCAAGTTGGAGCAGAGAGGGAGGGTTCTAGATGTAGGAACAGCAATGCAAATGGCCAAGGGTACAGGAGTTTCAAGTGTAAAGGAGCTAAAATTCTCCACTGTTGAAGCAACTGTGAGTAATATTAGTAGCTGTATTGCGGGAACAAAGTTGGAAAAAACGTGGCAAGAGGTGAGGCTGAAGATGCAGGCAGGCCTGGCGTGGGTTTGCAGGCCCAGCACTGTGTGGCTTAAATCTTATTCCTTGTGCATGAGCCAGAGAGTGGCATGAGTGTCCTCAGCCCTCATTAGTAACCTCTTGGAGAAGGTGGCTGTGTCAGGCCCTCAGGCTGAGACTAGGAGAGAACACTGAGGCTTCAAGGCCACGGGTTGAATGGGGCAATTTGCTGCAGGAAACCTGCAGACTTAAAATGCTTTACGAATTACCTTAGAGTGGCACCTGGGATTTCCTGGGCAATTTGAGGGGTGACTGGAGCTTCTGAAGCTCTTATAGGTCGTGGCTTTGGCTTTTCACAGGGTTGGGGCAGGATACCTTGGGTGTATGTCTAGTATGATTAACTAATGTAATCATAGAGCATCTTTATTTTTGTCCCTCACTGTCCCTTTAAATGGATTCAGCTGGGATTCTTCCCTTTATAACGATTGGCAGCCTCCATGAAATTCTCTGGTCACATTCAGATCATAAAGTCTTGAGACTTTAAGTCTCAAGACATTGTCACATTTGAATCTGTAAGGGTGGCGGGGAAGTTCTCACTTGCCTGACACTCACCTGGTGATTGGCATCACTCTCTCTCTGGACTTGGCAGGTAGGTGAAGCAGGCTCATTCTACCATGGGTGCTTTCATGGATTCTCAGAAGACTGCCTCCTCCGGTCTGCCGCCAGATCAGTGCACTTTCCTGCTTAGGCTGATCCCTTAGTCCCTCTGCAACCAGCAAAACCTTCGGCTTCTGTCAAGGTGTGAGTGATTCCCTGGGCACTCCTCTTAGAAGGACCTAGGGCAGCCTTGGCTGGCTCAGCTCTGTGTGCGCATCTCATGCACAGCCTCATCCAGATCCTTGCTCTACACTCACAAATTCTGGATTCCAGGGACTCCAAACCTGCTACCCCTTCTCAGCACAGCCCCTTTTCTTTGCATTCTGTCAGAAAAGTTAATCAGTTTATCTCATGCCTTCTAGGTTTTCAGGTGGTACTCAGACACAAACCTAAACTGCAGAGGACAAACATTAAGTTCTTGGAGTAGTCCTATTGAAGTTGTTATTCACAGACATGAGCTGAGGGGCCAGCACCTGCTATTGCTCTCTCCAGAAAATTCTTCCTTGAGTTTATGGGCTGGAGGTTAGGGGTGTCTCCCACTCCCTTGGAGCAGAGATAGGGTGGTTGTGACTCAGAGCAAAGCCCTCTTAAAATAAATCCTCTCCCTTCCAAAAATTATCTTCTAATCTCCAATGATAGGCCCTTTTATACCTTTGATGTGGTTGAGGCATCTAAGTGTCATCTAAAAGGCCTCGGTCACTCACTTTGAAACATTTTTGCTTCTTGGTCTATCCACACACTCTGGCATGTGCTGGGGCTGAAACCTCCAGTTTAACATCAGATAAATCATAGATATTATCCTGAAAATGACGTCCTTTTCCTCTACTTCAGAGTGCTCTTTCTAGAGTACAAATATGACTGCCTGACTCTCCTGCTTAAAACTCCTCAATGAGTTCTCAGAGTCCTTGCTCGTGCAATGCTTGGAATGTAATAAGGAAGACAGACAGCATGAGATAGCATGCAAGGACACAGATAAGCAAAGTGTTGCAAAATCAAACACGTAGAATGCTGAGATAGGGAATAAATGGGGAAGAGGTGAGGGGAGAGGAGCCAGGCTCTCTAGCTGGCCTTAGAGCAGCAGCATGTAATCAGGAATGCTAAGAGCATAAACTCTTACCTGAGAATGCCTGGGTTCAAATTCCAGTACTGTCACCTGTTAGCTATTTGATCTTTGAAGTTACTTATCCTCTCTGTGCCTTGGGTTCCTAATCTGTAAAATGGGAATAGTAATCGTTCCCTCTTATGATTGTTGTATTCGAGGAGTTACTATTTTTAAGTAGAAGAATGCCTGGCATATTATAAGTGATATATAAAGTTTCTTAAATAAATGTAAAATTCCACTGGCTTTTCCTACAGGTTTTAGGCCCTTGCCCTGACTGACCTAAATTTGGCCTGTGCTATTCAGCTTAGCCAGCTCCTTTTCTGAGAAGCTTCCAATGATCCTCAACATTCATTCAGGTGTCCTTCTTACATGCTACGATGTATTGTATGCATATTAGTATCACCACAATTATTCCACTGTACTGTAATTGATGCTTTTTCTCTGTAGACCATAAAAACACTCTACTCTTGAGAGAAGGAACTATATCTTATTTATAGTGGTATAAACAAAGGTTTGGCATATCTGATACCCATTAAATATATGATGAATGAATAAATAAATGAATGAGTGACAGAGAAATTCTAATAGATCAGAATAAAACTAATACTTACAATTTGATAGTTTTCTTTCTTTCAAGATAAGAACACTCTTCTCTTATTGGTTAGATTTTTCACAGATTCTACATGAAACCATAATCCTCCATGTCATTTATAAGGGAAGGGAATTTAGGGATTTATCTTAAATTCGAATTTACAAAAAGCTAAATTGTGTTGGATTGATTACTTCAGCTAAGCATTTACCACATTCATCCAATATATTAAAAATATAATTTAATTTAATACATATTTATTGAATGCCTTTCTGGGCAAAGCACTGTGAAGGTCTGAACATGAATAAAGTAGGTCCTCTGCCATTCAGCAGCCTATGTTCTAAAAGAGAAGACAGCGACGCAGAAACCTGTAAAACAAGGGGGAATATAACGAAAGCAAAAGGCTGGGAGATTTAAAGAAGAGAGATTTAGTTTATTACCATTTCATTTTTAAGAATCTGTTTTGTAAAGTGAAGTCTTTTTTTTTTTTTTTTTTTTTTAGATGGCGTTTCGCTCTTATTGCCCAGGCTGGAGTACAATGGCACGATCTTGGCTCACCACAACCTCTGCTTCCTGGGTTCGAGTGATTCTCCTGCCTCAGCCTCCCAAGTAGCTGGGATTACAGGCATGTGCCACCAAGCCCAGCTAATTTTTGTATTTTTAGTAGAGATGGGGTTTCTCCATGTTGTTCAGGCTGGTCTCCAACTCTCGACCTCAGGTGATCTGCCTGCCTCGGCTTCCCAAAGTGCTGGGATTACAGATGTGAGCCACTGCACCTGGCCAAAGTGAAGTCTTAATTCCTAATTACTTTGTCTCTTCTTGTTATTAACTTCTTTTCACTTCTTGAATTTACTGTACTAACTGCACCAAAAGAATAATTTCTTGATTATATAATTCATGCAGAAATAAAAAAGGCTATTTTACAATTGCCCTTTATTTCCTTTTTTAAAAAAATTCTGTTTTCCTATCTTTTGTGTGAGCATAGATTAATTTGTATAGCATTTGAGTGGCAACATTCCCCGTGTAAGATATCATTGTTGTCAATATAGAATTTTAGAGCTTGAAGGAAATTCAGAGATCATCGAGTATATACATTCATAATTTTATTTTATTTTACAAAAAGCAGGAGGTGGAATAACTTGATAACAAAGCTAGTTATTAGAACAGCTAAAAGAAAACCCCAACATCCCGAGGCCTAGGACTGTTCTTTTTTCCATTATACCATGCTGCTTCTAGAATAATTTTAGGCTATAGGAAATGCAGTCCTGGGGAAGATATTTATAACAAGTCTCTGGCTCATTTAGCATGCTGTTGTTTGGGGTATCCAGCTGCACACTTTGTTCTTGTCAGTAATACATTATTTCCTGACAATCTGGTTGACAAACGGGATCCCAGCCTCAATGATTTGCACACATCTTTTAAAAAATGATCAGGTTAACTCTTCTAAATAGCTTTTTTGTCCTTCACTTATCTTCCGGCATGGAGAAAAGGAAGATTCAAGATCTTCTGTAAGAGTGTAAATCACACACACACCGTCAGAACTCTGTTTATATAACATTTAGGGTGAAGGTACCCTTTTATGAGCTTTTGTAATCCAACGGAGAATCTCTGAAAGCCACAAAACCTCTCCTGTGCCCTAAAACTAACTAAGTTTGCTTTTCTAACTTCCCAGTGGGCTAGGATACAAAGTACGTGGACACTCAAAAGGTTTGAAAAGCAAAACAGAATCAAGAGGTGGGGGTGGGGAGGGGAATGTAGGGGTGGCCAATAAGGATTCTTTTACAACTCATAGTTCTCTATTGAAAACTGAGATTTCTGGTCACATTGGGGCAGAATAATTGATAGCAGCTGCAGACGAGAAGGTTTGAGCATGTATCTCCCCAGGCAATATTTTCTTTGGTATTCTCAATGGTATGTTGAAAGTATAGCAGTTTAATATTGAGTCAGAGTTTCTTTAGTGAGCTAAGTGAACTAAAACAACTTATTTATTCCATTTTCTTCACAAAAACTTGCCTTATCCCATGTTTTTTCTTAGGCCACCACTGTGTGGTCATGACATTTGCCTGTCATCAATGTTGGTGATTCTGAGAGACCCTCCTGTAGTAGGGGGTGAATGAACGCAGAGTGCCCACGGGCTGGCACCATTTTGGCTGCAAACTGGCCTCTCAAAGTCAAGAATCCTTGGCCTATTAGTGAGGAAAAATTCAGGATTATAGGAACGACTTCTCTTTCAGTTCCCATTGCTAGTAATAGTAAGATAATGAAGAGGAAATTAATCTTCGAGATGTTTGAAGGTTTTCTTAGTACAGGCAATAAACAAGTTGCAATTTAGGAGATAGTAATACTTCAAAATGGTGAAAATGAGTCCAAAATATTTCCAAACTAATGCGCTAAAAGGAAGAATGTGGGCATTTTTCAATATAGACTTTCTTCAAAGGGCAAGTCTCTGATTCCTTTAAAAAAATATTTCTTTAAAAACTTCACATCTCTTTCCTTTAGTGAAGGTTCTCATTTTAAATGTTCCTATTACGATAAATAGAATAAAAAGGGTATGAAAAGGCTATTAAAATAATTACAGAAGTTCAGGTCATAAATTATCTGTTGATTCAGACTGTCATCAGGTAAGTCAATTGCTTCAGTGTTAAGACTAATTGGCCAGACTAGAGAATTGGCTATAAATGACTTCAGACATCTGGATCAGATCTAAGTCATCAGCTTGGCCAGTGTGATCCAACCTGCATTGAATATTCCCCTCATTTGAGCAATAGACATTAAGTGTTATTGTGTTACTGGTATTTTGTGATATTAGTTTGCCAATCTGCCACAAAATATGACGGGATTAAACACACACAATATAGGATAATGGTGAGATAATGGGATAATGGTAATCAGCAGCCCAGGTGTCTCATCTGAGAGAAACATGGCCAAATTAAACAGCTAGTGAATGTTGACTATGGATTGGGTTCATGAGCTAGCTATTTTTTTTTTCAGATTGCTGTGGTTAAGAAAACTCATATTTAACCAGTTTTGCATGGTTCCTAATATATCTAACCTAGACACTACTATCCAGCTCCATCTCCTCCTTCTCTGCCCCTTGCAAAAATATGAGACCAGAAATGGTTTACACTTCTATATGGGCATGCATGCATTTATGTAAGAGTGAATTGTCTAAAAAGTGTCACAGGCTTTTAAAACTAACAATCTCCTGGGCCTGGAAAAATGCAAGATCTCGACAAACGAGGCAATAAATGTGGTGGCAAGGCATCCTCTCCTCTGACAACCCCCATAACTTAGGGGTTCACTCAGCTGTTATCCTCTCTGTGTGAACATTGTTAATTTAGTAAAATACAATGAAATCAGGACAATTGACAAAATCTGTTCTTATTCACTGCATTTATCTGGTGACCAGGAAAACATTTTCAATGTGACAACAGGCTTAGTCTCTTCTAGATAAAACTTCTCCTAGTCTTTTACTTGAACTCTTGATAATTTTTTACCTCAACAAAAATAGTCAAACTTTAAAGTTATATTATGCCAATACCTCATTTAATTCTATGATTGCAATAAAAGAAGTTGTGCTGCAAAACTAAACTTCCTAAATATCTGAAAGTTGTATTTTTGAACTTCAAACCTTTAAAAAATTGAATTATTTTTATTGGAAACATAATTATACTTGAAATTTCTCTGCTTTCTTAAACACCTTAAACGGTATATTAAACATAACTATTTTTATGACTCAGGTATAACTATAAATATAAATGTACCAATGCACTTATGGCCCATTAAAAGTTTGAAGCAGTTCACCTTTTCAATAAATCTTTGTATTATCTCAAATTACTATATTTTATTTGTCTGCTTTTAGTAGTTTTTCTGTTAGCTATTAATCCTTGCCATTCTTGGGGTGCCTACTCTATTACTCAGTTCCATCTCTTTTCCTTTTGCAGTTTCTAATCTGCTATGGTCTGGGAAGCACATAGCTAGCATTCTTAAAATTTTGTGAAAACAGGAGAAACATGCTTTATGCAGTGAATGAGCTTTACCGTCTGGATGTCAGGAAAACTATTTCTCTTGCCCAGAGGCCTTATTTGCTTATGTAGTGGAGGGACACAAATTATTTGCTTTCAGATGACACCAGACTCTTTTCATGGGGAAATTCTTTGATATCTGATAACTCCACCACTAATGTTCTAGGTGCTTTGATTCTCTGCGGAATGTAGAATGAACACACTCGTAATAATACAAGTGCTTTTAGGCATGCAAAATGCACATCCTAGCATACATTCTGAGGTGCTTATAGTGCAAAGAAAATGTATAGTTGTCAGGAAAATGAATGCTCAAAGAATTGACACATAAGTATTGTGGTGTATATGTTTTATTTTAATATGAACTTAGCTATTTTTAGTTAAAATGGGTTAGATAATAATCAATGTATTTGTTTACACCTTCTAAAAAGGGGAGTTAAGCCAAACTTCACTGGCAGAGAAAAAAATAAGCTAGGTGAAAATTAGAGATAGACAACTTATTGCCATAGAGAGAGAAGTAAAAATCTCAAAATCTTTACAAGCCTGAGAGGATTGAGGAATCTCTTGCTGAGTGAAAAAAAAAATTTAGTCACTTGAATTAAAATGCTTCCCCTTCGGGAGCAAATGAAAAATTTAATGTTTTTCTGACGTAGTCACACCTAATATAACAGTCTTTCCTTTGTAAGAGAATTCTCCATCTTAAAATCCTAGAATGCTCTGATGTCCAAGGCATAGACTCCTTAACAAGCATTTTCATTCTCTTTTTCTGATGCAGGAAGCTTCTTTAGTAGGTCACAAATAAACTTTAATTGCATTTTGTAATTAAAAACATGTTCAAATGATTACTAACTTTTAAAAACCCTTAATATGAAGTACTTTCATTCTTTTTTTAAATAGAAGTTTTGCAAAGACTTAGGAAAGTGTCCTAGAAAAGTATATGTGAATTTGTGTTTCTTTTAAAAAAATTATTCAGCCCAAATTGTTCCTCTTTAACCTTTTGTACATCTTTTCTAAGTTGTTAATTTGCTCCAGTGTTGTTGGGATAGTTGTGTGGTTCCATCTGCTTCTCTCTCTCACTGTGTGTGTGTGTGTGTGTGTGTGTGTGTGTGTGTGTGTGTGGATGGCTGAGGTAGCTGGAATATGAGAGGTGAGTTGTGGAGGAGAAAATTGAGATATGAAGGTATTTGGTGATGTATTTGGGGAGTTGATATCAACCTTGAGAGCTGACTGCCTTCAGCTTGACTGATAACAGTTATTTTTCTTTCTTCTCTTCTTTTCAAATCACTAAAATGGTTAAGGGTTTGCAGGATCAAATTAAGTACACTTGGTAGGAATTGCATTCATGTTGCAATGATCTCTGAGAACAGATTTAGCCAGCTATGGAGTTAGGTTCCGATTCCTGCTTTGTCCTCACATACAGTAGTTTGTTTACCTCTTTTCCGTGGCTAAAAATGAAAAACAGTAAACACAGAGACCATTTGCTCTGACCTTTTCCATCTTTGCGTATTATGCAACAATTTGGCTAACTGGGCAGAAAGTGACAGCATTTGACTCCCAGAAGAGATGCCAGTTGTGTGTATCTCATTACAATGTTCAACTAGATCAACTTCACTGTAAATATTAAAGAAGTGCCCCTTTAAGGCCCTTACTCTGACCTCTAATGCAATTCATTTCACAGAACATGAAAAACAAATCACCAGAATAAACTTCCTGAATTGTATTTGTGAGCTAATTCTCAATCTACTTATAAATATTATTAGGAGTATTGGCTAAATGCTACCATATGTTAAGGCAGAATTTGTAGAATCAAAATGCCATACACATCACACAATAAATGGAGTTCACTGCTTCTATCATCCTTAGTTATTTTAACTTTATACTTGTGGTGTGTTATGAAGGCTATTTCCCCCTAAGGAACATGTGCAGTGTGTAAATTATTAACTCGTTAATTCCTGAGGTCCTTAGGCTTCAAGGACACAACCGTTTATTTTTCTCTAGTTTGCTGGTTTCATAAACGTGGAAACTGGAAGACTTACAGCAGGAAATTAATGCTAAGCCAAAAATAGAGCTCAGGTTTTTGTTTTTAGTACAGGATTGAAGAGCTTTTGCATGGAAATAAATTTATGCTATTTGTAGGCATGATATCAATTGAGATTAGAAAAATTGTTTCTGACTGACTATAATATTTAATTGTTTTAAATTACTTTAAAGTATAAATATGACATTTTGGTTTGGGGAAATGTATTGCCCTTAAAGCACTATCACTTAACTGGAACTTATTCAATGAAATTATTAATGTAGTAAGAGAAATATAGCCTGATAAAGTCAACACATACAAGTTTGACTCAGGCCGGGTGCAGTGGCTCACACCTGTAATTCCAGCACTTTGGGAGGCCGAGGCAGGCAGATCACCTGATGTCAAGAGCTCGAGACAGCCTAACCAACCTGGAGAAACCCCATCTCTACTAAAAATACAAAAGATTAGCCAGGCGTGTTAGCACATGCCTGTAATCCCAGCTAGTCGGGAGGCTGAGACAGGAGAATCACTTGAACCCGGGAGGCAGAGGTTGCGGTGAGCTAAGATCATGCCATTGTACTCCAGCCTGGGCAGCAAGAGCAAAACACAATCCAGAAAAAAAAAAAAAAAAAAGATCGACTCTGCCATCACATGTATCATGAATCCAGTGATCATCTACTGTGTGACACTTCGTGAATGAGGAATCAGGAGACAGCAGAACTAAAAGGAGCCAGTCTTGAAAAAAAAAAAAAGGAGCAAGTTTATGATGGCTTTTGTTTTGTGTATTTCAGAATTCTCCAGAGGCCTTACAAGCTACTTGGCATTTTTTAAAAAAAATAATCCTTCTACTATATATGCTATAATTATATACTTAATTACAGCTTGTTTTAGGATCATCTGTGAAAAATGTATTACAAATACACTTTGAGGATATGACTACAATAATAACACAATGGAAGGTAGCTGAATCCAAGGATAATTTGGCAAATACTAACAAAGAGTTTACTAAAGCAACACTGATTTAAAGGATACAGATACAACTAAGGACACGAGGAAAAGAAAATAATCAAATAGATGTGCTTTGCATTCACAGTAGAGTATCTTAGCAGTTATAAGATGGAATACTTTAGGAAATATTTTACACATAATCATTTTCTAAAGACCTGAGGAATTCTTTTAGGAATTCCTCATCATTATTGTTACTTTTTTCTTTTCTTAATATGCTTTGAGCATCAAAATTCCTGTATCAGTGCCATTGTAATCATACTATATAAATATGTTGCCCATCACATGAATTCATAAATTAGGGTGAAGTAACAAATGACGAATGGACAAGGCACAAAGAGAGCTCAGTAATTTTACACTGGGGAGATAAAGGAGGGGAAAAAAACACGGGAAACTATATTTCCATTGAAGATGTTTTTCTTTTTCACATATGCTTTCAGCATCTTAATTGTGAAAACTCATGGGCATTCATAATATAAGAAAATCTGGTGTAATAGTGGTCATTTCTACAGCAGAATGCAGCTATTGACTGTTTACTAGAAAAAGGGAGACTCAAAGCCTATTTGGAAACAGGTGGCAGAACGAGGGAACTAAGTAGTGAGGGGTACAATGAGGATTTAATGAGGGATGCTGTTGGTTCCAGTGATTCTCAGTGGTGGCTGTTCATGAGATTCGTTTTTGAGGAGCCTTTAAAAAGTACCGATGTCTGCCACAAACCCCTCTCTGCCACACCCCACCCTCCATATTCTGATTCAATTGAGAGTGGAGGACAAACAAAATATGGAAGATTTTTGGTGTGCAAACTGATCTGATGACTAGTTCTGAAGATTGCTTGGAAATAGTGAAGATGGGGGAAAAGCATGGAGGAAATCTTAATATAGAAGGGACTGAGACAAGAAAGAGAATGAATTGACAGAAACAATGGGAAAAGAGGCATGCAGTTCATGGACAAACCATCCAAGGAGCTTAACTGCGGTAAATAGAAGATGAGTTAATATTCCCAAGAGACATATACTTTCCTATGTATGGATGTAAAGTAGATTATTGATATTTCTTGGTAAATCTCCCAAACCTGGCTTTTTCACACTAAATTTCCAGCCACTGCTAACAACTCCCACTGTGCATTCATCCAGAAGTTTCTGAAATTGGTACCAGACAAAGAGAGCTATCAGGCATTTTCAGCAGGCCATAATATTCTGGATCAGTTAAATAAGAAAGGAACAAAAGGATTAAATTGGTAAGTCAATGGTAAGACTGAGAATATCTATGAGGTTCCTACCCTGAAACAAAATAGTTGAAGAGTTATGCAATTTGTGTGAGGTTTCTGAGGAATCTTTATTTTGCAAGATTTGTAACACTATGTTATTTTGGCTGAGGATACCATAAAAACAAAGTCATTTCCAACAGTGCACCGAAAATCTTTGCACTTTTTCTGTGTTCCAAGCTCAAGGGACTACCTATCATTCTAAAAATATATCAGCCCAAACTACCTTTGCTTTTTTTTTGAATGTCTTTATGTCTTCAATATCATTTTTTTAGTCTCACTCCAAAAGACACATTCTCTGTTAAACATCTTGCAGTTGATGAAAGGCAGTATCTAGGTATGCTGTCATCCAGAACACACACATCTTTAATATCACTTTCATGTTGCTCTGTTTACTTATCTGCCTCTCTTTCTGGATAGACTGAGAGTAATTCAAAGAGAGTTTACAGCCATTGCCTTGCAGAATGTCTGTTTTTAATTGCACTGGAAAGCTAACCCTTCTGTTGGGTAACTAGAACCCCTGATGAAAGAGAACTGGACAAATGCTTGCTGCATTAAGTTGACACCCTTCACCTACTTGGAAATGTTCTTTTTGGCCAGTCCCGTTGAAGCAACTTTAGTTATGTCAGCTGAGTCTGTTCCGTGGTGTGTTTTTGTGTGAGTGGGTTCATCGGTCTCAAGGGGTGTATGAATCAACTAAAAATATATGAAAATTTTGCTTGTTTGTGCAGCACATGTGCTTTGAAAGAAAGATTTGTTGAGATTCTCAAAGTGGTCTAAGGCCCAAAACAGATGATAAAATAAAACACTATCATAAGCAGTGAAAAACTAGACAGTTTATCACTGAATTCCAAAATTAGACGAGGATGACCATTATGATTACATCGTATTTATTGGAAAATAAAGGCAAAATTTATTACCTGCAGCATTATTATAGTCTACCTAAGAACAAAACAAAAAACTAACTGAAACTTTTAGTACTAAAACTAATAGAATTCAGGAAAGTGGCTAGATATAAAATAAATTTAAATGTCAATAGGTTTATATTTGCAAAATTACTTGGTAATATAATTTTTAACAATCCCAGTTCATCAGTGATAAAAGTATATAATACATCAAAATTTAATAAGCTCTTTGCAAGACGTCTACCAGAAAAATAAAATAACTTTCCTGACAATCATGAAGGAGGACTTAATAAATACAAAACTGCGCTGTATTCTTCGGTGAGATGATTTAGTACTGGAAAAATTCCAAGTAAATGTATAAATTACCTCAGTGCAGCTAAAAATGTAAATTTAAATAATAATTAGATACATTTTTATCTTTCAGATTAGCAAAGCTTAAAAATATGTGGAATAGTGTACTTTCTCATATATTGCTGACAGGGATATAAATTGTTACAACTTTTTGGGCAGTAACTTGGAACTATGTAGCAAAGTTTTAAACTTCTCCCTCCATAGTTCTGTTTTTATAAATTTATTCTCCAGAAATATTCACCCAAGTGATTGTAATAGTGATATATTAGAAACATCATGAAAGTTTGTCAATAAGAATTGGATTAAAAAATTATTTTCCATCCCTTTGGGGAAATATTGGGCAGACATTAAAAGGATGTGGCAGTTTTATCCATCAAACACAAATCTTGTCCTTGTTTATAATGACAATTATGCAAAAGCAAGCTGAGACACACAGCTTAATGTAACTACATCTTTATTTTTAAAAAAAGTATATGTGTGTCTTTGTGTAGGGGGGGTGTGTGTGTGTGTGTGTAGGATGCATGTAAGAAAGTTCACGAAGGAATAGACTGATTAGTGGTCATTTCTTGGAGTAGAATTTCAGGGGCTTTTTGTTTTTTACATCGTCCTCATTTTCACAACTCTTCAAGACTTTTACAATAACAATACCTTATGTTATTAATTGGAAACAAACATAAAGATTTCTTTATCTCTTCAGCCTTTCACCTTAAGATTGTTATGGCTTCATCTCTGTTTTCACCATACTTAAACTTCAGAACACAACCCTTTTTAGGGGAACTGCCTACCCAGTCCCTCAAGAGAAGACAGACACCATTCACTATTTTATAGCTGAGTAGAGCTAATGATGGAAATGACAATGATAATGACAAGAGAGGGCCTGACACATTTCTGAGCTTTTCGTCAACTTTTACTGCTCGCTCTTCACCTCCCTGTGATCCCCTGCCCTAAATGAGAGTGTTAGAATGTATGTCATTAAAGTTCATTTCATTTGAAGCACACATATTAAAAAAGGAAAAGAATCACAAAGATCCTTTTGCTTTACCAAAAGAAAAATATATTCCTCAGACGGTCAAGGCTAGGCAGAGCTTTTTAAAGCTGGAATGTGAAATTTTGGATCCAGAGCTTTTCTTGATAAGGAAAAAAACTTTTAAATGGAGATAAAAAATTAAATTGGAAACATCCAGACGTATTTAGAGAGGCCTATTTGTTGGTTTTCCAAGTAGTTACTACATCCCCAAGCCTCTAGATTTTTTTATTAAAATGCTTTTTAAGAAATATCTCATCATTGCATAATCTATTGGGCACAAAGAGAATGTTCTCATTGTAATCAAATACTGAAGAACGTTGAAGAAACCCCATCATTTCTTTAATTTTATTGCAATTTTGATTGTATGATTATTTATTTCAACATTAAAGAATATTTCTCTTTTAAAGTCTCTACTGATCAAGCGCACAATGAGTTATTTTAAAACACATTCCAAATATTTTATTTTGCCCAGCTTCCTGTTGACAGGTACAATAGTCCCATCTTAGCTTCTGTTCACACAAGAACACATTTTGAAACCCAATTAATAAAAGGTAGAGCTACGCAAGCTCTGCAGAGCCCAGCACCTGCTGAGCAAACTGTCAAATGTTTGCCACGGTACTTAGAGCTGTATTATGGCAAAATGGAAAAAAATAGGCATGGGAATAAAATTTAAAACCCACAATGAAATAGTTGATTAAGAAAATTAAGCCATTTAGTACAGACCCATGCCTCTGCCTCCTGGAGGAAACCTTAGGAGGCTGTGTGGACCAGAGTCAGTTAAAACATTTGTCCTCTGTGGCAATGACTGCTTAATTTTATTCACAAAGGACTCCTTTGGCATTCATCTAAATTTTCAGACCCCTTTTCAAATTTATTCATAAGTTTCCTCTTTCCCAGTGACCCCAACATACTCGGTGCTGGGAAAGAGTCTGTCAACAAATGGCAGATCTGCACCTAAGCCAGCATGAAGCCTTAGGGGTCCTGAGGCCCAACTTCAGATAGCTCCTTGGGATGGGATAAGGCTGAGCTCTTAGTCTCCCTGAGCCAGGCATTTTAATTGCTAGATTTTTTTTTTTTAATGTTTAAGGGAGGAGGGGGAGGAAAGTGATAAGGGAAGCTTTGAGGGAATAGTGATGAATAGACATGGCTCAACTTTTACCTCCTCCAGAAAGCCTCCTCCAATTAATCCTATTCTTTCACTAACCATCCCTTTATTCCACCCCTTTATTCCAAGTTTCCCCAGCCTCTGGGTCCATAGTTGGCCTGGAAAAATTTTGTGTCTTCTGAGTTGTTTTTGTTTGTTGCTTTAGTTACTGAACTCCCCAGCTAGCCTATGAAAAGTTTCAGAAGCCTAGGAATATGTCTTCCATTCCTTTATGGGATTTAATAGTGCTTAGTTTTACTCAGTAGGAAGGGGAGCTCAATTAAGTATAAGAATTATATTAATTAGATAAAAAAATTAGAACCCTGAAGGTTTTCTGGAAACAAACAAGCAAACAGAAACTATTAAAGCAAACGCAGCTGGCAGAACTTTTTTTCTCAAATGACAACCTCTTCAATTTGACGTGGCCATGAGCTATTCAGGGCTCAGGTTTAAGGGAGCGTCTACTAAATTGTGATATTTTTTAGGAGCAATTTTGGTGACATGATGTAGATTGAGGACATTTACATGTTTAGAAAGAGTCAGTCACATGGCAATGATATTCTCTATAAAATTTATTTATATCCACTCTTGTTTTTTAAAGGATTTGAAAAGATTAATGAGATTAAATACAACATATCATTAAAAATTGTTAAAAAAAGGAACACGAAACGAGATTCATAAAATAGAGTTAAAATTAAGACTAAATTGAAAACAGATCCTGCAAACACTTGCACCCTTGCCAAAAATTTGGGCCTAAGCTTCCTGGCAACTAACCTGAAATAAATTAGGTACGTGATCAGGTACACAATAGATAGTGTTTAAGTGACAGAAATAGTTCACACTGGTCAGGAGAACTGTAACGACTCTTAATGCAAAATACAGGCAAAGACCTCTTGAGGATGTTCATCAAGTTATGACTGCATAATGCCTCTCATTCATGACAATTCTTAAGCGTGGACCAGCTTGAGTTTCATGAGGTGTGTTTACAGTGTCTTTCAGTATGAACAATCTTCACATCAAATGTAGTTCAGTAAAAGCAATTCTACTGATATTTATACAGGAGTTCTATGAAATAATTTCCTCTAGTCCGTCTAAATTTGGGAATAGATATGAGAGTATCTGCCCAAATGGAAGGACTACTCTATCAATTAGGTAGGGCTAGTTTGTGCCAGAAAATGTCAGTTGCTTAAAACTACAATATTTAATTTTTGTTCAGGCAACACGTTCACAATGGGTTAAAAAAGGACTCTGCTCATTGAAGTTATTAAGGAACCCTTGGTGAATAGAGGCTTCATGCTTTCATGATCACAGAGACTTGGGGAAAGGACACAGCAAACCACGTAGTAGCTCTTAAAACTTTGGCCCAGAACAGTCATCACGTCTGCTGACTGAAGCAAATCAGTCATCAGGCCAGGCCAGTCTTCTATAGAAAGGGATGTGCAATCCTCCCATAGGGAAGTGCACTGAATATTGTAAACAACAATACAGGTTATGACAACCATGTGTCCTTAACAAAAAAACCTAAATAATGATTTTCTCAACTGTCATTTCCCAACATATTGGGTGACAAAAATTTCCAAATTGCATCATTCCCTACTGACTCCCTGAAGTGGTAGTGTTCTCTGCTGGCAGTTTAAAATGAGAACTGTCTGCTTTCAAGGATAGACCGGCTGCGGGTAGGATTGATATTCTACCATGAAAATGCAGCAGCTTAAAGGAGCCATGCCAGAATACTCTCCACCACTTAATACTTTTTATTGCTTTTGACAACTTAAACTCCACATTTTTTCCTTCTCTAGGAAAACATATTGGTAACTAGACATATACATAACATAGATTGGTATAATGATGATGCCTTTTATGATTCACCTTAACCATTCTTTCGTGACCCCTGCCATCAAAAACATTCAGTGACTTCCAGTGGCATTCCTAGCATTTTTGACACCTTGGCTGGATCATTTTTATAACACCCCTCACTTTGTGATGCAATTATTTTCATGTAGTAATTAGCAATCAATATAATTTTTAAATCTTCTGTTTTAAAACAAATGAAAAGAAGTGATTTTGATTCTAAAGATTGTGCAAATTTGGGATATTTTATATATGAACTAAAATTTGCACTTATCAAATAAAAAATGTTATACTTGCATTTTGCATTTAAACGAAAATAGGAAACTCCAAGTGATCCCATAATAACTCAAGTTCTGTTTCTTTGACTTAGAATTGCAGCTATGTCTGCCCAAGGCAATTGCCAAGGTTTCCCAATTTATCCTGAATGATTGTAGCTGAGTGGGGTACGTTTGGGGAACAATTGTTTAACTGGGAATTTGCTGAGTTAACTTTTATGTTGAACACAATATTTAATAAAGGACAAATAATAAAAATGTGCTAATTCAAACCACACAATGTATTATTAAAACTCAATGGTAATGGCAGCAATTGTTTAAAACTAAGACCAGAAATGATTTTTTTTTTTTTTTGAGGAGGAGTATTTTATCACTTCATTGTTTAGAAATGTCGGCAGGAAGTGATGATTAGAATCAGAATGACTGGGTTTTATTATAGCTTTAAAATTTTTTATAGACAGGGTACCCCCTCATTGTCCATACCCAGAACTCCCTCATACTTGGTCAGTCACTGGTGACTCCTCAGTGTTTACATAATTGAGTCTAAAGTGGTGATCTTTAGCATAGTTCTCCATCATATGGCCTCAACCTCCTTCCAGCCTACTCCTCCACAGTTCACCTATTGCGAAAATACCCCATCATCTAGAATTGTGAAAATATTCTGTTCCCTGAGCCCTCCTCTTAAAAAAATGCTTCTCTGTGTGTTTGTATTTCTCCCTCTGACAATGTAAGTGTAAAGAGCACAGGCTTTAGAGCCAGGATTTTGTGGGACTGGATTTTCCCTCTGCAGCTTATAAATTGTGTGACCTTGGACAAGTTATCCAACCCATCTGGGCCTCATCCTCCTCATCTGCAAAAATATTGATTACAGAGCCCATTTACAGATACCACTGGATGAGATGAGAACACATAAAATATATGTTAAATTGTCTTATCCCTCCATATCTTTCATTATTCTCCCTTAATAAGTTTTGCATATCTAACAGTTACAGGACTTTGATCAAAATAGGCCTGCATAGAGTTTGAACAACTGAATTGAATTTATTGGGCTTCATTCATGATATACAAGCTTCCAAAGTCACATGGTCTAAGCCCAAGCTCCAGTTCTTTCTACAATTGCCTCAGCTGTGAGTCTTGAGCATTGTCATAAGAAGAGAATCTAGGATATTTCTCATTTGGCTTCAGTTCCTCTTCTTCAGCTGTCCAGACCTCTTTCATTTAGAAAAACACTGTGACAAAATGAGGAGGCTGCAGAAGCACAAGTGGGAATGGCAGCTGACCGCACGGGGAGAAGGTGTCTATTTCACCTTCAGGACCATCTTAGCATTTTGAGCAGCTCATAGGTCAGGAATGCTGTTGTCATCAGGGTTAGAGCTATGTCCTGAATAAATACCAAGTTAGGAGGAAGATGACTCAGAGCTGCCTAAACCTCATACTCCTCTGATATTTTAAGCAACAGAGAGTGGCAAGCAGCTGTTAGATATCTTTGCTTCTTTGTTCAGGCAAAGCTTAGCCTGTTCCATTTGGAAAGAAAATGGTCATAATTTCCAGCCCATTTTAAACTCTTCCTTCTTAGAATTGTTACTGCACACATAACCTGGGTCACACAACTTAGTTTTCTGCAATCTCAACTCTTTTTCTAATTATTTCCTCTTCCCCAAATGGATATTAAGTTTGTTGTGGAAAGAGAATATGCCTTATATTCCTCTTATATTCTCTCCAAACTGAAAGATTAGCCTTTGGCCCAGAGTAGGTAGTGCATACAAGCACTAATTTCATTTATATGGGACTTTAAAATGAAAAATTACCTTTATGTCCATTCTTTTGTTTAAACTTCACTACAACTTCATAAAATAATTGTTATTATCTTTATTTTATAAACCAGGAAACTAAGGTTTAGAGAGATTAAGTATACTGCCAAGGATAAGGATCATACAGCTAGTAATTAGCAAATCCTGCATTTGTGTGTGTGTGTGTGTGTGTGTGTGTATTCACCTCATAAATCGTATCTTAAAGACTCATTCATTAATGACAGCTTAATTGAAAACCTTTAAAAAATATATTTAATTTTTTTCTACTTATTAAATCCTTGTTCCCTAACTTGTTTTTATTGCTCTGAAAGCAGCTAGAAAACCATTTTGTAATTTGCAAAGATGTAGATCTAGAACCTAATTATTTCATTTGTATGCAGAAAAGAAAACCTGTACAAATGTAAGAAGAAATGGCACAGGAAAATCCCCAAGTAATAAGAAACCATAAATTCATTTGTATTTTAGGTAATATGTTTATGGCAGATATTTAGAGAATTCACATTATTTTGGGGCATCATTATTTATCTGAAAGATTAGGAAGGGCGTGGAAGAGTCTGTGCGGTTAAGGAGAGCAAAATAGGTGTAAATAATATCAATTGGTAGACTCATTTGATTCAGTCAACAGGTTTTATGAAGCACCTGCATTTTCTGTCATGGCTGGAGAGTGGTTTTCAACACATGTTAACATTTGGGTAGGTCAGATACTCTGTGAGTTCAATCAAGATAACCCTGTTTACCCACTAAGATGACTCAGAGAGCTGCTAGGACCTAGTTTTTTCATTTCGGTCTCGTGCTGCAAATGGTCAGCAACTATGAGATTGATGGAAGACATTTGCCTCAATTATTATGCTATGATTCATAGATTCCTACTATAGAACATAACTGAGTATTTGGCCTTCCTCTTTCAGTTGGGGAGAGTAAACAAATTTCTTATTTATATCAACAAGTCATAATTTGAGCAAGTTAAATATTAAAACCTATTGAAACAGAAAAAGAAGTTAAGTTTAGGTGTGGATAATGTCAAGAACAACTATTTAGTCTTTATTTGCGAGATGATGGGCAAACATTTTATGCTGCTTGCAAAATTAATGTCTTCAGTAATTTACTACACCTTTTACTTCATTCATGACAATTTCAAAGGATTAACTGTGAATGGATATTTGAGGAAGTTAGCTTACTGGATCACCAAAGAGTGGCCCAAGGAAGGGTGGGGAGTAGAAAAGTGCTCAGGAGATAGCTGTTGAAGCTGCAGAGAAATCTCTATTTCTATCTCCTGGTTTAAACCCTCCATCCCACTCAATGTGCATTAACCTGAAATATTAATAGATCACTGTGCTTCTCCCTTAAAAACAATGCACAGGCATTTAGATTGATGATTGCTGCTGCATTCAAGGTTCTGTAAATAATGATAACAATACTGTCTAGCACATTATATAAGATCACCTAAATTATAAGTAGAAGATGTATCACGTCATGGTCAAGTCTAATATATATAATTTATGGGCTTTATTCTCACTGTTGCAAGTGTCTATTGAAGAGGGCAAGAATAATGACCCTTATCCAGAAAAATATGTGAAGCCTGTGTCTTTTTCTAAATCTGGAGTTTAAGAAACTGTGCGATCCAAAGGAAAATCCCTTTCAAGGGGAAAAATTAAATCATTTAAGATCACCCCTCCCACTAGGTTCCATTAACCACATTTTGTGAACTTAGTATGTGTCTGACACGATGATGAGTATAATGGCAGTGGTGGTAGGAGGTGTAAAAAAGTGTTGGACATGTGCCTCACTTTCACTGTTAGCACTATTTCTTTGAGGAAAGGATGGCAGTCTGTCTTTTTCTTCTGTTTTGGGAATATCCCAAAGAATTATTAAAAATGGTTTTAACTTTCATTGTGTCCTCAAAGTCTTGTGCTTTGATATTTTTTTTTGTTCTCTGAACCTAATTTTACACTTTCTCATAGCTATAAGTATTCATCTTTTAAATATTTCTTTCTCTTCCAAGACAGCTTTCTCATAACTTATCTCGCCTGTCTTCTTTCTTTTAGATTTTTGCTGATTTTCTTAACATAACAACTTTGAGCTCCATTGTGGTAATTTTTCCATCTGTTATGACTTTGTAAGCCTGTCTGCAAACCTTGCATCATTGTCACCTATTGGTGCATCGAACTGAATTATTCTCCTTCCCAGTTCAGAGCTTATTGTACATCCACAAAAGACTTTTCTTTTGTTTAATCATATACCTTAATCCATTTCTGCATCTATTCTCCTTTTTTCATCTGCAAACATTAATCGTTTCATGCGTTAATTTGAACTTCATGAAACAGACATTATGTAGGTCAAAACAGTCAAATATCAACAATTTCATATGATTCAAATTAACATGTCTTCCCAATTCCCATTTCCTATTAATTATAATTTTCAAAAATTGAAAAATATACAATATTTGTATATTTCCTTTTCTGACTAAATTAGTGGTGCCACCTATATCAAATAGCTAGTTCCTACAAACATGGCGCTGTACCCGGGTTCTGTACGCTTTTCCAGGAGCATAGGCTGCTGCCTAGTTATCACGAGGTGCAATGATTTTGCTTTCCTTGCCAATATTGTTTTAGATATTTATGGGTCTTTGCAGTTGTTGAAATAAATTTAGCTGATTTTTAGCAATTAATCTTCTAATTTCAAAATACTTTCTCTCCTATTCTCCATCCCTTTGTCTGTTTGCTCTTTGTCCTTTCCATTTTCTCAACAGTATATTTAAGATCTTCCATTGCATTTTTAATGTTAACTATTGTAAGTTTAATATCCAAGGTCTTTATCATGTTTTCTGATTGTTCCTTTGTAACAGCATCTTGTTTTTGATTCATGGATGTAATATTTTCTTTCATCTCTCCAAAAATATTAATCATAGTTTTATCTCTTTTCCTCCAGCTTGCTTCTTATATTTTCTATTCCCAGTACCTGATCATATTTTAGAGTGGAGGTTTGAAAAGTGAATTAGAAGCTCTGTGCTCATGGTTGGGACTTGCCAACTGTGGGCTCCCCTATGGCCTTTACTGGCTAGGCTGCTCAGAGCCTGTAATGCCATTATCTTCAGGCCTCCCCTCTCTGGTTTATCAGTATTGCCAGATAATGATCTTCTGATCTCCAGCCTAGATAGCATGAAGCTAGCTATTAGCACTCTGGTAACTGAGGGATCTCAAAGTTCAGTATGTAAACTTTCACTTAATCCCCCTATCCTGACTATGCCATTTCTTTTTTCCACTAGGCTTGATGTCCCCCATGTCAGAGAGTCTCTGTTTTCCTATGTCTGGAGAATAAGCTTCCAGTTCTTTTGTTGTGTGGAGTAGAAATGACACAGACTGGAGGAGGGTATCTGGAGCTAGATTTCATAAACAGTTTTAACCACTCCTCTTTGGTTTTGTTTGGTTTCACCTTATCCCCACTTTCAGAGCCATATGGTGCTAAAACTATCTGGACCTTGGGAAGGTTTTGCCAAAGAGTTAGAATAGTTTCTCAGATTTCTGCTGCCAGTTTAGGATTTACTTTCTTAGTTCATGAAGTCATTTAATACTCATTCTTTTTTTTCATCTTCTGAAGTTTTATTGTTATTCTCCCATACTCTCTTCTCTTTGTCCTTATAAGTTTGTGCTTTAAAAGATCCTTTTACCATTGTTTTATGGGGTTTCTGTGGGGGGTGAATTCAAAGGCACACATCTAATCCCCCATTTTTAACTGGAAATCCCTCTATTATCTTTTATTATTTTCTTCTTGTTTCTTTGGTTTACTTGGTTAGTGTTTTATTGGTGCTTTGAGTAATCAATCACTTAACTTATTTATGTAAATCTCAGTTTCTGATAAATGTCTCTAAAACTAAAAATTTCATTAGTACTAATTTACTTCCAAAATTTGACCTTTAAGCTTTCATTGTTATTAAACTGTAAATATTTCACAGTTTTTCTTATGTCTTTCTCTTTAACCAAAAAAAACCCTCATTTTTTTAATAATATGTTTTATTGTTTCCAGCAACATGGATCATGGAATTACTAAAGCAATCCCTTAGTTTTGATTTCTGATTTTATTGTGTTGTGATCAGAGCTAAAAGTCTATATGATACTGATTTTAGGGGGAGTATTGAAGCTTTTTTTGTGGCTTATTGCATGATAGATTATTTTTTTACATTCCATGTGCTTGAATAAAA
The DNA here is from genome assembly GCF_000001405.40 of Homo sapiens. Classification (NCBI taxonomy): domain Eukaryota; kingdom Metazoa; phylum Chordata; class Mammalia; order Primates; family Hominidae; genus Homo; species Homo sapiens. The sequence continues at coordinate 139,769,461 of NC_000006.12, forward strand.
AAGTGTACTGTGTACATAGGCAGGGGCAAGGACTTCATGTCTGAAATACCAAAAGCAATGGCAACAAAAGCCAAAATTGACAAATGGGATCTAATTAAATGAAAGAGCTTCTGCACAGCAAAAGAAACTACCATCAGAGTGAATAGGCAACCTACAGAATGGGAGAAAATTTTTGCAATGTGCTCATCTGACAAAGGGCTAATATCCAAAACCTACAAAGAACTCAAACAAATTTACAAGAAAAAAACAAACAACCCCATCAAAAAGTGGGCAAAGGATATGAACAGACACTTCTCAAAAGAAGACATTTATGCAGCCAACAGACACATGAAAAAATGCTCATCATCACTGGCCATCAGAGAAATGCAAATCAAAACCACAATGAGATACCATCTCACACCAGTTAGAATGGCAATCATTAAAAAGTCAGGAAACAACAGGTGCTGAAGAGGATGTGGAGAAACAGGAACACTTTTACACTGTTGGTGGGACTGTAAACTAGTTCAACCATTGTGGAAGACAGTGTGGCAATTCCTCAAGGATCTAGAACTAGAAATACCATTTTACCCAGCCATCCCATTGCTGGGTGTATACCCAAAGGATTATAAATCATGCCGCTATAAAGACACATGCACACATATGTTTATTGCGGCACTATTCACAATAGCAAAGACTTGGAACCAACCCAAATGTCCATCAATGATAGACTGGATTAAGAAAATGTGGCACATATACACCATGGAATACTATGCAGCAATAAAAAGGATGAGTTCATGTCCTTTGTAGGGACATGGTTGAAGCTGGAAACCATCATTCTCAGCAAAGTATCACAAGGACAAAAAACCAAACACCTCATGTTCTCACTCATAGGTGGGAATTGAACAATGAGAACACTTGGACACAGGCAGGGAACATCACACACTGGGGCCTGTCGTGGGTTGGGTGGAGGGGGGAGGGATGGCATTAGGAGATATACCTAATGTAAATGATGAGTTAATGGGTGCAACACACCAACATGGCACATGTATACATATGTAACAAACCTGCACGTTGCGCACGTGTACCGTAGAACTTAAAGTATAATTAAAAAAAAAAAAAAGTGTCCTGTGTGTTTTTTGTGAAAAAGCATTCCTAGGCCTGGTGCCGTGGCTCACGCCTGTAATCCCAGCACTTCGGGAGGCAGAGGTGGACGGATCACTTGATGTCAGGAGTTCAAAACCAGCCTGGCCAACACAGCAAAACCCCGTCTCTAGTAAAAATACAAAAATTAGCCGGGCGTGGTGGCGCATGCCTGTAATCCCAGCTACCTGGGAGGCTGAGGCAGGAGAATTGCTTGAACCCGGGAGGTAGAGACTGCAGTGAGCTGAGATCATGCCACTACACTCCAGCCTGGGTGACAGGGTGAAACTCTGTCTCCAGAAAAAATAAAATAAAATAAAATAAAATAAAAGAGAGATTCCTAGGCAGTATAAATTAAGCTTATTCATTCTCAATTTTTATTTTATTTTATTTTTTATTTTTGGTGTCCTTTGCAACTACTTGGTCCTTCTTCGTGGTTCCTCTTTCCTCTCTAAACTCTCTAACAGTTTTTCGTTCTTGTTGTCATCCGTAGGATTTGCAGAAAGAGCCAACAACTCCTACAGATGATGACAGTTCTCATTCTGTGAGTTTATCTGATCCTTATTTCATTTTATTAATACAACAATGGCAATTTTGGCTGCTTATACTTTTCCATTTGGCTGCTTGCTATAGAGCTAGAGGGACTTCAAAGAGACTCACATGAAATATTTTTGTTTTATAAGTAGAAAAGCTGAGGCCTAGAGAAGTTAATTCACTTTTATGAAACTCTCAACTAGTTAATCTAATTAGTTAATCACATTAGTTAATCTAGTCTATTAACACTTTTCTTAACCTGAAGTTGAAGTTAAAAATATCTTGACAGATCTAATGGTAAAATATAAGATTTGTGAATGTGCCTCTTAAGCAATGAATGTTTTACAAATGGAAGGAATTATTTTTGTAGCTCAGTACAATCTTCGCAATAGCAGAATTATTCTGAATTCCTGATGCATGTTTTAACTATTATTATGAACATGTATCAGACACATTGTTAACAAGAGTTTCTTATTTCAGAAATGATTCCAGTTCAGTAGAGAAGGCACCTACATAAATGAGAGATCTAAGATTGTTAGATAAGCGCCGTAAGATAAGAAAGCTATGGGTCAGAGGTTTTCTGGTGGAGAGAGTGTTCACTCTTCCGGGAGGTCAGGGGAGACTTCGCAGAGAGCAGGTCACACCCTCCGACACCTCTCAGTCAACACTGCATCCTTTACTTGAAATGATCTTTTCTCCTCCGTTCTCCGGTGAACACACACAGGAAACTATGTCTTTTGGTATTTCGTCAGAATATTTTGTGTGCTGTTGTAGAAGATTTTGTAGGGCTAAGTGGTTTTTGGACAGCCTTATGGATCATGTTTCTTGTAAAAAATGGAAAACCAGTGGAACATCTTAGGCAGGGAAACGGGTATGTGTCTGTAGTATTGATGCCTTAAGTATATTGAAACATCATTGGTGTATTCCTGCACAGACCCGGTACATTTGTTCGGACATTTACAGGAAACCTTTCATTACTATTAGGCTTAGGGTTCCAACTTCGTTTTATTCATGATCATGCCTCATCCTTGTACAATCACGTCCCTAGTGAAGCTATAATAAAAGTAAGATGCCAAGAACTCAGGTATGGAAGAGAAAAAGTTTGTCAAGATTCTGAAAGAAATTAGGGAAATCACTTAAGTTCTCCAGGCTTGTTAACTCCTCATCTTTCTTCCAAAAATTTTCTTTTGTTGGCCGAGTGCCGTGGCTCATGCCTGTAATCCCAGCACTCTGGGAGGTCGAGGCGGGCGGATCATGAGGTCAGGAGATCGAGACCATCCTGGCTAACACAGTGAAACCCCGTCTCTACTAAAAATACAAAAAATCAGCTGGGCGTGGTGGTGGGAGCCTGTAGTCCCAGCTACTCTGGAGGCTGAGGCAGGAGAATGGCGTGAACCCGGGAGGCGGAGCTTGCAGTGAGCAGAGATGGCGTCACTGCACTCCATCCTGGGCGACAGGGCTAGACTCCATTTCAAAAAAAAATTTTTTTTTTGGTCTATCTTTTCTTCTTCTCTTCTCTGTCTCTTTCCTTCCTTTCTCTTTTTCTCTCCCCTCCCTCCTTCCTTCTCCCTCTCCTTCCCTTTCTTCTACCTTCTTTTTTTTTCCTTGTTCCTTCAACATAGAGCATAAATTCTATATATTTTTTTCTTTCTGGTTAGTCTTTTTGAATGAAGATGGTGTTATAGCAGTTCACACTCTATATCCATGAAGAAGAGTTTACTGGTAAACCATGAACTAGCCAGGGCTCATTTCAACCTGAGACAGAGTCAAACCTCTAAGCTTCTTGACTTGGAGTTTATTGTATTTTAGTAGTTTATACCCTGTTTATTCAATGGGAATAAAAGTCCGTTTTTAAAGAATAAAATAAACTGAAATAAACTTCAGCCCCAAAACTGCTTTTCTTAAGCACTAAAACAAAAATTTTCCATAGGCACAAAAATATTGAGAAACAATGATTTTTCATGTTGGCTCAGAATTGCTTGCATTTGCGTTACTATAATTATGTATCACCCAGAATGGTAGCCCTGGTTTATTTTGTCATTACTCCATGTGCCTCTGTAGTTTTATACAAGTGGTAGTGGTGACTTGGTTATTGTTCTGAGTTTTATTGCATTTTATATTGTGTGTTTTGTTTTGTTTTGTTTTGTATTATTCCAAGTTTGTATTGTGGTTCTGTCTTTCTAATTTTATTTTGTCTACTTTATTTGAATTATTCATACTGCATTATAACATCAAATGAGTAGAAAATTAATATTCTTCTCCCAAATAATTACAATTTTATACAGCTTAAAGTTGTGAATAATCATACTTAAATCATAGTTTCAATTTGGTTACTTTAAGACATTTAAGGCTATTCTTCTATTTTCTCTTTAAAATTCAGAAAGTCCAGCAGTATGACTTTGTATGTGTGTGTGTGTGTTCATGGGGGAGCCCTTTAGATATTAATTTAGATATTAAGTAATTCATCCAACCTGTGAGTTTGCAGAACCAGGACTAGAACTCAGATCTTTTGAGTCCTAACGCATCTTTCTATCTTTCCTCTACTATTCAGCCCTTCACATAATTAATACATTAGTCCCATCCTTATCCTCATTAGACACTTCCTATCACCCTCAGTGTATACCTGAGTATTTGGATAGTATACACTCTGTTTTTTCTTTTTTTCTTTTTTTTTTTTTTTTTTTTGAGACAGGGCTTTGCTCTGTCGCCCAGGCTAGAGGCTAGAGTGCAGTGGCATGATCTCAGCTCACTGCAACCTCTGCCTTTTGGGTTCAAGCAATTCTCCTGCCTTAGCCTCCCAAGCAGCTGGGATTACAGGTGCATGCCACCACACCTGGCTAATTTTTTTGTATTTTTAGTAGAGATGGGGTTTCACCATGTTGGCCAGGCTGGTCTTGAACTCCTGACCTCAGGTGATCCACCTGCCTCGGCCTCCCAAAGTGCTGGGATTACAGGTGTGAGCCACCGTGCCAGGCGTGTTTTTTCTTATACATATATACCTATGATGATAATTTATAAATTAGGCATAGTAAGAGATTAACAACAATAAGTAATAATAAAACAACAATTATAACAATATATTCTAATAAAAGTTATGTGAATGTGGTCTCTGTCTCTCAAAATATCTTCTTGTACTTTAGGTAACTGAAAACCATGAAAAGCAAAATGCGGATAAGGGTTCGGGGTGGGGTGATTACTGTATACCCAGTCAATTGCCTTGGTCTGTGAAAGTTAAGTAAAATAATTTTAGGTTGTCAAATCTAGTCCACCATGAACATTGCAAAGGCACAGATCAGGGCAGGTGAGTAACATTAACCATTCTATAGTTATAAGGTGGGTATTTGTGCCTGCTTGGGCATCAAGGTATAAATCACAAAATTTATAATAACATAACTTATCAACAAATATTTTCAAATTATAACACACTTTATTGGGTCAGAATACTTTTTGGATAATTTATAGGGTTGGTTTGTCCACACTACTTCTCTTATAAATCAGCTATAAGAATGAAGCTCACTTTCTTTAGATCACACAACAATGGAGACAGAAGTGTCTGAGAATGTTCATTTCTTTCACTCACTTGAACTATGATAGTACAAAACTTTTCCAAGTAGATGGATAATTACCCTATATTTAAGACTCCATAATTTTGTAAAATAACCTTTTAATTTGATCCCAGTAGATGGATATTTAATTAACCTCATACAAAGATCAGGAAGATATAATTTTTGCATTTTTACAGTTTAAAATCTGAAGAAATAATATGATCAATACTTTTGATTATTATAGGCATATTATGATACTGGTCATAAAGTACATGTAAAAAACATGTCCTGGAAAATCAAAGTGATAAAGTATCTGTAGCTTAGGCACATCAGAAAAGGCTTCCTGGTAGAAGGCATTAAGATGACATTGAGCAGGGCACCGTAGCTCATGCCTGTAGTCCCAGCATCTTGGGAGGCTGAGGTGGGAGGATCGCTTGAGGCCAGGAGTTCAAGGTTGCAGTGAGCTATGATTGTGCCACTGCACTTCAGCCTGGGTGACAGAGCAAGATCTTGTCTCTAAAAACAGATATATAAAAGGTGAACATCAAAGGATGTGTGGGAGTTCAAGAACGACCTGGTGAGGGAGGGAAGGACTGGCAGTGAAGTGCATGTAAGAAGCGGAGGTCTGGAGTCACTGGAGTGCGCGACATGATCAGAATGGGAGCTCAGGTCCCAGCTAGGGAAGCCCTGCGAGGTAAACCTGCACACATAGCAGAGGCAGAGTGGAGACAACCTCAATGCCAAAGTGAGGAATTTGCAAATTACTCTATAGGGCAATTCTGGGGAATCAATGCGTATTTTCGAGGCAAAGAGCAACCAGATGGGGACAATACTTTAGAAAGAAAGATGTCTTGGGTGGGTTGAGTAACAGGGATTGAAAGGGGAGGGTAACTGGAAGCAGGAAGGACAGAGACAGGAGATCAGAGGCGGGTGGTAATGGAAAAGGGTTTGGAGGGAAGTGGATGACGGCGAGGACTTTCCCAGACTTGGCCACTGATTTGACGAAAGGGGAAAAGGAGACAAAGTTAAAAAAAATGACACCTTCCCCTGGTGTTTCTGTCTGGGTGACTGGTAGCATGATGGCTCCATGAGAAGAACAAAGAAGTCTGAGAAGCAGCTTTTGGGGTGGAGGTGAGGGTTATGGATGGTAAAGAAAAGATCTCTTTACATCTAAACTAAATGCTTCATACCTCAGCTTAAACCACTGGACAAATAAAGGATTTAACACCTGATCCTTTGTTTTTCATGGGGCCTATGTGATTTTTGTGTGTGTGTGTGCTGCCTTTTGCTTACAGTCTATATTAAAATAATTAGGCTTATCTTGCAATTGAAGCAATATTATAGTTTCCTGAGTTGGAAAATAGTGACAATAACAATAATAATATGAGCAACAATCACAACAACCACCGTCACAACAAACCCAGCAAGAACAGTGATTTTGCAGCCTTCTGTTGTTCACGACTGCACGAAACTATACTCATTATATTGCTTTCCACTCTTTGACTCCATGCCAAACTTCAGCCTGCTTAGGGTCAGAGCTTGCTGGGAGTGTGCCGCCTGCTACATTGTGTGTGCTGTACTGGGATCAAAGCATTCTTTCTCGTTCCTCATCTACCTCTTCTCCCTACTGCTTGTCTGCCTTCTCCTGCAGGGGGTCAGACTGGCCACATTTGCACGTCTCAGTGCATAGCCCTTTTATACAAAGTTTTCTTTGTTAATCAGGAGAAGTGAATGCAAATCCTCTCTCTGTACAATGAACTGCTTTGAGAAGAAGGTGTGACAGTGATATAATGACCTGGTGAATTTTCAGACAAGGAGGATCAAAATTTCTTGATTTATTTTCTAAAGATTAATATTTGAGAGATGTGTGTGTGTGTGTGTCCACATTCTTCCTCTGGAAGACAATGTCATTATGCAATAGAGTTCTTGAATTCTCTCCTTTTCCATGTTTATATCTGAATTATCCTTTATACTTGGGTGTCAGAGCAAGATTTTGTTGTTGCTGAAACCGCAGGATATGCAATCTGTGTGTCTTCGGCTGGTTAATGAGCTTTAATACCTAACCTTAGCGGGTCACTCTCACAGTCCCTGGTAGGGCCTAGAGGGGTACACGGGGCTACCTCCCCCTTATTAGCCATGAAGCCAGAGTAGACTGAAACATAAGCACTACCTTCCATCATGTTTCTCTGTAAGATATTAATAAAAACACAGTGGCTGCTCATTCTGCCTTTCAGTTTTACTTGTCATTACTTCTTGCACCAATCAAGCAAACAGTTGGTAATCATTTAATGGAAGTTCAGGTAAGTTACAAGGTGGTCTTTTGAACAGCCTGGCAGTCTTTGGCTATGGATTATACTTGAAGATCTTGGATGACACCCTAGGTAGTTATTAAATGTTAAAAAACAGACACAAAATGAAGAGGTCTGTGTTATGTTTTACTTAATTTCTTTTTTTGTTAGCATAGTAGAATCAAAAAGATGGTCGCTTCATTTGACCTTCTCTCCATGGGAATAGTAACTATAATGGGTTTAATTAACTATGTGGCATTGATGTAATTAGTTATCCTGGTGATTATACTTCTTTAATAAAAGCACTTCATTTGAGATGCATTGGTGTTCTGCAATGGCCGAGCCCTACACCTATATTTCATAACTGTCTAGACAGGGCAACTGTGTGCATATTTTACCAACAGCCCTTGAGAGAGGTTATCTTGCATGTCTTAAGGTAATTGGGAACTAATGATTTTGCCCCCTGGTTTCAGGCTCTTGCAGCAGAGAGCAGAGACGCTGTGGGGGAGGGGTGGCCGCTCATTTTGTGTACACTAAAAGGGCGGGGGAAGGGCTGTGTTTTGGAAACCATATGCTCTTAGGAACTGTTTCTCTTTAAGCTAGCAGTCAGAGAGACAGTATCACCAGAGGGAATTGGGGGTGTTTAATCTATGGGTGGACTGCATAAATACATTTCAATAAATGTACACAGTGTATAGGGACATATGCTCATATTAATAGGAATCCTGAGTGTACACATGTCTATTAAGAAACATGCAGTACATTTCGGTATTAAAAGTAGATCACTGCTTAGATTTGGTCAGCAGGTGACTGGCAATGTCCCTTTCACACGGCTCAGTAGACAATGAAGTCAGGCTGTATGGAAAAAAATAGGGCAAATATAAAAGAAGAAACATATAATGCAAAAATTACCATATGAAAATGTCAATAATAGTATCACAAGAAGCCCCAAAGAAGAGAACAAAAGCAAAAAGATTATCTAGCTGTGCCCAGCCCCATCCACAGCAAACATGGTGTCTGAACCCCCTTAGTTTTCTCAATATTCAAACTTGGGTAATGGAAGGGGAGGGGGCAAGGATGGGCATGGGAACAGAATGGTGTGGACAGAAAGGGGATTTTAAAAACCTAGCTGAAGTAGATGCAGCTGAGAAATAATAGGCTCTGCAGATGATCTTTTTTGCCGGTAGAAGTACTATTTCTTTTCCAGTCTGCTTTCTTTGACTCTCCTTCTTTTTTCAAAGAAATGCTTTCCCTGTCACCTCTTCCAGCAGCTCTTTATCCTGCAGAACTGTGTATCCTCCCATCCGCGTCTCTCCTGCTTTCTCCCTGTCTGGAGACACACACTGAAATCACTGCAGGCATTTGACTGCTTCATGCAGCATGGCAAGGAACACTGTGGGTCATTCTAACAGCCAAACCCATAAACAAGCACCACTGAAAAACCAAACAAATGTAGAAGAAGTGCCTCAGTGGAGGTACCTGCCAACAAGACTTGTTCCTTTGCCACGAGGGATGCTCCAGCAAAAGCCTCCATCCCTCATTAAATCAATAAAATCAAATGTCCTTTATTTTAATCCTCTGCACTGTAATCCAGTAGCAAGGAGAGGGGCCCAGGCTTTTCATCTCATTGTTTCAAAACAGATCGTTTGGTAGGAATTGACAAAAGGTTCATTCCTTTACCTTTGTGGAAATGTCAGTAAAAAGGCAGGTGCTGGGCATTCGGACTCTTTTGCTTAGTAGAAGAAAAAAAGGGGTGTGTGGGGGGTGGGGGTGGCATTGGGGGTGGGGGGAGGGATCTGTGACAGGCTGACTACATGAACCAAAGCTTTCTAAGACATTTTGTTTAGCTTGATATTGTGCAGCAGTGAGAAGAGAGGTGGAATCTATTGTGTGCCAGCTGCATGAATCACCGGATTGAAGTCTAACAGCCTCAGATCCTCTTTTATACAGTAGAGGGGAGATTAAAGCAGGGAGCTCATATGTCACAAAATAGAGGTACAATGTAGTTCTGGCTTGCTTAGTGCACTTAGCCGGCGTTGGATCCAAATTTAGCCAAAGGGAAAGAACGTGCACTGCTATCAGCCAGGGAGGTGACAAATGTTGAGCTGTAATATCCAAAATTCCTTTTCGTTTTCCAAAATGTCATCTCTTCTTTGTCAGCTTCATTATGATTGAATCTATGTATAGTCACAGACCAACTGGAAACAAACAAAAACACCCAAACCCTAGATAAATTATTCCACACCTGTGTCTTCCTAAGCTGTGTAATTGATACAGAGCATAGGGAAGTTTTGTATCTGGGACTGTAAACCTCATTTATCTAATACATGTTTGTCGAGTGCTATGGTTAAGTGCATTCTAGAAGCTGAAAGGGATATACAAGGAATCTAATATATATTCTTCTACTGTCCAAAAGCTGGCAATCTTCTTAAAGAGATAAGATAGACAGACCGAAAGACATAACCATATACACACCCTTTCAGGAACAAAGGCTGTGGGCCATTTTGGTAAATGACTAAATATGGGAAGATGAAAAGTGCTGTAGAAATCAGAAGAAGTGAACTTTTAGCTGAAACAAACAAACAAAAAAATAGAATAGAGAGTGTTTGCAGTACTCAGTAGTTTTTGGAATCTTACATGCCCTACGTCGTGGAGCACAGTGTATTTATATTTGTATCATTTCCATTTAATAGGTAAAGAAACTGAAGCCCAGAGAGGTAAGTAACTTTTCCAGAGTCATGCAGTTAATAAGAGGCAGAGCAGGAATTTAAACTTACAACCTATTACTGTTTTTTTGTTTGGTTTTGTTTTTTGTTTTTGTTTTTTTGAGAGAGAGAGAGAGCGTTTCACTCTGTCATCCAAGCTGGAGTGCAGTGGCATGATCTTGGCTCATGGTGGCCTCAACCTCCTGGGCTCAGGTGATCCTCCTGCCTTAGCCCCCCAAAATAGCTGGAACTAGAGGTATGCACCACCACTCTAGGCTAATTTTTGTATTTTTTTGTAGAGATGGGGTCTCGCCATATTGCCCAGGTTGATCTTGAATTCCTGAGCTCAAGCAGTCTGCCCCCCTCAACTTCCCAAAGTGCTGGGATTACAGGCGTGAACCACCAAGCCCAGCCCCAAACTATAATACAACTCTTAAACTACATCTGCAACTCTCTTGGCAAAAGGCTGAAAGGGAGACTCTGAAGGAGCAACCAACCTGGCATCTCTCCCCTCCTTACTAAGGGAATTCTCCATCTGTTCTCAGTGAAACTTTCAGGTCCTTATCAAATCAGGAACAAAATGTTATTTCTACTGATGGCTTGTCTAAGGTCAAATAGATTATTAGTGTAGACATGAGACTACAATTTGTCTTTGAGGCCCAGTCCAGTGTCTTTCTGACAGTTCCCACTGCGTTTCTCGCCTTCACGTGGACCTTCACCATTGATTCCTAAGATCTACCAAATCTTTACTGTGTTTTCCATGCCTATCACACCTCTACTATCTGCGTTTCTTTTTGCTTTATGGAGGACACTTCAACGAAAAGGGAGAGCCATGTAGCCCTGGCCATCTACACCGTCAAGGACTCCAATTACACCTGAGTGGTCACATCTGCTTGCTGACTGTGCTAGTCATCTCTTTCTGAGGCTTCCAGGAGCCATTCCAGGCATTCTCTGTTTTCAAGCCCGCAATGCAACTGGTAAATGATCTCATATCTTAATGAGAACATCTGGCATGTGATACCTCATCTTCACCTTAATAACAACTTCCAACTCCCATCTCAGCACTCCCTCAGTACCCTGCCCAGAGAGGTAAGTAACTTGCCCAGAGTCACACAGTTAATAAGAGGCAGGGCAATAATTTAGACTTTGCCAGAAGAGCTGCCCCTCTCTGGCTTTTTTACACTAAATGGTGGGATCACTGAGGATTGGCTTTGGAGCTTGTGTCCTTTTTTGCCCTCAAGATTTCCCCCACTCTATTTCTGAAGCTCTAGGTCTGTATACCACTGCTACAATCCTTATTCAAAACCTGAACTTGGTGAAGACCTGATAAACACAGGATTGTAAAAATCTTTAAAAAGACTCAGTATGTTATTTTTCTCAATACAAGAGCTTTTAATTTTTTTTTAATAGGAGAAAGAATCCACATGCCAAAGGACACATTTATGATTGTGGGGCATCAGACACCACTGTGAATGACTGAGATATTTGGGGGGCAATGGTACTCAAAGCACAGGATCTCACAGAGTAGGTCACCTCCTCTGTCAACATATACATGGACAGCCTGCCCCGATGATCACCACAGAGATAAATCTTCAACCTGAAGAGCTTTTTCCATTCCTTTTAGCTCAGGAAAGATGTGTTCTCATTTTTATCTGGCACTTTCTCTGGCTTTTTAAAAAATCTCTAGTTCTCCACTCTACATGAATACCTCCCTTTGCCTTCACTTCAAGGATGCACAGGTTCACAAAACTTGATAATCCTTCATCTGATTCTGGTGCATATTCTAACAATTCTGTTTGTTTCCTCTTTTACTGTCCACACTTTGAAGTGCATATTTTAAATACCCTATTTCTCCATCTCTCAATGCCTGCTCATTCCTTAAAAGTTTGACTAACTTCAAATCAGCAAAACTTGGGGAAATCTACTAAGTCCTTATTCTTCTTTATGTCTTAAAAATTTAACTCTTTTAACAATCCTATCTTCTAGAATAATTATTCTTAATCCTACCAAACCCTCACCCCACTTTAAAACTAATCCTTAGAATGCTGCCCTATCATGTTGAAATAAAATGCATTGGTGATATAATTGTCCTACTCACACAATTTTAATAACTCAGCATAATGCTTTAACTATATACAAATGGATTAATTTATGATAAAATAATATGCATCAATGCACAGAGTCATCATTAATATGATACAAATGCAGATTGATACAAATGTGATTCAAATACCATGAACAGCACTGTTAGAAGAAATGTCAATTATTGGACTTTTAAACAACGTTTGGTAAGGATTCAAACCAAGCAAACTAAAGAACTACATAGTAGTTGTATTTCTGGAAAATTTGGTATATTTAATAACATGTAAACATATTTGGATTTTTATGAATAAGTTAGGTCCTAGACTAAAGTCATTTTAAACAGATATTTCTACATGTATGAATGTCCGTGAGTCATTCAAAAGTTTGTTTTGATGCAAAACAATTCTTCTACCTGTAGGACTGTCTGATACACTGCAAGATATCTAGCCTCCTTTCCTACTCCCCCAACACGAAATGTAAAAACATCTTCCAGTATTGCTGTCAACCAAAAATTTCTAAAATACCTCTTAGTGGGTGGTGGTGAAGTACCTCTTGAAAACTACTATTCTGTATTAGCTTATCTTTAGCCCAAGTGGCATTCCTCTGTTCATTCCTGCATTTCTGATCCATCTTTTTCCTTTGGTGACTTCTTGTCCCCTTTCTCCTAGGTAATTTTAACTGTAGACCTTCTTCAAGTCATGCTCCTTGGACATCTATTACTCTCTTTATCTTTCAGTTTCATTGAGGCACGATGTATATACAATACAATTTACCATTTTTTTTTTTTTTTTTTTTTTTTTTTTTTGAGACGGAGTCTCGCTCTGTCACCCAGGCTGGAGTGCAGTGGTGCGATCTCAGCTCACTGCAAGCTCCGCCTCCCGGGTTCACGCCATTCTCCTGCCTCAGCCTCCTGAGTAGCTGGGACTACAGGCGCCCGCCACCACGCCCGCCTAATTTTTTTTTTGTATTTTTTAAGTAGAGACGGGATTTCACCGTGTTAGCCAGGATGGCCTCGATCTTCTGACCTCGTGATCCACCCGCCTCGGCCTCCCAAAGTGCTGTGATTACAGGCGTGAGCCACTACACCCAGCCTACAATTTATCATTTTTAAGTGTACAAAGCATTGAAGTAAATGCATGCAGCCATTTAACCCTCACCAACCACAGTTACGATGTAGAATACTCCCAACACTTTTGTTTCCTCTGCCTTTTTCCACTCAATCTCCTCCCCACAAACCTAACCCCTTATAAACCCTTATCATTTATCTGTGTCTAGAGTTTGGCCTGTTCTAGAATTTCATATAAGTGGAATCATACAGCATTTAGTGTTTTAGGTTTAGCTTTTTAAATTTAGCATAATGTTTTAGATATTTATGCACATCATGAATACAGCAGTAATATGTTTCTGAGTGGTAATTTGTTTATGAATAGTATTCCATTGTATGAGGTACCAAATTTGTTTATCCATTCACTTGCTGATGGATACCGGAGTATTTGTAGTTTGGCCTACAATAAATAAAGATATTCTAAACAACTAAGAAATATATTTTCATTTCTGTTGGGTAACAGTACCCAGGAGAGTTACTCTTGGTATATATAATAAGCATATACTTTATATCATAAGAAATGACTAAAATATTTTCCAAAGTGGATGTGCCATTTTGCATTCACACCAGCAATATCCAATTTTTAGTTATTCTACATCCTCACCCACTTTTTAGTCTACTTTAATCATTCTTGTGGGTTCTTAGTGGTATTTCATGATAGCTTTAATCTGCATTTTTCTAATGGCTACTGATGTTGAGCATCCGTTCATACACATATTTTCAATTTATATGATTTTTTGAGATGTGTCTGTTCAAACTTTTGTCTGTTTTCTAAGTAGATTGTTTCTTTTCTTATTATTTAGTTGTATAATTTTTAAATATATACTTGATATGTCATTTGTGAGCTACATGTTTTGAAAATATTTTCTCCCAGATGGTGACTTGTCCATTTCTATTTTAATGATATCTTTTTTTTTTTTAATTTTTAATTTAGGTTCTGGGGTACATGAGCAGGTTTGTTTTATAGGTAAATTGCATATCATGGGGGTTTGGTGTACAATTTTGTCACCCAGTTAATCAGCATAATACCTGATAGGTAATTTTTTGATCTTCACCCTCCTCCCACCCTTTACGCTATAGGTCCCACTGTCTGTTGTTCCCTTTTTGTGTCCATGTGTATGTAAGGTTTAGCTCCCACTTATAAGTAAGAACGTGATATTTGGTTTTCTGCTCCTGTGTTAGTTTGCCCAGGATAATGGCCTCCAATCTATGTTGCTGCAAAGGACATAATCTTATTCTTTTTCATGGCTGTGTAGTATCCCATGGTGTATTTGTACCAAATTTTCTTTATCCAGTCTACCACTGATGGGCATCTAGGTTGACTCTATGTCTTTGCTATAGTGAATAGTGCTGTGATGGACATATGCATGTGTATGTTTTTAAGACAGAATTATTTGTATTTCTTTGGATATACCTAATAATGAGATTTCCAGGTTGAATGATAATTCTGTTTTAAGTTCTTTGAAAAATCAACAAATTGCTTTCCACAATGGCTGAACTGATTTACAATTCGCACTAGCAGTGTATAAGTCATCCTTTTTCTCTGCAACTTTGCCAAAATCTATTACTTTTTGACTTTTTAATAAGAGCTATTGCAACTGGTGTGAGATGGAATCTCATCATGGTTTTGATTTTCAGTTCTCTGATTATTAGTGATGTTGAGCATTTTGTCATATCCTTGTTGGCCACATGTATGTCTTATTTTGAAAAGTGTATGTTCATGTCCTTTGCTCAGTTTTTAATGGAGTTTTTGTTTTTTTGCTTGTAAATTTGTTTTAGTTCCGTATAGATGCTGGACATCAGATCTTTGTGGGATGCATAGTTTTCAAATATTTCCTACCACTCTGTAGATTGTCTGTTTACTCTGGCAATAGTTCCTTCTGCTTTGCAGAAGCTGTTAAGTTTAATTAGGTCTCTTTTGTCAAATTTTGTTTTTGTTGCAATTGCTCTTGGCATTTTTGTCACAAAATCTTTGCCTAGGCCTAAGTATGGAATAGTATCTCCTAGGTTGTCTTCCAGGATTTTTATAGTTTTAGGTTTTACATTTAAGTCATTATCCATCTTGAGTTGATTTTTGTATATAGTATAAGAAAGGGGTCCAGTTTCAATCTTCTGCAACAGGCTAGCCAGTTATCTCAGCACCATTTATTGAATAGGGAGCTTTTCCCCATTGCTTATTTTTGTCAACTTTGTCAAAGATGAGATGGTCTTAGATATGTGTCCTTATTTCTGGGCTCTCTATTCTGTTTCATTGGTCCATGTGCCTGTTTTTGTACAGCATCATGCTGTTTTGGTTACTGAAGCCCTGTAGTGTACTTTGAAGTTGGGTAATGTTATGCCTCCAGCTTTGTTCCTTTTGCTTAAGTTTGCCTTGGCTATTTGGGCCTTTTTTGTTGTTTTTGTTCCATATGAATTTTTAAATAGTTTTTTTTTCTAGTTCTCTTAATAATGTCATTGGTAGTTTGATAAAAATAGCATTGAATCTGTAGATTGCTTGGGGCAATATGGGCATTTTAATGATACTGATTCTTCCTATCCATGGACAAGGAATGTCTTTTCATTTGTTTGTGTCATCTATGATTCCTTTGAGCAGTGTTTTGTAATTCTTGTTGTAGAGACATTTCACTTCCCTGGTTAGCTGGATTCCTCGGTATTTTATTCTTTTTGTGGCTATTGTGAAGAGATTGCATTCTTGATTTGGCTCTTAGCTTGGGTATTCTTGGTGTATAGCAATGCTACCAAGGCTTCACATAGCTCTGTGTGTTAGACTGAAGGCCTTTGTGGAGTGAGTTTATGAGGGGATCTCCTGAGCCAAGGGTTGCAATGATCTGTGGGAGAAGCATGGGTTCCTGGTGTTGCACATTCACTAACCACTTCCCTGGGCAGCGGAGGTTCCCCTAGCTCTGTGTTGCTCCTGGGTGGGCCATTGTCCTGCCTTGCTTTTCTTTGTTCTTCCAGGGTAAAGTTGTTTCCTTAATTAGTCCCAATGTGTGTATCTGGATGTTTCAGTTGAAGGTGCTGTATTTTATTTGCCCTTCCATTCCTCTCTGTGAGAGCTGTGCACACTAGCTGCTTCTAGTGGGCCATCTTGGCCACCTATTTTTTTTTTTTTTTTTTTTTTAATCTCAATTTCTTTTAGTTCAGGTCTGTTTTTAGTTATTTCTTTTCTTCTGCTAGCTTTGGGTTAGGTTTGCTCTTGTTTTTTATGTCCTCTAGGTGTGATATTAGCTTGTTAATTTTTGTTTTTGTTGTTCACCCAAAAGGTCATACACAAAATTAAGGAAGAAATCAAGAAATTCTTTGAAGCTAACAAGCAGGTTTTTAAATTTTCATTGAATTGTATGGTTTGTGATTTTCACTGAGAAACTGATTTCTATTTTTATTGTACTAGGGTCCAGGAATGTATTAATAGTTGATATAAACCCAGGTTTTTGAATTTGCTGAGGTTTGTTTTATGGCCAGTTGTGTGGCTGATTTTATAGTATGTACCATGTACAGATAAGAAGAATGTATATTCTTTTGTTTTGGGGTGGAGAATTCTGTAGATGTCTATCAGGTCCATTTGATCAAGTGTTGAGTTCAGATCCTGAATATCTTTGTTAGTTTCTGCCTCATTGATGTGTTTAATACTGTCAGTGGGGTGTTGAGGTCTCATACTATTATTTTGTGATTATCTAAGACTCTTTGTAGATCTCTAAGAATTTGTTTTATCAATCTGGGTGCTCTTGTCTTGGGTGCATATATATTTAGCATAGTTAGGTCTTCTTGTTGAATTGAATCCTTTACCATTATGTAGTGTCCTTCTTCGTTCTATTTTATTATTTTTGGTTTAAAGTCCATTTTTCTTGAAGTTAGAATAGCAAACTCTGTCTTCTGTTTGCTTGGTAGATTTTTTTTTTCCATCCCTTTACTTTCAGCCTATGGGTGTCATTGCATGTGAGATGGGTTCCTTGAAGACAGCATACAATTGGTTTTGCTACTTTATTCAACTTGCCACTCTGTGCCTTTTAATTGAGGCATGGAGACCATTTACATTCAAAGTTAATATTGATATGTGCAGATTTGGTGCTGTCATTGTGTTGTTACCTGATTATTATGCAGACTTGATTGTGTGGTTTCTTTGTAGTGTCAATGGTCTATGTACTTAAGTGTGTTTTTGTGGCCAGTAACAATTTTTCCTTTCCATGTTTAGCACTGCCTTAAGTACCTCTTGTAAGGCAGGTCTGGTGGTGACAAATTCCCTGAGCATTTGCTTGTCTGAAAAGGAGGTTATTTCTCCTTCACTTATGAAGCTTAGTTTGGTGGGAAATGGAAATCTTGATTGTCAGTTTTTTCTTTAAGAATGCTGAATACAGCCCCCCAATCTCTTCTGGCTTGTAGGGTTTCTGCTGAAAGTTCTGCTATTAGCCTGATGTGAGTCTCTTTATAGGTGACCTGCCCCTTCTCTCTAGCTGCCTTTAACAGTTTTTCTTTCATTTTGACCTTGGAGAACCTGATGACTATATAGCTTGAGGACGGTCATCTTGTATAGTATCTTGCAGGGGTTCTCTGCTTTTCCTGAATTTGAATGTTGACCCCTCTAGTGAGGGAGGGGAAACTTTCATGGACAACATCCTCAGATATGTTTTCCAAGTTGCTTGCTTTCTCATCCTCTCTTTTAGGGACACCAGTGAGTTGTAAATTTGGTAGAATCCCATATTTCTTGGAGGCCTTGCTCATTCTTCCTTATTCTTTTTTTAAAAATTTTTGTCTGACTTATTTCAGAGAACTAGTCTTCAAACTCTAAAATTCTTTCCTTAGCTTGGTCAATTTGGCTGTTAGTACTTGTAATTGTATTCTGAAATTCTTGAAGTGATTTTTTCAGCTCTGTAAGATCAGTTTGGGTTTTTCTTAAAGTGGCCATTTCATCTTCCATTTTCTGTACCATTTCATTATATTTCTTAGATTCTTTTGATTGGGTTTTGACTTTCTTCTGAATCTCAATGATCTTTGTTTCTATCCATATTCTGAATTCTATATCTGTCATTTCAGCCATTTCAGGCTAGTTAAGAACCATTACTGGAGAACTAGTGTGGTCATTTCGAGGTGAAAAGACATGCTGGCTTTTTGAGTTGCCAGAGTTCTTCTGCTGATTCTCTCTCATCTGTGTGGGCTATTTTTCCTGCAATCTTTGAAGTTTCTATGCTTTCTATGGTTTTTTTTTTCTTTTATCTTCTTTAATGCCCTTGGGGGTCTGATTGTGTTATAAGGTGGGTTCAGTCAACTGGATTTGTTTCTGGAAGATTTTGGGGGGCCAAGGCTCAGGCCAACACTCTTGGGCTGAATATTCTAACTCGGGTGGGGGGCTAGTATTTTCAGCTTTGTTCTCTGGTCCCTCAAGATTAGGAACCTGCTGTGCTGGAGGGGCCAATGTGTTCACTCTCTGCGTGTCACAACACTCTGATGGGTGGTGCTGACCAAAATGCTTCATCAGGGCAGTGGGAGTGGGATCCATAATTGTTTTCATGTGTCAGCAGATGTAGCAGCACAGCAGAATGCACCTGCGCCTGCTCAGGTGGAGTATCAGTGGGAGTGAGATTGTGGCATTCCTGCATGTACTCATGCTGGTGGTGGTGGCAGCATGGTAGGGTGGGGCTTTGGCAGATGTGAGGCTGCTGGCTTCAGTGCATGTGTTCACATCAGCAGTGGTGGCTACAGGAGGGGGCAGGGCTGACAGTGTTCATGTGCATGATGGCAGCAGTGGTGGTGTCAGCATGGGGCAGGCAGAGTTGCTGGCATCCATGAGTATGTTTGCATTTGTGGCCGTAATGGCATGGGGGAGCAGGGTTGCTGGTATATATGCACACATTTACACTGGCAATGGGAGACTCAGCTGGGTGCCTCCATGTCAGTGGGAGGGGGTGGTGGGGGGTGCTCATGCTGGCAACAGTGGCACTGTGGGGTGTGTATGCACATGTGTACCAGCAGGAGAGGGTAGGTAAAATCCCCCTGCACACACACACTGGGAAAGCACTGGGGATTGGCCATGGGCGAGTGTGTACCAGCAAAATGGTGCAGGAGAAGTTGCCTTTGGGAGAGGGTGCAGGTAGGTTTGTGTGCATGGCAGGGGCCACTCTGCTGTAGCTCTCCAATGGTCAGGCATGGTCTACTGGTGAAGGAGCTATGATGAGGGCTCCTAGGAAAGCACGCTGGTTCAGCATCTGAGGCTGTACTGCAAGTTGGCATGGTCAAGCTGGGACCCTAGAAGAGGCCAACAGAGAGGGGTGTGCTCAGATTAGAGGCTGCCCTCATCTCACAGGCAAGATCACCTTGCTCTGCCCAAGTCCAACAGTAACGCCAAGGCTAAAGTCTCCTAGAAGAGCATGGTGAGCCTTGGGAGGTAGGCATCCTTGACTGTGCTCCACTGCAGACATTCCTGCATCAATAACTCTGGGCTCTGCACAGGCTGGAGTCCTGCCCCTACTTCCGCTTTAAGGATCTCACCCTGCCAGCTCAAGTGTCCATGGGGGTTGTAGGGTCTCCTGCTTCCAGGATTCTGGAGGTCCACAGTGAAAGCAGGACACACCTCACCTGTTCAATTCACCCCTTCCCAGGAGTCACTATATAGGGTTTGAGAATGAGTCCTGGTGCTTGGTAGCCCTATGCAGGTTTCCCAGCTTCCTCCCTTTTCAGTCTAGCATCTGCATCCTCCCTCTGTCTACTCTCAATGGCTTCCTTTTGAAGATCTGTTTGGAGCATTCCAGTCATCCCAATGTCCTAGTCTCTTGGTGGCAGATGTTTCTCCTGGCTGTGTCTTGATGGCCATGTTGGCTGAAATCCCCTTGGTGTGTACCTTAGTGGTATTTTTGAAGGAATAAATATTTTTATGTTGATGAAATCCTATTTATCAATTTGTTTTCTTTTTATGCTTCTTGCTTTTTGTATCTTACATGAAATTTTTATCTACCACAAGGTCACAAAGATTTTTCTCATATATTTTCTAGGAGTTTTATCATTTTAGCTCTTATATTTAGGCTTATTATCCCTTTTGAGTTGGTTTTTTAAATGATATGGATTAAATAGTGAAATTGGTGTGTGTGTGTTTATGTCTGTTCATGTATGGATAGCCAACTATAATAAAGATTCTTCTTTCTCACATTGAGTTACCTTGGCACTTTTGTGAAAAATCTATTGACCCTACAGATATTTATCTACTTCCAGACTTTATTTAGTCCCACTGGTCTATGTGTCTAGCATTAGTCAATACCACAGTCTCTTACTTCCTGTAGCCTTATAGTAAGACTTGAAGTTAGGTAGTGTGAGTCTTCCAATTTCATTCTTTTATATAAATTTTGGAATTGACTTGCCATTTTCTACAAAATATTCTGCATTGATTCTACTGAACAGTTTGAAGAGAACTTACATCTAAATAATCTCAAGTTTTCCAATCCATGAGTATATTATATCTCTGCATTTATTTAGGTCTTGAAAATTTTCCTTTAGCAATTACGAGTTTCAGCATACATGTTTGCATGTATTTTGGTAAATAAAATTTCTAAATATTCATGATAATGGGTACTGTAGTAGTAAATAGTAATTTTTAAAATTTCATTTTGTAATTGCTGGTTGTCAGTACATAGGATTACAAGTGATTTTTGTGTGTTGATTTTGTATCACACAGCCTTAATAAATTTACTTATTAGTTCTAGGGGATTTTTAAAAATAAAATTTTGAGGGTTTTTCTGTAGAAACATTTGGGTCATTTGTGAATGAAGATAATCTTGCATCTTTCTTTCCAATTTGTAGGTTGTTTATTTCATTTTCTGACTTTGTCTCATTGGTTAAGACTTCCAGTAGTGAATGTTGAACAGATGTGGTAAGACCAAATACTTTTGACCTGTTCCTGGTAATAGAAAGAAAACATTCATCTTTTTGCTGATGAGTATGATTTAACTGAAGGTTTTTCGTAGATGCCATTTATTAACTTGAGTAGTAATTTACAGAGAGTTTGTAAATCATAAATGGATGTTGAATTTTATCAAATGCTTTTTCTGCATCTATTGAGATGATTATCTAGTTTTATTCTTTAGATATGCCCTTGGATTACATTTAACAAAATATTGTTAAAGATTTTTCATCTATGTTCATTAGGGAGAGTAGTCTGAAGTTTTCTTTTTTTGAACATATTACTATATTGGTGACAGAGTAATACTGGCCTCACCAAATGAAACTGTTTCCTCTTTTGTTTTCTGGAAGTTTGCACGGAATTGGTATTAATTCTTCTGTAAACGTTTTCTACAATTCCACAGTTAAATCACGTGGGTCCAATGTTTTATTTTCTGAAATGTTATGAACTAACAATTCAATTTCTTTAAAAGACATACAGCTACACAAGTTATTGATTATTTTCTCAAGTGAGCTTTGGTAGATTGTGTCTTTTAAGAACTTTTGTCAAATTGGTTTGATATTGTTCATATTATTCTTTTAATACCATTTCCATGTTTGTTGGATCTGTAGTAATATCTTTTCCTTCTTTTACAATAATGGTAGTTTGTGTCATTTTTTTCCCTGATTTGCATTGCTTGAGGGCTATTAATTTTATTGACATTTCAAAGAACCGGTTTTTTATTTCTTTGGTTTTGTTTACTTTTTCTATCATTTTTCCATATTTTAAATTTTTTCTTTTATTTTTAATCATTTCCTTTCTTCTGCTTTCCTTTGTAAAAACTTATTTTTCTTTTTCTGGTTTCTTACAATAGAAACTAAACTTGCTGATTTGAGAAATCTCATCTCTTCTAATATAAGCTTCTAATGCTATAAATTTCCCTCTGCTGAGAATGAATGCTGTTGCTTTATCTACATCCCACAAAATGTTGCATGTATTTTTAATTTGCACTGAGGTCAAGATATATTCACATTTATCTTATGATATTTTTATTGGCTCATGAGGTATTAGAAGCATTTATTTTTATATTACCACATATTTGTAGATTTCTTCCAGTTATATTTCTATTATTCACTTTTATAATTCCATTGTAGTCACAGAATGTAATTTACATAACTTCAATTATGTTAAATGTATTGATAATTGCCTCATGAACCCAAATATATATTGTGAATTTCCATTTGCACATATGTATTCTCCTGTTTGGTGGCATGCGTATAAATATCCTGTAAGCTAAGTAGTTCTATAATGCTTTTCTAGTATCTTCAATTATTACTGAGTTTTTGTTTACTTCTATTGATTATTGGGAGCAAAATATTGATCTCACAATGATATTTGTGAATTTGCCTATTTTTCCTTAAATTTGCTTCTTTTTTGTATTTAGAAACTGTTCAAAATTATCATGTTCCCTTCATTATTATAAATTATTTCTCTTTATTCCTAGTGATTCCTTTGTTCTGAAATTTTTGTTTGATACTAATTTAGCCATTCAATTTTCTTTTGATTAGTGTTTGTATTGTATAGTATACCTTTTCCCCTGCATTTAATTTTAACTTATATATGTATACTAAAGTAGGCTTTTATAAACAGCATATGGTTGAGTCTTGCTCTTTAAATCCAATCTTACACATTTGTCTTTCAACTGGCATATTTGGACCATATTTAATGCATTTATCAAGATAATTGGATTTAATCCATTTTACCGTTTGTCCTTTTTTCTACGTTTGCTGTCTTCTAGTGGATTATTTTTATGAATTTTGTAAATATCCAGATTTTGCTCATTAGATATATTTCTGCCTGAATAACTAAAACATATATCTTTACTATACTTCTGGAAATTAATTATGTCCATTTTTGTTTGTATGGAAAAAAAGCCTTTTTATTTTTTTGAGACAGAGTCTCGCTCTGTCACTCAGGCTGGAGGGGAGTACGGTGGCGTGATCTCGGCTGACTGAAACCTCCACCTCTTGGGTTCAAGTGATTCTCTTGCCTCAGCCTCTTGAGTAGCTGGGATTACAGGTGCGTGCCACCAGGCCCGGCTAATTTTTGTATTTTTAGTAGAGACGGGGTTTTGTCATATTGGCCAGGCTGGTCTCGAATTCGTGACCTCAGGTGATCCACCCGCCTAGGCCTCCCAAAGTGCTGGGATTATGGGGTTTTACCATGTTGACCAGGCTGATCTTGAACTCCTGACCTCAAGTGATTGGCCTGCCTTGGACTCCCAAAGTGCTGGAATTACAGGTGGGAACCACTGTGACTGGCCGTAAAGCTTTTATTTTGTTATTAATTTTGGATAATGTACTTGCTAGATATGGGATTCTATATTGACAGCTTATTTTTCCCCTTTAAGTATTTTAATATTGTCACTCCATTGTGCCCTTGGCAGTGTTGTTTTTGTGAGAGGTCTGTTGTCATTATTACATTTGTTCCTCTGTACATAATGTGTCTCTTCTTCTCTGGCTGCTCTTAAGATTTTCCCTTCATCATTTTTTCTTTTTTTTGGCAATTTGATTATTAAGTTCTTTGGTATAGTAATTTTCATATTTCTTCTTGGTGTTTGTTGATTCTTGGATTTGTATAATTTATAGTTATCAACTTTGAAAAAATTTTGGTCATTAGTTCTTAAAATAGTTTTCAAAGACTCCACCTCTGTTTCTAGTACACTATTTATATGTATGTTCATCTGCTTGATATTGTCCCTAAGTTACTAAAGCACTTTAAAAA
This sequence comes from Homo sapiens, assembly GCF_000001405.40. NCBI lineage: Eukaryota > Metazoa > Chordata > Mammalia > Primates > Hominidae > Homo > Homo sapiens. The sequence goes on from NC_000006.12 coordinate 139,793,487, forward strand.
ATATTTTTAATTTTTTGGGGTATATTGTAGAGATATATATATATATATATATATATATATATATATATATATATATATTTATGGGGTCCATAAGATGTTTTGATATAGGCATGCAATGCCTAATAATCAGTTCATGGAGAATCCCTTCAAGCATTTATCCTTTGTGTTACAAACAATCCAATTATACTGTTTTAGTTATTTTTAAATGTACAATTAAATTATTATTGACTATAGTCACTCTGTTGTGTTATCGAAGAGTGAGTTTTATTCATTCTTCCTATTTTTTTTGGTATCCATTAACCATCCCCACCTCCCCACACGGCACCTAACCCAACCTTTCCCAGCCTCTGGTAACCATCCTTCTACTCTCTATGTCCATAAGTTCAATTGTTTTGATTTTTAGATCTCACAAATAAATGAGAACATACAATATTTGTCTTTCTGTGCCTGGCTTATTTCACTTAACATAGTGAACTCCAGTTCCATCCATGTTGTTGCAAATAATTGGATCTCATTGATTTTTATGGCTGAACAGTACTCCTGTATATGTACCACATTTTCTGTATCCCTTCATCTGTTGATGGACACTTAAGTTGCTTCCAAATCTTGGCTACTGTGAACAGTGCTGCAACCAACATGGGAGTTCAGATATCTCTTTGATATACTGATTTATTTTCTTTTGGGTATATATCTAGCAGCGGAATTGCTGGATTATATGGTAGCTCAACTTTTAGTTTTCTGAGGAACCTCCAAACTGTTTCCCATAGTGGTTGTACAAATATACATACCCATCAACAGTGTATAAGGGTTCCTGTATTAGTCCATTTTCATGCACCTGAGACTGGGCAACTTACAAAAAAAGAGGTTTAATGGACTTGCAGTTCCATATGGCTGGGGAGGCCTCAAAATCATGGCGGAAGGCAAGGAGGAGCAAATCTCATCTTATGTGGATGGTGGCAGGCAGAAAGCTTGTACAGGGAAACTCCTTCTTATAAAACCATCAGGTTTTGTGAGACTTATTCACTATCACAAAACAGCATGGGAAAGACGTGCCCCCGTGATTCAATTACCTCCCACTGGGTCCCTCCCACAACATATGGGAATTCAAGGTGAGATTTGGGTGGGACACAGCCAAACCATATCATTCCACCCTGGCCCCTCCAAATCTCATGTCCTCATATTTCAAAACCAATCATGCCTTCCCAACAGGCCCTCAAAGTCTTAACTCATTTCAGCATTAACTCAAAAGTCTACATTCCAGAGTCTCATCTGAGACAAGGGAATTCCTTTCTGCTTCTGAGCCTGTAAAATCAAATGCAAGTCAGTTATTTCCTAGATGCAATGGGGGTACAGGCATTGGGTAAATATAGTCATTTCAAATGTGTGAAATTGGCCAAAACAAAGGGGTTACAGGTCCCATGAAAGTCCAAAATCCAACAGGGCAGTCAAATCTTAAAGCTCCAAAATGATCTCCTTTGACTCCATGTCTCACATCCAGGTCATGCTGATGCAAGAGGTGGGTTCCCATGGTTTTGGGCAGCTCTGCCTTGGGTAGTATGGACATTTTAACAATATTAATCCTTCCAATCCATGAACATAGAACATTTTTCCATTTTTTTGGTATAATCTTCAATTTCTTTCATCAGTGTTTTATGGTTTTCATTATAGAGATCCTTAATTTCTTTGGTTAATTCCTAGGTATTTAATTTTATTTGTAACTATTGTATATGGGATTACTTTCTTGATAACCTTTTTCAGATTGTTCACTGTTGGCATATAGAAATGCTAATGATTTTTATGTTGATTTTGTATCCAGAAACTTTATTAAATCTATCCGTTCTAATAGTTTTTAGATGGAATCTTTAGGCTTTTCCCAACATAAGATCTTATTATTAAAGCTCTTTTTAATGGCTTTTTAATTTTTTATTTATTTTAGATACTTTCTATTGCTACATCTTTCAAATTACTAATCATTTCTTTTACAGTATTTATGGTTAATCCTATTTTGTGTCTTAACAATTTGAAATCTATTTTTTCACCTCTCGAAGTTTTAGCTTTATTTTTAAAAATCTCCATTTTGCACCTCATCACTTTCATGCTTTCCTCCTCTTTCTTTAATATATGGAATAACATACATGGATGGATATACATATCTATGTGTGTGTATATATATATGTATGGATATATGGATATACATATATATGTGTGCGTGTGTGTTTTAACTTCCCAGTCCTTCCCGATCTATTATTTTTTTGAGACGGAGTCTTGCTCTGTCGCCCAGGCTGGAATGCAGTGGTGCAATCTCGGCTCACTGCAAGCTGCGCCTCCCGGGTTCACGCCATTGTCCTGCCTCAGCCTCCTGAGTAGCTGGGACTACAGGCGCCCGCCACCACGCCCTGCTAATTTTTTGTATTTTCAGTAGAGACGGGGTTTCACCATGTTAGCCAGGATAGTATCCATCTCCCGACCTCGTGATCCGCCCACCTCAGCCTCCCAAAGTGCTGGGATTACAGGCGTGAGCCACCATGCCTGGCCCTTCCTGATCTATTAATTTTATTATCTATGTCACATCTATGTATATTTTTGTTGATTGTTTTTTACTTTTTGCCTCCTGATTATGGTTACATTTCCTACCTTTTTTTCAGGTCTGGTAATTTTTGATTGATTATCCAACCTTGTGAATATTATGTTGATGGATGTTGCATGATTTTTTTTTGTTTGTTTTGAACTTGTCCTGGTGAACATTTGCTTGGGATCAGCTAACTTTAGCCTTCCTTTTAAGATTCTTGAAAGGGTGAGGTGTGATCTAGAATAGCCATTAATCTAAAGTCATTATGGTCCCACTACTAAGATAATCTCCTTCCAAGAACTCTACCCAGTGCTTTATGACTTTCTACTTTGGATGGTGGAAATACAAAATATGCCCAGTTTTGTGGGAGCCCTAAATGTTGCTGTTTTCCCATAGTTTTTTCTTCAGACTTGGGTAGTTTCTGCTCATTTATATGCAGATCAGTACTCAGACTTGAAGCATTCCCTAGTTGAGTATCACTTTACAGTTCTCTGAAGGGATCTTCTGCAGGTCTTTGGGACACTTTATCTGTGTCCCTCCTCTCTGATATTCTTCCCAATAAATTTCAATGATTTTGGCTTCTTTGAACTGTAGGTAGTGATGTAAAATGTAAAATTCACTTAACTTGTTTCTTTTCCTGAGTGATTATAGTCTTGATATGTGTGCTGGAATATTTCAAAATTTTTGCTTATTGAAGATAGAAGGGTAAACCCGGTCCCTGTGAATCCGTCATGGTCACAAACAATTCATGACTATCTTTGAAGGACTCATCAAGTCAAACAAATATAATATTTACATTTATGAAGCTGTTTCCCAAAGATGAATCTCAATCCATGACCTCTAAATTAGGCATATTGCCATTCCAGATAAATTTCTTTCTTTCATGTCAATGTTGATATTTCTAGTACTTGATATGCTTCTCAACTAGATAGAGTTTGGACATTTGTTCCCTCCAAATCTCATGTTGAAATTTGATCCACATTGTTGAAGATGGGGCCTAGTGGAAGGTGTTTGGGTCATGGAAGTGGATCCTTAATTAATGCCTTGGTGCTGTCCCCATGGCAATGAGTGGGTTTTAACTCAATTAGTTCATGAGAGAGCTAGTTGTTTTTTTTTTTTTTTTTGAGATGGAGTCTCACTCTGTCATCCAGGCTGGAGTGCAATGGTGCGATCTGAGTTCACTGCAACCTCTGCCTCCTAGGTTCAAGTGCTTCTCCTGCCTCAGCTTCTCAAGTAGCTGGGATTATAGGAGCCCACCACCATGCTCACCTATATTTTGTATTTTTAGTAGACATGGGGTTTTGCCATGTTGGCTAGGCTGGTCTCAAACTCCTGACCTCAGGTGATCCACCTACCTTGGCCTTTCAAAGTGCTGGCACTACAGGTGTGAGTCACCGCACTGTGCCAAGAGTGCTAGTGGTTTAAAAGAGCATGGCATCCCTCTCCTGGTTCTTCCTCCCTCTCTTACCATGTGACATTCTTGCTCCCCCTTCACCTTCTGTCATGATTGCAAACTTCCTAAGGTTCTCACCAAAACACATGCTGATGTTATGCTTCTTGTACAGCCTGCATAACTGTAAGCCAAATAAATCTCTTTTCTTTATAAATAACCCAGATTCAGGTATTTCTTTATAGCTACACAAAATGGACTATGACACAATCCAATTCTCTTTTCTTCTTTCTAGTTTCTGCAAATGGCACTATTATATTTTATCAGATACTCGGGCTTTTAGCTTTGAAGTTATTTTTGAATCCTTACATTTCTTCCTTGTCCATATCTAATCCTCTAAGAAGTCCTGCAAATGCTTTTAACATTTTACATCTGCCTTGCCGTCCCAATATCCATTGCCACGACTGTATTCAAGATCTTTCCTGTCTCATATCTTTACTATGCAAGCATTTTGTAACTGGAGCCCTACTCTAGTTTCTCACTACACCAATTCAATTTGCATTAAATATCAGTCATTGCCTCCATATGCTTACAAAAGAAAGTGCAAAATACTTATATTGAAATATTTGACATTAATAATCTAACTCTGACCAAATTTTCATAACCGCTATTCGTCTCCTAGCCAACACAATTCTCATGACATTATAGTGCATAGTTTCTCTGTCTTGTGAACATATCGTACTAATTTAGGTTCCATGGCTTTTCTCATAGTATCCTTACTACTTTGAGTTTCAATACCCATTTCTCTTCGTTTCTCTTAATCTCTCCCATTACTGTAAATTTTAGTTTAATTTCCACTTATTATGGAAATATTCTTATACAGTCATGCTTCACTTAATATCAGGTATACATTCTGAGAAATAAATCACTAGGCGATTTTATCATTGTGCAAACATCTAGCATGTACTTACACAAACCTAGATGATACAGCCTCCTATACACCTAGGCTATATAGTAGAGCCTAGTGCTCCTAAGCTACAGACTCATACAACATGTTACTGTACTGAGTACTGTAGGCAATTGTGACACAATAATAGATATTTGTATATCTAAACATAGAAAATATACAGTAAAAATATGGTATTATAATCTTGTGAAACTACTATCATATATGCGGTGCATCATTGACTGAAACATTATTGTGTGGCACAGGACTGTATTGATTTTTCTCTAAGATTTGGACAGACTTTTTTTCACTACTGAAATCAACATTCAATCACATGATGATTTAGAATATTAGTCATTGATTTGATATGATTTTCCATATATTCCCAGTCATTATACTCAACCAGTCACATTCATGCTGCTACCTAACAGCATGTACAGCAGACCACAGGCCAAGCTCTGATCTTCCAGCTTCTATCCTTGACTTAACCTCACTTTTCCCTTTATCCTATGTTGCTTTTCAGTCTTACCTTTTTAATTAGGCTCTTTATTTGTTATGGAGGCAAATAGATCAACCTGAAAAAGAGAGGAAAAAAAATAGAAGAAAAGGGAACTTTTATTTCCTTGTAATAAGAAAGTAATGTGATTATATATATATTTATATATGTAGTTGGTATAATACTATGAATAAAATTTTAAAATGAATTTCAAGCCTTTCTTAGGCTATAGTACTGATTTGAATACGTATATATACTCCCAAGGAGCCTATTGTTCAGCTCTTTCTTCTTGGAAGATGTATAGATATAGTGATTAAGAGCTAAAGTGTGTTCACAAACTTGTCTAGGTTCAGATCTCATCTCCAAAGCTTATGAGATGTGTGACTGTAGGCACTTTGTTCTTTGGCTTCTTTATGTCTAAGATAGGGATAATATTAATCCTTACTTTAAAAGTTGTTGTGAGCCGTAAGTGAGATAATCCCTGTGTCAAGTGGGCTGGTGGAAGGAGAACGTTACATTTTGGTGACATTTTCAATATGTTCTTATTTGGCAAAATGAAAATTTTTTGATGGAGATGGAAAGAGCTTGGTTTTGTTGATTCAGAATAGGATCCAATTCTGGCCCCCATTCAAAATTTTTGACTTTTGAAAATAACAGCTGAGTAAAGCATCACAAATTCACTGTAACTAAGAGTTAGTTTATATAACTTAGTCGAGTTTTTGACTTAGCTTTGCCCCTTTGTTCTTTTTGCTTCCCACTCACTGTTCTCTGACTTCCCTTGGGATGATCTTATCAATTGTCCAGTACCATAAACTCCAGCAAATTTCAAATCCCCAATGTGCCTCTCATAAAGACACACACGTGCACGCACACACACACGCACAATGTATGTATATATACGTATACATTCATATGTATACATAGATATATGGAAAGAAAGAGAGAGAAGAGAGAATTTGTTTTGACTGTCACTCATTGATACACAGACAATTGATTGGAAAAAGAAAGAAAATAATTAAGCCAGAACGGTTCTTTGGCACACAGAAAAATTCTCCTATAACACGCTCCTTGATTTTCTTCCTTTTACTTTTCACTGCATTCAAGCAAACAATGTTTGCGTAGATGTTGTAATCACCTGTTTGAAATGTTCTATGTTATCTTCAGATTGGCTTCTGATTCTCTCATGTGTATCATAATGTCCTATCATGGAAATGAGTATTCAACTAAGCATCTGCCCACTGATCAACTGGAATCACCTTGACCACATAATCACAATTCTAACCAGGAGGACTTTAGGTGGAGGCTGTTTCAATCAAGAATTCAAAATTTTAGAGAAGCATAATGTGTACCAGAAAAGATATCTAGGTCAGATTTCATCTCCTCTAGTTTTCATATTCCTATTTTTGTTCTCACCTCACATTGTTCCATCAAACCATCATCAAGCCATACTGATTAAAGATTCCCCCTGCCTACAGCTGTGTTAGGATTTTGATGACATAAATTAATTGGTATGGTTTCAGTCATTTGGAAAATTTTTGAAAGGTTATTGCAACCCAGCATTTTCATATTTTAACGTTAAACCATTTTAAATATTAAAACATGTGGTGGAATCCCGCTTAATCAGAGTTTTACTTTTATTTATTTAGTCTACAGATAAAACTTGGGGCATATAATAATCCTACAGCTTTTTAATCAGTCGATGACATACAGTGTAGAGACCACTGACGGCGCACAGGCAGACACTCTGGTGTATAATAGTTGATCAAAAGATGTACTGGAAGTAATACTTTTTAAAGAATAAATTGCCAAGTTTTGGACTGACCCAATTAAAGAATAAATCAGGATGGATTCAGTGGTATATCAAAGAATTATTATTCCTACATTTCTTCCGGTGATTTTTTTTGTGTGTAAGTAGGAGAGAATGGGTGCAGTTGTAGGTAGTGTGCTTGGAAAAAAATTCATAACCAAATATCTATTGGTTATTATTATGTGACAATCCCTATGGTTTATATGCATTATTTCATTAAAACACATGAATTAAGTGTTTTTATTTTCTGCAACCTTTAGAGGAAATGAAACCTTAGCAAGGATTCTGATGTAGTTCTGCCTAATCCTGAAACCTGAACATGGGAGTTCCTTATGTATATAAGGCTCCTCCCTCTCTCATGGTACAGCAGAAACAAAGTCAAGAATGAATGTGCTGTGGCACGCACTCACAAGGAGTTTCAGGGCTTACATGGCATATTTACATTTTTAAAATCTCCTTCAAACCTCTCATTATTACTGTGAGATAGTATTACTGTTATTACATTCATATTACAAACAAGGAGATTGAGTATCAGGGGTGCTGAATAAATTGCCTAAGTTTACAGAGCTGGTAACATAAACCCAAGATGAAGCTCAGGTCTCTGACTCAAGGTCCCCTTACTATTTCTACTACATTTCATTACTTCCAAATGTAAACATAACAGTTATCAAAATCAAGCCTGTGTGTGCCCATGTGTGCTAAATATAAATTTAAGTTGTCATTATTTATTTCCCTCCTGTAAATAAACAGATCAAAAGAGAATCCGGTAGACTTTGAGTTGTACAACACCTAAAATATTCCATGACAAGATAAAAAAATCTCTGAATTATAAAAATACATTATTAATGTGCACTGAGGTTAGCATCGTAAATATCAGTACCTGGCTCTTGGTCTGGCCTGGATGTTCTGATAAGAAAATGAAAATGGCGAGAGATATTGTTTAAAGAGAAATGTCACGGAAGAAACTTTGACCTGAATCCCATAAAAGAGTTAGGGGAAAATGGAACTGAAAAGTAAACTATCAGATTTCCTCAGGCACAGGATTAAGCTGTGACAGTTTTATCTAGAGGTGGATGAGGTATTTTTTCTCCACCATGATTTATGAGGTACAAGAAATAACTTCCCTGTCCAGAATTACCTTTGCCATTTGCAGTGACTGCTATCCTCATCATTAGACTTTGTTTTCATAAAGTGAAGGTGTTATCTCCATGAAACTCCATAAAATTACCATATTTCCTGCACAGAAATCTGTATTCTATATTGATCATTATCAGATTGCTTTTAGTGATAACTGGCAAAGAAGGCAGAACACATAGGACTAATGTAGGGAAAGGTAGAGAGAAAAGCCAGAAAGCTACATTATTTTATTGGAAGGCTAATTTTGGTGCTGGAAGGCAATCAGTCATTCACTTAACCATTCAACAGACATACAGTGGAAGACCTTCCATATGCAAGATGCTGTCCTAGGTGCTGAGTCACAGCACCACCAGTCATGAGCCTGTATTCTCACAGCTAGTGATAATAGCAGGGTAGCAGCTCATGCTAGTCTCTCTTCCTCCACCATAAAAGCTTTCTGAGAGGATGTCTTCAAGATATGAAAACCTAAAATATTTTGGATCAAATGTATTTTACCCGGGAGGAGGAGCAATGAAAAAAAAAACGAGTCTGAAGGCAAGACATGTTTGGAAAAAGCTTTTTCAAAAATTTTTCTTCTCCATATACCTGGGCAGGGTGGAAGTTTCAGGACATGGAGCTGCAAATAGTGGCAGGGTAGACTCAAAACATAAGAACAGGAGATGTATTTGAGAAAAGCTGTAGGTGTTGATTATTTGAAATAGATGCTATGTAGGAAGATAAACTTTAGTCAAGAGCCAAGGCAGGATTTGAAGGCAAAGAACGTCCGGGAGTGAAGTGCAAGGTGGAACAGATGAGGAGCTATGATTCAAAAAGAGGGAAATTCTTCTCTTTTTTTCAACAGCTATAATGAAGTAGTGGTCATATTCATGGTGAGGTGGAAAGAGAGCAGAACAGTGTAAGATACTTAATAACCACATACAGACTGCAGATCAAGTGACGGTGATGTTGTTTTCTTTTATAGTTCTTCATTTCCAAACATTTTGTGGAGGCTGTGTAAGGGAGGCATGTCAGACAGTCTGGCATATTGTCTCAGAAGCTGATGAGTGGGGAATGCCTGAGCCAAGCAATGTGAAAGAATGCCTCTTTCTTTTAGGACATCCCTCAAGATAACTCAAGTCCTTGTTATGCCAAGATTGTTTCTGACATAGGAGTTGCACAGGTGACAAAATGTCTTCTGCTAGCAGAATTGATTATGCAATGAGAATTTTACTCTTGGTAGATTATTTATCCTGCTTTTATGATGTACCCTCAGAGACAGGGAAAACATAAGATGGAGAATCAGAAGGCGACACAGACTTCTTGAATTTTGAGAATGGAATTTTATGGGCTTGAAAAGAAGTGTATTATGTAACAAATATAGCTTACAGCAGCAGTTCCCAAAGTGTGGTCTCGGGACTCCTGAGGACCCTTGAGACCATTTTGGAGGTTCATGAACTATTTTCATACTAATATGAGGATGTTTTTTACCCTTTCACTCATCTTCTCAAAAATGATTGGTACAGTTTTCCAATGGCTTGACAAGATGTTTGATATCACAACAGACTATACGCAGAAGCAGATATGATAATCCAGCTATCTTCTATGATGCAAGACATTTACGATATTTGTAGAAATATAAAACGATGCCACTTTTCATATATACACATTTTCTTTTTTTAAGATGGAGTCTTGCTCTGTCACTCAGGCTGGAGTGCAGTGGCACGATCTTGGCCCACTGCAACTTCCACCTCCTTGGTTCAAGCGATTCTTTTGCCTCAGCCTCCTGAGTAGCTAGGATTACAAGTGTGAGCCACCAAGCCCAGCTAATTTTTTTTATTTTTTATTTTTTTTGTAGAGATGGGGTTTTACCATGTTGGCCAGGCTGGTCTCAAACTCCTGACCTCAGGTGGTCTGCCCACCTAGACCTCCCAAAGTGCTGGTATTATAGGCATGAGCCACCAAGCCCGGCCAGTAATACAAATATTTTTTACACTCTCAGTTTTAATTTCCACTGTGATAGACATAGCATATATTAATAACACATATTGGGGTCCTCAATAATTTTTAAGAGCACAAAGGTCCTGAGATAGAAGAATTTGAGAACTTCTGCTCTAGAATGTTTGAAAAACAAAGTCTAGCCATTTGTTAGGACATGAGGAAAAAAATCAATTATTTTCCACTTTTTCTCAAAAATCAATTGGAAAATGACAAAGTGAGTGAGAAACAAAAATGGAAGTTCTATATTCAACACAATTGTGGAGTACCTAAAATTCCAAACTAAAACATGAGGAGGGACAGCTAAGTGTAATAAAATGTGGACTAATGTAGAAGAAGAGAAAATGATGTCAAAATGTTACAGGATTCTTCAGGTGTCACTTTTCCAGCTGGAAACCTCTGTGGCCGGTGGCACCTTCGCCCGAGTTTTGCTCGAGCCCACTGGGCTTGTTCCACCCACCTGGCCTGGCAGGCTGTGCTCAGCTCATGCTACTGGCCGGGATCCCATGCTTGCCAAGGGCAAGCCAGACATGGAGTGGAAAAGGATGCATGAACTAGTGAGTGCAGGATCTGGCCACTGTGCACAGCCAGGCATGCCAGCTGCTGCAGCTGTGTGGGCAGCTCCAGGTGCTGGCTCTATGAGATCCTGTGGCTAGATCAGATGCACTGCAAGCAGCTTCCGTTGCTGGCACCTGCATCTGGATGAGGGGAATGTGCTAGTGCCCAGAAGCTTGGAGACACCAGAAACTGCAGAGCCCCAAAGAGGGTGTCACAGCCCTGGCTCGGGGAGCTTCTTGGTCTGGGCCCTGAGAAGGGCCACAGTTCTTCTCTCTTCCTCATCACCTGCAACTTGGTGAGCAAGGAGGGGCATGTTTCAGCCCTGTTTGTGTTATAGCTTGTTCAGCTCCACCATTTGGCAAGTCCCGAGTTCTTGTCCTGCGTCCAGGAAGAATGAGGTATGCGGACAACTGAAGGGTGAGCAAGGTGAAGAAGTGCTTTACTGAGCAAGAGTACAGTTTTCAGGAAACCCAAAGTGGGTTGCTCCTTTCCACAGGCAGGTCATCCCATCGAGTGCAGCTCTCAGTGGAGAGAAGATCCAGAGTGGAGCTCCTATCTGCAGGCAGATCATCCCAATGACTGTGCAGCCCCCAGCAGAGAGGACACCTGGAGTGGGTACCTCCTATCCACAGGCAGATCATCCTGAGTCTGGCTGAGTCTGGAGTTTTTATGGGCTTCAGAAGGAAGGAAGTGCATGCTGATTGGTCCATGGGCATCCATGCGCAGGCCTGGAAAAAGCACTGTTAAGTTCTCACTCTTGCACAGACTCTACTGAACTGACAGCCAGGCTCCCATGCTTCAGGCCTTCCCAGGCTTGAAGGTGGGGTTTAACTGAAGACCCTCCCCTTTCCACCCAGGAGCCTGCCTCCTGCCACCATCAACATGTTGTCTATGGCACCCAGGCTATTTGTGACAAGGGGTGCCTGCAGGCCTGTGCCAAGCCATCCTCAGCCCCCTCTCAGCTTCCTTCCTGTGCTCATCGGTGCCCAAAGTCTGGAGGTGGCCAAGGTGGCAGGGATTGGCATGTCAGTGCCACCCTCAGAACATGCACACCTGGCTGGGTTGTGACAGTGCTGGAGCTCAGCCTCCAATTTTGCTCTGAAATTGGAGTGGGTGCTGGGAGTAGGGAGAGGCCAGGCAGTGGGAGCAGGCACTCCCAAGCCTGTGGGGATGGGGGGCCAGGGGGGTTTCCTGGGCCCTCAAGAGTACAGGAATGCCCAGGTCAGCAGCCACAGCTGGGTGACTGCAGCTGTGCCCAGGAGGGCAGGGCTCCTGCCCCACCAACTTGGAAGGGGGCAAGGCTCCCACCTGTTCCTGGCTCCTGTGAGCTCCATGGAGCATGTAGCCCTAGCCACCCTCTCCTGTTGCAGCTGGCATCTTCGCAGTGGCTGCTCCAGTTGGGCCACCACTGCCATCAACAAGATGGCAGCTGCTGAAGACTTTTTGGCATAGATGACAGAATACACAGAATACACAATTCTAATAGATAGCACACTAGTTTTTTTTCCCCCTGTTGTGATATGATACATATACCATAAAGCTCACCTTTTAAAAGTGTACAATTCAGGTATTTCTAATATATTCAAAGAGTTATACTACCAGTACCACTATTTAATTCTAGTTTATTTGTGTCACCTAAAAGAAACACATACCCATTAGCTGTCACTCCCCATTCCCCGCAATCATTAATCTACTTTCTATCTCTATGGATTTACCCATTCTGAACATTCTATATAAATAAAATTATATAATATGTGACTTTTTGAGTCTGGATTATTTCACATGGCATATTTTCAGAGTTCATCTATGTTTTAGCAAGTATCAGAACTTCATTTGTTTTTATAGCCAAATGACCTTCTGGTGTATGGATATGTCATATTTTGTTTACTCATTCATCAGTCAGTAGACATTTAGATTATTTCTAAAATTTTGTTATTATGAATAATGCTGTTATGACCATTTGCATACAAGTTTTTACATGCACATATTTTTAATTATCTCATGTATACATTGTGTATACACCTAAGAGCAGAATTTCTGAGTCTCATTGTAACTCTATGTTTAACTTTTTGAGGAATTGCAAAACTGTTTTCCAAAGCAGGAATGCTACTTTACATCCTCCCTCCCATATAATATTGTAGTTTTGATTTGTTTTCCCTTCTTTTCATTTGTTTATTGGCCATTTGTATATATTCTTTGGAGAAATATCTGTTCAAATTCTTTGCCCATTTAAAAAAATTGTGTAGTCTTTTTATTGTTGGGTGCAAGTTCTTCATACATTTTAGGTAGTATTCAATTACTAGATATATGATTTACAAATATTTTCTCCTGTTTTGTGGGTTGTCTTTTTGCTTTCTTGATTGTACCTTCTAAGGTACAAAAGTTTGTAACTTTCATGAAGTGCAATTTATCAAATTTTTCTTTTGTTGCTTGTGCTTTGGTGTCATATCTAAGTAACCATTGCCTGATCCAAGATCACAAAGATTTATGCTTACGTTTTTTTCTAAGAGCCGTATACTTTTAGCTACATAGTTTTAGTTACACACATTTAAGTTGTTGATCAATTTGGAGTTAATATCTGTGTATGGTGTGAGGCAGGGGTCCAACTTTATTATTTTGCCTGTGGAAATTCATTATTTTCAGCATTATTTGTTGAAAAGACAGTTGTTTTCCCCATTCAGTTATTTCAGCACCCTTGTTAAAAATCAGTTGACCATCAATGTAAAGGGGCACATGCATGTGTATGTGTGTACATGTGTGTGTGTTTCTTGACTCTCAATTCTATTCCATGGTCTCATATGCCAGTGCCACACTGTCTTGATTACTGTTTCATTGTAGTGAGTCTTGAAATCAGAAAATGTGAATTCTCAAACTTAGTTCTTCTCTCAAGATTGTTTTGGCTATTCAGCATTTCCATATATATTTTAAAATGAGCTTATCCACTTCTAGGGAAAAGGCAGCTGGAATTTTGATTGTGTTGAATTACTATTGGGCATTATTGTCATCTTATCAACCATGTGTTTTTTGTCTTTCTGTTATATGGTGTATTACATTGACTAATTTTTGTATTTTGAAACAATTTTGCATTCTTGAGTTAAATTATATTTGATCATGATGTCTAATCCTTTTATATGTTCTTGGACTCACCTTCTTAGTATTTTTTGAGGATTTTGTGTCTATATTAATAAGATATGTTGGTCTTTAATTTTTTGCAGCGTATTTGTCTGGTTTTGGTATCAGGATAATATTGGTTTCATAAAATGAGCTGGGAAATGTTCCCTTCTCTTGTATTTTTTGGAAGGGATTCTTTTGTATGTGTGAAGAATTAGTGTTAATTCTTCCTTAAACATTTGGTAAAATTCACCGGTGGAGCCATCTGGTCCTAGAAGTTTTTGTGTGCATGTGTGAGTTTCTGATTACTGATTCAATTCAATCTCTTTACTTGTTATAGTTCTATTCAGATTTTTAATTTATACTTGATTCAGTTTCAGTAGTTTGTATCTTTCTAAGAATTTGTCTATTTCATCTATGTTATCTAAAAGTTTTGTATACAGTTGTTCACAGTATTACTTTATAATGCTTGTTAATTTAGTAAAGTCAGTAGTAATATCCCCTCTTTCATTCCTGATCTTTGTAATTGGTAGGTAAAATTATCTAAAAGTTTTCAATTTTTTTCATTGATCTTTTCAAAGAACAAACTTTTTTAGTCAATTTTCTCTCTCATTTTTAAAATTCTCTACTTAATTTAGTTCTCCTCTGATATTTATTTTTTCTTTTGCTTTATTTGAATTTAGTTTGTTTTCCAAATATACCTCTAAAAATTAGTTTAGCTATATCCCATACATTTTGGTTTATTATGTCTTTATTTTATTCATCTCAAAGTATTTTATAATTTCTCTTTGATTTTTTTTCCTTGAGCCATTGGCTATTTAGGAGTGTGTTATTTAATTTCCACATTTGTAAATTTCCCAAAATGTATTGTTATTAATCCATAATTTTACTACGTTTTGATTAAGGATCATACTTTGCATGATTTCAATTCTTTTCAATTCATTAAGATGTATTTTATGGCCTAACATGGTTTATTCTGGAAAACGTTTCATGTATACTTGAAAAGAATACGTATTTTGCTGCTTTGGGGTAGAGTGTTCTACTGATGCCAGTTATGTCTAGTTGTTCAAGTCTTACTTGTTGATCTTCTGTCTAGTAGTCCTATTCATTATTTAAAGTAAGCTACTGGGCCAGGCGCGGTGGCTCACGCCTGTAATCCCAGCACTTTGGGAGGCCTAGGCAGGAGGATCAGGAGGTCAGGAGTTCAAGACCAGGCTGGCCAACATGGTGAAACCCTGTCTCTACTAAAAATACAAAAATTAGCCAGGCGTGGGTGGTGGGCACCTGTAATCCCAGCTACTCGGGGGGCTGAGGCAGGAGAATCACTTGAACCTGGGAGGTGGAGGCAGTGAGGCAAGATCGTGCCATTGCACTCCAGCCTGGGCAACAGGGGCAAGACTCCATCTCAAAAAATAAAAATAAAATAAAATAAAATAAAATAAAAAATAAAGTAAGCTACTGAAGGCTACGACCCTTATTGTTGAATTTTCTACTTCTTCCTTCAACTTTGTCAATTTTTACTTTATGTATTTTAGATCTCATTTAATAAGTGAATATATGTTTACGATTGTCATTTCTTGATGTATTGACCCTTTTATCATCATAAAATGTCCTTCCTTGTCTGTTGCCACAATTTTCGTTTTAAAGTTTATTTTGCCTGATTTGTATGTAACCATTCTGGATGTTTTTTGGTTACAGTTTGCATGTTCTATCTGTTTCCATCATTTTACTTTCAATTAACTTGTGTTGTTAAATCTAAAGTTTGACTCCTCACTTCTCAAAAGAAGACATACATGTAGCCAACAAGCATGTGAAAAAATGCTCAATATCACTAATCATTAAGGAAATGCAAATCAAAACTACAATGATATACCATCTCACACTAAATAGAATGGCTACTACTAAAGTAAAAAATCACAGATGCTAGTGAGGTTGCAGAGAAAACAGAATGCTTATATGCTGCTGATGGGAATGTAAATTAGTTCAGCCACTACGGAAAGCATTCTGGAGATTTCTCAAAGAACTTAAAATAGAACTACCATTTGACTCAGCAATCCCATTACTAGGTACTTACCCAAAGGAATAAAAATTATTCTGTCATAAAGATATATGTACACACATGTTTATTACAGCGCTAGTCACAATAGCAAGGACATGGAAACCACCTAGGTGCCCATAACGATGGACTGGATAAAGAAAATATACTATTTTTGGAATAACACAGACATAAAAAAGAACAAGGTCATGGCCTTTGGAGCAACATGGATGGAGCTGGAGAGCAAATCGTTGCAGAACAAAAAACCAAATACTTCATGTTCTTACTTATAAGTGAGAACTAAACATTGAGTACACATGGACACAAATAAGGGATCAACATGCACCAGGGCCTACTTAAAGGTGAAGGGTGGGAGAAGGGTAAGGATCAAAAAGCTACCTATCAGGTATTATGCTGTTTACCTGGGTGACAACATTATCTGTACACTAAACCCCCACAACACACAATTTACCCATGTAACAAACCTGCACATGTACCACTTGAATCTAAAATAAAAGTTGAAAAGAAAAAAAAAATTAAAAAGAATAGTTTGTCTACTGCATACTGCATAGAGTTGGCCCATATTTTTAATCCATTATGTGAATCTTTGCCTTTTTATTGGAGCAGTTAATCCATTTAAATTTAATGTAATTACTAAAATAATTTATATCTGCCATTTTACTTTTTGTTTACTGTATATGTCTTCTTTCTCATTTCATTACTATCTCTTTTGTTTTAAACAGATACTTTCTAGTGTACCATTTTAATTTCCTTGTTGTTTCTGTTATTATATATTTTGACTTGTTTTTACAGGTTGTCCTAGAGATTGCAATTAACATCTAATATATTACAATTCTGTTTGTCTAATAGCATATAATACGGCTGCTTATATAAAGCCTCATCCCTACCTCCCTTCTCCTTTTTGCTATTATTGTGAAGTAATTACACTGTATATCCATCAACACAGATTTATAACTATTCTTTATTCTTAAAAGTTGTCTTTTAAGTCAGATAAGAAAAAAAAGAGTTATACATACAAAATACACTTATACTGTCTTTGATTTTTAAAAGTTTTTTAGAGATCTGGACTTGTTCTGTCATTCAGGCTGGAATGCAGTGGCAAGATCATAGCTCACTGTAGCCTTGAACTCCTGGCCTCAAGTGATCCTCCTGTCTTGGCCTCCCAAGTAGCTAAGACTACAGGCACACTTTACCATGTCTGGCTTATTTATTTACTTATGTACTTTTTTGTAAAGACAAAGTCTCATTTTGTTGCCCAAGCTGGTCTCAAAATCCTAGTTTCAAGCAATCCTGCTACCTTTGCCTCCCAAAATGCTGGGATTATAAGCATGAGCCCATACTGTCTTTTATATTTACCTATGTAGTTTCCCTCGTTGCTTTTTTTTTTTTTTTTTTTTTGAGATGGAGTGTCGCTCTGTCACCTGGGCTGGAGTGCAGTGGAGCTATCTGGGCTCACTGCAAGCTCTGCTTCCCGAGTTCACGCCATTCTCCTGCCTCAGCCTCCCGAGGAGTAGCTGGGACTACAGGCGCCCGCCACCACGCCCAGCTAATTTTTTGTATTTTTAGTAGAGATGAGGTTTCACCATGTTAGCCAGGATGGTCTCGATCTCCTGACCTCATGATCTGCCCATCTCGGCCTCCCAAAGTGCTGGGATTACAGGCATAAGCCACCGTGCCTCGTTTCTTTATGTAGATATAATTTACTGTCTAGTATGCTACAGGGAAGTTTTGTTAGCAACAGTTTTTATTTATCTGAGAATGTTTTAATTTCTCCTTGTTTTAAAAATTGTACCTTTGTCAGATGTAGAATTCTTTGTGGGCAGTCTTTTTCTTTCAGCACTTTGAATACGTCATCCTGCAGCCTACTGGTCTCCGTAGTTTCACATGAGAAATCAGTTGATATCTTACTGGGAATCCCTTACAGGCAATGAGTTATTTCTCTGTTACTGCTTTTGAGATTCACTACCTTTGTCTTTCAATAGTTTGATTATGATGTGTTCAGGTGTAAATTTCATAGAATTTATCCTATGTTGAATTCACAAAGAATTTATCTGATGTGAAAATTACTTTTTTAATTAAAATTGGGAATCTTTTTGCCATTATTTCTTTAAATATTCTTTCTACCCCTTTCTTCATCTTTGCTCATTCTGAGACTCCGGTTGTGTTAGTATGCTTGATGGTGTCCCGCGGGTCTCTGTGGCTCCATGCATTTTTCTTTATTCTTTTTCTGTTTCTCAGGCAAGGTAATTTCAACTGAACTATCTTCAAGTTTGCTGATTCTTTCTTCTGCCAGCTCAAATCCACTGTTGTGGCCCTATAGTAAACTTTTATTTTATTTACTCTACTTTTGAGTTCCAGATTTTCTGTCTGTTCATTAAAAAAAAATTTCTATCACTTTATGAGTATTCTTTATTTGATGAGACATACTTCTGGTATTTTTCTTTCGTTCTTTAAACCTGGTTTATTTTAGTTCTTCAAATTTATTTAAAATACTTGAATTTAAGTCTTAATCTAGTAAATATAATATCTGAATTTCTTTAGGAATAGTTTCTATTGGGTATATTTTTCTTCCCCTGTTTATAAACTATATTTGCCGATGTCTCTATGTACTAAAATTTTTGTTAAAAACTGGACATTTAAGATAATATTATGTTTAATTATGAAAATAAGATTCTGCTCACTCCTCAGGGTTTGTTTTGTGCTGTTTGTTTCCTGAATGACTTTCATGAACTAATTCCATAAAGTCTGTATTCTATGAGGTTGGCTGTGGCTACTAAAGTCTGTGTTGGGTTGCCTTCGTGGTCTTCTAATGATTGGACAGAAATTTCTCTACCTAAGAATATATTTGAGAAATAAGCACTATCTCTATAAAGGAAAACTTAAGGCACTCCTGAGTGACATGAGGACTTGAAAAAAGAGAACTTCATAATATTTTTGGATTGAAAGATTCAATATAATATAAATAACAATTTTATTAATGTGTTAACTTTAATTGCTATTGTATAATAGCAATGAGATATTAAGATGATTTTGAGGGATCTAAACAACTTGAATTTTCATTTCATATAAAAAATAAACAAGCAGAGAAAATTCTAAATAAGAAGAATTACATATCATACAGTGACATAAATCAAACCAGTGTGGTAATGGCAAATAAATGAATGGATAACTCAATGGAACAGAAATAAAAGTCCAGAAGCAGTTCAGTGCACTTGAGTAGCATCTCAAATCATTGGAGAAAAGATGCATTACTGATCAGATTGCATTTGAAAAAAACAGTCACACAGAAATAAATAATATTAGAGTGACAAGAATTTTAAGTAAGATATAAATTGCAATACTCATAAAAAGATAGATTATGCAGGATAAAAATCTACTTAAAATTTTCTTAACCACCTTAAAAGATGAGCAAGAAACTTTCAAAAAAATTTGTTATGTATAATTTCCATAATATATACCGAAAGTAAAAGACCAATAACTCAATAAAAATGGGTTAGGGATAAAAATAAGAATGAAAGGAAAAGAAAATGCAAATCTTAAATGTGCAACTATGTGCCTGACTCACACGTAATATGAGAAATGCAAATACACACAACAATAAATAATATCTTTTACCTATCTAGTTGGCAAAGAGTAAAAGTTTCATAATACATAGTGTTAGCATGGGCGTGAGAAAACTGGTATGCTACTGGTGGGAGTGTGAATTAGAACAGCTCTTACTGATCATAACCTGGCAATATTTATGCAAATTACTAATGCAAATACCTTTTAGTTCAGCAATTACACCTTTAAGAATTTATCCAATAAACATATCACATGTGTGAAATGACATACCTGTGAAGTTATTTAGTACAATATAGTTTATAATAACAAAAGAATAAAAATAACTTGAATATTTGTCTCTAAGAGGTTGAATAATACAAAAGAATATCAACAAGTGTGAAAGAAAAGAACTAACAAAGAAAGAAGAAAATAAGCTCTTTATATATTAATATGGAAAGATCTTCAAGATATATTTAAATATAAAACAAAATCAAAATGCAGAACAGTATATATAGGGTGTGCCACCATTTGTGTAAAAAAGATAAATAATATTTTTGCTGCTTATACATGGAGGAAGATATAGAAGAGCATTTGTTGTTTATAGGGAAAGGCATTAGAATTGCCTCAAGGGTATAGACCTTTTGCTGCCTAAATTTTGAACATTATTCACGTATTATTTATTCAGTAAATGTAAAAATCATATCCAATTTCACCACCACCAAAACAAAAATTGAGGAGAAAAATAAAACCACCTTAAAAATAGTATTTTTGAAAGCAGCTGAGAACACAATTAGGACAACAGACGTTTGACATAAATGAGCAAAATTAAGTAGGAAAAAAAGAAAGTTTCAAAGAATTAGTGGGAAAATGTGAAAAATTATAAAGCCTCAACAGATGTAAAACTAATGCACATTAAAAAGATAAAATTTCCACCAATAAATTCAAAGAAATCTTTCTTGGAATAATGAAAGATATTCTCACAATTGAGAGCAGAACATGTCAGAGAAAAAACTGACATTAATTGATCAACTTCAGGTCTTTCCTGAGAAAAGTTATTGGACATAATCATATCAGAACACTCCTGTGAACCATCAGGCAAGGAAAGAAAAAAAGAACCTGATGTTTAATGAAGAAAAACAGTAAGTTTGGATTCAGACTTCTTTAGAACCGCATCCAACGCTAGCGACTGTGGAGCAATGTCTACAAAGCTTTAATAGAAAGGAACATCATCATATTTTATGTCCAGCTACACCACTGTGTGATAATAAAAAACAAGGAAAAATATTTTCAAACATACAAGAAATCAAGAAATATTGTTTCCATAAACATCCTTGTAAAAACTACCAGAGGACAGACTTCAGCCAACCAAAATAGGAATTTAGAAGTGAAGATAAATGGAGTCACGGTGAGGAGCGAATTCATTTAAACATTAAACTAATGCTCAACAGTTGTGGGAATTATGCTTATGGAACCAAATATGACAATTTTACACCATGAAATTGTAGAAATGTTATAATAAAAGCAGAAGGGTGAGAAAATGTAGGAAGTAGCATATGTAGTTGAAATGGCTTAGAGGAGGTCATATTTTATAGTGTTTTTTAAAGTGAACTGTGTAAATATGGTGAACTTGGTGGAGGAAAATAAGCCTGGGGCAGGACTTCTTCTAATATTAGCATTTTGGGAAGGCTTCCCTCTGGTGCAGAATTTTTTATTTATTTTTATTTTTATTTTTATTTTTATTTTTGCCAGAGTCTCGCTTTGTCATCCAGGCTGGAGTGCAGTGGCATGATCTTGGCTCACTGCACCTCCACCTCCCAGATTCAAACTATTCTCATTCTTCAGCCTCCCGAGTAGCTGAGAGTAGAGGCATGTGCCACCACACCCAGCTAATTTTTTGTATTTTTGGTAGAGACAGGGCTTTGCCATGTTGACCAGGCTGGTCTCAACTCCTGACCTCCAGTGATCTCCCCGTCTTGGCCTGATGCATAGTTTAAAAAATGTTATATGTGAATCTCAGTTTCCACAGTTTCTGCCTATAATAGAAATGCAATGACCTGGGCTTCTGCCTCCATCATGCCTAATGACCAAAAAGAGATTTATCTCATGCAAAAAGTTCAGGGTTAGGATGTTATATTTGTTAAGATTCCTAACTGGAAAGAGCAAAATTCACTCTACCTGGTTATACAAGAAATATTGTTCTTGGAATCATGGGCAAGACTGGAATTACAAGATATAAGCTAACAGGAAAGATTCCTGAAACTATATCCCAATATTGATCTGGTAAGGGAGTTGCTGCCACCATCCCCAAATTGCTGTGTGATAGAACTCCATGGCTCATTCAGTGACTGTTTTGCACCCATGGTAAGGATATACTTCTGGCTCAGAGCTTAGGTATTGACTGGTTCAGAATATTGGTGAGTATGCACCAGTGCTCATAGCAATTCCAGATGAGAGGCCCAGCTGTAACTCAGAAAATCCATATGTTCTCTAATCCTCAGGGGTTACCCCTTACTTTCATATCCAATATGGATCATATCTCTGTGGGAAATCTCAGTAATTTCTATATTCTTCTGGTCAGACCAACCCATAGTCTGCTTCCTACATTGCAAATCCCTCTCAGCAGTTGCTTTCTTCACTCACCCCTCCTCTTCTTTCATGACTGTTACGTATGACTAACTCAAGATGTAGGATTTAGAAGAGTCCTTTCTGAAAGTTTGAAGAGGGTAGACAGTTACTCTAACACAGAGAAGAAAATAATTTCAACACTAATACAAGGTTATTGGTGTATTTGTTTTACTAAACATTTATGGTTAGTGAGTATATTAGTCCATTCTCACACTGCTAATAAAGGCATACCCAAGACTGGGTAATTGATAAAGAAACAAGGTTTAATTGACTCACAGTTCAGCATAGCTTGGGAGGCCTCTGGAAACTTACAATTGTGGTTGAAGGGGAAGCAAACACGTTTTTCTGCCCATGGAGACAGCAAGGAGAGGTGCCGGGAGAAAGGTAACCACCCCCATGATGCAATTACCTCCCACTGGGTCCCTCCCATGTGAGCATTATGGGAACTACAATTCAAGGTGAGATTTGGGTGGGGACACAGCCAAACCACATCAGTGAGTTTATTTAATCAATAAAGCATATATTAATTTCCAATTTGATGTCAAAAATTAGTGTTGTAGGAATGCATTGAGCATCCCCCATCATGAGGACACTCTCAGTGGTCATATTTCTTATTGGCTATCACTTTCATTATACTGGTGGTACTCATCTCTTTCCATAATCTTCTCACATCTTCTTAATGTTCATTTGTCCCTTATTTTCTCTCCTGTGCTGACAACAGTATCTTAAATTTCCAACGTTATTATCTTATTATTTTACAATCTGCTTCCAGATCATGTCCTTGGGAGGGGGTTTATTTTTTGCACCCAAATAGGTTGATTCAATTGTTTTTTGGGTAAAATAAACCCAAACAACCCAAGAACTTCCTTACTCATACAAATTATACCTTTCTACCCTTGTAAGTGAAATATCTACCTCCAGAATTTTTTGTAATACAGCCACTTTGCCCTCCTTGCTATAGTCACAGTGGAAAATGTAATGGTGGAGATTGAAATGGGAAACCAAGAAAAAGGGAGCAAAGATAAAATTAAGATTTGGTATTAGTAAAAAGGATGAAAACTATTTTTTATCTATGTACCCAATACTGGTGCTAAACTCACTGAAAATCATTAATCGACTTCAGTATATATTTTATTCCTTGATTTCTGGAAATCAAAATGAAATTCATTCCTTTTGATGTTATTTTTCCACAGGTCACCATTTTTCTTTGATCTGGTATCGTAACATCTTCAAATACAGTCCCTCCTACCTTTCTTGTTATATTGGCAGATCACTGAAGTTCCTAGAATGAAATAAAAAAAGAAGCATCACCATCAGCATTTTGCTAGTTCTGTCATGCAAACATTAAATTTGGGGCACTCAGTATCCTGGCAGTGAAGTGGGTCTTTTTCCACAAAAAATAGCCAGAGAGTCCATTATGGTAGAAATGGTA
This sequence comes from Homo sapiens, assembly GCF_000001405.40. Classification (NCBI taxonomy): domain Eukaryota; kingdom Metazoa; phylum Chordata; class Mammalia; order Primates; family Hominidae; genus Homo; species Homo sapiens. Next base: position 139,817,131 of record NC_000006.12, read on the forward strand.
GCTTTCAGTATGGGGTCAGGAAACAGCATGTAGTTAATGTTTCTTAACTCTTTCTCTGTTTCCCTCAAACAGGTCCTATAGTAGACTAAAAACTATTGCTCAAGTATTAGTAGATTATGGAAACTAAATTCCTTCTTGATTTATCATTTATTTGTGAATTCATTAATGAGAAGGAGATTAGAATCACTCTGAAGGCTCATATCCTCCTTATTTTTGGTAACTCAGCAGGTTTGTGTTAGATTTACCAAAAAACAGGACATCAGTCACAGGCTCATCAGGTACCCTCTTCTAACATGGTTTATTCTTCAACCAAGAAGCTTCCATTGCTACATAAATGCATTGCGGAGTGAGGAACCCTCTCTACTAGAATGTCAACTGTGAAACATGAAGACCATTGATGGCTCAGATCTAAGCTGCAGGATTAGAGAGTTCATATGACTGCTTGCACTCTATTACTTCTGTGTTTTTAATTTTCCTCCCAATCCGTACTATATCTGTCTCATGTGACACTAGTGCTTGAATCTGTCACCCTTTTGGGTGACATTTATTTCACAAATAGTTATTGGAGGGCCACTGCATGTCTGACACTGTTTTAGCTCCTTGAGATAGCTCAGTGAACAAAACAAAAGGTGTTCCCTTCTGGAGGTTAAATTCTAGTGGTGGTGGTGAGAAGACAAAACAATAAATATGATAAGTAAATTATATAATATGTCAAAAGATAAAAAGAGCTATGGAGAACAAAAAAATAGAGTAGGGCAACAGGGATCAGGTCTTGATGCCAGAATTGGGAAGTGGTGATTGACATGTGGCTCTTCTCTTGCTAAGTTGTAATATATATATAAATTCTTCGAGACAGAGTCTGTGTTTTATTTATCCGTGTATCCCTATATATACACCCAGTACAGTGCCCAACACTGAGTGGATGACTGAAAACTGTTGAATTAACTTGCCTCATGCAATTTAGAGCACAAGAAGTGATTTTGTCAGGTTTTACACGTAAGTAACAGGACTTCAGCACTTTTATAACTCTAGTACTTTCCTCTGCTTCAGCTAAAAAATACCTGGCACATACTCATTTAAAGAAACCTCATTATAAAATGATGTTCTATGCCATCGCCTTCAATTTAGTTAGTGTCTCCATTGAAGACTGGGTCACTGTGCTGTTTCTAGCATCTGGCGAAGTATAGCATATAGTCTTAGAACAGATGACCAAGATACACCCAGCAATGGAGGATTCTACAAACCATGAGCTGCATGTTTCAAAGTGGAGGCAGTTCTTGGGAAAGAAAAGAAATGAAAAATCTGCAAAGAATCAGGGTGCCTCTTTATATATACTGTATTAGCTTTGAGGACTGAGTCCTATTTGAATCCTGATAGTAAGTTGGAAATACTACTGCTGCTCTGAATCTTGGACTTTATGTAAGCTGTTATATTTTCCTTTATGGAGATATTAGTCATTGGCTCATGAACTTTTTAGTCAGCCTCTGTTTTAATTAGGGTAAAGGTCACATTGCTATAACAGAATGGCCCCAAACTCAGTGTTGTAAAGAAGATATAAGTCTATTTTGCTTTCCAGTAAAATGTGACGAGTTTAAGCTGTAGAGGCAGATCTGCAATCATCTGGGCATTTTCCATGCTTGCATGGTCAAATAAAGGTGCCATCACATCCTGAGTACCAGCCAGCAGGTAGGAGGAAGAGAGGGTAGAGAAGTTACAACATATTTTTAAAATTCAGATCTAGAAATGGTAGACATCACTTCCCCTGACATCCATTTGTGGGAAATGGATCTCATGGCCATATCTAACTGCATGGGAGGCCACAGAACAGTGTAGCAATGTAGCCATGGGCTAATTTCATGGAAGAAGGAGAGTATATATTTTGGTGGGCAATTTTCAGTTCCCTCCGTCATCTCTGAACCAATACAATATAAGGAGAGGAGTGTTTTTGTGTTTGCTTGTAATACATTAATGCATGTGTCAAGGCCATTATAAGATTATGCCAAGATAAAGCTACATCTCTTATCCCCATCTTTGGTGTACCCTGAAATCTCTCCTAAAGCAAATTAATTCTTCCAATTCTCCAGTTCTAACTATGTAACCTGGCTTGGTAAGCCCCACTGATTCTCAAATGATTCCATATGAAGAACTCAAGAAGGCTCAACAGTGACAGAATAAACTCAGAAAATCAAAATACACCAAAAAACCTTCTAATTTGACTCCATTCATCTCATTTTGAAAGGTAACTGAACCCTCTCAAAGTCCTTTGTGTTGTGTCTCAGTCAATGTGTAGGCCAATGACTCCAATTGTTTTTTTTCCTTTGCAAAGGAACAGGTACAAATAACTACCAGCACTTCTCACAGGAGGGTACACTGCTAGGGTGTTAGGAGCACAATATGAAAGTTGATTTGAATAGACTGATTTCACAGTATATTTATTAGAATCCCAGTTCTCCCAGATTTTAACTGAGTAACTTTGGTGACATCAAAAGCCTTTGGAACCTCATCTTCCTTATCTGTTAGGAAGGGTTAACAGTGACTTTCCCCTGCTTATTATGAAGATTAAATATAGTGCTATATTGCTGTGTATATTGCTACCTGTGTTGATATTTACAAGATGTTTCAGGACTAAAAGAAAATCTTGAAAAGAAAATATTACTGGAAATCATATGGCTCAACTCAGCAAATCACACTGCCTGGCAGACAAACGATTTCTTGGTCATAAAAGCAGTTCAATGGCCGGTTTGCTCCATAAAGCTCATCTTGACAAAAAAAAAGTGTGACTTTCTTTGATCCCTGGTGTGGAATACTTCAGATGACCTGGTTCAATAATAAAAATAAAAGCCGGCCAAGATTGGCTTGGCAGCCCAGAGATAGATCACCTTGGAATGAGTGGGTCACGAGCCTGAATGAAAGATAATCTTCCACTTCTTTTTGATTTTTTTTCATTATAGAGTCCTTAAGATTTTAATCTGAAATCACCAAATGGAATTATTCATTGTGAATAATCATACAAAGAAAAAAGAAACATCAACTTAAAAATTATGTACAGTATAAAAACAGAGATGACACCCAAGTCCTTTTATAAACAAGTTTGGGCTTAGAATTTCTGTAAAGAATGAAAACTCTTATTTTTATATGCAATTTCATATCAGGCAGAAGAAGTGCTCTTCAAAGGAGCAGATACTATATTTGTGGAATAAAAGGAATGTAGTGGAAAAACATTACTGGACTGCTCCTGATTTATGGACATTGGTGAGTCATTCATGTCCCTGGAGCCTAGTTTCCTCTTTGGTAAAATGGGAGACAATTATGTATATTTTCCATAAATATCATGACAATCCAATGAGATAATACAAGTGAACATGTTCCATAAAGCAGAAATGCTGCATACCTATGAAGTGTGATATTATTTATTATTTTGCAGTGATTCTAGGGCAAATGATTTCTTAATCATAGCACTGATGTTCTCTGGATTACGATTAGCCTGAATGTGACTTTCTTTTTTTTTTTCTGAGATGGAGTCTCGCCCTGTTGCCCAGGCTGGAGTGCAGTGGTGCGACCTCTGCTCACTGCAAGCTCCGCCTCCCAGGTTCAGGCCATTCTCCTGCCTCGGCCTCCCTAGTAGCTGGGACTAAGGGTGCCCGCCAGCACGACCGGCAATTTTTTTGTATTTTTAGTAGAGACGGGGTTTCACTGTGTTGGCCAGGGGGTGGTCTCGATCTCCTGACCTCGTGATCCGCCCATCTCGGCCTCCCAGAGTGCTGGGATTACAGGCGTGAGTCACCGCGCCCAGCCCTGAATGTGACTTTCAAATACTTCCCTTGCTTCATTCATCCACCCCCTGGTTTTTCTCTCATCTCACACAATATTCCTGTTCTCTGTCATATAACCCCAAAACTTCTTTTTCTCTTATTCCCCAAATGCCAGTGCTAGTACCATCACTCTGCCCACCAGATAAGAAACACTATCTGTGTTCCCTTGTTAATCTATTGACTTTAAGCCCACTTGTGTTTCTTTAAGAGAACGTGTACATTGAGGCAAACACTTTCCACTGCTTTAATTTTAGTTGTAGGAGTGAGAAAGGTGTTGGATCACCAAAAGAGGTCACACACACAGAGTGGGAGAGGAAGACACTCTAGAGCACATTCCTCTGATATCACTTGATACTTAATTTTCTGCAGCACACAGCTAAGCTGTAGAAATTTTAAGGGAAATACAGAAAAATGAAAAAAAAAAACAGCATTTCAGCACTTCTCCCAGGAGGGTACACTGCTAGGGTGTTAGGAGCACAAAGTGAAAGTTGACTTGAATAGACTGATTTCACAGTATATTTACTGGAATTCCAGTTCTCCCAGTTTTTAACTGAGTAACTTTGGTGACATCAAAAGCCTTTGGAACCTCATCTTCCTTATCTGTTAGGAAGGGTTAACAGTGACTTTCCCGTGCTTATTATGAAGATTAAAAATAGTGCTATATGTGTAAGACTCTGGTATAAAGTGGGTGCTTAATAAATATTATTTGCTTACAAATTTATAAACAATAAATATTATTTATTTATGAGTCTATATCTCTAAGTGGATATTGGCCATGTGCATTTGTTGTGATACAGAAAGCTCAAAGAACAGGCACGCTATTCATTTGCTGAAGACTTAAGTTGTGGATACATAAAATCTTGAGAGTACTTAATCCAGACTTCCAGGAAAACGAGATTTCCTTCTGTATCATCCATGACTGGCAGAAATCCAGCCTCCAATTGAGCTGTCATAAGTTGTCAAAGTAGTTCATCCCTTTTAACAACAGCTCTAACTACTAGAAAGAACTTGTTTACAATTCATTGAAATCTGCCTTTCCATAAATTGTATCCATTAATCAAAGATCTCCCTACTACAATGTTTAAGATGAAGCTGAATCATCATTTCTTGAAAGTCTTATTAAAAGAATAAAGATAATGTCATGCTAGACTGAAGTCTTTTCTTGTTTTACTTCTTAAATGGATTTTCTTCTGATGTAATTCACAGCTCCTTACTAGCATGGGTTACTCTAGTTTGTTAGTCTTTTTAAAAATGTATAAAAACTAGGTTTGAACAGCACTTTTTTCAAAAATCAGCATACTATGCATTTACAAATGTAATCTAAATTTACAGTCTATATTTACCATTAGCTAGGAACACCACATGCTTTTTATTCAAACGAGGACACTTATGAGACTGAAAGATATACTATTAGCAATTACACTTGGAAAAAATATTTAAGATGAGATTTAAGACAGCCAAGGACAAGTAGTCATTCCACATCAAAAGCATCCTCACACTGTTATATTCTTTCTTTCCCTCTCTCTCTTTAAAATTTTCACCTAAATGGCCTTTTCTCCAGTTTACCTTGGTAGCTAATGAAATTTTGTACAACTGCGTGTCTCCTTCTACTGTACCATACTCTTACCACTTCTGATAAGTCTCATTTTGTAAACACAATGTTCATTGCTATGTTTAAAATTTTATTAGTACACAAGGTTTAGGTAGTCTCTTTCATAAAAATTTGAAGCCTGCTTTACCGTAGCATTTTCTGTACATTAGAATAGAAGAATCCAAGGTTTAATATTGCTTAATGTTATTCCCTGTCACTTTTCTCTTGAATTAATACTTTTCATATGTGTTATCTGCTGCTCTTGATAATTTCCATCTTTATCAATTTATCTGAGTAGTTATCTCTGTTTTTCAAATTTCAAGTTAATACTTTTTTGATCATGTTGTCAAATCTATAAATAAGCATATCAATAACACTCCCCCAAGCACCCTTTGACTATATTTTATATACTAGGTGATATGCCTCTGAATAAAAGAGTGGTTATTCAACAACCTCTAAATACTTTTTCTTACTATGCCATGAGAATAAATTCAAAGAAAATTTTCAGATAGTACATGTGTCTGGATGTTCTTAATCCTTCTCAGGGAATCAAAATTCCCAGGTAGAGATTCTGTCTCTTTCAATTTTTTTCTTTATTATTTGTCTCTCTAATTATTGGTTCAAGTGAACAAGCAAAAGTGGCAGAGTTGGTTGGTTCAGGAAACATAAGCAAATTCTCCTTCAGAGACTGCAAACTGCTGTGCTGCTACACTCCTGTCATGCCAAGTCAACACGTGAGAAGCTCAGACCTCCCTTCCCGAGAGTTACAATCTCTGTTAGACGATGGACGCCCCTTATCTCACTTCAAGGGTATCCAAAACTTGTGAACCTTTCTTAGTATTCTGTGAAGCCAGCAATTTATTTTTTTCAGAAGATCTTGATTCACCTTATTTGAAAGGTTCCTTCTCATGCCCAACATGTGAATCCAATGATACAGTTTCTCTTCTCCTCTTTGTCACAACATTCTACTCTCCAAAGTCTTGATACTAAGTTTGCTCCATTCATTTCATTTTTTTGGTCCCTATTTCTGACTTCTCAGTAGCAATCCTTCATATTTTCTAATACACCAAAAAGGGAAATTTCCCTGTTAAGTTTCTTTATGTTTTGCTCTAGCAGATATTTTATCTCTAATACAAGTTATGATGTAACTCCTCCTTTTCCTTCCTGCAGGCCGCTAGGACTAGATATTTGTAATGAGGACAAGCAGTAGAGATAACCAGACCTCCTCTGAGGAGACCTATAATCTGAATGTTTCATATCTTTGTCTTACTCTTACTTTTCCATCCCTTTGCTGCCACTGTTCAGCTTTGGTCTTCTGGCAAGGTTGGAACCTCAGAGGGAGAAATCATATCACTTTCAGGAATGGCACGTCCATGATTGCTCAATATGGCACCCAGGCCAATTCTGACCCACAAAAAGTGAGCAGTGTGTCCCTGGACTGAGGAATCCACTCTGCCCCTCATACTAATTACCCTGGGACCTTGGACTTGCCACTTAATCATCCAGTCCATCAGATTCTCCCCCACTTAAAGTGAAGGGGTTGAACTAGATGTCCTCTGAGAAATTTTCTTATTTGACATTAGTATCTTCCAACCATGAGTATAATATTTCCTGTGTGGCCTCTTAGTGCCATACACTAATACAGTAGTCCTCTCCTAGGTTGGGAGTGTTGTGCTTGATGGCCAGCAGATGGTAATTGGTTTTCAGTGGTGTTGGTTATAAAGAAATGATTTACTTCTTCTCACTTTCTAACAACTGCTCATGAATATCTGTCATTTTGTCTTAACATTCATTTCACATATTCCTTTCTAGAGTACTAAATACATAGAAAAATTACCTTGACCATATATTTTTTGAGGTTCACATTTATAACGCATCATTGCAATCCTGGAACACTAGAAGATATGTGGATTTTAATATTCTCTACTGTTCAGAGTTTGTGTGCATGAATATATTTGTCCCTGATGAATTCTGGGTACCTGCAGGATAAGAAATGCGCAGCTCTCAAAGGTAAAAGTCTGTACTAATTTTAGGTGGTCTCTGTCTCCTATTTATGACAAGTTTTTTTTCTCCCAATGTCTAATATTTCCTAGGGTCCAATATTTCACAAGCTCAGCAGCATTGCTGTGAGATGGGTAACAAACCAATTTATATTTTATAGATGCTAAAACTGAGGCACAGAGAAAGTATGTGATCTGCTCCAGGCTGCCAGCAGCTCAGCAAGGAATTGCAGAATAAAGACAGAGAAAAGAAAGAACCTAATTCCTCTCTGATTCTCCTTTGCTAAGGATCAGAACACCATGGGGCTGAAAGATTCTTTGAGAAACGGGCAGCCTACTATCCTCTTTTTAGAGAAGCCTATATGTGAATTTAGCCAGAAGATATGTCAAGCTCCTGACTCTAATCCATACCAATATTTAATATTCTTCATTACTAGAATGATCCTCCTCAGCCTTTGCCATCATCCACAAATAAATCCCAGCACTCATTTTGTCATGACTCGATTCCCTGTAATAGCCTTATGACTAGGCACCCTTTAGTAGTCACTCTCCTCCACCCATCCTCAAGTTAACTCTATGGTCTATGCCCAGTGACATTCCTAGGTTCTATTTCATTGTACCACTTAATTAAACAAGAGTGTAAAGACCTCCTGTTTCCTAACACATCAGGTGTATGATCCTCTACCTAGCTTTTAAGGCCACACACTAGCGGACCCTGCTCCATTTTTCAACTGTCATTTCCCTATCCTAGTCCAGATTTGCAGCTCTCGTCTTTGCTTGCATTGGGATATTGCTTTGCTTTTGCACATTCTGCTTTTCATCCAGAGTTTGGTTTTCACTTCTTCATCCATGCTTCTAAGCCCTACTCCTCTCATGCCCTCCACGAAGCCTCCATGGACTGCTGTAGTTGTAGCAATCTCTTTACTGCGTCAACTCTAATTGCCCTGTGTGTTTGTATTACCTACAAATATTCTCTCATTGTATTTGTGTGTGACTACAATACACCTAAACCACTAAGCTTCCTAGAGGACAGGAATTGTGTCTTCTTTTTGCCTTACCAGTAGTACAAAGTAAAATAAATAAAAATCATAAAAACAAAATAAAATCCTCAATAAGTACCAGTTGGTTCTCTGGAATTCAGTGAATTAGATTTGTAAACTGTGCATGTGCATGTGTGCATGCTTTATGAATTGACTTTGTATTTTGGGAAAAAAAGATCATAAATAAAGAGAGTAGTACATTGATTCTTGAACAACTTGGGAGTCAGGAGTACCAACCTCTCATGCGGTCAGAAACCCACATAAAACTTTTAACTCACAAAACTTAACTGACCAGAATGCCTTACTGATAACACAGTTGAGTAACACGTATTTTGTATGAGTATTCTATACTGTATTCCTTCAATAAAATAAGCTAGAGAAAGAAAATGTTATTAAGAAATCATGAGGAAGAGAAAATATATTTACAGTACTGTATTCCATACTATAAGTTTACATTGTCTGTTTACAAGATGAATCGTCTAAGATGGCAGTAACTGCAGCTACAGACCTCAATCTACAGTCCACACATGTTAACCAATTCAGCTCTTTTTTGCAATGTCATGACTTTTAATCTGCTTCTTATGGGCACTTCCAGCCTCACTGTTGGCGCTTCCTATGGATCCCATGGTGTTATTCAAAGCTGACACTATTGTACTAAACATGATGGAAAATATGCGAGAACTTCAAGAGATCACTTTTTACCGCAATATGGAATTGGAACTGCTCACGTGGGGATCATTAGCATCACATGGTGTTTTAAGCAGATACTCACATGAGCTCACTGCAATAGCAATAGGGGATGGCTATGAAATTATTACAGTAGTACAGTTTGTACTACAATTAATTTTATGCAGTTATGATTTAATTTTGCATCTTTATGTTTGTTTATATTTCTCGCAACTTTGAATGACACCCTGTATTGTCTGTGTGTGTGTTTTGATAAATTTTAACTTTTTATAACAGATTTGTGTATATTTTATGGCAGTGAATGATAAAATACACTAGTATCTGCATATATTTTATGCATTCCTGATATACTTTTTCTTAATTTCTTGGATATTTCTAGGATAGGCACATGGTTCACCTACAAGTTTTTTCAAATTTACACAAATCTCCAAAATTTTTCCCAATATATTTATTGAAAAAAAAATCCATGTGGAAGTGGACCCAGGTAGTTCAAATGCATGTTTTTCAAGGGTCAACTGTATATGTAGCATTTTTGTTTTGTTTTTGGGAGTAGTTTTAGAGGATAATTTAGCCTCAATTATCACCTGAATTTCAAATGCCTTCCAGAGGACTTCTTTCTTTAACCGGAAGTTGTTTTGCTACATATAAGAGCAATATCTTCCCTGTCAAGCTGGTGTAGCATTTGACTTTCACTCTGATGACCCTCTCATGCCCTGAGCATCCTGAGTCCTTGTTTTTCATTTCCCCTAATACAGAACTAAATCTTGAGTTTGGATATCGTATGAACTGAAATGGCATACAACCAAGGTTCATATTTTATAAGTGGCTGGAATTCACTTGAGAATATTGGCATAATAATATATACTTTCTTTTGGAAGGCAGATAAGGTATGAACAGGTCTTAGCACAGGGGAAAATTTTAAATAAGCAGTCTTCATTTTGTAAATATTGTCTTAATCGAGAAGATATGTAATATTTGAAATGTCTCAATTTTAAAATATGAATGTTTCTTTCAATTTCATGGGGTTGTATTTAGAAATTATGAAAATTTTATTACATTAAAACATTATAAAAACTTGTACCAGGCCCTTTGAGTCTGGGCTAGAGGATTTAGTTCATCCATTGCAGCAGTCTACTCAGCAAGAATTCTTCCTTGGTATCTACTCAAACCTTATTGAAGAGAATAACTGTTGCAAAGCTCTAATTTTTAAATGTTTTTTAAAAAATATATATTAAATTGAAACTTATCTTACTGGAATTTCCACCTGTTACATCTCCACTCTCAGCAGCATTGGCCAGAACTTTTTCCCCCTGATGGAAATATTCTTTATCTGCACCATCTGATAGGGCAGTCACTAGCTGCATATGGCTTTGAGCACTAGTGACTTGAGGAACGGAAATTTTCATTTTATTTAATTTTACTTAATTTAAATTTAAATATGAATAGTCACACAATACAACCTAAATAATCACAACATAATACAATGTAAATAATCACAAAATACAATAGGCTAGTGACTATTGTACTGGACAACACAACCATAGTAGTTTGCTGAAAAAGCTAGCGATCATTTTCACATGCTGGCCCTTCAGAAATTTCAAGAGATTGTTGATATTTGTACTTTCTTTTTAGGGCATTTTTTGTTTCCTCATTGATAGGTTTGAACTTCAGAATTTAGTTTGTTGCTACTGCTGCTACTGTTGTTATGATCCTCTTTTCCTAAGGTCTCTTCAAACTCATAGATTCTATCATTGTTTCTAGATGTTCCTTGGAAACGTTGAGCAATTATAGTCTTGATATATATAAAGTACTCTGAATGCATGGGACAACAAACAAACGACAAACAAAACTGACACATAAATCGCAGAATTTGGAACATTTGGAGACATAGGGCACACAAGATTTAAACAAATGGTTCTAACCGGGACAATTTTGCCTCACAGGGGACATTTGGCAATGTCTGGAGATGGGTATTGACTGCCATGACTTGTGGCGGAGGCGATGCTTCTGGTATCTAGTGAATAGAGGGCAGCGATGCTGCTAAACACCCTGCAATGCTCGGGACAGAGCCTCCACAACAAAGAATCATCCAGCCCAAAATGCCAATAATGCCGAGGCTGAGGAAGCCTGGTTTCCACAAACATCTAAGAAATAAATATCACATAAAAATCTCATTCATTTGAAAAGAAGGAAAGAATTACAAAATGGCTTGCCTAGGTGTACTAATATTGTAAAATTTTATAAGTTGCACGCTTGTTTTTGCATTCCTCTTCCACATCAACAACTCTATTGGGTCACTGAATTCACTGGTAAATTTACTAAGAACATCTTCAAAAGTTCTTCACTCCTTCCTTCTTTTCCTTCTGAAGCTATTACTGCAGGTCTTGTTATTATCATTATTAGACCGTCATAATATACTTTTAATCCCCATTTGTGCTTCCATTTTCACAGAACACTATCCGTGTTGTAACAAAGCCACTGGTTAAACGAGTCCAGATAAAAATGATGTGATATCATGAAGTCATCTTCTTCCGATACGTATTTGGTAGGAATCCTTTTTCCATAGAAATATTTTATTTGGTAGTGTGTGAGGCCAGTTAATCTTTCTCTTGCATCTTGAGGCAGGAAATAATTAATACAACCTGGGGGAAGAGCCCGGATAGCTGGTCAGAAGGAAATCTGACACCTGGTGAAATGTGCCTCGTTTCCGGTTTCAGCACTAGCGTGAAATTTCCCGAGGTTCATAGGAAGGTTCGTCAAATCTTGGCAAATCTCTTGGTAAACTGGGTAGTGTCAGATTCCAAAAGAAATATGAAAGTTTTACCTGGCTTCAAATTTCCAGTGTAAAATGTTCAACAGTCTAAGCAAGAAGGCTGCTTGCAATTGAGAAAAATCCAAGTTTCTTACTTTGGATAACTTATTGGAAGAGACAATTCACCAAGAATAAAACCTCCAGGGAGACATATTTCATAGCAACCCATCCAGCCTCTTTCAGAACATGCAGTTTTCAATGGACCTGGCTGCTATCACTGCACCAACAGTTTCACATTGTTCATTATCACATTGTATCATAATGTTCCCACATTCAAAGCCAAGCTAGGGGAAAATACTCTCCCAGAGGGTTTTTCAAAGTTCGCACTGGAGAGAAGAATGCATGGGACATTTCCTATCAAGTTCCAAAGAGTGGAAAAGAAAGTACAATGATAAGAATCAATAGACAATTCCTAAAATATTGTTCACGAAATGAGTTCTAGCAGGCTGTAAAGGTGAAGAGAAAAGTTGCATTTCCAAGTTCTAATAGCAGTGTTGGACTTTGAAATAAAAAGGAGGTTTTCTAAAACCTTGTCCTATTTGAGCAGGTTTGAGATTTGACATTCAGCACGCATTTTTAAAATCTTCCTGCAAAACCTCTGTACATCCACTTAGTACTAAAGGGCTGCTTTGCCCATTTCCCAGGGGCTCTAGCATGCAGGCTGATTACAGCCCTGCTAAGTCAGCAAAGGGAGGTTGCGGGTCCAGCGTGTTGCTCCTTTTAAAGGAGCCACATCCTGCCAGGGCCTTGGAATCATTACAACCTGATGATAAAATTTCTGGCAATTTAATTAACACAAAGACATTTGAATCGTTTCTAGTGTTTGTAATCTCCTTCTGTCTGAGTACCATATAATCAAGGACATTCAACTGGAACAGAATTAGCCTACTTTAAGTACACCCCAAACAAATTCATACAGGCTGAAGTTATTTAATCATTGGTGCTGAGAAATGGATATGGTTAAGCTGATGAACAGAGTTTCTCCGTAGTGTCTTTGATGGAAAGCAGTGCTCCTATAGAGGTATTGATCTGTGGGATAAATAAAAACACTGGGGTTTAAAATTACATTGATTATTACTAACTACTCCTTTTTCACTGAAAGCAATATCAAGTCCATCAAATAAGGTCTATGGCCAGAAATCAAAGGCCATTTTTTTTGTGTTCAAAACATGGAAAAAAATATTGTTACCAAATCTATCTTTTCAACCAACCCACAACATAGGTAGAAATTGCTGTCAGCGTTGACACACGCTAACATGAAGAGTGATGAAAGGTTATTCTTTCTTGGTCTTTTTGGTAATCAAGCACTCTGAAATTGTGATTGATTGCTGGCTCCAAGTGATTTTTTTTTTAGGGCAAGCTTCCAAAGGATTTCCTAAGGCCAAATCTAAAGTAGCGAAGAGGAAAATATATAAATTTATCCTTAATAATTGATGCTAAAAACTAATTTTCAAAATATTCCCAGGAAAGTCCTATCTTTGGACTCAAATTACTGGGAAATTGTTCTAATTGTTTCAATAAAAGAACTGTTGTTAAAAATAGCGTGCAGTGTTCTGTTTTGGTTAGTGGTAAATCAAGTTTAATTCCTGGGAAAACTCAAAATTCATTCTATAATACACCAGCCCCAATATTTTTCTTTGGCTTTTAAGAAAGCTATGAGTCAGAACTTGAACTGATTTGTAACACAAATACTAGGATTGGCTCCCACCAAACAGTGATGGTGCCCTTTTGCTAAATGCAGACAATTGGTAGCCCAGTTGGGTGAATTGATTCTTTGCCTTGGGAGAAGAGAAGACAGGACTCAGGAAGAGCTGAGTAATGTCCGCACATGAATGAGTGAGTGATGAGACCGAGACTGTATCACCACAGGCTTTTCTCCAATTTCAGGTCTCTTGTCCAGTAGAAACGATGATGTACTTTTCTCCAGAAGGTTAGAAAGCAGCAAAACTTTGTATTTTACTAGAGGTGACAGTTTAGTATTCTGCTAAGCTGCCAGTATAATGAACCTGCCAGTTCCTCCTTTTTAAACCATCCACTGACATGGGACTAAAGAATTGCTCAAGGAAATTAATTGCAGACACTCTAAAAAACCAAGTGGAAAGGAATTTCTGCACTGAAGGGGAGTCAGTCTGAAATTTATGGCAGTGGAAAGTACTTTAATCAAATAGTGTAGCTGTATTTTTAAAGGATGGGATAATGTTATGATCAATAACAATATTTGTATGCCTGCATGCTGAAATGGAGAAATCAAATCTCATGCTTCAAAGCCTAGGCTACCTGCTGCAGGTGTCTAGGAGGAATGCTTTCATAACATACATCATTATAAACTAGCCTGGGTAAATTGATGTCTTTTTCTGCCTTTACATGAAGCATGAGGAATCAGTGACTGGCAATGGCCTAAGACTAAGTTAAACGTCTGACATTGAGTTTGTCTGGGCTCTTTTCCCACTAGCTGAAGAACAGAGGTGCTGGAGCCATGTGGAGTTTGATGGGGCTTGAATGGGAAAGGCAGAATGTTATAAGGAGTTAGTTTCCTCACATTTGGATAATTTGAGGCTGAAAACCATATTTCCATTACCCGTTGGTAAAAGAGTGAGAGCAGAGAGGCAAATGCCAAAGAATGATGTCAGCCAAATGCCCGAGGTTTAACCAAGTGACAGAGAGCCCAGGGGCTCGTTCTATTTCCAATATATATTTGTGTGAGCAGACAACTCACTGAAATCTCCATCATCTCCGTATGTAATGGCAGTGTTACGTAGTGGAATTATGGAGTTAACTTTAAAAATCACTTATAAAAATGTTGGAGAAAATTTAAGGTAAAAAGGGTTCAACATTGAAAGCACCATGAATAATAGTAATTATACTCTTGAAGACTTCAGTATAACCAGGTCCATTTGGAGCTCAATTCAAAAAGACTTTGTTACTAAAGAGCCTGAAGAGCATTATTAGAAAGGTTTAACTCATCAGGGCATATAGGCATCAAGGACAGCATAATACTGAGACTGAATGTCATAAAATTATTGCCTCCCAATTAAGACTAATTGTAAGAAAGGGCTGTCTGATTTATAGAATAGTTTTAAGAAATGTAGTTGAATTACTTTTAAGCAGGCTGATACTATAATTGTTTTAGCCAATGGCCTCTTCATCCTTCAAATAATGAGGTTCTAGGCAAATACACTCTGATTCTCAGCCAATGATTTCATATCTATGAAAAGTGTGTCATAATTTGAAATAAGAGCCAATGTTTCAGCCATTTAAAAGTAATCAATAACCCATATAACTACAAATAGAGGCTTCTGGTGCATTCCATTGATATTACTGTCAAAAACATTGGATGCTTTCTTAAGCAAACTTCTGCAAATTATGGCTAGATAAAAACATATGATCACCACTATGATTATTAATATATGAATGTGGCTTGATTCCTTTATTACTATCTTGAGAGGCGTAAGTAATACTACACTAGAGCCACTCTTCGCAGCAGCATCACCCAGCGCCAGGTCTCTGCAGAGAAACCATGAATTAGGGGTTCTCTCTTACATGAACAATGTCGGTTAAGTGCTCACATTTCAGGTGAAATGTGTGTTAGTGCAAAAGTGTTGCCTGATGTCTCCCACCTGGAAACAAGAAATACTCAGGAGTCATTCCCATCCGTCTCGTGCTGAGTTTTACAATAATAAGGTAATGTCTTTAAGATCTCTGAGGTTTCAGGAGAAAGGCACACTGGGAGAATGGCTGTTATTATTTCCGAGACCTCCCGTCTCGAGCTAGCTTAAAGGCTAAGGGTCCCGAGGTGGTGCTGTAATAGCAGCTCTAATAATGTACAGTTACAGCACATCTCATGTGAGGTGCTCCGAAGACATTATACACATTTATTCATTAAAGCTGAACACACCCCAGAGATAGGTTAACTGCTATGATACTCCTTTATGCCAAAGTAAATGAAAACAGAGGGGGAAGAGAGTCAGCCAAGATCGTATGATGAACCTGTGGTACAATGGGAACAACGATGGTGCTCTCAAGTTCCCTAGTGACTCGGTGAAAAGTCTTGCCACATTTGGCATGAGTGTCTACCTGTACGTAGTATGCTTGCTTAATTTTACTTCATCTTGTTCTAGAAATAACTGAAGAACATGTACAAATATATTCAATACAGCTAGATAACATAAATGGAAAGTAAGTTTTTAGGGAAAAAGACCCAAGGAAAGTAAGGATATAAAAATGAGATGAAACCTGGGATGAAGTACAGTTTGTGTTTTCTGTGAATTATGTTTGGCAAATACTCTCTTCACAAATAAATTGTGTATAAAGGGAAACAAATAGCCTCAGTTTCCCTTATCTGTGTGCCTTGGGAAGAAAGTTTTGCATGTTATGGGAAAGAAAGGGCTAGAGAAAACATCAAAGCTTTGTAAAATTAGACTTCAATCCAGTTTGCTGAGTGGAAGATAAAAACAGTATTATTAGGGCTCAAGAGCCCCTCAATCTAGTGGTGCCTCTGCTAAAGTGCAAACCTAAGAACAGTACATCTCCCCACCATCTGGAGGGGTGAACATCAGAGACAATGAGAAAAACTAAGAGGAACAATGGGCAGTGGCAGCAGAGGGACTTGGTGCTCTAAATCCTGAAAGAGGTTGGAGGTCATGGGTGAATTAGTGCCACAAATAAGGCAGTGATGCATGGTCTGGGCAGAGTTTATGGGAACAGGGGTATTTTGCAACAGCATGGACAGCAGCCCATGGGCAAACATAGTGCCCGTGGCATAGTGCTGCCTACGTGTGTGGCAGCATCAACACAGGTGAGCAAAGGGTCAGTCTGAGCCACGGCTTTAGAGCTGCAACCAGATGTGAGATGGTGCTCCCCTCTGCTACTCCCACTTCATCTGTCACCTCCGATCTCATTTTTCAGCCCCCAGCCTCTTTTGTAATAAGATTTTTGAAAGACACAGTATATTCTCATTGGATTGGTATAGCTTAAACACAATGCTTTCCTGGGGTAATCAACTTCTAAACCTTTCCTTTAGTACTATACTAATATTATGAGAGGGTTTTCTAAATTGGTGTGTGTGTGTGTGTGTGTGTGTGTGTGTGTGTGTGTGTGTGTGTTATTCTGTTGTTCCTTACAGTCCTGATCTAGTACATGCAGGCAAATTCTTACATGTGGTGGTACATGAATGGACAAAACCTGGACATTAGGTGGAAACTTCAGGTCATGTAGTATTTAGAGAAAATCAGCTTGAAGCCCATTCTATGCCCCCATGGAAGTCCAAAAATATCGCAATTATCCCTGCACATGTACTGGGGCTTTATCTGCCTTCGCTGGATTAGGTTGGGTGAGGGATCATCATGTTCTCTCACACGTGCTGTCTGTTTGGCATGATTTTACCAGATGTGAAATTCAGCCGCAGTTTTCTCAGAACATTCACCAACTCACAAAGAACTTTGGAAATAGTCAAGTTGGCCAATGTTTTTTTGAGAGTTTACATTCCAAGATCAAGCTATTTCAAATTGAACACTAAAAATTTCTACTCGTGTATTCATTCATTCATTCATTCACTCTTTTCTATAAAAAACATTAAATCCTTACATTGTGCCGGGCACAGCTCATGGTGCTTGGGAGTTATCAGTGAAAAAAACTGACAAACATCCCTGCTCTCATGGAGATGAAATTATAGCAGATATTTGCACCAAGCTACCATATATCCTCAGAGGTTTTCCCTGGCTGCCTCCTCTGTGACAGGCTCTAATCTCCCCAAATTTTTTCTATCTCTTCTCTTCCGTCACTTTTCAGAAATAAAAATAAAGTCCTCTCAATTTTCTCTTAATGTGATGCATTGACTTTTGAACCCAGGTTTTCAAGTTTCCTAAGTGATACCCTAACTACTGTGTTAAAATATTTTCTTTCTTTCTTTCTTTTTTTTTTTTTTTTGAGACAAGGTCTTGCTCTGTTGCTCAGGGTGGAGTGCAGTGGCGCAATCTCAGCTCACTGCAAACTCCGCCTCCCTGGTTCAAACGATTCTTCTGCCTTAGGCTCCTGAGTAACTGGGATTACAGGCGCATGCCACCATTCCTGGCTAATTTTTCTATTTTTTATAGAGAAGGGGTTTTGCCATGTTGGCCAGGCTGGTCTCAAACTCCTGACCTCAAGTGATTCACCTGCCTCGGCCTCCCAAAGTGCTGGGATTACAGGTGTGAGCCACCGTGCCTGGCCTGAAATATTTTCTTAATCAAAGACAGTTGCTTCCTTGTGAATATATCAGAAGGGAAAAAATATTTTATCATCTCTGTTAGTAGGATATAAACAGTTTAAGTTGTTAGATATTCATTAATAGGAGAAGAAATCTCTTATGGTACCCATGCATAATTTTAAATATTACTGGGAGATCAACTGCTCATCTGTAAAGTTTTCATGTTTGAGTCTCACTGCTTCCCCCAATCCAGTCAGGATGGCAGGCACACTGCATAAAAGCCCTTCCAGGGACTACAGTAGGGAAATGATTACATTTTACCATGTTCAGAATAGCAATCTGAGAGATGATGATCAGCTCACAGAGACTCTCTGTGAGTATTATCTATGAACCTCACACCAAGGCTATGTATGTGGGTCAAATACTCTCTGGTTTCATTTCATGTGTTTCATTCCGTGTGTTACCACTCAGCACCATCAGTATTCACTTCATGAATAATTTTAGCAGTTTAAAAAAATTTTCATAAATATAATGGCCTTTAAAAGGTGATCCATGAATAAGCAATCCATCTACTTTCCAATGACCCTGGTAGTTCAGCATGTGAGCCACCAGAAATTTTGGTGTTTACATCCAAGAATGACTAAATTTGTCATAGATCAGTTGGATAAATGAATGTCAAACAGCAACCCAATGTCCACACAGAGTGAGCCCTGATTAGGAAATGTATGTACCAAAATAAACGTAAGTATTGTATTTAAAAAAACACCAGAAAAATAAATGGTCTAAAAACCGTGGATATCACTTGATGGATATTTTAAAATTTAATCTTCTGTCAAAGAAATAGTTTTCCACAATACAGAAGTCTATGAGATCTGAGATGAGAAAAACAAAATGAAAATAACAAAACAATTTGCTTTTAGCACAATTCACAATTACAAAGATATGGAATCAACCGAAGTGCCCAACCAATGAATGGATAAAGAAAATGTGTGTGTGTGTGTGTGTATGTATATACACATATATGTGTATATATATAATATATGTGTGTATATATATACACATATGTGTGTGTATATATATATACCTATATGTGTGTGTGTGTGTATATACACACACGATGGAATACTACTCATCCATAAAAAAGAATGAAATAGTGTCTTTTGCAGCAAGTTGGATGGAACTAGAGACTGTTATCCTAAGTGAAGTAACTAAGGAATGAAAAACCAAATACCACATGTTCTTGCTTACAAGTGAGAACTAAGATATGGGTATGTAAGGGCGTACAGAGTGGTAATAACGGACATTGGACATTGGAGACTCAGAAGGTGGGAGAGTGGGAAGGAGGGTGAGAGATGAAAAATTGCCTGTTGGGCACAATGTCCACTCTTTGGGTAATGGGTACTCTAAAAGCCCAGACTGTACCACTATATGATTCATCCATGTAACCAAAAACCATTTGTACCCTTAAAGTTATTGAAACAAAAAAGATTTTTTTAAGCTCAGTTTGCTTTTGAAAGAAAAACTCCAGGCAAATTTAGTAAATCTAAGGAAATATAATTGTCAACATTCCTAGGTAAATTATCATCAGTTAAAAACCACTATCCTAATTGGAGAAGGCTCACCTAGACCTGACAATTCATGTACACAAGATAGGCCCTTCTGGAAATGGGAAAATGCGTTGAGGTGGAGTTTATTGGTGAGTCAACGAAGGAAGGATTATTTGTTGCCTAAGAGTGTTGGGCAATTGTTGAAGAAGACCCAAGGGTCCAGTCTTTAATGCAGAAAAAGGTAGAGGTATCAATTCCTAAAGGCTGAGCAGGAGGACATGCATTAATAATGTGACAAGGGCCGTCATAAGGAGGGAAATTCTTCTACATGGAGCATTGCAAGGATGGAGCTCTGATGAGAGAAAATTTCTTGAAGTAGGAATATAATCAGCTCCATCTTACAGATTACCATCCCTATGCAGTAGATACAATGGGTCATTAGTTCTTTCTAACTTTCCCCAATTATCTGTCCCTTAAGAAGGTGGAAAGATCCTGAAAGAAACCAATCTCTATTACTTTCTTATGCTCAAGAGAAGATGGAAAACAGACAACTTTCTGATTTGAATAATATGGTCTCTGGCATCTATGAAGGTTTTCCAGAGATGCCAGATGATTCCATAACAAAAGTAAAATAAATAACAACAACAAACCTCTTTTGATTAAATCTCACTTTCATTAGCTTTTTCTTTGCTCTCCCAGTGAGGAAATGGGACTAGGGTTCACTGAACTGCAAGAGGATTCTTCTGTGACACCAATAAGTGTGAGGAATCAACTTAGAAATTTTAAATTGAATTAGCATATAGCAGTTACTGTATGCCATGCATAGTTCTAAGGGTTTTATGAACATCAACTCATTGAATACTTATGAAAGTCTATGAGGTAAACACTACTATTTCTAAGGGCAGACTGTTGTTCAAGTAGAGTCAGAAACCCAGCTGTGGATTATCCGCTGCGTGTCTTTTTGGGTCTAGTGATAGGAACTCTCCGTGCTGGTCAACTGTAAGGAGCTTAGGCCAGCATTATCGCCTAGTGGATGCCCCTCAGGAAAGGTGCCTCCCTGGCCATTCTCTCCTGTCTGCAAAGCCTACAAACTGCCAAAACCAACATAGTGTGAGGTCTCAAGAAGTGAAAACATCTCAATAAATGAGTTGTTCTTCCTGTGTAGAGAAAATAGTCATCTTGGGGGTGTTGATTAAAGATTTTCCCAAATTTCCTAAGGTGAGGGTTTTTGTGGAGCAGAAGAAATTAGGAATTCATCTGGGGGCAAACACAGAGGCCCTAAGAGCCATGGAGAGAAAGAAGGGCTTCTACCTCTCTCCTCTGCTACTATTATTAACAGTTCCATCATCATTCTCATTTTCACCACTTTCACACTCCTTTTGTCAATCATAATTTTTAAAACTTAAAAAGAAAGAGGAAAGGGAAAAGAAAAGTCAAGGCAATAGAGGTTTAGAGAAAAAATTTAACATAAAAATTTAGATTGAAAAAACAAGAATAAAGTAAAAGTACGTATAAGAGAATTAAAATTCCAGTAGAACAAAATGTTGAGTTTGAAAGTAAGATTAAACAAATGAGATTTAAAAGATAAAAAGTGGATCATTAAAATTATAAAACTATAGAAGATTAAAGAATAAGATAAAATACTTAAACCCATCAGATAAAATTTCAATATAAAAATAGATAAAACTAAGGATTAGTAGGAATTAATCACTAAGTAGGAAAAAAATTAAGGCATTGAAATTAAAAATAAAGAGAATTAGAGGAAAATATGTTAAGAAGAAATTAGAGAACTATAGAAGAAAATAAGAAAGGAAAAAAATTTTCTCTGAGCAGTTAAGAAATGAGTCTTGTTTAAAATGTAGATACATTGGGACAACATCCTTTCTAAGTGCACAAGGAGGAAGGGAATATTGGGATAAGTTGCTCTTTGGCCAGTGATATGGTTTGGCTGTGTCCATACCCAAATCTCATCTTGAATTGTAGCTCCCATAATTCCCATGTGTTGTGAGAGGGACTTGGTGGGAGGTAATTGAATCATGGGGGCAGTTTTCCCCATACTGTTCTCATGGTAGTGAATAAGTCTCATGAGATCTGATGATTTTATTTCCCCTTTCACTTGGTTCTCATTCTCCCTTGTCTGCCGCCATGTAAGATGTGACTTTCACCTTCTTCTATGATTGTGAGGCCTTCTCAGCCATGAGGAACTGTGAGTCCATTAAACCTCTTTTTCTTTATAAATTACCCAGTCTCTGGAATGTCTATCAGCAGCATGAGAACAGACTAATACAGCCAGAAACTCGAACTCCAAAGAGACTCCTCTAAACTGTGCCAGATATGCCAAATATCAAGTCTCCTTCACACATACAGAGCTGGGGCACTCCTGAGCTTTCTCTGCCTGATCCTAAGACATTTCATTTTTCTTTGTGTCACCTACTAAAGTGATCTGCTCTTTATTCAAGGCAGAGTCCTTAAGTCTCATGAATAGAAATTGTAGACTACTAAAGAACATGGTGGACATCAAAGAATCTGAGTCATGAGCAACAATCAAATAATAACAAATTATGTTTTCTATTAAATCTTTTTTCTGTGATTTATAAATTTACATTAGTGAAAAATACTTTTTTAATGGTCAGTGATCCCGACCATTAAATACAGTAGGTATTTCACAGTTACCATTTTTACCATGATGTCATTGATGAAGTTGTTTCATGTATTCTTGAAATATTGTGTTGTGGACATGAACGCTGGAGGGCCTTGACATCAGACCTAGGGCAGGACACAGGAACAAGGGAGGCTGGCTGACTCAGATCTCCCCCACGGCTATGTCTGTGCTTCCTTCCCTTTTTAGGAGCTTCATTCTTTCTTCCTCAGCTGCTCTCCATTTCACAAGCATGAGAGCCAGATGGAAGTTCCTCTGCCCAACCTGCCTGGTTAGCAACAGTGACTGGTTTAAGAGTAAGTATGCACCTCTGCAGAGTCAGTCACGTAGAACCTCACCTACTAACCTGCAGATTGGTCCAGGAAGTGAGAACGTGACCTAAACCAGGCAATCAGAGGCTTTCCATGAGATTTTCCTAATCTGAGCCAGAGGGGAGAAGTACTTGGATGCCAAGACTCCTCGAGAAGTGCTTGAGGAGAGAAAGTTGAGAAAATGAAACCAAACATAAAGAGCTAAACTATGAGGAGTCCTGCCCAGCCTCTGAGCTGTCCATCACGAGGTCATGACTGCTCTCCTATTTTTGCAATCAATAACGGCAAATACTTTCTGCCCCTGCAGCTATCCTCAAAGAGTGGTGTCCAAAAGCAGGGTGGCTTAAGTCCTCATTTAATGAGAAAATTCTTTTATTAATAGCATATTTTTAGGTCTTTTGCTAAACTAGGAGAAACTAGCTTGTGTTGGTATGTGTTAAGTAGATGTACTAATCTTGTAATTTATACTCTTCCCCAAACTCCAGGATCCACTGCATAAATAAGTTTCTCATGCCAGATTTATTTCTTTCATAAGAAATATATATTTTTTTCTCTCAGTGCCCCACTATCACCATTTAGGCTCTAAAATATCTGAGAGATTTGCCCCATGTACATTTGATTCCCAGCTGCTAACCTGGAATTTTGTTCTAGGAGTTTGTGAAGACTATTTTCCAACCACCTGTATAATGCAATTATTTCAAAAAGGTACCAGAGAAGCCTGACTGCTTGAGTTGAGCCATGGGTCTTTTGTCCTCAGACTGAGATTTATACCATTGCCTGCCCTGGTTCTCTGGCCTTCAGACTTGCACCCAATTATACCACTGGCTTTGCTGAATCTCCAGTTTGCAGATGGCAGATCCTGGGACTTCTCAACTTCTATAATTGCAGGAGCCATAGATATAGATATAGATATAGATATAGATATAGATATAGATATAGATATAGATATAGATATAGATAGAGATAGAGATAGAGATGGATAGAGATATCTCTATCTAACATCTACCTATCTACCCATCCACCTATTATCTATCTATCTATCTATCTATCTATCTATCTATCTATCTATCATATTGCTTCTGTTTCTCTGGAGAACTCTAATACAACCACTAAAAAACATAAAGTGTTGTCAATTGAAGTATGATAAGAATCGGCAAGCCTTATCTGTAAATGATGATAGTAAATATTTTAGGCTTTAAGGTCCACAAGGTCTCTATTATAATGGCTGAATCCTGCCATCGCAGCAAGAAAGCAACCGTAGGCAATATGTAAACAAATGGCTATGGCTGTGTTCCTATAAAGCTTTAATTGTGGACATGGAAATTTGAATTTCATGTAACTTTTACATGTTATAAAACTATTTTTCTTTCTTTTTTTTTTGTAACTGTAAAAAATGTACAAACCAGTCTTAGCGCTAGAGCCATACAAAAGCAGGTGGTCAGCTAGATTTGATCGACAGGACGTTATGGTTTCTTATCATGTTAATTACAAGATGCATCCATATTTCAGAGTTGTTAGAATGCAGAGATATGTGCGTCTTAGATTGAATGTGATAGTGCAGTATTACAGAATCCTAGGTCTTTTGGATTCCCTGGGTTTTAACATCTATAATGTATCCCCACAATGCTTTGCCACTTAACCTTTGGCAATCAACAAGGATCATTGGTGAGCATACAGTCTGTCCTTTCTGGAACACAGTGAGAAGTGGACATGGAATGGAGAAGGCTGAGAAGAAAGTTAGAGGGAATTGAGGTGTATGGGGCAGTCTTTTGGAATCTGAATGTTCAGAGAATAATGAGGCATGCCATTTGTATAGCACTTTAAATTCCATAAAATCTATGTATATACATTGTTTTATTGAATTTTCCCCATGGATCTGTGAAGTACCCATTGTAGAAATTAGCTGCAGAACAGAAAAACATACATGTGAATGAATTATAACTGGGAAAAGGTAGACCCTAACATTGTCTTTTGACCATACAACTGTTCTTCCTTATTCAAAAAGCTTATATTCAGTGAGTGTTTCTAAGGGTGAAAGTTAACCATGATTCAGGAGACAATCATGGTTGTATTGTCACAGCCTTTCTCTTTCATTTTCCTTACAGTATTGCCTTCAGCAGAACCTACTGCCTCTTAGCAATATTAGTACAAAGGCATTTGCAAGGCACCTTATGGGCATATCTGAGCCAAAATGCCGCTGGTTTGTTAATTAAATTTAAACATTTTGACATGCATCTCTGATTTCACTTCCTTGTTCTGTTTCACTTCTCTTCCTCTTTTGAGCCAAGTAATAAATGCAATGAAAGTAACATGGACTTTGAACTCAGTGGGATTTGAATCCAGATGTGCTGTTTATTAGTTTGTGACTCTCAGCAAACTACCTAATCGTACTGAATGCTTTCATTATTCTCATTTTAAAAAAGGGAATAGTATTACCAACATTATGGAAGTTATCAGTGAGGTGTTACACATAATGCCCATAGAAACATGCCTACCCCATAGTAGTATGTGTTAGCTATCATTGTAAGCATTGAATGGAGTCATGTATAAAATACCCAAAAAGGCATCTGATGCATGATAGATAATCCCTTAACCATAGAGAAAGCAAGATTCTCTCTATATGGATTCTCCAGGGTCACCTTTTTTATCTAATTTGAAATGTTGCACCCCCTCTTTTCGAACACACAAAATATGACTGAATAACATGATCCTGGTCACTCAAGTTGTTTTTTGTTGAGTTTCTTTATCTTCATTTTCTCATTTCTACTAAAGGCTGTGTAGTATAGAAATTACAAGCTCATACCTACCCTTTATAAAATTAATCAATGATTTACTTTCCCAATAAAACTGTATCTTTTTTCTTTATATATTTCCACTTTATTTCTTTATATTTATAATTGTATTAGCTTCCCTCTTAAAGACTGATTGTTTATCTCCTCATATAAGTACATTTTGATACCTGCAACCTGAATGAATATTTCTTTGCCTTTCATCTCACTGGGTCTCTCAGCAGCATTGGACAATGTTGGCATCTTCTTGCCTTTTGAATTATTCTCTTTCCTTATCTTCCACAATTCCTCTATTTTCCTCATACCTATCTCTCTCTTCCATCTGTGTTGCCCTTGCAGGCTCCTTCTTCTCTATCAAACTATTAAATATGTCAGTATTTCAAGGTTCTTCCTAAGCCATCTCCTTTCCTCATCAAAATTTTTTTGGCAGCTAATTTTCTTTACTTTTTCAATTTAATATTTCTGTTATTGTCTTCCCTATCCTTCCAGTTATCCAAGATAAAATTTCAACCCAGTCTGTCTCCTTCTTTCCCAGATCATTCTTTTGATAGTGTGCCCTTGTTACATATTTGTGGAATGGATAAATTATATAACCTCTCACACGACAGATTGGATTGGACACTTAAAAATCTGCATGATTTAGTTCCTACAAACCTTTTCTCCCCACAGGAATGCTATATTCCAATAAAATGCTCTACCCGTTGTTCTCAGAAAAACCTGTAACGATGAGAATATAGCATCCTTTTTTTTCTTTTCTTTGAGATGGAGTCTCACTCTGTCACCCAGGCTGGAGTGCAGTGGCATGATGTTGGCTCACTGCAACCTCCGCCTACCAGGTTCAAGTGATTCTTCTGCCTCAGCCTCCCAAGTAGCCGGGATTATAGGTGTGCACCACCACGCCCGGCTAATGTTTGTATTTTTAGTAGAGACGGGGTGTCACCATATTGGCCAGGCTGGTCTCAAACTCCTGACCTTGTGATCCTCCTGCCTTGGCCTCCCAAAGTGCTGGGATTACAGGTGTGAGCCACCTCGCCCGGCCTCCTTTTTTTCTTAAATAAAGACTGGAAGCCAATAGCATGTGGTGAGAACTTAAAAGAGTCATTACTAGGATGGACATTTGATAGCCTTTTATGTTAATAAGAATACAACCATTAAGTGATGAAGTAGTGCCATCCTTGATCTTCCAGATCAAAAAGCAAAAGAGAAAAAGATAAACAGCAGCAAAACTCTTCTTTAAGCCCGAATAGCCAAGACAACCCTAAGCAAAAAGAACAAAGCTAGAGGCATCATGCTGCCTGACTTCAAACTATACTACAAGGCTACAGTAACAAAACAGCGTGGTAGTGGGGTATAAGAACAGACACATAGACCAATGGAACAAAATAGAGAACTCAGAAATAAGACCAAGCACCTACAACCATCTGATCTTCAACAACCTGACAAAAATGAGCAATGGGGAAAGGATTCCCTATTTAATAAATGGTGCTTAGAGAACTGGCTAGCCCTATGCAGAAAATTGAAACTGGACCCCTTCGTTGCATGATGTGCAAAAAGTAATTCAACATGGTTTAAAGACTTAAATATAAAACCCCAAACTATAAAAATCCTAGAAGAAAATCTAGCCAATACCATTCAGCACATAGGCACAGGCAAAGATTTCATGATGAAAACGCCAAAAAAATTGCAACAAAAGCCAAAATTGACAAATGGGATCTAATTAAACTAAAGATCTTCTGCATAGAAAAAGAAACTATCATCAGAGTGAACAGGCAACCTACAGAATGGGAGAAAATTTTTGCAATCTATCCATCTGACAAGGGTCTAATATCCAGAGACTACAAAAAAGTTAAACAAATTTACAAGAAAAAAATGAACAACTTCATTAAAAAGTGAGCAAAGGACATGAACAGATACTTCTCAAAAGAAGCCATTCATGTTGCCAACAAACATGAAAAAAAAGCTCAACATCACTGATCATTAGAGAAATCAAATGAGTTTTCTCTAATGGTATCAAAACCATAATGAGATACCATCTCACGCCAGTCCAAATGGCAATTATTAACAAGTCCAGAAACAACAGATGCTGGCGAGGCTGTGGAGAAAAAGGAACACTTTTACACTGTTGGTGGGAGTGTTCAATTAGTTTAACAATTGTGAAAGACAATGTGGAGATTCCTCAAAGATCTAGGGGCAGAAATACCATTTGACCCAGCAATCTTATTATGGGGTATATACCCAAAGGAATATAAATCATTCTATTATAAAGACATATGCATGGGTATGTTCATTACAGCACTATTCACAATAGAAAAGACGTGGAATCAACCCAAATGCCCATCAATGATAGACTGGATAAAGAAAATGTGGTACATATACACCATGGAATACTATGCAACATAAAAAGGAACGAGATCATGTCCTTTGCAGGGACATGGATGGAGCTGGAAGCTGTTATTCTCAGCAAACAAATGCGTAAGCAGGAAAACCAAACACCAAATGTTCTCACTTATAAGTGGGAACTGGATGATAAGAGCATCCCTGCAGATGATGGACACATTGCAGGGAACAACACACACTGGGGCCTGTTGGGGACTGAGGGAGGGAGAGCATCAAGAAGAATAGCTAATGGATGCTGGGCTTATTACCTAGGTGATGGATTGATCTGTCCAGCAAACCACCACGGCACATTTTTTTGGTTTGTTTACAGATGTAACAAACATGCACATCCTGCACATATACCCTGTAACTTAAAAGATGAAGGGAAAAAAAAGCTTTTCTAGTTAAGTGCTTCCTAAAACTTCCAACATAAGGACCACTTTTTTTTTTTTTTTTTTTTTGAGACGGAGTCTCGCTCTGTCGCCCAGCTGGAGTGCAGTGGCGCGATCTCAGCTCACTGCAAGCTCCGCCTCCTGGGTTCACGCCATTCTCCTGCCTCAGCCTCCCGAGTAGCTGGGATTACAGGTGCCCACCACCAAGTCCGGCTAATTTTTGTATTTTTAGTAGAGACGGGGTTTCACCGTGTTAGCCAGGATGGTCTCGGTCTCCTGACCTCGTGATCCACCCGCTTCGGCCTCCCAAAGTGCTGAGATTACAGGCGTGAGCCATCGCGCCCGGCCATAAGGACCACTTTTAATGTTAGCAACATTTGTGACATTCATTGAAAGAGCAAGTGAATATATATATGGATTTAAAGACTCTTCACAATCACTGTGTGGGCCCCCAAGGCTCCAAAGCTCACAGGTTTACAAGGGTTCCTATGTCCAAATTTCCACCTAAAGTCTTTGCAGAGAGGTTAACTGCTGAATCCCAGCCTCATTGATTTTGAACCCCAAAGGGGGGGCTGCCTTTGTCCCCACAGCATCTAATGCAATATCTCACACATAGTCGGCTTTCAGTATATGGTAGAATGTGAATCAGAATAATATAAGTTTCTGAGTTACCACAGCTAATATGAAGTTAAATGCAATTTGCTGGCAGTAAATTATAGCAATATACAGACATTGTATTTGATGATCAGATTTTTGGGGGAAGAAAAGCCAATTCAACTAAAGTGTTTTTTTTTTTTTTGTCATTGGCAAGCATAGGCCTTACTGACCGTTTATAAGTCATCTTGTAAGTTATTTTTCATCATTGTCAGTTCTGGAGAATCATATTGAGGAAGACTGTGGTTTAAGGAAGAGAGAGAACCTGACAAGGATCCTGCGGCCTTGGTTTCTTTTCCTGGATCTACACCTAATTTGCCGTGTGACCTTGCAAGAGGTCATTTGACCTCTTGTCAGCCTCAGTATTTCCATCTGTAGGATAAGTACTTTGAATGACAAGATTGCTCTAGTTTTTACATTTTCAGTAGATTGCCCAGGTAGTTATTATAAGATAAATTTTTTCCTGGGATAGCAAGCTAACTAAGTTTAGATAGGAATCAAAGGCCAGAAATTTTTCCAACGCAGTGATATATATTTAATAATTTTATCTTGTAGGCTTTGTGGCTCACTATTGGGCACAGGCTTTCTAGGACTTGTAACTTGCTGGGTTAACTTCTCCTGCAGGTTAAGTTCCTCTTCCTGGAACACATGCCACACTTTAAATGTGCTGAGAAAGTCAGATGAAAGTGTAATGCCTGTGAGAGTAGCTTTGCCATGTACCCTGCGCAAGGCGCTTAGGGAGAGCCTTCCTTTTCCAGTACCTTCCCTCTCTCTCCACCCTTGCTGCCTGCCGAAAATGAAAAGCAATTATGTCCCTTGCACCATGGAGACAGAAGTACAGAAAATAAACAGTGACTGATTAAGGGAAGTGGCTTTATTACAGGGTTTTTAAAAACACAGTATCATTAATAACAGCAATAATGGAGAAAAATGATAATGAATAATTAAGCATAATAATATAGTCAGGATAACAATAAAAAAACCAGTGAAGAATGAAATTTTATTTGTAATAATATGACTGTTTAGCTTGATGACATGTCCTTGGATTTGACTGTTTCCGGCAGAGGTGTAAGCACAGTATGGCTTTTCATTTATTTCCCCTAAGAATGTTTCTGGTTGAGCTGTGGCTCTGCCCTCTTCCCACTTCTGTCTTTGCTCCTTACCTTTGCAGTTATAGAAAATACACATTCACTTTTACTTTCCTCTGATGTCTCTAGCCGGGGATTAGCACCACCAATGCAACTGAATCCTCAGGAATGCGCTTGTTGTGATAGAAGGTCTGAGCAGTCAGGTGATATCAGGCGGGCTGGCAATCCCTTGGGTATTCAGGTACCTCCCCGCCCTCCCTTCCCCTGCAGAAATTTACTGGAGCAATAAACCTAGTGCAATCATGGAGGAAAATTAAGGCAAATGATCCTAAATGGAGAGAGACTGACGAAGTCCTAGAAACACCAACATAGCAACCCCCATACAAAACAGCAAACCTTATTTCACCAGGCTGTTTTCTTCAGTATTTTTGTGAAATAGTATAGAGTCTCAGAGACTAAGCAGTTTAGCCTGAGACATCAGTGCCAAGGAGTTACAGCATCTATGTAGGGTCCAGATTGCTTAACTGGTTAGAAATCATTAAGTAGGTTATCTGATTTTCCAGGAGACACAAAGGTGGCAGAGTAAATGATATCTTCTCCCCAGGCTAACATCGAGGCATAGATAACGGAGCTGCCAGCAGAGCCCCTCCCTCTACTCCCCTCAGACAATGTGTGTCACACTGAAACAGAAATAATAAAAAACTTGGAGACCTCTGAGCATATCAAAGATAAGACCTTTGTGTTTTTGTTTCTGACAGATTGTGTGCTCTTGACTGTTATTAACCCAACCCACAAGTGCAAATGATTATTACCAAAAAATAACCCTCGTCTTTGTCTTTCAGTCTGTCCTCCCTGTCTGGGTGGGGAAAGAAAGGTGTATTTTAATACTGCACAGAAATTTGGAGAGATTAGAAAAGGATTTTCATTCAAAGGGTCAGTATATATTTAAGCAGATAGAAAGCATTAGGTAGATTCTATGTAAAGGGTCTAAAGTTCCCACCTGGTTTTCAGGGAACTTAGATTCAGTTGGAACAAATGGGCAATTTTTCAAAAAGACAGGATTACATCACAGATGTACAACTGCATGAAATTACGGTACATGTAAAAATCAAATATTTGTCACGTCTTAGTATAAGTGTACAGAAGTGAGTAGAAATGATGAATACAGAAGTTTGGAAACAGCTGGACTTAAGGCAAAGTTATTTTAACTACCAATATTATGTAACGCTTTTTTTAGGTTAAAAAACAAATTTATGTGCATTCTCATTTTCTCCTCCCAGTCATCACATGAGTTACATCCTATCATCATTCCCATTTTATGTGTGAAGTAAAGGTTTTTCTCCATGTGATCCAGCTAAAAAACAAGATTTGTATTCATGGGGACCTAGGTTTAATTCTGATTTTATCATTTACTAGTTGTGTTCTCTTCTCAAGTTACTTGACAAATTAGCATGGTTTTCCCTTAAACAGGGATAATGGTTTGTGTCTTCGGGTAATTGGGAAGATTTTCTGCATCTCTCTTCTTAGCACCAGTTTCCTGCATTGTAGCTACCACAACCTTATGCTTCTACATCCCTTTTACTATACCTTGGTTTAGTCACTTGTTTGTTTCTGCTTAGACTTTCGTAATACTCCCCTGCATCGACTCTTTGCCTTCTGTCTCAGGCCTTGTATTGACTCTCCATAAAACTGTCAAATATACTTTTCCAAATGGAAATCTGTTATGTTATTTCTCTGGCTTAAATCTGCAGAGAGCTCCCGACTGTCTGCGGAAAAAAGTTCAAACTCCTTAGGGTGGATTTCAAGATTCCAATGTCCATTTGGACACATTCCTCACCTACTTCAACTCAGACCACTATCACCATCTGTGCCCCCCTGCTCTGACCGTTTCATATTACCTGTAGGTTCCTGAGTGTGTCCTCCCCTGTCCTGCCTCTATATATTTGATTGGGCTGTACTGTCGGCCAGGAGTGTCTATCTTAATTATTTCTTGTTGGTAACTACTTCTCTGTAAACATTCAACTGAGCAACAGTTTGTTGTATAAATCTCCCCAGTTGGTTAGTAGCTGGATGTACCAAACCATTTCATAGCACTAGTTCTCTAGCTATTCTCTTTTTAAAATTAAAAGTTATTTTGTTGTTGTTGTTGTTGTTTGTTTTGTTTTGTGACGGAGTCTTGCTCTGTCACCAAGCTGGAGTGTAGTGGCGTGATCTTGGCTCACTGCAACCTCCGCCTCCTGGGTTCAAGCAATTCTCCTGCCTCAGCCTCCCAAGTAACTGGGACTACAGGCACGCCCCACCATGCCCAGCTAATTTTTGTATTTTTAGTAGATGGGGTTTCACCATGTTGGCCAGGATGGTCTCGATCTCTTGACTTTGTGATTTGCCCTCCTCGGCCTCCCAAAGTGCTGGGATTACAGGCTTGAGACACCTTGCCTGGCCTAAAAGTTATTTTTATCAGCTGTACACACATAATTTTCCATATCAACTGGTCCTATAATGCTAAACAAGAAACAAGTTCCTTGTCACACTCTTGTCTACATTCAGTTTCTACTTCTTCAAAACTGCCACCTTGTACGATCTCAGTAGTTTCTTCTAGTTGCCTCTGTATTTCTAAATGGTATGCTTGTGACACTATTTCTTGATTTTTCCATTTTAGATCTTAATTCCCCATTCTGGATAATGCAGGTTTGATTTCTCTTACACTTCCTTAGTACCGTCTTCCTTCCACTGTTTTCCCCATTCACCCAATACAATCAATAGTTAGGTTAAACTAATATTCAGTACTTACATTGTCATGGCTATGTTAACCAGCATCCATAGGTTAACTATACAGTG
Organism: Homo sapiens; assembly: GCF_000001405.40. Lineage (NCBI taxonomy): Eukaryota > Metazoa > Chordata > Mammalia > Primates > Hominidae > Homo > Homo sapiens. The sequence goes on from NC_000006.12 coordinate 139,849,911, forward strand.
TACTATGACTACATTTCTTGTTCATACAGCTTTTTGTTAACCTGAAATTAATAAGAAATCAGTGTACCTACCACTGATTTCTTCCAAAATTCTTTGCCAAAGTTCATTCAAAGCATCAGGTGAGCTTTCATCCACCCCCCACCCCCACTCCCCCATCCCCCAGGAGACATCCTTCTGGAATTTTCCATCCTGTTGCTTCAACCTGGACCAGTTTCTTGCTATCTACACCTCAATTATTATTCCATAATGTCCCTTCATCCTTTTGAAGAGAATGCTCCTGGTCTTTTTTGGTTGGTCTCTTGTTTTCTGAATCCCAAATGCTCCTTATCTTGACTCACACACACATCTAATTGCTATACCTTTTCTATTAGTTCACTAAGAAAAGATACATAGGAGTTACATTTTTTGAGACTTTGCATGTCTTAAAACATCTTTTTACTTTCATACATGTTTGATAGTTTGCTGGGTAACTTTCATACATGTTTGATAGTTTGCTGGGTATAGAATTCTAGATTGAAAAGAATTTTTATTCAAAATTTTAAAGACATTTTTACCTTCCAAGAGTACATTTGAGAAAACTGATGCTACTCTATTTTCTGATTCTTTTTCTGCCAAATTGGTTTTTGTTGTTCATGTAAAATTGAACAATTTTTAAAAATATAGACCTTTTTAGAATTGTTACTATATCCCCGGTGATCCAAAATTTCACAGCTTGCCTTGATGTAGTTCTTTATTTTATTCATTGTGCTGGCTCATTGATGGGATCTTTTAATCTGTAAATCCATGCCTTTCATTCTTGAAAAATCTACTTGAATAATTTCTTGGGTAATTTTTCACTCCAATTTCTCTTCAAAAACTCCTATTATTCAGACGTTGGACCTCTTTGGCTGATTCTCTATTATTAATTTATTTCCTGTTCTCCATCTTTCTCTTTCTTTTCTATTTTATGGCTCCTCATCAAATTTATCTTCTAATCCTCTATGGAATTTTAATTTTTTATATTATATTTTAAATTTTTGAATAGCTCTTTTTGTTCTCAGATTTTTTGACAGCATTATCTTATTGCATTCATATAATTTTTTAAATTATAAATATGATAATAGATTTTATAAATCTATTTTTATCTTCCTTTTCTTTATGTCTTCCAAGGTTTTAAATTATCTTTATTTTTGTCTATGCCATTCATAAAATATCTTTGACTATTTAGCTTGCTGTGCACATTTGTTAACGACACACTAAGAAGCTAACTGGACACTGTGCATTTATGGGTGGAACTTGTTAAATGCTAGACTTCCCAGTAGAATTACAGGGTTGGGAATCTTCACTGGGGGAGGTCCCCAAATGGTAGAATTTATAGAGCTTTTCTCCCCTAGTAATTCTCCCATCTTCTTCTTGCAGGCATAACCCTGATAGCATTCTTTCTAGAACTTCGCCAAATAAGCGGACTGGAATAATATTCAGACTATAGACTTTCACGTAACCTTCTTTTTTTAAGAAATGAATCACAGCTCTTATCTGGGCCCGGTTTTCTTGCATCCAGGGTTTTTGTTATTCTGTATTGTTAGAAAGTAAAATTTTAGTCTGTCAAGGATGGGGAAGGGGCTATCTCTGAGCACCTAGGGTGTAGGTCTCTATTTGTTTCTTAAACAGAATTTTAGCTAATACCTATGGACTTTTAGCTGTATACTCTACTTCCATAAGTACTTAATGATTTATGTTTCAAGGATCCCCAGAATCCTAGTGTTATTTGGCTCAATTTTAAGGTTTTCTTAAAATAGTCTGGGGTTTCTACTGTGTCATTTACTACTCATCCTTCTGCTTCTTGATTTTCTTATTAAAACAAAATCCTGTTATCTCCTCTCCCTTTTTCATTAATCTCTTAAACGTGCTTTTTATCTTCTTTTAAAATACGTTTACTGCCAATTTTGGAAGAAAAACGTGGTAAATGGCATGCCTTCATTCCTCCACATTGATCTGGAATTCCTTCTCTGTCTTAATTTGGTTCAGCCTATATCCACATACACCAAGGCTAGACTTAAAGATAAAATCAATTATTTTAATTTTACCAGCTTTGGTCAATAATTTTGTTTCTATGTTTTTCTGACTTAGTCAGTTTTTATGTAAGTCAAGGTGGTTGAGTATTATAAGTTTCTATTACTATAATGATTTCATATTCAAACACTGGATAGGAAAAATTGATTATGGGCTTGGCATCTATCTATACGGTTTTACAGAAAGAGAGAAAAAAACACTTTTAGATAGTGGTATCAAAAAAGGTTGATATATATTTTTTATCATCTCCTCTCCTTCCTTGTTTGCAAGCTACTAACAGTCACACCCAAGGATAAAACATTCCTATGCATTTACAACTTTTCACTAGCAAAGACCTGACTACTAAACAAAGGCAGCTTGACCAGACCACGGTTTTATGATGGGCTTGAGAGGGGCTTTGTTTCACATTCTGGTTGTATTTTCAGTGGGGCTCATTCTTAACTGTTTCATGATTTGGGGAGACACATTGCTGATTTTATTGTTCAGAGCCTTTCTTCTCCTTTTTCTTGTGGAATGAGTGATGTTCCACACGGAAGATTAAGATATATAATAACAAAACAGAAACTCTCACGTTTAGCTGTAGTTAGATTTATGGTTAAGTTTATGGAGATTACTTAGGGCTGGGAACACACGTCCAAGAACGTCTCTGCAGTTACAACTGTGCATGGAGTGAGATGCTGTTACAGACTATGGACAGTAAATACCTCTGAGGTTGTGTGTCACTTCCTGTAGGCCCATGAGTCTTTCTGATTTAAGTAGGAAGGTGTCTGTTAGTAATGCAAACAAAACCTAGTTTAACCTCTGATTCCCAACATCTGGAATATTTATCTCTTTGGCAATTGTGCGGTTCACTGAACACTCACCATTCCAGTGGTCCACTGAAGAAGGATTTTGGCTTGAAAAGAGACCGCCATGGGAAAAAAAAAATCTAATTCAGAGTAGTTATCACTGAGAATACCAAAAGGATTTGTGATAGCAATATCCCTTTGACTCCACAGCTGGTCTGCGTGGATTGTGCTCTAGTGAGAGCCTGTTTTCCTAATGCCGTGAGAAAAGACATAGATTCTTCCTTTGGACCTTATTACAACACAAGATTTTTTTTATTGTACACTTTAAAGACTCTTTAATCCGAAAACTTAGTTTCAACTTTTTATTTCTCTGTATGCCTCTGAATGGAATCCAAACAATTCAACATCGTTTTTTTTTCTTTTTCTCTTTCAGAAATGGATGAGAGATTCAAGTATACTTTTTTGATGTCCTGTGGACATTTTTGCATTTTTATATTCTTCATTAAACATAAAACAAAGAGCTTTGGTTCTGAATACAAGAGAATATAAGTTGTTAAGACCATTAACAACTCGTTAATGGTCACAGGCATTCTGGATCTTTTCCCATAGCTTCTGGGGACACACTCTTTCTCAAATGCTGGGTAGAACAGTAAGTGTGGTTAAGGCTGACTTGAGAATGAAGTTGGAATTGGATGCAGCAGTTTCACAATGACATCAAGGTCCAAGGTCAGGGAAGTGGCAAGACCTTTACCCAGCAGAGTTAACTATAAGCCATAAAAGTATCTAGGAGCAGACCTGAGTGAAGCACGTGTTCAGTTAGTTATTGAAACAAAAGTATGTAGCTTGTCTCAAGTTCCTGGTAACTACTTCAGGGCTGATTGACTAGGTATTTCTGTGTGTATGTAATTGCTTTTCTCCATTTAAGAATAAACTACAAGGAACAGATACTATATAGCTTCTGGAAGTTTATTTCTTCTAGCAAATGGCAACTTTAGTTTTTTATTGGTTGAAGCCCTTGGGCACGTTTTAAAATATTGCCTTGTAAAATGTGATGAGTGTATTCCTAAAGCTCTAGTGTCTTAACTCAGCTCTCCACAGCCCCACATTCCTTTTACATGCATGTCTCCTAACTGGACATTAGGGAAGTTTTTTTTCTCCCAACTTCTCATTGATAATATAAATAACCACCACTTGTATAACATAGAATATCTTACAAATACTGTCATATGCCTGACCTCATTGGTCCTTATTCTGCGAAGCAAATATTGTTATTACTGTTTTACAAATGACAAAAGAGATGCTGAGAAAAATGGATTTGACCAAGGTCAAGCAGTTAATGAATAATAAAGGTGAATTCAGAATGCAAGACTTCAGACTCCAAAACACTTCATTGTTTTTTAAGCAGAGTTAAGATCCTTTGCTTTCCTCTTCATCAGAGAATAACAGTCAAATGTAAAAATAGCTTATTTATAATTATAGGCCAAGGCAGTAGCAAAGAGCTAAAAGAATTAATTAGTAAGTATTTATTGATACTTGTATTATGTCCAGTACTGTGTTAAGAACCATATAGCAGTGGTTTGCAAAAGCTTTTTCTTATGCCAGTTTTATAAGGAAACTTTCAGCAAAATCAGACAAATAAGAACCCTATTCACACATATGCACCTCTCCACACATATATCTCCATTATGAGATTTCTAATCACTCTTCTCTGCTTTAGCTTTTCTTCTTAGCATTATCACTACCTGACGCTATAGCTTATTTATAGTGTATATTGGCTACAAATTCCAATAAAATGTAAACACAAATTAGAGCACAGATTTTTGTCTGTTGTGTTTATTGCTGTATACCCAGCAGCTAGAGTTATACCTGGCACATAGTAGGCATCCCATAAATATTTGTGGAATGAATTAATGAATGACAAAGCTAACATACATTAAAGCAAAACAACCAAGTCTTTAATAGGGTTATATGAAATCTAGCTACAATAAGGATTCAGAGAAGGGGGACAATTTAAAGCTAGCATTTTTCAAAGAAGAGTCTGAAGAAAAAATGCTATTCATGCAGGGTTGTGAAATCTGGATTGGGTTTGAATAGTTGAGATGAAGAAGGGAGCTATTAAAGCTGAAAAGAGTAAAGAAGCAAAGGTGAGTAGACGTCAACGAGTAACAGTGAAGACCTAGCCGTGCCTGGAGTAAATTAAGGTGATCTATGTCTCCGGCTTTCCAAGGTACTCCCCGAAGTGTTTAGCTAACAATTTATTCTTACATGTATATGTTTTTACCTTTTGTAGAAACAAATGTATTTGTCTGTATTTTTCTTTAATTCTGATACAATGGATACAATAGAGAGCAGAAATCAATTATTTAATATGTTAGAAAAATGCCTTTTGTGAGTGGGTCAAAGAAATAACTCTAGATGATAGAAGAGACTTGGAAGTGAATTACACATTTCAGTATGCAGTGCTGTGTTGGTTGACAAGTGAACAAACACCTTCATAAATTAGTAGCTCTTAATTGTAGCTTGAAAGACAAATAAATGGGTGGTTTAGACCTTTTGTCTCATTTCATCTGTAATGTTATGAAGTATGACCCCTGTTGAGTTTTTCTTGTTTGAAAATACTGAGCTAAAATTCAGTTGTTTTTCCAATGACTTTGTCCGGGTTAATTCTTTACTTCCATCTTCTCATTGCTTAAACAGGAATATAATGTCATGTTCATTAATAGTTTGTATGTATTTAGTGCTTTAGAGACAGTGACCTAATTTTGATAGATCATGATATATTTTGATATGTGACATGCCACCGGATTGTAAATAATATCCTAGTGTGACTTCCTGCTGCATTTCTTGGACTGATGCTGACATTTCTGAGGTTATTGCTAGAATGCTCTTTTTTTTTTTATTCTAAGGCATTTTTTTTCATGGCTTATTTTTAGATTTTATATAGCATCTTTCCTTCGAGGAGCTCAAAGCAAATTTTGCAAATGTGAACAATCTTCTTTGGTCAGTATGTTTTGGTTTGGAGAAGGAAAAAATGTAATACTAATTTCCTGCCTCTGTATGTCCTTCTAAAAAATCAAACTGAATGCCCTTCTCACCTCTCCTTTTCTCTGACTTAAGGAGTTTTATTTTATACAGAGGCTTAACAGAAAGAGCTTAGACCTTGAATCACCAGTGAGGAGGCTGAACCATTAAAACAAAACACAGCAGAGAGAGCCTTCAGGAAAGGCAGTGTTAAGCACAAGGCAGATTGTCAAAAAATGCTGTAGGTGATTGCAAAAACCCTCTGCAAGGATGTTTTCAGTCAACACAAGTGGGTCGCTTAATTTTTCGAGTGAATGCCCTTAATGGGGGGACTTTAGCTGCAGTCTCACTAGCCAGAGCTGTCTCATTACAGGAGATGTGGTCCAGTCTGTGAAATGTTTATTTTGTAACTAACCCCTCTAGCAGTGGAGGGAACTGTTTACTATTCCTTCTTGTTCTCTAGTGTGTGTATGTGTGGTTTTTTTTTTCTCTTAATTAAAGAATCACTGTTGAACTTCAGAAACCTCTCCAGGAAGAAAAAAATAAAAAGAAGGAAAAAAGAGAGAGAGAGAAAGAACAGAGGGAAGAAAAAGAGAGAAAGAGAAGAGAAAATAGGGTTGAAAACTGTGTCTTTTGCTCATTCATTCTTAAGGATTATTTCCAGAAGAAGAATTGTAATATTCATTGACCTCCCCAGGAGTGTGTGTACATGAAAATGTGTGCGAATGTTTGTGTGCAGGCCCGAGTAGGAAACAGTGCTATGTAAACAGTGTCAATGTATCTATCCCACCAACTAACATTCAAAGTTTTCTTTGTTAATGATATTCTGAAGGAGAATAAAAGATGGAACCTGATTCTATCCCATACAAACAAAAATTACACAAGCCAGTAGGAAAATCTAAATTCTGAATTTGGTTGGATTTCATTTGAGCTTGCAAAATTATTAGGCAATGGCATACTGTTTGAAGGGAATGTTTGTCTTTTCATTCTAGCCAGCAGCAAATAATCCCAAAGGAGGTAAACATCTAAAAGAAAGGAATGAAAACAGGTAAGTCAGAGTAATCTGTGATCTTAGAACATAAGCCCAAGACACCTTTACAACACGTAATCATGCCTATTTCCATCTGCCCCAGAGCTACCAACATTTTAAAATATTGAAAGTAGATGGCTGATAAAAACATATTTTTAATATTACAGAGGGCTTAGAATGATGGGAATGTGAAATGCATTCAAAAATAAAGATTATGATTTAGAAAATACCCAGTTATTAGACATATGAAGAAGATTAGTGAAAGAAACATTTGAAATCTTTGCTTTATGTAGTAATTATGTTCCTGACAAGTCCTATCATAATTAAATGAGTGGCTTCTATTTAAAAGTGTGTTAGAAAGCCTTAAGATAGAAAATACTCTGTTCTTTTAGATTTGGAATTTAGAATTTGTAGTTTCACATATATTATGGGAAGCTTGGTAATGTGTCCTTACATTATTGGGATCATTGACTCAGTTCCAATGTAATAGAAACAGACTCAAATTTCCTTGCTCAGAGCTGCCTCATATGGCTGTGCAGGCCGAATAGAACTGAACTCTAGAGTCACCATTCACACAGACGACAGTGCAAAGTTTGACCCCTAGAACTACCTAATGCTTGAAATACAATAATCACAGTGAGAGGGTGCTCAAATGCCTCTTGGTTGAATACAGTGGTGTGAAATTCATATTGGTAGTAAATTCAGACTTACTTCCTAATATAATTTGAATAATTCAAAGAAAGTCTTCTACTAAACATTTTATGCCAGAAACCAAGAAATTGAGTAATCGCTTATTCCCAGAGATTCAGAGAATTTTCTAAATTTCTCTTTCTTCTCTTTTATCCTCTCCTTTAAATGAAAGTACTAATCTTGCAGTAAATTTGTTTAAAAAGCAAATAATCATTTTGAAATGCCAATAATGACGTCCCAAGGTTCTAATTTATCTTTTTAAAGAGGATTGCATTTCATATTTTGAATTGGTTTTTAACAAGGCTAACATTTTACTATATAATTCTTTATGCTTTAAAAGTATTTGACGTAAATTGTGTTATGTGATGTTATGACAACGCCGTGAAAGACGAAATGAGCATGATCATTCTATGTTACAGACAAGAAAGTTATTGCTCAGGAAAGTAAGAGGCTTATTCAAGGTCACCCAGAAAGTAAGGACAAAGCTAGGATGACAATTTGCTCTCCTCATTTCTATATTTGCTACTTTCAGGCTAATTATTTATGTTTTTACGTTAAATAATAAAATGTAATGTATATATTTATCTGACATATCTATGATTTTTTCTTTCTTTTTTTTTCTGTTTGTTAGTGTACTAGTGAAATTGGAAATATACCTATTAAATCCTGAAGATGAGGAAAATATATCCTGCTAAGTTGGAAAAAATTAAAAAATTAGTGAAAAAGATAAAAACGTTATGTACTGGAAAATTAATGAACTCACTCTCAGTGGTCCCAAGTTCATTTTTCTTATGCTAGAAAAGATTCTTTAGAATTATGCATATAAATTGTCAAATAAAATCGATAAATCCAGTAAATCTCCCTTCCCACACACACCATCAGTGGATAACAAAACTGGGTTGGTGATAACTTTTACTTGTTAACAGGTTGTTCCAATTATTGGGTAGAGACAGGTTTTGTAACTTCTGGAAATCTTAAAACGTCTTGTCTCTCAACTCAGTGATTGAAGTGTAGCAATATGGATTGAATCATTTTCTCATCTTTATTTCTGATATTGACTCCAATAAGTTAAAATTGCAAGTGTTGGTAATAAGCAATCTGGAGGATTAGCCAAAGTGCACTGTTTGCCTGTGTCAGAACCTGTTAGTCAGGCTCTGCAGGACTGACCTACATTGCTTCTTAATGCATCTCTTTGTAGAAAGGTAATTCTAATATTACCGTTGACCTACCTATTACTTAACCTCATTTATTAAATATCTTCCTTGTGCAGGATATTTTACCAGATAAAGAAATTAGGAGGACTAAGGGCATAGAGTAAAAAGAGAAAGAGATCTATTTTAGATGAACACTGAACTTTATATCACAGAAATAATCCACTAATATATGGTTCAATGTGCATTACTTGCTTTGAGAGCCATAAGTACCTCTAGTAAATAAATGCATTTATTGTACATTACAATGAAAAATTTGTTAAATAACAAATGAATGATTACTAAAAGCCTATTTTAAACATACATAAGAACAACTAATTTCATGAATGAAAGTGCATATTTGGTGGGCATATGTAATCTTACAACATTGGTTTCACTCAAGTTTTTAAGCATTTTTTATAGCATTTTTGTATATTATGGGACAGCATAAATTAAAAAAAAACCTATAAGTAACTGCCATCTATCTTAGAAAAAAGTAACAAAAATTACTTTTTTGCTTATGTGAAAGTGGTACATTTTAATTTTTATTATGCCAGTAATGAAGATTATATATTGACATATTGAATCCTGTTTTATCTCCAGGTTTTATTTATAAATGCCTCACTGTTGGAACCTGCATGAATGAAAGCTGAATCTCAAAGATCAGACACGTTGGACTTGGAATAATGTCCATGTTATGATTCCAATCTGTGCCTAAATCTGAACCACTCAGTTCTTCATGCTTGTTGGAATCCTCCTAAAATTGGAATTTCCTGGGAGATATCCAGTACTTTTTGGGCTGTAAACAGCAAAACAAACAGCCTTTCTTGTAATATGCTACGTCTAGTGCTAACTGAATTCAAGAAGTTTATGAGTGTGGGGAAAGTAACTTGATGTCTTTGCAAACTTACAAATTTGCTTCAGTTTAAATTTTGACCAAAAATTCATCTCAGGAATATGTTTTGGAATAATTCTTTGCTATTAGTTATAAATGTGACAAATATCGTTTAAACAATAAAATATTATTTTATACAACAAATTATGGCAACAAATTCCTTGTAGTGATAGATTTTTTAAAATCTTTAAATCATAGATAGGGATTTATTATGCTCCATGTCAATTATATGCATGTTTGTGTGTATATGTGTGTATATGTGTGTGTATATATATTTCACTTAATCTCTGAGAACAGTCTGAATTTTTATGTTTCTCTATTGTATATAATTGAAAAACATAAGACAAAGAAATCACTTATTAGTACGTTGATAGATAAACGTGCTTGATGCCAAATATAGACACACAAAATACACTTAATTCTTCTGTAAGAACTCTTAAACATCTATGAGAAACATCTTATCAAATTGATTTCCCCCTTTCTCCTTAGTAAAAAAATCCTGACGTTTTTAGGTTGACACAATGCCACTCAGCTAAACAATGACATTTCCCAGACTCCTTTGTGTTTAAGTGTGGCCGTATAACTAGGTTGTGCCCAAAGACAATTAAGTATAACTGTTGGGTATAATTTTTCTGAAAAGTCTCCTTAAAAATATGACGGTTTTTCCTTGCTTTCTTTTTTTCCTTGTTATTTAGAGTACGAGTATTGTATCTGTAGCTCCAGCAGCCATCTTGGACCAGAATATGATGGTCTGGAGAATGTAAGCCATGTGCAGAATGATACTTACAGACAAGGGACTGTGTACTTCATTGAACCGTAAAGCTGCCATAGTTGCCTTGGATACTCTCCTTGTGGACACCTTTTATGTGCAAGAAAAATAAACTATCTTGTTTAAGCCATTGTTATTTGTGGAATTTTCATTACATGCAGTTGAACCAAGTCATAACGAATTTAGGACTATGACTGGGTTGCTGCAAAACAGAACTTAAAATATGACTTTGGCTAAGTGAATTGAGTGGAGAGGAAGATATTAAGAGGTGAAAAACTGTTGACCCTGTCATGTGGTTGCAAAACATTTAGTCAAGTTATTGCCTGCTACGTCTTGAAGACCACGTTTCATAATGTATAGTTGGATGATGATAGGAAACATTAGTGTATTTTAATTGTCTTTTGTTCTTTACATCAAAAAAGCTAAACTCAGACTAAGAAAAAACCATCAGAAATCATAGATGGGAAGGGGGGATTCAGAGACGCTCGGTTTGCCTTCAGCCTACCATCTAAGTATGACATACAGGCCTGTAATTTCAAGGCTAGTAGAATTGACAAAACAAAACTGCCCTCATACACACCACACTGAATTACTTTCCTTTAAGATTTCTCTACCAAAACCTGGGATCCAGACAACTGACAAAAATCCCAGTGAAGACGTTGACTTCTACTCATGTTTCAAGGGGTCTCCGAGTAAATGCCAGTTATTGGTGGCAATGCCAGCAAGTTAAGGATTGGAATCTTCAGGTTAGAAACTATGTCTAAACATGATCTTCATCTGTGGTTACTTTAACATGCAATTGACTACACATACTCACATGAAATCCAGAAAACTTTCCTGAGTGGATCATGATGTCATCTACTAAGTTCCAAAAGTAGAATAGGATACCAGGATTCTCCAAAAACAGATACCATCAAAGGAAATAAAGGACTAGGTACTAGTTTTTACAGAGCTAGATAAATCAAAGAAAGGTTGGAACCTTAGTAAGCATCCATTTTGGAATGGTATGCTCCTTTGAGTAGCTATGGTAGAACATGTGAGTGTAAACCAAGATGGCTGACATATTTAGTGGCAAGGCAGAATAGATTAGTATGGCCCATGCAGGGTTTGTAATCACTGTGGGAATTACACGTTCATGAGTCTGTGCAAAGTCAGTTTTGTATATCTACACATTGTAGTAGCAAAAAGAATCAGCAATATCAGTCTAGTGTCTTCCAATTTCTCTCTGCTCTGGAAATTTGGAGGGGGTGGGGGGGAAGGGTCGGGCGCCGTGGCTCACGCCTGCAATCCCAGCACTTTGGAAGGCGGAGGCAGGCGGATCACGAGGTCAGGAGATCGAGACTGTCCTGGCTAACACGGTGAAACCCTGTCCCTACTAAAAATACAAAAAATTAGCCAGGCATGATGGCAGGTACCTGTAGTGCCAGCTACTTAGGAGGCTGAGGCGGGAGAACGGCGTGAACTCGGGTGGCGGAGCTTGCAGTGAGCCGAGATCACGCCACTGCACTCCAGCCTGGGGGACAGAGCGAGACTCCGTCTCAAAAAAAAAAAAAAAAAAAAAAAAAAAAAAAAAAAAAGCCTGGCTGGTCGCAGTGGCTCATGCCTGTAATCCCAGCACTTTGGGAGGCCAAGGTGGGTGGATCACCAGAGGCCAGGAGTTCAAGATCAGCCTGGCCAACATGGTGAAACCCCGTCTCTACTAAAAATACAAAAATTAGCCAGGTACGGTGGCACGTGCCTGTAATCCCAGCTACTGGGGAGACTGAGGCAGGAGAATCTCTTGAACCCAGGAGGCAGAGGTTGCAGTGAGCCGAGATCACGCCACTGCACTCCAGCCTGGGTGACACAGTGAGACCCCATCTCAAAAAAAAAAAAAAAAAACAAACAAAAGAAAAGAAAGATAAAACTTATTTGGACTGAATAAGGCCTGATATTAATAGCAAATGTGTAGCTGGGGAGAGAGAGATTGGACTTTCTATTACAAAGGATGTGGTAGTCCAAGAAATTACTCAAAACTGTTTTTCAAAGGTGATTAGATTTCCACCACATGTTGATGAAGTTGGTTATCCTGGGTACATTAAAAAATGGCTTCTATCACTAAAGCAGGCTGATAATCACTACTACACAAATAGATTTTTAACTAAGATATATGAGTTCTTGCGCAATGAAAAGAAATCGTGAAAGTGGTATTTTAAATAAACCAATCTTTCCCATTAGTTTTCTCCTCTTCTCTGTTTCCCTCTCTGTCTGTTTCCTCCCACTCCTTTTCTACCTCTTCCTCCCTGTCCTGCCCCTCTCCCTACACTAAGCATGAAGAGTTCTGGAAATGATTTAACAGCCATAATACAATAATCCTAGTGATTATAACGTGCTTGCCTTTTATATAACTTGCTTTCTTTTTTATTTCTCAATTCTTTGGCTTCTGTTAATTTTCTTTTTTTATTCTATGCCAAATAAGAGCATAGATCTATTGTTTTTTTATTCCCTTGACTGATCTCAACTAGTTTCATCCATGGCCAGGTGCAGTGGCTCATGCCTGTAATCCCAGCATTTTGGGAGGCCAAATTGGGAGGATCACTTGAGCCTAGGAGTTTGAGACCAGCCTGAGCAACATGGTGAGACCCCGTTCCTACAAAAAATACAAAAATACCAGCTAGGCATGGTGGTGCACACCTGTAGTCCCAGCTACTCGGGAGGCTGAGGTAGGAAGATCACCTGAGCCTTGGAGGTTGAGACTGCAGTGAGCTGTGGTCACACCACTGCACTCCAGCCTGGGTAACAGAGTGAGACCCTGTCTCAAACAAAACAAAACAAAACAAACAAACAAACAAAACTAGCTTCGTTCATATTTTATATCTTGTATCTACTTTCTAGAGAAAAGGATTATAATTCAACTGGATTCAAAATAGATGTCTCCTGTTATTTAAACATGTAAATCACACACACACACACACACACACACACACACACACACACACGCACACACACACTCACTGTGGCATAGATTGCCTTTTCCAATAACTTCTGATCAAAATTTCCCCATTTATCACAAATGTGCCTACACATTAATCTTGGAGTAACCCCAAGGCAATGATCTCTCTGAGCCACTTTATCCCTACAAACCTGTTTCCAAAACTCACATAGCCTGCTGCCATTCTTTTCTATCCATCTGTTCTTCTTTAAGTTTTGACTGGAGTTTGTTTTTTGAAGAGCTATGAACACTTAGTCATATGCATGTTTCAAGTCCAAAGACTTCCTCTAGATAAATATGTTACACGTACTTACTTTTTCATGCTGCAGATTTTTCTTTATTCATTGTACTTTAAATTTCTCATAATTGATGAGTGTGAACATACTTCATTTTATTATGCTTTGCAGATGTGGCTTTTTTTTTTTTTTTACAAGTTGATGGTTTTTGGTAACCTTGAGTTGAACGAGTCTATTGGTATCATTCAAAAACTTGTGCTCAGTTTGTGTCTCTGTGTCACATTTTGGTAATTCTCTAAATATTTCAAATGTTTTCATTATTAATATATCTATTATGGTGATCTTTGATGTTTCTATTGTAATTGCTTTGGGGCACCACAAACTGTGCCCATATAAGATGGTGCACTTCATCAATTAATGTGTGTATTCTGACTGCTCCATTGACTGGTTATTCCCGTTTCTCTCCCTCTCCTTACACTTCTGTATTTGCTGAGACACAACAATATTGAAATCAGGCCAATTAATAACACTACAATGGCCTCTGTGTGTTCAAGTGAAAGGAAGAGTCACAGGTCTCTTACTGGAAATCAGAAGCTAGAAATGATTAAGCTTCATGAGGAAGGCATGTTGAAAGCTGAGATAGGCCAAAAGCTAGGCCTCTTGCACCAAAGAGTTAGCCAAGTAGTGAATGTAAGAGAGAAAATCTTCAAGAAATTGAAACTGCAACTCCAATAAACACATGAATAATAAGAAAGAGAAACAGCCTTATTGCTGATATGGAGAAAGGTTTAGAGGTCTAGGTAGAAGATTAAACCAGCCACAACATTCCCTTAAACCAAAGCCTAATCCAGAACAAGGCCCAAACTCTAATTCTGTGAAGGTTAAGAGAGATGAGGAAGCTGCCGAGAGAAGTTTGAAACTAGTCAAGTTTGGTTCATAAAGTTTAATGGTATCTCCATAAGTCACAAGTGGTGATGTAAAAGCTACAAGTTACCCAGAAGATCTGACTAGGATAATTGATGAAGGTAGTGATATGGGTTGGATATTGTCCCCTCTAAATCTCATGTTGAAATGTAATCTCCCAATGTTGGATGTGGGGCTTGGTGGGAAGTGTTTGGGTCATGGAGGTGGATACCTCATGACTTGGTGCTGTCCTCACAATAGCGAGTGAGTTCTCACGAGATCTGGTTGTTTAAAAGTGTGTGACACCTCCCCGCTATTCTTTCTCTTGCTCCCACGCAAGCAACGTGATGTGTCTACTCCTGCTTCACCTTCTGCTAGAGTAAAATCTCCCTGAGGCCTCTTCAGAAGCTAAGCAGGTGCCAGCATTACACTTCCTGTGCAGCCTGCGGAACCATGAGCCAGTTAAACCTCTTTTCTTAATAAATTACTTGGTCTCAGGTATTTATTTATTTTTGAGATGGAGTCTCGCTGTGTTGCCCAGGCTGGAGTGCAGTGGTGCAATCTCAGCTTACTGCAACCTCCACCTCCCAGGTTCAAACCATTCTCCTGCCTCAGCCTCACAAGTAGCTGGGACTACAGGTGCCCGCCACCACGCCTGGCTAATTTTTTTGTATTTTTAGTAGAGACAGGGTTTCACCATGTTAGCCAGGATGGTATGGATCTCCTGACCTCGTGATCCACCCACCTAGGCCTCCCAAATGCTGGGATTACAGGCATGAGCCACCGTGCCCAGCCTCTGGTATTTCTTTATAGCAATGCAAGAGCAGCCTAACACAGGGGGCTACTCTGACAGATTTTTAATGAAGACAATGCAGCCTTAGATTAGAAGATGCTATCTAGGATTTTCATGAAGACAAGAAGCCAATACCTGGCTTCAAAGTTTCAAAGGACAGGCTGACACTCTTCTCAAGGGCTAATGCAGTTGATGACTTTAAGTTGAAACAAATGTTCATTTACCATTCTGAAAGTCCTAGGGCCCTTAAGAGTGATGCTAAATCTACTTTGCCTGTGCTCTATAAAGAAAAGAACGAAGTCTGGAAGATGGCCCATCTGTTTATGGTATGGTTTATTGACTATTTTAAGCTCACTGTTGAGACTTACTGCTCAGAAGAAAAGATTCCTTTCAAAATAGTATTGCTCATTGGCAATGCACCTAGTCACCCAAGAGATGTACAAGGAGATGAATGTTGTTTCCATGCCTGCTACCACAACATCCATTCTGCAGCCCACCAGGTCAAGGGGAAATTTTGACTTTCAAGTTTTATTAAGAAATACATTTTGTAAGGTCATTGCTACCATAGATAGTGATTTCTCTGATGGATTTGGGAAAGTTAATTGAAAACCTTCTGGGCCGGGCACCTATAATCCCAGCACTTTGGGAGGCCAAGGAGGGCAGATCACAAGGTCAGGAGATCGAGACCATCCTGGCTATCACGGTGAAACCCCTTCTCTACTAAAAATACAAAAAATTAGCCGGGCGTGGTGGCACACGCCTGTAGTCCCAGCTACTTGGGAGGCTGAGGCAGGAAAATTGCTTGAACCCGGGAGGCAGAGGTTGCAGTGAGCTGAGATGGTGCCACTGCACTCCAACCTGGCAGAGCGAGACTCCATATCAAAAAAAAAAAAAAAAAAAAAGAAAAGAAAAAAAAAAAGAAAACCTTCTGGGAAGTATTCACCTTTCTAGATATCATTAAAAACATCTGTGATTCATGGATGGAGGTCAAAATATCAACATTAACACAAGTTTGGAAGAAGTTGATTCTAACCCTCCTGGATGACTTTGATAGGTTCAAGACTTAGTGGAAGAAAATAGCTGCATACGTGGTGGAAATCACTGCATACGTGGTGGAAAGCTAGAACTGAAGATGTGACTGAATTGCTACAATCATCAAACTTTAATGAATGAGGAGTTGCTTCTTATGAAAGAACAAAGAAAGTAGTTTCCCGAAATGGAATCTACTTTTGGTAAAGATGCTGTAAACATTGTTGAAATGACAACAAAGGATTTATAATATTACATAAACTTATTTAATAAAGCAGTGGCAGGTTTTGAGAGGATTCCCTTCAATTTTGAGAGAAGTTCTCCTGTGGGTAAAATGCTATCAAACATTGTAGCATGCTACAGAGAAATATTTCATGAAAGGAAGAGTCAATTGATGTGGCAAACTTCATTGTTGCCCTATTTTAAGAAATTGCCGGCCAGGCGCGGTGGCTCACGCCTGTAATCCCAGCACTTTGGGAGGCCGAGGCGGGTGGATCACGAGGTCAGGAGATCGAGACCATCCTGGCTAACAAGGTGAAACCCCGTCTCTACTAAAAATACAAAAAATTAGCCGGGCGCAGTGGCGGGCGCCCGTAGTCCCAGCTACTCGGGAGGCTGAGGCAGGAGAATGGCGTGAACCCGGGAAGCGGAGCTTGCAGTGAGCCGAGATTGCGCCACTGCAGTCCGCAGTCCGGCCTGGGCGACAGAGCGAGACTCCGTCTCAAAAAAAAAAAAAAAAGAAATTGCCATAGCCACCCTAGCTTTTAGCAACCACCACCCTGATCAATCAGCAGCCATTAGTAAGGTGAGACCTTCTACCAGCAAAAATGTTACAACGTGGCTGGGTGCAGTGGCTCACGCCTGTAATCCCAGCACTTTGGGAGGCCAAGGTGGATGGATCACCTGAGGTCAAGAGATCAAGACCATCTTGGCCAACATGGTGAAACCCCAAACCCCGTCTTTACTAAAAATACAAAAATTAGCCGGGCTTGGTGGCATGCACATGTAGTCCCAGCTACTCGGGAGGCTGAGGTAGGAGAATCACTTGAACCCGTGAGGCGGAGGTTGCAGTGAGCCGAGATTGCACCACTGCACTCCAGCCTGGTGACAGAGTGAGACTCCGTCTGAAAAAAAAAAAAAAAGAAAAAAAATACAACCTGACAAAGGCTGAGAAGATTGTTAGTAGTATTATTTAGCAATAAAGTTTTTGTTTTCTAACTTTTGTTTTAGGGTCAGGGGTACTTGTGAAGGTTTGTTACATAGGTAATCTTGTGTCATGGGAGTTTGTTGTACAGATTATTTCATCACACAAGTATTAAGCCCAGTACCCAGTAGTTATCTTTTCTGATCCTCTCCCCCCTCCCCGTATCAGTATTTTTTAATGAAGATGTAAACTGTGTCTTTTTTCAGACATAATGATGTTGTACACTTAACAGACTATAATATAGTGTAATCATAACTCTTTTTTTTTTTTTTTTTTTTTGAGATGGAGTCTGGCTCTGTCACTCAGGCTGGAGTGCAGTGGTGTGATCTCGACTCACTGCAAGCTCCACCTCCAGGGTTCACGCCATTCTCCTGCCTCAGCCTCCCGAGTAGCTGGAACTACAGGTGCCCGCCACCACGCTTGGCTAATTTTTTCTATTTTTAGTAGAGACAGGGTTTCACCGTGTTAGCCAGGATGGTTTCGATCTCCTGACCTCCTGATCCGCCCACCTAGGCCTCCCAAAGTGCTGGGATTACAGGTGTGAGCCACCGCACCTGGCCTGTAATCATAATTTTTATATGCACTGGGAAACTAAAAGTTTGTGTAACTCCCTTTATTGTGATTTTCACTTTATTGTAGTGGTCTGGAATTGAACCTGCAATATCTCCAGGTATGCCTATACTGAAGTCTTCTTTCAGGTAAAAGATTTACTATCTATGTTTTGTGACTCCCAAGTATCAAAAATTATCTCAGGATGTCCTGAAGTCCTGTGAAAGTTTAAAAACATCAACATAAATCCACTTTAATTTTAATAAGAAATGTTTGCCAGGGTGCTTTTTAGAAAGTATTGTAAAATTAAATAAGTAATTCCCAAGAAGGTTTTTAAAAATCGTAATAAAACATTTTAAAAACAATTTCCATGTCTAACTGAAGTAGCTATTTTTTTTGTAAACATTCTGCAATATTTTTAAAGAGAAAATTCCCATTCATCAAGTCATGCTAATCAAAATCTTATATAGGTTAAACAATATTGAAGTTATTACATTCATTTAGAATTATAAAGTCTTCTTGGGCGTGCATTTAAATGAGATTTAAATTCCAAAGCTATTTTCACATTTTTATTATTGAGTAAAAATCTGACTAACACACATCAGGATGGAATTTGTTTTCCCATTTGTCTGTTATGATTTGATTTTGCTCTGATTTGAATCCTATTTACTAATTCACCTCCAAATCACTCCACTATTTAAACACTCATTCCTAGGTGTCATTCACTTGTAACAAAAATGCAGTTCTCCATCCTGCTAAAAGCACATTCCTGGAATAAATGTGTCTCCTTTGGGAAATGGTAGGAGGGAAAAAGTTCTTCAGGGGTTTTTATGGGACAGAAAAACAGAAACAATAACTACCTATTTAGCTTCGTGTTTCTTCTTTTTTAATCTGGTTTTAATCGGTGCAGAACCTTACCTTTCATCCATTCTGAAATTATCTTTTTTTACTTCGGTTAACAGAGAACTTACTCAGAAGTTGTGGACATGTTTAACTATTTACATTTACAGTCTACCTGTATTCAATTATATGTATCACTGTAGACCTCTATTTTTTAACATAGTTTTTTATAAAAGACGTTTTAGATGGTGACTTAGGACACACTTGAGAAAAATGTTTGCATTTACTCCTTAATTTCTTTGTAACTCTAAGTACCTATTGATTTATTGTAGCTTATTTCTTCAAGTGTTTCTGTTATCTCTGCTTTGAGACTTGCATTTCTGACTTTCTTTGCTGCCACTATTTGTAGAAAGCAGCCACAGGGAAGGTACCTGTATCCCTTAAGAGACTGAAGCAAATAAATCATTTACCATTTAGAAGAAAGGAAGGGTAAGTAATTTTCTGACCTTCCTTGATTTCTGTCTTTATTCTGTTGCTTTGATATACCTAACAGCTTCTCTGTAGACTTCCCCCTTCTGTAGTGCTAAAATAATTTCTCATTAGCCTGACAGTCCACATGAAATTAATGCCACTGTTACATTAGCTAGGGGTAGGGGTGAGGGTTTAGGTGATTGAGCAGGCCAGTTTAAAAGAAGAAGAAAGCAAAATCTTTACTCTCAAGAAGTTAAAATATTAAGGCAATGAGGCACATAAGGAGTAATGAAACTGAGCAATGTGTCTTCAAGTGCAAATTGACATAGCACAGATTGAGAAAGCAATGCTGTGAGGGGATAATGCATGTACGAGGAGATGTTCATCCTGAAGGTGACTTTGCTGATGCTTGTCAGAGAGATATCACCATAGGTTATTGGAGGGAAAAGATGTGGGCATGCAAATGAGCAGTCTCACATAAAGTAATTTGACTTGTTAGAGACACGGTGGGAAATAATGCAAAGGTTCATTTTTTTGGAGAGAAGTAAGTAATGAGTGAAAATAAATCAAATGAGGA
The DNA here is from genome assembly GCF_000001405.40 of Homo sapiens. NCBI lineage: Eukaryota > Metazoa > Chordata > Mammalia > Primates > Hominidae > Homo > Homo sapiens. The sequence continues at coordinate 139,869,919 of NC_000006.12, forward strand.
ATGTCCCACACAGCTCCTTAGTGTATCACACTCTTCATGTCATGCAACCAATTAAGTCTTCATACATGACTTGGGAGGGAGATGCTATTATCACTTTATATATGATCAAATTGAGGCTATAAGAGATTGAACAATTTGACCAATGCTCATACAAGTGGCATATGGTGGGACCAATAGTGTGTCTGGCACTAGAAGCTACAGGCAGTAGCTTCTAAATGCATCACTTTTGGTATGTTTATACAAAAATTTCCATGGTTACATTTCAGGTTATCAATAGGTAAAAACATTTCTTATATTTGTATTTATAATAGAAATCTCCTTATGCCATCACCTTAGAGTAAAACACTGACATCAACAGATTAGTATATTAGAGCAAAGAAGTAAAAAATCATGTTAAAAGTATAAAATTATAGCCAGAGCAGGCCAGGCGCGGTGGCTAACGCCTGTAATCCCAGCACTTTGGGAGGCCGAGGCGGGTGGATCACGAGGTCAGGAGATCAAGACCATCCTGGCTAACATGGTGAAACCCCGTCTCTACTAAAAATACAAAAAATTGGCCAGGAGTTGTGGCAGGCGCCTGCAGTCCCAGCTACTCAGGAGGCTGAGGCAGGAGAATGGCATGAACCCAGGAGGCGGAGCTTGCAGTGAGCCGAGATCACACCACTGCACTCCAGCCTGGGGGACAGAGCGAGACTCCATCTCAAAAAACAAACACACAAACAAAAATTATAGCCAGAGCATCAATTTTGACTATTTTAAAAGTCATCAATTTTGACTATTTTAAATTATATTTAAAGAAAAATATAATGAGCAGAATATTGGTCAGTTATGAAGAAACAGAAGAAGGCTGTTCATAGTGGTGCCTATTCTAGCCCTCTCCAGGAGAGTGAGTATCTGGTCTGGGAAACTGGCCTGTCCAGCCCCAATTATAAACCCAACCTTGATAAGCCACCTCAGGCTGTCCCATTAGACATTCTCTTCATCTTTTGAACTCTCTTTCTGATTCCCTTCTACAAAGAGAATGAGCTGGTCCCTTTAGAAGTTATATTTCTCATAGCATTTGAATAAATTGGGATGGAGTTTATACACCATTCTGTGGAAAAACTACACTCTGAATGTGTGGATGGGTCAAGGTCCTGGGACCATACTTCTGAATAGAAGATTTACCCTCAGGGGCACTTTCTGTGTGCTAAGTGGACACGCCAAGGTAGTGTTGTATTGAGAGTGACTTTTCCTCCTGGAACATTTGCAGGGACATCACAACATTTAATCATGTGCCAATTCAGATATCAAAGTTACAACTTAATATAGGTTGTGGTATCTTTATAAAAAGGATTAAAATAATTATTGCCAAAGTCAAATATATAACATGAATCTATGTAGTATGCCAGAATGTAATGTATAAACACTTTATTTGAAAAATCTTTAGATACTGACATGTTTACTGAACTCTTTCCTTCCTTCCTTCCTTCCTTCCTTCCTTCCTTCCTTCCTTCCTTCCTTCCTTCTCTCTCTCTCTTTCTTTCTGTTTTTTTGAGACACGTTCTCACTCTGTTGCCCAGGCTGGAGTGCAGGTGACCTTATCTCAGCTCAGTGCAACCTCCCCGTCCTGGGCTCAAGCAATTTTCCAGCTTCGGCCTCCAGTGTAGCCGGGACTACAAGCTCGAGCCACCAATGCCCAGCTAATTTTTGTATTTTTTGTAGAGCCAGGGTTTCTCTGCATTGCCCAGGCTGGTCTTGAACTCCTGAGCTCAAAGTGATCCACCCGCCTCAGCCTCTCAAAGTACCTGGAATAACAGGCATGAGCCACTGTGCCCAGCCTGAACTCTCTTTCTTATAGTTTTTTTTTTCTATATGTAGATAACTATAATATAATAGTAAATATCTGTGTGCATCCAAATAGCTCTAAATAGTATGATAATTTGCTCATTAAAAAAAACTGTGGTTAGCTTATTTAGTAATGTGAATGACTTGATCAACTGTAGTTCTCTCAGGATGTACTTTTCTTTGGAAAAAGTTATTTCTCTTTTTGAAGAATAGATTTTGCAGAATGGAGATAGAGTGGGGGAAGGGGACACTTCAAAGTGTGGAAACATGAGGAAACTTCAGAGTTTGTAAGCAATTCAAGGGGCCCCTTAAGGGAGAGGAAATGACCAGAGGGGGATGGAGGGGAGGTGAAGAGAGAGAGAGAGAGAGAGGAGAAAACTGAGGGAAAAAAGAAGGAAAAAGAAAAAAGTTATTTTTGTTAACTATATAATAAATGATAAATATTTTTTGTATTTAAGTAGTTATTAAAACAAATGGTTAACTTGTGTATTGTTTTCCAGCTCTCCTGGTTCTCTCTGCCTTTCCTTGCTTGCTGAAACATTGAGTGTCCTTACATCTGGGCAGTACATCTGGCAAGAAAATGTTTATGATTCCTTTGCTGCTGTTCAAATTCTCAACCTGCTACTAGACTGTTTTTGGAGATGAACTTTTTCCTAAAAAGGCCTTGCTGGTATTGTTTGGAACAAACTTCAGGATCATAATTTTCCAGAAAAAGCAGTTGCCTATTTAAACATTTATTTGACGATAGCATACTCATGTACCTTTTTGTTATCATTACTGTCATTTATGTAGTCATTAATTATTACAAAATTGAACTTTAGCTCGTGTTAGAATGCTATAGCTATGATTGTCATTTTACCTATTTGAAATTTAAATGTTGCCTGTCCAATATTATGTCCATTTTACCAGAGGCTGGAAATTCTATTCTCAAATTAGTGATCTCATCGTTTAAATGATGACTATGGTCCTCAGCAGTGGAGGAAAAACAACATTTGTTGAATCTGACAACTTGATATATTCTTTCTGTTTAGCCTCACTGATGAGGCTATAGAGACTCCTAGAGCCTTGCAGTTGGCAGGAAGCTGTGAGCCCCATGGGCAGCCTCCCATGTTGGCAAGCTCTTTCCCCACCCCAACCAGAGTACAGGGAAATCTACTGTTTCCTTAAACACACACACAGGCAAGAGTCTCATTATTTTATGGAGCATCAAAGTCCATCATTGAACAATTTGATTGCTAGGCAGTTCTTTATGACAGTTAACTAAAAGCTGTCGTGCACTATTTGTCCTGTTTCTGTCCCCTAGAGCAAAATAAAGCAGAGCTGTTCAATTTTCATATAACAGTCCTGAAGGTAGAGGGGTCTACACAAATCTTCCACCCCTGATGAGGCAGACCTGGGCATATAAATGTGAAGGCTTGGTTTTCTTGATAAGACCATGCCAACCACAACACAACTTTTGAGATTCTATTACGTACCAGGCATTGTTAGTCTTTAATACATTTTTTTCTGTTCCTCATTCCAACTGTGCACTGCTGTATGTATTATCTTCAAGATATAGACATCAAAACTGAGAATCAGAGAGTTAAATAGCCACCTAAGATAACAGGACGATAAGCAGTGGAGGTGGGATACGCTTTTAGTTCTGTCTAAATTGATGCACATCATCTTTTTCATCACATCATGGTTTCTCTCTAGTGTCTTGTGCTAATTAGTATTTGCTTCTAGAGGAGTTATGTTTCTCATAATATAATTCCTAGGCTTGAGTCTTGCTGGACATTGCTTTTCCCCCACACACCCCTAATTTATTCCAATTGTTAATATTTTCAATAAAACGTGAATGCAAATTCAAGCATGATCTGTACAGGTGTGAACTGGACTAGCAGATTTTCCATGAAACATTACTATGCCACTTACTTCCCAATAAATTATATTAAAATACAGCTAGCAAAATATATTATTTAGTACTATATATGTTTATGTGTGTGTGTGTGTGTGTGTATATATATATATATATATATAATTATTATTATTATCATTTTTGTGATGGAGTCTCTTTCTGTCGCCAGACTGGAGTGCAGTGATATGGTCCCAGCTCACTGCAATCTCTGCCTTATGGGTTCAAGTGATTCTCCTGCCTCAGCCTCCCGAGTAGCTGGGATTACAGGCATGCACCACCACGCCCAGCTAATTTTTGTATTTTTAGTAGAGACGGGGTTTCACTGTGTTGGCCGGGATGGTCTCGATCTCCTCACCTTGTGATCTGCCCACCTTGGCCTCCCAAAGTGCTGGGATTACAGGCGTGAGCGACCGCGCCCAGCCATATATATCTTTATGAATGTATGAGTAGCAAGATCTAGTGGTGGGCCTAATAATTATCTTAATTTTGAAGTAGTGAAGCATAATGACCATTTTGAGATTTTCACAGAAATTATAATGTGATAGGGAAATATCTGTGTCTACTATTTTTGACATAGTTACAGGTACTGCCAACACTACTGTTTTGTTTTGCCTACATCCATAATGAAACTAAATGTTAGATTTCTGCCAAAAGTTAGTGAAAATAATGCTTTTTCCCCTTTCAAATTTGTATACCCCCTGAACTCTATTCATGAACTGCTTGGACAACTGTGAATAAGTTAGCTCATCCTTACGCTCTGGTTAACTAAAATTACTAAGATTTTTTTATATAAGCAAATCCCCATGGAATGTATTAGTTACCCTACAAGCAAAGTTTACCATTTATCCGTTTACATTTTGATCTTTTTATTAAGAGTATCATTTTAGTTTATTAAGATAATTTTGCATCTTTAGCCATTGCTATTTCTCCTAGCTTTAGGACATATGTTCCAGGTTTAGCCAACTTATCCATTTAAAACACATTAGGACTGGGTTGTGAAATAATTCTGCAAACACAATATTAGAAGCCTTTCTGGCTGATAAAATCCTATTAATAATCACTTTTGTGATATAAGTGCCCAAAGAATGCCTAGTCTACATAATTGTAGAAACAAGCAAAGGTGTCATGAGGCCAAATACCTTTTGAAGATGAACTATATTGGAAGCATCCCTATTAATTTACAATCCAGTGATACAATTAAAAATAAAACAGGGGCTAAGTTTTTTTAGTGAATCGTGCAGGCTCCTAGTGTTTACTGTGCTATTTTCTAAGAGTCTACCTTGTCTCTGTTTAACAGGTTGTTCCAGAAAATGACTGGAGATTCAACTTCAATGTTACTTACGTACAAATCTCAGGATGTAATTTCCCTTTTCTGAGAATTAGGACAACTCTCTATAAGCTATAAGATGATTTTCTTGAGTCTAGATATTTTAGGTCATTTAAAATAATAAAATGTACATATTATGTCTCATAACCTGGTCCTCTTCCTTTCTCCCTCTTTCCATTCCTTTCTTTCTTCTATCCTTTCTTCTGTATTTATTGAATGTGAAATGACGTCAGCTACTGGGGTTATACAGATAAGTAAGACATACTTCTTGAAATCAAAGAGCTCACATTTTGTATTCCGTAAAACCACTGACCTCCTTGGACTTGATATCTCAATAGCTGGTGCATCTCAGAAGATCCCATCATTTTAGCAATGATGATTTCCCCCCCTCAGGATGTAACCTGGTTAGTTTTCATCTTCTTCCTATTCTTCCCAGCATTAAACTTCTGGCATATTTGAGAGCTGTATTTGAGTGGTTTTTGATAGCCACCTACTAACATTAAACCATTTTATCCCATTCTTAATATTTATCCTTTAGCATTTTTAGGAAGTTTCAATTAAATCTGGCTTTAGCTTTCTAGCTTTCCAAACAAAGCTTTCCTGGTGTATATCATTCATCGTTTATCTTTGGTATACATTCATTTTATCAATGAGTGAATTTCAGAGTTTCCAGTACAGTCACTTTTGCATAGTTTTCTACTAATTTTATTATTGAAATTTGTTTAACAGTTTGTTTAGTGTGCTAAGAATCTCCTAATACAGACAGAATATATCCATTAAACAATCAAACCATGAAAGAAAACTATCAAATTTGCATTGTATATGATATGGTTTGGATCTGTGTCCCTGCCCAAATCTCCTGTCTAATTGTAATACCCAGTGTTGAAGGTGGGGTCTGATGGGAGGTGATTGGATCATGCGGGCAGTTTCTCATGAATGGTTTAGACTATGCCCCTGGTACTGCTCCCATGACAGAGTTCTCACAAGATCTGGTTGTTTAAAAGTGTGTAGCACCTCCTGCTCCAGCCATGCGAGGTGCTGCTTCCACTTTGCCTTCAACCATGATGGTAAGTTTCCTGAGGCCTCCTCAGAAGCTGAGCAGATGCCACCATACTTCCTGCACAGTCTGCAGAATCATAAGCCAATTAAACCTTTTTTTCTTTATGAATTACCCAGTCTTAGGCATTTCTTTATAGCAGTGCAAGAACTGACTAATACAGTATATAAACTTGCTGATTATCAATGGAAAATTTTAAATTTATAAACACCTGATACATGCTCATTTAGGACAACTATTTAGTAAGTGGACAGTATTTTAATTTCAGCCTTGTCTTTTTTTTTAATTCCTATTTCTACGCTTTGCAATAATTTTTGGTATGGCAATATGTTCCCTTAAGCAGTATTTTAGCATTTTAGCATTATTTATTCTTGTCATTGATTTATTTAGAATGTTTAAATATTGATGAGCTGGATACACTAATACTCTTGTGAAATCTATCATAAGTGCAGTGTGGAAATATTAGCAAATTGGATCATTTAGTGGTAAATTCATTTTTTCTTTTCCTCTTGTATTCAGCAGGAAAAGTAGTGTAATAATGTGATAGTAAACAATAAAATATATTCACAAAGATAATTTAAAGAAGTGGGTGTTTTTGCCATTTCTATTTGAGGTGCTTTTGGGTTTATCTTGGGTACTTTGGGTAGCTTTGAAGTTTAAAAATAAAACATTGCAATCTGTACATACATAAAGCAAAGCAGTATTTTTGAATGTCACCAAGCATTCCTATCCTTTTGCTACCTGTGTGTGTAAGTCAATGCATTCTATGGCCTAAGAACTCTTCTTTGACCAAATGCAGAATTTCTAAGGAATCTCATATGAAAAGGAACACTCACCAAGTTGGCCAGCTTAATCTGATCAATCTGGGATTCCACAGTGAGCATGGTGATTTCAGATGTCATAACTAGGTCACCCTTGGCCGGGCGCGGTGGCTCACGCCTGTAATCCCAGCACTTTGGGAGGCCGAGGCGGGTGGATCACCTGAGGTCAGGAGTTTGAGACCAGCCTCAACATGGAGAAACCCTGTCTCTACTAAAAATACAAAATTAGCTGGGCGTGGTGGTGCATGCCTGTAATCCCAGCTACTCGGGAGGCTGAGGCAGGAGAATTGCTTGAACCCGGGAGGCAGAGTTGCAGTGAGCCAAGATCGCACCATTGCACTCCAGCCTGGGCAACAAGAGCAAAACTCCGTCTCAAAAAAACAAACAAACAAACAAAAACTAGGTCACCCTCATATCTCTGTGTATGTCATATGCAAGTAATTATACACACCTGTATAAACTCACTTGGTCCTCCACAGTAAACTACAAACATTTTTCTTTGCCGTTATCTGCCTTCTTGCTCCCTTTTGTGAAGTGTGGTCCCTAAGGAATTGCCAGAGAAGAACAATTAAAACCAAGATACAGTACATTAAATATTCTCTAAAAGTATATATGGCATTTATATAGCATGACCACCTGGAGGGAATTTTCAACAACTGTCTCAAATCACAGTCTACTAAGTGTTCCCTTGTTGTGTCCACAAGATGAAATGAAGTGTTAAACATTTATAGGATCAATTTAAAGATACTTGATTTTGACTTTGAAGCATTTCATCCTCTTTTGTTCAAATTATAGAAACCATTTAGGCAAAGGAGCTGAATTACCTTAATCGTCATGTCTACCTTCTATATTTATTTGAATATTTCATTAGTTAAACATAATTTTTATTTTTCTCTAAAACAATTCCAATGGTAAGTTATTTTCCTCAGTAGCCAAAAGGGCAGGGGATGACATTCTTTACTAGCTTAATTTTGCATCATAGAGCTACACATGCAGAATTCTACCTACATTCCTGGTCAGAGTGATACAGGAATTTTCTCAGCCCCTTCGCCAGACTCATGTCAGGGGTGAATGCTTACCATGCTCAACCCCGGCAGAAGGTAGGACATGAGTGAGCAAGTATAGGACTGGGCACCAGGAGGAGCAAGCTCCATGAGGGGCCCACAGTCAGACCAGGTATGAGCGAGCTAGTGCGGGACCTGGCTGGCTGCTCCAGCTGCTGGTGGGAGCAAGCTCCATGCAAGGCCCAGGTGTGGTTGCCCACAACCCTGAAACCCTGGAGGTGATGTTACAGTGCTCCCTTAGTTATGCAGTCCGATGGACGGCTGTGTGTTAACAACTCAGTTGGACCCTGCCTCATCCTGTGGAATGGCTGCCCTCCACTGGCAAGGGCAAAGGGCCAGTGTGACAGCCTTTCTGGGTACCTGCATTGGGTGGGTCCCAAGCACTTTTCTGGCGTTCAAGAAGACTGAGGTCACGTGGACACTTGAAGGAAGGTGAAGGTAGAGATTTTTACTGAGTGGTAGGAATGGCTCTCAGTAGAGAGGGGAGCTGGAGATGGGATGAGAAAGGCAGATAGTTCTCCCTTAAGTCTGGCTGTCTCTTCCCTGAAGTCAAGCTGTCTCTTCTTCCCCAAAGTCTGGCCGTCTTCCTTCTGAAGTCAAGCCATCTCTCTCTCTCCTACCTACTGAGCCTGGGATCTTTATAGGCATAGGATGGAGGGTTGGGGCAGACTGCAGGTAGTTTTGGAAGAGGCAACATTCGATTGCTAAAAAGGCGTTAAGAAAGAACCAACTGGGAGAGAGTGGGCAAACAGGAATAGAAGTTCTCACTTTGGGCTGTGGGTTTCAGGCTACTTTGGCTTGAAGGTGGTGTTTCACTGGGGACCCATGCCTGTCTGTCTAGAATTTCTCTGACTCCTGCCTGTATCAAAGGCTTATTAGACAATGATGATGCTGGCCATCTACTTAGCAGTATTTGAGAGGCTCCAAGAAAATTCTTCCAAATTTCCAACAGCCCACAGGCAAATGCCCTATACTCCATCATTAGTTGGTCTAATCTTTCTGCAAATTCTTGCCTGAAGGAATATATTAAGTCATAAATTACCTAGTGGGAATTCATTTTGTTAAAGCAGATTATATTCTCTGAAGCAGGGATGTTGGATCAATCAAGTCTTGGGCACTTGGAAAGTGAAGGAACCCTGGGAGAGTGACTGTGTTGAAGAAATGACAGGATGAAGAGCAAAGACAATTTTGAAAATTTTGAACCTCTATAGTGACTTCACTATCTGTGACTTCTTTTCATTTTTCTTTTCTTTTCTTTTTTTCTTTTTTTTTTTTTTTTGAGACAGAGTCTCACTCTGTTGCCAGGCTGGAGTGCAGTTGTGTGATCTTGGCTCACTGCAACCTCTGCCTCCCAGGTTCAAGCGATTCTCCTGCTTCAGCCTCCTGAGTAGCTGGGATTACAGGCACGTGCCACCATGCCCAGCTAATTTTTGTATTTTTTAGTAGAGACGGGGTTTCACAATGTTGGCCAGGATGGTCTCGATCTCTTGACCTTGTTATCTGCCCGCCTCAGCCTCCCAAAGCGCTGGGATTACAGGTGTGCGCCACCGCACCCGGCCATTATCTGTGACTTCTTACCCAATTCCTGTAAACCAGTATTACTGAGTCTTCAAAGAAAGAGTACCCTATGAAGGAGGCAGGTTGAGGTAGGGCGCCAGAGAATCGAAGAATGGGCATTTTCGTAGACCATTAAGTGCAATTAGATAAGAACAGATAAATCTGAACATTTCTAACAAATTCTAACATGCAATCATGCAAATGTATGTTAGAAAAAAAATCTAGGTAACATGCCTTTGAGTATTATCACCTTCCAGAAGATGCAGGTGGGCTTGGGAGAACACTGGGGCAGGCTAAGTCACACAGCCTAATTTCTTTCTAAGTCCACTTGAATACTTACTTAGCATCCTTTGCATATAAAGTCCAAGTAAAATTCATTTAGTTTCTGTATTGCCACTTTGTCATTAAATCTCTCTTTTGGGTCAAATTTTTCTCTCAGATTTGCAGCCACTGCTTCTCTTGACCTCCATAAAGCAGGAAATGTCCATGTACTGCCAAGTTTTCAGAGTCCTCGCTGCCCATAGCAATCAAATGAGATGATTGCCTCAGTCCTAAGCATTGGTCTCAGAGAAGGGTAGAGCATACTTTGAACCGGAAAACCAAACCAAACAAAAACAAACAGCCACGTGAGGTATGTGAGATGTCAGTTTCTCTTTGGAGAAATGTAAGATAGAAATCTGACTGTAAAGCTCTATCTTTGAATGAAGGTTTCTGCGACTTGCTTTTAGGGTCACACTGTCCCTTCCTTGGACTACTGGGAATCATAGCCCTAGCAAACTCAGTTTTCCCTGATCTGGTGATAAAGGACGCAAATTAAAATTGCATTAAGTTCTTTTTGATTCTCCAAAGTTACTTCAAAATAGTTTGTAAATAACAAAGCTATTTTTTAAAACACCCCCTTCAAACCAATTACAAACTATTTTGAATAGCTTGAATATTTGCTTCAAATGATGTTCAGGATGTTTTACAACACCTGGAGGACAGCGCTATACTTGAGAGTTGACTACCTTAAATTGGCTTTTTCAAGCAATTCTTTACGTGACTTGTCTGCTGTGCTTGCCCACACGTAGTAGCTTCTGAATTGTTGCTTTAACCACATTGACTGATTTAACAAAAGAGTTAAAACATCATTTAATTCTGTTGTATATTTCAGTTAATTCTGAGTTTTTCCAACTAAAACAGAATGGGTGGTTGAGTATTTTTCTTTTGCAGATTAGTGCCCAACCTTAAAATTTACAGAGATTCACTGGATTGACTTGGAAGACCACCAGTAATCTCAGAAGTGGCTAAATAACCGGGACAAAAGCATTTACCCAGAAGTGGCTAAATAACTGAGACAAAAGCATTTATGCCTTAGACATGTTTACAGGATGATGGGTCTATGCTGTTTTTTTTTTTTATTTCCTGCCCCCTTTCTAGGAAAATGCAAAAAGTGCTTTTCTTTACACCATTGGACAAATTACTTCAGGATAAATTGAATCCTGTTTACAGTCCAGTAGTTTTATGTAATCAGTTTTTTAAAACCTGAGTTTCAAACAGAAACGCCTCAATCATGTCAAAAACCTGAGTAGTTCTAAGAGTCCTCCTTCTTCTAAATGGTACAGCTGTAAAGAGCAGTGTGACTTTTGTGGGTCCAAGCTCGGGCTCTACTCTTTACTCAAATGTGGTCTTGAACAAGTCCCTAACACTCTCTCAATGTCAAGCCTTCATTGGGCATAATTATATTTACCTTGGTTTTTTGTTTGTTTGTTTTCTGAAAGTCAAATGGCACAATATGAATGTACTCTGTATATTTCAAATGTTAAAAACATTGAGTTGTGGTTTTAGTAATTCTTCTCTTCTTCATAAAGTGGTCAACACCATCACCAATGAGCAATCCTCTTTGTGAGCTTTATTGTATCGGCAATAAGCTGAATGATGGCAAAAGGAGGACAAAGAGGGCTGTCAAATGAGACAAAGGGAACAGTGAGGGCACGGGAAGAAAGACTGGCATATGGTGTGGAGGGGGAGGGGCAAGGCACGAAGATACCGGTCAGTGGAAGAAACACACACATGCACACACCATGCTTCTCCACAAGTAGCTTTTATGTGTTAAAAAAAAAAAAGTGGATAGTAGGGTTAAAATGTCTCTGATCTTTTTTGCCAAATCTTGCCCTATAAAACCAATTGTCAATTTCAAATTGACAGCTGCAGCCCTGACTGCTTAAACAAATGTAACCTCTGTCTCATTTTGCCAGTAAAAAGAAGTCTTTAAATGATATCTTTTAGATTTGTTCTTAGGCCTTTACATGTAACTATCTGTAAAAAAATCTGTAAATCCATCAAATGCAAGGTTTCAGGTGGTGCTCTGGCATGCTGGATGTGTAAGCAGTTCTGGAAATGCCCTCCAGGTGGCATTATCAATAAATTTTTCAGCCTCCAAGTATGGTCCTAGGTCTATTTGAGATTCTGGTTAAAATGCAGATTCCTGAGACCCACTTCAAACTGACCAAATCAATGCCAGTTTGGGTAGCACCTGGGCATCTGCATGCTGTATGAGATTAGTTTAGGGGATTGCTACTCACACGCCAGAGTGAAGATCCCTGATCTGGTCAACATAGGCACCAGCTACAGGGCCCTGGGACCAGATCAGCCTCAGCTGCAGCAGCACCAGGCTGCCTGGGAAGCCCAGCGCTCCTGGGTGGTTGGTAAAGAGTCTTTTCCCTGGAGGAAAGGTAAAGAGTTCTCAGCCCCTCATCTTCCTCAGTCCCTTCTGAATTAAAAGATTGGAGACACTCCATAGGCAGGTTCCTCTCTTGTTTCTTTGCCTTTTATTTATAATCTCGAACGTCACTCGAACCTTTCTGTGTCAGCTTGCTGTTTTAGTTTTGGTTATGATTGGTGAGTCACAGAAAACACAAGCCATTTTTATCTGCAACTAGGACTACTCTCTGTGCATTTGGGCTAAAGGAATCCCTTTTCACCATTTAGGAGGAATGCTGAAGAGAAAGAAAACTTGATATTTAGCGCAGGGGCTAGTGTCATGCATCAATATCTACATCAAAAGACCAGAGGCTTCGGGCCCTCCCCCGCTCACTGTCTGCAGCCTTCACAAGCCTCAGCCAAAGGAAATGGGAGGAAGTGTATTTTTCATAGGAATTAACTCTTGCAGCCAAACAGGCAAATCAGGTGGCTTTAGATTCTTTACCTCATAAATGGCTATGTTGTGCTTTCCTTGTCCAGACTGGCGTTCTGTTTTGTTATAACTTTGCAAATTCAATGAATAGCTTGTAGGTGGGAGGGAAAGAAAAAGCCCATGGAATCTTTATTGCTTTATTTTTAAAAAAAATCCATGGAGTAAGAGAAAGAATGTGACTGCATTTTTATTTATGGTCAATAAGCCCAGATGAATATGTGGTAAAAGTTGTGCAGACTGTCACAAAGCAAATCACCATGTCACAAGAAATATTATTAAATTCTATAATTTCCTTTTCTGAAAGTAGTTCCTCTGTATGGAGTTGGAGAAAGAAAATTACATTCAATATTCACCTTAACTGAAAAGCAGCTGAGTGTGGTGGCTGGTATCCTATAAATAGCAGATCTGTGACCTCATTCCTGTTCTCTCTCTGCCTAGCTGTTTCCAGTTGCAAGTAGAATAGAAAATTGTCAATCATCTGGGCATATAGGCCAGCTTATTTGGATAAATCTGACCCAGTCCTTGTTTTTCGTTAGTGATGCAGGTACTGTACCTCTATTTAAGCAAAAGCCTTCTATGCTCTGTGTTTGTTGCTTTTTGCCTGCACTGCCCAGGTAATTGCAGTTATGTGGAATTGGCCTAACGTGACCTTGGAAAACTGCTTAACCTTTTGGAGCCTCAGGTTATTCATCTGTAAAGTGAATATTGTAGCTGCCTCTTGCTCATTTCAATGGAATGCTTTGAGAATTGATTTGATAGTGTGCATAAAGCAAGTTGACCTCCTCAAAAAGGAATACAATGTATGATTTTATTTCTGGTCTCAAAGCTAGCAGGCCAGGCCTCTCCAGTACAACGTGGTCATTATCTGTGTTTTTGGACTGCCTGGAGAGGAAATTCACACCATTCAGGGCAAAACAATCCACTCCAGTTTCTAAATGGTGGGGATTGTCTATCTATGGAACACAAATTCAACAGATGGTTGCCAACCTTCCACTTGATTTTGTGGCCCTTTAAACTGTGTTCATTAAAACTTCAACTTGCAGACAACTTTATAGAGACTTGGAGGGATGTATGAATGACAGTTTTTGATATAAAGGATATAGCCCATATGAGACATGAATGTCTCTGATTCTCAGAAGACGTTGTTAAATTAACATGTAAAACAGCAAACAAATACTCTATCAGTAACTAAAAGTGCATGAATTGTTTCCCACATGTTTGTGAATATCCTGCTGATGTCAACACTTTGGAACTTCACTAACAAGTATGTTTTGAAGAATTTGAGTACGACCATGTTTCATGTTTAATTTCAAGTTCCTTTTTTTCAGAAGGCGGAACACAAACTCGAACCAAGGTTTTGGGGAAACAGAGACTGAATCTGTTTCTGTTTTTGTTTTATAAACTTTACAGAGATATATAATGCCATAGCACTTTTTATTTAAGGCTGGCAGAATTTGTTTATTCTCCTTTTCTCGTGTGGGCATGCATTCATACATGTATTTACTATTTAGCCTGTGGAGTTTTTATTTATTTAGCAAATGCCTTGTTTTATTGAACATTTTGGCTATTTTCTTGGACCATTTTGTTGCAAGAAATAAATGTGATACTTTAAATGATTTCTTTCTTTTTCTATCAACTTGGGAGCCAAAATAAAATTGACATTCTCAGAAAACAAAGGTGCTGTAGAACTCGAAAACATTTACCCTGAAATAAAAATTTGTATTTACTTAGAGCTCAGTTTCTGTTGAAAAACAAACATCATAGACCCTCAGAAAAAGAAGAGAAGCCCCCTGCTGACACATTCTCTTATTGATTGATGATGTTGTCTTGGCAGAGCAGCTTCAGAAATGCAATCAGGGAACAAATGGGCCTGGTTTTATTCAATAAAATACCCTCTTAAAAAAAGAAAAGAAATCTTAAAATTCAAAGAATTGTATTTGAAACTGGTGAAATATAATTCTGTGAGTTTATTCTTTGAAAAATAAAGAAAATGGGATTGTTCTTTGGCCTTATTCCTATGACATAAATCTGATTTGAAGGACACTGGGCCATACCATAAAGTGTAACATTGTTCAAGAGATACGCATAAATGAGAGCATGGTTCCTCAGTTTCCTACTGTATCTGCCCCTTCTGAGTCAATCAAGCCTAGCACCGGCCTGAGCTGAGAACTATATACTACTGAAGGGGCCACTGAGATAGGTATACAAGGCTAAGCATAGCCAAGGTTTATGAAACATTCACAGTGGGCCAGCTACAGTGCGTTATAGGTGTTAAATTATCCTCTGACTGGCCTATTACAATAGACTTCATTACACAGATGAGGAAATGGTACAGAGGGGTTAAGTCACCAGTCAAAGATCACACAGCTAGGGAAGATCAGATCCGGGATTTGAACTTCAGTAGACTGATTCTAGAGTTCATCTCTTCACTGTTAGACTTACACCACCACCTCTCTTAATTAAAATAATAAATAAATGAACCCTTAATACATTGAAAACTTTTAGTACAGAAATAATTTCTGAATTGTCATGTTTCCATTCTCTAGTTTTAGGCATTCTTTAATTATTTTTTGCTATCTATTTCTCCAATGGGTTATATCTATTACTTTACTATATAATGCCTTTGAATCCGTATGTAAGAATTTAACTTAGCTCATAAGTTGCTTTTTTGCTGCTGTAGAAGTTTATAAAATTATTTCCAATGTAAATCTGTCCTCTGTTTAGTTTTCACTTTTTTTCTGTCCTAAATAAAAATGTATGTCTTACATTTTTCAAATTATAATTTTAACATTTTATATTCACATCTGTGTTTTCCTCTGTAGTCTAATGTTTTGTGTGTTTTGGAGGTCATAGGGATTGGTGTCTTTTTAATGTGGGTGTCCCTTCTTCACCACTATCCCCCCCCATTTGGGGAATTATGTTTATGTTTTAGTTCTCCATTCATGCATTAGCGGAATTGTTTGTGATAATAACAGGAAGCAACTTAAGAACTTCCTAACCATTTATAAAACACTAAAAGTGGAGTTTTGATATTTGAAAGAACATGTGTTGAAAGTTCAGATTATGGTGATCCTTCCTTTAGGTCCTGACAGAATTTTATATGTGCACAAGTGGGCTCTTGTTCTATTTTCTATTAGGGAATTTGACTCTACTCTCAAAGATTTCGAACTCAATGCTAAAAATCATTTAAAGGCTGGCACATTGATGCTCTTGTGGAGCATAGGTGGCAAAAACTAAAAGGCAGGAGGTCTGAAGCTTTTGTATCATTGCAACACTTTTCCTGTTTCTGCACTGTTTTAGTCAATTTGGGGTTCTGTAACAAAATACCATGGACTGGGTGGCTTAAACGACAAGAATTTATTTCTCACAGTTCTGGAGGCTGGTAAGTCCTGGGTCAAGGTGCAGGGCTGATTTGCTTTCACAATGATGGCTTTCTTCCTGACTTGCAGATGGCTACCTTCTCCCTGTGTCCTCACATGGCAGAAAGAGATAGAAAGGAAGCTCTCTGATGCTCATAAAAGCAATAATCTTATCATGAGACTCCCCTTCTATGACCTCACCTAAACCTAATTACCTCATAAATATCATGACATTGAAAGGTAATAACCTGAATTACCTCACAAATATGACAGTGGAAGTTAGGGCATCAACATGTGAATTTTGAGGGGACACAATTCAGTCCATAGCACTCACTCACAGTCTTTTCTGATGCCAGGCTGTTGATATGGAATCTTCCCTTAAATTCTCTTCTACACCGAAAACTTGATCAGTCCTTATAGGATGGCGTTGACTTTAGTAACAATAATTTCAAAATAAATGTCCAGCAAAAAAAACCCCAACAAACAAGTAAAAAACCTCATTAAATGAGATCATAAGTTCGAGTTGCCCAGGTCCCTTCATTCGAAATTCAAAAGCTCGCCTACCAGGTAGAGGGACTTCCTGGAATGCTGGGGAGTGAGTTGAGTCAGTGTGCATCCTGAGCAACTGTGCTCTAGATTACTTCTATTTCCTGGAGCAAAGTGTTTTCTTTCAGACAAGTAACACGACATAACTGAGGATCAAATTTATTTTGGAAGTTTTATAAAAATTCAGCAAGCAAAACCTTTTAAAAATGCCATACATGCCATGAACTAAGATGAATTGATAGTGAGTACTCCAAAGCATTTTATCCAGAGAGTGCAGAACATTTTGAAACCCATCATTAGGAAGAGATGCTCTTACTGGAATTTATTAGACAACTAGAATAAAATAAGAAATGTAGTAAATATCTCAATCAGGACTTCTGGGAACTTGAGTCTTCTGTAGATGGCTTTTAGGTTTTCCAATTTTGTTTGCCCTTTTAGGTAAAATATCAATAGTTCATGATGAAATTATTGAAAAAAAAACTGAGTGACTAATTTTCAATCTCCTGCTTTCCATCCTAGAACCATATGAATTGTTAAGACTTTCAGTTGTCTTGGTTACTTCTGCTTAGAGACGGTAAATGTAGGTATTCCTTGGAAGATGTTTGGCAGAAGAAGGAAAAGAGAGAGGGGCTTGAAAGAAAACTATGATTAAGGGAAGGGTTAAGTTAAAACTAGTTTTAATCAGAAGATCCATGTCTCATTTCTTCATCTATGCTTATTTACAAAGTTATTGTAATTAAATGAAGCTGATTGTCTACTACTTGGTAGGCATCGTAGTATTCCCTCGAGATGCAAAGGCAACTTTTATTTATTTATATTTATGTTTATTTATAATTATCATTGTTGCACAAATGATTTGAAGTAAGAGGAATATAAACTACCTTCAGGCTGCCCTTTGATCCCTTTAAGGGATCAAAGTCCATCAGAAGGTAGACAGCTATAGAAAAATGATGATACAATGTGAGTAAGTGCTGTTACGAAGAGATGGGCAAACAGCTTTGGGAACATAGTGGGTATAGTAACTCTATTAACAATCTGTTAACTTTGAGTTGCTTCTTTCATTGATTCCTTAAAATCTATGTGATTCTATTACATGCCCCAAGAGGAGTTTTAAGTTCCTGGACTAAGCAAAAAATCTGGAGTAACACAGTACATAATCTGTCTAGGGAAGGAGTCCTGCTACATTTTCTAAATTCAGGGACAATTTAGTCTTTCTGAATCCCCACAGGGCAGAAGCACACATGATCTAGAATCAGTCTCCAAAGATTTTAAGCTTATGTATGAGCATTGACTATGCCCAGAATTCCTGGGTTAACCAATGAGTCTTCTCCTGAGATCCTGCTATTAACAGGGGAAGTATATTGATCTTTGAAACATTTCAGTTACAACAGTGATAGTTGTGTTTGTTTCCTTTCGGAAGAAAAGGAAAACTGGGGGAGGGGAGCTAAGGACTCAAGGAGTGCAAATACTCTTTTGTGGTATGTGTTCTGCCTGTACAGAACTTTCTTTTCCCTAATCTGTATTCATTATATGTAGTTATCTATAGTTGAGACCAGAATGTGATGCTAAGTAGAGACATAGGTAATTATCTGATTTCCTTTCTTACTTTGGCAAATGAATACATGTTTGGTTGAAGCTGATTGTGAGCCACTTAACATGAACAGGTGAAGTCAAATTTTGTAACGTTGGGCAATAATATTTTCTGTTGTACTAGTAGGTTTAAAAGTTATAATTATGTACATTTCATATTACAGCTTCTTCTACACCTTCTGTTAAATGTAAATTCATACTGAGTCTCAGCAAATTAGTTCTTTTGTTTTATTCCTGCAAGAGGATAAACGAAAAGTTTTAAAATAGGAAACCCAGTGATTTTTCATACTCTCTTCTCCAGGGTGTGTTGTGGAGGGATTCACTGGCAAATCAACTTATTTATCACAGTAATACAGAGGTCAATATATTTCTGACTGCCTGTTCTAGCTCCCAATAGAAAGTGTTAATCACAAGTATTTTCTAAATGGAGTGATGACAGATGTTACCAAAATGTCCCTAAAAATTGTTATAAATTAGTTGGCACGTGCGTGCACATACACAACACACAAACACACAGATGTGAAAGATGGCAGAAATGCTTCTCTTGTTTGGGAGGGAGCTCAAGGTAGCTTGAAATTTAGTAATTATCCAAGTACTTGTGAAGAAGCAGGCAGCATTTTTCAAATTCCAGAAGGAATCACTGCAAGGGGGGGACTAGAGAACTAGCTAGGAGAGTGAGAATTGTATCCTGGGGGAGGGGAAGAGAAGGGACAGCTTTTTATACCTTTCTTTTATAGGAAAAAAGAGCAGCCAGCAGAAACTAGATGAGGATCAACATGGGGTGAGGGTGGAGGGGCTAGCAACTGCTGAGACAGTCAATAGGCAGATTGTTCATCACGCATTGCCAGAAGATTAGCTGAGCAAATGCACAGACAATGCTGATTACTGACTTGAAATGCATCAGTTCTTACTGGGGAGAACAAAGACGGTCAGATCACTGCCCTACAGCCTAACGGCAATAATGGAACCCAGCTATGCTCAACATAATGTTTACAGCTGAGAAATGTGGGCAATGTGTCTATTTGTTTGTATTCACTAAATTTCTCTCATCTCAGGAATGGCCTCAAGAGATATATATCTTATTTCTAGCAGGTTCTCAAGAGACAGCAGTCCTATAATCACACCCCTGCATATTTCAGCCCCTTGTGAGTTGTGTATTTCTTTCCACTTAATCTGAGAAGGCAGATATCATTGAATTGTCACAACTTGGCCTCCTTTTTTACACTGACCTTGCAAACGCAGGTAATTATATTTGAAAAAAAAAATTAATGCTTCTCACATATTATTTACTTATATAAAGAACTGCTATCAACAGTTGTAACTATATTAGAGTATTTTAAAGTTATGAAGTAAAGTGGAAAATAGTTCCTTTTTATCTTTTCTGTGAATATTTTTCAGACAAAGCCTGTGTATTATTTGTTTTATCTTGACCTCCTTTCTTATTATGAATTCAGAGACGTTTAGCACTTTTATTCCATCACCCCCTTTTGGAGCTTTGTTTTGGGCACCTAGGAAATAGAATATGACCTTGGGTTGGCATTAATTCTGAGATACTAGAAATTTTCATAAGAAACTCTTTATGTGATATTACTGTAACCATCAAACACAGCCTTTCCATTTAGTTGATATTATAATTAAACCTAATAATAGCATCCCCCCTTTACATTTTCTTTACATATGTAAAAATAATCTTAGTGTTATTTATAGATTTGTGTTAGTCTTTATTAGAAGCCTTTTTTCTTTGGATAAAAGAGCTTTACTTTAGTCATAATGCTCTTAACAGGATTCATCTAGAAGAAAAGCACCATAAGGCTGATGTGTCTTTCTCAATCCTCATTGACATTTTATACCTTATTGGCTTGCAGTTTCTCTTTCTCTTTTGTTTTATCTTTGTATTTTTTTAAATGCCTAACACTTTCTTACTTCTTACTTGTTTTATTTTTTTACTTACGAACACCTGATTAATTCAGGAGACTCTTCTCTAAATTAGAAAAACTTTCAAAAACCAGATTATTTTCTGGGAATACAATTTTCTTTTTTACCCCTGTTCTTTTCTCTTGTTTGCAGTTAACCATGTCATTGTTAACATATAAACAGTTTGGAAAGAATTATTTGCACCACATTTAAGAGAGAGCAGATTGTTAACCATAATATATAAAGAACTCTCACAAATGAATATTTTAGAAAAACATACAAAAATCCAATGACAAAAGGAGGCAAAGGTTATAAATAAATAATTCAGAGATGAAGTGCAATAGGTAACAAACATATAAAAAAAGTCATTCTTACCGATAAACTGTATTAAATGGAGATTGAAAATAAAATCCTCATCATATTGACAAAAATTATAAAAGATGGATAATATCCAGTGTTGGCAAAAATATGGAGAACAGAGTAATGGTATAATTTTGTTAGTGCTTTATTTTTAATCAACTTGACAACATCTATCAAAATGTAAAATTGTATACTTTTTCATCTGTTAATGCCTTTTCCAAAAATTTATTCTATGAAAAACTCAGATATGAGCATCAATAACTTTTCAGTATCTTTTTTCCTCTTTCAAGATTATTTATAAAGAAAAATTAACCAATGAAAGTGATGTTACATTTACAACATGGAATACTATATAGCAGTTAATGAGAATGATGTCCTAACGTAGAAATGTTCTATATAATACATTGAATTCAGAATGAAAAATATGCATTGAATGATCTCAGGCTGGGTGCGGTGATATAATTCCAGCACTTTGGGAGGCTGAGGTGGGCAGATCACCTGAGGTTGGGAGTTTGAGACCGGCCTGACCAACTTGGAGAAACCCTGTCTCTACTAAAAATACAAAATTAGCTGGGTGTGGTGGCACATGCCTGTAATCCCAGCTACTTGGGAGGCTGAGACAGGAGAATCACTTAAACCTGGGAAGCGGAGGTTGCGGTGAGCCGAGATGGTGCCATTACACTCCAGCCTGGGCAACAAGAGCGAAACTCCATCTCAAGAAAAAAAAAAATCTCATAGATGTAAAAGAAAAGGAAAAAACAAACAAACAAACAAAAAAGACCTCTAAACCTGTGTGTAAAAGTAAAACAAATATCTGGGAAGGTAACACCAAACTGCCACACAGTTAACTCTGAGGAGAGACTGGATTGCAGCATAATAAAATGAAGGAATTACTAACTTGTTCTAGATTTTTACAGTTACGTTTTATTTTGGTAACACAAACCAATGAAAAGAATGTACTTTCAAGTGCACAGCTTAATTCAAATTAAGCTAAAGGGAATGTTTGCTAATAGTGGTCTGCAGGAAGTAAGCTTTAATGAATGAATGAGAACATTGTGTTACTTGTGACTAGATCATCATATAAAGGTAGTTCTGCTATAGTGCTTGTCAATAAGATTGATATATTAGTAATTAAGTGCAGCATAACACAATGTTGTGTTATGTATGATTTCATCCATGTGTGGTTCCTCATCTATGACTTCATCCACGAGAAATACTAGGTAAGTGCAAACAACTGGACCCAGCTCGGTTGAGTCACAAGAAAAATGCAAAATGTACACACACATCTCAAGCATCTACCATCTGTATCAGTTTACCACGTGGATTATGAGTTGCATCCATCCACATCTGTTGTTATAGCTTTCATCTGATTCTAGACAACCCTCCTTTACTACTTCACGATAACTCAAAACTAAAACTCCTGACATTCATTTTCACAAGCAAATGTCAAGTTTTTCTTCAAAATCAAGTGCTGTATTTATTGAGGTATGTATGTATTAGTTAACTGTTTAATACATGTAAAGTCATGCTACTGTTTTTATTAGGTTCCTATATTATGTTTAATTTGTTGTTGACAAACTCTTTGAGTATTGTATCTTAACACGATTTTTCCCAGAACCTCTGGCTTTTATTGCACGATTTCACATAGGATGGCACTTTTAAGGAATACATATGCATTATCGTAGAACTGATTGTACTCAATATATAACAAACCAGTAAACTTTGGAGCTTTTCACTCTGCAGTGATGGGAGTCAATGAATGGCATTTATTGAAGAGAATTATCAGTAGGTTCTCATGTTTCTGCCCATCTCGTGAGAAAAGTGGCTTTCTTCTAGAATATATTTTCAAGGATATTTGTACAGCAAACAGCTTTGGAAATTAGAGACAGTATCTCCTGTTGGAATAAAGGGCAGATTTGTTTACAGCCTTGCATGAGGAAGTATTTCTCCCCCAGAACAATGAGCAGGTATGCTTACTGTCCAGTATAAGACATTCAGTTCTCCAAGTTCAGGATTTTTCTCATGGTGCATTCAGGTGTCACTTGATGCTGTTTGTATCACCCCATGGGAACTAAGTCTTGGAGAATGAGTAAAAAAATGACATTTCTAGGGCCGGGTGCGGTGGCTCATGTCTGTAATCCCAGCACTTTGGGAGGCCACGAGGCAGATCACGAGGTCAGGAGATCAAGACCATCCTGGCTAATATGGTGAAACCCCGTCTCTATTAAAAATACAAAAAAAAAAAAAAATCAGCCGGGCATGGTGGCGGGCGCCTGTAGTCCCAGCTACTCAGGAGGCTGAGGCAGGAGGATGGTGTGAACCCAGGAGGCGGAGCTTGCAATAAGCTGAGATGGTGCCCCTGCACTCCAGGCTGGGCAACAGAGCGAGACCCTATCTCAAAAAAAAAAAAAAACAAAAACAAAAAAAACAAACATTTCTCTGGCTACTACTGTTGCTATGAATAATAAACTTTCTTTTGTTTTTCATTCATGAGTCTTATGTCTCTTGCCAGAATTAATGAAACTGTGGCAGACCAATAGGTTGACTTGCAAATAAAGTAGAATCTCAGACCCTTCACATTTCTTGAACAACGTTCTGCATGGTATCATGGTATTACACAGGTGTCTCCATAAAATCATTGGTCAATATATTTCAGAACCCTCATGCAAAGATGACAATCATTAAATACCCTCTTGTTTTTCATGTTTAAGGATAATGCATTCAATAAAAGATAACAAAAGGGTGCACTGAAGTACTTGAACTGAGCAGTGGTATGGAGAATATTTCTAGTTTTCATTTTACTTCATTGAATGAACAACTCTGTGCTCATGTTACCTAAAATGAGAGTTAATTAGGTTATATGTTTTGCTATATGTAATGGGCTATCTTTGAAATTCTTGGAAATAACTTATTCACTGAAGTGTAAATAATTCTGCTACAGTTTCATTGATTTGATCAAATGATATATATTAAGTTTCTGTCCTATACAAAGCTCTGTGAGGGATACAAAAATGACTAAGTACTTTCTGTGCTTTCAAAGTGTGCATTCTAATATGGGAGATGAAATAAAAGGAAACATAAACATTATGCAAGGCGGGAAATGTTAACTACGGCATCATAGGAACCAATAAAGGATTACCGATGTTCTGAAGGGAGAAAGATGGAGGAAGACTTCAGGAGAAGGACTTTTAAGGAGAGCATTTGAAGAGTGGGAAATTATGTGGAGGCAGGAAAGTTAATGAGCTAGTGGAAGAAAGGCCTGGAAAGAGGAATTGGGACCAAATTCCCAGACACAAAGGATCAAGAATGGTTAAGAATACTTATTTCATTTATCCTAAGATAGACGTTTTTAAAATTGGAGCATCTCTGTAATGCAATTAATAACCTACAGTATTTTACAATCTCTGACATTTTTCAATTTCTCTAAGTCAGGTGACAGTCATTCCAGAGTGGTACAAAAAATTTTTTTGACAATTTCTGATAAGATCAAGGACAGGCCAGAAGGAATCCACTTTAGATTAATGTGACTATATTAATATCATTGAAGGGTAGAAATATAAAACCTTGAGAGTGACCTTTAGAATTTTTGGGACTATCTCCTGGCTAACATACCTAAATAAAAACAAACATAATATTTGCCAAGTATTAAATTACCACTGTTTGCTAGCCTTGTCTTAGAATTTAAGCCATTGCCATATTTAGTTCTCACAAAATTCTTGAGACAGAGATCAGCTCATTCTTAAGGCTAAGGAAAGAGGTCAAGAAAAGTTTTAAGTAGTGCAAGGTTAGAGACCTAGTAAGTAAAACTTGAATCTCGATAGTTTTAGGATTTAATTCCAGTTCTTGCTTACTCTCACAACTATTCTGTTAATTATGCAATTTCTTTTATAGCACATCTTTGCTCTAAAAGCTTCTCCCACTTTAATTAATATTAGTGATGCAGTATTTTTCTTGACCCCTTCATCGGACTTGCAACAGGGCTATCCTGTGTACTTGGCCTGCTGCTCTCAACCCCTTGAGGGAGGGAGAACGTGAGCAAGCAAGTATGGGATCCAGCTGGCTGCTTCGGGTGCTGTCAGGAGCAGGCTCTGTGCGGGCCCAGCGGCAGCAACCCGATGGGGATGACTGTGACGCCTGAAGCTCCAGAGGGCATGTTACAATGCTCTCTTAGTTCCACCGTCCATGGACAGTGGTATGTTATCAGTTCAGTGGGCCTTTTGCCTCATTGCATGGGGTAGATGCCTTCCACCAGCAAGGGCAAAGGGCCAGTATGACAGCCTTTTTTTGGGTACCCTTACTCGGTAAGTCCTGAGCTCTTGTCCATCATCCAAGAAGAATGAGGTCGCCTGGACACTTGAAAGATGGTGAAGGGAGAGAATTTTATTAACAGATGGAAATGGTTCTCATTGGGGAGGGGAATGGTGAGGGGACGGGATGAGCAAGTAATCTTTCCCCAAAGTCTGGCCGTCTCTGGCCAGCTCTTCCTTGAATTCATTGTTTCTCCAAAGTTAATCCATCTCTCCTCTGAAATCCAGCCATCTCCCTGAAGTCAAGTTACCTCTCTCCAGTCAGGCTGCTTCTCTCTCTCTACCAGCTGAGCCTGGGGTCTTTATAGGCACAGGATGGGGGCGGGGGTGGGGCAGGCTGTAGGTAGTTTTGGAAAAGGCAACACTTGATTGATAAAAAGACATTATTCAGAAAGAATCAATTGGGAGAGTGCAGGCAAACAGGGATAGAAGTTGTCACTTAGGGCCATGGGTTTCAGTCTTTTTAGGTCAAAGGTGGGGTTTTGCCAGGGACCAGCCCCTGTCTACCTAGAATTTATCTGCCTCCTGCCTCTATCATTAGTAATATATTTTAAAATCTACAAGTAATTTTACAACTACTTATATTTTCTGCATTCTTTTCAATTAATACATAAGAGAGATGAGACCCAGAGAGGTTGAGTGATTTGTACAAAGTCACACAGCAAGGCAATACAGTGTACAAGGTTCCTATATAGCTTGAATATCCAATGCTAAGCAATCTGAGAAACACTATCACGCATGTTGCATGACAAGCTTGGTCATTTATTGGCAGATTTAATTGTTGAATTTTCACTGGTGTTCTAAGAAAGTTCTGCTTGTAGATTTTACAAACCCAAAACACTCCATCCCTCACATTTCTTTTTCACTCCCTCTAGTGTTTAAAATACATTGTGCATTTGCTTTTCCATCATTACTTTTTGTCCTACATCAATGAACCCTTGGATTTGATTGTCCCAGACTGACCTTACCTGAAAGCTTTGTTTTTAATTTACAGCTTTTATAGCTTGAATGTGAACTTTGCTAAAAAATTGATGAACCTGAATGTGAAGTGAGATGACTTATATTGGCATATTGGAGGAAAATAACTTATTAAAAGCCAGTGAGATAAACCCAAATTGCATTGAGTCAAGATGTTGGATTAAAATTTTTTCACGTGGGCTGGGTGTGGTGGCTCACACCTGTAATCCCAGCACTTTGGGAGGCTGAAGCGGGCGGATCATGAGGTCAGGAGATCGAGACCATCCTGGCTAACACGGTGACACCCTGTCTCTACTAAAAATACAAAAAAATTAGCCGGGCATGGTGGCGGGCGCATGTAGTCCCAGCTACTCAGGAGGCTGAGGCAGGAGAATGGCGGGGCTTGCGGTGAGCCAAGATCGCGCCACTGCACTCCAGCTAGGGTGACAGAGTGAGACTCCATCTCAAAAAATAAAACAAAAAAAGAAAAAAGAAAAATGTTTTCACATGGGTGAAATAGCCAACATGGGACAGTGTGTTAGAGAGTTTCAAGTCAGTAAACACTTAGAATTTTATTTGTTAAAATATTCTTTTGTGATTAGGGCTCTTTAACGCAAATATTGC
This sequence comes from Homo sapiens, assembly GCF_000001405.40. Taxonomy (NCBI): domain Eukaryota; kingdom Metazoa; phylum Chordata; class Mammalia; order Primates; family Hominidae; genus Homo; species Homo sapiens. Next base: position 139,896,301 of record NC_000006.12, read on the forward strand.
TTTAACTCAAATATTGCTTTCCTAGCTAAGTTTTTATTTAATTTTGTATTAAAATAATAAAATCTTGAAATCTGTGGGCTTCATATGAAAAAATCAGAAAGGATACATGCTTCTGACTCCGTTCTCTGAGTTTGACTTAATTTGCTGTGTTGGATTATGAATTGGATTGCTTTGAGTGGTTATGAACATTTAACAGTTCACCCCAGACTTAAACCATGTGTTATTTTCTTAATCTCCAAATTATATGCTAGTTTAGGATATTCATTTGAGACTTATTTAACATGAATAAACTAGGCCCATTTTATATCTTGGAGGAATTAAATTTTGGATTAGTTGAGTAATAATCAACATTATTAGAACTAGTCATGATGGAACCCAACATATGTGAGGGAATGTATACAGTACAATAGCATGAGCATGAAATATCCAGCTGATTCATAATAATAGTCCTAAAAATTCTCAGTAAAAATTGATAAACCAGTGAGGTTTTTTGACATTGAAATTCCACTAACAGTGCTTTAATATCTAAGTAGATAAGCCAAGCATGCCCTTTCTTACAGGAACTAAAAATATTGAGACATATTTTAGTAAAGTCAGATTCTTTGTGAGGAGTTGGGTTGATCTATATGTGTTAGCTGCATATATTTTAGATTTAATAGAGAAAGTTTATCATATTCATTATCACTCTCAGTTTTGGCACCTGATAAAAATAAAAAATTAAGTTTTAAAACATTATATACACATTTAAGTATACATAAATGGGATGTAATATATGAGATGTTATATGATAATATTATTTCAAATCAATCTTCCCTTCAATTTTCTTTTACACTTTTGGGAACCTAATTTTAGATCTCCTGTGGAACACTGGCATGTCAAGGATGACTGACAGTGGTTCAGTTTGCATGGGAACCCAATGGGTCCTCACACAGATTTCCTGGCTGATTGGATGAAGGTGCTTCTCAAAAAAAATAATAATAAAAATAATAATGATAAGTGTTTCTTCAACCTCTAAATATTTCCCTGTAGGGGCAGGAAAGTTAACAAGGGATCGTAGTTTTCTGACTTGGCCCTGTCAACTTCCAACTCCCCACATAACCACTACATAAACTCATCCAGTAAGCGAAGCTCCATTTATTAGACTTACAGCAGTATAGGGAAATCACCAAAGTCAAAGTTAAATATCAAATTAAAGTTCAGAGCTAGAAAGTGGCAGGTAAAAATCCAGAACCTTAAAACAGCTAAAAGGAAAGAAAATTGCTGAGAAAATTAAAAATAAGACATGCAGATTAGAGTGTGACCAGCCATGGGTCTTGTTGGTGGGTCTGGCATAGAAGCTATTTACAGTAATCGTTATCCAAAATTTTTGAGTGGAAGCTTTCTTTTCCCAAATGTCATATGCTTTTGGAAGATTCCTAACAATGTTTCATCATCAATGATAATGGTTGCCTTTTTAATTGAGAAAGATGGCTGAAAGAACCCACACCTTAGACTTTTACTTTTGTGTTAGTTGTTCACAGTACCTGATATGCCTTTGTCAGATAAATAAATTTTCTTCTCATGAATATTTTTCATTGACAATATGCTGTTAAATTTGTCATTTAAAATTATGTATAAGCCTTTGAATTAATGTTCATATATTTTGTGTATGTAATATATATATTTATAGGTATTTATATATTTTTATGTATTGCTAAGACATACATACATCCATGCAAAGAGAAGATAAAGTTGAAGCTTTTAATCTTATCTTTTAAATGTAATTAACTTAATCGCTTATATATTATCAATATGCATGTATTATTTTTACATTACCATTTTAATAAACTGAAAAAAATTCCCTTAATGAACTTTCAAACCATATTTATTATCTTGCATACATGTTCCTCTTTCTCTGTAATCATTTATATTAATTATAACCTGTAACTAAAGGAGCTCACTTTTGGTTTTGTGGATAATTGAAAAAACTAGAAGGTAGTACATAAAAAATTATCTAGATATTTTTTCATGAGCACTTATTTTATACAGTATTAACACATTTTAAGATGACAAGATAAGCATATGCAAAATATAATTTAAAGGGATTCGCATATCTTGTTTAATAGAAACCAATTCCGTGTATAAAAGTAAGAAAAAAGAGTTATTTAAGGAAAGTTTAATGACCAATGTTTTTACCATTTTTCTTTGTTCTTCTTTTCAAAGACATTCAAATTTGTTAACCTTTATTTGATGATTATCTATTAAAGGTTTTTTTAATGTGTGAATTTTTTTAATAAAACTTTTATTTTAGGTTCAGAGGTACATGTGTAGGTTTGCTATATAGGTAAACTCATGTCATGGGGCGTTTATTGTACAGATTATCTCATCATCCAGGTATTAAGCCCAGTACCAAATTGTTACTTTTTCTGATCCTCTCTCTCCTCCCACCCTCCACCCTCAAGTAGGTGCCAATGTCTGTTGTTCCCCTTTGTGTCCATGATTTCTCATCATTTAGCTCCCACTTTAAATCAAGACATGCAGTATTTAAGTTTCTGTTCCTGTGTTAGTTTGTTAAGGATAATGGCCTCCAGCTCCATCCATGTTCCAATAGAAGGCATGATCATGTTCTTTTTATGGCTGAGTAGTATTCCATGGTGTATATGTATCACATTTTCTTTATCTAATCTGTCATTGATGGACTTTTAGGTTGACATCCATGTCTTTGCTATTGTGAATAGTGCTGCAATAAACATTCATGTGCGTGCATGTGTCTTTATGGTAGAATGATTTATATTCCTCTGGGTACATACCCAGTAATGGGATTACTGGGTTGAATGAGAGTTCTGTTTTTAGCTCTTTAAGGAATCGTTACACTGCTTTCCACAATGGTTGAACTAATTTACACTCCCACCAACAGTGTGTAAGTGTACCCTTTTCTCTGCAACCTCACCAGCATCTGTTATTTTTAAAATTTTTAGTAGCCATTCTGACTGGTGTGAGATGGTATCTGATTATGGTTTTGATTTGCATTTCTCTAATGATCAGTGATATTGAGCTTTTGTTCATATGCTTGTTGGCCACATGCAGGTTTTCTTTCGAAAAGTGTTCATGTCCTCTGCCTACTTTTTAATGGGGTGTTTTTTCTTGTACATTTGTTTAAGTTCCTTGTAGATGCCAGAAATTAGACCTTTATCAGATGCATAATTTGCAAAAATGTTCTCTCATTTTGTAGGTTGTCTGTGTACTCTGTTGATAGTTTATTTTGCTGTGTAGAAGCTCGTTAGTTTAATTAGGTCCTATTTGTCAATTTTTGCTCTTGTTTATGTTGCTTTTCAAGACCGATTTTGAAATCTTCAACAGCAATCATGATGGCATCTTCATCATGAAATCTTTGCTTGCTCTTATGTCCAGAATGATATTGCCTAAGGTTTTTATCGTTGTGGGTTTTACATTTAAGTCTTTAATCCATCTTGAGTTGATTTTTGTACATGGTGTAAGGAAGGGGTCCAGCTTCAATCTGCATATGGCTAGCCAGTTATCCCAGTACCGTTTATTGACTAGGGAGTCTTTTCCCATTGCTTGTTTTTATCAGCTTTGTCAAAGATCAAATGATTATAAGTATGCAGCCTTATTTCTGAGCTCTCTATTCTGTTTCATTGGTCTATGTATCTGTTTCTGTACTAGTACCACACTGTTTTGGTTACTGTCACCCTGAAGTCAGGTTAACGTGATGGCTCCAGGTTTGTTCTTTTTGCTTAGTATTGCCTTGGCTATTTGGGCTCTTTTTTTTGTTTCATATGAATTTTAAAATAGCTTTTGCTCCTTCTGTGAAGAATGTCATTGGTAGCTTGATAGGAATAACACTGAATCTATAAATTACTTTGGGCAGTGACCATTTAATTATATTGATTCTTTCTATCCATGAGCAAGGAAAGTTTTTCCATTTGTTTGTGTCATCTCTGATTTCTTTGAGCAGCATTTTTTCCTATTTAGGACATGTCTCTCTATCCAAAAACAATTTATTAGTTAATTCAATTTAATATAAGGCTAAAGTCTTAAAGTTGACTACAGATTTGGAAATTATGAGTTAAATTGATAGGCTAAATTTTATGGCATATTAATAGCATTATGAGAATACACAATATTAACAAGATACCTATTATTTGGTGTTATTTAGTCAAACACTTTTCAATATATGTTTGTAACCTAAATTATTGAGAGAAATGATAATAATTTAATAGACTCACAGAATTAATGAAGGAAAAATTTAAAGTTTAAAATATGAGAAACTAAACCCATATCATGTCTTAATGGACATTGAATGGTACAATGAAACCATTGTACTCACATTATTTTTTCTACTAACAATACTAGGGAGATGACTGAAATTGTTTTTAAGCTTGATCACCCTAATTTGTCTAAATAATAATCTATTTATACTGCATGAACATTAAAAATATAAATTTACCTTTGTATTTGTATATCAGAAAAATATATTAAGACTTATATATTCATGTCAAAAGGTTTATATGCCTAGCTTTAATTTTTACCATTATCCAAACTCATAAGTAAACTTTTTCTTCTGATTTACAGTTTTGGCGAGGAAAAAACATACGACATTAGAGCAATTTGTTTTTGTTTTGGAAAATTCTTTATTGTTTACCTAGGCTGCATATTCCTAGAGTATGTACGTAGTGACAAAAAGATTATTTTTTATTAATTTCTAAAATTACCCAGGAGACAAAACAAAACAGTAGAAGAGGAAGGGAGAAAAAAGTGAGAGGCAGCAGGTTTCAGATAGATATTAAATTATTAATGCAGATGGCAAATTGTCTTATCCTCTGCAAGGAGATGAGATAGCTTAGATTCATGAAAACTCATTTTGGCATGCATACACGTGTGTGCACTCATTCACATATACACACACAACAGAGAGAGAAAGAGATTGAAAATCATTATAGGTGATTTGAACAGAGAGGAGGTGCATAGGCAAAGTAAGTCCATTCCAAGTAGTGAAGAATTTCACTTGGCTTTTTACAATTTCATCAAGTTGTATGCTTTTTAATTGTTCATCTGCCTTTGACATATGGTCATGAAAGAGGAAGAGTTTATTCTGTCAAAGAAAGAGACCTCACTTTGAGACAGAGGAGTCAGTTAGACAATCTTTCTATAAGGGTTTCTTTTTATTTTAATGCCTCTTTCAAATAAACACTATTGTTTATGGTAAAGGTTTCCCAAAGTAACCACTGAAATTTTAGATCAATCCTGGTGTAATTATTTTAGAGGGATATGCACATGAGTTAACACAAGAAAAAAGATCCTGTGTAGATGATAAAAGTCAAAAAAGGTAGTTCTACTTTGTGTCTCTAGAATCTGGTCAAAGATGAGTTGATAACAGCTGGGGGCCTAATATGGCTTGGCTGTGTGTCCTCACCCAAATTTCATCTTGTAGCTCCAATAATTCCCATGTGCTGTGGGAGGGACATGGTGGGAGATGATTGAATCATAGGGGTGGGTCTTTTTTATTTTGGAAAATTCTTTATTGTTTACCTGGGCTACATATTCCTAGAGTATGTACATAGTGACAAAAAGATTTTTTTTTTTATCAATTAATGATTGATATTGAATGGGTCTTATGAGACAGACCTGATGGTTTTAAAAACAGGAGTCCTGGCCGGGCGCAGTGGCTCACACCTGTAATCCCAGCACTTTGGGAGGCCGAGGTGGGTGGATCACGAGGTCAGGAGATTGAGACCATCCTAGCCAACACGGTGAAACCCCGTCTTTACTAAAAATACAAAAAATTAACTGGGCGTGGTGGCGGGTGCCTGTAGTCCCAGCTACTTGGGAGGCTGAGGCAGGAGAATGGCGTGAATCCAGGAGGCAGAGCTTGCCGTGAGCCGAGATAGTGCCACTGCACTCCAACCTGGGGGACAGAGCGAGACTCTGTCTCAAAAAAACAAAAACAAAAACAAAAACAGGAGTCCCCCTGCACAAGCTCTCTTTGCCTGCTTCCATCCCATAAGATGTGACTTGCTTCTCCTTGCCTTCCACCGTGACTGTGAGGCCTCCCCAGCCATGTGGAACTGTAACACCAATAAACCTCTTTCTTTTGTAAATTCCCCAGTCTGAGGTATGTCTTTATCAGCAGCATGAAAACAGACTAATACAGGGCCCAAAAAACCCTCCAACTCAGGTCAGACAAAACTAAATAAACCAATTCTAGGGACACAAAGACAAGCCACAGGAAAGTCCTTAAATGTTTACTTTAAATCAATTTTATTAAGGTATACATAAACTATTAATACATCCACTCAGAGCATATGTATAAGGTTTTAGAAAACTGACCCAATGCAAATTATGTCCAAATAATGCCATCGTGATATGATCTTTTAAATTCTTCAGTACTTGGGATGGACGCACTTGGCCTATGCACCTCCTCTCTCTATAGGCTTCGTCTTAAAGACTTGTAACAGAAAGACAGAGATGATCCAAAATGTTGTGACATGGTTAGGCTTTGTGTCCCCAACCAAATCTCATCATGAATTGTAATCCCTATGTGTAGAGAGAGGGAAGTGATTGGATTATGGGGGAAGTGTCTTTCATGCTGTTTTCATGATAGTAAGTGAGTTCTCATGAGATCTGATGGTTTTATAAATGTCTGGCATTTCCCCTGCTTGTACTCTTTCTCCTGCCACTGGTGAGGAGGTGCCTGCTTCCCTTTCTGCCATGATTGTAAGTTTCCTGAGGCCTTCCCAGCCATGCAGAACTGTGAGTCAATTAAACCTCTTTCCTTTATAAATTACCTGGTCTCAGAGAAGCTCTTTACAGCAGTGTGAGAACACACTAAGACATGTTGTTAGAAAAATAGGCAATTTTCTACTTAATAATTCCTAAAAGTCTTCTTTATATAATATGTGATACCTAAATCTTTATCTAATATTTAAAATACTTCTTTAAAATGTTAATAATTCCTAAAATGTTTCTTTTTTAAAAAAAATGCCTAAAATGCTTCTTTGTCCCTCCCTGGGAAAATAATGTTTGTGAATTGACAAAACAAAATTGGAGCTCAGACCCAATTCAAGTCATACCTCAATCTTGAGGTCAGAGACACTCCCTCGATCCCAATTTAGAGGATCAAGAAATCTCAGGGGAATGTATTTCTCCAGATCTTCATGTATGCAGTAAAGGAGGGATCTTGATTGGGTCTTGGTAGGATCTTTTGGTTTGTCAACTGTTGACTCCTTAGAAGTTCACTGGAAATACCTGTTTATGAAAAAGAAAGAATACCACCATGACAAATCTTAGTAGTGTCTCAGAAGGTGAACTTCAAGGTAAGATATCAAATAGACTTTTAGGGCCTGGGCTAGGACTTTTTAAGTCAGATCTTGCAAGAAACAGTACTGGTTGGGATTGAAGAGAGTTTATTAGAGAATAGATTTAGACAAATGGGCTCAGAGAAGCCAGAGTCTTGAAGCTATTCATTATAAACAAGCTATTAGTCTTTATAAGTAACCTGTTTAGTTGGTTCAGTCTTATCTTTAAGAAACAAGTAGTTTCTGGAGCAAGTAGCTGAGTTAAATTTGCTTTGCTCTCAGTATTGTTTCAAATAGGTACAGAAAATTATATTGCTTTCAGTTTTCTTTCCCCTTTCCTCTCCATCCCCCCCACGGAACTTGTCTCAGGTTTTCAGAGTCGGACTGCTAGATTAGTACAATAAAAGTGTTGTGAAACTAGGGCTGTTGCAAGGACTTAGACCTCAAAGCCACTCTATTTGAGCTGCCAATAATAGGCCTTGTCCTACTGATTTCCAATTAAATTAGCTTTTAAAAACATGTTTATTGATTGACATACATACATAATTATAATGGACTATTTTCCATAAGTGATTATTTTAATGGACATTTGTGTTTTATGAACACATTAGCTACCTGACCAAATAGCAAGCAAGTTATCTTGAATTAATGCTGTAGGTTTCTTCCAACTACTAAGTAGGCAGGCTGGGATCCATTACTGTAGGCTGTCAGGGGAGAAAAGATGAATTGAGTTGATGGTGATGACATAATGAATGTGGCTTCAATGACACAGTGGCAAATGTTAAACTCACTCACTGTATGATGAAACCACATCATTAGAAACAATAGCAAGGGAGAAGGTAAATCAAGAAAGGAGACAAATCACTCACAATGCATGAGAATATCTGGAAGCTCCTCAATGCAGCATCCAGAACTTCACCATGGTTGAGGCACTAAGGAAATAAGTTTCTAAAAACAGTGGCTTTAAGGAGAAAAGAAATAATGACCACCAATTGAAACTAGGACACCCTAGGGTCATATCCAAAGAAGTGGAAAATGTAGGGTATGTTAGTAAACAGGGAATTTCAGCCATTACGTTTGTTTTATCTAGAGCTAGAGACTACTATTATTGTCACCTATAGTTATTTGAGCTCACTGGTGCCAGGTAGGTGGAAACCAGAGAGACAAAGGTCACATTCACAGAAAAAAATTGGACTGTTATAAGTCTTAGGGCATGTCAAGCACATTATGATCACAATGCATTAAGAACAGGCTTATCTGACCCATGAACAAGCACCATGGCAAAATCTGAGAGCTGATTTAAGCAACACTTGAGCTGTGGGAGTAAACCAAAATGTATAAAGACAGTATCATTTCCATGAACTCATTAAAAATGACTTCATTTGAATTTTAATTTTGGAATTGAATCTTAAAAAAATTACATCTCAATTTATAAAATCACAAAGGTAATGGCACTATAAACTTCTACTTGCTTTTCACGTGTTTCAGTACTTTCTAATAGAAATCACCAGCCCTAGAAATTTCAGGAACTGTGAAGGCTGCTAGGGAGCAGGTAGTTTTATCAGTTTCAGTAAAGTTGCACTTGTGCAAATGTTGGGTAAACAGTTTGGGCCAATTTTACTTGGATAAAAGATACAATGTGCCCTCCAGGTGATTCCTTTCTCTGGGACTGGGAGAGCATCTGCTAATGATACCAAGTCTTGAATATCTCTCTTCTAAGGCACAAAATCTGTAGTGACCCTCTATTGAAATTTTTTTGGACTTTATTTCTTATGAAGGAAATTAGTGGCAGTTCCTCACAGCTTTTTGGGGGAGAATAACATTTCAGTATCATTCTTGAACCTGTTAGTTTATTCCCTGGGGCCTCAGTGAATTCTAGGAAAAACACTAGCCTGCAGTCATTCAGCCTGGGGCTGTAAAATTGTCAGATCTCATAAGCTCGACACAGTGCTTGGGTCTGGCCAGGACTTGGATAGGAGAACTCAAAAGAAAGAAAAAAAAACTTTGTGGAACACACATCTGTTGTGCACCAGATGGCAGTTATTTCATCTTCTGTGGAACTTTTTTCTATAATTCTTGTTACATTTCTTCTACTGCAGTACTTACAGGTTTTAAGAAGAAAAAAGCAAAATATTTTGGGAAAAATGAGGTGACTGTAACATTAAAATCAAGGCTTTAATTGTTCCCAAACTCAGGATTTGCAGAGTTAAGTTTCCCACAGCAATCCTCCAACTGTGCAGCGTGTATTACAATAGGAGTCCTCATTACATAATCACCAAACCCTGGGTAATGTTACATAGTGTTCAGCAGATAAAGGGCACAAAATAATGGAAAAGAACTGCACTTTTTCTCTAATCGTAGATGTACAGAGCATATTATGTTACTGCATAAATATTACATGATCATGTAACAAAATATACTAATGAAATATACAGATGCAAAGCAAGGGTGCAAGGGTTGAAGGTGCATTGGGAACACTTAAATTGATTTTCTTATTCTTTGCTAATTCAAATTCAAACTTAATTTAGCATTTGTGTTGTTTTATGAGAATATAAAATGTCATGGGAGGCCTGATAGTTTTTAATAAGTTTATCGAATGGTACTTAGAGTCATCTTCTGCAACAGTAATATAGACCTACAACACTATTGCTGTCTTTCATGTATCAAACTTCTGTTCCTGACTATGTCTTAAGCATTAGGTTTTGACCTAGAAGCTAATTTTTGCCCAATGGCTTCTACTGCTTTGCAAGTACAGCACATTTTATATTAAAGACTCAGATGTTGCCTATTGGGTTTAGTGGGTTTCTGCCTATATTAGTCCATTCTCATGCCGCTAATAAAGACATACCCGAGACTGGGTAATTTATAAAGGAAAGAGGTTTAATTGACTCACAGTTCAGCATGGCTGGGGAGGCCTCAGGAAACTTAACACTCATGGTGGAAGGGGAAGCAAACACATCCTTCTTCACACAGTGGCAGCAAGAAGTGCTGAGCAAAAGGGGGAAAAGTTTCTTATAAAACCATCAGATCTTGTAAGAACACTCACTATCATGAGAACAGCATGGAAGAAACTGCCCCCATGATTCAATTACCCCCGACCAGGTCCCTCCCATGCCACAGTGGTGATTATGGGAGCTACAATACAAGATTAGATTTGAGTGGGGACATAGCCCAACCATATCACTGCCTACGTTTGCCCTGTCAGTTGCTTAATATCTGTGCAAATTTGTCAGCCTATTTAGATGCCCTCTGCCAATTGATTAAAAATACTTACATAGTACCTACTGTATAAAGAACTCTTCTAGATTCTGATGTAACATAAATAAATTGTTACGGTCTTCTTTTTAAAAAATAAGAACTTCAGTTACTGATGACAGTGTTAATTATATTCACTTTGAATCAGAATGCATTGTGTGCCTTAAACAGCATGGACAGTGCTGGCGTACTACACAGCTCATTACATTTTTTATTTCATTTTACCAAAGTTCTATTTCATGCAAACATCTCCAGTTATTCCTACCATTGGTATATGATCTTCATAGCCATAATTAAGTTTGTGATGTTTTGTGTGAGGTTATTTCTCAACATTGTTATTGGCATACCACTAGTATCAATACTTTGGCAAGTTAAACAACTGTGATAAGATCACAGAATATCAGAACTTGGAAGCAAAGTTAGAGTATCAAACTCCTTTGAAAGATGAGTAAACTGAGACTCAGATGTTAAGAAGCTGACCAAGATCACAAATGTGTTAGTGGCAGATAAACTAGAATCTCTTCTTTCTCTCTATTGTGATGTATCTTCTGGGTATATACACACACAACCACTGCAGATTGGGTAGTGGTTGTGCTATAGTTTGAATATTTGTTCCCCAAAACATCATGTTGAAATTTGATCCTGATATTGGAGGTGGGGGGTAATGGGAGGTGTTTTTGTCATGGGGGCAGAACCCTCAGGAATGGCTTGGTGTCATCCTCATGCTAATGAGTGAGTTCTCACTCTATTGCTTCCCATGAGGGCTGGTTGTTAAAAAGGGAGCCTGGCAACTCCCTAGCTCTCTCTCTTGCTTCTTCTCTTTCCATATGATTTCTGCACATATCAACTGTCCTTTGCTTTCTGCCATGTGTGGAAGCAGCCTGAAGCTTTCACCAAATGCCCAGTCTTTCGGCCAGCAGAATTGTAAGCCAAATAAACCTTTTTTCTTTATTAATTATCCAGCCTCAGTTATTCCTTTATAGCAACACTAAACAGACTAAGACAGGTTGGTTATATGATCTCAGAATAAATTTGCTTTCAGTGACATTTAGTTCTTAAGAAGATAATTATCTTTTAAGTAAGACATACAACAAAGGGCTCAAGTGAGCATCAATAGATGAAAATGTAGTAGACAAAAAAGTCTAGTAGAAGAAACAAAAATAAAAGATAGAAAAACATTTCTAAATAAACATGTTTATCACTATATCAAGTGAAGATTTCATTTATGACTTAATACTATAATCTGACCTTTACAATTTTCTGTTGTTTATTTGTTTTAAAAATATGCTTTGGATTTATTTTCAATACTTAAAAAATATTATCAAGGTCCGTAGTGGAATTACAACTTGTTACAGATAATTGTTGCTCTTTAATTCTACATCCTATGGGATTAATTTTGTAATTCAATTCTCAAATAGCATACACTTAGTAATAGCTATTTTTCTAATAATTTCAGTATCATAGGAATATGTGCTTTATTAAGAAGGATCTAAATATACAACTTTAAAATACCCCAAAACTTTTTAAAATAAGATAAATTCCCTCTAAATATTGTGACTGAAAACTTCATTGAAGTGTCCTTAGGTTGCTGATAACACAAAGACTGCTCACTACCAACTGTGAGCTTTTGCTTAAAAATTTCCACACGTGGATTTGCATCTTTCTAGGTTGCAAAAAAATACTATTTCTCCCATAAGGAAACAGTGAAATAGAGGGAGTAAATGTATGTAAAGAGAAACACCAATTGAACCAAAATGTACTGCATTAGTTTTCAATGTCAATTACTAGACATCTGAGAAAAAGTATCAATATTTGTAATATTTAACAAATCTATAGTAATATGTAGACGGTAATAAAGCAGTGTTATACTTTAAAAGATATTTACAAAGGTCCATGTTAATATATTATCGTGGAGAACTGGAAAGAGTGAAAATAGTAAAAAAAAAGCTGTGTTAAATACTCTCATATTGATTCTCTACTCATTATTAAATAGTTCTGCTTTTAATAATCTGTTTACATCGTGTCACTTAAAACAAACATAAATCTCCAATCCTGCTGAGAAAGTTTTGTTCAGCAATCTACTTTAACAAGAAGGACACTTTGGATTGGGCCAAGTGAACAGGACTTTTGTTGTTTAAATCAGAGAAATGTTTATTTTTATCATTTTATTTTCTGCCACATAAAGTATAATGGGACATACCATAAATGTTGATAGTTTTGCCTCTAATTTTTAGTTGTTAACACATTTACACTGATTTTAAAATTTGATTCCAACCATAGTTTATTTTTGCAGCCATTATGACTATGTCTACAAAATTAGGTTCAAGTTTTTACCAAATTTTGCTGGTTTATGCTTTAAATTAAAATCCATCTTTACTAAATTTTGTTCAGGTCTCGTGTATATTGTTGGGGACTTCTTTGAAAGAACCACCTACATGGCATTTCCAAATAATTTATTCACTAAGGATCTGTTACTTTTTTTTTTTTTTATTTTAGATGGAGTCTTTCTCTGTCACCCAGGCTGGAGTGCAGTGGCTTGATCTTGGCTCACTGCAAGCTCTGCCTCCCGGGTTCACACCATTCTCCTGCCTCAGCCTCCCAAGTAGCTGGGACTACAGGCACCCGCCACCACGCCAGGCTAATTTTTTCTATTTTTAGTAGAGACGGGGTTTCACCGTGTTAGCCAGGATGGTCTCGATCTCCTGACCTCGTGATCCGCCCGCCTTGGCCTCCCAAAGTGCTGGGATTACAGGCTTGAGCCCCCACACCTGGCCAGGATCTGTTACCTTTTATACATTTCCCAGGAAAATCCATAGTAGAACAAGAATAGGCTTATTTATTCGACTAACTTCAGACTATAAATAATACTTTCTATGAATTAATCTATCATTTTAAATAGGTTTCCATAGGATGTTTCTAGAGTAATGTTCCTACAGTAGGTGTATTAATAACTAAACTTATTTGGTCTTTTATTTCATGTATACATTGTTCCTCTTACCTAAATTATGTAAGTTTAGCTACAAACCAGCAATTTGATAGAATCCCGTGATTCTTTGAATTCATGTTTGTTTCTCATGTTGATATCATTTACGTACTTAGCTTTGTTAATCTTCAAAGTCATTCACTGCTCAATGAGAACAAGCATTTTCAAACTCTACTGGAATATTTCATGGTAAGCATGTCTCCTCTTTCCTCATTTATTTACATAAAGATCAAGATAAATCAGGATATGATTATAGGTGGTGTGATTCATCAGCTGCCAATCAAAAGCTGACATAAAACCTTTGGCAGAAAGATTGAAAAAACTATTTGGAAAACAACATGATCCTAAAGAAGTGTTCTGAAGAGTGGTGATGTCACTGGTCTGTAAACTCTAATGAACTTCTTATTCAAATATCTATTCCTCTTGGTTAGATACATTCACCTTATTTTTCTTGTCCAGTGGCTTAATCAACTCTATGCTGTTTAAGTGTGATGATTTGTCTTTTGTAAACCTATGAACTAGAATGACTCACATATTTTTTCATTTTCACTTATGAAACTAAGAATTAAATCAATATTCATCTCATAAACACTTGCCAGCTATCTATTATGTGCTTCATGCATTGGTAAGAATTACTATTACTGTAAGTATTATAATTCTTTCATATCTTCCTTAAGATATACAGTTATCTCAGAACTTCACACTTAATATAGTATTTTTCTAATCACTGAATTGATTCAAAATTGAATAAAATCTTTTCCTATAGATTAACAATATATAATATATAGAAAAATGTAAAATATTTATCAGAATAACAGAAAAGCTATTATTTATCAAAGTATAGTTTTTCCCTGTAATATTTTCATTTTGAATATTTTTTTCCCTGAAAAGGTAAAACCTCACAATCTTGATTTCTAACCTGACTGTAGTACAATGATAGGTGACTGTCCCATTCTTTACTGCTCACCTTTCATTTGTTAACTTGTAGTCTCAAAGTTTTCTCTTGATACCTGTTCTTTTGCCAGGATCCAGTGGTTTGGGAGTTTGGACTATAGCAAGATTCACAGATTTGAGCACAACTCTAAATGAGGGCAAACAGGAACGCTACTCCCAAAAACAAAAAAGTCCACTTAAACAAGCTAACTAACCAACTAACTAACTAATTAACCAATATAGGCATTTTAGTAACCTTTCCAAAAAGCAGCAGAACTAAGTATCTATTTTCCTAGTAGAGTATATTTGTCTTCTAGATCAGGGTGCCCATCTTTGTCCCAACAATTCTGTAATGCTATAACAGAATACCACAGACTGGGTAATTTTTAAAGCAAAGAAATTGACTCCTCACCGTTCTAGGGGCTGGGAAATCCAAGACGAAAGTGCTGGGATCTGGTAAAGGCCTCCTTGCTGTGTCATCCAGTGGCAGGAGAGCTCAAGAAAACAAGACCAAGATCAAATGAGGAAAGCGACCAAATTCATCCTTTTATCAGAAACCTAGTATCAAGATCCCTAACCTACTCCCACAATAGCATTAATCAATTCATAAGGCAGAGCCCTCATGACCTAGTCACCTCTTAATGGTCCCATCTCTCAGCAGTGTTGCATCGGGGATTAAGCTTCGAAAGCATGAACTTTGTGGGGACTCATTCAAATCATAACAGTACCATAACCTAATTTACCTGGAAATGACATGTACTGGAGAAAAGCAGACATTCGTTGGCCTTGGATGGTTTGAGTCAGTAAATTATTAAATAACCTTTTTTTTTTGTTTCTGAAACTTTAATGAAGATCTAAATAAAAATGAAAATTATTGCAGCCAAAAGAAGAAATAAAATGATTGAAAAATAGTTCTGTCTAATGAGCTTGACCCTTATGAGTGCTCAGATCAACTCTTCCCCTCTCCCACACTTATGCAGGGAGCTCTCAGATCAGGCTGCCCCCTCTTTCTCTCAGGTGCTCCCCTGGAAACCTGGAGACTTCTAAGGAAGTTAGACCTGTTAGAACAGGGGTGTCCAATCTTTTGGCTTTCCTGGGCCACATTGGAAGAAGAATTGTCTTAGGCCACACATAAAATACGCTAACACTAACGATAGATGATGAGCTAAAAAAAATTGCAAACAAATATCATGTTTTAAGAAAGTTTATGAATTTGTGTTGGGCCACATTCAAAGCCATCCTGGGATGCATGTGGCTATGCGTTGGACAAGCTTGTGTTAGAAGATCAAGTGAGGGAAAATCAACTGAGACATCTCTTCTTCAAGATTCTAGAAACTTTTAAGTTTTGCCACTAATTTAAACACTTGGTAAAGGCAACACTGTATATTTTTCTTCCCGGTGCCTAGTAGATTATGTGTATTTAGATATTTACTAATCCAAATTATATTGAAAAAATGTTTTTTATGTTGAAAGGAGACACTAGTAAATTTTTTTCCTAAAACACTAGGTACATAGCTAACTATTTCTTCCTGAACATAGATTTTTGATGTAAAGAATGAGAAAATAATGATTTTCATGTTTCTGTTTTTCACATATGCTAAAAGAACTGACTACTCATGAAGTTATAATGGAAGAGTATGTGGAGATACACCTTGTGTGTTTCACTTACTGCTGTAACTGAAACAATGAAAAAAATTTTCCCATAATGGATATTAATCTATTCTAAGCCAAAAGGCAACACATTCCCAAAATGTTTCTGTCTAAAATATTTTTATTTTAGGTTTGCCACAAGAATTACCATTTCCTTTCACTTGACATAAAATAAAGCCACTATCAAGAGTATTACTTTACTTAATATTTTTACAACGACATTTGGACATTGTCTTAACATAATCAGTGTTAAAGCAGCCAGGAGAAGAGCTGTTTAGAAGACTCTTCCAGTTCAGTTTCTATATTGAAATATGAAGTGTTAATTTTGAGGTATGAAAGCAGGGTCCCAGAGCCTTTGAAGATCTGTTATGGAAATGGTCTAGAGAAGGGTTCAACAATTTGTGGTCCTCAGGCTAGCTGCTCGTATTTTGTAAGTACATTTTTATCAGAAAACAGTCATGTTCATTTGTTTACTTACTAGGTATGGCTGTTTTCCAGCTACAAAGGCAGAGTTGAGCAGTTGTGACAGAGGTCATTGGGTCTGGAAGCTTCAATGATTTACTATTTACTGTTAAGGTAAATTTTAAGAAAAGCTTCCCTAGCCCCTAGTTTAGAGAAGGACTGTCCCATAAATAGATATGATAGGGAGGCCGAGGCGGGTGGATCACAAGGTCAGGAGATAGAGACCATCCTGGCTAACATGGTGAAACCCTGTCTCCACTAAAAAATACAAAAAATTAGCCTGGCGTCGTGGCAGTCGCCTGTAGTCCCAGCTACTCAGGAGGTTGAGGCAGGACATGAACCCGGGAGGCGGAGCTTGCAGTGAGCCGAAATCGTGCTACTGCACTCCAGCCTGGGCCACAGAGCAAGACTCCATCTCAAAAAAAAAAAAAAAGATATGATGATGGAAATATTTTGTATCTATGCTGATATGGTACCCACTAGCCACATGTGAATATTAAGTACTTGAAATATGACTACTATGAATGAGGAATTAAATTTTCATCTTGTCTCATTGTAATTAATTAACATTAAAATTTAAATAGCCACATGTGGCTATTGGCTACTGTATTAGCACAGACATGGAACAACTTCATTGAAGTCCACTGAGCAGTGCTTCCCTAGATCCACAGTCAGGAAACTGTTTCTTAAAGGGCCACATAACAAATAGCGTGACTTAGAGCATTTGAAATGTGGCTAATGAAAATGAGACACTGAAGTTTTAATTTTTTTTTACTGTAATAAATCAAAATTTAAAAGCCACATGTGGCTAGTGGCTGCTGTAGCCGAGCGAGTGGGCTAGAGCAGGGATTCCCATGGTGTGGTACACAGATCAGTGGCATCAACATTAACTGGGAACTTGCAAGAAATGAAAACCCTTGATTCTCACAGCATATCTACTGAATTAGAATCTCTGGGGATGGGGCTCAGGAATCTTATCTAACAAGTACTCAAGGGCAGTGTCTCTCCAAATTTAGCATGCATCACAATTACCTGGCAGGCATTTTAAAACCCAGATTTCTAAGATGTCCCCAAGGAATGCAAAAATACTACTGGTCCATGGACCATACTTTGAGTAGCAGGGGTCTAGGACAGCAGTCTGCAAGGTCAGGTGTGTTTTAGAAAATCCATTGAGTTACAGGAAAACATATTAAACTTTCTATTTCTATTTACTCTCTCACCTAAAATAAGTAAATTTAGCTTTGTTATCAAGTGTTATATTCTCAGTTAGTCCCTATGTCAAATGGTGATTATGCTGATGGGTTGACTGTAGCCTCATTGGCTTTTTACTTTTAATTCTATTTTTTAAATTATCATACAGTAAATTTGATTTTTTCTCTTTTGGTTTACAGTTTCATAAATTATAACACATGTATACATGTGTTTCATAAAACCACCACCATATTAGGATACAGAACAGTTCCATCACTATAAAAAACTCCTTTTTGCTATTTCTTCATAGTCTCCTCTCCCTCCACTCATAATCTCTGGCAACCACTTGATAGATTTATCTTTTCAAGGAAGCAATACAAATGGAATTATAAAATATGTGACCTTTGGAGACTGGCTTCTTTCAGTCAGCATAATTCTTTTGCAATTCACTCATGTTGTTGTATGTACCAATAGTATGTTCCTATTCGTTGCTGAATAGTATTTCATTGTGTGACTATACTATAGTTTATCTATCTGTTGACCTATTGAAGTCCATAGGCAATTATACATAGAGCCGTTTAAATATGCATAAACATAGTTTTAATTTGTCTAGGCCGTTCAGTGTATGCTTAACTTTATAAAAACTATCAAAGTGTTTTCCAGAGTGATTGTACCATTTTGCATTTCCACTGACAATACATGAGCATTCTAGTTGCTTCACATCCATGTCAGCATTTGGCATTGTCAATATTTTTAGCTTTAGTCATTCTAATAAGTAAGTGTACTATATTGTGGTTTTATTTGCATTTTCTTAATGCCTAATGACATTAAATATCTTTTCATGTGCTTATTTGCCATTTCTATGTCTTTTCTTGTGAAATATATGTTCTTCTCTTGGGAAAAGAGTCATATTAATTTGATTAATTCATTATCCCGTTTAGGTAATGCACAAAACAGTTAAATGTGTTTATAAGAGTCCCGTAAAGGAAATTCTGGTTGAGAAAATACTAAGAAGGCAGGTACAAGGAAACAATAAAATGGCACACCTCAGACTTTGTCCCTAATAGAAGCTCTTTATCATCCAAACTCAGAAAATTGCTTTCAGTGGTAAGTGACCTGGCATATATATTTGTAAACATGTCATTTTTAATAAGGAGTGAAAAAGAAATGACTTTTGAAATATATTAATGCTATGGAGAAAGGTTTTTATAAATGATTGTTAAGAAAAATTGGGGTGATTTTGTTGCTAAAAACAATACAAATATGTCATCTATTTATAATTCTCACATCTGAACACTTAAAAGCTTTGGAAAAAGGATTATCAAACCTGTTTTTGTATATCCTAACTGAGGAACTTCAACTGTACTGTTGGCTGTAAGTACAAAATTGAATCTCCAATTTACTTCCAAGGACAACTGAATGACATCAGGGAAGATGAAAATTTAGTAGTCACATTTCAACAAAGTTTTTTTCATAATTTAAAAAGGAAAAATTAGTATTAATAATCAAGGTTGAATTTAGTATTAAAAAATTAGGGTTGAAAAAATTAGTATTGTGATTTTTGTAAGTACGGACAATCATAGACTTCTTCCATATAATCATTATCTTTGAGAGATATCTTTTTCAGTCATGACAAATATCAAAATCAAGAATTAAAACAAATTGAAATTATTACTATTTGAATTAGTATCCCCGTAAACACTTTAGTGTTATCATTGATAATGTATTTTCTGAAAGCAAAATCTTTTGTACCATCAATAAACAAAATGTAAATTATTTCAAGAATATGTATTTCTTCTTTATTCCATTATTCTAAAGTCTCATTGGCTGGGCATACTCATGCCTGTAATCCCAGTAGTTTGGGATCTCTTGAGCCGAGGAGTTCAAGTCCAGCCTGGGCAACATAGTAAGGCCCTGTCTCTACAAAAAATACAAAATTTAGCCAGGCATGGTGGTGTGGACCTGAAGTCTCAGCTGCTTGGGAGGCTGAGGTGGGAGGATTGCTTGAGCCCAGGAAGTAGAAACGGCAGTGAGCCAGTCATGCCACTCCACTTCAATCTTGGGGAACAAAGTGAGACTTTGTCTCCAAAAAAATTTTTTTTAATGAATAAAATCTATTTGTATATATATTAATGTTTAGAATATACTTACTGATTATTGATGGGGTGGGTGATCACTCCATCACCCCTAGGCAAGAGCATGCCAAACCCTTGAGGAGAATATGTCTGATTGGCTGCATGGGGATTCTGTTTGAGAATTTTGGAGAGATAAAGAGATAGAGAGAAACAGAGGGAGAGAGAATGAAAGAGTGAGAGATAAGGTATGCGGTATAGGCAAGTGTCTTAGACACTTCCTAGATGTCTGCTCTATAGACAGAGGCCTTCTATTAGATTAAAAGCACCGAGGCTGAGGATAAAGGGAAGATTGAAGAATTGCAGACTTAAACAAAATATTGAGCCTGACTTCTAGGATATTGAATTCTGATGAGATGGTCAGAGATGTACAACTTAAAATATCACTTACTCTGTAATTTTGCCAAGAGCTTGCTCTTTGGCTGGGCTTTCAGTGTTCTCTAGAAGACTGTGCCTTGATAAGGGTGATCTGTATTATCTTAGATGGAGACAGCAAGATAAAGATATTTGTTGAGTTAAGATGTTCATAATGCTATGGCTACCAGACATGGCTACATAGATCTATATAGATCCCAAGGACAGATCCAGAATATTCTTTCTGCAAGGAGCAAAACGAGTCTTTAAAATCAAATTTAAACAAGGCACCAAAAATGTTTGCATGATTCTAATTATAATTAAATACTGAATACTTTGAAAGTTTCGAAGTCATAAGGAGAATCATAGATAAAATATGTGTTAGGAAAATGATGTGCATAAACTTGAAAAAATAACCTTCCTAACTTTGAGACCATCATTTCTAAAAAGTAGGATGGAAACATATATTGTCTCACGTGGTATTGTTATGCCTTGATATTACTTATGTATACAGTTTTAAAAAGAGGAGCCATCAACATAGCAGACCCAAAACTGTATAACTAAACATCTACAGGGAAAAGTAAAATTAATAAATATTCTATGTACCATATTGAGAAAAGAAGAATGGAAGACTAGAGATCTGACTAAAGATATGAAAGGAACATTAAGAACAGGACATGAATTAATTACTCTCATTAATTAATAAGGAGTAGTTTTAATTGCAAAGGAAAACATCTTTATAAATTATTATTTAAAGCATAATAAATGTTAATTAGAAAAATCAAGAAATTTAGCAAGCTGTCAGGGAAAGTGGTTAAATGACTTTTAGAGGATATATTCAGAATATGAGAACCTAATTACTCAAATCCTGCTATTGTGTACATGGCTAGAATAGCTACAGATGTGGAATATATATACTCCACATCACTGGCAATATTTTCTTATCTGATGTGATAGCCAACCTAACTGTTTCATCAAACTTCTTAATTTGCTGGTAAAAATAAGAGTCAGTTGGAAATAGAGATAGAATTGACGCTTGACTAGCTCTATTAAATTCATACATTTATATTACATACTCCTTAGAAATCTTGATGTGAGAGACAAAACAATAAATTATTCATTGTTCCCTTACTTTTCTCGTTATAGGGTAACTATTTCCCAAAGTTTTTAAAGCCTATTCTACATATCCATTTTAGAGGTATTTTTCAATATCTTGTTAATTCAAAATTTGATTGTTAATTTCATTTTATGATGAGAAGAGATAAAAGATCATATTCAAGATTGGAGAGAAAAAAAGAAAGAAAAACACAGAGAAGCAATGAGGAAAACAGAATGAAATATAAAACCTGTTGGCCCTTATCTCTTTCCACAGGTCTTTTATTTATTAGGACTGCGCCCCTCCTCCATGAAGTTATGCTCAATCAGGAGAGTATTTCATCCCCAATCATATTAAAACAAGCCCTGCCCCCTCTTCTTTCCTATTTCTTCCCAGCCCCCAGCTCACACCTTCCATCGTCTGTGAAAGATATTTCTCTGTTCACGTGTTAGTGAATGAGGTCTCTCAGGGTGTTTGTCACTGTCATGTTTTGATTGTTTGTCTACATCATCCAGACTTTGTTTCATCTTTGGCACACAGACATTGAAATGAAATGGTATGTAGGAAAATCCAGGTTGCCTTTATAACAAAGAGCATGTTGCCTCTTTAGGGAACAATGAAACACGATGAATAGCTATTCAATTTTTTGTAGTATTTCCAGCACTGGAGAAAGCAAAAATCTGGCCCAACATTGAGAGTGGCCATGTCTTTTGTAGCCAGTACTGGAATGGTTAATTACTTTGCAGTTCTCTAAGAAGACAACAATGAGCAGGCTCCTGCCACTGCATCACAACCTAAAACAAAACTGACAGATCGCACTCCACAACTGAAACAGATGGTTGCTTACGGGGCTGACAAAGCGAATGTAAACTGTAGAGGCTTTTATTCTCTGCCGCAGCCCTAAAGAGGTGAAAAGAACACCTTCATTTCTGGAAGGGGACACACACACAGACACAAACACACACACACACAAACATACACCCCAACATGCATGCACGCACCCCACAAAAGCTAAATTCTTGCATGCTGTCGCCTCCATAAACTATTGCAAAATCTTTAGTCATGAGAGATTGCATTCAGGAGAAATTGAAATGTGGTTCTGTGCCTTTCCACAAACATGAAGAATAATGGACTTTTAAAATATTGGAGTGGACAGGATAGAGGGAGAAATGCTTCCACCTCGAACCTGCTTCTGAGTTACGAATGACAGTTTTTCAAACCATTCATTTTTAGAACCTAGGAAGACAGAGAATATGCTAGTATGTTGAAAAGTCACAAAACTAAGAGAAAAGTGTTTTATAATTTTGAAAAGAAGGTCTCTTAATCTTCAGAGATGGGTCATTTGGCTCAGAAGTATTTAAACAAACAGTATGGTAACTGGCAATGTGTCTTTTCAAGATACTAATAAGGTGGAAGGCAGGAACATGTTCAGGGATATTCTCATAGCTCTTAAGATGAGAACAAGAATGAAAAGAAGAAAAAGAGAATGTAAACTGAAAGTCAAGGAAGCCAACTCTGCTTCAACTACTATTTTATTGGGGAACATTCTATTTATTTATTATTTATTTATTGAGACTGAGTCTTGCTCTGCTGCCCTGGCTGGAGTGCAGTGGCGCCATCTTGGCTGCAAACTCCACCTCCCAGATTCAAGAGATTCTCACGGCTCAGCCTCCAGAGTAGCTGGGACTACAGGCACGCACCACCACCATTTTTTTTTGTACTTTTAGAAGAGAGATGGGGTTTTGCGATATAGGCCAGGCTGATCTTGAACTCCTGACCTCAAGTGATCTGCCCTCCTTGGCCTCCCAAAGTACTGAGATTATAGGTGTGAGCCAGAGGAACATTGGTTTAAAGTAGCTCTGGCATTCCCCCATGGCTTCAGTATTTCAGTGCTCTGTCATTTTGACTTGTAGATAGGACTCGCAAATGATCATAGAAATGCTGACCACTGTAGATTAGAAAGTTGTGTGACTTGGCTTTCCAAACTATGTGAGGCTCGAACTGTGTTCTTACTCCTCTTGTGACTTAGAAGAGTATGTCCTATCAGCTCAGGGGTAGAAACACTAGGTACCGTTTGCTTTGTAAAAATGCTGGAGCCCAGGGGAGGGAGACAACCTTCTCATTTGGTCCTATAAACATTTTTGGCACTCAGTTGACTGGGATAATTGGATTGTCTCCAGTTTGTAGAAGTTTTGTGAAGTCAGTTAAGTGTTATATTTTGTGTTGGGTCTCTTTTCCTCATCAGTTTCCTATTTTATTTTACAGGCTTATTCTTCCTCTTTCTACTAAATTTAATACTTCCTCTTTCTAACTCACTGTATAATCCAATTCTTATTTTATAGCTTTAGCGTTTCTTTCAGTGCCTGTCCCACCTTTTTACTTTCCCATTTGGTCTTCTTCATCTGCTATTTTTACCTGGGGGATTCTATTAACTCACTGGGGCTCAGCTGTCACCTGCTGCGCATGTTAATGACCCCACCAGCGTCCCCCTTCCTGGCTCTGCCCTGTTGCATTTTTCTGCCTTTCTCCTGACACTTCTCTGCTTCTCACATGAGGCCACCTGCACACCAAATGAGGTCAATATGCCCCAGACGCGAGGGTGCTTCATAAAACAGTTTATTGTTGATATTTCTTCCCAAAGCATCTCTCTCCTACCAGTTGTTCTGTTCAGAGAGCCAGTGACTCTTTTCATTCCAGCCTCTTACTTAAGAGCATTTCACTTCTGCTTCTCCCTGTTTACACAGCCCCTTGGCAAATGCTTTTTGCTTTTTTTTCCCCCTTTTCACTGACCAGCTTCACAATTCACCTCTTCCTCTCTAATGTTCTCTCATGACCCAATATATTTATCACATCCTTTTCATAATCTCCTCTTTGACTTTATCTGCATTTCTTCTGGTGTCTAGCCCTACAGAATTGTGTTATCGTGGCATTGTTTTGTGGGGGACATAGCAGTCAATCAAACTCTCTCCTCCTTATTATCAGAAGGCGGGGGCGGCAGGGGCAGGGGACCAGGCAAAGGGAAACATTGTGAAATGTGGTGCTCTCTCCTTTTGTCTTAAAGAGCCTGGTCCCACCCTCTTTAACACCATCTCTATGTGTGAATCCCTGTTTTGTTCACTCAATTCCCTGTCCTCCAGGTTTCCCAGAAGCTCTTTTCGTCATTTCCAGTGAAATGTTCATGGTTGAAACATGTTTCCTCCTGTGTAACTGTGTAGATCCTTTTTGTCTTTTTCATGTTCCTGCCAGGAAAATCAAGCACTCTGTGTTTGAAATGTAAACATTGCTTCTTGGTGTTCCAAACCATCAATTATCATGCCTCTAGTTATACATAAAATTTTGATTCCTCAATTTAGACTCTGTAACAAGAATGTATTACATTAACTGATGTCCCTGTCTGAAGAATCATGTAGCTATCATTCGGTGAGGAGGTGCTGCCCTGATGGAACTGACCTGTAGGGTCTTAGTTTTTTCTGGGATCTGCTGATATACCACTCCTACTCTGGTTTATTCCAAAAAGTGGGTAGGTCAGAGGAAGAGTAGAACTCAATCCCCTGCCAGCCTTCAGGGTATCTATTTTAATGACGGACAAAAGTTCTCAGCAAATATCTTCTGTTATCCTCAGCTTAAAAAAAAATCTTGGCAAATATTTACCCCAATTCTCTAGTGGGCATTTCCTGCAAAGCCAGGCTCCACTTTAGAGAAAAAGAGGTTCTCTAGGGAGTGAGCTTCTGAAATTGCTTCTCCCAATATTCTATAATGTGTCAACATTCATAATTGTAATATCTATCCCTCTTTTATGGATGTGAAAAGTAAAGCAGAACGAATCTGTGTTCCTTTTAGACAGGACTTGGGTCTCCACTATGGTGGCTTATAAATAATAAACTCAGTTTTGCCTCTATGAGTATATATCCATGACCTAATGTATTAGCCACAGGTCAACACATTTTTTATTTAACCCAGGTGTTCTGGAGGCAGGACCTTACTCTAAGGAATGAGCAGGAAGCATGGACTATTCGCTTGGACGGGAAGATGGTGGAGAGGCTGCCATGGAGAAGGCATGGGCGTTCTGAAGGCTCCTGGCGGGCTCCACAGAGAGACCACTTTCTGACTCATGGTAGAATCACAGCTGAAACCCTGGGATTGTCTCTTCTCTTCACTGTTCATCTCTGAAAACATAACCAATACTTCAGTGACTCTGCTGTCATGGAATACAGTAGTGTATGAATGCTTTGAAGTGCTTAGCTCTTCCCCTGCCATCTGAAGCTCATTTGACAACGACAGTGAACACTACGTTATTTTTAAATTATCACTCCTGCAGTTTACCTTTTGCCACCTTCATATTTAGCAGTTATCATGATACCTGTGGAAATTATTGAAGCAAAATGACCCTGTATTTTATACACGCACGAACACACATGCGCGCGCACACACATACACACACACACGCACACCCCATACATATGGAAAATAAACATTAAGGGTGAATTCATGCAGCCACTAAAATTAAGATCAAATGGTTCAGTTAATCCTTATAGTCTAAATGCCTGGATAATGTATTCACTAAGTATTTGGATGTCAGAGTAGACTGAGTTTGTATCCTGGCTCTGTGATGGCTAATTTTACGAGTCAATTTGGCTATACTAAGGTACCCAGTTTTGATCAAACACCAGTTTACACATTGATGTGAGGATGTTAGATTTAAATCTGTGGACTTTGAGATGAGATCTGGTGCATTCAGGGTGATATGGCCATAGACTAAATTTGTGGACTTTGAACGAAGCAGATTACCCTCTGTAGCATGGGTGTGCCTCATCTAATCAGTTGAAGGTCTTAGAAGACTAGCCTTGCCCTCCCCCTAGGAAGACGGAATTCTGTCCGCAAACTGTCTTTGGACTTGAACTGCAATATCAACCCTTTTCTAGCTCTTTACCCCAGGAGCCCACTCTGCAGATTTTGGACTTCCCAGCTGCCATAATCATGTGAGCCAATTCCTTAAAACAAATCTTCCTTTCTCTGGTTCTGCTTCTCTGGAGAACCTTGACTAATATAACTTCCGTCACTTAATAGCTGTATTACTTTGGGCAAGTCATTCAACATTCTCTGTCTCAATGTCTCCATTTCTACAAATAGAAATTATAATGGTACCTATATCACAAGAGTGTCATGAGGATTAAGTGAATTAATGTAAATAAGATTTTTAGAATAGTGCCTGACACATGGTTGTTATACAAGTCTTAGATATCGTTTTTGTTACGATTGTATATATAGTTAAACTATATATGTTTTTTCAAGCTAAAAAATAAAAATGATTTTTATTTTATTTTTTTGAAATATAAGTAACAAAATAATCGGCAAAACCAAACCAAAACAGAACAAAAAATGAGACATCGTATGAGTGATCATCTCCAAGCACAAACCACATTCATTAATGAATATAAAAAATAAATTGTATTCTTTTTATTTGTTTTTCCTTAAGCTTTGACTACATGGATGTTTTTGGAAGCTTGAATTCCTAAGAAAACTCCACAGCTATCCTGGCTCCTACAATGTGACTGAGTGAGGTTAAGGTCCTACTCCCATAGGGAAATAAGTTTCTATCCTTGGGGATTCTGAACAACTAGACCCCTAGGAACTTAAAAATCAGGTGCATTCATTAGTATCTTTCTAACATGGGAAAAATACAGCCATCAGCCATTAAAACACAATCCAGTTTGGATACAGGTACTATTCAGGTTTTCTAAGTTTTCTAGCTGAATACCAAGACTGGGCTACCATCTTTTGTAGCAACCCAGCCTGCAGCCACTGCTATCTCCCTAACTAGCAGTCTCCCAAGCTGCACTAAAACTGGGATTAACAAAGCTGAAGATAAAGCTTTTTTGACCTTTCCTCCTGGAAGTTAGAGGGCTCTTTGGGTAGGAAGGGACAGGAAGTTTTGCATCAAGCTTGCCTTCACATTCACTATTGTGCAAAAATCTACCTATCGCACACCTGTATTGAGTGTTTGAGTGTACTTACTCATCACCATAAAAGAAAGTTAGAGTAAATTAAGAAGTCTCTCTGGACGAAGCCACTCAAAACAGGCAAATTTGGTGAACCAAGGCAATTCGCTGCCTGTGGTAATAGCTTCAGTTCACCTAAGTCATTTCCTGAAGAATCATATTAAGCTCATGATTCAGGAGGCACCTCTGGCCAGCACAGAGCAGAGAAGAAAAACATAACTTCAGTTTAGGGTGAATTATATATTATTATCACTTTTAGCCAGCTGTAAGTAGCAAAATGCTGCTTAAATTACTTTTTCAAATTTAAATATTTTGTTTGCATACATCAGTCTCTTGATCCAGCTGTATTCCTTCTAACCATTTTCCTACTAACAAAGGTCTGTGAGAGGTTTTGGGGTGATGTTTATCAATTCAGAAACAAGCTTTTATTGAGCACTTACTCTGTGCCAGTCTCTTGGCCGAGGACCAGATTGAACAGTGGTGAACAAGACAGACAAGTCTCGGCTTAAGGCAGCTTACTGTGTAGCACGGAAGACTGACATTAAGCCAACACAGAAATAAATATATAACTACAGATTTCATTGCATCATGTGCAAAAAACACCCATGAAGCCAGAAGACTGAGTGTGATTTAGCTGGAGGGAAAAGTCAAGAAGAGCCAGACCAACAGAAGAACTCTTTGTGTCGGCCTACAGCAGAAAGGAGTTTAGACGCTTGAGGGAAGAGGAAAAAGAGAGTTGGGGCAGGGAAGAGGTTGCAACTGGATGTACTTTGACATCAATTTTTAAAAACCCTAAACCAATCAAGCATTGTAAAAGTCCATACCTCATCTCACCAAAAATCTATTACTCTGAAATCTACTATTGTTTTTCTTCTGAAATATATTACTGCCATCTCCCTCCTCCCTCCCTCCCTCCCTCCCTCCCTCCCTCTCTCCCTCTCTTTCTCTCTTTCTTTCTCACTTTCTTTTCTTCCTTCCTTCCTTTCTTCCTTCCTTCCTTTCTTCCTTTCTTCCTTTCTTCCTTTCTTCCTTTCTTTCTTTCTTTCTTTCTCTCTTTCTCTCTTTCTCTCTTTCTCTCTTTCTCTCTTTCTTTCTTTCCTTTCTTTCTTTCTTTCTGACAGAGTCTCACTCTGTCACCCAGGCTGGAGTGCATGGCACAATCTCGGCTCACAGCAACCTCTGCCTCCTGGGTTCAAGCAATTCTCTGCCTCAGTAGCTGGGATTACAGGCAACCACCACCATGCCCGGCTATTTTTTTATTTTTATTTTTAGTAGAGACAGGGTTTCACCATCTTAGCCAGGCTGGTCTTGAACTCCTGACCTCATGATCCACCTGTCTTGGCCTTCCAAAGTGCTGGTATTACAGGCATGAGCCACCGCGCCCAACCTCTTTTCTTTTTTGAATAACTGTACCTACCTTTTTTCTTATCTGTGTTTCCAAATTATGGCTCTTACCTCATATGAGGTCTTATATCTCTCTCTTTTTTTTTTTTTTTTTTTTTTGAGACAGACTCTCGCTCTGTCGCCCAGGCAGTAGTGCAGTGACGCAACCTCGGCTCAGTGCAATCTTCATCTCCCGGATTCAAGTGATTCTCCTGCCTCAGCCTCCTGAGTAGCTGGGATTATAGGCATGCGCCACCTCACCCAGCTAATTTTTGTATTTATAGTAGAGACGAGGTTTCCCCATGTTGACCAGACTGGTCTCGAACTCCTGACCTCAAGTGATCCACCCGCCTCGGCCTCCCAAAGTGCTGGGATTACAGGCATGAGTCACTGCGCCCGGCCAAGGTCTTATATCTCTTTATTTTTTTCTTTTTCTCTATAATTTCCTACATGTTAATAACTCCTCTCATCACTGTGAAGCCTGCAATGTCCTTCATGTTCCCATCCAGTGAGGAGTCCAGTTTCCTTTTGACTATATCATGCTTTAGGAGGGATGCCCTTGAATGTTTTTTGAATGCGTTTGTCCTTAAATCACTGTTGACTATAAATATATATTTATATATATACACACACAAATAGCCAAAGGAAGATATCGTTTAAGTCTGAGACCAAAACTAGGCAAGGTTTTCTGTCTTTATTTTGTATTTTTGTACGCATTACAGTGTTAGACAGCTTTTAATTAGCCTCGCTGAGTAAAACTGCTGCTGATGGATTTTTCTTTGTGGGTGGGGGTGGATGCTCAGTTTTCTACCCTGATTACTAATTATTATTGTCTTTGCCTTTCAAATCAAATCATAGTTTTGAAATCACAGAGCTCGATTTAACTGCAGCCTGATGACTCTATAATAATTTTGAGGAATATTGTGCAAGATTCTACTTTCCCTGATTTCTATTTGTTATGAGCTCATATTTATGAATGGAAGTGTGCAGTCCAGTCTGATCTATGGCTTGTTACAAATGTGGAATATGTATGCGTTGCTGTTTCTGCCTTCTTTGCAACACACCACCACCGTGATTCATGTGTAAACAGGAGGCCGCTTCTCCTCAGTCCTTCCCTTCCATCTTGTCCATGTGCTTCACAATTACAGCCAGTTGAGGAGGCGAAGTACACAGAGGCCACTGAGTTATTTTACATGCTGTGGGCTGCCAGCACATTGTGAATCCCTAGGGATCCCCGAAGCCCATTACCAACCCAGTGAATCACTCTGTTTGCTTTTCCGCAAAAAAGAAATGTGCAGCTGCGTACTTCTGCCACGGACTTTGGAATTTTGTTCCCTCTTCCATCTGCGTTTTGTGTAAAGAAATTCTGCCGGAATAATTACTTGTCTGTCCCCTTTGCTCATTCCCAACATAATCATTCTTCAACCTTCTGTTTCCAATTAGTTCTTATCTCAAATGGCTTATTGGCATCAATCTGTTCTCAGCATCACCAAAGTGCACAAAACTACCCTGAAACATAGGGGAATCTAGATAAGGCTGAGGCTCACCCATCAATCCAGTGGAGTCTCCTCATTTCACCCCAGTGCCTTCCTTTTCTCAGGAAACCTGAGACAGGAGATGGTGTTGAGACAGGCTGTTGATATAGCACATTTTGGAGCAAAATGACATCCATGAATATTGCAGGTACTGTGCAAGGTCTGCGAACATAGCCATTGTTGGACATCTGGTGTCAAAAAGAACTGTTTCAAAACAAGGTCACAGTGTTAAATCATGGTGTAGACAGCTTCTGAGCAGTGTCCACTGCTGGAGAGGGTAACCGAGACCTGTTTGTCAATGGTTGCACTCTAAGTCTTGGTAGTCACTTTGATCTGCAAACTGTTTTGCCACAGGATCATGACTAAAAGTGGGCTGAAAGAACTCTGCTGCCTTTATTAGTCAGCTAGGCATAAAGAGAGAGTGGTAATAGGGTCAGGCAAGAAAAACAGCACTTTCGAAAAGGCTAGTGAACTTGGCATGGCATGAACAAGCCCAAGGACACATGTTTGATAAACATGTAGTTACCTATGCTCAGACAAAAGAGGCTTTAGAACTTATACATCCAAAGTTCCTTTTTTTCTTCTTTTCCAAAGAAACTGACATCGAAGGGCATTAAATGGCTTTTCCAAAATCATAACTAATTAATGGTAGAAGTTGAATTCCAATCTTTTTAACTCCTAGTAAAGTGCTCTTTCTAACAAGCTGCACTGCCAAGACCATGTCTGGAATAACTCATTTAAAGCACAGGTCAAAACTGCTCTTTTTATTCCATGAGCATGTGGATTTCCCTCTCTTAGTCATTGCTTAGTTCTAGGACCACGGCCAATACTTGCCACATAGGAGACATTCAATAAATCTATATTTTCTGGAAGAATGGAGAAATGAATAGAACTACATTAAGGCACTAGCAGGCATTGAGTGCCTCCTATGGGCCAGACACATTTCATACAGTGTTTCATTTGCACCCCCATCTTGGGAATGGGTCCCTGGGACAAATCCCTCTTCCTGGGGTCTAAACTCTTCCAAGGAGAAGCCATTTTGTAATGAGATTTTTATCTGGACGCAAAATCAGCCCCTAAGGAATTTGAAAGTTGTATGCTTTAGGTATAGAATTACTGGAGGCAATT
Source organism: Homo sapiens (assembly GCF_000001405.40). Classification (NCBI taxonomy): domain Eukaryota; kingdom Metazoa; phylum Chordata; class Mammalia; order Primates; family Hominidae; genus Homo; species Homo sapiens. The sequence goes on from NC_000006.12 coordinate 139,927,697, forward strand.
GACTATGCCGCCACAGTTTAATTTCAGATTCACTGTAAATGTGGGATTGGATTTTATCTATCATTTTAAAAGATCTCTTTGGGTGGGGTTGCCCTGTCTTGCTGGCACCCCTTGAAAAACCCCACCCTTGAGCACTCCCTCACTCTAGATGTGATGAGGCTCCCCACCCCCACCTCCCCATCTCTCCTTGCCTCAGAGGAGTCAGGCTGCACTCAGCCCCATTGGACCTATAGTACTGGCTGGGGCTTACTTGCAGCCTTTCTCTGGGACATACTGGACCACAGCACACACATTTTGCCTGGCAGCCTGTTCATGTCCCTCTGAGGATCCCTGATAGTTCTGTTTTTCTTCTGGCTTGCTAGAAGGGAAAAGGGTTTCTAAGGGTAAGTGGCTGTCAAGATAACACCCCAGTCCTCCTTTGCCATTGGTGTGTCTCATGCCTGAAGTGGTAGAGATGTACACCCCTTAACATCCCTGGCTAACTGAAATTCTTTCCCTTTCCTTATCTCCTCAGTGTTGGAGGAAAAAGTTGCCATTGAAACTCACTTGAGCTTTCATTCATACTCTGGTCAGTTCCTGTATAATGGTACTTTCGTGTACAGGGGAAGAAAAAGTTCTTTTACTTCCACTAAGAAAGAAAAATTGACTTTAAAGTAGGAGATAGTTGTTATCAACCCTATTTACATATGAAGAAACCAAGGTTTGAAGATGTTTCTATGTGTGCATGTGTGTCTCAAGATTCTCAACTAATTGATAGGAGAAAACAGAGTTAAAATACAAGTTGGTCTAATTCAGAAACCCAAATTATTTCTGTGACACCAACCTTTACATGAGAGAAGATAAACAGATATGAGAGTCAATACAGTCCCATTCTTGCAGATAATATACAAAATAAAAGAAAATCAATAGTTGATTTGCAGAATTATAGCTCTTCCCACTCATACAATTACCAGAGAGAAAGAGAGAGAGAAATGCAGTTTTTATCCATATTAAAACACACACATACACACACTCAAAACCGGCAAAATTTCATGATCAGTTCATTGCAAAGTGTGATTCTCCTAGGATGCCGTCAGCTTTCTTTGATTTTCTTTACATTTTGAGGCTCTACCACTGGTAAAAAGTGAGCTAATTGTGTCAAATGGTGGTTTATTAAAAGAAGTTATTGTTAATTCAGTGCCATAGAGAAATCAATGGATTTCACACATTGCCAAAGCTCCTGTATCAGTTGATGTGCCACCTTTTCATTTATGTAAAAATTTAACTTCACAAAAATTATCATGGAAATATTAAGTTTTCTTTCATAAATTGCTGTAGATAGTTTTCATGAAATCTCTTCATCTAAACTTACTAAAAAAAAATATTTTGGTCCTCTACAGGTATGGACAGAATAAAACCCACGATTTATATGGTTCACATATTAGCCAAAGCAAGAGGTATGTTTGCAACCTAAGCTACTTATAAAAACAAACAAAGCTGCTTAGTTTTTCCTCTTATTTGCATATGCATTTATTTTTATATAGTTTTTGGTATTAAGAGGCCACAAACCCTTTAGCAAACAGTTTGTGGAATGAACTGGAGTCTCTGCTTCCTTGTAAAGAAAGGAGGACCCGGCCGGGCGCGGTGGCTCACGCTGTATTCCCAGCACTTTGGGAGGCCGAGGCGGGTGGATCGCGAGGTCAGGAGATCAAGACTCATTCTGGCTAACACGGTGAAACCCCCGTCTCTACTAAAAATACAAAAAATTAGCCGGGTGCGGTGGCAGGCGCCCGTAGTCCCAGCTACTCGGGAGGCTGAGGCAGGAGAATGGCGTGAACCCGGGAGGCGGAGCTTGGAGTGAGCCAAGATCGCGCCACTGCACTCCAGCCTGGGCAAAACAGCAAGACTCCGTCTCAAAAAAAATAAATAAATAAAAGAAAGGAGGACCTAGTTCTGAAGATTGGATTATAATATTCGAAATGCTTAATAGCTATGGCTTATTGATTGATTGATTGACTATTTTGCACACAAGGTTTCAGGCACAGTACATTCACCATATGACCTCCCAACCTCCAGACAGCCTCCAGGGGAAATATTATTATCACTATTTTACAGATGAGGAAACTGAAGCTAACAAAGTTTGAAGCACTTGTCTAAGCTCCTTCTTTAATATTTGTCAGAGCTGAGATTCAAACCCAACAATAACCACAAAGCTCTTGCAATGTCCAGCTTCATTTAATATTGTAAAGGATAGTTTCAAATTTCAAGCTAATAGTTTGATAAGTGATAGGTAACCAACTCGCCTTTACAGGTTGCACAGCTAACTCTTGTCTTTCTTCTTGGCAAGTTATAGAGCTTTGGAATACAATTTTAATGCTTTAAAGATCTCCGTGAAGCCGGTTAAACACATCAGTCAAGGAAGTGTTTAAGTTACACACATATCAGCGTACACCGCTATATGGGGCGGAATTTGACACTTTGGCCTTGCTCTTATTCAAAATACAAAGCTATTTTTCTCAAGAAACGCAAAACGAAATAAAACAGACCACTTTTTTCTCATGTCTACAGACCACTTCATGTGTATATGATTTGACTGTTCAATATGGCAAACATATGATAATTTATTCAATTATAATAATATACCAACTTTGTTATCTATGTGTCTGGTGGCATGATTAACGACCTAGTGTATCTGAATTATCTACCAATTAACTTTCATTAGAAGCTCAGAGGAGACGCTGATATTCCCACAATATATTCTGAAAGTATTATTTATTCAGTTTAGATATTGTTTAAGCATAAGCTTGTATTAGGCCATGTTGCAGAAACATGCAGATCTGTGTCTTCTCTTTCTTCCAACCTCTCCTTTCTCTCTTCATTTTCCAACTTTACTTCCCACGTTGCCTTTATAGAACTACAATTTTTAATGTGCTTGGCTTCAGTGTCAGAGCAATATGAGGAATAGCCATGTGGAACGTATCTATATTGCTTGTAAAATTGCTATGGGGGACATTATGGAGCTCCCTGTCCCTTACATAAAGATCATTTTGACAAATTCTTCTTCGAACTCAGGGATAGGAAAGTTTATCTTTGTTGATGAACTGGTGTGCTTTCTGTTCATAGAAAATGATGGCTCTGTAATCCATCATGTTGTCTCTGCTTCGGCTGTTAGGAAATGATGAACTAGAACTTGGCCCAATCACAGCAATGTTCCTCAGGTAGGATTTCCTGTGTATGTTCATTCACTGGTTTTTCCTTTTAGAATTTATTTTTATTCATTATTTTGTTGTAACAGTTGCTATATTTATGCATTTTACAAATATGTCACTGCTTATCCTTTTTGGGATTAGGTTAGGGTACAAATGACTTAACAGAAGTATATGTGTTCGTAGTTGTGTTTGTACACGAGGCAGGGGAAAGAGAGAGACGTACATTTTTCTAAGATTCACGAAGTCTATTTTATTGCTTTTCACCATATCATCTTCATCAAATTATTCAGACTCCATGGTGAGCATAACATTGTGCTAGATATATGCAGAAGAAAATAGAACAAAAACTGAGTTTGTGAGGTGAAAGGCCATGAGAACACATTTCCTCTCAAAACTGCACAAATTCTGCTTAAAAATTCAAGGCTTTTTACTAGCTATATGAGAAAGTGACTGAAAGGGTCTACCAGCCTGTTACTCTGTATTAGATCTCATTTTTCTAAGTGTACCTTCAGTTAAAGCAAGATTTATTTATTTTCATTTCTCTTTCTTTCAAAAAGGATTTGGGACAGTTATCATAATATGAACTAAATAGGAACTAAATATATGTAATTAAATTACAATAAAGTTCATGTTAACATGGATAGGGCTAAAAGTTTAATGGATCTTTAACTTATCAGTGTTACTACTTTTAATGCTGTGTGCTTTTACTTACAAAAGGAAACCACCTCCACTAATTTAATGCAAACATTTGCTTATAGATGTTTGTTACTGTTTTAGTTGAAAATATTTTTTCTTTTTGTAAATGTGGCATATAATTTTTGCTTAGTGGCTTCACAATACAATCTCTTAAAGTGTTGCCTAAGAATCTGAAATAGTTTCTAAAAGGGGGCGACTCCAAAGAGCCAACAGGGGCGGGCAGGGTAATGCTCAAATTAACAGACATGATTGGGAGATTCAGGCTCCTTATTTATACCATTTTATGATTAACTGAGGGTCAACTCTGCTGTGAAATGAGGTCCTACAAGGGAGGAGGGGCTGGCTTTTGAGGAATGCACTTTCACTTGTGTGCAGTGTCATTAAACACAGTGAAGTTTCAACAGTGAAGTCTGCCTCTCTCCCATTTCTCTTCACAGCACACCTCTCTTCCTACCTTTTGTTTAATCTAGCCAATATCCTCTCTCACTACCTTGAACTTTACAGCTAATGATGAGTAAGTGGTATGAACAATAGCAGCTGATATAGATTTAAAGGACTACTTTTAGGAGAAGGTTGCATTTGAATAGGAAAACACATCTACGTAGATGTAGGTGAACACCTTGCAAGACTCAATGGAATAATCTCTCATGGTTGATATTTGGTCTTCATGGTAGGCTGAAGGCTGATGCTGGAATGGGAGAGATGTCTATGATGGACTCATCAAAATTACGCTACAGAAATATCCAGACCTACTGTCAGTCTGTCATTCTTGAAATATAAATTTTTACGAACATTTAATCTATTAGTAGGAAATAATTAACATTAGAGACAATATATTTTGGAAAAAAAGTGATAAAATACATAACATCAGTTTTGATAATTAGTGTACTCCCACAAAACACTGAGTATTTTTCTTTAAAAAATATTTCATAACCAGGGTCACCAATTAAAATTTTCCAAAATCGCATGTTTCCTCTCTCCTTATATTTGTAAGTTCTATACCACCTTCCTCATTTTTTTTTAACAAGTTGGCAAGCATATTGTTTCCTCCTGGTGTTGGAATAAATAACTAAAAGCATTTTAAAAACTCATCCATCAATTATCGCTTTTTTTCTTTAGAAAACTATTAACCTTTTTTTTCATTGATTTTACTGCCTCACAGTCAAATCAACTTACCTATACTTGTTTTTCACGGTTCAGTGTGCAGGAATGAGCAATGATTTCCTTCATCAACCATCCACCTAAAAATTGTTTTGCTTATTAGTCAGTATAAATTGTTTTCCTACCAAAACATAACATATCAGCATGGAAAGATTTATTGCCCAATTTCACTCTACTAGTTTTTCCCTTGTCCAATACAGAAGCCTAAAAATACTGGTGTCTGATGTGCTGTAGAAGGAGAATAGACTCTGTTACCACAGAGGTCTAGGTTCTCTTCTATTTGGCAGCGTCCTTCCTCTGTGGCCTTATCTCCTGTTTGTCCCCCTGACATGAATTCTATCTAGCTCATCTGGATCCCTTCCTCAGTATGCTCTTTAAGTTTGGACTACCTTTCATAAACATACTTCTTCAATTACCGTCTCCTAAATCCTATCCTCAATCTATTTCGCGGAAGTGAACTTTTTCTGATTGCTCTTCTATAAGTGGTTGAGACTAAAGGTCTCAACTACTTATATAACTTCTACCACTCAAGGCGTGTTGGTAGAGTTTTGCATATGTTGGGGCTCAGAAAACAATACCTCAGAATATGACATGTTGGCATGTTGAGTGCTTTGAACAAAGGAGATTGAAAGGCCTCAGTAATAAGCCTTAGCACCAATGTCTCTCTCTGACTTCCCTTCCCTAGTGCAGGGAGGTGTTCTTTCTGAAGTTCCTTTATCTGACTGAGGGAAGTTCTTTCAAAAGGAATGCAGTCGTCTTAAACTCCCTACCTAGGAATATCATCAAATAACCAGGGAAGATTAATTACTGGAGAGATTAAAAAGTTATCACCATATCCAGACAGGCTATGGCCTATTCTTCTGGAGGCTGCTCTGAAAAAAATTTTTTTTAACCTTAGAGACTTTATCTGCATCCTAAGACAACCTTTGTTTGCAGTGCAGCTCTGCTCCTCATCTTCCCATAACTTGTCACCACCTCCCCCAAGCCCTGAGGAACTTTGTCCCAGGATACTACTCTGTGTTGCTCAGACCCATTCACTTTTCTCTAAAAATTATTTATTCTTTCTTTAAAATTGCCTACATTCTCCACTTTTTGCTCCCCTATGAAGAAGGTATTCAAACTTCAACCATTAGGCTCTTTCTTGAGCTTCATATTTTGTGTGGCTGCCATGTACATGTGCACATTAATAAACTTGTTTGCCTTTTCTCCTGTTAATCTGTTTATTGTCTGTTTATTTCAGCGACTCAATTACCTAACCTCCAGCGGGAAAGTTTAAACCTTCCTACACATACTTGTATAAGTATACAAGTTAATTTTCTATTCTACCACTACTGTTGAGTAGCTACCATACAGCAGATACTATATGATAAACAGGGGATATTAAGAAGAGTAAGATACAATTCCTGACCTTAAAAGCTTACAGTTAAGAGGTAATGACACACATTTTAACAAATAATTAGCATACACTGTTATCAAAACAAAATAAGAGAGAGATCCCCAAAGTATTAATGAGATACAGAAGAGTATCATGGTTATCATAGGTTATCTTTATCAAGATGACGATGTCTAAGTGGGCCTTGAGGAATAAATTGTGAGGGGAAGGGGCATTAGTAACAAAGGAAATAGGTTTTACAGAAGAAGAAAGAGCATGGAATATTCTTTGACAGAGATCAACAATCTCTTATTCACACTCTCAACTCTAAAAAGTTTCAAAAACTAAAAATTTTTTTCTTAACTCATTTGGTGTTAATATTGATCTCATCTTATCTCAGAAAACCTCAACTGAACTGACATGAAATTAGTAATTTTAGGTTTTACTTTAGCCATATTGATGTATTCGATATGGTGCTGCCCCAGATTTCTGATAAATTATCTAAGTTGTACACCAAGTTACTGTCTAAAATCTGAAAAATTCTGAATTCTGTAACACGTCTGTCTCTAGCACCATTGGATTCGGGATTGTGGGAAAGGTGGTGGGTGCCTGTAATCTCAGCTACTCGGGAGGCTGAGGCAGGAGAATCTCTTGAACTCAGGAGGCAGTTTGCAGTGAGCCGAGATCGTGCCATTGCATCCAGCCTGGGAGACAAGAGTGAAACTGTCTCACAAAACAATCAACAAACAACAACAACAACAACAACAAAAATTCTAAAGGCTGTTAAGATGGAATAAAACAGATAAAACTGGAAAAATAATTTTGGGCCAGACTGTATAGAATATTTTATTCCAAGGCTAGTCAGTTTGGACTTGAACCTACAAACATGAGCAAAAGTGTGCATAAGAGACCTAGCTGAACATGATTTTCAAGGCCTGTGTCTTATACTCTTATTTTAGACTTCAGCAAGAGTGTCATATCCTTTCTAGCACTTTCTCTACCTTCATAGATAGAATAGGTCACTTGCCTCTATTTCTTCATGGCTTTATTCAGAGAATCATTGTAATGCAACATGTTGTGTTATTCAGCATATGTAGTTTGTTTCTGTATTTAATTAGGACATAAACTATATCAAGAGACCATTTATTACAATTCATTCAGCAGCTCTGGTTTATTTATTTATTTTTTTTTATATTATTTTATTTGTTGATTGGCTTGCTTCTATCTCTCCTTGTTCCAAAATGATTTAAGACAGCTGGAACCATCTCTCAATCACTTCATATTGAATTCACTAATTAAAATAAAATACTATATTTAGAGTGCTCTAAGTGCCAGGATCTGTTCTAAGTGCTTTACAAAAATGACAAAAGAATACCTCGTAATCCTCAAAACAATTCTATAAGATAGACACTGTTATCATAACCATTTGTCATTTGAGGAAACGGATGCTCAGAGAGGTCAATTAATTTACTTCAGGCTGTAGAGCTAGTAACTCTCATAGCCATAGCATTTCATCTTACCCTGTAAGCCACACTGCCTCCTGATGAACGAACTCTGCATCCCATGCATTGCCCAGCAAAGTGTCTTGCATAAAATACATTATCAAAGAATATTTGTTAATACGCGAGATAAATTTGATGTTTTAAGATGATAATTTGCCTGAATTTGTGAAAGTTACCTCCTTCCTTCAGTGCCTTCAGTGACTCAATTCTTTTTTTTTTGCTTTTGTTTTTGTTTTGAGATGGAGTCTCACTCTGTGGCCCAGGCTGGAGTGCAGTGGTGCCATCTAGGCTCACTACAAGCTCCGCTTCCCAGGTTCACGCCATTCTCCTGCCTCAGCCTCCTGAGCAGCTGGGACTACAGGCACCTGCCGCCATGTCCGGCTAATTTTTTCTATTTTTTAGTAGAGACGGGGTTTCACCATGTTAGCCAGGATGGTCTTGATCTCCTGACCTTGTGATCCGCCCGCCTCAGCCTCCCATTCAGTGACTCAATTCTAAGAGCCACATTTGGCGGACGTTCATTGACATGGTGGGAGCATAGCATGCAGGTGAATTCTGTGTTATCTATAAATGAACTTGAATTTTTTAAAATACACAAGTAAGGCATGTTTATTGTAAAAATGGAAACAAAAACACAGAAAAAAAAAAAAGAAAGTCCTTTTTAATTTCTTTCCTTGATTTTATTCCCCAGAGTCATTTGGCCACCGAGGAAATCTGCACTGACATTTGGCATTGAAATACACCTGGATTCACATATACATATATAACATAATTTTACACATATGTATAGAAAACTGTTGATTTAGTTGTCTATAGTCATTTGTCCAGTGGATTCAATAAAACTTATTTATATATCAAAATTATGACACCGTTACTGTTACAAATTTTAGTGATCCCCTAGCAAGAAACACTTGGGGTTTTTTTTCCATTGACAAAAATGGAATGTCTACATAATTCCTGCATTTTTTTAAACATCATTCATGATTTTGGTGTTTTGTGAGGTAAAATGCTTTGCATGACAAGACAGTGTAGGGTCAGAGGAGATTGTCACTTTTTTTTTTTTTTGAGACAGAGTCTTGCTCTGTCACCAGGCTGGAGTGCAGTGGCGTGATCTCGGCTCACTGCAACCTCTGCCTCCCCAGTTCAAGTGATTATCCTGCCTCAGCCTCCCCAGTAGCTGGAACTACAGGCACGTGCCACCATGTCCAGCTAATTTTTGTATTTTTAGTAGAGATGGGGTTTCACCATGTTGGGCAGGTTGGTCTTGATCTCTTGACCTCATGATCCGCCTGCCTTGGCCTCCCAAAAGTGCTGGGATTATAGGTGTGAGCCACTATGCCTGGCCCATACTTTTTAATTATCTACAAGAAAAGGTGAAGAAAGTACTTAATTAAATTTACAGGTGATGCTAAATTGAGAGACGTTGAGAACATCCGTGAGGGCTGATATTCAAAGAAGTTAGAAATATGTAAAAGAAACAGCAAAACAATATTTAGATTGCCAAAAATTTAATTGAATGTGTTAAAGGCTTATTAATCAGCCCACCAATTACTTATAAGAAGTAGAAGAAATAGTGACTTGTGCTTTTATAGTGAGATATGACTGCAAAACTAAGATCACACCCAAACTAAACAATCTTTACTCCTATATATGCCAGTATGCCTTGTGACTCTCTTAGAATAATTAATTTTATAAGTTAAATACTGTTCTTTTAAGGTCATTCTAAGTTCTTTCATTCTGGAGAAAAACCTAGAAGGAAATGAATACTTACTGTAAACCTACCATCAATAGGCATTTCATTTACATAGATTATCTCATATAATTTTCAATATAACTGTGTGAAAAAGGTACAGTGTTCATATCTTTGTCTGTTGTTCTTTTTTTTTTTTGAAACGGAGTCTCACTCTGTTTCCCAGGCTGGAGTGCAGTGGCGCTATCTTGGCTCACGGCAAGCTCCGCCTCCTGGGTTCACGCCATTCTCCTGCCTCAGCCTCCGGAGTAGCTGGGACTACAGGAGCCCGCCACCACGCCCTGCTAATTTTTTATATTTTTAGTAGAGACGGGGTTTCATCGTGTTAGCCAGGATGGTCTTGATCTCCTGACTTCGTGATCCGCCCACCTAGGCCTTCCAAAGTGCTGGGATTACAGGCGTGAGCCACCGTGCCCGGCCGTCTGTTGTTCTTTTTTGTTTCAGCTTATATCTGAATTTGACAATTTATTTTCTGATATTTGATATGAAATTTTCTCCTAAAATCAAACTTTCATGTAAATTCATATTAAAATATCTATATAAATTTAAGTAGGCAAAAAACTGGACACAATTTTATTTTAATTAAACTTTTAAAATTAAAATGCAATGCTACACTAGCTACCACTCATAAGCTAATGAGTGATTTTTAAATTAGTCTAATTATTCAGAGACAGCCATGGAGTGTTGTGCTGCTGAACTACAGTAATAATGACATGTGTCCATAGTTTGTTGTTGTGTCCATGGCAGGCATTTGTGAAATATCTATTCATCAGGCAATACTTAGTGAGAATGTGTTTAGCCATTATAAAAAGGTATATGCAAATGAGCGTCCCATGAGACTTTGCAACAAACATTTAATTAGCTATACAAAGAAACAGTTAAATATACAAACACATTACAGAAAATTGGCTAGCGTGTATTGTTAATTTGTGCACATAATTCCTAAATAGCACTGTTTAATAACATTTGTCTTTATCATATGCCTATTAATAGACATGTGTAATTTTACTTGAAAATTAATTTTGTTGTGTTTCTTCTATCTTCTCTTAATAAAAAATCATAAATATATTGAGTAACATAATTTGGATATTTTTAGCATTGCATTTTTAATTAAGGACAGTAAAATGTCAAAACTGAAGTATGGATTTATTAAGTTGATACAAAAAAGAGAAATTCATAGAGTAGTGTACATTACAGAGGTAGGTGTCAAACATTATTTACCATTGTATACAACACATAATACTAATCTATAGTTTTAAAATTGGTATATTTATTCTAAAATACTTGTGTTAAAGTTTGTAGTTTCTTCATTTGTCCCTAAACTAGACACACAATTCTTTATTTTAAATAAAAACTCATTAATGACATTTGTAGTTTGAGCTCCCGAATGTCAAGAAAATTCTTCTTTGTGAATCTAGATCTTTAATAAATACTTGCTTTATATTTTCTTGCTTTAAATCATAAAGATATTCTATAGGAATATATTCAGATTAACATTTAAATTTTTCTTTTGTGTCATCCTCACACATTTTTTATATGCTTTTTAAAAATCTACTTAAACTTTCATCATGACATTCTGTTTCTTATTCACATAATGAATGACATGAAGAGTTAACAAGGCATTACTGTGTATCTCATAACGTGATAATAGGATGCTTAAAAACACATTCAGAATAATCTTTTTTAAAGAATTTAAAGAGTAATCACAAGTTATAACAAGGACAGTAGTTCACAATTTCAAGCAAGTCTTCTCAATTTGAGTATTAACTCCCAGCTCAGTGGGAATCAGAAATACCTAGTTTTTAAAAAAATTAAACAAGAGTCATTTTATTTTTAGATAATCAAGAGGAGTTACTAGGTGTAGCAGCTGACCAGCCAGCTTTTCCAACACTATTTGCATCTCTGAAGCCCCCAAGGACAGAAAAGAGTCTTTTAATTGGTGAATCAACTTTAGTAGAAACATGCATCTAGGAAATGAGGCCTACACTGTTGTCTTCACACCAGGCAAACCAGCTCCTGTTGTCATGGTGATCTTCTATAGCATGCTAGAGCCAGTGATGTGGAAAACAAGATGGCTTCCCCATTTATTTAGCCTTAAAGAAAGTTGCAGATATTAGCACATGATTATTGAATTTAAAGTATTTTTAATACATCTATTAAGATATTAAAAAATTTACTTGGGATAAAATTTAGCTGTCTCCCAAACTTCTAAAATTATCTGTGAGCTTCAAGGTAAAGGAATTATTTTCTTTCTTTTAAATGTAAATGTCTTAAAACCCAGCTTTCCCATTGAGCTATGCTTCAAGGAGCAGGTCAGATTTCAGTTCATGTATGATTTCTATTTATTTTGGATTAGCATGAGGGTTATAGAATGACACATGTTATATGTAGGCTTTATTGTGTAAGAATAAGCTGCTTCAGCAATTTCATCGCTTGTAAAGGAGCTCTACATCTGAAAGAGACCCTGAGTTTTCAGATTGGAAGCCAATAAAGTAGGAAAAATGCAGAAAGGAAAGATCCTAGCGATCTAAAATTGGAAAGAAGCTTCTTGTCACTCATAGATGATTTTTCCATCTCCAGTTTAAAAATGGTATAGGCAATTTTTATTGAGTGACCTTTTAATAAACATTTGGACACAAAACAATCTTTCCATTTTGGGCTTCTCTACTCATTCATTCATCTTTTAACAAAACGGAACTGAGACAAATCTCTAAAATATTTTGTAAGTATTACAAGAGAGAGATGGAAGGATTAAGATGCGAATGCTTTACAATTAGTTAATTAATTATTTATATGAGATTTCTTCTATGAAAACAAGCACATGGAAAGCGATGAAGACAAAATTTTCTCCTAAATTACAATATATGTTTCTAAAGTTGATAGGAACTTTGAGTGATGCTCATATTATTTTGCAGAGTGCAGGTGCACAATAGTACATTTGTTGTTTGCTTTTCGATTACACTTTTAGGAAAGTGACAGCTAAATTTGATTTTATATATGTAGCTACCCTTCTATTAATTCATCATTTTGATGAATAGCTATAGCATTCAATAAAGCCATTAATATCAATGACTACTAAACTTCAGATGTAGCATTTTCCAAACTGTCTTTTGAGACACTTGTGTTTTGGACAATGTTAATATGTTTTCTGTCATCAAAGAGTTTTATAACCCAATTAGTTTGGAAAAAATTGCATTTTATCACCCTTTTGGTGATTCAAAATGAGTTTATGTATTAATGACACACAAAAGTTCTATAGTAAAGAGATCTGTTTAACCCACTGTTTCCAAAGGCTTTTGACCATGAATCCTCACCATCCCCCAACCCCACCACCCAGAAAACATTTAATTACATCTTGTGGCACGCTAGTGATTTTGGAAACATAACTGGGAACCGTGGTTTTAATAGAAGGGATTATTCTGATATTGTCAAGACTCTGATTTTGATTTTCTCAGATTCTGGTAATCTTTGTTTACATTTAGTTCCCACCCTGAACATGCATAAGCCTGATCACGAGGCTGATCACCAGGCTACTAGAGAATGTTTACGCTGCAAGTGTGAATGAAAGTTGTCTACCCTGAGGCTGTGCCCTGGTCTGAAGCACTGAATGCTCACTTTCCACCCCGTTTCATCATTTTTTCTTAACAAATTCCCTGGCAGAAGTGGTGACAATGTTTTGTTAAGAAAAAATAAAAAAGAGGCTTGGTGATATTTTGGCCAACATATTTTTCTTTCAGCATCTCGAGCTATAATTACTGTGTTGTTCCTGGGCAGAGTAAACTATATAGAGATAGAAGGTTCTATTAGGGGTACAAGGCTGTGGAAATTCCTCTTAAAGAGGAAGTGAGCAATAATTTACATACATTTATAGAGTAGTGCCCTCTTATCTGCAGTTTTGCTTTCCATGGTTTCAGTTACTCACGGTCAACTGCAGTCTGAAAATATTACATGGAAAGTTACAAAAATATTGCCTAAGTCTTAAATTGCGTGTCATTCTGAGACACGGGATGAAATCTCTTGCTGTTTTCCTTGGTTCCTCTTGGGAATTATATCTTCCCTTTGTCTAAACCAGTAATCAACAACAACAACAACAACAACAACACACACACACACACACACAACCAGCAGAGTCTTCATAGGACAGGATAAACCTAGGAAGCTATAGACACCATCACTTAGTAGTCATTTGGGTTATCAGACTGTTGCAACATCCCAGTGCTGTGTTTGTCACCTTTATTTTACTTAATAATGGCCCCAAAGTGAAAGAGTAATGATACTGGCCATTGAGACATGCCAAAGAGAAGCCAAAGAGAAGTGCTTCTTTTAAGTGAAAAGACAAAAGTTTTTTGACTTAGTTACAAAAAAAAATTGGCATGCCAAGGTTGCTAAGATCTATAGTGAGAACAAATCTTCTATCTGTGAAATTATGAAGAAGAATAAAAGAAAAATATTTGTACTAGTTTTGCTGTCCCACCTCAAACTGGAAGGGTCCGGAAAAGGAGTGTGCTAAATGCTTAGTTAAGGATTAAAAGAATTAAAATTAAATTTGTGCTTGGAAGACATGCATGGAAGACATGTCAATTAGAACAGAAAACATGTTCTAATTGACAGCCTATTCTCTGTAGTCTCCAGCATCCACTGGAGCTCTGGGAACATATTCTCCCAAGATAAGGGAGGACTACTTCGTGTGTGTTGTAACAATGTTACAATAAGCTAATACAATGACACAGTATTAAAGTTGAAATATTTTGTAGGAAGTTTATGGGCATGTAACAAGATGTGAACACTTGGAATTGCAAAGAATTATAATGTATTGAGAACAAATATAGCTTTGCTTCCACGACATAGGATTTTACCATCCTACAAAGATTCTGCTTCTTGTGTATGTTTATGTGCTGTTATTGTTGTTAATTACTAGGTTCAGATGAGGAATAGTTGTACCCTTAGACGAAATGACCTTGGATGTATATCTTTTTTGCTGCTTTAAAAAAGTAGAAGATGAAACAACAGTTAATTTTCTCTTGGTCTTTTTTGACGTACATTTAAAACAAAATCCCTTTCAGCCTTTATTTTTTCAGAATTCTTGCATAAGTGGAATCCTCAGACACAGCTGTTTGGGCTCACCCTTGCTGATTTGGGAGGCAAGTTAATTCTTTGAAGACATTCTGCTGATGTTAGGGGAACAGAGCTCAAGTCATTTGGGCAGAGGAGATGAGAGATACCGAATTAGATTACTTGATAGGTCCGAGGACTCTCCTTTTCCTCATATGACTTGTAAGCATTGAAACATTTATAGAGCACAAAGGACAGAGGGACGATGAAAAGCCTAAGATGATGAGATACATAAAACGGTGAGAAGAAATTCACTCAGGGAAGTAGAGAGAAAGGCCAAAGTAAAATTAGCAAGCATGTGAAGGGGACAAAGTGTGAGGAAAGATAGACAGAGAGGGATAATGGTTCACAGACAGGAAGATGAGTGTTTGCCGAGACAAATATGGGCTTCAATGGGTAAAGGAGTTTTCTGAGTTTTTGTAGTGATTTTTCCCCCCGCGAGATCAGCAGAGGCCTGGCACAAAGGTTTCAATTTACTGTGCAAAGGCCACTGTCACTTCCTAGCTTTTGCCCTGGCATTTGCCACCTTCCCTGTGGGAGTTGTCAGCTCAGGTAATGCCTACTGAATATCCTAATTACTGTCATTTTATCCGTGGCTCACTTTAGGGTCCAGGAGAAACAATATGGAAACCAGTAAAGCTTTTTTTCAACATGTAGGCAGAACCTGCCTGCCCTTATGTAAAAGTCACTCAAGCAGTACTTCATGCATTGTTACATGTTCTCACCAAATTACTGTTTCTTTGATTTTGGCTTTAAGTTCTCTACTTTCAGTAGCATCACTGCCTTTATCATATTCTGAATCTTTATAGCTTCTCCATCATTTATTTCTCCTAAATTTCCGTATAGATAAAGCAGTCTTCTAAAGCGATGTTTACTATGGCTATAGATGAATAGCCCCCTTTTCTGTTAAATGAGCTGAAGTAAAGGAGAAAAAAAATGAAAATTTCCCTTCTATTTCCATTAACAAATGAACTTGCAGCAAGTCTGAGTGTTGAGTTTAAAAAAAAAAAAAAAAAAAAACATTTCCCCCTTTCCCCAAGTAACTCAATGTTTTTCCAGCAGTGAGGAAAATGAGTTATGCACACAACTGTTCAAAGTTACCTCATCACATCAGAATCAGAAGGGGGTGGGGAAAGGAATTATTTTGCTGTGAATAACCAGGAAGTGCATTTTTGCAGGCAACAGTTCAGGATGAAAACTATAACTGCAAATTAGTTGGTTTTAGAAAAAATGTAAAAAAGAAAATGTTGAGTTACTTGTAGAGATAAGGTTGTAACTGTGTTAGGTCTATTTAAAACAAGTTGAAAATATTGCTTTTTTTATAAATTTGTTTTTCTCCAGATTATATCCATAAATTATTTCTTGAATCCAGTACATAGAAAATAACTGACTACTGATTTTTATGAAATCTACCAATTACATTCTTTAATTACTTTGTTTTACTCCTCCCCCTGATTTCTGAACACAAAGAATATTTATTTTGCCTTTTAGATTCACTTCTAGTTTAACTGCTTGCTTCATGATGCCCTAACAGACTTAAAGTGTGACTGTTGACTCAGCTTCACCTGAACCGAACATCCAACTATAGGTGTAATTAAAAATGTTGAATGGCATCAAGTCAAATTGGGAAAAATTATTCAGTTTATGGCAGAGGGAAGTAAAAACCCTCTTAGGAAAATAGGTAAACTTCAAAACCAGTCCCTTAGACTTCAATTCAGAGAAGGGTGTTTTTCAAACCTTTTAATTTCACTCGAATGCCTTGTATGTCAATGAAACGTGATATTCTTTTTAAGAGCATTAGGTTGAATATAAAGAAACTTTTAAACTCTCCAGGGAGTCCTTTCATTAGGGGTTCTTTTTACAACATCTGGCTAGTGATTTCTAACAGGCTGAAATTAGTGTCTTTTTCTTTTCAATTTTCTATGCTAAAACTATTAGGAAGATTGCCTGTGGTCTAGAAAACTAAACAAAACCCATACTACACGTCCTTCTTAATATGTCCTTTGTCATACATGTGGAATATAAGGGCAATTTTTATGCCCTGAAAAAATTTGAATGTCAAACTGCAAGCAGCCCTCTCCAGGCTGGCCAGGATACGGGGCTATGAACTAATCCCAGAGCTCTGCCCAGTAGGGGCATTTTTTTTTTTTTTTTTAAATAGATGCGGTCTCTCTCTGTTGCCCAGGCTGGAGTGCAGTGGTGCAATCTTGGCTCACTGCAGCCTCCACCTTCTGGGTTCAAGTGATCCTCCTGCCTCAGCCTCCCGAGTAGCTGGGACTACTGACATGCACCACCACACCTGGCTAATTATTGTATTTTTAGTAGAGATGGGATTTCACCTGTTGGCCAGGCTGGTCTTGAACTCCTGACCTCCAGTCATCCACCTGCCTTGGCCTCCCAAAGTGCTGGGATTACAGGTGTGAGCCACTGTGCCCGGCCAATTATGTAACGGTATTAAAGTCTACTTTCTTAGAGGATTTCTATCTAAGGTCTACAAAGATGTAGGTAGAAAGGTTGACAGAGAGCTACAGAAAGAGTAGGCAGCAGAGGGCACGGGGCAAAAGACAACAGAAGTATTCAGTAGTCAGAATAGTCTCTTTTACCAGAGAGAGGTTAGGAAGCTGTGGCAGAAAGAGGAAAAACAGAAGTAGGAGGAAAAGAATAGATAAGTCCGTATAATAATGAATCATTGGAATACAGAACAATGGGAAGTATTATAAGATACATGCTTGCTACATCTCCCAAGCTCCTTTGCAGTGAGGTATGGGTCAGATGAATACATTTTAGCCAGTTGAATCTAAACAGAAATGTCACAAGGCAACCTCTGGGGAGCTTCCTTGTAAGACAGCATGTTTAGAGTGTTAGCCTCTTCTTTCTTATGTCTTTCCCTAGCCCAGCTACCTAGATTGTAGATACTGTCATTTGGACCATGCTTGATTTGGATGGTAAGAAATAAGGAGTGTGAGTTCCTTACACTGAGGAATATTACACCAGCTTTGGATCACCTGTCAAGATATTTATTTGAGAGAGTCCTAAAATTCTATTTTGTTTACATCACTGCTCCTATCCCCCACCTCTACTCTGATTCTTTCATGTGCCCACTCCTAATTGTAAGTAATATATGTGGTTGAAGAACTGTCTAGGAAACACTACGTTTGAATAAGAGAGGACACATACAGATTTTGAGTTATTTAATGAAGATATTCCTAAACAAAAAAGATTGAAAAATAAAATAAAATGCATCTTCTTATCCCTGGAAGTACTCAAATAAAGACTTCATGTCAACTGATGAGTCGTGTTAGAGAAGAAATGCTAGTATTTTTTTTTTTTTTTTTTTTTTTTGAGATGGAGTCTCACTCTGTCACCCAGGCTGGAGTGCAGTGGCGCTGTCTCGGCTCACTGCAAGCTCCACCTCCAGGGTTAACTCCATTCTCCTGCCTCAGCCTCACAAGTAGCTGGGACTACAGGTGCCCGCCACCACGCCCGGCTATTTTTTTTAATTTTTAGTAGAGATGGGGTTTCACCGTGTTAGCCAGGATGGTCTCGATCTCCTGACCTCATGATCCACCTGCCTCGGCCTCCCAAAGTGCTGGGATTACAGGCGTGAGCCACCAAGCCTGGCCAAGAAATGCTAGCATTTTATGAGGATATTGGACTAGACAATTACTCTGTGAATTTTCTATTGTAATACAAATGATTGTAGTTGATGGATAAATTGAGGTGTCTGCATTACTTGCTGTCTATTATAAGAATATTATAACAGAACTTTTTTAATGATGAAGGATGTCTATGGTCACTTCTTATAAATAGTTGACCATGTCTTTACCACATGACTAACTCTCTTTGATTATGCAGTTTAGATGGGTGGGCTCCCAGTCCAATTTTTCCCCAAGAAATTAGAAACCAGACAAAGATGTCAACTATTTCCATGTTATCCAACATCCTAACGAGATCCTATGCAGTGTAATAAGGCAAGAAAAAATATAAATAAGGACTGTAAAGGGAGACATAAAATGTAATTTTTACATGATTGTGCACATAGGAAGTCCAGAATAATGCACAGCATAATAATCAACGTGATAACAACAAAAGAAATAGTGATAAAGAGAAGATCTTGAAAACAGTAAGAGAAGGGGACATACTACCTTTAGGGGGAATAAAGATAAGAATAGCCAACCATTCTTATCAGAAACAATGTAAGCAAGAGACAATAGAAGGACAGTTAAAACTCTACAAATCTATATGCAGAATTTTGAAAATATTTTTCAAAATTTAAGGATACTTAAAGATTGTTATAGAACACAAGAACTGAGAGAATTCATTTCCCATAAACCTGTGCTACAAAAAAATGTTAATATTAGCTTTTCAGGAAGAATAAAAATAATGCCAGGTGGAAACTTGGGGCCAGAAAATTTAATTTTAAAATGTCATAAATGGAAAATATGAAAGACAGTTCCCCCCTCATGTTAAAAATGTTAAGGGATAATCAATTATTTAAAGTAAGAAATAAAAGCAAGGTATTTTGGGATTTGTAAAATATGTACAAGTGAATGGTATTAAAAATAGTACAAAGAATGGGAGGAAAGAAATAAAGAGGATACTTATATTGTAAGTGAAGTGATACATATTATTTGAAGGTAAATGATGAGAAGTAAAAGATGCATACTTTAAATCTTAGAAGAATCATGAGAACAATAACAACAACAAACCCAAAGAAATAAACTCACAATCCAATAGTGGAGATGAACTGGAATATTAAAAAGTATACAATCCAAACGGCCGGGAACAAGAAAAGAAGGAAGAAAAATAGAATATATAGATAAAACCTTACAAAATAGTCACCATACTGTGACTTACATAAAATGCAAAAGATGGCCGGGCGCGGTGGCTCATGCCTGTAATCCCAGCACTTTGGGAGGCCGAGGTAGGCAGATCACAAGGTGAGGAGATCGAGACCGTCCTGGCTAACAGGGTGAAACCCCTTCTCTACTAAAAATATAAAAAAATTAGCCGGGTGTGGTAGCGGGCACCTGCAGTCCCAGCTACTCGGGAGGCTGAGGCAGGAGAATGGCGTGAACCCAGGAGGCGGAGCTTGAGGTGAGCCGAGATAGCGCCACTGCACTCCAGCCTGGGTGACAGAGGGAGACTCTGTCTCAAAAAAAAAAAAAAAAGAAAAAGAAAAAAAGAAAAAAAAAAAGCAAAGGATAAACACAAAAGATAAAGGCAGAGATATAAAAAGCAAGACTCAACTATATGCTGCCTATAGAAACAACTCTTTAAATATAAAGATTCAGATAGATTAAAATTTGGTAAAAAATATATGATTTTTGCATTAATGATAAGAAAAGTAGAATGACTATAGTAATATAAGAGAATATGGACTTTGGACAAGAAAATTACCAGAGATGAAGCGGACTATTTTATTATAAAATACGTCAATCCCATATGTGTATGCACCTCAAAAGAGCTTCAAAGCATATGAAATTTAGAAAGATATATCTTAACTGATAAAATTGAAGAAAAATAGACAAATTAATTATCACAGTAGGAGATTCTACTTTCATCTTTCAGTATAGATAGAACAAATAAACTGAAAATCAGTAAGGATAGAAATCACATGAGCAACACTATGAACCAACTTGACCTTTTTGACATTTGTGGGAACCACTACCAACAGAATATACATCCTTTTCAATTGCGTAGTGAACATTCACCAAAATAGCAGACTATAGAACAAGTCTTCCAAAACTTAGAAGAATTGAAATAATATAAAATATTTTTTGAAAGTGACAAAATATTTTCAAAAATCAACAACAAAACATTTAGAAAACTCTAAATATTTGGAATTAAATGACACACTTCTAAATAACTGACAGAACAAAGAAAAGGATCACAATAAAAGTTAGAAGATATTTTTGATCAATAGTGATAATCAAAATATAATATATAAAATTTTGTGAGCTATCGATAAAGTAAGGTTTAGAGGAAAATTTATGCTTTAAATCCTTATATTAGAAAGGAAAAAAGGATTTTAAAATTTTAAAAACTAAGGTTCCACTTGAAATAAATTAGAAAATGAACAAAGGAAATTCAAACTAAGTAGCAAGAAAGAATTAACAAAGATAAGAGCAGAGATGAATGAAATAGAATGCAAACAAACAATAGAGAAAATTAACAAAATAAAGTTGTAGTTCTCTGATAAACTCAATGATATTGATTAATCTCAATCTTAGTAAATATAGGAAGAAAAATTTCAGGGGGAGACAGATGTTACCAGTGAGAGGAATAAAACAGCAGAACCTCACTATAAATCCTGCTGTGAGGATTTATAAAAACAGCCTATGTACATGAATAGGCTAATGCTATCAACAAATTTATCTCCATACATTTGACAACTGAGAAATAAGAGTAAGAAGCAAAATGAAAAAATTATTTGAAGAATACAAATTATCCAAGATAATCCAAAACAAAAAGAGAAAATCCAATAAACTTAGCCCTATAAAGAAATTTTTTGCAACTAAAAAGTATTCAGTAACGAAATCTCTAGGTCCAAAGATCATCAGCAGTGAATTCTATCAATTATTTCACAGAACATTTTATACTAATCATACACTAACTTTTTCAGAAAATCAAAGAGGAGGCAACATGTCCCATATGATTTTATGAGATCAGCATTGCTCTGTTACTAAAACCAGGAATACATATTAAAAGAAAGGAAAAATAGAGATCAATGTCTCTCATGAATATAGATGCAAATATACTTAACAAAATTTTAGCAAGTTAAATCAGCAATATATAAGAAGGATAAAACTTTATTACCAGGGTGGAGTTTATTATGGAAACTCAATTTAATTCAAAGTTAAATTAGATTATATTAAAAGAATAAAGGAGATACTTCTAGATCATCTGCTAGATATAACAAAGTATTTGATGAAATCCAAAACCCACTTGTTTAAAACAAACAAAACAAAATCTCTCAGCAATCAGCAAACTAGGACTAGAAAGTAATTTGTTGAATATAACAAATTAGAATTATAAAAATCGTACAGCTAAAATCATACCTCATGCTAATAAAGTGAATTTTTTTTTCTAATAAGAGAAAGATGAACATTGACACTGCTTTTGCTCAGCCATGTGCTAGAAGTCTTAGCCAGTGCAACGGGGCAAGAAAAAAAAAAGTACAGACATGGATGCCCTTGCTCCACTCCTGTTCAGCATAGTGCTGGATGTCCTAGCTGGAGCAATCATTCTAAAAAAAGAAAGAAAAGGCATAGGAAGAGAGGAACTCAAGCTAATCCTTTTTGCACACTGTATGATTCTATACCTAGAAATCCCCCTTGTCTCTGCCCTCCTAGATTCATAAGCACCTTCAGCAATCTTTCAAGACACAAAATCAATGTACAAAAATCAAGAATGCATTCCTAAGCATCAAGAATGTCCAAGCTGAGAGCCAAATCAAGAATGCAATCCCATTCACAATAGCCACAAAAATAATAAAATACCTAGGAATACAGGTAACCAGGAAAGTGAAAGATCGCTGCAAGAATTACAAAAATCTGCTCGAAGAAATCAGAGACGACACAAACAAATGGAAAAACATTCCATGCTCATGGATAGGAAGAATCAATATCATTAAAATGGCCATACTGCCAAAGCAGTATGTATAGATTCACAGATTTATAGATTCAATGCTATTCCTATCAAACTACCAATGATATTCCCCATAGAATTAGAAAAAAAAAACCTACTTTATAATCATATGGGACCAAAAAAGAGCCCAAACCAAGGCAATCTTAAGGGAAAAGAACAAAGCTGGAGGCATCACGTAACCTGACTTCAAACTATATTACAAGACTACAGTAACGAAAAGAGCATGATATTGGTACCAAAACAGACACAAACTAATGGGACAGAATAGAGAACCCTGAAATAAAGTAGGCCTACATACCTACAACCATCTGATCTTTGACAAAGTTGACAAAAACAAGCAATGGGGAAAGGACTCTCTATTCAATAAATGCTGCTGGGATAACTGGCTAGCCATATGCAGAAAATTGAAAAGTTACGCCTTCCATACACCATATGCAAAAATCAACTCAAGATGGCTTAAAGACTTAAATGTAAAATCGATAACTACAAAAATCCTGGAAGATAACATAGGAAATACCACTTTGAACATAGGACCTGGCAGAGATTTTGTGATGAAGACAACAAAAGCAATCTTAACACGAGCAAAAATTGACAAATGGGACCTAATTAAACTAAAGAGCTTCTGAACAGCAAAAGAAACTATCAAGAGTAAACAGACAACTTATAGAATGGGAGGAAATATTTGCAAAATATACATCTGACAAAGGTCTAATATCCACAGTCTATAAGGAATTTAAACAAATTTACAAGCAAAAACAAATAACTCATTAAAAAGTGGGCAAAGGACATGAATGTACACTTTTCAAAAGAAAATATATGTGGCCAAGAAGCATATGAAAAAATTCTTAACACCACTAATCATTAGAAAAATGGAAATCAAAACCACAATGAGATACCATCCTATACCAGTCAAAATGGCTATTATTAAAAAGTCAAAAAATAACAGATACTGGTGAGGTTGCAGAGAAAAGGAACACTTATACAGTTCACTTCTGGTCGGAAAGTAAATTAGTTCAACCATTGTGAAAAGCAGTTTGTCAATTTCTCAAAGAACTTAAAAACAGAATTACCATTCAACCCAATGATCCCATTACTGGGTATATAGTCAAAGGAATATAAATCATTCTACCATGAAGACAAATGAGTGGATATGTTCATTGCAGCAATATTGACAATAGAAAGACCTAGAATCAATCTAAATGTCCATCACCGGTGGACTGGACAAAGAAAATGTGGTACATATACACCATGGAATACTACTGAGCCATAAAAAGGAATGAGATCATGTCCTTTGCAGCAACACAGGTGGAGCTGAAGGCCGTTCTCCTAAGTAAACTAACACAGGAACGGAAAACCAACTGCCATATGTTCTCACCTATTAGTGGGAGCTAAACATTGAGTACATATGGATACAAAGAAAGGACCAATAGATAGTAGATACTAGGGCCTACTTGTTAGTGGAGAGTGGGAGGAGGGTGAGGATCAAAAAACCACCTATTGGGTGTTGCTGATGAAATAATCTGTACACCAAACTGTCACAACATACAATTTACCTATATGACACCTGCATGGGTACCACTAAATGTAAAATAAAAGTGAAAAAAAAACCAGATTAAAAAAATGTAAGAGCAAATAGGACACTATTTAAAATAGTACCAAGGGCTATATAAAATATTTAGAGCTAAGCTATGTAAAGTAACATATAACTAACTGAGTGTGACAAATTAAATTCTGTCCAACCCAAGGTAAAAAAAAACAAAAAACAACAATGAGCAAGACTTAGACACTTTCTAACAGAAGATATAAAAATGATTGATACACACATGATGAGATACTTAATATCTATATTAATCTGGGAAATTTAAATGAAAATCAAACTAATACCATTATTTACTCACTATAACGACTAAAATTTAAAAGACTAACAATACCAAGTGCTGACAAAGACTAAAACTGTCTTTTGTTTCAGAGAGTGTAAAGTGATACAAACACTTTGGAAAACTTTTGGCAGTTTCTTATAAGTTAAACATAACAATTAGTAAAATCCAGCAGTTCTAGTCAAAGCTATATACACAAGAGAAATGAAAATACATGTCTTTATAAAAACTTGTACAAAAATGTTTATAGTAGATTTATTCATTTTAGACATTGGTAACTTGTGTGTTCTCTATTTTTTTCTTGGTTAGCCCAAGTAAAGTGTTATTAATTTTATTAATGTTTTTGAGGAAGCAGCTTTTGGTTGTGTTGATTTATTCTATTATTTTCCTGATTACAATTTCATTGATTTCTCCTCTAATTATCATTATATATTTTTTCATGCTTACTTTAGTGACTAACAAATTATCCTTTTTCTAGTTTCCCAAGGTGGAAGCTTAGGTTATTGATCTTAGAGCTTTCTTCCTTTCTAAGTTGTTTTCCACAAATTTGTGTAAGTTTTCATTAATTTAAAAATATTTTTAATGCCTCTTGAGACTTCTGGTTTGACCCCTGGTTTATTTGAAAGTGTATTGTTTAATGTCCAATATTTGGGAATTTTCCTGCTATCTTTCTGTTATTGATTTCTACTTTAATTCCACGGTTGTCTGATAATGTATACTTTGTATTATTTCTATCCTTTTAAATGTGTTTATATGTGTTTTCTGGACTAAATGTGGTTTATCTTTGTGAATATTCCATGTGAGCTTGAGAATAATGTGTATTCTTCTGCTGTTGGAAGGAATATTCAAATTGATTGATGGTGTGTTCAGGTCAACTACATTCTTACTGATTTTCTGCCTGCTTGATCTATCAATTACTGACAGAAGGTTGTTGAAGTCTCCAAATATGATAGTGGCCTTGTCTATTTTTCCTTTCAGTCCCATCAGTTTTTTCCTCACATACTTTGATGCTTTACTTTTAGCTGCATAGACATTTAGTATTCCTGTGTTTTCTTGGGGGAATTGACCCCTTTATCATTATGTAATGTCCCTCTTTATCCCTGATTATTTTTCTTGTTTTGAAATACGCTTTGTCTAAAAGGTTACTTTCAATTAGTGTTAGGATGGTATGCCTTCTATCTCTTTACCTTTAACCTATCTGACTATATTTCAAATGGGTTTCTTGTAGACAATATATAACTGGGTTGTATTAGTCTGTTCTTGTGTCACTATAAACACCTGAGGCTGAGTAATTTTTAAAGGGAAGGGGTTTAATTGGCTCCTAGTTCTGCAGGCTGTACAGGAAGAATGTAGCACTGGCATCTACTCCTCGTAAGGGCCTCAGGTGCATCACAAGGTGAGAACGGGAGTAGGAGAGAGGGGAGGAGGTGCCAAAGACATTTAAATAACCAGATCTCATGTGGACTCAGAGCCAGAACTCACTCATCACCAAAACGATGGCATTAAGCCATTCACGAGGGATCTGCCTCCATGATCCTGTCACTTCCCACTGGGCCCCACCTCTAACATCGTGAAGCACATTTCAACATGAGATTTGGAGGGTACAAACATTCAAGCTATATCATAGGTCTTGATTTTTTCAATGTCTCTGACAATCTCTTTGTTTTAACTGGCATATTTAGAATATTCACATTTAATGTGATTATATATATATATATATATATATTTATTTATTGAGACGATGTCTCACTCTGTTGCCCAAGCTGGGGTGCAGTGGTGCTATCTGGGCTCACTGCAACCTCCACCTCCCGGGTTCAAGCGATTCTCCTGCCTCTGCCTTCCGAGTAGCTGGGACTACAGGCATGCACCACCATGTCTGGCTAATTTTTGTATTTTTAGTAGAGATGGTGTTTCACTATCTTGGCCAGGCTGGTCTTGAACTCCTGCCCTCGTGATCCATCCGCCTCGGCCTCCCGAAGTGCTGGGATTACAGGTGTGAGCCACCGCGCCCGGCCGATATATTTTTATTATATAAGTGATGTTTGTAACTATTCTCTATCTGTGGCCAGAAGGTTTTTTTTTTTTTTAATCTTCTCTGATTTTAACTGACATATAGAATGATTCCATTATGTCTCCTCTTTCAGTGGAACAATTATAATTTTTTCCAAAAAACATTAGTGGTTCCTCTGGAGTTTACAATATACATCTTTAACTAATGTAAATTTATTTTCAAGTAACACTATACCTTTTCATCTGTGGAACAAGTACCTTATAAAAGAGTATTTCCAATTATTGCCTTCTGTCCCTTGCAGCATTGTCGTCTTTTGTTTTACTTATTCACATTATATAATCACTAATGCAGTGGTACCATTATTGATTTAAACAGTTATCTTTCAGATTAATTAAAATAAGAAAAGTAAATAATATATTTTAGTCTACTTTTATTTATTCCTTTTCCAGTGTTTTTTCTTTCTTTATGTACATCCAAATTTCTAACTACATAATTTCCTTTTGTTTCAAGAATTTCCTTTTAAGTTTCTTTCAGGGCAGGTCTGCTGGTAACAAATTCCCTCAGATTTTTGTTTATCTGAGAGTATTTTTATTTTTCCTTTACATATGAAGGATAATTTTGCTGAATATAGAATTCTAGGTTGGTGTTTTTTTCTTTCAACATTTACAATGTTTTACTTTACCCTCCTCTTGCTTTGATGGTTTTTGTAAAGAAGTTCACTATAATTCTTGTATCCATGTAGGTGAGGTTCCTCACTCACCATCTGGGTTCTTCATGATTTTTTTTTTTGGCTTTAAATATGATGTCTCTAGGTGTGAGGTTTTATTGTTGTTGTTATTGTTACTTATCCTGCTTGTTGTTCTCTCAGCTTCCTTAATTTGTGGTTTTATGTCTGTCATTAGTTTTGGAAAATTCTTGGCCAACATTACTTCAAATACTTATTCTGCTTTTTTCTTTTTTAAATATATTCCAGTTAAAAATGTTTCACTTTTTCATATATTCTCATAGTTCTTGCATTTTTTTCTGATTGTTTTCCTTCATTCTTTTTCTCTTTGCGTTACAATTTGGGAAGGTTATTTTGACCTATCATCAAGCTCATTGATTCTTTCTTAAACCATGTCAAATCAACTGATGAGCTTATCAGACATATTCTTTATTTTTATTACAGTGTTTTCATTCTTACATTTCTTTTTGAATTTTCATTACTCATCTAGTCTTGCAAGATCTTCTGGAGCCCTTAACATATTAATTCTAGTTATTTTAAATTCCCTGTCTAATAATTTCAACATCTGTGTGTCACATTTGAGTCTAGTTCTGATGCTTGTTTTGTCTCTTCAGAATTTTTTTTCTTGTCTTCTGGGGCACCTTGCAATTTATTTTGAAAACCAGACATTTTATATTGGGTAATAATAAAAGAAATGTATGGATTTATGTTATGTATGAGAAATTGGGCTGTGCTTAATGTTTGCTATAGCTGTTGTTGCCAGAGTTTCAAATTATCGTAGTATGCTTGTTTTAGTCTCCTGTTGACTTTGGACTGTCCTAAGTACTCCCCATCAGAGAAAGTTTGTGTCTTACAACTCTTCCAGCCTTAATCTGCTGTTATCATACTGAGGCCTTGTTAGTGTGATGGTAAGGTGGAACATTTGATTACCTTAAGGTTAAGTCTCAGTCTTTTAGAATGCTTGTGTCTTGGTGCTGTGATATTCACAAATGTTTCCCCAGTGGTATATCTGCCCTCTCCCCCTGACATCACCTGCTTACTTTTCTGGCTATAGCATTCCCAGTCTATTTGTTTGAAGCCCTCACCCCTGTTAACTATGTTTTTTACCCCCTTAGGTGAGCCAGAAAGACTGACGAGAACTGGAGTGGGAGGAATTCCCTTCCCTAAGCAAACATAAAGCTCTGGGCTCTGGAAATGTTCCAGGTAAACAGATCTCAGCTGTGCTTTTCTGTATGTACCTATTGCCCCAGATTTTGAGGTGATCCCTGTTTGCCCTGCAATCTCAGTTCTCCAATGATCAAAGGTCATTTATTTTCAGTATTTTCAGCTTATTTTTTGTAATAATGTAAGTGACAACATCCAGTCTGTTTGTGTGTCAGAGCTGGGGCTGGAAGTCCACAGATTCAGAGTAGCCTTATTCATAATTTTCAAACATGGAAACAGCCAAAATATCCCTTCACATTTGAGCAGATAAACAAGTCTTGGTAATTCCATTGAATGGAATATTACCCAGCAATAAAACATCCAACAACATTTTTATAAGTGAAAGGAATCAGACACAAAAAAGTATACTGTGTATGATTTTATTTGCATACAATTCAAGAACAGACAAAAATAATTTATTGTGATAGAAAGCAGATCAGTGGATATCTGGGGCAAAGAATAGCAGAACTGATTGCAAAGGTGCAGTAGGGAACTTCTTGAAGCAATGAAAAATCTTGATTGTGGTCACGTTTATATGTATATAGATATTTGTTAACATTTTCAAACTGTACACATATAGTTGATACACTTTATGTTATATAAATAATACCTTAATAAAGTTGATTTTAATTTTTGAAAATGTAACTAAAAATGGTGCTTTTGACCGGGCGTGGTAATCCTAGCCATTTGGGAGGCCGAGGCGGGAGGATTGCCTGAACTCAGGAGTTCGAAACCAGCCTGGGCAACACCGTGAAACTCCATCTCTACTAAAAATATTTAAAAAACAATTAGTTGGGCATGGCAGCATGTGCCTGTAGTCACAGCTACTCAGGAGGCTGAGGCAGGAGAATCGCTTGAACCCAGGAGGCAGAGGTTGCAGTGAGCCTAGATCGTGCCACCGCACTCCAGCCTAGGCAACAGAGTGAGACTCCGTCTCCAAAGGAAAAAAAAAAAAAAAGGTGCTTTTATACGGTAACAGTAAACAATTTGAAAATAATATTTTAAAATTTATTGCTCACAGTATCTTCTAAAACACACCAAATATCTAGGAATAAATTTTACTGAAGGAGTGAAATAGTTCTACATTAAAATCTATAAAACTAAAGTGCCTTAATAAATGGAGGGGTATTCTATATTCAGAAATTGGATGGCTTCCTATTGTAAAGATAACAATTCTCTCCAAATGCATCTATAGACTCACTACAGCTCCAATAAAAATCTTAGCAGGTAATTTTGGAGGAGTTGAGAAATGTATTATAAAATTCACAATAAAATGCAAAGAGGAAAAGAAGAGTAGCTTAGTCTTGAGGAAGAGTAAGATGAAAGTTAGAGAGCTTACATGACTTGATATCAAGCTTTATAGAGTTAAAATACTCAGTACAGTGTGGTGTGGAATTGATCAAAGAAAAAGACTTCCACATAGTTACCTAATGTATAACAAACTTTCCATGGCAATACAATGCAAAAAAGGATGTTCTTTTAAATAAGAGGTGTAGTTATCAACTAGATATCTACATAGGGAAATATTTCATACCCTAAAATTACTTCCATACCAGTTGTAGATCTATTTGTTTACATAAATCAATAGAACTCCTAGAAGAAAAATTTTTTTAAAAACCCTCTTAATTTAGGATGAGGCAATGAGTTTCAATTGAGGACAAAAAGGACCCCCCTGAAACATTATGAAGGAAATATTGAGCAGTAGAAGTGTATCCAAACAAATCATTAGGAATATGAAAAGGTAAACCACAAAGAATCTATTTGCAATAGATATTTCCAATAAAGCACTTGCATACAGAACATATTAAGAAATTTAAAATAACAAAGATTAAAAAATCAGACAACTTAATTAAGAATCACCAAAAAATTCAAGAAGTGTTTTACATAAAAGGACAACCTGTTGACCAAGAAGCATATAAATAGCTCTTCAACATCATCAGTCATCAGAGAAATGCAAATAATAACCATTCTGAGAATCCAATACCTACTCTTTGGAACAACTAAAATTTAACAAAGAAACAAAAGCCCTGGCAATACCAAATATAAGCAAACACATAGAGAAATTGAAACTCTAATACATGATTGGAGTTTAAATTGGTACAACTACTTTGGATAACTCCTTGAAATTATTTACTAAGGTAAATTATAATTATATCCTACAACTTAGCATTTTCACTTCTCAATATATTTCTAACATAAATGTGTCCATATGTACAGAAAAATATATGTACAATGATGTTGATGGCTATTTTATTGCTAATAGCTGAAAACTGGGCTTAGCAAAAATATCCACTTAGCAGTTGAGTGAGTGAAAATTTTTGGTATAGTCACACAATGGGAATATGCTACATGGATTTATCTCAATGGATAATATGGTACAAATGAAGTCAGTCACACAAAAATGCATATTGTGTGATTTCATTCACATAAAGATTAAAAGCAGACCTAAATCTTTGTGATAAACATCAGAATAGTGGTTACTTCTTAGGAAGGCAGAATGAGGGAGATTTCTTTGATTCTGGTAATATTCTATTGCTTCATTTAGGTGTTGGTTACAGTGAGATATTCACTTAATAAAAATTTCTCAGGTTGTGCATTTAAGATTTATATACTTATATTTCAATTAAAAAGTTTACAAAAATATAATTTCCAAGATAGATATATGCACAAAATGTTAAGGGGGATAAAGAATCTAAGAGTCGGGTAGGAGAAGAGAGAGGGGCTTGAGAATGAGATTATTGATGTGGGCAGAAATCCAAAGAAATCATCCTAAAGACTTCTACTAACATTGATTTCCTGTGTAGAAGAGTCATTTAAAAATCCTTACACAGAACAGGATGAATAAAATTGGAAATTATTATTTTGTTATCATAGAAAGTTGATATTTTCAGAGAGCTGCCAGCAATGATTTTTTTCTGCATGATCTTGGGCATCCATAGTAGTCCAGAACTTGTGAATAATATTTTTGAGAAATGCCTTTATGGGTCTACCAAAAGCTGTACATTTAACTCCCATCCATTGACTTAATCTAACCAAACTTCTTTATTGCTACATCCTTGCCTTTTTCCAACATGAAAAGATTCAGTGTAGTTCCCAGCTTTGAGATTTGAGTACGTGCCTTTCAAATTAAAGGCATAATATTTCGTCTAAGTCTTCTTTCCTTTCTAAGGAAAACAGTATAATTAGATCAATACCAATGTTACCACTTATTTACAACATGTTTACCTCCAAAGTCCAGCTTGATTTCTTTCTCTTCCATATGTTTTCCTCTTGACTACTGCAACTCATTTAAAAACAGAGTGTGAGAAACTAAGTCTCTATGGAGTATTCGAGTTCATAATGTTGAGATGTTAACAGATCTCCATCTTCTTTAAACTTCTACGGCACTTAAGATTTTTACTTTATGAATTAGCATTTACTTCTTATATATTTCAGGGTACTTAATTTTGATTGTGTTAAAAAATAACCAGAATATCTCAGTGCCTTCACACAAAATTGTCTTTCTCACTCATGTCACAGTTTAATGCAAATCTAGGACTTTCCTTCAAAGAACTCCTAACCACACCGGGCGCGGTGGCTCACGCCTGTAATCCCAGCACTTTGGGAGGCCGAGGCGGACAGATCACCTGAGGTCAGGAGTTCCAGACCAGCCTGGCCAACATGGTGAAACCCCGTCTCCACTTAAAATACAAAAATTAGCCGGGCGTGATGGCTGGCACCTGTAATCCCAGCTGCTTGGGAGGCTGAGGCAGGAGAATCACTTGGACCTGGGAGGCGGAGGTTGCAGTGAGCCGAGATAGCGCCATTGCACTCCAGCCTGGGCAACAAGAGTGAAACTCCATCTCAAAAAAAAAAAAACCAAAAAACAAACAAAAACACTTTGGGAGGCCCAGGCGGGCAGATCACGAGGTCAGGAGATCAAGACCATCCTGGCTAACACGGTGAAATCGCGTCTCTACTAAAAATACAAAAAATTAGCCGGGCGTGGTGGCGGGCACCTGTACTCCCAGCTACTCGGGAGGCTGAGGCAGGAGAACGGCATGAACCCGGGAGGCGAAGCTTGCAGTGAGCCGAGATCAAGCCACTGCACTCCAGCCTGGGCGACAGAGAGAGACTCCATCTCAAAAAAAAAAAAACCTCCTAACAGTCACAACTTATAACAAAAGAGTATGTTTTATTTTCCCATGTGAGCCTATTTTCATTTCACCTTTTACAAAATGGCTGCACATATGATATGAATAATATATGAATGTATCTTTATCTGTTCCTTTCCTCTCCTCCTGCGTCTTTTCTCTCACAGTCCTTTAAGCTACCATCCTTCCTTTAAATTATACTTACTTTCTACAAGTTTTTTTTTTCAAATTCAAGTTTTTCGTGATCAATTATTTTTAAAGACCTCTTAGTGGTACAGATGAATGTAAACAAAATACATTTATTTAAACAACAGACAGGAGATAATTAGCTACTGTGTACAGGTGGTAATGACAGACTTTTGGAAGAATATAGCAAATAGCAGTTTGTGGAAATTAGTTTTCTTTCAGCTAGAATGATTTGACAATCTTTGCCAGAACATGCAAAAATTTTATGAGAGCTAAGTGAAATACTAGCCAATTCTTGCATATTTGCATATCTGACAGCTCCTATTTTCAGATTTTATTGATGAAATTAAGTACACTAAACAATAAAGTACTTTGGATTTTTTTTCTTTCTAATTTTCACTTGACTTTTTTTTTCTCTCAAAGCTCCAGCAACGAGTAAGGAAAGCATTTGTTATAATTCTGAGAAAGTATGAAAGTAGGGCTCAACCAGGCTGGTGCTCTATTACCATATGTCTTGGAGGTCCACCTGTCTCTAGAATACTCATGGACAAGGAAGATTCTGAACAATGGAATAAAATGGGTAATGTGGAACATTTGTTTTTCCTTAGTCAGACTGCCTCAGGGTGCTTGCATTATTCAGGGTGTGAATTTCTGTTACTTCTCACAGTATTTATGTATCAGTGTTTAGGTATAGTTACCCAAAACATTTCAAAGGCAAATGAGAATTACTTCGAAGGAATTGTGCATTAGCCCCACCAATCTATGCTCCATTAATTCAATTGCTTTGTATGAGGGTCTGTGTATTGTAAACCAAACTCCAGTTTCAGATTTTCCTGAAGGAATGCAATCTGTCAAAAATCCTGTTTGTGTTTTACCCAAGGTCAAGAACATGATCTCAAGAGAAGGTATTACAAACAACTGGGGCAGTAATAATGACCTCATGTTATTTTTTTAAACCTAATAAAATCTTATAGATTAATAAAGATTCACAGCTTTCGTGGCATTTCCACGTCCATTTTTTAAAAAATTATATAGAAAAGGAAACAGATTTGTAAACACTAAGTGCATTGCCCAAGGTCACTCAACTATTAAACTGTAGAACACAAGTCTTTTGGCTCCTAGTCCTGTGTTTATTCTAGTACATTAAACAGTAGCTTGAAGAAATAGAGAGACAGAGGGAGAGTGAGAGGAAGGGAGAAGGCAATAAAAGGAAGAGATAAAAGGAAGAAGGAAATATACAAAAATTTCCATTTGCAGTATTAGATCTATTTGGAACAGACTATGCTTTCTTACTCATCAAATCATTTTAGCATCAAAACAATTCTAGAAGTTAAATCACTTACATAAGAAGAACTGGAGGCTTAGAGAGGTAAAATAACTAAGCCAGATTATATGGCGAGTAATTGACAGAGCTGAATTAACACTCAGGTCTTTTGATTAAGTCTAATGCTATTAAATGCTGTCTTGTTAGCATAGCCTAGCATAATATGTATGTGTGGGTATAGGCATATAAGCCCTCCTAGATATCTATAGGCAGGAGAATGATGACAATGAATGTTTATTTGAAGAATTTATAAATGTCTGTGCAAATATTAGAAATAATATCCTAAAAATGTATACATTCTTTTTTAGTACATTACCTAATATTTAGCCTTACAGGTGATTAGAATGTCATTTATTCATCTTTTCAGCCCTCATTTAACTCATGTTAGGCTACAATGCATAAGCCCATTAAAAATGATTCATTACAGATTCTTCCCACAAACTTATAGTCTAATAGAGGAGCTGAAATGTCCACAGAAATTAATATAAATACAAAGTGCTAATGGTCCTAAAAAAGATATGCCTTAGATAATCAAAGATAATAATGCTTGAGTGTTTGTTAAGTTTGGGGATGATTAGTAAATAACTGACTTTAAAGCCACTCCTGATGTCATGTTCTGTAAACTGAACAATAAGAATGGAGAAAAGAGGACAAACATGAGACATTTTTGAAGTGGAATCAAGGAGTTCAGATACTGAATATGAGTGACATGGAAGAGGAACTGGTCTAGGATGATGGTAAAGTCCTGAATCTGAGTGCCCAAGAGAATGCAGAGAAACACAAAGGAAACATACATTTAGATGGAAGAGTAAGAGATTTGTTTTGAGACAGATTGTATTGTATACTAATCAGAAAACCAGATGACATTGAATCAATAACACTTATATTTAATATTACATGTTTTAAAAACAATTTTCCCAATCTTCCATCAGAGACTCTGACTCAAGACGTCGCTGTAATCTTGGAGTTCTTATCACCGTTCTTCTATTGCTTTTTGAGTTTTTTTCAATTCTATCACTGCAATGTCTCATATCGGTTCCTTTCTCTTTTTTCCAAATACTCCCAGAGTATATTCTAGGTTGCGGGTACAACGAGGTATAGATATGCATACCTGGCTTTTACTATCTGGCTATTTCTCAACCATCAGTTTGCAAGGACTCTAGCTCCACCCATCACAATTTCCTCCTTTCTCTGATATCTTGCAGTCTAGTCTGCTTTGTAAGCAGCTCCCAGTGGTATTGCTGTCACTTTGTCACTGTTTTAGGCTGATGCTGTACTATTCCCCAGGGCCACTGTGATCACTTGGCAAGTTATTCAAGGACACATTCTAGTTACTTTTGCTTTGGCCACTACTTGAAGCAGTGCTGTTACACTCTAAATAGGATTGCTTCTGTAAACGGATCACAACAATCTGGTTCAACTTTTATGTAACAAAGTTGTGACTTGTTTTTCAGTTGTCATGGACCCCGCAGGTTGAAGGTCACATAACCTGAGCATGCCCAGATGAACCAAGTGTGCAACCACAGGGGCAACATAAGTGCTCAGACCAAGGAGGGGAGACTGAATTAAGAAGCCCCATTCTGCCACCCCATGGCAAGATACAGCATCCAATCAGACTGAGCTGTGAAATGACTCCATGGCAGGATCCAGTCAGATCATGCCTCCCAGCATCACCTCATTGTAAGATCCAATCAGATCGCACTTCATTACCTTATGCTTATAAAAGTCGATTCAAACCCCAGCTCAGGGAGACACATTTGAGCATTTTCTCCTGTCTCCTTGCCAGTTGACTCATAGTAAAGCTTTTCTTTTCTCGAAAGCTGGTGCCATGGCATTGGTCTCTATGCACATTGGGCAACAACCCATTGATTGCTTGGTAACACTTTACTGTCCCTCCGTAAACAGGTGGGGGCATTGGCTCTGTCTCTGCTATGGTAGACTCTTTCAAAAGGGTCTCCACTGCAATGTAGCTTGGGCCTCAAAGTGTTATTACTTTTGTTAAACTTCACTCATACTCAGTTTTACACCCCACAGGGCCTTATATAATTCAGGGTGGGCAGCTATTTGTACTCTCTGCCTTGCCATCTTCAAACCCCATTCCAGAATCTGACTCAATGTGCTAGACCTCTTTATTTTTCATGAGCTTGCTCCCTGGAGCCTCATAGAAACTCCCTTCCCTTTTTCCTCATCTTCCACATTAGGCATTTGGCTTCTGTTAGATTCCTTGTAGTCAAATAAACAAAACAAGGCTGAACCCCAATTGTTGATACAGTTGAAATTCTTTTCTAAGGATGGTGCTTAACCTTCACAAGAAGAAGTAAGATTGGATTGGAATTAAGTCATGTCTGCTCATCAATGTCCCATATTCAATCTTCTTAGGGTTAATGGGGATAACTTTTTATAACTTACTAACTAAATCTAGAAGAAAAATATCACTTAAAATGCTGCCACCCTGAATTGATTTTTAGCACTTGTTCTCTGTTATATCTTGTTTCATGTTTAGAAAAATTGAATTAATTTGTCTGTTTTAAAAATATATTTCTCTCTCTCTGTGTATATGTGTATATATATATATGTATTTGAAATAAATTGAGACATGACTGTTTTTCAGTTATCTTTGTTGAAAGTCAAAAGGCTATAACTAGTCTTCCCTAATGAAGTCCCATTAAAAAGCCAGTAACAGCTATGAGAGTGAAGTCTAAGTACCAGGGAAGAATTAAGAAGCCCTTCTTGAACTTGCTCTAAACCTCATTCCCTTTTCAGTGGCTGAAATAATTACACTTCTCTTCTATTCAAAGTGTCTCTAACTGGAGGGGTAGAAAATAGACTGGGGCAAAAGCAGAAAGTGAACCTGAGCTAGTCTAAAATTTATTTTAGTTTAAAAACATCTTGTAAGCTTACTCTCTGCCATATAAGTATTTTTAAAAATAAAATAAACAATTTAAATAATATTAAAATACTTCACTTTTATCTCCCAGCAAAGTCTGTGATCCAGGCAATTTGACCTATATTGATGCCAAAGCTTCAGACATCTTCTGAGGTCCAGGAACTTTAGTTTGAAAGTAATTTTAGATAACCCATAGGAAAAGGTCTGCCAATGAAGGAGGACTCAGCAATATTTCCACATTTACCTATTTTGATACTTTTCCTCCGGGATATTCTTCCTTTTTTTCTTCTTGTACTTGGCCTTTTTACTCGATTTTCTCTTGCCTTTAACCCTTTAGAAATGTATTTTTATCTCTTATTGTATAGCCGCTATTTCTATCCTCAACTTTTGCTACTCCTTAGTCAAAGCTTTTCTTTTCTAATAATTTGAGTTTCCCTTTGCTCCAGCCATTAACTTTTGCTGACTCCTTAGTTTTCAGATTAGACTCCTCTCCGCCACTCATGAAACCTATTGTGAGTTAAGTTTGCTTTAATGAAACTCCTGTGGCTTTTGTGTCCCGGGATAAATCTAAGGAAATAATGGAAAGCCTAAGAATTCCTTCACTATGACTACTTTAATGATAGTGAAAGCAATTTCTACCTGAGCATCAGGGTCGAGGGAAAATATTTTTAAACTGAGTGCTTTCCTACAAGTCACATTTGACATCAAATCATTTGTTACCTTTCCTGAAGTTGAAGGCCTTGGCTTTATAGACATTTTTTTTTTCTAACAAATATTTGGACATTCCAGCATTCACACTGATGAATTGTCTAGTGGCTGTACTAGTTAAAGAGAGACACCAAATTCAACATTTTAACCCATAAGGGGACTTTGATGTAAGTTCTCTAGTACATTTCAGCAGAAATAACCATATTGAACAGAATCTGTCAATTGACAAGACCTAGCAGAAAGACTGGCTGTAGAAGAGCAGCAAATTGGTATCTAAAGAACATTGCTCTTGTTCAGTGTGCAGTGTTTATAAAAATATTATCAGCAGAGCACATTTTTAATCTAGTGAAAATTTGGCAGCACCACTGAAATCCTTTCTAGCAGAGCATTCAGAATGACTTTAAATAAACAGAGCCAGCAGCCAGGAAATGCAAACTTCAGCAGATTTACTGCAGTAAGTGATAGCTACCAAAAGGCTCTTATCCCTGGTTGGAGTTAAATAATTTACTCTTCACTACCATTAAATGTTTTAAAATTATCTCTGTGCATTTATGTGTGTGTGTTTATTTCAGTATAATTATTGCTTCTTGCCACTCTTGATGTTAAATCCTGAAAATGGATCATGGTTCTCCCTAGGTTATTAGTATACAATTTACCCTGCAGTGAACTGCCCACTTCCAGAGTGTCTTTAACTAATTAGCAACCAGACATCACTAAATACAAATGTTAGAATGGAACCCTTAACTCGAAGGCTTCTGTAAGCATATATGTAAAGCTTTGTTTTATTACTTTAGGTCAAGTTTAATAGCAAATTCTAACAGCTGGACTGTTCCACATATTTCTGAGTAGCCCATTTTTGTATTTTCTTGTTCATATATTTTTGCTCTTAATTTATTTTTTAATGAAAATTAGAAACATAAAATATCCTTTCACATTTTTTCCACCTATACAGAAATTTAACTCTTTTTCTACCTTTCCTTATAAAGACACTTAGGTATTTATCTTACACAGAAATAATGCCAAAATCTTGTATTTCAAATCATATTTCAGTTTTATTTATCCAACTTTTGTTCAACAGACTGAAATCTACTAGGCAATGAAGTATAGCTTTCACATGCATGTTGGGTATTTGATGGGTTAATATATTTGAAGCACATGCAACACTCCCTGGCATGTAGTTCATGCTATACACATGTGTGATGCTATTACTACTGTTCTTGTTATTTCATAAGCAAGGCCCAATGAGATGAAATCATTTACCCAATGTGATATGTCCATTAGGAGCATCTAGTTAGTATTTGATTCAAAGTTTTTACTTGTGATACCTGCTATTGTATTCTGCTTCTCCTATCTTGTTGTGAGGTTATGGCAAGTAAGTACAATTATATCTATTTTACAGATGAAGGAATCAGCTCTGAGGAGTTAAATGACTAGTTAGAATTCTTGAGCTTCTAAATCAACAGGTTTGGACAATAGCTTTGCATTTGAATGTCCAGCCCCGTGCTCTCACTATGATACCAGAAATAGGCATATAAAAGGATAAATTTCAGCCTGTATAATTGCTGAAATAGAACTGAGTTTTAGGCTTGACATGTGTACATTGGTTATGTTTATTATTTTAAAATTCACTGCTTAAAAATGCAAAGCTCAAAGTATAATTAAGTATGGTGGGTATTGTTACCTCTTAGCAATATTGCCCACATTAACAGTGAAGGTTTATTTCCCATATTCTCAGATCCCAGAAATGCTTGTGTGTGAATCAGAGCATACTGGTTAATCTCTTTTATATTGATGGAATGCAATGATACTTGTACTTAAAGTATAGTAATAGATTTATACCGAATGATAGTTTTAGTTTCAAGAAAGGAGACCAGTTGTTTGTTTAATAATTGAACTCTATAACTGCAAAATTCACCATCTACACATATTGTGTGAAGTACTTAGCATACTGGATTTACTTAGTCTGACTGCATAAGAGATGTACCTGTACACATTAGAAAATGTATACTTCTAGGCCTTAGAATCTGTAATGGTGGAAAATTTAAGATATGGTTTTAATTTTTATGGCTTAAACAATCAATTTCCCTCTTCTGAGAACTGAAACTCAGGCTTTTTTATCTTCTAGTCAAATTTATTTTCAGGTTTCACATGCTGGCAGAATGTTGTAAAAATTTATTATGCCCTATCAATATGATAAACATCCTGATTTTTATTATTTGTTATACCCTCCCTAAAATTCCCATACTATTCCATTAAAATAAAACTCCATATTTTGGCATTAAATTAAGTTGTCATAATTCTTCTTTCAAGTGTGAAATCACACTGGGTTGCTTTATCTTTTTAATTAAGTGTTAATCAATAGACTTGTATTCTATTTGAACTGTTATAGAAGTTTCTCTGAAGATACTAACATAACTGCTTATTTGCATTCCCCAGAAACACTGTTTTTTAATGGTCAACAGTGGCCATGTTTGACTGAGCAATGGATTCATATTGATGTGAGCAACCAAATATGTTTTATTAGGTCATTTCTAAAGGAAGTGGTGATTCAATCTCTTGAAAAAGTAAGAAAAAAAGTTCTCTTCATAATGCCAAGCAATTGGTAAATGATGCTTTTTCCTCTGATGGCATATTTCTTTCACTGAGTGTGTTCAATTAATGTTTACCTGCTATCATTTAGACATAACCATGTGCTTTTTGAAAAACTGGATTGCTAATGCAAGAATATGCTTTTGCATTATAATTTAGCAACCATAATGCCAAAAAGTAAGACAAAACATGATGTCTGAGTTTTCAGCACTGATTATTACTTCCCTCAATGTTTTCTTCTAGGAACAACTGTCTGACGGTACCAATAAAAATTGCTAAAAAGCTCACAATTCCATACCTTACATAAAGTCATACTGTCTTTACCATATCCTCCTTCTCCTCTACATTGCTTTGTCACCTTTTTCTGGGGCAATTTAAAAAAACTTCTAAGATCCTTGACTCTCTTACACGCCCACATGAATCATACCGAGCATGTTAAATGTTCTTTTCCCCCACGTAATATAAAACTGATACATAACTGCCGTATACTTATAAAATACAGTTGACTAGAGGACATAATTTGTAAACCCTATGTATCTTAAAATTTGGTTTTCCAGTTTTCTTTTCATGTTTGTGTTCAATGCATTTTATGTGCGAACTTCAGATATTCCTAATGACCCTTAAAAAGTTTTAGGGCCCTTGCCCATGGGTCAGTGATGCTAATAATCATCTTTTTTCTTTGCTCTTCTGCCTCTGCTTTACATTTTAGACTCATTTTGCTATCATTTCCATAGGTCTTTTCTTCATTGTCATTTTCATGATCTCCTGCTCCTTCCCACTCCTCCAAAAATAATCTATTTTTTGACACCTGTATCTTCCCAAATCTCCACTGCTTGTCACTTCTTTGGGGACATACTTCTTTTATCTCTCTTTCCAGTTGTATTTTCTCATTTATCAGTATGTGTAAATTATGTACTCTCAGGTATCAGTGTACATGAAGTGCAATCTATATACTTCCTTGGAGAACCATTGTCCTAATGATAGGGGTTTCTTCTCAGGCAAATATATCACCAGTAAATATCTTCTAAACACTTTGTCTATTTCACGTTGTGGTTAATATTTGCTGATATCTATTCTAAATTTAACTATTTTTTCCATTCTCATTCAATAAATCAGCAAATAGGCCTTTCGGGCATTATGCATTTTACTAAGTTTGTAAGTATAAATTAAAACTGTTTAAAATAGAGTGTGTATTAGTTTGCTATGGTTGCCAAAACAAAATACCATAGACTGAGTGACTTAAACAGCAGAATTTTTTTTCTTATGGTTTTGGAGCCTGGAATTCTGAGATCAAGGTGTCGGCATGATTGATTTC
Organism: Homo sapiens; assembly: GCF_000001405.40. Classification (NCBI taxonomy): domain Eukaryota; kingdom Metazoa; phylum Chordata; class Mammalia; order Primates; family Hominidae; genus Homo; species Homo sapiens. Next base: position 139,969,085 of record NC_000006.12, read on the forward strand.
TTCTGAGGTCTCTCTTTTTGGCTTGCAAATGGCCGTCTTCTTTGTGTATGTTCACATGGTCTTTCCTCTGTGTGTGTTTGTGTCCTAATCTCCTCTTCCTATGAAACCAGTCAAACTGGACTGGGGCCCTCTCCAGTAATTTCATTTAACCTTTATGTCCCTAAATAGGTCATTCTAAATACAGTAATATTCTGAGGTATTGGGAGTTAGGACTTCAACATATGAATTTTGGGGGAACACAGCAAGGTCCATTATGGAGGGCAATGAGAAATAAAATAAACATCACAATGCACACAACGTTCATAAGATCCTGGCAATTGTCATGAAGAGGTGAGATTATAACTCTTACAATGAACTCACTTTGGTGAGTGGAGTATCTCTGCATTTACCACCTATGTGGGACCAGGCAATGTTCTTTTTCCATTATCACCTGTATCTTGCGAGGGCTCTTGGCCTAGAGTTATATTTATATTAATTTAACAGAAAAATATATATTAGCATTAAATTATTAGCTTATGCTTGAAAAAGCCTTTTTTTTTTTGCCTTGTCCATTCATGCCATTCAGTGTCTAAAATCTTGAGATGTCATCTGCTTTGGTAACAGTGGCTAAAGACAACACATCCTCAAGTTTGTACACAACAGCACCTCCCTTTTCTTCTCCCTGCTGCTCCACTTCTTGTTACTCCAAGTCTGAACCACATAAAATAGACAGTATCCTTATCTTGTGGCTACTACAATCAGTTTGGTAAATTCTGGTGCACCTCAGTCCCGTGACGGTCTCCTTCAGTTACTCTAACACAGGAGAGGTAGAAATTTCCTTTTTCACTCCTTCAAACACAGTACAATGCTGGAAATACAGTAGTAAATGAAGGAGTCAGTATTTATTCTCATAGAAGTTTATTCTGTTGGGGAGAAAACAAATAGTAAATGGGAATATGTAAGAACTTATGAGAAAGAAAAGTGGCTTTTTGTATTAAAATAACAGGATGCCCATCAATGACAGACTGGCTAAAGAAAATGTGGTACATATACACCATGGAATACTATGTAGCCATAAAAACGAATGAGATCATGTCCTTTGCAGTGACATGGATGGAGCTGAAAGCTGTTTTCTCAGCAAACTAACACAGGAACAGAAAACCAAGTCCCACATGTTCTCACTTATAAGAGGGAGCTGAAAAATGAGAACTCATGGACACAGGGAGGGGAACAACACACACTGGGACCTGTTGGGAGAGGGTGGGTTGGGGAGAGCATCAGGAAAAGTAGCTAATGCATACTGAGCTTAATACCTAGGTGATGGGTTGATAGATGCAGCAAACCACCATGGCACATGTTTACCTATGTAACAAACTTGCACATCCTGCGCATGCACCCCAGAACTTAAAATTAAAAAAAAACCAGGATGAAAGACCTCTATTGATAATTTGACAAATGTTGCTGATGGCACTGTGGGAACAAGATATGGATTTCAAGAGAGGAATATTCTAGACAGAGAAAACAATAGTAAAAGAGACCTTAAAAGTCAGGAATGGGAGGTTGCTTTACTTGTTCAAGGATGTGAATAGTCATTTATTCATTCAACAAGTATTTAAAGAATTTGTAAGCAGCTGCCATGTGTTAGACAGTACCTTAGGTTCTGATTCAAAAAAGAAAAAAATAGATGTAGAAAGGGGAAGTAAGTGAACTTTAATCACATAAATATATGTAAAGTTATAATTGTGGTCAGTTTTGTGAAGAGGGATCCAAAAGCAATAAGAACCTCTCACAGGAAAATTTGAATAGTCCAAGCAAATTAGAATGAGCTTCATGGAGGAAATGACGCTTAAATTTCTTTCTGAAGAATGAGAAGTTGTCTAGGTGAAGAGAACAAATACTGGCTGATATGGGAGTGTGATCAGACATTAGCGGTGGAGAGCTTTTTTTTCCCTAAGAGTGGAAAATACCCTGCTGCAAGTATCCCATTGAACATTCTAGAGACCTTTTTTTTTTTTTTTTTTCTGTATCATTCTGCATTACTACCTACCCTTTGGGGCAAGCTGAGTTGATTTATCTCACTATGTCATTCATAAATCTGGATCGGGCTATTAAAATTGCACTGGGTCTCCTGTAATTATCGTAAGAGTTTGAATAAGACACCAGGTGAAGAATTGTGTAGTCAGCATGGGGAAGGGGTTTGTCAGGGAAAGTATGTCCTGAGCTGAGCCTAAAGAGGAAGAGATTTGATGTTAGGACAAATGATTGCTTTGCTCACTGTGGAAAGAGGCACAGGCTTAGAGGAGAGAAACTAATGATTTAACATAATTAGCACAAAGCAAACGTGTCAGTTAGTTAGTCCTGGTCCTCATCTTTAAAAAAGGTTGTGGTTATGCCTTTTTCTTGAGTTTCTAATACTCAGAATCATCCTGTTCTCTCCTTCCATTTCTTACGTCTACTCCCCAAATCTAAATTGTCGCTGTTTCTCAATCTTTTATACATCATGTGGTCCTTCTTCACTTCCAGAGAGATCCTTTTCAATGACGCCTCAGTTATCTGTCACTGTCATTACTATAACTTTAAATTGTCAATTATCTACTCTTTCCAAAAGTTTCACCTTCCTTGGGCTTTTTCTGGATTGATTGTTTCAGTATAATGACTCCGTACCTCGCTCCCTGTAATATGCAATTTAATTAAAGATCATTTTAGTACTATTTTTGTAGGCTCTCATCTTGAATGTTATCATAAGTTTTTTCAACAAAAAAGCTTATATTCTAAGAAGCAGAATACTTGGCTTTATTTTAACTAGCCATGTGTATTTAAAAAAAAAACTTGACAAATGAAAGAACTAATAGTCTAGTTTTCTTTTCTGTTATAAGTTTTTGTTTTCTTTTCCCTTCAAGGTAGAACAAAACCATATATAAATTGCTAATATTTTGAGGGCAAGTGATCTGTTTTATTCAGTGTCCATACTCAGCTTCCAGCCCTTATCGAGGTATATAAAAAATGTTTAATAAATGAATGCATACATAATAAATAGGGAAAGGACAAATGGAGAAAGGTCTATATTAAATCTCTCAGTAAAGGCTTGTTGTACCATCATGTCACAGATACCATAATATTTTCTGTGGGTTCTATTCAGATTCTTTCTTGAAAAAGTTCTTTTAAATCAAGCTTTTGTGTGCATCAATATCACATAGAAAACTTGTGAAAGCATAGCTTCTGGGCCCCATTGTTGATTCAGTAGGTCTGGGATGATTTTTGTCGAACAAGTTCCCATGTGATGCTGTTGGTCTGGGGACCCCTCTTTGAGAATCTCTGCTTTTAATGAAATGTAACGAAAGAACAGGAAGCAAAAAAAGAAGAATGGAAACCCTATTGGTCCTTTAAATGAGAGTACATTTTTCTCTTGCAATTTGGTTCCTCACCCTAGTGTGGTTGCTGCATAAACCCTTTTGATATGATTTACTGATTTCTACACTCTTCTTATTCATGGATTAAGATTTTTGAGGGAAGATTAATATTTAAAGTTTTTTTTTAATAATTGAGAATACATAGACATAGATGATGAAAAGCTGATCAATTTTAACTGCTTCCTGCACAGGTAAAATAATTGCGACTCCTGGGTTCTTTAGAGACACATGAAAGAAGTGGTTATAATAATTTTACAGATTCAACTAAATAAAGAATAGTGTGCATATAATAATTTCATGAGGTAGCACATCAAATCGGTGCTATAAAATCAAATCAGCAAATCAAGATGGCTTATTTAACAAATGTATTGAGAAAGTTCGGTAACAACTTATTTTGTTTTATACTATTTATCAACATAAATTATAAATAAATAACGATGCAAATATTATATATTTTAAAAAGATGTATAAAGCCACTTGAAGAAAATAAATGTTCATCTTTTAATTTTTTTGATTTATATAGCTTATTTATATATTACTTATTTAATCTTAGATAGTGACAATTTTCTTAATGTTAACTTATGAAGGCAACCATAAAAGAAGATTGATAGGTTCAAGTAAACAAAAACAAATACACAAAAGGTACTCTGTCAAAACCACAATAAACATTGTTGTGGGCAGAGAGGAAAATTATTACAAACATTATAAAGGGCATTTTCACTCTGTTACAAAGTCTTGGAGTTTTGTTCATTTTATGACACACTTCAAGTAAGTTATTCTAAGGAAATATTTATGGTCACATATAAAAGTACAATGTAAGAGTACATATCACAGAACTATTAATAATAGCAAAGGTTTGGTAACAACACTATGGGGCTGGAAAAATAAATAGAGGGCCTTGATGTAACAGAGTATCAAATAGCAATTTAAACGGTGTTATAGAAAAATATTGTTATGAAAAATGTGCAGAATATGATATGTATTGAAAAATATTACTACACAAAATTATACAAAATATTCTATTTTGTTTTTAAAATACCTGTTTCAGGACATATCAGATTGGGAAAATATAAACCAAAATTTTAATAGCACTTATCTCTGCATTATTGGATTATATGTGGTTTATTTTCTCCTTTTGACTTACCCGTATTTTCTCAACATTTTATAACAAATTTGTCTCATTCCTGAAATTAAATCATGTTAAACATTTTGAATAATTGCATTATTTTTCTCACAAGTATTTAAATAAAATCCCTCTCAGTCCCATCCTGATCCTCAGCTTTGAACTGTTTCACTCTGCACAGGGGAAAAGTTGAGAATTTATCTCTGGAGTCCTTAGGAATTTTCTCTATGCAATTCACAACAGATTTGATTAGGTGTCCAGTGTAAACTTGACTCCACGGCCCTCCTTCTTCTCTGTCCTAGTTCTCATGTGAATACATAAAAATGTGACCCTCCAGAATTATTTTACATTTTAGCAGAAAGAAATGGTTTCAGTGGAGCTATCCTAACAGTGCTTTTGTATGTCTTGCTTAATAACTCCCTTTCCCTTAATTGAAAAAGGAAAGAAAAAAAATAAAGAATGATGCTGGTTTGGAAATACTTTTAGAGATTGCTGTCTCCAACTGTGCTTGTTCTCGCTGTCTGTTATGGTCCATTAGATAAACATGGTGTTCAACAGTCAGGCTGTTGTTGATATATTTGGCAACACTGATAATGTGATCTATGTTTAGGAGGAAGTGGATGCATCATTCCATGCGGGCATAGGTTTTCTGAAAGTGATTGTTCTTTTTACAAGAAAAAGTTAGATAAGTCATTGAACCTTAAATTCTCACTAAGAGTCTGAACATTTTTAATTTTTGTCATCTGAGGTTTTTTTTTTTTGGTGCTTTTATTGGAATTTCAGATTAATAGTTGGGCTTATTCTCAGAAGCAACCAGTACTAACTGAAAATAAATGCAAACCTGGTTGCTTCTGACTCTTGAGGGTGAAATTAGTATAACAAGAAAAAGGGAGGTGCTTGTTATCTGAGTATATTTCTTTATTGTTCATCAATCACAGTTTTTAGTGTTTTCATTTGTAACCTGCAAGTTTAAAAACAAACAGAAAAGAACCTTGAATCTTAAGATTCTTTTTCTGTTTCTCTCCCTTATATCTATTTATCTATTTATCAATTAATCTACCTACCTGCCTATCTACCTATCTCTCTCTACATACACATATACACATATGTACTATATTTAGACTACATATGTATAGTACATATGTATATGTATATTTAGTACGTATGTATATGTATATGTGTATTTATGTGTATATTTGGACTGTACATATACAGTCTAAATATAGTACATATATGTATGTATTTATACTATATATGCATATTTATACACATATACAGTCTCTTTATATATGTAGTCCTGAAGAAAGGATTGGAATATATTTCATCAAATAAAATACTAACATATTTTGGACATAAAAGGGCATAAAGTCTGAGACATGGAATGTCTTGTAATGTCCAGCTGAATCCTAAATATCCTCAGTGATAGGATTTCAGGCATTTCTCTTGGAAAGTGATTCCATTATCTAATAGTTTTCATTGGGAGGAAATTTTTCCCAACAGGCTTAATGTTCCTCTTCTCAACTGGTTCCATTAAACCTAATTACCCCTTCCTAAAGCTGAGCAATTCCTCTCCTATTGGTATTTACCAAGTTTTAATAGTGGAAAGCAACAATTAGCTCTTCAGCTGTCATAAAATCAGTGTATTTTAAACTTTTTTGGTGTTTCTTTTTAAATGGTATACATACATGCATATGTATATGTGTATCACACATACAACTAGTCACCAAATTTGCTTTAGTGTTTACTTAATGCTGAAATCATATCAGTATTTCAGATGTGCTTACATGGTAAGACATTATTGACTTTTCTCTTATAAATTCTTTATGTCCACAGGTGGCCACTAACAATATAGTAGCCTTCATTCACATTTTATAAAAATGGGTTATAGGTGACAAGCCACAGCTTAACAATCTCTAGCCTCTGTGAAAGTTGGCTTATGTCTATAGTTTGGGCTGGTGAAGATTCCAAGAAAAAAATGCCACTGACCCCATTCAGTTCCATCAAGAAAGGGAATTTTGTTCTATGGGGGAGATGGATGTTATTACTTATTCTCTAGAGAGGGACGTTTAAAATCACTTCAGATTGTTGGAATCTATAGCCTGCGCTATCATGGCAGGAAGCTCAGTGATTTTTAAATTATTTACAGGTAAAATCCCCACCTCCTGTAGTTTTTATTTTTAGAGTGTCCATTTCAGGATTTTAATGCTGAGAAAGTGAAACTATGCTCGCTCTTGTCATCTTCTTCCCTCTCTCTTCCTTTGACCTTCCCCCTTCGCCTCCCCTTCCCTCCTAGTGCTCTGCTCCTTCCCATTTCCTTTCCTACCTCAAATCCCATTACCCACCGCCATACCTTTTTTCCTTCTTTCTCTGACTCTGATTTTTCCCAGTTCTCTCTTAATGAGGTTTATTTGTGAGCCTCAAGCCTCATATTATTGTTCAGTCTTTGGGTATCCTCCATGCTGGGGGCTCCTTCCTGGGCCCATGAAAGATGAGTTTAGGGTCTGAAAGAAGGATCTTTCTTCTTGCCCTCAAGTCACTTCTGTAGCCTGTTGTGGTTTGCATGCTAGATGCATCTGGACTACATGGAAAAGATTTCCTAGAAGTGTCTATGGACTGACTGTGTTACTCCCAAATTCATATGTTGAAGTCCTAATCCCCATCTTGATGGTATTTGGAGGTGGGGCCTTTGGGAGGTAGTTAGGCTTAGATGAGATCATGAGGTTGGGGACTACGTGATGGGATTAATGTCTTTCAAAGGAAATGAAGAAACACAGGAGCTTTCTCTCTCTCCATGCTCAGGTACTGAGGAAAGATCATATGAGCACACAGCAAAAAGGTAACTATCTATCAGGTAGGAAGAATGCCCTCACCAAGAACCATATCGGCCAGTACCTTGATCTTAGACTTCCCAGCCTCCAGAACTGTGAGAAAATAAATGTCTGTTGTTGAAGCCACCACATCCATGGTATTTTGTTGTAGCAGCCCAAACTGACTAAGACAAAGTATCTTCTTTTCAAAGATTGGACTTTATATTTTTTACTTGTGTTAGTATTTCATAATCCCAAAGTTCTACAACTTCCATATAACAAAAATTTTGAATTCAGTACAATGACCTTGTAAGTATTTCATTTATAACAAGCCTCTTTAAAATATATTTAGTAACATTGCTTTAATTAGAAAGAATTTAAAATATACGATGATGTCTTAGGTATGTTTATTTTTAGTGAGAATTGATTTGGTTGCTTTGTTTTGTTTTGAGATAGGGTCTCGCTCTGTCACCCAGGCTGCTGGAGTGCAGCGACGGAATGCAGTGGCACGATTTCAGCTCACTGCAACCTCAACCTCCTGGGCTCAGGTGATTCTCCCATCTCAGCCTCCAAAGTAGCTGGGACTACAAGCAGACACCACCACACCAACTAATTTTTGTATCTTTTATAGAGACAAGGTCTCAGTTTACTGCCAGGCTGGTCTCGAACTCCAGGCTTAAGCCAGCCACCCAAAGTGCTATGATTATAGGTGTGAACCACTGTGCCTGGCTGTTGTTGTTTTTAGTCATGAAATATTCAACTTTGTCCAGCCATCCTGGGCTACTCTAACAACTGTAATTGCTTTATAACTACTTAGCTATGGATTTCTGGAATCTGAAATTGAGGCCATAAGCAGAAATGACTAAAATATAGAATTCTTTCTCCTATCTTTATTTGTTCATCTAGATATTGGAACTGTATCATTAAATTTAAAGGGGGGAACTAGTATTGACAACAAATTAAATTATTTCAACCAAAACCACTTAATAGGTATGTTGACTGTTAGTCATTACCAAATCAGCTAAGAAAAAATAGTTTTATTTCCACTTTGTTGATTCAACAAATAATTTTCATATTTGTAATTCATATTGACAGTCACAGATTCCTAGGATCTCTATTAACAGATACCTCGTTTGTGCCTGTGATTATTTCTTCATCTGTGCCTGTCTTTGCCCTTTCCTAGCTGAATGTCCTTGAAAAAATCATTTGGCCTTTTTGTGTCTGTTTCCTCATCATGAGGTGGAAAAATACATAGAGTCAAATGTGTGAGGTTGTTTCCAGAAATTAATTTAAGTAAGCACTTTGAATACTACCAGACCATAGTAAGTTCTATGATGATGACGACAGATCCAGTTGAGAGCTCATTTGCTGGCAGCATCCTAAATAACTCTGCTTCATGGAAGAAAGGCTCTGTAAATACCAAAGATTAAGATCCTTGGTTTAAGACTCAAGGAATCTGTTTACAAGGTAAGTAAGCAAGAGAACAAAAACAAAACATAGTTTATACAAGGCCCATTCAATCACAATCTTATCTTTTCAATTTCAAGTCTATCCCCTTTAAGTTTCCATGACATAAATATCAGCTGACATACACACAAGGTGACTCACCTTCTTCCCATTAAACTAGGTTGAGATTAAAAACAAACAAGCAAACAGCTGGAATGTGGCACGTGGGTCAGACCCTTCTGAGTCCAGTTGGGTAACTCAGCAGAGATCAGAATGATCTTCAAAAACCAACAAGCCATTGGCACGTATCTTCAGGCATGCTTGAAGTCTATGGGGCCAAATGGTAGAGTATCCTGGCAGAGCCAAAAAGTCTTCTTTTATGACACAGAAAAGAAAACTTCTTTCAAAGTAGTTATGCAACCCAGGAGAACACAATGCATCCACTGTGTGTGTCCTGGGGCTGTCTATGAACACATGATTTCATATTTTTGTCCTCTGTAAACTTCAGCATTGATGATGAACATTATTTCAAGGAAATATCCCACTACTTTATCTCTGTAAAGACATCCATAGAGAATGTAAGTTATAATTTCCTTATTCATTTTTCTGGTTAGAGAAGGCATTTCTATTTTAATGGTCAATTATTATATTCTGAATTTGCCACAAGTCTCCTTTTCATATTTAAACACTAGGGTTTTTTTTTGTTTGTTTTTTAAATTCTTAAGATAAATAGAAAAGTTAAGGTTAGAAAATGTTCAAAACAATTGCTCACCTTATAAAATCTTGTTAGGGAAGTAATTTTGCTCATTTCATACTGTTGACATTTCTGAATTTCAGTAATCATTAATTTTTTTAAAGCTGCCAGCAGATATGTACAATACTCCTTTTAGATATTATTCCCATCAAAGACAGATTTCACCTCTTTCACTCTTTGTGTCATTTCTCTATTATTTTGAAAATATTACTAATGCCTTCAAGTTCATTTGTATTCTGTAAGATTCTCCTTGTATCCAAGCAACTCCATCTGAAAAAATAATTTGTTTTTTTTAATGAGAGATATATTCAAAACAAAACCCTGCATATATTTATGATTTTTTGGTAATAATTTTCATGATACTAATTTCCTGGAAAGGGATTTGCACTTCACGAACAAACAGTGATTTCCTTTGAAACCTTCTCTGGTCTATGTCACCACAGTTATCTAAACAATTTAGATGTCCCTTTCTTGACTAAACTTTTAAAAAATGTTGATTCTGTTCTGTTTTTAGAAATGATACACATCATCAGATAATTTGTAAAACAGAAAATATATTAAAAAATAAAAACTTCCTTAAATAACCATGGGATAATCAAGGTTGTAGTAGACTGCCAAGTGAGTTATAAAAACTCCAGAATTATGTCAGAATTAGACAGATAACCAAAGAATCTGTGGGGCACTTTGATGAACTCAAGTGAATCCTTATATTCATCTTTACTGAGAAAACTGTTGGGAATGATTTCACTTCCATTTTTTTAAAAATATAAAGCATATCCTTCAGAGTGGCACATGCAGAAATATTTTTTATGCGTGTATATTTACTGTTAAGTACACAATACGCCTATGAGAACAACCATAGCTAATAGCTTTAAGAACTGTGCTTGGGGCGAAGGGAAGGAATGTGTGGCTGGAGACTTAGTTTGGCATGACTGAGAAGCACCCAAGCGGAGTAAGGACGGGTGTGTCGGCTGCAGCCAGGCGGCAGTTCTGGTACTTCTCAGTCATGACATTTGGGGTCAGGTAACTGAATCCTCATCAGCAAAAAGGGGATAATAGTAGTAATATAGCTCTCATAATATTGTTACAAGAATTGCATATACTTATATTCACAAAATAAGTAAAATGTTTTGAACAGTGTCGTGAAGTTATGTCCTATGCAGGTATTTTACTGTAATTGACTTTATTTTTGTTTTAGAGCAGTTTTGGGTCCACAGGAAAGTTGAGTGGAAAGTAGAGAGTTTCCATATCTCCCCTGCTCTCACACATGCTCAGCCTCCCCCGTGATCAACATTCCCCTCAGACTGGTACATTTGTTTACAATGGGTGAACCTACGTTGACACATCATTGTCACCCAGAGTCGAAGTTTACGTTAGGCCTCTCTCTTAGGTTGTACATAATGAGTTTTGACAAATGTATGATGACATTCATTTTAATAATGAAAATGGTTTGGTTGTTAGGGACTAGATTGTGACACTTTTGTTACAAACCTGAAGAAAGTCGGGAGATTGTTAGTGAAATCCCTTTCTAGAAGAAAATTATAGAAAATGTGCCGGGTCTGCAGGCTGGTAGGTCCCCCTCCAGTCCCTGAACTGCCCACTGGAAGTTATGATGAAGACAGTCACTTGTTGGTTAAACTTGCATAACTTAATGAAGGAAAGAAAATATGGTTTCTGTAAGAGGACATCCTGTAACTGGACCATGATGGTTCTTTGTAAGGTCACGATAAAGGGAGAAAGAAGTGGAAAAAATTTAAACTTTAGAAAAAGTAAAAAATCCTCATGTAGTAAAGATAAAATTTTGCTGTCATGGTATCTTGTAGGAGGCGCCAGTGACATTTTGCTGAATTGCTTGTGGTGAATTCTAAGAAAAAATAAAAGATATTACTTTGAAGAAAAGGGGAATGCTAGCATGGAGCTCATTGCCTGGAAGGAGAAGAGGCTGAAAACATAAGTAGAGAAAAATCAATTTGGGTAAATTCATAAATCATTGATTTAGAATTAATGTATAGAAGACAGAGTGGGTAGGCTGGGAGCAGTAGCTCATGCCTATTATCCCAGCACTTTGGGAGGATGGGGTGGGTGGATCACTTGTGGTCAGGAATTTGAGACCAGCCTGGCCAACATGGTGAAAACCTGTCTCTACTAAAAATACAAAAGTTAGCCAGGCATGGTGGTGCGTGCCTGTAGTCCCAGCTACTCAGGGAGCTGAGGCACGAGGAGAATCTCATGAACCCAGGAGGCATAGGTTGCAGCTGAGATTGCATCACTGCATTCCAGCCTGGTTGACAGAAGTGAGACTCTGTCTCAAGAAAAACAAAAGACAGAGTGGGTTATTTGCAGCACAGTGTAATATCTGTACAAATATAACCAATGTCTTTATCTTTCATGTAGATACCTCTCCACAGGCTACCACGTGAATCTCCAGTCAGCTGGAGCAAAGCCATATAAGATAGGCCTAGTTCAGACAGTGTTCTAAAAAGAAAACTACCAACAAAAGGGGCTTGGAAAGGTTCCTCGGGATATCAAAAATCAAATTAGCTTATTCTACTGTAATTGCTTATTTAAAATGGCAGAATCCCCCCTAGAATTGGAAATGTTCATTAATTTATTCAGCAAATATTTACTGAGCACCTACTACATGCCAGGTGGTCACAAATTTAAAAGTAAGCAATATAGACAAAGCCTATGCCCTCTTCTAGCTAACAGAAAATAAATACTGGGTGAAAGAATAAAAGAGAATTATGTGCATGTTACACACTTGACAAGCATAAATGTATGTAACAGCTTTGGAATGTTCTCTGATGAAGTTCTGATATACCTTACCCATTTTTCTCCATTAAGCATGTGGTGAAGACACAGCCTGACTAGTAAGACTGTCTGTGTTCTGATATAATCTAGGTTTCTTTTCTTGTATTGACCAGAAGGTGTGAACATGTGTTGCATGAGTTGTGTATATTTGTGTGTGTGTGCATGTGTGTGTGTGAGAGAGCATGCACACTTTTGTGTCATGCTTCTCAAAATGTAGCACATGAACTGGAATTGAAGAAGAATTAGAGCTTTTGATTACTATTTGGATTATTTTCTTGGTCTTTACATATGCAACTGTTCAAGGCTTAATATAAGTTTGGTCTTTTTAGTATAATGTTGTGTAGGAGGCTTTGCTTCCTTATAATATGCTATGTGACATGAGGCTCATTTGCTTTCCCTATTATCCCAGGAAATGCTAGCATCTTTCTTGTGAGTATTCTGTGTCCTGGGTTTCCTACTGTGCTGCAGTGTAAAGAGAGTAGGGCAATGTAAACTTCTTTGAGAATCACTTCCTGACTGATTGGCGTCTAAGAAGAAACACGATCTGGAGCTTTGCACAGCACCAGGACTCTGCCTGTGAAACACTATTAAATCTGCTATTACCCTCCCTTCCGCCCTTCCCCCAGGACTCTAAGGTGACGTTCCCACTTAACTCTTTCATGCCCAATAGCACGTAGGGCACACTACCAATGTCTGCAATGAATCATATGTTTTCAGAATAATTATTTTGATCACTTATATCCTTTCTTATTAAAAATGTCTGTGCAGTTCTTAAAGAGGAAAGGGGTGAGGGAGGAAAGCTGCAATTTAGAGGAACTGTGTAGTTGTTTTTCTTTCTTTTATTTAATCGTCACATTTAATATTTCCTTATAAGTCACATTTTAAAGAAAACAAACCCAAGGCTCAGAGAGGTCAACTAATTTACACACATGGCATGGCTAAGAAGTGGCAGGGGCTGGATTAGAATCAAGGCATTTCTGACTCAGAGCCAGTGATTTTTCTACTACATACAGTAAGTTCCACCAAGTGGAAAATTAAGGTCTTAATAATACCAGCCAAGAAACACTGCATTAATTATAATGAATGTTTTATGCAGGGTAGTTTTTGGGTCTGAATCATGGCATTGTTGCCATACATTTTTTATTTTATTTATTTTTTTACTTTGTGTGGAGACATCAGGGTTTATTAACCACTGCATCCAAGACTGAAGATCAGATAGTTAAAAAAAAAAAGATGATATTTGAATGTGTAAATATTTGTTTTAGAATACACGGAGATAGTCTTTTTTTTTCTGTCTTTCACCTAACCTTTCTTCCACATTTTTTTTTTTATTGAGGCAACAAATTCCTTCCTCCTTAGATCCCTGCCCCACAACAACCCAGAGCCCAGAACATAAACAAAGACACATTTGGAAGCTCCTGCAGAGAGACCTATATCCAAGATCAGCAGATCCTGCAATTTGCTATTTCCTCCTCCCCCCTCTCCCCAGATGCAGGCTTATGTAAGTCTCCCTGAGGCATGTATGGTTTTAGGGAAAGGATTGAAAACTGTGCCTGGTGCTGTTAGTATTAGATGGCTGTAAATGAATAAATGGATAATAACAGTTAGGCAGCTCACTGACGGTATTCCAAGTATTAATAAATGAGTGCAATTGACACAGTTTGACACCAACACTTTGGAATTTATGACATGTAAAAAGGGAGAATATGAATCTGCCGCTTTCAACTTTTTAATATAATTGGGATGCCTGAAGCCATTTTACCATCTGTAAGCTTCCCGTATTAGCCCTGATTTACTCCTGAATGTCCACAAAGCCTGGGACTTCATATAAAAGTTTTGAAAAGAGTTTAGCATTGTAGCTTTTCTTTTAATATCTGAAACTTGTTATAGCATGTGCTGCTATTTCCAGGCAGTTTAGTGTCATTAAAGCAAACACCATATAAACCTGACTTCCTATTTTTAACATTGTAGAATTCTATATTAAGTGCCATGAACAAAGAAGCACATCAGATGAATACTTTTTCCTTTAAAATGAAAAACTCCCTTAACCAGGATGTTCAGAACCTTCCCAAAATGGACTTGTTTTCAGCTTGTTCATCTTTTCCACCTCCCTACTGCTTTTTAAAAGTTTCATGTCCATTTTTGGTGACAATTTATTATTTGAAGTCATCTTCCAAGGGCAGGAAATATCTTTGTAGAAAAGAGTCCGAAATTAACTTCATGTGCAAAACAAACGTATCACAGAACAGTAGAGACAGTTCCTAAGCAGATTGTGTTCTAAAAGTTTGCCTAAAAGAATGCTGTTTGGAGCCTGGAACATATTTTTCATGGAAACACTATAGATGGCTGTTAAGTTCTAAGGTCAGTGATTGAGGCCATGTGACCTGTGAAGTAATTGGATCGCAAAACTGCATTTTTAAAATACCACTTTGTGATAATTTAGGATATTATTTTGGTAACGTCACACATTATAACATGGAATCTAGAGCTACTGCATAGCATCATGAGCATGATAGTTTAACTAGGTTCCAGTCACACTGATCTCCTTGTTATTGCTCAACAAGGAGTGAGGACTGTGGTATGGGCATACAAATTGGGAGAGCATGTGTGTTTAATGATGACTGTAGTCTGTGCAAGGATCAAGTCAATATCAAGTCATGCAGCTTGGAGTACCTCCCCCTCCCACTTTTTTGATGTACATGTTTAAGTAAGAGTCTCAAAGTGTCAACATTTTTTGTTGGGTCTTTGTTGTGATTCATCACCATGTGATCCTGAGGCAGCGGATGTCTTGATAGGAAAATATTGATAGTGCACAGCTGGTACATTCCTTCCCCACTTTTACTTGAATTGCCCTGTGCTTCTCTAGGGTTCCCTGCACCCTCTTTTTCTCTCCCTCTCTTCCCACTTAGTGGTAGGGTCTAGGGCTGTAGAACACACCAGACAACTCATCTTGATTTAAGCAGACTACTTAGGGGGTTCTGATGGATACTGAAAGGCGACTCACTGGACTGGAACGTGTGCCTATAAAAGGTATCCTGGCCCCTATTGCTTCACCAACAATCAGCTAATTTGTTGTTGGCCTATTCCACCTTCTTCATTTTCCACTGTCATAAATTCTTTGGCTGCTGCGACTGAACATGCTGGAGAGCGACCTTTCTTCTCTTAGACATTCTTGTAAAGATGTAAGCCCGGTTCAGAGACTGCTTTGGTCCCACTTCATTACTTGTAGGTTCCTACAGTAAAAGACCATTCTTTCCTATATTTGCCATCTTCACCGTTTATACTCAAGATGGTGGTTAGAAGCCAGACAATAGATAATGAAAAGAATGATAAATCATTGAGTGGTTGAAAACTAACGCAAATATTTGATTACATTTCTAGCTGTAGCAAATCAGCAAATCTCAATTCCTGAGTAGGTGAAGTTTGAATTGCCCAGGTGAGGAAAAGCAGGCTACTGAGCACTGCTCTGGGAGTCGGATCAGTAGGAGCCTGATCATATCTCAGAACAGGGCAGTGTGAGCATCAGAGTTTGTGGAGAAAAGGGCAAAGTGGAAAGATATCTTACTAGGTTTTCAGCCCCTTTTGACTTTTAGAGGCAATTCAGGTGAGGGCTCAGAAAGAAAAGAGGAAAGCTGGGGAGAAAGCTCCATAGTTTTACAGAGCACATAAATAATCATGTAAAGGATGTTAGTAGAAATACGGATGTTCAGGATGATTTTGATGAAACTTCAGACAGAAATGAGTTTTCCCAGAGGTCTCTTTGAAAGACTCAAGGCTTCTCCCTTTTGGTCATGTCTCAGGTAGTCTTAAAGCACTCAGAATCCAGCATGTCAGCAAAGAAAATTTATGGCTATTTTACCAATCATAGAGACAATTTAAGTAAAGAGGAGTCAATTAAGCATTTGTAATATTTGCTTTTTAAACTGTGGCAGCAAAATCATTTTAGTGGATAACAATTCACATTAAAAATAGAATGAAAAAATAGAACATAATAAAATATATAAAAGTTTTGCAACTTAGATTTATTTTATGGGTCTTTTATTTCCCTCCTTTCCTCCCTCCCTCCCTCCCTCTCTCCCTTCCTTCCTTCCTTCATTCCTTTCTTCCTTCCTCTCTGTCTTGTCTTTTTCTTTCTTTCTTTCTTTCTTTCTCTTTCTTTCTTCCTTTCCTCTCTCTTTCTTCCTTTCCTCTCTTTCTTTCTTCTTCTTTATTTCTGTTTGTCTCTCTCTCTCTCTCTCTCCTTCCTTCCTTCCTCCCTTCCTACCTTCCCTCCCTCCCTCCTTCCTCTCTCACTCCTCTTTCCTTCCTTCCCTCCTTCCTTTTCTCTCTTTCTGATATAAATTTGTATTCTGGGTCATGATGTGTGATGGTAAATTTTATGTGTCAACTTGACTGGAACACAAGATGTCCAGATATCTGACTAAACATTATGTCTGCATGTGTCTGTGAGAGTGTTTCTGGAAGAGACGGCATTTGTATTGGTAGAATGAGTAGAGCATATGGCCCTCCCCAAGGTATGTGGGCATCATGTAATTTGTTGAGGGCCTGAATAAAACAAAAAGATGAAGAAGGTTTGAGTTAACTCTGTCGGACTGCTTGAGCAGGATATCTGTTTTCTCCTGGTTCTGGTGCTGCTGGTTCCCAGACCTTCAGAATCTATAGCATTGGCTATCTGACTTCCAGGCCTTCAAACTACGCCACTGCTTTTCCTGGGTATCCAGCTTGCAGATAGCAAATCATGGACTTCTCAGTCTCCGTAATCATGTGACCCAATGCCTTATGGTAATTATAATACAGTAGCCCCCCCTTATCCACAGGGAAATATGTTCCAAGACCCTTGGTGAATGCCTGAAATTGTGAATAGTACTGAACCCCACTTACACTATGTTTTTCCTGTACTTACATACCTATGCTAAGGTTTAATTTATAAATCAAGAACAGTAAGAAAGTAACAATAACTAATAATAAAATAGGCAAAGGATAACAATATGCTATAATAAAAGTTATGGTAATATGGTCTCTATGTCTCTCAAAATCTCTTATTGTACTTTATTCACTCTTCTTTTTGTGATGATGTGGGATGACAAGATGCCTGTTTCTGAGATGAAGTGAGATGAACGACATTGGTGTTGTGATGCAGCGTTTGGCTACTATTGAAAACTAATTAATAACTTAGGAATGGTTTATTTCTAGAATATTCTATTTAATATTTTTGAATTGCAGTAGGCTGCAGGTAATGAAAATCAAGGAAAGCAAAACCACAGAGGAGAGGGGACTACTGTAATAATATAATAATGATAATAATAATAATAGATTCTGGAAGAGTTTTGAGGTGCATGCTAGCAAAAGCCAATGTTTTTGTGAAGAGAGTTTTAAAGGCAACTCTAGGAAGACCTCAGAAACAGAAGAAGAAAGCTGAAGAGAGAGGTTCATCTTCTCATAGAACACTTAAATAATAGTGCAAAGAATGTTGGTGGAAATATGGTATTCATCTGCAAACCAGGAGGTTGGCCTCCACCAGAAGTTGACTTGGCTGGCACTCTTGAACTTTCCAGCTCCCTGAACTGTGAGAAGTGAATTTCTGTTGTTAAAGCCATCCTGTCTATGGTATTTTTGTTATAGCAGCCCAAACTGACTACGACACAATGTAAAATGCATCTCTTACTAAGGGTCTTGGTCAAAAAGTTAGAAAGCTATTGGTCTGCACTTATGGTTTATTTCAGATATATAAAGTTGGTCATATTTTAGACATGGGTTAGAGAAATAGGGTGTACAGATACAGATTATATTCTCTCAGGTTGTATTTCTGCAATAAGGGCTAGCCTCTTTATGGGGACAGTGGCTGATAGATTTAGGTCATGTAATTAAATGTCTAAACTACCCACAGGCATCCAGAAGATAGAACATTTATCCTGTTATGTCATGCTCTCTCTGTAAAAACAAAACTCTTTGTTAAATCAACAAGCAGCACTATTAAGTAATTAAATCATTATAAAAATAATACCCAATTAGAAAATACTTAAATAAATATACCAGTATAATTAGATACCTTCTCATTAAACTTCAATTATCTTTAGCCTAATCCCAATTTTTTTTTTTCCACAAATCAGAAGCTTTCAATCTGAATCATTTCATTTCCCCTTTGGGCTTGTCTACCATTTTTGTATTTAGCTTTCTTCTTTTATGCCTTTTTTTTTTCTCAGAAATCTTTATGGTTTTCTCTTCTGCATGACCTTTTGCTATAATCAGAACAAGAGAAATTTGAATCCCTTGTGATGGCCTTTTTCTAATAATGAGTAATTTTCTTCCATATAACTACTTTTTTTCTCTCAGTCCCCTTTGAAGCCTGAAGCAAGTATAAAAGCTAATTTGAAATTAGCATACAATTGGGTTTCTTATTAGTCTCTATAGTCATTTTTGCAGATGTATAGTTTGGCCTGGGTCGTGGACCCCCTGACAGAAAATTGCCCTTCTTTTTTCTTTTAAAGGCCCAAGCCTATATTTCTTTAGAACACATTAGAACATTGCTCAAAGCATAACATGCTGTTTAAGCAGAGATATGAATTGATATCTTCATAGTTAATGCACTTAACACTCTTCCTTTTTATTCTACTTGACTTTCAAGGAAATATTAAATTACTCTAAACACATGCCTTTCAAAATTAATGGTAAAATACTTCACGGTAAATATGTCTTGATCAAGTACAGCATTCTATGGGGAAGGCATTTCGAAATAGCATTGGTATATAGAAAATGTCAGTGAATTACACCAAGCTTTTTCTCTAGAAGATTCTTCTTGAATTATCTATATACATATTTTAACGGTGACATTTTTAGCCAACTCAATCACAAGTTCCTATATCAGGAAATTTTACCCTGGGGTCAATTTACCATCTAAAATTTTACGTGCAATGCATGAGTATTTATCTGGGGAAAGTCACTACCGTTTTTTATGACTTCTTTTTTTAATGAGGTATAATATATAACAAAATGCATAGACCTTTAAAGGTGATTTCTAAGAGTTGTGTCAATTGTATACATTTGTGTAGCTACAACTTAAAACAATACATAAAAGATCTCCATCACCCAAAGTTCTCTTCGGGCCTTTTCTAATCAATTTCCCATCCACCACCCAGTGCAACTGCTTACTGATACTTATCACTATAAATTATTTTTGTCTATTTTTGAACCTCATCTTAATGGAATCCTATAGTATATAATACTCATTAGTGTCTAGTTTCTGATTTTTTGAAATTCATCATATTATTGCTTCAATCAATAACTTCTCTTCAATGTTGAGCAGTATTCTCCCATATGACTATCACACAATTTGACTATCCTTTTATCTATTCATGGACCTTTGGCTTGCTTTTGCATATTGTAAATAAAGTTGCTATGAACACTCTTGTCCATGTCTTTTTGTGGACATTATCTTTTCATTTTGGGGGAGTAAGTAACTAGGAGTAGAATTGCTGGGTCATCAGATAGGTATTTTAACTTTATTAGAAACAGATCTGCAGCTTTTAATAAACTCTTAAAGGGACCTTGTATCCCAAAACTTAAAGTAGCCCTGCTTTTAGGGCATCTATACAAATGTTTTTGTTTGTTTAGAAATATGTTCTCAATTCTCTTTAAGCCTCAGTTACAGACTCAATAAGATGAGTGCTAGACTCTGCCTTATGCCTATAATGCGTTAGGCTATCAGTACAAGTTGAAATTATTTAAAATAGTTTTTGTAGATACTTGGATAGTAGATTAATCACAATAGCTAAATTCCACTAGAATGTAAATTTTATGAGGGTAGAGACATTTCTCTGTTCACTGCTGTAACCCAAGCATCTAAGATGCTATCTGCATGGATCAGTTCAATAAATATGTGCTAAATGGCGGAATGAAGTATCAGCCATATGTTGGGAAACATTCTAATAACTTTATATATAGTGTTTCACTTAATCCTTACAGCCAATCTTTGAGGTAATTCCTTTTATTACTCCCTTTTAAGTGGAGAAATTAGGCACAGAGAAGTTAGGCAATATGCCCCTTGTCACATAGCAAATAAGCCAGGATTTGAATACAAGTAGTTGTCCTTCCAAAGTCATAACTCTTAGCCAGGGAATGCAGAAAAACTGCATCGCTTGTGTGTCTCTTGTTTTGTTTCAAGAAGCCAAATAGCCTTTTTCTATTTGTTAATTGTATCACTTTTGAAGGAAAAGTCCTCAGGAGGAAATTCCGTGGATTGGTTTAGGATGGTGACACTCATTATCTTTCTCACAATTAACTGGACTTTTCTTCACATTCTGATTTGTTCCCATAATGAGAGTTAGGGCCCCACTTCACCTGTATTATAAATAAAAGCCATGGAGGTCCATACATACAATCCCTGGATGCTTTTGCTTTACTTTGTTTTGTTTCATTTTCACTCACATCAGGTTAAGCTGAAAGTTTTGATGTTTTTTAGAAGTAACTTTGAATCCAAATACATGATTACTGTTATAAAGCCTGCCTTGTATCGCCCTTCATGGTGTCATACAGCTTAGGACCTGGTGATGGGATGGCATTGTTTTGACAACTGTTACCTGTTCCTTATTTGTAAGTTTTTAGTAATGTGAGCTTCTGTCTTAGTCTTGTCATGACCATTGAGGTCCCTTCTAGCTAGCAGAGAGGTTGAGGACAGGCTAGTGTGTTCTAACGAACTGGCTTTGTCAACAGAGCTGGCGTTTGCTTACACTCTAAAACAAATCACCTCTCACTATCTCTGCAACACTTCCTCAGAGCTGAATTTATGCCTCTTTTTATCTTGATAGGAAAATATGAACAAAAGATTCTGATTAATATTTATCTCAATGTAGCCAAACTAGAGCCAAATACATCTCAAAATGGCACTTGTTGATGAAATCACTCCTCCCAGTTATATTTGAAGGAGATTCCCCTTCTAAGACACATGACTTCAAATCTCTCCACTGCATCATGCAATGCTCAGCAGCCTTCTGTGAGTACATTGGTGGCAGTTCTCTTTTTCTAGAATGAGCCAGAGGCAAACAAGCTTTTGAGGTTGGAAAACAGTGACGAGAAATTGGTTCATAAACCTACACTTGATAATCATCCATGCTTTTGCCACCAGTATTGCAAATTCTACGTTACAATTTTATGTTGTCTTACATCCTTTTGGCAGCATGTCTTAACCACATATAAAATAATCTGTAGCAGGAAAAAAGTTATCAGTCCTTATCTTTTTAGCTTTGCTAATAAAGATAGTAGAACTGAGATTCTGTGAAATTATGTCCAATTTTTTCCCCAAGGGTAGAAAAGCCAAACAGCCTGGAGATAATGAATATGACCCCAAATGGCAATTGTAGCAGGTCTTTCTAAGCAGCAGTCCCAAGTAAAAGATCTATGAATCAAACAAACAATTTGTATTTTAAAAGAAATTTGCTACTCCCTCTTTCCTATAGAAGAGTCCTGAAAATAAAATCAGGGCTGTTCATTTTACTTAATACTCTCAAGCACCAAGCAAGATTACAATTCCTTGCCTGCCTATGATCCCCTGTAATTCCAACTAGCTCTGTGAAAGCACAGACCTGTTTTGGCATTTCACGTTCTGCTGCTTCATCAAGGCCAGCTCCTTCACTGCAGGCTCTTACGACAGCACATACTTCTCTTAACAGCCATGTTTTCAGTCCTCGTTTCAACAGAAGACTCTAATCTTGTGATTTTTCCGATGCCATACCAAATATAGATTTTGCTGACACTTCCCTGATTTTCTAGGATTTAAAACATTTCAAACAAACTTTTGAAGCAAACGATGACAATGTGTTTTTATGCTTACATAACCCATCTCAGTTATTTCAGACTCAAGATGGAATCCTAGCCCTGTATCAAGTAGAAAACAAAACAAAACAAAAGCCAGTGAGTTGTTTTAGTCATCAGAGTAGTGCTGTTTTCAAGTATTCCGCCTCGTTCTCCTACCACATAGGTAATCAGACTAGCAAAAGTTAATATGGCTGTTTTAAATTAAAGGCATTCAGATGCTGTTTTTTTCTCGAATTTTTGAATGTGTTGTTTAACACACCGAATTTCTGTGCAGTGAAATGGAGAGACTTGATGAGAGGCTATTGTCAGCTTTAGCCTGGAGATAGAGATGTGACCAAGTATATTTTTCTCAGGTGACTCTCCCTTTATGGGGAGGACTGTGTTTAAGAACTGCTGAGAGCCAGAGGCAGAGATCTGAGCTGGGAGATTTAAGACTATGGTTGACTATACATGTAACACAAAAACAATAATTCACCAGGCATTTCTTCCTAACAACACAAACTTTAAAAGACTTAACAACAACAAAAATCAACATTTACTTACTGGATAATTTAACTTTTGATGCGTATATATAGGTTTTATGTCTAGAATTATTTAAATTTGTGGGATAAAAGGTGATACTTTTAGTAGAGTTGTCTTAAGTGCAAATAAAATTGAGCTAAAGTTCAATAAAAGTATTTATACAGCAATTTAAGGTAGTAAGTATTTTTATGTAATTGCCTTTTCTGTTCTTCCCATAAGACATTGAAGTACATCTAAATTATTATCCCCAATTTATACCTGAGACTCCTGAGATTCACTTGCCCAGAATACAGCCAATAGAGGTGTTGTCAATTTCTCTAGTTAAACCCATGATTCTCTTGGGGAGGTCATATACTAAACATCTCTGTTATATCTTCCATTTTCTTTTTTCTTGCTTACTATGTTTCTTTCAGTTCAGAAATATTTTCTTCCAACTCTCCTAAAATTAAAAATTTTAGATCTAGTTCCTAAGAAATTTATGTTATGTACAGGTGTATATGCTGGTGGTGGTTGCCAGTATGAGAAAAAAGTCTTTGTTTTCTGTTTGTAACATGGACATTTTGAAGAATGGATGCAGTATAAGATGCTACTTTAGCTTTCTATGTAGATATAATGAATTGGAGCATACATGGCTATCATGGCTATTTATAATCACTCCTTTATACCCTTGAAAAACAATTGCAAAACAATAACATACCACATATTCAGTGTTTCCTGATGTACAGAGTCAATGTAAGTTTCCTGAAGTGAACTAGTGTGCAATCTAATTAGAGTGCTACCCTATATCTCTAACAGTTAATACAGAAACACAGAGGATACGATCATACAGCATATACAGAATGTATGATTCCGTACGATATAGGGTGGCACTACAATTAGATTGCACACTAGTTGATTTCAGGAAATTTACATTCAAATTAAGGCCCTGTCTCTTTATGGCCTGAGCCAGAAGGGAGCCAGGCTCTGCCACCTGCCCAACTGGGCTTGCCAGGCACAGGGGACTAACACCATAGTAGGGCAACTTGAGTGGTAGAGCTTGTGGATGAGGTTCAAATTTGGCACCAGGGACTTCCAGTTGGGCTAAATGAAGCACAGAGGGGTAAGCTAGACTTTAATCATGTCTTGAATCTGTCAGGTTGGTCACATTTCAGGGATTCTTTTGATGGGTATGAAGTGACACACATTTCAATTGTGGAGTAGTACCTAGAGGGCAGGTTTTAGAGACAGTTTGACTTGCTTTGCATTGTATCCTGGATCATTCATTTACTAGTGATATGAGCTGGGAAAAGTTAGTTACCTTTGGAGCTTCAGTTTCCATTTTAGTAAGTGTCATAGGATTGCTATGAAGATTAAAGCATGTGGATAAGCCATGTAAAGTGCTTGAAACAGTGCCTACAAAAGGGTGAGCACTCAGCAGAGCCTATTTATAATGATGATTATTGTTGTTATATTTAATTTGGAGAGGCATAAATAACTGGCAAAAATTAGCAAAGTAATCAAGAAGGAGTATATGCTTGAGGCAAATTGGTTCTCACCAGGTTTTGAATGCTGAGATTATCTGAAGGACAAGACAGACATCCAGTTTACTTCACTGAGCCAACATTAAGGAACAAAGGGAACAGAAAAATTGGAAATATTAATACATTGACACTGTGGGTGAACCTTAGGGATGCCATTGAACAGACTCAGAGAGCAGTGTAGAAACTAGGAGGTTGTCTGGGTCTGGGGGCTTTGGTCTGATGGGGACTTATGCTGGGTCAAGTGGCCTGAGGAATACCACGGTTTCAGCCTGTGTGAGACGTGACAACCTCTGGACCTCAATTCTAGATTGGTCTGAAAATTGGGATAGAATAAACTTGTGAGGCCTAAGTGTGTGGGTCTGGGAGAAATAAGGCAGGGTTAGGGGAGAGGGGTTGAAAATGAAGTGCTCAATTCTTTTCTACAAACACTAATCACTGTAAGCCCTCACAGAAGGAAGAATAAATAAAGGCTTGGGTAGTTAACTGTAACTATGGAGGGATCAGAGCTGAATTCTTAAATGATGCATGAGATTTGTGGGATAACTAAGCCCAGGAAAAAGGGAAGGAAAAAGTGGTCAAAACCTCTGAGACTGGGATGAGAATGATATGTATTTATGAGTTAGTGAAACTCTGGTCTGATGAATACAGAATTGAGATGGCATGATCCATGGGTAAGAAAGACTAGATTATGAGCGTATTTTACCAACCAGGCATTGGAAAGTGGATATGAAGGGGAAGGCAGAGGGAGTCATTAATTATTCTAAACAGAAGAATGACACTGTATTAGTTTGTTTGTACTGCTATAACAGAATACCATAGACTGGATAATTTATAAAGAACAGAAATTTATTTCTTACAGCTCTGGAGGCTGGGAAGTCCAAGATCAAGACACTAGTAAGATTGGTGTCTGGTGAGGGCCCAGTCCCCAATCCTGACTTGGTGCTTTGAATACTGCATCATATAAAGTAGAGGAAGGCTGTTTCTCACTTGGCTGAACAAAAGACAGAGGGAACCCACTTCTTCAGGTCCTTTTTATAGTGGCATTAGTGAGGGTGGAGCCCTCATGACCTAAAGACCCTCCCATTAGGCCCCATCTTCCAACACTGTTGTAGTGGGGATTAAGTTTCAACATGAGTTTCAGAGGGAACAAAAACATTCAAATCACAGCAGACATATGACACAAAAAAACAGGAATAACACATACATAAAATAGTGTTCAACAAAAAATTACTTTGAGAGGCAGAAAGAGAATGGAAAAATCATTTTCAGAACACCTGCTATGGGTCGACATGACATGTTTGATGTAATTTCATTTATAATTACAATCTCATGTTTAGGTGTTAATGGGACTTTTTTTGCTGAAAAGGAAACTGAAGCTAAGAAAAGGTAAAGTAATTTGTCCAACTCTTACTAGTTACCACTGGTAAGAGGATGAGATTGGTTTCAGATCCAGGTGTGCCCGATTCCAAAACATGTCTTTTCTTGTGCCATGCAGTTGCCTACAGTAGTGTAGAGGAGGTTGGGAGAAGCTAGAATAATCCAGGCAATTAGGAACGCAAGTCCAAATAAAAAATAGCTTACCCCCGCCCCCCGCCACACTTTCTAGCATAGTTTATACCTCTGTTGTTGCTAATCCCATTCATCTTGTACTTTGGAGGTTCTTACACTTGTCTTATTCTTACTCTCCTTACTTCTGCTGTGTTTCTCATAGTTGTATTCCTGGTGCTCTTTGCACAAAGTGACTTAAGACAAATCATCAAAGGGTACTTTTTAAGTGGGATGAATGCACCATCTGTGGAAAGCAAGCAAGGAAAACTCTGGAAGCAGATCAATCTGGTTTTATGCTATAGATTCCTCACTTACCAACTTTGTGATTTTGGCCAAGACACACATTTTTTTGTTTTTGGAGTCTCAGTTCCCTTGTCAATAAAATGTATGAGAGTAAGACATCACACACTGAATTGTGGTGAGGAATGATGTCACATATGTCAATCAAAGTGCTTGACTCATATAGTGGAATCATACATTTAGTTTTCTTCTCCCTTCCTTTGCACTATTCCTTTGAATTGAACTATTAAACATTTCAGAGAGTATCTCATAGAAGAATATAAGCACATAAAGAAAAATAATAAAAAGTTAACTGCATTAAAAAATTCAAATAAATAAGGAGAATAGTTTGATTGATGATCATTCTACAAATCATGGTTAATGATGCTTTGTCCCAAAAGCTATGTTATTAGCTTTTAGGAGAAGCTTCAGTTCATAACCTGTACATTCATTAAACCCCAAAAAGGCAAATGGATTGCACTCAAAAGACAATAGACTGAATAAAATCACTTACTAAGGAACATTTTCTATTTGTGATTGGTCCATTTGGACCTCAAAGATAAAGGATACTAGTTATATACTCATTTATACAATGATGAGAATGATAGGTAATATAATGGATGAGAGAATCAAGATGAAAAATTATTTCAATTGGTTTAAATAATGGACCAAAACTAACAAGATAAAATTTAGCAGGAATCAAAGTTGAGTCCTACATTGAGGTTTATGCTATCAAATTCATATTACAGGAGAAAAGCGATATATGTAGAAAATAATTCATATGAAATCTATAAATCACATCTTAGTATTTTAGTTGACCAACACTAAATGAGCTTACCCTATGAAGTGATTGTGAAAAATAAATAGAGCATGAGATGGAGAGACTAAAAATGAAACTGAGTCTGGTGGAAGATATAAAAAGGGTTTAGACTATTTTTTCTAGTAGGAGTTGTCTTATTAATATCATCCAGTTGAGTACTTACTTATACCAATCCAGTATTTTAATTTTAATGTTTATCAATGTTCCTGAAGCTTTTGAGCTGATGAATGTGCTTCTCTCCATCCCTGGGCCCAGATCTACTCTCTGTCCACTTGCTGGATTTTAGTTGAATGCTCTGCTTCAGCTGCCCAGTGATGGCACAGTAGTTTGGGTTGTGAGATGCAAAGATAGTTTTTTGCGTGTGTGGGTATCTAGGGGTGTGAGATATGCCGTCCAGGTTGCAAGCATGGCAAAAAATTTCCTATATGAGATTGTCCAAATGTTCCAGTCATCTCTTGACTCAGACATCTCCCTCCCACTCAAGTCCCTGAAATTCTGTGGCTCTCTTTGGTGACTCTTGCCTACTCAGCACTCTGGGCCTGGAGAGTGCAGCTGTGAATGTTTGCTGCTTCCACAGTCACTGGCTCTCCCCCTGGTTAGATAAGCATTATGAAGCTCTACGTATACCCTTGTGATGGTGACAGCCATCACTACCTGTTTTGGTGCTTAACGTGAGGCACCCTTAATAACTAACTCTGGACCCTACGCCAGTAACATGCTGCCATCTAGAGTTTTGTGGTTTACCATGGAATGTCTACTGGTTGGCTGTAGCCACCTCTCCCCATTGCCCCACCTCATGACCTGTGGCTTTCAAAGTCAAACACACACAGAAATACATACACAAACAAAACCATTCAACATGACTTCTGACGTTTTTCAGCCTTCAGAAGAGAAATATTAGAATTTGATGAAACTCATTGATTCTCTCCTGTTTTTGGCTATCTTGTAGGGTGCCACATCTTGTGATCAGGGAGAGAAAGTCTTAGTATTATAGTTTTTTTCTCCTACTCTGGTAAAACAATATTAATATTTTTAGAATGCTGGTTGGGAAAAGATAATATTGATATAGAAGTAATTTACAATGAAGTTTTTCTGTTGGATTTGGTGTGATTATGTTCGTTGGGAGGGAGTGGGAGTACAGAGTAGTACCAAACTCCATGTACAGCACCAGAGTAATCCAATTCTGTAGATCTTCTTCCAAAATGAAAGTATCTGCCATATTCTTAAAGTCATGCACTTTCCTGGTGAAATGGGTAGTGGTGGTGGAGGTGGTGGTGTGTGTAATCTCTGTTCTTGGACAAGTCTCCTACTAAATTCCTTTGAGAACACTTGGTCAGGATCACTCTTTTCTGCTTTCTCAGCCAGTGGATTTCTGTTGTTCATTAGCAATCCTAAAATCAGGTTAAAGAAGCATAGATTACATCGGTGGACTTTTTTGAATTAATTTTTTATTGAACTCACTCATGATAATGCACAGGAGTATTTTCTTCCAGGGATTAAGGACAGATGAGCTGCCATCAAGATTATGGGATGGGGCGAAGGCCAAGCTCCCTGACAAATATTTGGATGAACTGAGGAGATTTCCCTGGTAGAAGTGAAGAAATGAAGACAAAGTAGACATAATGGCCTACTTTGTCCCCTTTTATCTGTAGTTTTGCTTTCCAAGTTTTTAGTTACCCATAGTCAACTACTGTCTGAAAATAGGTCAGTACAGTACAATAAGATAATTTCAGGACAGAAACAAAGACCACATTTACATAACTTTTATTACAGTATATTGTTATATTGTCCTATAGTATTACTAATTATTGTTGTTAATCTTTTACTTTGCCTAATTTATGAATTTAACTTTACTGTAGGTAGATATGCATAGGAAAAAAAAAGTGTATATAGGGTTGGGTACCATGCATGGTTTCAGGCATCCACTAAACGTCTTAAACATATATTAGGGGGGATTACTGTACATGAAGAGATGATGTGTGGAGTGGATTTCTGTTTAACTTTACAAGGCCCAACTCAAACCCGTAAGTAGAATTTTTAGTGAGGCAGCAAAGCAAGATTGTTATGGCTAAAGCTCTTAAAAATAAATTCAGTTGCTCTTGTGAAATGGTGGATTCCCAAACTCTGAAATGGCAGAAACAGAATTTTATGGCTACCTAACAGAAATTTGATAATAGCAAAGCTACCAGACATGCAATGGAAATTTCTTTCAACTTAAAGACTCTCTGATACCCTGTGGAACATTTGATCTAGACCCAGGGATGTTCTTTACAATATCTCTATTTTTCATTCGTTTTTAGAAGATTTGCTCTTCTTTCAACAATTCCTAGCCTTTCTTTCCAACTCTTAGTAGTCCACCTTTAGTGACATGAATAATTTAAATGACAAAGCTGATGATCTAATATTATACCCCAGCGATACATTTCTCAACTAGGCCTGTTTCTTTATTTTTGAAAAATGCAACATTACTGTCGGTAATTACTTTATGACTTGACCTTCTTCCTGGGTAGGAGGATGCTGAATAGGGAAAAGAAGGCATGAAAAATTTGTAAATAACACTAAAACTGTTTTTATGTGTTGATTCATGTATGTAGGGATATGTAAGTTTGCTATTACAACTTGTTAATTAGAAACACTTATCATTTGTTAACGTTTTATTATTTCAGTCACCTCGATTCACAGTTACATGGTAGATAAAGATTGCCAGGGTGATAAAACACAGGAGTTATTCCTAACATTAAGCACTTGTTAATGGAATAAGACATTCTGATGATGCAATTCTTTTTCGGAATTTGAGTGACATTGTGTCCGGAATTGGTGGGTTCTTGGTCTCACTGACTTAAAGAATGAAGCCGCAGACCCTCGCGGTGAGTGTTACAGCTCTTAAGGTGGTGCGTCTGGAGTTTGTTCCTTCTGATGTTCGGATGTGTTCGGAGTTTCTTCCTTCTGGTGGGTTCGTGGTCTCGCTGGCTCAGGAGTGAAGCTGCTGACCTTTGCGGTGAGTGTTACAGCTCTTAAGGCCGGCACACGTCTGGAGTTGTTCGTTCCTCCCGGTGGGTTCGTGGTCTCCCTGGCTTCAGGAGTGAAGCTGCAGACCTTTGCGGTGTGTGTTACAGCTCATAAAAGCAGTGTGGACCCAAAGAGTGAGCAGCAGCAAGATTTATTGCAAAGAGTGAAAGAACAAAGCTTCCACAGCGTGGAAGGGGACCAGAGCGGGTTGCCACTGCTGGCTCTGGCAGCCTGCTTTTATTCTCTTATCTGGCCCCACCCACATCCTGCTGATTGGTAGAGCCTAGTGGCCTCTTTTGACAGGGCGCTGATTGGTGCCTTTACAATCCCTGAGCTAGATACAAAGGTTCTCCACGTCCCCATCAGATTAGTTAGATACAGAGTATGGACACAAAGGTTCTCCAAGGCCCCACCAGAGCAGCTAGATACAGTGTCAATTGGTGCACTCACAAACCCTGAGCTAAACACAGGGTGCTGATCGGTGTGTTTATAAACCTTGAGCTAGATACAGAGTGCCGATTGGTGTATTTACAATCCCTGAGCTAGACATAAAGACTCTCCACGTCCCCACCAGACCCAGGGGCCCAGCTGGCTTCACCCAGTGGATCCCGCACTGGAGCTGCAGGTGGAGCTGCCTGCCAGTCCCGCGCCGTGCGCTCGCACTCCTCAGCCCTTGGGTGGTCGATGGGACTGGGCGCCCTGGAGCAGGGGGTGGCACTCGTCCGGGAGGCTCGGGCCACACAGGAGCCCATGGAGGGGGTGGGAGGCTCAGGCATGGCGGGCTGCAGGTCCCGAGCCCTGCCCCGTGGGAAGGCAGCTAAGGCCCGGTGAGAAATTGAGCACAGCGCCGGTGGGCTGGCACTGCTGGGGGACCCAGTATGCCCTCTGCAGCCGCTGGCCTGGGTGCTAAGTCCCTCATTGCCTGGGGCCGGCAGGGCCCGCCGGCTGCTCCGAGTGCGGGGCCCACCAAGCCCACGCCCACCCAGAACTCCAGCTGGCCCACAAGCGCCACACACAGCCCCTGTTCCCGCTGGCGCCTCTCCCTCCACACCTCCCTGCAAGCTGAGGGAGTGGGCTCCGGCATTGGCCAGCCCAGAAAGGGGCTCCCACAGTGCAGCGGTGGGCTGAAGGGCTCCTCAAGTGCCGCCAAATGGGGAGCCCACGCAGAGGAGGCGCCTAGAGCGAGCGAGGGCTGTGAGGAGTCCCACCGCTGCCACCTCTCAACATTTTACTCTTAACCAAGAATTGATCAATAGGAATCAAGCCTCCTAAATCCATTTCAGCCTTAAACATGCACTCAGAACTCAGCAAGTGACTGTAACAGAGGACTGTTTAGTTGTCTTCCTTTTTACTAAAACAAAATTTTACTTAGAAGGATGAAAAGAAAGGCAATCTTCCCTATAATATTATATTAAAGATAAATAAGAAAATCTAGAGAAGACAGAGTGGAAAATTGAGTCACTAACTTTTGGTAACATGAAAGAGAATATCATAGCCATTATGGCATATGGTGTTTTCCTATCCTGATATAGCATAAATTTTATGCAGCCATTGAAAACCCCCAGAAGTAGGAGGATATCTGACACTTTGTAGACACTCAATACATTTTGTTGAATGTTGAATAAATAAACCCAACTTTTATCACAGTTAAATTTTAAATTCTTTAGGAAATTTTCACCATTCTTGAAAATTTTAGGGTGACATTCTTTTACATGGGATGCAGAAAACAGACACAGTCGATTTTAAGACAAAAACATAGTATTCAAGTCATAATAGTAATTGGATTTATTAATTGTCATTAGAGAGTTGGGAGACAATCTTCATAGATTAATCTACCATAGTCCATGTAATTGTGGCTATGTCTTCAGAGTTAAGTTTTATATAGATAAATATTATATAATGTTGTAGCATTTGTACTATTGCATAAAATATGAGAATTTTAGGATTCTTAGTTTTTGCTATGTATAAATAACCTAGATGGATATTATACACCGTGGTATTTAATATTCCATATACTATGCTTGTATATTTATATATATTATTTAAAGAAAAATCTGAATTAAATAGGTGGCATGCCATATCTATACAAGGTAAGCATTATTTAGAACAAATGGAATGTTTATTTATATCCTTAAATCAGAAATCCATTAGGTAATAATTTCTGATTGATAGTCCAAACCTAGCTCGGACCTCAGCAGTGTTTGACCTGAATAGATAAGATATTACAACTCTCCAAATGTGCAGTTGGCAAAGTGCCCTGACCAAATTCAGAAAACATGCACAACTCAGGGCTATAAACATGCAGAATTCTAGAAAACGGAACAGAATTGCAATCAGGCAGCATGGATATATAATCTTGTTTTCATAGATAATTCATGCAGATAATTCAGTGACCTTAGATATAGGATTGACTACAGCATAAAATCATTTTTTTTCTATGTCAAAGTCTAATTCAAGGTGCTTGATGACAGAAAACATTCCAAATAAAGGTTTATAAATACAGAAAATAGTATTTTACACACAAACACATCCTCATACACACCTCAATATATTGAGATTGAAGACATTACAATATTCTTATTTTCTTGTAGTTTTATTTACCACTCGAGTACTCAGAGGTCATTCTGAGAAAATATCTTGGTTGTAGTTAATTTTGATTAATGGATTGTAGACTGAAGACAAGAAAATGCTTGTCTTTGGGATGTCCGGTTTGAATCACAAACAAATGTATTCCTTATCATCATTAATGCATATCTTTGCTGCTATTCGCTAGGGCTTTACATTTAGAATAGTTTGGAGCAAATTTAATTTAAAAACATCTATGTCATTGCAACAGAAATAATATATGATTTTCAGGACACATTCAAGGAAGCAGGGAGAAAAAGAGCAAGAGTGAGAAGGAGAATTTAGTAGCAGTTTAATTGCTTTCTCTTGTGTATTAATTCTAGGGTGTGGGGAGAGGGTTGGGGAAAGAGTGCGATTACATCAATGTTATGGGCTGGAAATTCTGCCACATATCCATTGAGAGAAAAATGCCTTACAAATATTTTTCGAATGATTTAGAGTTGGCTAAATCCAATGCATGTTTTTACCATGAATTTTTCATTTAAAAGGTTTTAAAAAATCATAGATTTTAAGAAAGAAAATGTAATCCATATGTTACTGATTCATTCACACTTATCATATTTTGCGTGAGTAAGCTGGTGTCCAAAAATGTTTAGTTTTTTAAATCAGGAAGTCACATTTTTAAAGCACCAAAAAGGACCTTGGACCTGGAAAGTTTCAAATTTCTATTTAAACTCAGAACCCAAGGAATTTGAGTGGGTTCTAAACTTGGCAATATGCCTTCATCCTAGTTAACGTATTGATGGAGTTATATATATTCGTGTACATGTGAGTTAAAAGTGAAGCTGTTAATTCTGCTTTGATATCAAAGCTAGATATATTCATTTAGACTTCCTCATTTGTTTGCCATGAGGAAACAATTCGTGACTTGTTTTATTATTTAAAAAATTTTGTATATTGACCTATATCTTTAAATACACAATAAGTGTTATCAAACATGTAACAAAGTTGGTGTATGGAAAAATGCATAATTTTCCCTAAGGGCTATTTGCTAATATGGAACACCGGCCTCTAAAATGTGATGAAAGAAGAACTGTGGAACAATGGGTCATGATGGCTAATTTTATAGGGAACACATGCATACAGTATAATTTAAAACACATGCCACAGCAGTTATAGTAAAAGAGAATTAGAAAGGAATTCTGCTTCATAAAAAAGAAAACAGTTCCCTCTTTATCCTGACAGAATTGCATTTCTCTTCTAGGAAAAAGATCCCATTCACTAATGCTTTAACAATTGCAGGGCCCACCCATAAGGTTCACATATATTCTCTCAAATCCCCTCCTCCAGTTTTGGCCTATCCGCTGTGATTTTGCAAAGATGTGATATGAAATTAAAGGCGAATAGTCTAATGTGCATCTGGCATCTTTCTAATGTAATATTTATTAATTGCTACTCAAAACTAAATATTGTGTGTCATCTATTACTCTCTCTATCTTAAACAATGGACTGTAGTGTATTAATATAGGAATTTTAAGGGAGAGGAACAGGTCATTTTGTCCATTCTTCTGTTTCTAAGCAGACTTTAGGCTTGCAGTAAAAACCTAAAGCAAGTTAGATGTTTGAGTGTACTATTTTGAAGAGCTTAGGAGTGGCAAGATAATAAACTTCTATGCAATTGGTTGCTAAAATTTTATCAGAAGTTCTTTATTCATACCTCCAGAAAGAAAAGAAAGCAAAGCAAACAAACAAACAAACAAAATCCCTTCTTTCTTTGTGAGGGTTAATTTGATGTATGTCAACTTGACTGGGACACAGGGTACCTAGATATTTGGTTAAACATTTATCTGAGGGTGTCTGTGAGGGTGTTTCTGGGTAAATTACCATTTGAATTGGTGGACTGAGTAAAGCAGATTGCCCTCTCCATGTGGGTGGGCCTCATGGAATCCTTTGGAGGCCCGAACAGAACAAAAGGCTGGGTAAGGGAGAATTTGCCCACCCTGTCTGTTTTTGAGCTGGGCCATTGGACACCCACACACAGATTGGAACTTGCACCATCCACTCTCCTGGTTCTCAGGCCTTTGCACTCAGACTGGAAGTACACTTTCCAGGGAAAGTGTACTGGAAGGAAGCTTTCCAGGGTCTCCAGCTTGCCAATGGGAGATCATGGGATTTGTCACCCTCCATAATTAGGGAACCAACTCCTTATAATAAAAAATCTCTCTCTTTTTGGATAGAAAGATAGATATCTAGATAGCAGATTGGTTCTGTTTCTCTGGGGAACTCTGACTAATACATTTTTACTGTGATTGAAACCTATTTCTCCTTCTGTTATTCAATCCTTTATAAAGAAGAACAATTTGCTAGTAACCTCATTATAAAACTCTTCATATTCTTGAAGATAAATTGTGTATATTGTTTTTAAACCACAAGCCTCTAAACCAGAAAAAATATTAAGATAAGATTTTGACTAATATTTAAATTGTGCCCTGTGGTTAGGATGATGCGATTTGCTTTTAGTTAGAAT
Source organism: Homo sapiens (assembly GCF_000001405.40). Taxonomy (NCBI): domain Eukaryota; kingdom Metazoa; phylum Chordata; class Mammalia; order Primates; family Hominidae; genus Homo; species Homo sapiens. Next base: position 140,004,015 of record NC_000006.12, read on the forward strand.
TAATCATATTGTGCCAATAAATGCCCCTCTTGCTGGGTTAGTTTCCCCAGCATTTGATTCTCATCCATCTGACCTATATTGTCGGTAGCTCTCCGACCAGCACGTGAGTATGAGCCTCCCCTGCCTCCCTTGCTTTCAATATCAATATTGTGTCTTCAAACAGGAAGTGGATTTCATGCTCACTTGCTGCTTTCCAATACTAGTCCTAAAGTCTCAGGTCTTTAATTATGACCAGACCTTTTTCTTGCAGATAGGAAAGACATTGAATTTTACTATTCTGTTAATCAACTGCATAACATTATGGAACTATTATTATTGTTTAAGGAAATTCTTGTTAGTATAGAAGATTTGTAATAAGAAAGTAAAAATTACGGAATTACTTATTTGAGATAATTACGGCTAAAATTTTTAATGTATTTCTTTTCAAGATTTTTCTATGTACATGGTTTATCTTAAAGTGATTAATATTGTTTTAGGCTCCTTCAATATATCAAAGTATTTGTTTTTCCATGCAAATTAAATATTTTAGAAAACATCATTTTTAATGGCAGTGTAATATTTCATTTACTTAAAAATTTCTTTATTGTTAAACTCTTCAATTCCTTTCATTTTTTAAATCATTTGTGGAGTTACAGGATTAAAGAATATAAAGCTCTTTTGTCCTCCTTAATATCAACAAATTTGTTTTGAGAAATGTTGCACAATTTATTCTTCCACACAATGTATACATATATAGAGGCTGTTTTGTCACACCCTTGCAAGCACTTAATAAAAATAAATAATCTTTTAAAGATAATTTCTATTTCTAGTTTTAGAAATGAAAATGTTATCTTTCTGTGTATTTCTTTAATTGCTGGAGAGATAGAATAACTTTTCAAATACTGGTCATTTTTACTATTCTATAAATTTTGGATTCATGTTTTTAGAAAATTTTTCTATTCATGCTTTTATGTTTTGACTTATCTATTTGTTGATTATTTGTGTGCCTACATCTATATATCTCATATATACACATATGTAATGTTTATATATATACGTATTAAGTCCCCCAACTGTTTTTTTTTGTATTTTTATTGCTTTTATTCTTATTATAAAAGTAATACATACTATCTTAAAAAGTGTGAACAGTATAAAAATATACAAATGAGAAAGAGAGTCTCATGTAATCTCACTTGCAAGAGGCAACCACTGATAACAGTTTGGGGCACATTGACCCAAACTTTTATTTCCTAACAGTGTTAAATGTTGGTGGCTTCCAGCTTCATCCATGTCTTTGCAAAGGATTTTTCTATTCATGCTTTTATGTTTGCTTTTCTGTTTTGACTTATCTATTTGTTGATTATTTGTGTGCATACATCTACATATCACATGTATATACACATATGTAATGTTTACATACATATATGTGTGTGTGTATATATATATGTATTAATTCCCTTACCTGTTTGTACTGGCATTTTTTTTGAGAAATTGACGGTCCTCATTTATATGAAGTACATTTTATCATCTTTTTCCTTTGTGAGTGTTTCCATTGGTTTCATGTTTAAAAAGGCCTTTCTTGGCAGTTTTTCATTTTACTGGCACACTTGTTATATACTTTTCACTGTTGATCACAGGCTGGACACTCCCCAAGATCAAGGACATTAATTTACTTATTTATGTATCCCCAGTACTCATTGGACTAGCAGAATGCCTGGATAAATACTAATATATAATTACATTTTTGTAAAAAGCCAAAAGCATTGCCATGGCATTTTCCTCTAGTTTTTGAAGAATGGATAGAATTTCATTATTTAATAATTAAATGGCCGGTGCGGTGGCTCACATCTGTAATCCCAGCACTTTGGGAGGCCGAGGCAGGCAGATCACCTGAGGTCAGGAGTTCGAGATCAGCCTGGCCAACATGGCAAAACCCCATCTCTACTAAAAATACAAAAATTAGCTGGGTGTGGTGGCAGGTGCCTGTAATCCCAGGTACTTGGGATGCTGAGGCAGGAGAAACGCTTGAACCTGGGAGGTGGAGGTTGCTGTGAGCCGAGATCGCCATTGCACTCCAGCCTAGGTGACAAAGCAAGACTTTGTCAAAAAAAAAAAAAAAGAATTAAATAGGGTCATTGAAAAGCTATAATAATCAGAAGGAAAGTAATAGATAGAGGTTTACTAATATTTTGTTGAATGGCTAAATAAAAGATAAACTAAATTGTAGAAAAATCAGAATAAATATACTTTGAGTAAATAGTTTTTATTGTTTTCCGAATTTTAATATAATTAACTGAAAGTGATTTATAAACTAATTATTTACAATATGTAGATTTGTATTACGGTAATGTGTTGGGGGCAGAATTCTGAGATGACCTTCAAGACCCATCCCTCCTTACCTCTTGCCCCCTACCTGCCCCCTGCCTCCTTGTCCTGTATCATCTCCCTCTCTTCAGTGTGGAAAAGACCTGTGAATATGATAGCTGTCACTCTCATGATTAGATTACATTATATGGCCATGATGAAAGAATTTTTCAGATGGAATCAGGTCCTTAAGCAGTTTAAAAGAAGACAGGCTTTCGTTGAGATGAGACATTCCATCTCCTTTACGCCTTGAAGAAAAAAGCCAATATGAGCTCTAGAGCTGCAAAGAAATGTATTCTACCAACACCATGTCAACTCGGAAGAGGATCCTCCACCTCAGATGGGGCCACAACGCTGAACAACACCTAAATTACAGCCATGGGAGATCCTAAGCAGAGGATCCAGATAAGACACGCTCAGACTTCCAGTCCTTGGAAACTGAGATAAGCCAGCCAGCAAGTTTCGTAATTCTTATGCAGAAATAGAAAACAAATACACTTGGAAATATCTATCATGTGCACTAGAAATTTTGTAAACCTTTTATCCAAGAGTTTGACTTCAAATATAACCTAAAGATTTACGATTTCTACTTGGCCATGAGAACGTTGAAGTGTTTGTACAAGTGAGACAAATCAACAAGCAAAAAAACAACCGCATTAAAATATGAGCAGGCCGGGCGGGGTGGCTCACGCCTGTAATCCCAGCACTTTGGGAGACTGAGGCAGGTGGATCACCTGAGGTCAGGAATTCTAGACCAGGCTGGCCAACATGGTGAAACCTGGTCTGTACTAAAAATACAAAAATTAGCTGGATGAGGTGGTGCACGCCTATAATCCCAGCTACTCGGGAGGCTGAGGCTGGAGAATTGCTTGAACCCAGGAGTTGGAGGTTGCAGTGAGCCCAGATTGCACCACTGCGCTCCAGCCTGGGTGACAGAGCAAGACTCCATCTCAAAAAGCAAACAAACACACACACACACACACACACACACACACACACACACACACAAGATAGCTAGCGTCTCACGCCAGTCACAATAGCTCTTATTAAAAAGTTAAAAAACAATAGATGCTGGTGAGGAGAAATGGGAATGCTTATACACTGTTGGTGGGAACATAAATTACTCCAGTCACTGTGGAAAGCAGTCCAGAGATTTATCAAAGAACTTAAAACAGAGCTGCCATTCAACCCAGCAATTCCATTACAGAATATATATCCAAGAGAAAATAAATCATTCTACCAAGAAGATACGTGCACTTGCATGCTCATCGCTGTGCTATTCACAATAGCAAAAACATGGAATCAACCCAGGTGCCCATCAATGCTAGATAGGATACAGAAAATGTTGTACATGTATGCCATGGAATACTATGCAGCCATAAAAAAGAAGAAAAAATCATGTCGTTTGCAGCAACATGGATAGAGCTAGAGGCCATTATCCTAAGCAAATTAATGTAGAAACAGAAAACCAAATACCCACATGTTCTCACTTACAAATGGGAGCTAAACATTGAACACACATGGATATAAACATGCTCAGAAAATTTGAGCACACGTGGATATAAATATGGGAACAATAGACACTGCGGACTACTAGAGGGTGGGGGAAGTAGATTAAAAAACTACCTTTTGGGTACTATGTTCATTACCAGGGTGACAGGCTGTGCACTTCAAACCTCAGCATCTGCACATATATCCCCTGTATCTAAAATAAAAGTTGACCTTAAAAAAATAATTCAATAGAAGCACAATAGTTAAATACTGGGCTTTAGGACTAGAGATAGTATATTGATATATGTATCTGTTGCCTCTTCTTTCCCAGACTCCACTGCAGAAAATAGATGAAGTTTAACACAGAAAAATAGATAGAATGTCATTGGAAAATAATTGCAAAAAAATTTGGAAAATAGAAAACAAAGAAAGCATCTTGAGAGACAACCAAGAGGGTCACAGGTGTCAATGTACTAGGTTCTGAAGAACCCTGGCTTTTCCAGTAGCTTCTCTGGATGCTAGAAGTCAAGCAATTAATACCTTCAACAGTTGAATAAAAGACGTTTTCTATATGGAATTGTATGTTTGACCAAAATACATAGAAAGGCAAAATAAGCAGTTTAGACATCAGATGACCCTTTCTTACATAGCAACTGGACAATGTGCTATAGCAAAATGAAAGAGTTAAAAAGAAAAAGCAAGTTATAGTCATTAGAGGACAGTGAACTCCAGGAGAGAGATGAGAAGTAGACTCAAGTAGCAGCTTTGCAAGAGACCTAGAGAGAAACCAGTCCAGACAGAAACCCCAGAATGGAAGGCTGTAGAAGCAAAGCCTGCAGGAGAAAACAAAGGAGTAAGACTTGTTAGAAAAGATAATATTATGGATTATTTGGAATAAAAGAACTATGTATGTGTACCAAATCATGTAAGTGAAAGAAATATAACATTTATTGGTTAGAGGATTGATTATATAAGTTATGGTAAATCCATGACATAGAATACTATGCATCCCTTAAGAAAAATGAAACACATCTATATGCATTGATATGGAACATATCCAAAATACATTATTGATTGAAAAGACAAGGTAAGAAACAGTACATATTTTAAGCATCCATTACTGGTTTTTAAAAGATGGATACACAAACTTCCATTATTAACTTCTATATGCAAAGACTAACTCTGGAAGGGTATGCAGTAATTTGGTAATAATCGCTGTGGTTAGGGGAAATGGAGAACTGAGGAAGGAGGGATGGGAGGAAGGCTTCCTTCACCTGCAGACTTTTAAAAATCATTTGTTTATCATGTACATGTATTGCCTATTCTAAACAACCTGAATTTTTCACCATGCATATATATAATCTATTCAAATTAATGCACCCTCACCCCATCTGGTCCTTTCAATTTCACTTACTCAGCTCCACTTTTTCTTTTTTTTCCATAGGACTAACATTCTAACTTATTTTATAACTTATTTATGAGTTATATTTTTATTCGTTCCTTATATCCTACTGCTAGAGTATAAATCCCAGAGAGTTTGGACTGCTTTGCTCTTCATCCCAACCACCTAGAGTGGAACTTGGCACACGCGGAGTAATCTGTAAATATTTGCTGAATAAGCATTTAACAAATATTTACAGAAAAAGGAGAGACAACATTGCAATATTGGTATTGTACACACATAGGTAGTGATAATGGTTTTGAGAGGAAGAGTTTGGTAACAGTGGGAATGGGAAATAAGTCTGTATTTCCCTATTAGGTATAAAATTTAAAGGGAAAGAGATACTATAACTCTCTAGAAACAGAAATAGAGATGTCTTGCAAGAGGGAAGTGGTAACTGAGCAGAAAGCCTTCAGCTGGCACTCAAAGCAGACATGAAAGACCCCTATAGCAATGAGCTCCATGAATGAACTGACAAGAGTAAATGAGAAAAAAATTAATAAACACACGGTGTATTTTAATATTAAAATGATACAACAGAAAACGATATTGTAGATTCTCTGTAAATTATAAGTAAAAAAGCATATAACAAAATAGAATTTCTTGTTGTATTTTTAAATTCAAGTTTTAGAAGTGTAGTCATGTATAGATAAAATATAGGGAGATATTATATACACAAAATAGCAACAGTGGTTATATCTAGGCAATAACATACTTTTAATTTTCTTCATATTACAGTGTTTTCACTATGAGACAAAGATTGTAAAAATTGATATTTCTTTCCCTATAACATGGGTGGAAATAAATGTTTATATTTATTTTAAAAGCAGATTAATTAAAATGCCTATTTTTGTAACCACGATTTTAGTCTTTGTCTTACAATATTTTAAAAATATATAAGTATACAACATACTTGAAGACCTATGCTTTTAATATTACTAGAATCTTTGAATATCAAACCATGCATTTACTGTGGTTGAGAACACCAGACAAATGGAAAACAATTGCTGAAAACAACGTATTAAGTGTATGTGACAGTAGAATAGTATAGATATGTCAGATTTTTCAGCAAGGAAAGATCACTGTTGCCTAGAGGAATATAGTAACCTTGAGGAATGGGTAATAATTATAGGAAGAGAAAATAATTTATCAAGTGGGAAAATGGCCATGAGTAAAAGTACAGAGTGAGTTAGGGGATCCTTTTACTCTTAGATCAGAGACGTGGATGATAATGGTAGAATAGTTTTAAATTTTCAGAGTGGTTTTGTGTCAGATGTAACATAAGCAGGGTGAAGTGATGGAGAGCAAGGGCTTTGGAGACAGATTAGTTTTCAAATCCTGGTTCCACCATGACATGATGTGGCCGAGAGAAAGCCAGCTTTGAAGTCAATTAACCCTACAGGGAGGGTTGCTATGAGAGAGTTCAAGGAGGGAACGTGGGGAATCACCCAACCCTGTTTCTGGCACACCACGGTTGTTGAATAGCAGTCAGTTCCTTGCCTCTCCCACCCTCCCACTCTCACAACATCCATGTGGAGGAGACAGGAAGAATTATCAGCCTCCTTTTATAAGAGGACAAACCGAGTCCCAAAGATGTTAACTTATTTACAATCACTGACGCTAATAAGCAGTGGACCAAGATCATCTGACTTTCAGCTCAGTGACAGTGGCTCTCCATAATGACTAAATCTCTACATGAACACCAAGAGAATCATTATGTGGGATTTTAGTTTTAGTTGAGGTCAGTTGTTTCATTCTCACAGGGCTTCATACAATGTGATATGTTATTTTCTTTGATGGATTTATCATGATCCAAAGTCTGTTCTTCAACTTTGTAGGTTCATGAACATGATTTTCAGGGCACACAGAGTATATTAGCCTTTCTGGAATAAACTCACATTAATTAATTTCACAAAGGAATTTCCTTGAGAAGACTCTTTCTTAAATATCTCTGCAAACCTAGATAGGATCTAGAATGAAACAGTCAGTACACTTCATAAAACCAGAATGCTAATTTATAAATTTATCCTACAAATATAAATGTCTAAAGTCCTAGATACTTGAGCTCCTTGAAAGAAAAAAAATCAAACATATAAAACCAAATAGGACTCTGAGCACACCATGCAGGGCAAAGAACATTGCCTGGAATTTCTGTCCTGCATAGCCCCACACACTTTCTCCTACTTAAGAATGGCTTTGCATATTCACCTTGTCTTCATTTTATGGTTTAACTTTCAAATGGCATCTTTTTTTGGAATATCTATGGTGTGTTGTGCTGTCTGACCTCAGTCCGATGCAGTGATTTCAACCTTTTTACCCTAGAAAGCAAACAGTGGGTGACATTCGCTCACCAGGATCTTATTTATAAAGCCTTCCGTTCTCTCTCACTCAGAAAAGGATATCAGAAAGCAGATAAGTGGGAGTGATAGTTCAGGATAACCTTGACTTCTAACTCACAAACAAAAGTAAATCATTTGCTAACTTTGAACTATTAATAGTAACAAATTACTTGCAACAGAGCTCAGGACAGATTGTGAGGCACCCTTGGATCTTGACCTCTGCGCCTAGTGGAGAAAATAAGTGGTTGTTTGCATCTCTTAAATTTCTCATATTGAAAAGAATAGTAACACACATAGCACATAAGCAATTTGTAATTTGACTTTATGACGGAGAAAGCAAATTTTATACCATGAGGAAGACTTCTGTCCTTAAACTTTTAAAGAAAGCAAGAATTGCATCGACTCTTTGCTAGTGGGCCATTTTGTCTATGCCTATAAAGGAAAAAGAGAGGCATATAGATTATTATTTAAAAAGATCATGAGTCTATTTATCTTAAAAAATAAAAAGAATAAAGAAAAGATAAAAAAAGAAAAGGAAAAAAGAAAATAAATAAGCTCTAAATTCCTAGGTTCCTTAGGCTTTAAGAAGACTAAATATAAACCCATAGCTTACTTTTTTTCCATTAAGTAAAGAACTTCTAATTCTAGCACAAGTTCGAGCTATGATGATTTAACTTTAAGCAGCACTTTGTGCTTTCTCATCCTCTTCTTGTATTTGTGGGTCAAAAGAGAAGTCAGTAGGGACTTGTATTTCCTGTCTCATCTTTTCCTTCCTCCTTTCTTAAAACATTGTGGGAAATCAACTTTATAAAACACTGAGGAGAGCCATGTCCATTAACTTCTGAAATGTCTGCCATAATTCTTTTCTATTTCCAAGTAGACTTTTCTCCCAGGGCATAGATCAGGATGAATTGTAGTATATATGGGATGTATCACTATATGAAATATTTCATTATCTTTCTCTTACTTGAGTGTTACTGTTTATAATATTCTGATCTATTTATAATCATTTCTTTGCTACTGTCTGTTTGCTCTCCATTCCCTAACACATTGATAATTCCTTTGAGAGGAAATTTAGGTGAGATTTGTTTTTTTTCTTTTCTTTTCTTTTTTTTTTTTGAGATGGATTTGTTTTCTTTCTTTCTTTTTTTTTTTTTTTTCTCTGTTGCCCAGGCTGGAGTGCGGGCGCGATCTCAGCTCACCACAACCTCCGCCTCCTGGGTTCAAGTGATTCTCCTGCCTCAGCCTTCCAAGTAGCTGGGACTAAAGACGCATGCCACCATGCACGGCTAATTTTTGTATTTTTAGTAGAGATGGGGTTTCACTGTGTTGGCCAGGCTGCTCCTGAACTCCTGACCTCGTGATCCGCCCGCCTCGGCCTCCCAAAGTGCTGGGCTTACAGCCGTGAGCCACCGCGCGCCTGGCCTGAGATTTGTTTCCTAAACCTCATCACTCTAGGTATCTGCATCTGTACCTTCTGCAGTTTCCTTTTTCTTTTTGAAATGTAAAATATTTTATTTTGAATAAGGAATCTTTTCAGTCAAGAATGCAAACATTAAAATTTCTTTTCATCTCAAGCACACAGTATAAGATTTTTGCCTGTGAAGTAGTGGGGATCCTTGGCCTTTTCATCCCCTTCAAGGTTGATTCTTCTACTCCAGAGTCTGGGCAGATGTGGATGGCTGAGGGGTGCCATTCCCTCATGGATATTTCTAATAGTTAATGGAATAAATTGTGTCTTGCTAGGATTTTCTGGAACAGACACTAAAGAATAGGAAGGAATGTTTCATTAGGTAAGACCAATTATATGTTTCTCTTTGATAGAGTAAAAAAGGTAATAATACATAACTGAAAAGGCTGAGGATTTTTTTTTTTTTTTTTTTTTGAGACAGAGTCTCGCTCTTTTGCCCAGGCTGGAGTACAGTGGCACGATCTCGGCTCACTGCAAGCTCCACATCCCAGGTTCACACCATTCTCCTGCCTCTGCCTCCCGTATAGCTGGGACTACAGGCGCCCGCCACCGCGCCCAGCTAATTTTTTGTATTTTTTTTTTTTTTTAGTAGAGACGGGGTTTCACCGTGTTAGCCGGGATGGTCTTGATCTCCTGACCTCGTGATCCGCCCGCCTAGGCCTCCCAAAGTGGTGGGATTACAGGCGTGAGCCACCGCGCCCGGCCAAGGCTGAGGATTTTAATGACATTTTCCTCTTCATTATATTCTGTATTTTTTCTTTTTTAAATAGGTAAGTGTTCCCTGACATGAATGAATAGAAAATCAAGGAAAAATTAAGAGGAAAAATTATGGAAGGCACATGATGGACCAGGTTCATTTCTGCAAGGCAGGGTGAGAAGGTCTACATCTTCAGATGCTTAGGAGAAATACGACTCCATATGTAAAGTCCACCAAGGTGCTCAGTGAACAAAAGCTGCACCTATTGCTTAAGAAGAAGAAAAGAATACTGAGGTTATGAGTTTCTTTTATGATAGTTATTGTTTTACATGACGTTTTTTTTCCTCCGTTTCTAAGATATGAGAAATATATGACCTTAGAGTTCAAAGTAACCAAAGAAATTATTTAACCATTCAACTCAGCACTTGCTACCAGAGTTTCCCTGATAGAGACATCACCATGACTTTAATTTAGCCTAAGGATGGTTCTAATGAACTTGCACAGATTTGTAGGCAGCATCTGTGAAGACGAAATTTAACACCACACTAACCCTAAGCCATAACTGTTTCTAACACTGTGGCAGTTTTACTAGAAAGGTGGGGACCTTGAGGCCAATCAGTTCCTTCCCTGGCTCTCATCCAAGTCAAGTTCATGCGTTAATCCAAATGTAACATATCTGACTACCAATCCTTGTTTTTCCAGTTATCTTGATCCTCCCTCTTGACTCTTCCCCTTGACTCTGCATGCAACTGCTCCTAAACATTTTTGCCCTCTGCCATCTTAAATCTCTGCTCTTTCACAAATAAATGGATCTCCTACCTCTACTCTTCAGATGGTACTCTCTCCTTACCCATTCTTACAAAACTCTGGCTTTCCCTCAAGGCCGCTGTTTCTATTACAGCTGTTTTCAGGGACAACTGCTTCTTCTCCCATACCCCATCCCTTTGTGGCCTCTTTGTGATGCTTATGACATGAAGAAAGCTGATCCAGTTGTAATACAGTAGGAAGTAGTGGAGGATGTGACACACTGGAAAGCATATGCCTCATGTAAATCTAGCAGCTGCCTTGGAGCTAGAGGAGATTTTGTCATTCAAGATTATAAGCAAATTTTTGCTGAGATCTTCCCCTTCCTTCCTTCCTTCCTTCTTTCCTTCCTTCCTTCCTTCCTTCCCTCCCTCTGTCCCTCCCTCCCTCCTTCCTTCCTTCTTTCTTTCTTTTTCTTTCTTTCTTCTTTCTTTTTTTTGGAGTCTCGCTCTCTTGCCCAGGCTGGAGTGCAGTGGTGTGATCTCGGCTCACTGCAACCTTCGCCTCCTGGGTTCAAACGATTCTCCTGCCTCAGCCTCCTGAGTAGCTGGGACTACAGGTGCATGCCACCATGCCTGGCCAATTTTTTGTATTTTAAGTAGAGAAGGGGTTTCACTGTGTTAGCCAGGATGGTCTCGATCTCCTGACCTCATGATCCACCAGCCTCGGCCTCCCAAAGTGCGGGGATTAGAGGCTTGAGCCACCATGCCTGGTCCATCTTCCAATATTTCTACAAAAGCCAGAAATTCAAGTTTTATTGGTGATATATCTCTTTTTTAAATATTGACAACTAACTTAAAATGAATGAACGCTATGGAATAAAGTTATCTTTAGATTAGATATGCTGTGTTGCATGCAAGCTTGTAAACTTTATTCTACTCTTTCTTTAGCAACTCTCAGTATATTTTTTGTCTATATACCAAACCCTTCCTCTTTTGAGAATTATGAAATCTGGCTTTATTAACCTCAATTATAATCTTGACACATGGAACGGTCATCTAACTACCTGCAGTTTTTGACTCCATTCATCTCATTCTTCACTTGGCATGCCATTTCCTTTCTTCTATAGCTAGCATTAGAAAACTTTTTTCTGTAAAAGTCCAAGAGTAAATATTTTTGATTTTGTGGTCTATAAGATATATCACAAAAATTCCACTGTGCCATAGTAGCATGAAAACAGTCACTGGCAATATAAAAATTAATGAGTGTAGCTATGTTCCAATAAAACTTTATTTATAAAAACAGTTGGTGGGCTGGATATGTCTGTGGGTTATATATAGTTTGCTGACCCTTAACTTGAAGGATGAAGGAGTTCCTTAGTATGGAATATAAAAGCCGACATGATTTGTCTCCTGTCTACTTGAAATTTTCAGTTTTATCTCCCATTTCTGTTCCTGTGAGTTAACCAGCCATGATAATAAATCACAATTATCATTTATTTAGCACTTTCTATAATGTAGGTACTGTACTAAACTTTTAATCCATGCCATATTAAGTTGTTTAATGAGAACAAAAGATAGGAGCTAGACACCTTAATTTTATAGATGAGCAAATTGAGCCACAGGGAGATTAATTTATTTGTCCAAGATCACACAGACAATAAGTAGGAAAGCTAGAATTTGAACCCAGACAGTATAGTTTCAGTTTCATGCTCTTAACCATTATATTGTCCAGTCTCTCTGAGGTCTTCCCCTAATCCTTGTGACGAAGAAGATCACACCATTCTCTTCTGCACATACTGCATACTGTCTCCTATCTTTGGTATTCCCCCTTCCACATCTGCCTAGAAAAATTAGATCAACTACTTCTTCTGTTGGCAACTCTTCTGTGGCTTCACATCTCCACACTGACAAAGTTTTGATGCTCCTCGTTCTGTGCATAATAAAGAGTTATTTCTGCATATACTTATTTCTGCACTAAAAAAGTCAGTAGTCGTCTGCTTTTGGAATTAGTGGTCTTTTTAGAGATCAGTTTATGTCTTATTTATCTTTACATAGTTCCTGGCACAGTAGGCACTCAATAATTGCTTGCTGAATTGAATTGAATGGGTAATTTATCCTAGGGTTTTTACTGTTTCTGATGTATCAATTGGTTCTTTTTTTGGTGGAGATAGGATTAGAGTCTTGATTTGAGTTTTCTCAGAAATCAATCTTGAAACATAGATTCATGTGCAAGTAACTTACTTGAGAAGAGAAGAAAACAATGGTAGGAGAATGGGGAAGTGAAATAATGAAGGAAAAGCAGCCAACAAAATATGCATTATCAAGGCACCTACCAGTGTGGTCCACTTGAGCTTGATCCCACTGGGCAAGCTCTGAAAGTTAGTTTAGAGCAATACTTTAGAGTTGTTCTACCCAAGGGGTAAGGTTGGTGGGGTTTTTATATACCAATTATTTGCATTAATTGGTCAAAGCCTATTCCCGGGGAAGTTAATATTCAAGCATATACAGAATGCTGCACAGGTGGGCAAAAGGTTGGCTAAAGAAAAAGTCCTTAGGCGAAGAAAGCAGGTGCTGGTAGCTGCAAGTCCGGCCAGTGTGCACTGATCGGGTGAGGGCTAGTGTATATGGGCAGGGTGCCCACAGCATCTGTTTCCAGCTTCTCTCCAAACTTCTGAAACTGACAGTAAGATGGAGAAATTATTTCTCCCTTTTTCCACTTTTGCTAAAATGAAACTTTTAAATGTATCTATAGAGGTAGAATCTTTCATAATTATTACATTTTGCTCTATTTGGGGATGCATACAAAGAAGTATCATTCATATCATTTTCAGACCAGGTGACCTCTAGTGTACTCTGGCAAGTATAGTCTCTGCTTATCCCTTGGGATTGTTTTCAATCAAAGATTGCCTTCAATCCCAGAACTTTGATTAGAGGAACATTGATCAATTTCCTTGATATTAGGGCTATTGGGTTGCCATTTTTCTAACATCTGTTTCTTTTGTATTAGGTGAAATCTTCTGTTGCCATTTATAGTAGACTTTTAATGGTTTATGCACCATCGTAGGTGTTTCAACAGATGCATAGAAGAATAAATCATAATGATTTCCTTTTAGAGTGTACAGAGTAGTACCCAGAGTAAATATTTAGAGTGGAATGTAATAAATGTTGCAATAAAGATAAGAACAAAGTCAAAGGGGATGTGGTAGAAAAATGGACTAATTACTTATGAGAAAATATATAATGGAGGACATCCTAAGATGACCCTCAAATAGAGAGTGTTCTATGTTATTAGAGTATCCTAAAGCTCTCATTTTTTTAAAATTCAAGTTTTTAATATTTAAATACAGGATTGTTTGAAACAATAATCATTAACTTGAAATGTCCTCCTTAAATACTGGCAGTAGAAAGACTGTTAGAAGTTTTTCTTTATTCAAGTCTTGAAATAAGGCAATGGCAACTGGCAGAGAGTCAAGAAAAGGAATTAAAAAGACTCTTAGAAGGTGCAATACATAAGAATAGAACATTGACTTTGAGAAGAGAGGAAAGAGAGAGAGATGGATGAGTAAACTGTGAATCTGAGGTTTTGAGCTTGGAAAATTAAGTGAATGGTGTTGCAGCTAAACAAGATAGAACAGCCAGGCAGGTAACTGCCATGTGGAAAAATGCCGTGAGCTTAATTTGGACAAGAGCTAAGTTTCAAATGCTTGTGACTCCTCCAGGTAGGGTTGTACAGACATGAAACTTGCACTGCTAAATCTTCTTAGGAATTAATTGGTCTAGCAGGGAATTCAGAAAATTGCAATAATGATAACAGTTGAGGAAATGACAACAATAAATATTCCCTTTCCATAGTAGTGGGAATGCAGGTTATTATTTTAGGAATTTCTCACATAGCTTGGCGGGTTCTGGTACATGCACCAGAAGATATCCATTATTTTGGACAGCCTCATGCTCCTTCATTCTCATCCTTTGCAAGCCCTTTTAGCACAAGAAGATTTAAACTTTAGTAGCAATAATACAAGTATAGAAAAGATTATGTCTACAGATGGCCTATGAAAGCTGAAACTGTCTGTTAAAAATCACCATTTTTTCCCTATATATGTCTTCTCATTCATTTTAGCTGGCATGGTAGAGAATGTTTTCTTTTTGCACATTGGGATAATTAGAGACATGATTCATTTATTACCTAATATGTGCTAGGCTCTCCACAGACATTATCTCCAATTCTGCCAGCCCTGCTGCTGTTTTGCTGATAAGGAAATGGAAGCTGAGTTCAGTTAATTGATGTGTCCGTGGCCTCAGTTGACTTCTTTCTTCCATTCTTCTCAAACATTAGAGCTAGAATCATATCTTAGCAACAGGTGGTCCCAGCAGTTGGCAGAGGACACAGGCAGAACCCAGACCATTCCTCCTTTCTGCTATGGAACCTGGCCTCCATGCAACACAATGCTTAGCACTTGTGTTCTTCATATCAGGTCTTATATTTTATACTCAGCTTCTACACTCTCTGACTTTTTCCACTTGTGTTTCAGGTTCTCACTTTCTCTGATAAGTAAGTTCAACCAGAAAATGTGAAAGCATTAATAAATGAGAGAAAAATAAACAAAGTACCTGATTGCCTTTCTCTTGACATCATACTTCTTTCTTTTCCTCCTCCTCTTTTGGAATAAAGTTGGGACAATAAAACTACACCCATTCTCTCTGTCTCTGTGTCTCTGCCTCTCTCCTCTCTCTCTCTTTGTCTCATAGTATCTTTCTCACTAGAAATAACCCCTTGCATACACACAGATATATGTACTACTTTTTCATCAAACTCTTCTCATTCCCCTTTCAGGTTTGAAATTTTCCCTTATTCCTTCTTGTATTAGTCCATTCTCATACTGCTATAAAGAACTACCTGAGACTGGGCAATTTATGAAGAAAAAGGTTTAATGGATTCATGGTTCCACAGGCTGTACAGGAAGCATGGCTAGAAGGCCTTAGGAAACTTAAACATGGCAGAAGGTGAAGGGAAAACAAGCACGTCTTACCATGGTGGAGCAGGAGAGAGAGTGAGAACACTTTCAAACAACCAGATCTCATGAGAACTCACTCACTATCATGAGACCAGCAAGGGGGAAATCCGCCCCCATAATCTAATCAATTCCCATCAGGACCCTCCCCCAACATTGAGGAATACAATTCAACATGAGATTTGGGTGGGGACAAAGAGCCAAACCATATCATTCCACCCTTGGCTTCTGCCAAATCTCATGTCTTCCTCACACTGCACAACACAATCATGTCTTCCCAACAGTCACCAAGTTTTAGCTCATTTCATCATTAACTCAAAAGTCCAAGTCCAAAGTCTCATCTGAGACAAGGCAAGTCCCTTCCACCTATGAACATGTAAAATAAAAAACAAAGTTGGTTACCTGCAAGATACTATGGGGGTGCAGGCACTGGGTAAATGCTCCTATTCCAAAAGGGAGGAATTGGCCAAGACAAAGGGGGTAAAGGCCCCCTGCAAGTCCAAAATCCAGCAGGGCAGTCATTAAATCTTAAAGCTCCAAAATAATATTTGACTCCATGTCTAACATCCAAGCCACACTGATACAAGTGGTGGGCTCCCAAGGCCTTGGTCAGCTCTGCCCCTGTGGCTCTGCAGGGTATAGCCCCGGGGCTGCTTTCATAGGCTGTTGAGTTCCTGTGGCTTTTCCAGGAGCATAGTGCAAGCTGTCAGTGGATCAACCATTCTGGCATCTGGAGGACAGTGGCTCTCTTCTCACAGTTCCACTAGGCAGGGCCCCAGTGGGGACTCTGTGTTGGGACTCCAACCCCACATTTTCTCTCCACATTGCCCTAGTAGAGGTTCTCCATGAGGGCTCCACCCGTGCAGCAGACTTCTGCTTGGACATACAGGCATTTCCATACATCTTCTGAAATCTAGGCAGAGGCTCCCAAATCTCAACTCTTGCCTTTTGCATACCTGCAGACCCAATATCACATGGAAGCCACCAAGGGTTGGGGCTTGCACCCTCTGACATTATGGTTTAAGGTGTATCTTGGCCTCCTTTAGCCACAGCTGTAGCTGCGTGGATGCAGTGCACCATGTCCCAAGATTGCACAAAACAGTGGGACCCTGGGCCTGGCCTATGAAACCATTTTCCCCTCCTAGACCTCCAGGGCTGTGATGGGAGGGGTTGCCATGAAGGTCTCTGAAATGCCCTGGAGGTATTTTCCCCATTGTCTTGGCTATTAATACTCACCTCTTTTTTTTTACTATGCAGATTTCTGCAGCTTTGAATTCCTCCCCAGAAAATGGGTTTTTCTTTTTTACCATATGGTTGGGCTGCAAATTTTCCAAACTTTCATACTTTGCTTCCCATTTAAATATAAGTTTTAGTTTCAAGTCATTTCTTTGTTTATTCAAATGACTATAGGCTTTCAGAAGCAGCCAGGCCACATCTTGAACACTTTGCTGCTTAGAATTTTCTTCCACCAGATACCCTAAATCATCCCTCCCAAGTTCAAAGTTCCACAGATCTCTAGAGCAGGGACACAATGCTGCCAGTCTCTTTGCTAAAGCACAGCAACAATGACCTTTATTTCAGTTCCCAATAAGTTGCTAATCTCTATCTGAGAACATCTCAGCCTGGGCTTCACTGTCCATATCACTAACAGTATTTTGGTCACAACTACTCAACAAATGTCTAGGAAGTTCCAAACTTTCCCTCATCTTCCTTTCTTCTTCTGTTCCCTCCAAACTGCTCCAACCTCTTCCCATTACTCAGTTCCAATGTTCCTTCTACATTTCCAGGTATCTTTATAGCAATGCTCCACTTCTCTCATACCAATTTTCTATATTAGTCTGTTCTTATACTGCTATAAATAACTACCCAAGACTGGGTAATTTATGAAGAAAAGAGGTTTAATTGACTCACAGTTCCACAGGCTGTACAGGAGGTGTGGCTGGGAAGCCTCAGGAAACTTACAATCATGGCAGAAGGCAAAGAGGAAGCAAGCATATCTTACCATGGTGAAGCAGGAGTGAGACAGCAAAGGGAGAAGTGCTACACAATTTCAAACAACCACATCTTATGAGAACTCACTCACTATTTCAAGAACAGCAGGGGGAAAATCCACCCCATGATCCAAACACCTCTCACCAGGTCCCTCCTCCAACATTGAGAATTACAATTCAACATGAGATTTGGGCAGGGGACACAAAATCAAACCATATCACTCCCATTGATGAACTCAGTGGTTGCTTACAAAGTATCCAATAAAGTTACTACAATATGTTTGATGTGCTTTATGTTTTATATTGAGCTGTGACATACATTTATCACATATAATTTTCAAAACAACAACTCCTCATTTACATGAATAACTCACACTTAAGGGAGCCACATTTTTTTTTCCTTTTTTGGTCATTCACAAAAAATTGAAGAACCAGAATTGAAACTCAAGTTTTTATCTGCCTTCAGAGCCTCTGCAGTTTTCATTACATTATCTTATCTTAAAAAATTATTCTATCTGATAGTCTCAAAAGTTTTTAGAAGTACTGGAAGAAAGATAATGATAATGACAATCTGTTAAACTTCTTTGTGTTAGGAAGTAGAAATATATTAGCATTCAAATATTGTCAACAGGGACAACACTGGACAATCAGTAATTGTATTCATCTAAAGAATCACTAGGCATTATGGGAATTCTGCCAATCTGTCACTAGATCTTAATTTTTAGAATTAAAAATGTTAAGATGAGACCAAAAATATTAGTTACTGTGCATATGTATGTCAATTATATAATATATATATATGTATGCCATCATATAGAGTAGGGTGATATTTTGATATTAATCAAGTTGTTTAGGAAATCCCACACTTTATTGCCACAGATTGTCTTCATTCTCATTAGTTCAAAAGCATTAGTGTTCCAATGGAGAAAGGGTCCAGCCAAGATGCTATACACTTGGCTTTTAAAGACAGAAAGATTGGGGAAGAAAATGTGGTTCCTCAGACCAGGTAAAGAGATTTTGGAGGTTAATCCAGGATTAGAGACAGGATCATCTGTATTTAGATTAGAATGCACTCCGCTCCCAGGCATTTCAACTCCTGGGATTTGGAGTATTGAGAATAGAGTGAGTCTTTGTTTCATTCCTTGACTGATGTTTGGGAAGACAGAAAGCATTATAGAAAGTTATTTCACACTATTACGACATGGTAAATAGTAGGGTAGAAATTGCAGAGGCATGTCCATCTGGAACTCTGTGTGGAGCAAGATTTTAAATGCACCGCACACAGCAGAAGAGTAGAGTTAGTAAACAGAATATTGCATAGGGTGTCAGGGCTAAGAGGTCAGGTTCCCTAGAAGCCAAGTCTGAAATAAGAATTTGGGTGCATATGCTTTATTGAAGAATGTTCATCAGGAAAAACCTACAAGAGCATTATGGATTAAAGGGTTGCTCTCCAAAGATGGCAGTATGAAGCACGGGACTGAAGGCCTGTGAGAGAACAGGAATTTCAGCAAATGGAAATATGGAAGGCAGCTGACAGTGATTTTAATGGAATACCGATACATTTCAATGAATTCCAGTACAGTATTGCTACAGACGGTCTGTCACCCAAATCCCCTCCAAATTGTTGGGATGCTACTAGAGGAAGAATAATCTAACCTGGAAGAAAGTAAGAGGTTCAAAAGAAGGAAAATACTAAATTGACTTGCTTTATTAGAGA
This sequence comes from Homo sapiens, assembly GCF_000001405.40. NCBI lineage: Eukaryota > Metazoa > Chordata > Mammalia > Primates > Hominidae > Homo > Homo sapiens. Next base: position 140,023,263 of record NC_000006.12, read on the forward strand.
CAGCTTTATTGAAATAAAATTTACATGCCAAAAAATGCCTGTGTAAGTGTACAATTCAATGACATTTAGTAAATTATTGAGGTGTGAAACCATGCCCACAATCTAGTTTTAGAACATTTTCTTCATCCCCAAAAGTTATTTTGTACCTCACTGTAGTCAATTCCCATTCTAAACTTCTTCTCCAGGCAATCACTAAGCTGTTTACCTATAGATTCTCTTTTCTTAAAAAAAAAGAAAATTTATTTAAGTGGAATGATACAGTATGTAGTCTTTTGCATCTGGATTTTTTCCATTAGCATAATTTCTTAGTTCCATTCATATTGTAAATGTACTAGTAATTCATTTTTATTGCTGAATAGTATTCATTATATAGATAATAATGCATTTCATTTATCTATTAACCAGATGATGGACATTTGGATTGTTTCTAGTTTCTGTGTATTAAGAATAGCATTGCTAAGAACATGCATATACAATTACTAACATGGACATACGTTTTCATTTCTCTTGGATAGATACCTAGGAGTGGAATTGCTGATTGAAATAGTATGTTTATACTTGACTTTCTCAGAAATTGCTGGACTGTTTTTCCAATTGTCTGTGCTATTATATGTTCTACCTGCAATGTGTGAGGCTTCTAGTTTCTCCATATCTTTGTTAACACTTGATATTGACAGTAACTTTGATACATTAATTATAGCTATTCTAGTAGGTATATAGTGATATCTCATTATGGTTTTAATTTGCATTCTCATAATGGCTTACAGTGTTGACTATCTTTATGTGTGCTTACTAGCTATCCTTTGAATATGCTGTTGGGTCCGGTTTGCTAACATTTTCTCATGGTATTCCTCTGCATCTATGTTCTTGAAAGATATTTATCTGCTGCTTTCTTGTGATTTTTTTTTCTGGCTTCACTATCAGATATTTCTGGCTTAAAAAATGAGTTGTGACGTGTTCATCCCTCCATATTTTTGAAAAGTGTTTGTGTAGCATTGATAATATACTCTCTTTAAGTATTTGATGGAATTCATGGTCGAAATCACCTGGGTCTTGGCTTTTCTTTGTGGAAAAACTTTTAATTACCAATTCTATTTCTTATTTGTTATGGGTACATGTATATTATCTGTTTCTTCTTTAGTCAGTTTTGGGGTTAATGTCTTTCTATGGCATTGTTCATTTTATCAAAGTTGTTTAATCTGTTGGTATTGAGTTGTTCATAATAGTCCCTTATATTTCAATTTCTGTAAAGTCAGTATCAGTGTCCCTTCTTTTATTCCCAATTTTGATGATTTGTGGTTTATCTTTCTGTCTCTCTCTCGGCCAGTCTAGCTAAAGATTTTACAATATTATGATCTTTTAAGAGAACCAACTTTTGATTTCATCGGTTTTCTCTATTGTTTTTCTCTATTTTGTTGCTTTCTGCTCTGCTTTTTATTATTCTCTCCCTTCTGCTTATTTTTGTATTTAATTTGTTCTTCTTTTTCTAGTTTCTCAAAGAGGAAGTATAAATGATTGAGTTATAATTTCTTCTTTTCTAAAATAGGTAATTAAAGCTATACATTTCTCTCTGAGCATTGATTTACCTCCATCTTGTTACTTTTGATATGTTGTAATATGTTGTTTTTTCTTCATTCAGTTCAAATTATTTTCTAATTTCCCTTGTGATTTCTTCTTTTAACTCTCTGTTAATTTCCAAATATTTGGGGATTTTTCTATGTAATTTTTGTTGTCGCTTCCTAATTGTATTCCATTTTTATAGTAACTCATACATTAAATGATTTGTAATACTTTTAAATATATTAAGACTTGTTTTATGTCCTATAGTATTTGGTCTACCCTGGAGAATGTTCTATGTGTATTTAAAAGAAAGATTATTTTGCTGTTTTTGGGTGGAGTGTTTTGTAAATATCAGTTAAGTCAAGTTGACTGATATTATTCAAGTCTTCATCCATGATGATTTTCCAAGTTGTTGTTATACCGATTATTGAGAAGGAGATATTGATGTCTCTAACAGCAATTGTTGAAATATCTATTTGTCTTTAGGGTTTTGTTTTGCTACATGTATTATGGTGCTCCTTTTAAGGTGCATATACATTTATAAGTATTGCACAATAAATCTTCACTTAAAGTTGTCCATATGTTCTTGGAAATTGTAATTTTAAATGAAATTATGTACAGCAGGTCCTCCAAATTATGTTGTTTTATTCAACATTGTTTCTTTGTAACATTGATAAAAAAAACTGGTTTGTTACATGTCATTTTGCTCAAAGTCATAGTTTCCAAAAACCTGTCAATGATGTTGAGGACTTACTGTATGTACCTGATATATTGACCCTTTTGTTATTATGAAATGTTCCTTTTTATTTCTGCAGATTGATTATTCCTTATTTGAAATGCACGGCACCAGAAGTTGTTTCAGATTTCAGATTTTTCAGATTTGGAATAATTGCATGTATAATGAGATATCTTGAGGATGTGACCCAAATCTCAACACAAAATTCATTTAAATTTATTTGTGTTTCATATATACCTTATACACATAGCCTGAAGGTAACTTCATGTAATTTTAAGATAATTTTGTACAAAAAGGTTATGTTAAGTACTCACGTGTAAAATTTTCCACTTGTGGCATCATGTTGGCACTCAAAATGTTTTAAATTTTAGAGCATTTCAAATTTTATATTTTCAGATTGGGGTGATAAACCTGTAGTAATATTTCTTCTCTCAAACATATATTTTTGCCATTCCAGCTCGTTAATAAGTATACTTAAATTGTAAAGTTTACATAGTATATATTTTGCTATTCTTTTACATTCAATCTGTCTGTATCTTCGAATCTGAACTGTTTCTCTTGTAAATGGGACATATGTGGATAATGCTTTTTTGATCCAATCTGATAATCTCTACCTTTGGATTAGAGTGTTTAGACCATTAATATTTAATATATTTACTCACCTGTTTGGAGTTTTGTCTATCTCTTGTTTGTTTTCTTTGTCTCTTGTCATTTTTGTTTCTCTGTTCCACCTTTTGTGTTGACAAATATTCTTAGCATCCTATTTTAATTTTTCTTTTGATTTTTAAAATATATTTTTGAGTTATTTTTTGGTAATTGCCCTAGAGATTACAATATGAATTTTAACTTATCATGTTCTACCCAAGTGGCTTAATTTCAATTAAATATAACAACTTAATTCCATTACATATAGCACATTTCCTCTAATATTGCTCTATTCACCATCTATTTTCAGATATATGTAAGTATGTTATAAACCCCAAATAGAGTGTTAACTATTATAATTATTGCTTTATAAAATATTATGTCTTTAAAGAAAATTGAAGAAGAAAAGAGAAAATATTTTATGCACTCTTTTATATTTCCTCACATTTTTACCATTTCTGGCCTTCATTTCTCCCTATGGAATCTAGTTACCATCTGGTGTCATTTCTTTTCAGCCAGAGATACTTCTATTAGCATCTTGTAAGACAGGTCTCACAGCATTTATTTCTCTCAGCCTTTGTTTAAGTGAGAATGTTATTTTTTTGCCTTCCTTTTGAAGTTGCTGGATATTCTTTGTTGACAGTAATTTTCTTTCAGTATGTAGAATATTTCATTCTACCACTTTCTGGCTTCTGTTGTTTCTGTTGAGCAGTTATCCTTTTTTTGTTGTTTTTGCCAACTGGAAATTTAATATGAGAAAGTATTATTTAAAAAATATTCTACATGCAGTCTTAGTAGCGTTATCCAAAAATATTATCATTAAATAAGTAATATTATGACACTGGAAGTAACCCTCAATGCATGTTATGTAGACACCAAATTATTCAAGGACAATTTTTTATAACAGCAATTATTTTGTACAGTGTGTTTGCATATGATTTTTTTTAACTTTTATTTTATGTCTGGGGACACGTGAAGGTTTGCTATGTAGGTAAAGTCGTGGTATGGGGGTTTGTTGTACAAATTATTTAATCAGCTAGGTATTAATCAAGTACCCAATAGTTATTTTTTCTGCTCCTCTCTCTCCTCCCACCTTCCGACCTCAATTACAACCCAGTGTCTGTTGTTCCTCTTTTTGTGTTCATGAGTTCTTATCATTTAGCACTCACTTATAAGTGAGAACATGTACTATTTGGTTTCCTCTTCCTGTGTTAGTTTGCTAAAGATAGTAGCCACCAGCTCCATCCATGTTCCCATAAAAGACATGATATTGTTCTTTGTTAATGGCTGCATAGTATTCCATGGTATGTATGTAGCATATTTTCTTTATCCAATTTGTCATTGATGGGCATTTAGGTTGATTCCATGTCTTTCCTACTGTGAATAGCGCTGCAATGAACATTTGTGCACATATGTCCTTATGGTAGAATGAGTTATACTCCTTTGGCTATAATGGGATTGTTGGGTGGAATAGATAGTTCAGCTTTCAACTCTTTGAGGAATTGCCACACTGCTTTCCACAATGGTTGCACTAATTTACACTCCCACCAACAGTATATACATGTTCCCTTTTCTTTGCAACCTCTCCAGCATCTGTTATTTTTTGACTTTTTAATAATAGCCATTCTGACTGGTGTGAGATGGTATCTCATTTTGGTTTCGATTTGCATTTCTCTAATGATCAGTGATATTAAGCTTTTTTTTAATATGCTTGTTGGTCACATGCATGTCTTCTTTTGAAAAGTGTCTGTTCATGTTCTTTGCCCACTTTTTGATGAGGTTGTTTGTTTTTCTCTTGTAAATTTGTTTAAGTTTCTTATAGATGCTGGATATTAGACATTTGTCAGATGCATAGTTTGCAAATAATTTCTCTCATTCTGTAGGTTGTCTATTTACTCTGTTGAGAATTTCTTTTGTGGTACAGAAACTCTTAAGTTTAATTAGATCCCACTGGTCAATTTTTGTTGTGATTGCTTTTGGTGTCTTTGTCATGAAATCTTTGCCCATTCCTATGTCCAGGATGATATTGCCTAGGTTGTCTTGCAGGATGTTTATAATTTGGGGTTTTACATTTAAATCTTTAATTCATCTTGAGTTAATTTTTGTATACGGTGTAAGAAAGAGTTCCAAATTCAATCTTCTGCATATGGCTAGTCAGTTATCACAGCACCATTTATTGAATAGGGAGTTTGTATCCCATTGCTTGTTTTTGTCAGCTTTGTTGAAGATTAGATGGTTGTAGGTGTGCGGCCTTATGTATGGGCTCTCTATTCTGTTCCACTGGTCTATGTGCCTGTTTTTGTACCAGTACCATGCTGTTTTTGTTACTGTAGCCCCATAGTATAGTTTGAAGTCAGGTAATAGGATGCCTCCAGCTTTGTTCCTTTTGCTTAAGATTACCTTAGGTATTTGGGCTCTATTTTCCTTCCATATGAATTTTAAAATAGTTTTTCTAGTTCTGTGAATAATGTTGTTGGTTGTTTGATTGGAATAGCATTGAATGTGTAAATCACTTTGGGCAGTATAGCCATTTTAATGACATTGATTCCTCCTATTTGTGAGCATGGGATGTTTTCTATTCATTTGTGTCTTCTCTGATTTCTTTGAGCACTGCTTTGTAATTCTCATTGTGGAGCTCTTTCACCTTCCTGATTAGCTGTTTTCCTAGGTATTTTATTCTTTTTATAGCAATTGTGAATGGGATTGCCTTTCTGATTTCACTCTTGGCTTGGCTGTTGGTGGTGTATAGGAATGCTAGTGATTTTTGTGCATTGATTTTGTATCCTGAAACTTTGCTGAAGTTGGTTCCCAACTGAAGCAGCTTTTGGGCTGAGACTATGGGCTTTTCTAGATATGGAATCATGCCATGTGCAAACAAGGATAGTTTGACTTCCTTTCTTCCTATTTGGATGCCCTTTATTTCTTTTTCTTGCTTGATGAGCAGTTATCTATTAATCATGTATTGTTTCCTGTGTGTGATAAGTTGTTTTTTTCCTGCTGCTTTTAATATTTTATTTCCTTCTTTGGGTTTGAACAGTTTGAATATCATGATATGTCTAGGTGTGGATCTCTTTGTGCTTTTTAAAATTGGGCATCATTGAGCTTCTTGAATCTATGTATTAACATTTTTAAATAAAATTTAGGAAGTCCCTGTTCATTATTTCTTCAAGTATTTTCCCTACCCTTTTTCTCTCTCTGCTATCCTTCTGGGAATTCTACTACAAATATTTGGTATGCTGAGTGTTGTCCCTCAGGTCTCTGAGGCTCTGTTAAATTTTCTTCAATCTTTTCTTTCTGTGTTCTTCAGGGTGGATAATTCCTAGTCATCCATAATCAAGTTTACTGATTTTTTCTTATTTTATGTCAACTCTGTTTCTTTTAAAAATAATTTTGATTTTTTATTGAAATTTATTATTGCAGAATTATTGTCATTATATCTTCCTTTAAATCTTTAAACAGGGCTTCCTTTAATCCTCTGAATATATTTATAATAGGTGTTTTGACAACTCTGCCAAATCCAACATCTGGGTTCACTCAGAGTTCATTTCTTTCAACTACGTTTTTTCCCCTGCATATGGGTCACATTTTCTTGTTTCTTTGCATGTCTCATTTTTCTTTGTTTAAAATTAGACATTTTGGGTAATACATTTAAGAAATTTTGGATTCTGTTTTTCCGTTTGAGAATTGTTATTGCTTTTTGTTTGTTTCGATTTTCTGAACTTAAAAGGGCTTTTAGCATTTACTGATGGATCTTTGTGTAGCTTGCTGAGTGTATTCAAAACTTATACATTTTTCTAGTTTATTCTTGCTTTTCTTTTCACTAGGCCCTCCCAAATCTTTCACGCATAGATGCACAACCTTTCTTTCAATGAAGGATGTATGAAGAGCTTAAGCTTTCTCGGGTCTTTCCTGTGTGTCCACACAGACTCCAAATCAGCCAAGAATGTGTGGTGAGATTGGTTTTTTGGGGGGTTTCTTCACATTTATGTGTCACCCTAGCTAGAGTTGTATGCAGAAATTACCTTGTCCATGTATGGTTCTCTTATTTCCAAGATCTCCTTGTTAAATTCCAGGCTACTCTTTGGTTCTGCCATCTTCCATTAAGAGCAATCACAACTCAGAATAGCAGGGCTGTGTGCTTTTCTTGTTCATTTTCTACCAATTTTACCATTTTTACTAACAGTCCAGCTAGAAATGGATTTTTTTGGCCTCAGTTCAAAAATAACCCAGCCCCATCCAGCAGTGAAGTTGCTGGTTTTGATAACCAACTCTGCCTTGGTATCACCATCCTACCACATGAGCTGTCAAAATGGGATAGTACCAACAGATTCCCACTCTTCTTAGCTAATGGTCTACAGTTTTCCATAATTAAATACTTCTTAATTTGTTTTTAATCTTGCTTGATGTTCTGAGCTCTTAGATGATTGTTCTTAAAAATTTTGTTTAGTTTTATAGTATTGTTTTTGAGACAGGATTTGCTGACTTCTTTACCATCGTTAAAAGATCTGCCCATCTGACTTGTTTTTAAAGAGTAATAAACTGCAAAAGCCCCAGCTTAATTTAACTTGAAATTACTAAATTAAGTGTGATTGACTAGAGATGGACATAGATTTTTTTGTACTTCACCCATCAAGAGGTGGCGTCTGCATTCCTCTTCCCTTTCCCTCCTCCTTTGGATTCAGGAGGCTCAGTGAAAACTTTGACTTGCAGAATATAGCAAAATAACTTTTAGCCAATTTCTAGCCCAGGACTTACAAGATTGATTGCTTTTACTCTCTTTTACTTTTTAAATCGAAACATAGCTACTGTGTTGTGAGGTAGAAGCGACTGTGGAAAATCCTTGTGGAAAGGCATGAGACACCTTGTGGTATCTAAGGTACCAAGATACCTGGCCAATAGCCTCAGCTGAGTGCCACCTTGCCAGCCATGTAAGTAAGCCATGTTGGCAGTGCATCTTCCAGACCTAGTTGAGCTACCACAATTAATTCAGTCTGTAGCAGAGATGAGACTTTCCTGCCCAAATTGTAAATCTGTGAGCAAAATAAAAGATGATTGTTATTTTAAATCACTAAGTGTCTGGGTGGTTTGTTACATAGCCATAAATAACTGGAACATTAATTTTCTGCCTTCTTGAGGAATGGGAGTTGGGGATTAAAGCTAAGAACAGTTATTATAAAATCCATTTATCATGTACCTAGCAAGTAAGATTTTCATAGCCACAAAATTGAATTGCAAAAATATAACTTATGAAAAGAAAGTTGTGTACATAAAGCTTGTTATCTTTTGTAGAAGGTGACTATGATATTGAGAAATGCAGGAGTTCATCCAGGGGATTGTGGAGTAAAAGGGGAGGATACAATGAGAGAGGAAGGAAAGGAATACAATCAGGTATTTTTCCCAATTTCGCTTGCCTGGTTTAGCTTAGTGACAGGGGTAGTAGCTATAAGCACAGGGGTGAGAATTCTTGCTCTGACATTGGTTTGATACCCTATGAGGAGGGCCCTGGATGGAACATTTCACACTAGCACTGGGGCTTAACTAGGGGGGTTAAGAGGCAAACAATAATAAAAGGCATAATAAAGGAGAAAAGGAGGCTCTAATTTTCACTTAAATGTCACCTCCTTTTTTTTTTTTTTTTTTTTTGAGACGGAGGTTTGCTCTTGTTGCCCAGGCTGGAGTGCAATGGCGTGATCTTGACTCACTGCAACCTCCACCTCCCGGGTTCAAGTGATTCTCCTGCCTCAGCCTCTGGTGTAGCTGGGACTACAGACATGCACCACCATGCCTGGCTAATTTTGTATTTTTAGTAGAGATGGGGTTTCTCCATGTTGGTCTGGCTGGTCTCGAACTCCTGACTTCAGGTGATCTGCCCGCCTCGGCCTCCCAAACTGCTGGGATTACAGGGGTAAGCCACCAGGTCCGGCTGTCACCTCCTTTTTTTCTGCATGACCTGACCACTCAGATGAGAATGAGTAGTCTCCTCCTAGTCCACAGCAAGACAATACCAGAGGAAAAGTATGAGTGGCCCACCTAGGCCAAAGACGTGATGAAAAATATGGTAAAGTTTCAGCAGGGCTGAAAAAGCCCTGGAGACCATGGTATCCAGAAAGTTGCCTCTGGGCTATGACCAAGTTGAGAGAGAGAGAGACACCATGAGTCGCTCTTGCTCAAGAGGTCACAGGAAAATTCATACATGGGGCCAGTAACATTTCAAAGGTCATAGGTGCTGAATGACAAGCACAGGGAAAAGCCAGGGGATTCCAAGCCCTCCACAGTATGAAGTCCTGTAAGCCACTTGCCCATTATAATAATGATTTGAACCACAATGTAGCTGACAAAATTTAATTGATACCCTCCATTTTAGAAAGGACTCAAAGAGGGAGAGTTTAAAAATAAGATAATTTGGGTAATTAACCCAATAGATCGTGCACAACTTGGGTGTTTAAACTGTTAAATCAAATTAAGTTGACAACTACTTTGGATTTTGGTAACATTCCCATCACATTATCAAGCAGGAGGGAGCTTACATAGAAGACCAGAACACTTAAAGATGAAAATATAGAGAATACATTTTTTTGGCCAGGTGCGGTGGCTCACACCTGTAATCCCAGCACTTTGGGAGGCTGAGGCAGGCGGATCACAAGGTCAGGAGACTGAGACCATCCTGGCTAACATGGTGAAACCGCGTCTCTACTAAAAATACAAAAAAATTAGCCGGGTGTGGTGGCGGGCGACTGTAGTCCCAGCTACTCAGGAGGCTGAGGCAGGAGAATGGCATGAACCCAGGAGGCAGAGCTTGCCGTGAGCCGAGATCGAGCCACTGCACTCCAGCCTGGGCTACAGAGCGAGACTCCATCTCAAAAAAAAAAAGAAAAGAAAAGAAAAAAAGGAAAATACATTTTCATTGCATATCCCAGTTATAATGGGAGCATATTTGAGGCCTTACAACATGTATATGGAAAAATTATCTAGCTGACAATTTAACAGTATTTTATATTCTCCTGGAGGTGTTTCATGAAAAATTAAGTATGGGAAGTATTTTCCTTCACCTATTCTTTCCCCAACCACAGTTACCACTCCATAAAATCAAGCCTCAATAAATTGAAGATGTAGATAACTTATTTTACTTAGGAAAAGATTAATAGGGCTTCATCATACTGAGAGGCAGTAAAATGTAGTAGCTACGAGTATAAGCTCTGAGGCCAGAATGTATCAATTAGAATTCTGGTTCTGTCACTTATTGACTAAATGACAAGTCACTTAACCTCTCTGTGTCTCAGTATTCCTCATCTGCAAGATGGATACAATAAAAGTAGGTCTTAATGTTGTGATTATTAAGTTAAAACATTTGAAGTGCCACATACAGTAAGCACTAATTAAGCTTTGCTGTTACTATTATTTATTGATTGATTTATTTAAAAACCTGGGCTCATTGAAATTGCAGCCTGACTTTTCCAACTCTGAAAGATGATGGAAAGAGTTGAATAAGGAGAACATGACCAACTTGTTCGTCCCTGAGACTGAGCAGAGCAGAGGGTAGGGAACATGCAAGTGGTAGCCTGTTCATTTCTCCTTGGTGCTGCCAGTTTGATGGCAGGACGCTGCTGTGGATGCAGCAATGGCCTGCGGTCAAATGTTTTGGGACCTGGGCAAAGGTTCTAGGGTTGAGATGCCTATGGTGAGAACAGAGAATGTGAGCGGAGGAGCTGCCTGCGCAGCCCTAGATTATAATGGCTTAAATTGGAGAGACTGATGTAGGAGCCTTCCAAACATGAACTGTTTTCCGTTATCCAGGCTGTAGATCTTAGAGCTAGATATAATTTGATTTTATAAACAAGTATGTGTAGTTTTTTAAACCTTAATATCCATGAGAAAATTAATAACCACTGCTTATAATAATGAATTAAACCATAAAGTAGTTGACAAAATTTAATGATGCTTTTAAGAGACCATTGAACTGTGTTCTATATACTCCTATTTTTAGGCAGATCTCTTAAATATTGTTAATCAACGTTTTCTTCAAAATAGTTGAGAATATAGGTTAAAACATACTGTGACTTAATATTCTCTTAAAATCAGTTCAAAAGGAAAAACAAAGAATAAATATTTCCCTCCTTAAGACTGTAAGTGCAGCCCCTGTGCTAAGTCTCTAGAAGATGTCTAAGTCTGAAACCAAAATGACATCTGTGAAGTTGAATAAAAAATCTAACTCAAGAGCTACAGAGAAAATATCATGAGGTAGGAAAAAATTCATGTAAATTTGCAAATTCTTAGTGCTAATAGTCTATACTATTGGAAAAGTTCAATCACATGCACATTATACTGCCCTATGCTTTCATTTCCTGGCTGGGAGTGGAAATTATTCTCATCAAACTAAGTCATATGGGGAACAGAGTTCCAGGGAATACAAGTCCCTATCCTTATAGCAGAAATTTATTCTTAATGTAAGAAAAATATAAGAGAAACAGATTGAGTAAGACATGTTCCCAGAGGACATTGGGAGCACTATGATAACAAGTTAATACTTGCTCTATTAAACTCTAAGAAAATAGTGTACTTCTCTTGAAAGATAGAAGAAAAGCCACTAGTTTCTGGAATAAAAATGGCCATTTTTAAGTTAATGAAAGTATAAACTCAATCATTACATTAGTGATGTTGACAATATCCATTTGCAGTTACATGATAAGTTGGACATCCCAATTATGCACGCACACACATACATACACACCCACCATACACAAGTGAAAGTTCTCAGGAACTTGGTAATACTCATGATATCAGCAGTCATTCACCAGGAGCCTAATGTAAGGACGCTCAAAATGCCCTTATGAGCCCAGTTTGCACAAAGTAATTGAGATATTTTTAAAAGGAAAAATAGAATCCATGTAGGAATGAATGAGGGCTATTAGAGCATGTCTATCAAAGATTAATATTAACTGAAGATCAAGAGGATAAAGTTTAGTGGGGAAATGTAATGTCACAGAACTTCAGACTGGGTTCTACGCTCATGAACATCAAAAAGAGTTTTGTTTGCATTGCATAATTGGACATCTAAGAGCAACGCTCATATAAATGAAAACTTTGAAAGAGTATCTGCATTAAGAAAGATGTCTTTATATCCACTTGGGAGAAATGATCCTCATATAAAGTTATATAAAATTTGGGATGAACTCTCTCATTCTTTTTCATCAAAAAACTAGATGAGAGATAATTATTAATGAATCAAGTTTGGTGAGAGAGATGTCAAATGGTTTTATATAAAATGGTAAACAGGCAAGTTATTGATAATGTCATACTGTATATATCATTCTTTGTATGTACACTTATTCTTGTGGGCCATGAAATTAATATATAGCATCTACAAATTGATATTCTGTTATGCTAATAAATACTCTTATTATAGAGATGTGAAAATAAGTAGAATCCTGTCATTGATACATTTTTATTTGTTTGGTTCAAAAAACACTTTGGCCTATAATGCGGATGCCTCTAACTACCTGTTGAAAGGTATAGTTAGTGCCTAGAAGAAAACAAGTAGCCTGATGTAAACCTAAATATTGAAAATTTCAGGAAATATCATAGCAATAAACACTACTACAAAGAAACATTCAATACAACAATGCCTGTTTTTTTCGTCTTAAAAGTTGATATGAGAACAATGTTTAGTTACCTTGGTTACAGCAAATTCTGCACAATATGCTGTTTGTCTCTGAAGGAAATTTGTGTATGTGTTATTGTGGGAGGTAGTAGCAAAGAGAAATTGATATATTTTTACAGATTTTTCTTCTATTATTAAGTAATTTTTGTGTCAACCTTCTTTCGTCGATTAAATAAAAATATACTTATGCAAACATCACTCTTCTGCCTAAAACTATCCTTAGGCATACCTCTGCATACTTCTCATTTACCCACCAGACACAGAGACTTCTGCCTAAGGAAAGGAAATAAGGAGTTTGATGGTCAGCATAAACTTTAAAAGTGGCAGTATATGATTTTATCACCAGATGTGGAATATGAGAATTACAAAAATTGAGCTAGAGAGTTATTTTCTCCTGATATTTCTTCTTGACCTTGGAAACTGGGAGAAGTGAGTTATTCTTGTAAGACAATGAGGAAATGTAAGTGATGAAATGTAAAAACGAAACAAAACCCCCCCAAAAACCCTCAGAGTCTAGAATTATCTTTCTTCTACCACAGCTACTTCCGTCGGTGAAGGAAAACTTACATTCTGGCTGCATTTGTCAAGGGTGGCTCCATATTGAGGAAGTAGCTAATCAATGCAATGAAAGCATGAGCAGCCAACAGTCTTGTTTCCTTATGCAAGTGATACTCTGGGTTCAATTCTCTTCACTATAGAAGAAAGCAGGAAATCTGGTTCCTTTCTTCTGCTGCTTCTCCTGTCTCCTCATCTTGCAGGTAGCCTGGTGCAGAAAAATAAAGAGCAGGAATAATTAGCTGTCTTATATAGTAACCAGTCTCCCATTTTTTCTTTAATTACAGAATTTTGAATCTTACTGAATTATTATTGCATAATTGGCCACTCTGTAAAAGGACAATGTTCTCCAGCCTCCCTTGCAGCTATATGTGGCTACATAACCAAGTTTTGAACTATGGGATTTGAACAGCTGAGATGAGTGTAACTTCTGGGTCACATAGTTAAAGGAAATAATTGTGCCCTCTCTGGCTGTTTTCCCTCTTTATCCTGATGAGAACAAAGGCATGATGGCAAGATCTGAAACAATGAACTTGGCCCAGCTAATGGAAGCCATGCATTAAAGATGGCAGAGCAGCAAGTTAGAAGAGTCCTGGGTTCCTGGAGGTTGTCAGATCTCCTTCTTTGTCTCAGACTGTAATGTTCAAACTTTTCATGAGGGAGAAATAAACTTCTAACTTACCTAATGCACTGTTACAGTGGGTCTCTCTGTTATAACAGTGGAACTTTGATGTTGCCAAAACTTATAAACAGCAAAATGGGAGCTTCTCAAAATTTAATGGACACAAGAATCACCTAGGGATCATGTTAAAATGCTGATTCTGATTCAGTAGAGGTGATAGATACATTTTATTTATCAGCTTGGCTAAGCTATTGTGCCCAGTGTTTTTGTCAAACATTAGTCTGGATGTTGCTATGAAGGATTGTAGAAGTGACTAATATAATCAGTTGACTTTAAGTAAGGGAGTTTGCCACCAGAGATGTGGATGGACCGTTAATGGACCATGATGCACTGTCAATTGAATGCCTAAAAAGTAAAAAGCAAAGTTTCCCAGAGAAGATAGAGTCCTTTGTTAATACTGCTACATAGAAATCCTGCCTGAGTTTCCAGCCTGCTGGCCTTTTCTGTAAATTTCAGGTTTGCCAGCTCCCACAACTGCATGTGCCTGTTCTTTAAAATAAGTCTCTTCACACACACACACACACACACACACACACACACACACACACACACACACTCTCTCTCTCTCTCTCTCTCTCTCTCTATATATATATATATATATATATATATAAAAATAGATCTATATACATGTATATATACACACATAGGCATATATACATATATTTTATTGATTTTGTTTCTTTGTTTTTATACCTACTGTTTAATACAGTAGGTATAAAGCAAATCCTGAGAGTTTGCATTTCTAGTTAGTTCCCAATGCTGCTGCTCTGAGCACTATGCTTTGCATAGTAAGATTCTAGAAAACTGTTTTTCAGGAATCATATGCTTCAGTCCAGACTTTGACAGAAATTTTCTGTGAAACCTCAGGAATGCCATGCAGTACGTAGCTCTCACTTCCTCATCTATGAGATGAGAATGTTGGATTATATGATCCCTGTGACCCTCTCAGGATCTAATACATGGTAACTTTGTGACCCTCTTGCCAAGAGGTCCAGGTGGGAAGGCAACATGGGGATAGAGCTTGTGGCACGGCAGACCCCAGAGCTGTATCAAAGTGTGTGGTCATCATGCATGGCTTCTTGGTGCTGTGGCACTGATTTCCTGTGTTGTTACACCCGATGGACATTTGTAAGTTGTATGGGCAGCCATTGAGCTGGTGACATCTTACATCCAGCAACTTGATGCATGAGAAAAGAGACTCAATTCTAGCATGTTAGATCTGGAAGAGAAATCTAAGAGCTTGATTTTCTTTCTTCCCCAGGAAACTCATTTCCCAGCGCAAAGGACAGAGCAGGTCCAATGACATGAAACAACCTCTTTGTGTCATTACCTTATATTTTATGCATATGTGTGTTATAATGACTGTAGAATAATCTTACAAATTAGAGAACTATGTCAATGAACTTACTCGTTTACTTCCCAAATCTGGACTAGGATTTGGAAAATTTTAATAATAGCATCACTATTTCATTTATTCTTTAAGAGTAATAACAAAGAGTCTTAAAATTACAATCTGTCAAAGTTGTGCTTCTATTAGAAGCTTTCAGGTGCTGTAAACAGGGCTGTGCTGTAGAATACAGATATTCCTTCTGACAGTATGATCCATACCTATTTGTCAGCTTTACTTTCTAAAATCCTAAATTGAAAAAGGGCTTTGTTATTATCCTTTGGGGCCACAACCAAATGGAGCTGTAATCATTCTTGAATGGTGAGAATCTGTTTTCATCCATACTACAGAACTTTTAGTCTCAAAACAGATATATTCAAATGTACAATATGGTCCAGTAGCCACCAGACAGTCTTTACGTAGGGGTTGCAATTCCTTCACTCTCCTGTTGTCTTAAAGCCCAATCATAACATGGCATGAAAAATGGGCTTACTGCATTGTACAAATGCTAATAGATTGTTTACTGATGGGGTTTTGGGTGGCCTTATATCAATAGAATAGCAAAGGCTACTCTAGGAACATATCTGTTCTGAGAACATATATCTATTCATTCAAAGTAAGATTGTATATGTATATATCCCACATATCTGGGATAAATAGATTTCTTAACTTTTACCTGAAATGCTGCAGGAGGTTTGTGTTCATTTCAGTGTGACTACATGTATGTAAGTGTGCTTTTGCTATGTGTGTGTATGTATGCATGTGTGGTATGTGCACATGGGTTAAGACTGTGAGTGGAAAAAAGAGTCAATTTCTTTTTCTTAGCATGTGAATTTGAATGCAATCAAGAACTTTAATTTATTTTCTTATTTTCTCAGTGTCAAGTACTTTTTCTGTCTCCCTCCCTTAAAAAATTGCCTTAGGAGAGTCTTCTAATAGATGCTACTCTTTTTTTTAATGCCTAAAGGACATGATTGCTTAAACAAAATGAAACAAAAAAAGAGCTAGAAAGCGGCAAAGGGATGGAAGACATTTGACCAGAAATAGGAACCTATTGCTGCCTTGGGTGGAAGTATTCTTTCTCAACATTTGGGGTTAAGGACAGAAAAAGAAATGAGGATATGAGAAAAAAAAATATCTGAGTGGACAAAAACTGACACTTATCTTTATTTAAGCCCATTTATTTCTATTTTAAATTGTCCCTGGAAAGAAAAACAGGATGGAAAGCTTAAAAGGGATAGAACCTGGTATCCGTGTATTCTATCCTTCACCTACCATATTAAAATAGATCCACTTGCTCTAAAGGAGGTTGACATAACCTTTTATGAACTATCAATGCTATATCAAAAATCCTGACATTCTTCATTCTACAGAATACAAACAGCACCTTTCATATTGTGACAGCAAAGCACCGTGGTAGTCTGATTTGTGGTTGTTTGGATGTTTGGTTTTTAAAATTATTTTCATTAATTTTATAAAGTGTTAGGAGTTGAATGACTGTGAAAGAACAAATACATCTAGTTTATCTTTGTTGCATTTCTTCTGGTCTATTTTCATTTGTCGAGGAATGACAATATTCAGGAGCTAGTGGCAATTGAAATCAGACTTTGAGAATTTTGGCTCAGCTTGAGATAGCTTATTGTAAAAACATCAGAGTTAGTTGTGTTGTTTTAAACTGGTCGAATCATTGCTAACTGATTTGCACAAGGAATTAACTTCATTTTATGGAAGAATTTGTATTCATCTACTGTTGACTGCCTTATTCCTATCTCAACATTAGTCTATTCAGAATGTGGGATCAGCTGCATATCTCTGGCCCTCTATCGAACCCTGACAATATAATGGACCTATTTTGTAGTTAATTCATGGTGTCTGGTATGGATCCAGCAGTTTAACAGATGGATCTCTAGTCAGTCTCTTCTCAAACTCTTTATTAAATATTTATAGAGCCAGATTGAAAATAGGCCCAGCTTTGCTCCTGGAGGTATGTGTACAGACCTCTGGACCAGGGAAGATCAACCTGGTCAGTTCAGGGAGGAGAGACAAAATCTTTTCTTCAAAAAGTTTCAGAAGCACATTGAGTAATTGCCTTACTCATAGTGAGATCACAAGTACTTCAGCAGCATTCTATATAGTAAACAGAATGTTACCTTGAAAATAGGAAGCTGCTGTTAGTGTGGGAAGATAAAGATGCCCACCAGGTTCATGAGTAAATCTGAATATTTGAAGCCAGGATTTATCCCGCCATGAGAAAATGTGGAAATGAATAATGGCACCTTTTACTTAAGTAGTATATATATACATATATGAGGAGTTGCCAGGAGAAAGTGTTAATGAGAAGAGTTTGTAAAAAATGAGTAGACTTGGGGATTTAGAAACACTTAAAATATCATTCATTGGACACGTAGAAGAAGGTGTTAAAATGAAAATGCCAAAGTTGTTCCAGTCTTTTACTAAATTGGGGAATGGAGGAGGCATGGAAAGGGGTGCTGAACTGAGGATATTCCCTTAGGCAGAGAAGAGCCCTGATGCTCTTAGAGGGGGCAACCTCTCCAGGTCAAATGCTGCTTGAGATAAGAGCAAAGGTGGTTGTTGTTGGTTTGTAGATCTATGAAGGACTCTTGCATTCTAAGATGTGCTGTAGTGCTTCTAGAATAAATGCCAAGACCACAACACTCACACTGCCTTTATGTGTTACATAATCATCAGGTTAGAGAAGGCTGCAGGCTTTTGGTCCATCTCATTGCCTTTGGACAGTTTCCTTTGAAATTGTCCCAAAGACTTAGAGACTTATCCAGGGAAATGTCATTGTGCCAGATCATAACCACATACTTAATTTTAGTGCCACAAGATAAATTACTACCTCCAGATTTTAAAGGTATTTATTTCAGTGGTTCCAGGAGAATTTTCAAGACCTTTTTACCTAAAGTTTCAAAGGACAGTGCTAATTTGGCAGTATATGAAACCATGAATATCATTTTCATTTGGCTAACTTCTTGAGTTAATCAAGTTAGAACAATAAATGGACTTATGGCAAATACTCTTTACTATTATAAATACTGAACCTGATGCCTCTCCTTGAGCCAAGAAAGCTAGCAACTATTCTTCCATGCTAAAAGGAATCTTCTTTTGTTTCCAGTTCTGTTGACTTAGCTGTTTGTCATCAAGAATCTGATACGTCCAGGGCACTGTATTAGGAGCCATTGAAAGATTATGAAGAAAAATAGATTCTTGAACAGCCCTTGCATTTGGGAGAGTTCATAATCTAGTAGTGCAGGGGGTAGGGGTTAGAGAAGAAGAATCATACATGAAAAGCCTTAAGAATATTTTCATAGAAAACTGAGTTTGGTGTGGCCAAGGGCATATACATAATGAATGAATGATTAGGGGCAGATAGAGTTAATCAAGGTTTTTCTTACATGTGTTGACTTTCCTAAAGTACTATAAATATGGGCTGAATTTAGTGTCTGGCATAAGGCAGGAACAAATGAATATTTACTGTTGATGATGTGTAAGGTAAGATCCCTGAAAATATTCTCCTCTTGGGGTACAATGTTAGCAACCCAGCTCTGGGGAATTGTGGGTCAGAGTAGGTGTTAACTCTGGCTGTTGCTATGGAAATGATTTAAGCAGCTGCATTTGCAAGGTTAAGAGCCTCATTCAAACACACCTACAGGAAATGTTATACTTTGGGGGAAGATCTGGGTCAAACATAAGCAATGCAGCACTATACCTCAATTGACAGCATAGAGTTCAGAAGGCCCAGGAGCAAGGTTGCTCTAGGGACATTTGCAGGTTTTCAGGTTGCCTCACTCTAGGGGTGAGAGTGAGGAGATAGATGCTGCTCTCTCTCTGGCTCCCAGAGTGGAAATTACAGCAAGACCAGCTACATCATGTAGCATCAGGGACACCCTTTCCTTCTATTAAATAGAAGCCACCTCTGAGGATTCCTAGCCATATTTATTAATCAGAAGAAATGATTGTTTTTGATAACCCCACAATAAGGGTGCTATGAGGGACCGATGCTGAGCCTTGTTTGAAGTGTATTCTTCCAGTCTCTCAAAGGACATCAAATAGCAAATGAAGCTGTATTATATGGCATTTGTATAATTTCATGTAAATTCTCAGAGGTGGAAGAAATACAAATAATCACATCTGCCCACACTTGAGATGCGTAAAAAGATAATGTAAAGATACAGAGTATCTCTTAAAGTCTTTAGAAAGAAAAGCAATAGAAACTACGGTCATATTTTGATATTTGTTCTGGGATTACTTTGGATTTTTATTTGTCTTTTTACAAACATAGCCTCATTACAGAGGGAGTTTTTGGACCTGGTTTTGAAACAGAGGTAATATTTGTCTGTTATATAGTAAGAAGACTACTCAACTTTATTGTCCACAAAATCAAAATAATAAAATTTAAAAGGTGTTTTCTTTTCTTGAGCTGGTAAAACTCATAACTTTTTTTAAAAAGCTCATTTTTTATTATTTGTGTTTCAGAGTTCACCAAGTAAAACAGACTGAGCTGGGCCATTACCGTTCTCATCAGTTTAGATTTATATGATGCATGCATTGAAATGAACATCTGGACAGTTAGAGAATGCATTTCAATTGAAGGCCCTTGTAGCATATTTTTTTTCCATATTTAGAGCATTCCTGTGGAAAACAACACAAGTAGGAAAACAACATACAGTAAAAGAGAAATATTTTTAAAAGCAAGAATTATCAGAAATGGGATTATTGAGAATTTTTATTGCACACAATAAAGGTATAAGTGGGATCATAAAGCACCATGCAGAAATAAAACCCATTGACTATTTGGGCTTTATCTTGAATCCAGAGAGCCAATGAACTTGAACTCATATGTGACTTCCAAGGCAACTAGCTGTAACCACAGTTACTACTGTCTCCAAGGCCCAAGAGGAGATTTTCAGCCTGGATAAGTATTTCATAGAGACATTTGAGCCAGGTGCTTTATGTAGTAGGATCGGTGATTCAGTGTGTGGCATTTAACAATGTGAGTCAGAATTAAATGAATGTCTTAGTATTATAGTTGGGGAGTTAATGGAAGGGCCATCTCTTGGATGAGTCATTGAACATAGATCCTGCTCTGAACCACTTGCTAAAAATTGTGCAATCATTTTCACAAGCAGATAAGATGATAACCTTGATGTTCTGCCCTTTCTAAGTTCACATGATCAAGCTGCTCATCTCTCTGTTTCCCCAAAATAGATTTGAGCTATAAAACCACCTTTCATCTTTATTCATTATTTTTTTCCACATGTGTTCTGTGCCTTATTCATTACATGTAAATAATGCAATTATGATATTTTAACTCTTACAGTATTCTATTAGAGGTAAACTGCATTTGTTATTTATAGTCTTTCTTTTCTCCAAAAATACTTGAGGCAGCTTATAAAAGACACAGATATGCTAAAACTATTCAAGCAAGGGCAAATGAATGTGATTACGGGCTATGCTAGGTCAAGAGAGAATTTATAGGCTAAAGATAGCTTCTGAAACTGAGCATCAAATTTAGCTTTGAGCTTCCTGAAAATTATTTTCAACATGCATCATTTTGCCTTTTTAATAAATGTCAATGTCTGCATTAGTATCTTCTATTCTAGAATATAAGCTTAAGAGGGAGACGGTGCTACAATTTAGTGTGATTTGTCAATCAGATGGCAAGTTTATTGAGGATGAGTCAGAACTATAATGTGAGACTGAGTAAGTAGGGTGAGAATTCAAAGAAAAGGAGAACCAATCACTTGTTCCTGTCTTCAATGAGGTAGCTGGTCAGTTGAATAAAACCTGTCATACATTTGAGATGTCTCTCACCATGGAACATATAAGCTAATGAATGTTCACAGAATCCTAACTGGGGATACAATTGTGGGAAAATATTACCCTTAATTAATATATAGTCTGATATTTGAGCAGTTATAGATTCAAGGCAGAAGGCTAGCTTTCAAGGGGAGACTTTCACTCCCATACCTGGCTGCTGTATGACTGCCCTAGGGCAGCAATCACAGAGACACCACAGGGCAGCCTCTGTTAGGATTAGGATGACTGAGGCATGGTCTAGTTGGATGTTAGGACTGGGCTCTATTTAGCCTACACAATCCTGTATAATCTTAGAATTAAAGAAAAAAGAAAGAAACGAAGGAAGGGAGGGAGGGAAGGATGGAAGGAAGGAAGGAAGGAAGAAAGGAAGGAAGGAAGGGGGAGGGAGGGAGGGAAGGGAGGGAAGGAAGGAGGGAGGGAGGGAAGGAAGGAAGGTGAAAAGAAGGGAGGGGAGGAAAAGGGAAAAGGTCTGTTGGTCAATTTCATGGACCTCTTATTATGCCAATGTGAAAATCAGTTAGCTAAATCTTTTGTGTCATTTTTTATCTTTTCTTAAACCTTTTTAGGGAGTGATAATTACATACATCTTTCCTGTGTTTTAGGAAGAAATTTTTGAAAGTAGATTAAAAAGTCAGATTGAGATAAATTATTAGGTTTATTGCTATCAAAACTGGAATAAAGAGTGGCATAAATATATAGCCATACTAGGCTTTCTATCATTTCTCCCAAGCCAGATGGATTTGAAAGGCCTAGCTGAAGGCCTATTTGAGTCTGTGGAGAAGACATACTTACTCAGATTTGCTGCCTTATCTACCTGCCATGTTTGGGACAGAGAGAGACATGAGTCTTCAGATCCATCTCTAGAAGACAGGCCTGACCCTGATCCAAATGTTCCTACAGTGTGGAAGCAGGAGTTCCAGAAGATATGGATTCATAAGAGGACAAATCTAAAAATAGGGAAAGGGAGTGGCTATACCACATGTGTTCTTACAGACCAATCCCAGATTAGTCATGCTTCCAACTAGGGTGAGGGGTGAATAAGGTGAGCATGGGCCCCAGTGACAAGCCACAGGCAGTGGGATGTTCTCATCTTTCGCTGCCAAGTGGGATTTGGGGAGCTAAACACACACCACACACACACACATGCACACACTCACACATACACACCAACACACAGAGACACATACGCACATGCATGCATATGCACACCACAGCACACACACACACCCCACACACATACATGAACAGATGCACACACACACCACATACAAATGCACATACACAACACACAAGTGCACTCACACAAACACACTCTTGCCTTGGTTTCATATGTGTAGCTAGAGTGACAAACAGAACAGGGAAAGGAAGCTCCCCCCAAACAGAGGCCTTTATTAAATTTATAACAATTGGGTTGGTATAGAATAGAGGTTCAGTTAACATTTCTTGAATGAATTACTGCAGAATGTATTGAATATTATCTATAGGTGAGGTTTTCCATATTTAACTCTGCCACAATATAAGAAAAATGACATTCCCTTCACCTGTGACCTGAGAATTCTTCATTACCAGATCCCATTTTTGAAAGCATGTGCCTTGTTTGATCTCCTCGGGACTTGATGAGGCTGACAAGTGGTCTCCTATGTTTAAAGGGAATTGCTCTACCTAAAGACTGGGGATCTATGGGAAAGGGAGAAAGAAAGGCAGAAGGTTCAGCAAGAGGAGAAAATGCTTTGTGTTGTAAGATATGACTTTCCATCCTGGAATCATCCAGATCTTCACTGAAGTCTGCAATGCCCCGGATTACTTCTGTATGAGTAAATTTCTCATGGAAGTTAGTAAAAGGGGTAAGTTCTGCATTCTGGGGTCAAGGGACTAAAACAGTCTTACTTCATCTAGGCAGCTGTGGCTGAAATTAGGTTGTGTAAGGCTGAAATTAGGCTGAATGCAACAGTCAGCACCCCTATTGATATGCAACCGCAGAATCTATCAACTCATCTAAAAGCAAATTTTTCAACAGAGCCTGTTGATAATGTAACCAATAGATAATGTAACTATCTACCCTACTCAAAACTAGGCTAATTCCTCAAGGGAATTATGACATTACATAATATGCCTGGTTAGTATGGCATTACATCAGCAATGCAATAATAAGGTAATAAAGTTATCAGAACTTCCCTTCCAAAATATGGCATTTTAATCCCTGAAGCGTGAATAGAAATTAAATAATACTCAAACTTTTTATTAATTTTTAAAAGTTATAATGGATATTCCAATTATTTTGTGTAAATTACATTACCAATTCTAAAAGTTGCATAAATTTTTAAATTTCTGGAAGGAAGACTGTTGTGATTTGACTTGCAAATATTTTTAGCAAACAAAACAAGCTTCAGAAGTTGACAAAAATGGGTATAGAATGTATACAAATATAAAGTGTTAGTTAGCATACTGGGATAGCTAAATCTTCTGTGAAGCTGAGAGATTTGTGCATGCAAGAAAATACCAATTTAGCTGCTATTGTTTGCAAACTTTAAAAATGTATCTCTTCCCTTCTATCTGTGCTCCCACCAGCTTAGAATGCCTTCATTTTATCCATCTTTCATTATTAAAAACAAATTCTCTCTGGTACTCAAACTCAACTCAATCTCAGTCTTTTAAAATACTCTTCTATTTAAAAAATAACAAAATCTTTAAAGTGGATTCTAATGGCTAATTGTAGTTTTCTTAAGCATAAATCACTCAGATACTGTGTTCTCTGAGTTATTATATGATTCCGAACGTCCTTTTTATTACCTTTGTTCTTTCAGACTTGGTTGGATAAACAATTCATGTGACACATTTTCTTTCTCCAGAACTTTGTAGGATTTAACTTCAAATATTGCTGCAAAGAAGTTTCAGGGGATCCTGATTTTGTCTTCTGGTATGTGACATGGGTTTTCTGGAGGTAGCTTGAAAAAGGCTTTATCTTTGAAGTTCAATAGTGGACCAAGATATGTTTTGGCTTTAAGTGTTTTGTAAAAATTTTGCCTGGATTAGAGTGTGTTCTTTTTATTTTTAGTTATTTTTCCCAATTATCTCACCAAAATTTTCTTGTTTTATATTCTTTAATATGTTTTTGGTTTCATGGTTGGCTTTGTTTTCACAGGAATTCAGTTATTTTAAGTGGGTTTATCTCTCTTGAATGTGGTCACATTGTTCGTTCCTTCCTTCCTTCCTTCCTTCCTTCCTTCCTTCCTTCCTTCCTTCCTTCCTTCCCTCCTTCCTTCCTTCCTTCCTTCCCTCCCTGTACTCTGTTAGAGGTAAACTGCTGCACTTTTTATTTACAATCCCTCTTTCCTCCAAAATATTTGAGGCAGCTTATAAAAAACAGATATTCTAAAACTATTTAAGCAAGGGCAAATGATGTGATTATGAGCTTTGAGTGTTTTGTATTTATTTATTCTTTTCTCCTTCTTTTGTACGTTTTTCTTCATTCTCTATATTTATTATGATTATAAAAAACAATTTAGAGCAGCAATTTTATTTTAGCTTTGTCTATTGTATTCCTTCTTCCTTAAAATTGATTAATATGTTTCATAATATTCTTGCTTTGGACATCAATTTTACTTAATGCTTGATGCTTCTATTAAAACATATTTCCATTTTCTTTTTTTAAATTGAAATGATCTTCTTCTTACCTATTTCTATAGCATAATGCAATGCATTTATGGAGATGTTTTTTCCTTCCTGTGCTATGCTTTTTTCATACATGTTTTTTCTTGACTTGTGCATATTTTATGCTATTTTTTACTTACCAGTTATTTATTGATTTTTTCCCCCTATAATGTCTTTCAATTGTTGGCACTCAGATTGTTTTAGCATTGCTTATACTTAATGTGAATTATTTGGCAGAGGTAATCTGATTTCCTAATTTTGCTGATAAAATGAAAAAAAAAAGTTTTTTATTTCTTTTCCACCATGATTGCTATCTACTTTTGTTGCTTTGAGCTACAAGTTGAGAGTATGGGAGATGAAAAGGTGATAAGCTAAGGTTGTGTTGAACATCTTAAATCATGATTTTCTGTAGACATTAAGGTTTGCATATTGTTCCCACAGTGAACCCCTGCAAACTTAACTATCCTCATTTTTTCTTAATTTCCTCCTTTCCACTCTCCCTCCCAGGAACTACTTTCACTTTTTTTCAGTTAGAAAAAAAAAATACAAGAGTACAATTTCAATTTGCTTCTTCAAAGTTTGGCAGTCAGTGAAAATCATTCGTATATTATCAACTCAGCATTATTACTTTTAGAATGCTGGTGAAAGTTTAGAAGCCAGTTACGTTGCCCACACTGCTCTGCTCTATTCTAGAATCTTCTGTTGCTTCATTTTGGTTTCTTTGCTTGTTAATAATGTTTTATAGTTTCAGTTGTGCAGCACTCCTTTTTCATTGCTGCTGATCATGATTTATTTTATTCTGAAATTTATTTATTTGTTCATTTGTGAAGGCATAATGGAAAATGTAAATGATGTGATCTGATGTGGCTTCATTCTTCCATTTGCTATCTTTACCCAAACTTTCAACAATCAGGTTTTACTTTATTATTTACAAACTTATCTAAGGATGTATTTATTTTAAAAATTTCACTTAAGAGCCCTTAGACAAGTCCTATAATTTATTACCTGCTGAATAAAGTAATTTTTCTTTTTTATCTCATATGACACTGTTTAATGTAAACTACATTTTTATATTCAGGGAGTATTGTGTGTGCGTTCATTCTGTCTATGTTTTTTTGTTTTGCTGAATTTGATCATGGACCCTCCTATTTCATTTTAATAGCTACCCCTTTTCATTTGCTACTTTCATATGCTGATTTCATATCATGCTTCATATTCTTATGTTGTAAAGGTTTTTCCATTATCAGTGAAGTAATGGAAATTAAAATGCTGTATAGAGACAAGAGATGAGGTTTTATTTAATTAAGCAAAAGTAACAATCCAGACTGCACATTGAAAGGCAGAGGGTGGGGGAGAATATTATGGGAAGCCCTAATAGATAAGAGGAATGCTAAGGGTTGATTTAAGAAGGAAAAATAAACAAAGTTAAAGTCAGAATGTTTATTTTGAATGGCATTAGTAAATGGGGAAAATTGGTGGAACCGATTCTTTGTTATTACGTGACTCATAAAAAATATTAGGTTGCCTTGATTTCTGCTTCTTACCTTGTGGCCTTGGTTTGGTTTATACACCCTCATTGTCAGCACTGGCTCTCTATAATAAGCATAACCATTACAGGTGGCCATAGTTGGGATCTGAGCTTTTCTATAGCATCTTTAGTTCTGCACAGCAAGGGCCACTAGGGAAAGGGCAGAGAAGGGTGGAGAGGATGTCTATAGGTAGCAAAGATACTTTGAGTTTGGAGAATAATAATTATGGAATTGTGGCATGTACGTTACTTGTGCTTTTTCCTTTGTTTTTCTGATGCCTAAGGTGGTTGAACACAAGTTTTTCCTGTTGCGTAGCTGGTTACATTTTCCACTGAGCCTTGCAGCTCTTGTTTTTGAGAGAAAAAAAGCACTAGGAAATATGCAAAATCTCCTTGAGTGAATAATGTGAATTGCAGAAAGGATCCATTGACTTCCTTCTCAGCAGTGATTTTCTATCTGAGTGGCTGCTGGATAGTTAGTGCATAAAGCTATGTTGGTGCTGGCTGGGTGCAAATTGCCTTCATCTGAAGATGCCTGCTTTGTACCATTACCTGCCTACAGCAAAACAGAGCCCCTCCAGTAGAGAAGTCTCTTTAACCAAATATCAAACAAATTAACCTTTTAGTGTGCTCCTAGGAGCCTCTCAAGAGAAGGAACACTTCAGTGACATCACTGATGGCAAAGGTTAGCCTAAAAGTAAAATGAAATCATCTGGCCAGGCAGGCCCTGCGGGAGAATCAAGCTTTGTAATTAGATTGAAGGCTCCTAGGAAACGAAGCTCTGTTGCAGGAAGAGCATTTGCAGAAGCTAATTGGGGTAAGCTTTTGCATCAGTGTCGGTGCAACGCATCACTTACAGCCTTGAAAATAGCTGTAATGGTGTATGATGATTGAGTCATTCCCTAATTTTAGCAACCTAGGCTGAACATGAATTACATGACGAATGTGCGCTTGAGTTTGTCCTATCTGAGACTTCGGACTCCGGGAAGATTGCCGTACACGTACTGGCTAATGTGACGACTGTTTTCTGGGAGTTGCAGGATTGCGACAGCTTTGTGCAAGCAGAGCCTGAGAGTTTTGCTCTGTTGGCTCTGCCCATTTACCTTCATTCTAACCTCCATTCTTACCTTGTCATCTGGTGGATGTCTCCCTGCCTTTACCCTACTTTTTTTTTTCCCCCAAAGTGTGGAATCTGTAACTGAACCCAGTAATTGTTCTAAATTATTTCTGTGGTGAATTAGCAAAACAAGAAATCTAGTTACTAAGCGAATAAGGTGAGGTCACCATCCTCCTTGCTGTAGTGACTCAAACCAGATACAAACTGAGGTTGGAGAAGTAAAAACGTGAGCAGAGAAGTAATATTATTTGGTCTTGCATGTGTCTAAACTTCTCCCTAGATAATCACCTTAACTTTGATATACATAGTGGAGTTCTCTTCTGGCACTTTCAAGGATACACCAACCTGAACACTTTATCTTTCACGATTTCCTTTGGTTTTATGTGGTTTTCAGTCTTTGAGTGACAACAGAATATCAAGGCAAGTCAGCTCCCGGGACCCACCATCTGTGTGACAAAGGCATAGTACTTAAACTCTCTGAGCCTCCCATTCCTCATGCATAAATGAGAATAGTGGAAGAGCTAGTAAGAGTATGAAGCATGGTATGAAATCATGCATGAAGCTTTATGTTGTAAAGCTGTGTTGTATGTGGCAAAAATTTTTACATTATCAGTGAAGTAATAGATACTAAAATGTTGTATAGAGACAAGAGATGAGGTTTTATCTAATTAAGCACAAATGATCTAGACTATACATTAAAAGGCAGAGGGTGGGGGAGAGTATTATGGGAAGCCCTAATAGATAAGAGGAATGCTAACGGTTGATTTAAGAAGGAAAAATAAACAAAGTTAAGGTCAGACTCTTTATTTTGAATGCTATTAATAAGTAAAGAAATTGATGGAATCAGGTAGAAGCACATAATCAGCTTTCATAAGCATTAGCTAGGATTTTTGGCCAAAACATAAGGGTGAAGGTATGTGAGAGTTGTTCTTTATTTTGGTAGTCATAACTAACAAAAACAGCTAACATTTTTTAACGCTTACTGTACGTCAAGTACTACACGGAGCACATGATGTGGTGATGACATTAAAAACTCACCCCAACCTGCTCTATGCTCATTGCACAGATTAGGAAACGGAAGCATCTGAGTAACATAGTGAAGATACTAATGCAATAAATAATTGTTCATCAAAGAATCACAGAAAGAAGCACTTGGAGCTGGCTCATCTCAGGGAAATGCACGTAGTGATAATGAGTCATCCATTTTCAATGCATCACTATAGCTCTCCCAAACCAAAACCCTCCTCTTGAGCTCACACTAAATCTGTTTATTTCTCATATCTAGATTGCTTTTACATTCTGCACCAGCTAATCTCTGGTCCTATTTCAAATCAGAATCTGGATATTATTTACCATCTGCCTCTAAGGGATGCACTTGCCAAGTCCCTTAATTTGCTATAATTGGCAGGTTTTCAGTGTACATAATTTATATCAAAAAAAGCTACCCTGAAAAAGAAGATTAATTAAACCATTTCTTCTGGGTCCCTAAAAGTGCAGTGGTTTCCAGGAGGATGGCTTTAAGGCCTTAAGGTCTTCTGTGTGTATATGCTGTCACAGCTGAGCACATTAAAAATGTATGTTGGGTTGCTCCCTGGTGCCTCTGAGCTGGTCAGAAAGATGTCATTGGCACCTGGGTAACATCACAAATACTCACTGAATTAAGCAGCTCACATTTGCATTTGAGTCTTTTGTTCTAAGCTTCGCAGACACTGGAAACTACTAGACTGCAGTATAATTTATGGATACCTCAGTGTTGACAATTCTGTCACTGATATGATAGGAAACACTAGAAAAAAATACACCCAGATGTACAGAATTCTAAATAGAGTAAGTGAGAGACCGTAACCTGATTCAGACAAGCAGCACATGTGGCTAGGAAATAGACCATTTACAGTTTTTCCCCCTTTTTGCCCTTTTTCAGTCATTCGCTAGGCTCATGGTCCAATGTGGAACATCCCCTAGGCTTTGTGGAGGCATTCTGGTCCTTCACAGCTTCTGGATAATATAATGCTTCCTTGTGAGTTTATTTCTTAATCCATGCCTATCTAAACTTGGCAGATTGATTCTCCATTCTAAAAATGGGAACTTCTGTGTTTTCTATCTTTTTCTAGAGGTTTTTTTTTTTTTTTTTTTTGAATTACCAGCCTTCAGGGGAATTACACAGCGTAGCACAGGAATGAATGTGAAGTTGCCACATATTTTTCTTTATTTTCCTGGAATGCCCATCTTCACATCCATGGCCAGTTTTTCCTACTTAGCTTCCAAATCTTAACTCAAATGCTGCCATGCTTGCCTTGCCCCATCCTGACCTCAAGGTGGCCTCCTCTGTGCTTCAGAAACTATATCTGAAGCTTAAGAAATAAGTAAAAAATGTGGACAGCCTCCATTCATTGTCTTTTTGAAAGAAGGCCAGCTACAGATTAACTAATATACTTAGGTTACCTCACTGTTTACTATTAATTACAAATTCCAGACTTTGTAGCATTCGCTGTTGACTTGTAGCTTTTTGCATGGTGGAGCTGCAAATAATTTCTGCCAGGTGGAGCAGATAACTCCAAAGGTTTATGGTCCTGTTGGACATGAGCCACTTTTTAAATCTACCCATCAATCTCATTCTAAGATGGTCTCTGTCCAGCTTATAAAACAACTTTTGATCTGGTCATAACATCTTATTAATTAATGAGTTAAATAAAACATGCTCATATTACGTGAGGGTGGGAGTCACAGGTTTGAACTCCAGTAGAGTATAGCACTCTCCACATTCTCCCAGATTGAGTTGTCTCCCTTTGCCACTAAATAAAAGCCTCATGAAGACAGGGACCTTGCGTTGCATGACTTTGGACACTCAGTACTTAGTACCATGTCTGATGCCTGCGTCACTCAATAAGAATGTGTACTATGACTAAATGATTATGTAATTTAATTCTAACCCAATTGGACTCTGCAGCAGTGCTCCAGGTCAGTGCAAGGATGCTCTATTGCTCAAAGAACAGCTTCTATTTTAGGATAACTTAGATGTGGAGTCAGAAATGTTATGATAGTCTTTTCTACGACTTGATGACTCTATGTAGTGGCCTTAGTCTTAATCCTTCTTTATTAGTCTTTTGCTTTGCACTGCCTTTGGATTAAGAATAGACAAAGTTATTCAATATTCAATATCCACCTAAGCCAGGACACTTTGCAAGGGCAAACAGAAGTTTGAAAGACAGTTTTACTTGTCTTTTTTTTTTTTCAGTGTTGTGCCTAGTTGCTGTGGCTAGCTGAAAACATAAGGGAAATCTTTCTCTTTTATTAAGGATACTTTGACCCTTTGAGAGAAAAACAAATTCTAAGTAAAGCAGTTCCATGTCTAAACTGATGTTATCAGCCGCTACTGTATGACATTAGGCTGTAAAAGTATTTACCTAAAAAAGTCAATAAACATGCAATTCACTATTATTTGTGTTGAATTATAGATCTGGAGGATCAAACCAGAATCAAAAGGAGTATACAAATTATCTATAAGATTATATGTGTGTATGTATATGCATATATATCTTTATACATATAACCTCAAATATCTAAAGGCAATTTCTGTGCATCACCTTCTTGTCCTTTTCTTTTTCTTATATACACTACTACAATAATGCATTTCCCATCAAAGTACTATTTTAAAAGTCTGCTTTTCATTTTGTCTATATTTGAAAATGTACTCAAAGAGTTCTGAAGAAGAATAATGTGTAGGATGGTAGTTTTCAGAAACTTATTTGGAAATAATATCATCTAATAGAGAATTAAATATACTTCTAGTAGGTATTCAACAAAAATTAAGATAACTTCTCATATTTAAGAATATAAAAATAACCAGATTGTTTAAGCGTAAATTCCATCTGCTGTCCAGGGATTGTCAACAAGTGAAAATTTATGGAAGGCCACAGACATTGGTCTTCAAATTGTTAGGGCTGTGCTCCAGACCAGGATTTGGCAAATGTTTTCTGTAAAGGGCCATAGTAAGTATTGATGATTTTGTGGATAATAAGTATCTGTATATTTAAAACTCTGCCATCTTAGTGTGAAAGCAACCTTAGACAATACATAAACAAATGAACCTGGCTATGTTTCAATCAATAATACTTTATGTATGAAAACAGGCATTGAACCAGATTTGGCCCATGGGTTATAGTTTGCCTACTCCTGCTCCAGACTGTCCTCATCGTTGTTTTCCTCAGTTAGTCCACAAAATTAAAAAGTCACTATTCTTGTATTTACTGTATTTTGCAGAGTTGTGAGAAAACAAATCTATATAAGTTGCTTTGGCCAGTGGAAGATAAGACACAAATTGTATGTCTAGGTTCATTTACTGAAGAATCTAAATGCTCTTTTGGGAAAAGTAGGCATCGAAATGCTTTGAAAATATGTATTTCAAAATAAGTATTGCATGCCTGAAAGTGTCAAGATATTGAGGACCAACTATGATGCTAAGAAAGAGGGAATAAAATGTCTAATGCTTCAAAGGTCTCATTAATTCACAAAAGCTTATGGTAGGTTTGCGTAGGATTTTAGGCTGTAAACCTATTCTATGGCTACATAATTTTTTTTTTTTTGGAGATGGAGTCTTGCTCTGTTGCCCAGGCTGGAGTGCAGTGGCGAGATCTTGGCTCACTGCAAGCTCTGCCTCCAGCGTTCATGCCATTCTCCTGCCTCAGCCTCCCAAATAGCTGGGACTACAGGCACCCGCCACCACACCTGGCTAATTTTTTGTATTTTTTAGTAGAGACGGGGTTTCACCGTGTTAGCCAGGATGGTCTCGATCTCCTGACCTTGTGATCTGCCCGCCTCAGCCTCCCAAAGTGCTGGGATTACAGGCGTGAGCCACCGCCCCCAGCCTACAGTTATGTAATTGTATCCTTCACTTCATGGTAGTAATATCTAAGGCATAGAAACTACTCACCTGTTCAGTCCAGGCTAGGAGATAACTTGACTGATACTTTCTTCATACTACAAGGAGGGTAAAAACCTTCGATCATTTGCTGTAGGACATATCAAAACTTGCCACTCCTCTCTTGCGATTGAAACTCAGTACTAAGCTCATTAATGATGGAGTATATTGGGGATGTCCTTTATCTCAGGGGTATTTAATGCATGTCTTTTATGCCAGGGATATTTAATGCAGGAATTTGGTTGCACATTTCATGTCCAATTCATAATGGAAAATTAAACAAACAAATGAAAAGAATAAAACACAAACAAACCGGCTGTCCAAAGCTTCTGTCCCTGTCCCAGAAACTGAAATGATGGAAAACTGCCAATGAGTATGCTCTGAAATATGGTAGTTTGGACAGGAGAAATACATAATTTTTTTCTTACATTGATCCTTTGTTTGATATTAACCAAAAAGTGTTTGCTTGCCAATTTAAAGACCGTCTTAATGGAGAGATTCTTTTCTTTCCCCTCCCTAAGCTGTTCCCCAAAGGGAAAAAATTCAGGACCTTCAATTAATTTAAATGGCCTTGCCTTTATCCTTATCTCAGCCTTTACATTTACCCATGGGGTTGCAGCTAAGAATTTGGGACAAACTCCACAATTATGGCCTTTGTTAGTAGTGCAAGGATTGCATGGGCACCTGGCACCACTAAGGATCTCAGACCAGTCTTTTTTTTCGTAGAAATGATACACTTTTGGCATATGTTTTTAATGCCATTTATTAAATACCATGTACTCATGTTATGGACACTTTTCCTACACTATTAATCCAGAGAATTCTGGAAAGTATAAATTATTATTTCCTTTTGATAAATGCAAGGCGCAGAGAGGTCACGTTACTTGACCTAGGCCACATAGGTAGCACATAGTAGACTGGGAATTCAAGCTAAGATCTATCCAATAGGAAGTCCCCTCCAGAGATATTCACTGTTGTCCTATATCATTGTGCAAATGGAAGACATGCACAACATATTATTTAAGGAACATGGTGAAATCCTAATTATCACCTGAACGATATTCCCAGGTCCAGGTTACGACCTCTTCCAAGGGGGCTGGCCACAGCCATCAGAAGACTTTTATGAAGATGCTTCCATGTGAACTGGCAAAATCCTCCCAGCACTCTCTCAGTAGCCCAAGATAGTCCAGCAGATTACATGACATTTAAGAGGAGAAAAGAACAACGGAGGGTATATGTAGACACAATGTCTGTAAACTAGGAAGGAGGAGGATCCAGTGGTTGCAAGTGGAGTGTGCTGGGAAGGCATCACTGAGCTGAAAAGTCCAGGACAGTATTTCTCCCTCTGAGGTTTTAGATCTTCTGCAGCAAAGTTATCTGGAGTGTTTTTCAAAAATGCAAATTTTTTGGCCTTATCCCTCAAGAATCTGATTTCAGTAATGTTTGATGGAGGTCCGGGCATCTTTGTAGCTGCCATTAAAATTTAAAAACCACTGATTGGGGATAGTTGGACAAATCTGGGAGCTTCTAAAGAAGAAGAAAATTTGCAGAAAGGGGAACTAAAGGACAATTTCTAAAGATGAATGCTCCTAAGAATAAAAGTGTCAATGGGTGTCCTGTGTCACAGGAGTGGAAGTCTGGGGGGCATGTGAAAGACCTTGAGAATTGCTTGTACTAGAATTATTGTAAGGTCAGCATAGCATCTTTAAACATGTCCAGCTTTCTCTTTTATCTGGTTTCTGCTTTCTTTTTCCTTGCAAATTTAATTAACATTCATGGGCAACAATATTAATTTGATCAAACTAAGGTCCTTTTTTAATTATTTAATGATCACAACATGAAATCACACAAATTAAGAGGATAGAAGATATAAATCAATCTGAATTAGGAAAAATTTTGTAATTTAACCAGGTAACATTTTCATGGATGTAAACAAATATATTACAGATAATGAGATGAAGGAATTGGTATGAAACTGAATTTAAAACCTTAATTTAAACAAATATGTTCTCTAGTTTATACACAATCAATACACATGGCATATGAAATTTCATAAAATATGATACAGTACATTGCTTCTTCTATATACCATTCACTATTTTTATAAGCACAGAATATTATTGGATGATAAATATAATTAAACAGAGCAAAATCATATGAATTAAAGCCATGAAGATTTTTTTACGGAATTACAGGCTTGCTACAGAGCTTGTGGGCATTACTACTATGCTGTCAGAGAAATGTATTAGCCCCTGAGGGATAGATTCTTATTATCAGCTATGGATTTTGTGGTCTTTAAATTAGAAAGCAAAATGCTATAATATGTGTCTTTGAAAGCAAAAGAAGGAAAGTACTGAAAAATTTAAGCAAACAATTAATGTTAACTTCAAATGTAAGGGTGCTTGAGTTTGTACACAGCTTGCTCCCTAGTTAAAGCCAAGATCTACATTGCATGCACAATTGCATGCAAATTGGACCTAATTTACTGCATGCGCTGCCTCTTCAATTAAATAAAATGAGAAGATGATTTTTACTTTAGAAGAGTAAAATTTCAATGTGTTAAAATGTTTTACCTCCAAATTTTTCATAAATAGCTTACACACCAAAGTGTTTATTTGAAAGATCTCATTTAGTCAGTATATTTTGAGTTTGGCTTGGCATGGAAGGCGTGGGTTCTGCCCTCAAGGAGCATATGGATCTACTGGGAACAGGAAATATATTAACATGGCTAAATTTCTAGATTTATCTTCCTAAGACACCTTTTTATATAGGTCTGCTTGTTCAACTTCTACCTTCCAACTCATCAGTCTTTAAAGTCTGCATCATTGCATGTAACAGGCACTCCAAATCCTTTTTTTTTTTTTTTTTGAGACAAAGTCTCACTTTGTCACCCAGGCTGGAGTGCAATGGCATGGTCTTGGCTCACTGCAACCTCCCCCTCCCTCCCGGGTTCAAGCGAATCTCCTGCCTCAGACTCCCAAGTAGCTAGGTCTACAGGCATGTGCTACCACACCCAGCTAATTTTTGTATTTTTAGTAGAGATGGGTTTCACCATGTTGGCCAGGCTGGTCTCGAGCTTCTGACCTCATGATCCGCCCGCCTTGGCCTCCCAAAGTGCTGGGATTACAGGCATGAGCCACTGTGCCCAGCCTCCAAATCCTTTTATGAGATGTATTCGCTTCCTAGGTCTGCTGTAAAAAGTATTACAGAGTGACTTAAGACAAGAGAAATTTATTGTCTCACAGTACTTGAGGCTAGTAGTCCAAAATCAAGGTATGGATGGAGGCATGCTCCCTCTGAAACCCATAGGGGAGAATCCTTCTTTACCTCTTCATAGCTTCTTGTGGCTTGTCAACAATCTTTGGCATTCCTTGGCTTGCAGCTATAGCACTCCAATTGCTGTCTCTATTGCAACATAATGTTCTTCCTTCCTGTGTCTGTGTTCAAATCTACCTGTTCTCAACAGGACATCAGTCATATTGGATTGAATGTCCATTCTATTCCAATACGATCTTATCTTAACATAGCTGATTACGTCTGCAATAACCCTATTTCCAAATAAGGTCACATTCTGATGTACTAGGGGTTAGGATTTCAACATACATGTTTTGGGAATACAATTCATCACATGACAGGAAGCATTCAGGTTCATCCACTATTTTGCTTGCTCAGGCTGCCTTCATTCCTCATTTATTATGGGAGAAAAAACCTACCAGTTGTTGAATTCCTTCTCTTAGCAGGTACTTTACATATGCTAACTAATTAATTCTTGGGAGAACTCTAAAGAAAAGGCATTATTGTCCCATTTTATTGGTGAGGGATCTGAGGCTTAGGGAGTTAAAGTGCATTTCTCAAGATTTACTCATCCTTTAGGTCTTAGTTCCAATCTCGTTCCATCAAGAAAGGCTTCCTGAACACCCAGGCAAAATTTGGTTTCCATAATATGTATTCTCATGGCACCTTCTATTTTTCCTTTGTAAAATTCATATCATTTAATAATTATTTATCATTCAATATTTGTTTAGTGTTTGCCTCTTCATCTGGGTCATAAGCTCCATGAGGTGGGGCCCATGTATATTTCCATCACTTGGGCACACAGGCACTGGGTAATATTTGTGGAACAAATGTTTGAATGAGTAACTCCCATAATTAGTAGAATAAATATTTGAACATTTTACCCCAAATCTCAGAGTTACTCCACCCATAATGATTAACCAGTTTCTACTAGACATCTGTAATGTAGTAGACATTTAACTTCGCAAGATGAATAAGGCCTAGTCCCTGTCCTCAGGGAGTTTACAGTTTAATAGAGAAGACACAGAAGAGGAGGGGATGACTAGCTACCTGAAGATGGTGATGGGATCAGAGAAGCTTATCACAGATACCAAAATCATCTTATAGGGAGGAAGACTGGTTGGAATAATTGGAAAATGGGGTTAAGGGAGGCCTAGGCAGAGAAGCAGGTGTAAATGGGACAAGTCCTTGGCAGAGGATAATATTTTTCCCCAAAGGCAGGCAATTTGGTAGATGGAGGAGGGGTTTTGATGAGTTAGATGAGCCTCATCTAAAAGAACTTTTCCTGAGCCAAATGGATCTACTCATGAGCTCATCAATATATCCCACACATTTGTGACTCAGCTCAATGAAAAGCAGATATTTCCAAATCTGGAAAAAGCTCTTTTTGGAGGTAATGAGTTCCCAGTCTTTTGGAGTTGTTGAATAATCATGTGGGCAACTATTTTAATGCTGTGTTTTAGCAGTGCTTCTCTTCCTATCCTTCTTGCTGCTATGGCACGCATGGAAAATATTTCAATGGCACATTGAGATACAACCAGAAGCAAACTCTTCCAAGGGCTGAAGAGGTCAATACACCAACTCCTTTGTGATACATGCACAGTGTTCTAGAATAGGGAATTTAATCCTTCTGGAGTTTTCATTATAGAAAAAATTAAGATATCCTCTAATTTTGAGGTTCTTTAAACTGAAACACTCCTTTTCCATATTCTTCATACAGAATCCCAGAGTAATGTATTAATAGTGTAAATCAGATGATGTCACCTCACTGCATAAAACCCTTCACTTCTTAAAACATTTCAAAGAAAATCCAGAATTCTTACCTTGAACTAACAGGCTCTGCACACTTTGGTTTCTACTTGCCTCTCTCAATTAATTTTCTACATCCTTCTCCTCTGCTCACTATAAGCCAGCTCTAGGCATTTTTCTCAAGTTTTCAAATAAGCCAAACTTACTTCTGCCTCAGGGCCTTTGCACAGGCTGGTATCTCTAAAGGCAAAAATATGAGGATAGCTTTCTTATACTTTAATCCACAGTTTAAATATCATACCCCAGTAAGGCTTTTCCCTGACTGCTGTATCTAAAGAGTTTCTACGTATAGTTTATTGCACCATCTGTTTGTAGCCTCAAATGGTGTATTTCTTAAAAAAAAAAAAGAAACTACTCATTTATTATTGTCCCCCTGTACACACACACTCCCTCTACCATCCACCTCTTCCCTGACCTGTGAGTTTGACAGAAGGAAAGTGCTTGCTCTGCTCAGAACTCTAGTAGTTCTGAACGAATACAACAATGCCAGGGACATTATAGGGGCTCAATGCTTATAAGTTGAATGAATTAATTTGAACATTTCAAGGACAATTTGACAAATAGATCAATGTAAATATTGTAAGCCTGGAAAGGAAGGATGTTTAATGAATAAGATGGAGACAGAGGATGGGTTTAAAGGAGTGACCACATTGGTATGCAGAAATTGAGAAAGGTTTCATGGAGGAAGCTCTAGATGTCCCCTGAAATGTTAACATGTAAAACTAAGGAGTGTGTGGGGGAGGGGGATTATGGTAATATTTTAGAAGAAATTATTATCCATAAATATGTATTGTTAAGTAGAAGAACTACATGGTTTAGGAACAACAAATAATGCAATTTGATTTTATTATAGCAGTGTTTCTCAATCAGTTATGATTTTGCCACCTAGGGGACACTGCAAAATGTCCAAAGACAATTTTGGTTGCTGCAACTTAGAAGTGCTACTAACTTTTATTCGGTAAAGGCCAGGAATGATGCTAAACGTTGTTCAAAGCCCAGGACAGTACCTCTCAACAAATAATTATCTGCATCAAATGCCAATAGTGACAAGATTGAGAAATACTGCATTCTGGGAATATGTAAGAACATCGTAGAAAATAAAGCTAAAATAACAAGGCAAGGCAAAACTTTGGAAATACTTAAATATCAAGGTCAGGCATTTACTTAGTAGGGAGAGGGGAACTAATGTTGGTTTTATGCAGAGTCGTGATAGGAACTCTTGGAGGCTTAACCCAGTACTCACATAAAGGCAGCCTGGAGCAAAATGGGAAGAGGCCTGTGTAGAAGCTGCTTTAGTGGTCTAGATAAGAATAGGGGGCCTTGCACTAGAAGAATGCTGAGGGAGATGGAATGGAATAGACAGATTTATGTTATTTCAGAGTTACAATATTAATGGATTGTCAATGACAGAATGCATCCATTCTGTTTCAGAAGTTTTTAAGTATACATTCTTATGTCTGTTTGATTCAGTTCACATGGATTTTGAAGGAAAATACCACAAGTCATGACTTTTTGTCCATAAATGCTTGGAATGCCCCTGAGGTTTCTTCAGTATTTCATATCACATGTTTTCATCAGTGAGGGGAGAATTTAAAAACATGCATGGTAATAACTAAAAACTCTGCTGCTTTAGTGAAGGAATTTGTTATTGCACCATATTTGGGTGTGGGATGAGTAGAAAAGAAAAAGAAAGGGGGAGGGGAGAGAGAGAGAGAGAGGCAAACACAACAAACCACACAGTTTTAGTATTTCTCCTGTAGAATACTTGGAAAATGAAGATATTTGAAAAATAGAGTCATGGAATCTTCGAGTTAGAAGGTTATCTGGTCCAGTCTTTTTTTTATTCGAGCACAAAATCAAAACATTAAGTGGGATGGCTGACTACTCTTGTCTTAAAGATCTTCAGTGCTTGGCCAGCTGCCCAGGTTATTCAAAGTCTGTGCTCACATTTGCAGTGAGTTTTTAAGATTTCAAGATATTGGCAATCTGACAAAAGCCTAATTCAAAAGTAACTGGTATCTTTATTAAGGTATAGCAAATGAGATATGAATAAAAACTGTGTGAAAGAGCCAAGGCAGAAATACAAGGTAATTATTTTCTGGACTTCACCCTTTGTTGGGAGTTTCAGAGACCTCAGCAAAAAAAGAAGCCTCTCTGGCTGTATTTTAATCCTGGCTTCCTCTAGCCTAGGAACAGCCAATTACTGTGGTAAACAGAAATCATCTGAACATCAGCAGTATCCCTATCATCATCCTGATGCCAGCCTTGGGAATTTTGACCTCTATGTTTCATGGCATGGTCCACCCCTCAGTGGTCAATAAGCCAAGCCAGATGCTGTTCTTCCAACTCGATATAGGGGAAGGAACTGAGTTCTATAGCCTACTGGCTTGGTTAAGGGCTTCAAGGCACATTTGGCTCATTTATGCTATCACACATTCTTGATAATGTGTATTTTAAATTACCCATGCACTTTCATCATGGAAGTCAAGAGCATGTAAGATCCTTGCCTTTTCTGGAAGGAACATTAGACATGGAAGCTTTAACACTCCTAAGAGAACAGATGTCTGGTCAAACTGGTGCAATTCATGATAAATAAAGCCCAGGAGAAGGAATTGCTAATGAGGGCTGGGAATGAGTGAGGAGGGGAAAATATTCTGTTAGTTATTAGGGTAGGGAGTTGATTTAGAAGAAGCATGATTAGTAATGCATGTTAAACTCTGGGTTTCTAGATATGGCCACATATCACTAAGGATCATAGATATGGGTAGAAAGTGAAAAATATCTCTGTATACCGTGATTCTAATAGATGTAAAAATGCTAAGTTAAGTCATTCTCCTTATGTTCTCATTCTTGGGCCTGCCTTCTCTGACATTTATCCCAGTATTTCCATAATACTTTTGGAATAGGCAATAACAACACCATAATTTGCTCTAATTTTGCATATTTGTACTAACTCTTTATAAGAAGAATCCCATGGGAGATTCTAGTAGGTAAACATAGAAAATTTTTTCACATGTCTGATAAAACCAATAAAATGTAAAACAAAGAAAGTAACCAAAGATAATTTATTGAAAAAAACTATCTCACAAATCAAAGATTTTCTGATCTGCCAAAATTCTCTGAGAGGGACAAATAGACTTGCTGGACTCTGATGTTTTTTTGTTTTTGTTTTTAAATATTCACTGATGACATCACAGTCTCTTGTCAAAAGTTCGCTGATAATAATGTCAAAAACAGACTACCAGACAGAGAAAAACCTATGAGACTCTTATAAACTTTTTAAGTGTTCTGTTTTCTCCCTTTATGTGCTGCTAAATACATGCACAGAAAGAATTTCTTATTGAATTATTTTCCAAATATGCAATGCTCACTACTTTCAGCATTTTCATGTTGTATGTATACCTCTAAACTATTATTTATCTAGCTGGTTTTAGACTTTTTTGCCTAATCAAAGTTATCTAATCAGGGAAACAACACTACATAAAAAATCATGGAATATATATATATATATTCCATATATATTTTATATATATGTATACTCCATATATATGGAATATATGGTCATTATATATATATATACACACACATTTTATATATGTGTGTGTGTGTGTATATATATATATATATATATATATATATAAAATTCCATAGCTGGAATACTGAGGAAAGCATTTAGCTTTCCTCAGTAAAAGAGCATGTGTTGATAACTCTTTATCGTGTGTGTGTGTGTATATAAAGTTCAGTGCTTAATATCATTGTGAAATATAGACTTCTAGTTGTTAGTACATGTAACAACAGCAGAAATGGTAAAATCATTACAATAAAGCTGTGAAGGATGTGTTCTTGCAGCAAAGCACACGGGGGATCTTGGTTCCTAGCAGAAAAACACCACTGCTGCTATTTACTTCATCAGTGAATGACTCTGTGGGAGCAAAGGCCACAAGACAGCACTGAAAAGAGAACAGGCAGTGGTGCTGCCTGCCCGCTGATCAGACTGTGCTTGTCTTTTCAAAAAGAAAGAAATTTATCCTTTTAATAATTCCCGGTCGGGCGCGGTGGCTCATACCTGTAATCCCAGCACTTTGGGAGGCTGAGGAAGGTGGATCACGAGGTCAGGAAATCAAGACCATCCTGGCCAACGTGGTGAAACCCCGTCTCTACTAAAAATACAAAAATTAGCTGGGCGTGGTGGCACGTGCCTGTAATCCCAGCTACGTGGGAAGCTGAAGCAGAGGAATCGCTTGAACCCGGGAGGCAGAGGTTGCAGTGAGCTGAGATCGCGCCACTGCACTCCAGCCTGGATGACAGAGCGAGACTCCGTCTCTAATAGTAATAATAATAATAATAATAATAATAATAATAATAATAATAATTCCCTCAGATAGCACAGCTAAGCCAAGTTAGCTCTCCAGCCAGCTCTTGTTTGTGAAGTGTAATTCTGTGGTAATGAGCTGGTGACAACGTGAGGAAACAGTCTAAACCTTCTGAAAATCAATCCAAACATGACTAAAGACAGGAAGAAAGGGAAGGGAAGGGATGGGAAGGGAAAAGAGAGAGAGATGAACCAGAGGGAAGAAAGAAATTTTAATGACCATTTCAAGGGAATCAAGAGCACCATGGACATGAACTATTATTTACCAGTACAGTGGGGTTAAGGAATAAACTCTATTGGGATTCCCATTCATTTCTATTTCACACTCAGAAAGGTGCGGTTTTGCATTCTATTGCCTCTTCCTTACCCCAGAAATGTTCCATTCTGTTGTAAATGAATGAGCTTCAATCGTTCTCAAAAGACTTCAATGTATTCACATCTTTCACTAAATTTAGTATCTTCTGAATTGTTACAGATTTCTTCCTACATATAAAACATGACCATGGCCAAGAATATGCAATTTTCATTTTTAAGGTACACAAAACTCAGTAACTGCGGGAAAAACACAGGCCTACTAAGTGATGTCTCTCTTGCCCCTTTCCAATTGTCAACAGATGAACCTCTAACTGCTGGGGAGTAGCTGTGACACAGTGTTGGTTTCTGAATGTCTTTGCCACAAGGAAAGAACGGAATTTTTTTTTTGGGGGTTGTAGAAAACAGGCATGGAATATTGAGTTTTCTAGGAGAGAAAAAAAAATGTGATCAAGATGTGTAATGAGGCTGGAGATAGTGGCTCACACTTGTAATCACAGAACTTTGGGGAGCTGAGGCAGGAGGATTACTTGAGCCATAGAGTTTGAGACCAGCCTGGACAGGCTATCTCAGCTCAGCATAGTGAGACCTCATCTCTACAAAAAAATAAATAAGTAAAAATAAAAAAGGTGTGTAATCATAGGAGGACAAAGGCAAAATGTGTTGGTCAGGTAACTCAGAAAAAAGAAGGCAAGACTTTGTGTTGTTGGTGCTTAAGAATAGAAAGGGAGTAAAAAGTTGATCTTTCATTTTGTGGTATATTTTATCTTGCACCAAATGACATGTACTATTTTGGGATACTTGTCATTCTTTTCATGTAAAGCTGTGTGAATTCTTTTTATCTATTCTTTCTGAGGTAAAGCAGGCAAAATACTTCCAAAACATGCCAAGTTGAAAAAGAGATTTCAGGACATTTGATCTTTGCATTAAGAACAATAAACTACTTTCTGCTGCTGGCTGTTTCTATGAGTTCCAATTGGAACCCTTTAATTTGTTAGTGAAACTGTCAAAATTTAAACATGGATATTTGTAATTCTATCAGGGCATAGTTAGTTAATAGGTAGGTTCAGGAAAAAGGATTAAGTTTTTCCCTGCTTATCCTTCTCCCTATCAATCATTTTCAATTTCCTTGGTCTTCTCTACTTTAGTGTATTGGGTAAATGAAGAACCAAGATCTCAGTTTGTGATGTTTATTGGGGATCTCAGAAAATGATGGTTTTTTTGTTAAAGCTTTTAAGAGAGAAGTGCCATTTTCCTTTTATTGGTTGGACTACAAAACTGAGATGTGTGTTCATACTCAACGCCAAACTT
The DNA here is from genome assembly GCF_000001405.40 of Homo sapiens. Lineage (NCBI taxonomy): Eukaryota > Metazoa > Chordata > Mammalia > Primates > Hominidae > Homo > Homo sapiens. The sequence goes on from NC_000006.12 coordinate 140,066,642, forward strand.
TTTGTTTACAAAGGGCACCTAGTTCTTTAGTATCTTTTGCTGTTTGGAAGCTCTAAGCTACCAGCTCTCTAGTGCATATTACTGATGACATTTTTCTTGTGGGCATTGATTTAAATCCTGTATTTCAAAAAGAATCCAACTGATCCATATTTCAGATGCTTCCTTTGGACTAAAGCTTGATCTGCAACTCTTGGGGACTGTTCCTGAGGTGACAGTCAACCACTGTTTGTATTCAATCTTCTCTTTCCTCAGAGCAGGCTCAGAAGACTAGGAGCTTGTTTTGCAAATCCATGGCACCAACCATTTACTATCTATGTCACATTTCTGGGAAACTTTCAAAGTCTTTCACCCTAAGTTCAAAATTTAAATTGTATCTATTAGAATATTAGTTTTTTGTATATGACCTTTTAATTTTTTTCTGTTTTTGTGAATTGTGAGCAAACCACACAATTAAAATGTAACTCCAGAACCAGTTAGCAGAAACACTCTCAATTCTTAGTATGTAAGCTTTTTCTTACAACAAAGTTAGTTTAAATGTTTTCAACATAAAGCTGACTCTGTGTCTTCATTTATAGACTCTTATTTTAGCTTGGACACCACAGTTGGGTATTCTACATAGGATAAATTGGGAACTAAAGATCAGGCTACTTAGAAACTATAGAATTATATAATGATATCCAACAATCCTGAGAAAGTCTTTTATGTTTCAAAATTCATTGCTTGGGAATTGTTTTTTAAAGTATAATTGAGGAAGCTTTGAAAGTACAAATACCAACATATCTGTTTTTGCTCTAGGGGCCTTTTAGAAAATCTCACACCACTTCCTAGTTGGAGCAATTAAACAATAGAGAAGATGGGTATTCTGGAGCAGAATTTAATGAAACAGAACTCCACCATCTATGGCAAGTTTGACTGCTTGAGTCTCCAGAGGATAATAGTTGGAGGCCACTGAGGCCCAAATTCATCAGTCCGGCCATTGAAGGACACAAGTGAACAAAGGAGGACGGCAAAGACAGAACTGTGATATTCAAACACTCAATAGCTCACAGTGTCGGGGTTCATTATGACACTTACTAAGCACATGCCATATTTCTGACACTGTGCTAAGAGTTTCATGAACATTAACTAAATTAACCCCATAAAAACGCCATTAGAAAGATGCAGTTTTGTACCCCCTTACACAGATGAAGAAAATAAAGTATAGAGACTTTAAGAAATTTGCCAGAAGTCTTATAACTGGTGAGTAAACTTTAGCTACTTGATCAGACCTCAACCAGGCGATCAGAACCCAGAACCCATACGGCTCAACCAATACTTTAATCTACTTCTCAAAGTCTAAGGTAAGTACGCAGGACCAAGCCAGAAAGCCAGGATACGAGGCAGAGGGCTAGAAGACCAGGTTTTCCTAAAGCATCAGAGTTTTGTTGTTGTTTGTTTGTTTGTTTAAAGACAGAGACTTGCTCTGTTGCCCAGGCTGAACTTGAACTCCTGGGCTCAACCTCCTGCCTCAAGCATACCAAGTAGCTGGGACTACAGGCACATGTGACTGTGCCTGTCTTTTTTTTTTTTTTTCTTCAATTTTAAGAACAGTTACTATGATAACGCCTGAGACTTTCTGCTCGTGTTTTAGACTGAAGTAGTAGATTGGGTTTCCCCCTGCCTATTTGGAGGTCCTGGTTATATAGGAACCACCTGATGTCGGGAGAACACATACCAATCGTTGGTGTACGGGGCACAATTGTGTCTTTGAAGAAGTTTGCACTGTCTGGAGCCTCAGCAGTTTTGATTTAAAAGGCCCAGACATGGAGCTCAGAGCTCAGTCCTTATTCTTTCTTCCTCTTAGGTTTGGCTGGAGAGGGATCTTGCCGAGGCAACTCCAATGATAATACGTTAATTGTCTAACTTCTCGTTAACCCCAGATTCTGGAATATTTAAGTGGTCTATGTTACAAAGTAAGTTAGCAGCACCATGGTAGTGTGATTCCCTGAAAATCCAAAACCTTGGGAGTACTTTTGCATCACATCTCACTCAGGAATCCAGCAATCCATCCAATATCTTTAGTAGAGTGTTACTGCAGTGTGAATCTCAAGACACCTATCCTATTTTTGTATCTTTTCCATTATAAAATGGAACCATTGTTCACATGGAGACAAAGTGCAAGAAACGTAGCAATCAGCTATGTTTTAGGGGAAAGAGGCTGAACTGGTGGTGTAATGGCATGCAGGACATCAGCGTTTGCAAACTGTGCTTGCTAGACATTATAGTCTCCCATAGACGTTTAATTTACTTTTGAAGATATTTCAGCAGTATTTTTCTTACTTCCCAACCCTGATTTCATTCCTTGGAAATTTTCCATATTTAAATATTCTTTATTGCTACATATAGCTCATGGAATGTTGGGGTTTTTTTTTTCTCTTACTTCTTTAACTACTGACATATTCCAAAGAGTTCAGTTTTTTCCAATACAGAATTTGATTCTATTGCATTTATAAAGTGCTAATACAGCTGGATTGAAACAGTGACCCATTCTAGCAGATACTACATTGAATAGCAGTGAACACTGAGAAATTTTGTACTTGCAGGACAATAAATATGAGCAATTTCCATTCCAGGTTTCTAATATAAGGGTAGCATGAATTGACAATAAAATACATCCAGGAATAAGTATAAATCCAGAATCTGAGTCTCAAAATAAATTATAAACCAATATAATTTATTTCAGTATTTATTTCCATGGATAAAAAGTTGTATCTCCATGAAGCTGGACATTTGAACATAGAATTTGGCAACTTCAAGACAGCTAGAAAGAGTAAAATATGACCTATAGAGGAACCATCAGCAAGATTTTTACCCATCTTTTTTAATTTGGATGTTTTCTTGTTACTTAGAGCAATAATAATATTCTCACTTTTATCTTCAAATATGGTTTCTGTTTTCTATTTTACTTTTTTTATCCACATGCCCTAAAACTAAAAGTATTACAGAAAATGTCACCAAAGCATTAAAATAATGTGAAGACTCATAAAGAGGAAACTTTACAGTTTTTAAAATCAAAAAAAAAAAATTTCCTTGATTTGCTTCTTTCCTTGGCAGGAATTATTGCACACAGAAAAACAATCTGGTTCTCATTTTTTTGTTTGCCTTATCACCACATAAACCTCCACTTAATAGACTAAATTTATAAATAAATCTTTTAAAAGAGTGCTTTCTTCTGTGATTTTGGATAGGAAAAAAGCAGAGTCATGTGTAAGTGACAGAATACAGTATCCCCCCTTTCCTCAGTTTCCAGTTACTTGTGGCCAACTGGGATTCAAAATTGGGTGAGTATAGTACAATAAGATACTTTGAGAGTGAGCAAGAGAGAGAGAGATCACACTCACAAACTTTTATTACAGTATATTGTTATAATCATTCTATTTTGTTATTAGTTACTGTTGACAATCTTTTACTTTTCCTAATTTATAAATTAAACTTCATCATAGGTATGTATGTATAGAAAACAACATAGTGTGTATAGGGTTCAATACTAGCTGCAGGTTCAGGTATCCACTGGGAGTCTTGGAACATATCCTCTGAGGATAAGGGGGGACTACTGTAGTATAAGTTTAATGGATGTCAGAAGACAATGGCAGCTTGGCACAAACTCTCAATTCTGCATATACTTCATATTTGGGTGATCTCCTGTGAAACCCATGTAATTGGTCAGCGATAGAGGTCCTGAAGGCAGTCCCCCCTTGCTTTCTAATCCTTTCTCCAGCCTTTACTTTCTCTCTGTTGACTTATTCTTTTCTATGCGTAAGGCAGTTAGTTTTAAGATATAGGTATTATCTATAAAGGTAATAAATCCTGAAAATCAGTTATTTATGTCTTGCTTAACTTAGTTGAAAGCCATTTCTTACTTCTCAAGGAACAACAAAGTCACATCAACTCATAAATGGATTCTAAAAATACACACTATATACTTGCAGCCAAATTGTGTGTGTATGTCTGAGTGTGTGTGTGTGTAAACCTGGCACCTACCCACATCTATTCAGGAACACTTATAGAACCTTCCTTATTTGTGTCGACACTCTTCTCTCCTGAGAAGTTATTCCATAGAACCCCCTTTCCTGTGAAATGACTACTTAAATTTCAGTGGTTCCACTATAT